>NC_000022.11:22459564-23709564 GCF_000001405.40 Homo sapiens | reverse complement strand
CATCATTGTTACTTCTCTGTGGAGAGAATATTCAGAACCGTATTTTCCAGCTGATTTTGAAAAATTTTTGTAGATTCTGTTGACCCTAGTCACCTAGTCACCCTGCTGTGTAACAGAACACCAGAATGGATTCCTCGTATCTGAGCATCACTCTGTACCCGTTACCCATCCCTGCCCAGGCTCCCTGCTCTCCCCAGCCTGTAGTAACCCCTATTGGAAGTTCTGCTTCTAGGAGACAATGTGTTTTGGATTCCATATGCCTGATGTCATGCAGTGTGGGTCTCCCTAGCAGACTCATTTCATTTCACCTAATTGTCTTCCAGATTTCTCCAAGTGGTTGCAGATGACATGATTTCCCAAAGTGTTAGAGCTGAAGTGTGTTTCCTTGTGTATATATACTGTGGTTCCTTTATCCCTTCATCTGTGGATAGACAGGTAGGTTGATTCCACATCTTGGCTATTGTGACTAGTACTTCAGGACACATGAAAAGGCAGATAACACAGGGATTTCATTTTCTCTAAACATGTACCCAGTGGTGGGATTGTTAGCTGGAGTGGCAGTTGTACTTTAACCTTTAGTTTAGTTTTGTTTTGTTTTGTTTTTTAAAGACAGAGTCTTGCTCTTGTTGCCCAGGCTGGAGTGCAGTGGCGCGATTTCGGCTCAATGCAACCTCCGCCTCCCACGTTCAAGCGATTCTCCTGCCTCAGCCTCCCGAGTTGCTGGGAATACAGGCACCTGCCATCACGCCTGGCTAATTTTTGTATTTTTAGTAGAGACGGGATTTCACCATGTTGGTGAGGCTGGTCTCGAACTCTTGACCTCAGGTGATCCACCTGCCTCGGCCTCCCAAAGTACTGAGATTACAGGTGTGTGCCACTGCGCCCAGCCTACCTTTTACTTTTTTAAGGAGCTTCCAAAAGTTTTTTATAGAGTGTATAGTAATTTTCATTCCACAAAGAGTGTAGAAGATTTTTTTCTTCCTGCAAGTCTACACTGATCATTGCCTTCAACAATTTTGATTTTTGTCTTTTGTAATACTCATTCTAAGTGGAATTAGATGGTAACCGAGTATGGTTTTGATTCACATTTTTGTGAGGATTAGTGATATTGAGAAACTGTCACCTGTGAGTCAATTTCCTGCCACCTTTTCACTCAGGTCTATTTAGATCCTCTTACCTTGGATATTTGTTGTTGTTGTTGTTGTTGTTGTTTTACACTTAGTCATATTAGTTTACTGTATGTAGTAGATAACAACCTCTTTCAGGGGTAGGATTTTTTAGAGTTTCTCTCAGTCTTTAGGATGCCTTTGTTTGTTTCATTGTTTTCTTTTCCCTGTAGAAGTTGCAAAGTGTCCCTAGTCTCATATGGTTATAGTTGCATATGTTAGCAGTGATTTTTGTGTTTAACACCCCACTTCCACAAAACACAGAAACATGCGTGTGTGCACGCACGCACACACGCACACACACGCACAGCCATGCCTTGCATTGTCTGTGGGTGTTTTTTTTTTAGTGTTATGATGCTTTTTTGCCTTTTGCAGCCTGTTTGCATAGATACAGGTTTCCTAAAATATACACCCGCTCTCTATTTTCTTATAGGACCTTTACAGTTTCAAGATTGAGTTTAGGTCTTTAATTCATTTTGTGTTGATTTTGTGTATCGTGCATCGTAAGGGCCCTATTTCAGTGTTTTACCTGTGGATATTCAGTTTTCTCAAAATCAATTGAACCAGACTCTTCCTTTCCCATTGTATCTTTTTGGGGTTTTGAAAAATGTATTCCTTACATATCATGTTGGATAGAGTATTTGGCTGCCTCATTCTGTCACTTAGGTCCTCGTTCTGTGTTTGTGACAGTCATGGATTGTTTGGATAACTACAGATTGTTTTTTCATTTATTATTTTCTTGGGTTCTAACCTTGGATTTTTCTTTTAATGCTTTCTACTCTCATTATTAGAGTTTAAAAGGTACATATGCAAGTTAGTTACATCTGTTTATTGCATGACACTGAGACTTGGGGTCCCAACAACCACATAACCCAGGCAGTGAGCAGAGGGCCCACAGGGTGGGTCTGCAGCACACTCTTCCTCTCCCCTGTTTTTTTATTGGTCTGGTGGTCATTCCAGGTGTCTGTTGTTCTCTTCTTTATGTTTGAGTCCATTCAAAGTTTAGCTCTGAATGCCACTTATAAGTGAGAACATGTGGCATTTGGTTTTCTATTTGGGCCTTAGTTCACTTATGACAGTGGCCTGCAGTTTCCATGTTCCGGGCTCAGGTGATCCTCCCACCTCAGCCTCCTGATTAGATAGGAATACAGGTGCCCACCACCACATCCAGCTAATTTTTGTATTATTGTAGAGATGGGATTTCACCATTTTTCCCAGGCTGGTCTCGAATTCCGGACTTAAGCCATCCACCTGCCTCGGCCTGCCAAAGCGCTAGAATTACAGGTGTGAGCCACTGTGCCGGCCTCTCATCCACTGTTGATGGCTAGGTGGATTCCATGTCTTTGACATTGTGAGTAACACTGCTGTGAACATACGAGTGCCTGTGTCTTTTGGATACAAGGATTAATTTTCCTTTGGGTAGATGCACAGGAGTGGGCTTACTGGGTGAGATGGTAGTTCTGTTTTCAGCTCTTTGAGACATCCCCGATCTGCTTTCGGTGGTGTCTGTACTAGCTTTCATCCCACCCGGAAGTGTACCAGCGTTTCCTTTCCTCGGCTGCCTCACCAGCATGTGTTCTTTGCCTGCGTGGTCCTCACCATTGTGACCTGCGTGGAATGGCATCTCGTCATGCTTTTGATTGGCAGCTCTCTGATAATGAGTGAGTTTGAGCACGTTTTCCTATTTGTTGGTTGCTTGTACATCGACTTTTGAGCAGTGTGTGTTCACATCCCTTGCCCGTTTATTAATGGGATATTCTTTTTCTGTTTATTCCCCTGGTTGACTTGTTGAAGGGCCTTGTAGATTCTGCATATTAGACGTTGGTCAGATGCACAGTTTGGGAACATGTTCCATTCTGTACGCCGTCTGTTTACTCTGTTGGTAGTCTCTTTTGTGCAGCAGCTCTTTCAGGTGTTAGGTCTGACTTGTCAATTTTTGTTTTTGTTGCCTTTGCTCTTCAGGACTTAGCCATCTAAATGCTTTGCCAAAGCCTATGTGGAGAAGGATATTTCACAAGTTTTCTCATAAGATTTTAATAGTTTGAGTTTTTACGTTTAAATCTTTCATTCATCTTGATTTCCTCTTTGTGTCTGGTGAGAGGGAGGGCCCAGTGTTATTCTTCTGCACCATTGATAGCCACTTACTTCAGCACCATTGATTGAATAGGGTGTCCTTTTCCCTTTGCTTACTTTTGTGGATTCTGTGTTAGATCAGATAGTTTTCAGTGTGTGGTTTTACTTCTTGGTCCTCTCTTGTGTTCCACTGCTGTGTGTGGAAGCGGATCCCTAGCTTTTCCATGAAATTTGAAATCAGGGAGTGATGTATCCGATGTAGTCTGGATGTCTCAGGATTGCTGAGGATGAAACTCAGTTCGCTTCATGGTCCCACGTGAATATTAGCATCGTGTATTTCTATTTCTTTCGACAAATGTGTTCCATAGTAAAGGAACAGTACAATGAGAGGGTAGAGTGGGGCGTTATGGTCCATGCATACATTGTGGAATGATGAAGTCAGGGTACTTAGTGTTTCTGTTACCTTTTCCCATTGTTTATTCCTTTATGGTGAGAACCTTCAGTATTCTCCTATCAAGCTGCTTTGAAAGTGATGTGCTGATACTGTTAACTGTGGTCACCCTGCAGTGGAATAGCACAACAGAATTTTCTTCCTCTCATTTATGTGTAACTTTGTACCCATTTACAGTTCCTGCCCATTACCCCTCTTTTCCCCCAATCTCTGGAAACCAATATTGTGGTCGCCAGGTCTTTGAGATAGAGTTTCTCAGATTCTGCATGAGTGAGATGACTCAAGGTTTGTCTCTCCCCCCTTGCTCATTTAATTTACCATCATGTCCTCCAGGTGCAACCGTGTGGTTCCCCACGATATGATTTCATTGTGGTTTTCTGTCTGAAGAGTATCCCAGTATGTACCTGTGGAGCAGCTTCTTTATCCCTTCATCTGTGGATAAGCAGGTAGGTTGATTGCTTATACTGGCTCTTGGGAACAGTGCTGGAATCCCCATGGGTGGGTAGATCTATCTTTGGTGTCCTGATTTCAATGGCTTTGAGCGTATTCCTAGTAGAATTGCTGGTTGAAATGGTAGTTGGAGTCTTTTAAGGTTTGGAGGAACCTCCAAGTGGTTTCTGTAGCGTGTGTACTAGTTTACCTTCTCACAAACTGGAGAAGAGTGTCTCTCTCTCTCTCTCTCTCTCTCTGGAAACACACACCAGCATTTGCCTTTCTTTCAATGTTTTTTGTCTTTTTTTGTAACACTCATTCTAGTTAGAATGAGATGGTATCTAAGTGTGGTTTTGATTTACATTTTGCTTGTGGTGAGTGATGTTTGCCAAGTTATTGTGAACTTGTTTCAATTTAATGTGTAAGACTGGGCAAAGGACCTGAAGACCTGAGACGGATGCACAGGTAAAAGATTCTGAATCAACATTACTGATCCTCACGAGAAGTCAAAACCACACTCAGATATCATCTCACTCCACTGAGAATGAATGTTACCAGAATGGGATAGCAATTTCATTGCCGTAGAGTATGTGTGTATAACCAGCTGCTGTAAGGGACAATTTGATCTATGTAAAAGTGGCATCATAATGAAGTTGCAGTGTCTAGCATCTCTGTGAGCTCCAGAGTTATGATTTCTCTGTGGAGAGAATATTCACAATTGACCTTTGTAGCTGTTTTGAAAATTTTGGTTTTCTGTTCTTGCCTTTTGTTCATAATGGACTACGGCTCTGTCCGTGTTTCTGGTAAGGGCATGGATTTGTTTTTTATGGCTGTGTAGCGTTCCGTGGTGTGTATATACCACATTTCCTTTCTCTGATCCACTGCTGATGGGCACCAAGGCCGATTCCATGTCTTTACCATTGTGAGTAGTACTGCCATGAACAGATGAGTGCATGTGTGTTTTTGGTGGAAGGATTTTCCTTTGGGTAGATCCTTCGGAGTGGGGTTGCAGCGTGGGGTGGTAGTTCTCTTTTAAGTTCTTTGAGAAATGTCCACACTACTCTCCAGGGGGTCTGAACTAGTTTGCATTTCCCCCAACAGTGGACCTGCATTTCTTTGCTCATCTGCCCCTCCAGCCTCTGTTGTTGTGGACTGTGTGTCGTAATTGCCATTCTGACCAGTGTGAGATGGTATCTCAGTATGTTTTTGATTTGCATTTCTCTGATGATCAGTGAGATCGAGCATGTTTTCATGCTCATTGGTTACTGGTACACCTCCTTTTAAGTGTGTGTTCATGTCCCTTGCCCATTTATAAGTTGTTTTTTTTTTTTTTTTCTGGTTTTATTTGTTTAAGGTCTTTACGATAAATCCTGGATATTAGATGTTTTTCAGATGCATAGTTGGGGAATATTTTCCCTCATTCTATAGGCTGTCTGTTTACTCTGTTGGTAGTTTCTTGTACTGTGCAGCAGCTCTGTTGTGCATTAGGTCTCACTTATCAGTAATTGTTTTTGTTGCCATTGGTTTTGGGGACTTGACATATAAATGCTTTGCCGAAGCCTCTGTCGAGAAGGGTATTTACTAGATTCCTGTGCAGGATTTTTTTATAGTTTCAGGTCTTGGATTTTTATGTATTTATGTATTTATTTAGAGACCGAGTCTCACTCTGTCATACAGGGTGGAATGCAATGGAGCGATCTCGGCTCAATGCACCCTCCACCTTCCGGGTTCAAGTGATTCTCCTGCCTCAGTCTCCCAAGTAGCTGGGAGTACAGGCACGTGCCACCATGCCCGGCTAAGTTTTGCTTTTTTAGTAGAGACGGGATTTCACCATATTGGCCAGGGTGGTCTCGAACTCCCCGACCACAAATCATCTGACCACTTCTGCCTCCCAGAGTGCTTGGATTTCAGGCATGAGCCACCGTGCTCAGCCTGGGATTTTGCATTTCAATCTTTGATTCATTTTGAGTTGCTTTCTGTACATGGTGAGACACAGGGGCCCAGTGTTATTTCTTCTGCATCCAGCTAGCCACTTATCCCAGCACCACTTACTGATAGGGAGTCCTTTCTCCATCGCTTATTTTTGTTGATTTTTTTCAAGCATCAGATGGTTTCAGTTGTGCGGGTTTATATCTGGGTCTTCTAATCTGTTCCACTGCTCTGTGGAACCGGGTCCCCAGCTTTTCAGTGAAAATGCCAAGCCATTACATTGTCTATGGATGTTTTCTTAGAGTGTTTCCTTTGTTTTAATGTTTTGTTTATACCTTTAGCAGGCTGCGTGCATGGATTTCTTTTCTAAAATACATGCGCACCCTGTTTTCTTGTGGGAGTTTTGTGGTTTCAGAATTGAGTTTTAGGTCTTTAATGTATTTTGCATTGATTTTTGTGTTGCATGACATAAGGGTCCTATTTCAGTGTTTTGTATGTGAATATTCAGTTTGCTCAAAATCATCTATTAAACAGTCTCTTTTTCCCATTGTGTCTTTTTGGTGTTCTTTTGAAAAAATGTGTTCACTATATGTAAATTGGGGTTGAGTATTTGGTTTACTCATTCTGTCCACTTTCTTAGTTTATACCAATAAAGGATTGTTTGGATAATTATAAAAGCTTGTGTTTTTCATTCATTTTTTTAGCTTCTAAGTGTATTTTTTAACATAATTTCTACGTTTATTATAGACTAAAGGGTACAAAGGCAGATTAGTTACTGCCTTTGGTATACTGCATGCCACTGAGACTTGGGGTCCCAGGGACCTTATCACGCAGGGAACAGGTGCACCCACCGGGTAGGTCTTTAGCACATACCTTGTCCCTTCTTTTTCGTCTGATAGTCACCAGTGTCTGCTGTTTTCACTTTTACGGTAGGGTGTATTCAATTTTAGCTCCACCTTGTAAGTGAGAACATGTGTCATTTGGTGTTCTGTTTTTTCCTTATTTCTCTTTAGATAATGGCCTCCAGCTCCTTTCATGGTGCTGCCAAGGACATGATTTCCTTCTTTTTTGTAATGGCTGCCTAGCTTTTTGTGGTATATATGTACTGCATTTTCCTTTTCTGATCCACTGTTGATGGGTACCTAGGTTGATTTCACGTGTTTGCCATCGTAAATAGTGCTGCCAGGACCGTTTGTGTGCATGTGTGTTTTGGTCAGAAGGATTCATTTTCCTTTGTGTATATCCTAGTGGTGGGATTGCTGGGTCAGATGGTAGTTCTGGTTTAAGTTCTTTGAGCAATCTCCGAAGTGCTTTCCATGGTGTCTGAACTACTCTGCATTTTCACCAAAAGTGGACCAGTGTCCCCTTTCTCTGCTGCCACACCAGTGTCCTTTTTTTTTTTTAACTGTGTAATCGCCATTCTGACCAGTGTGAGATGATATCTCCTTGTGCTTTTGATTTATATTTCTCTGATAGTTAGGTTGAGCATATTTTCAGATTTGTTGGTTGCTTGTACGTCATCTTTCAAGAAGTGTGTGTTCATATCCATTGTCTATTTATTAGTTATTTGGGGGGTTTTGCTAATTGATTTCTATAAGGTCTTTAAGGTAGATTCTAGATATTAGAACCTTGGTGAGGTGCATAGTTTGGGAACATTTTCTCTCATCCTGTATGTTGTCTGTCTACTCTGTTGGTAATTTGTCGTGTTGTGCGGTGGCTCTTCAGTGTATTAGGTCCCACATGTTGATTACTGCTTTTGTTGCAGTGTCATGTGGGGTCTTAGGCATATAAATGCTTTGTCAAAGCCGATGTCGAGAAGGGTACTTCCTAGGGTCTCTTGTAGGATTTTTGTAGTTTGAGGTCTTCCATTTACATCTTTCATTCATCGGAGTGAACTTTTGCACATGGTGAGAAGTAGAGGCCTAGTGTTACTTACTGTTCTGCATATGGCTCGCCACTTACCCCAAGACTATTGAAAAGGGAGTTCTTTCCCCATTACTTATCATTGTGTATTTCATCCAAAATCAGGTCGTATGAGGTGTGTGGGTTTACTTCAGGTTCTCTTCCACTCATCCATGTGGAAGCAGGTCCCTAGAGTTTGAGTGAAATTTCAAATCAGAGAATGTGATGCATCCAATGTAGTTTGGATTTCTCAGAATTGCTTTGGAAATGCCGGGCATTTCCTGGTGTCACATGAACTCCAGCATTGTTTATTTCTGTGTCCTTAAAACCAATTTGCTCTGTAGTAAAGGTATACAGTTAAAGAGTAGAGTGGGACATTTTGATCATGCATATATACCTTGTGTAATGATGAAAGCAAGGCATTGACTGTCTCTGTTACCTTGTGTAGTTATTATTTATTAGTTCTCTGTCGTTGCAATATGCAGAATCCTTCTTTTCAGCCTTTTTTGGAAAATATGGTAGGATACTGTTAACTCTAGACACCCTACTGTGGAGTAGAACAGCTGAATTTATTCCTGTCATCTGAATGTAACATTGTATCCATTTCCCAGTTCCTGCCCGGACTCCCCAACCCCCCGCCTCTCTTCACCACTGTGGAACTTTCTAGTTCTAGGAGATAAAGTCGTTTAGAGAGAAAGTTGATCTCATTCTCACATGCATGAAATCATGCTGTTTGTCTTTCTCTGCCTGACTCATTTTGTTGAAGGTCATGTCCTCCAGGTTTCTGCACGTTGCTGCAGATGACATGATTTCATGAATTTCTGCGGCCGAAGAGGATTCCACTGCGTGCTGCAGTTTCTTTATCCCTTTATCTGTGCATGAACAGGTAGGTGGATTGGATACCTTTGCTATTGTGAGTAGTGCTTCAGTCACCATAGGAAGGCCGATATCTCTTCAACATAACAGATTCCATGCGCTTTCTGTGTATAACCAGTGGTGGGATTGATAGGTGAACGGGTAGTTGTAATGTAAAATGTTTAAGGCACCTTCAACTGCTTCGCTTCGTGTGTCTAGTAATGTACCTTCCCACCAATAGTTTATAAAAGTGTCTTTTTCTGCGTTTCTACGTTGGCCACTGCCTGTGAACATATGGGTTTTTTGTTGTTTTTGGTAAGTTTCATTCTAATTAGAGTGAGAGGTATCTGAGTCTGGTTTGCAGTTAGACATTTGTGTGAGGATTAGTGAAGTTGAGCAACTTCTCTTTGACCTGTCAGTCAATTTCGTGTTTTCTCTTCAGATGTGCCTGTTCAGGTTCTTTGCCCAGTTTTAGCTTGGGTATTAGGTTTTGTTCATTTTTCCAGTTAAGAGTAGTGTTAGTTTCTTGTACATGTTAGATAACAACCCCTTTCACAGATGATTCTGCTGAACTTTCTTTCAATCTGTAGGATGCCTTCTTTAATGGTTCATTGTTTCTCTTCCCCATGCGGAAGCTCTAAAATGATGTTTAGTCCTATGTGTTTGTATTCACATTTTTGTTTTCCATCCAAAAAGAATAAAAAATAAGAAAAAGTATTGCCAAATCAATTGCATGGTCAAAGGGTTTCTTGCCATAGATAATTTTTGGTTTTCTTTTCTTTCTTTTTTGCAAACTGCGTGCATAGATACAAGTTTTGCCGAAATAGAAACTCCCGCTTTTCTTATAGGAGCTTTGCGGCTCCAGGATTGGATTTAGGTGTCTATTTTGTGTTGATTTGGGGGTATTACATGTTTCAGACCCTGAAATGTTGATTTCTTTGGCATGTTTTTGTCTGATATCCCACAATGGGGGTTGTGTTCAAATTAAGCTGTGGGACATCTTTTAGATACTGAGTTCAAACAGTTCTCACCTTCCTTGATGTTCATTTAGGGGAGAGGTGTCAGAAGGTCTGGGAAGATCCACAGTGGAAAAAGTTTATCTGTATTTCGTGGAGACTGATGGCCAGCTCCCTTCTGCCCAGGACTTCTGGAGAAGGCCAGCCCTACCACTTGCTTAAATACCTCCCATCTCCAGCCCTTCAGTAAATATTTAAGTGATTTGTTAAATATTTAAACCTTAAGAAAATTGAGTAACCCAGTGGAACTTGAATTTAACTAGAATTTAAGTTTGAGAATAGCTGGTCAGTAGAACAAATGTGACATACTATGGGTGACATAGATTGGGTGACATACTATGGCTTTTAAGGGGTTTTGTTTTGTTCTGTTTGTTTTCTTAAGCAGAGTTAACAATAATTTGAATAAAGAAGGAAAACATTAAATGCTTGGCATGTGTAATGTGAATGCTATTCCATAACTTGTTCAGCCATAGCCTCAATTTGACATGCTAGGCTATGAATCCTAAAGACTGGTATATGGTTACCGCACTGGAGTTACTTTTCTCATTCCAACAACTACAGAACATTTTGAATAGTTTTTTAAAATTTTATTTTAACGAAAGTTAAGAAAAAACCCTTACTTATACACTAAAGAAAATAAACATAAAATGGTCTCCCGCCTGACTCACAAAAGTCCCATGGCCTGATCCTGGCCAGCAGGAGCAGTTGGTGATGAGGATCCAGGGCAAGATGCAGCTGAGCTGCCAGCCTCCTAGATGTGGTTCCCTGGTGTCTACGGTCTGGGTGAGGGATGGTGCAGAGCCGGTGTTCTGGCCAGCATCCCGGTGGGTTCCCAGCCACTGCAGGATGTTGCCAGCCTACGGGTTTTCGGGCTCCAGCTGGCAGGACAGCTTGTAGCTGCAGGACAGAGAAGCAGCTGTGAGGCCACCATGAGCCACACATCAGGTCCCCTGTCAGTGCCTGCCCAGCTGGAATCCTGGGTCCCCAGTGGTCCCCATGCAACAGGGCTTGATGCTGGCCGTGGAGGCATGGCCATAGGCTCTCTGCAGCTGGCCACGGGAGAGCCTCCTCTAGGCCAGGTGGGGTGGCTCACACCTGTAACGTCAGTACTTTGGGAGGCTGAGGTGGGTGGATTGCTTGAGGCCAGGAGTTTGAGACGATCCTGGACATCATCGTGAAACCCCATCTGTACCAGAACAACAACAGCAGAACAACCGGACATGGTGGTGTACAGCGGTAGTCCCAGCTGCTTGGGAGGCTGAGGAAGGACTTGAGCCCAGAAGGCAGACGTTGCAGTGAACAGAGATGGTGACACTGCAGTGCAGCCTGGGCGACAGAGCCAGACCATGTTAAAAAAAAAAAATGGAGAGCCTTCTCCCACCCTCAGCCCATGGGCTAGGCCCTCACCTCTCTTTGTCACTGAGCTGCTCCATTCTTGTGAAATAGGTGACAAATTTCTCAAGAGGCCGAAGCCTGTAATTCATGGCAGCCACTTGGAGCAGCTGCATTTCCTGCAGAACTCGGACCTCCTAGAGACAGAGGACAGGATGCTGACAGGGCCTGGGTGGAAGTTGCTGTGGGGGCCTTTGGCAGGCAGGGAGAAGGGGCTGGTCCCTGGGGCAGTTTTCTGAAGGGGTCCCATGCAGCGCCCCCAGCCTGTTCTCAGAGTTGGATATAAACAGCCCCTCCTGCAGGAATTGGTCTTTGATTCCAGTGCTTTTCCCATTTTCTCCTGGGATAGGTCCCCTCCTCCTGTGTGTGTCAAACACTCCCAGTAAGCCTAAGATGTAGAGGATGGAGCCAGGGAGTGTCCTGCCCAGGGTGGACTGTGACGTCCACATCCCCACCCTCATCCAACGTGAGTGCCCCAGCTGCTCACCTTGCTCCTCTTGTTGGTGTTGCCCTGGAAGGCAGACAGAGTCCATCAGAAAGGCCCCTGGCCCACAACCAGCCCCACCCCACCCCTTCCCATGCTGCACTACTGCCAGGGCCACCAGGGTCAGGGGATGTGCACACGACAGGACTTGGACCTGCCTCAGGCTCCGGGCTCTAGAGCAGGGGGAATGGGAGCTGAGGCCCAGGGACCTTCTGCCCCAACCCTCTGTGATGACAGACAGGGAAACTGAGGTCTCTCATAGAAAGAAAGCGCTCAGTGACCTTGGAACTGCCTGCCCTTGGAGAGGCTCAATTTCACCCTCCTATTACGGGACTACCCTAGGGAGAAGCTGAGCCCAGTTCAGCCCACACCTCAGCAGCTTTGCAGTCAGGCAGCTCTGCAGCTTCACCACTCAGGAATAGGGCCTGGTGGCTGCCATGGAGCCTCCATCACTCAGAGGTGATGAGATGGGCCTGACACCCCCACCCACAGGAGCAGCTGTGAGGCTCTTAGGAGAGGAGGTTTGCCAAGGGCTGAGATCTAAAGGCTCGGTCCAGGACCCTCTCCTCCCAAGCTTCAGGATCTTGGTTCCCAAGCACCCTGCCCCAGGCTCACTCACATCCAGGTCGTCCGGGATGGCCGAATCCAGCCTCTGTAACTCAGTCAGAAAATCCCCCAGGAAGGGGACCACACCCTGTGCCAAGGAGGGGTGGGGAGGTGGGAGGGGTAGTGGTGATGAGTATTGGCCCTCAGGTGCCTGCCCAAGGTCCTGTCCCATGAAATCCCATCAGCCCCTGTCTCCCAGAGCCCCCTCCTCAGGTCTCCCGGTTGGAGCAGCCAAAGACCCTCAGCTGCCTTTCCCAATTCTCTGCCTCCTGTATCCCAGCTGACCTCCAAGTCTAGCAAGCACTCCTTGTTAACCTCTATGGTGGGATTTTAACAAGTCACAAAGGCCTGTGGTCCCAGCTTTACCCTTCCCCACATCTAGTCTGAGTCCAGCTTTCCCAGACCCTTCCTCTGGTCTCTCAAATGAAGGTTTTCCAGGCCCAGTGGCCACAGGAGGACAGGGCTGGGGAGGAAGCCCCCGCTGTCTTGATATGGAGGCCTCCAGCTGGCGGGGAAGGGAGCCCTGTCCTCTGATCCCCTGCGGCCCGTCCATGCCACAGGCTCACTCACCTTCTTCTGCCTCCGCAGCCTCATCTGGACTCTCTGGGGGTTCCTCTCCTGGGTGGCCACCTTAAAGCTCCCCGCCTGCCAGGTGTCAGCGACAGGGACAGTGAGGCTCTCCTCCTCTCCCCCAGTTACACCCCAGCCACCCCGCACTTGGATCCCCAGGGAGTGGCGGGAGCCACCTGGCACCGTGCTCATACCACTGGCCCAGATCCACACTCCCTGTGTGTGTCACCCAGTCTTGCAGCCGGGCCTCCCTGAGACTGTTTCCTCTTCTGTAAAGAGTGATGCAAACCACAGCTACCTCACAGGGCCTCTGAGGGCTCAGTTTCCTGTAGCTGTTGCCGTTGTTCTCACCGTCATCCCTCTGAGGAAGAACCAGGCACGAGCACCCTCAAATTGCTTTCTTTTCTTGAACTTCATTTCTACCCTGTGAGGCCTGCACTACAGGCTCAGCATCCCTTCATTTTCCAGATGAGGAAACAGAGGCCCAGAGCGGGCAGTGGCTCCCCAGGGCCCCCAAAGAGAGGACGCCTCCTTCTGCTCCTGGAGGCTCCGTCTCGGCTGCCTTCAGCTCACATCCCAGCACCACCACCCATCAGGGTCGTGTTCTCTGGAGTCTTTGAGTGTCTAGGTCTCCAGCCACATACAGTCGTGATGGGAAAGGGACAGGGCATTTTAGGAGACCTGGTTAAGTGGCACCTGCCTATCCCAGCCCCACTGGAATCTCTGCCACGCAAACTGGGTTTGAGCCATGCCAAAGGCTTCGCCTCGCCAATGATCCCCCAGGGGAGTTCCGTGCACGGAACTCTCTCTTTCTCCACTGAGGAAGTAGCCTCCTGATGCGCCATCTCTGACTGCAATGGCAGGGTTTTCCAGAGTCCTGGGTGGGGTGACATGTTGCCTTCTCATTTGCATGGACGATTCTGAGATCTGGTCAGGGAGGATCCCCTAGCAATGTATGAATCCCCCAGATACTTGTCATGAGCATGCGTCGCTGCTAACCGGTGAGAATCCTCTGACATGACCGTTTTTGGGTGTCTGCAAAGGGCAGAGTGGGGAGTCCCAGCAAACAGCTACGTCTGTCCCCAGTATGCCCATTGGTACCCAAAGCTGGGCAGTTACTGGACTCCCTGCCACATGAGCTTCCTCTGTTGTTGTTCCCCCTCTCCCCCAGTGCAGGCCAAGGCCCCCTGCCCATGGAGGTGTGCTGCAGACAGCAGCAGCAGCAGCAGCAGCAGCAGCAGCAGCAGCAGAGGCCTGGCTTCCTGAGGAATTGCTGGCCGGTTTGAGGAAGGAAGGAAGTCCCACCTACCATGATCACCCTCCAGCCTGGAGGAAGCTCCATGCCAGCAGCATGGACCAGCATGGGAGCCAGAGCCCTGCTAATGCTGCAGCTCATCACCCCTGCTCAGCAGCCCAGCAGCCCAGCAGCCATTGCCACATCCCATTTCCAGGGCCTCCTGCCCCCATGCCCCCACGTGCCCATGGACCGACACACCACTCTTCCTGTTGGCCCAAGGTAGGCATGGAGGGAATTTTTCAAGTCCACTTTTAGTAGGTAAGTCAAAACCAAACAAAATAACCACTCGACACCTGGTCCAATGCCCTTCCAAACTCACTCTTTTCTCTGACCCTTAAACACTTGTCCTGCATCTCCCAGACTCCACTGTACCTTGATCAGTAGGTCCCTCTTCACTGCAGTGTCTTTTTTGCAGAGTTCTTTTAGCTCTTTCATGCTTTTGCTATGGGCAGAGGAAAGAAAGAAGGGTAAATTTGGGAATCAGGGGAGATTTGTGAGTTCCAGTCCCTTTTGTTTGAAAACCCAGTGAATCCCAGCTTACTGGGTGAGAGTTTTCAGTGGAGTCCTCTGATCACAGGGGCTCCAGAGGACCAGGGTGGGACCTCTCATGCTCCTCCCCTGGGCCCCATCTCCACTTCACATGAGCCACTGCGTGTTTACAGTTAGCTTTCAGCTGGACACAGAGTTCCACTGCTGGGTACAAACACCTGAAAGCCTCCAGTTGGCTCCAGTCTGTTCCTGATGGTTAAAAAACCTTAGTCCTGAGTTGGAAATCCTTGCCTAGGAGTCCAGGGCAGCTTAGTGACCACAGCCACCGGCCCATCCCTGCCTCCAGTGTCCCTGGACTCCAAGAACCTTTCAGAGTCATTGAGGGCACATGGGGGGAGACCTGTGAGTCCCTAGGTCAACCCTGATGCTGCCATGGAGAGAGCCCTCCTCACCTGGACACTCCTGCCCACGTCTTGTGTAGCTGACCTATTGGGTTGCTGCACAGAGCAGAGACGATGACGTGCACCGAGGAGAAGTTGTTGAGGCTTAGGCACTCCTGGAGAGGGAAGAATGAGCTGTGCGGTTCAGAGTTGGAGCTTGGCCCACTACAGCCTCAGCCCCCTCTGCTGAGATCTCCCCTCCTGGATGAAGCAGAGGCCTGGGGAGCCTCAGGAGGGCAGACCTGGGGCCGAGTGGATGTCACTCATCTAGGAGGATTTTAGTTCAACCCAAGGAAGACCCCAGGTCGGAAGTGAGCAGCCACCACTGGGCCGTGGGAGTCAAGGTGAGTGAAGCTCTGGCAAGAAGAGCCTAGGGGATGTGCAGGGTCCAGGCCAGAGATACAGATGCCGATCCTGAAAGCCGATGGAGGAGAAGAGGAAGTTCCCCATTTTTAAAGAGGGAATCCCCAGGCCCAACCATAGCTTACCCTGGCCACCTTGATCCAGTGCTCCACCACCCTGGCCCTGTCCCGGGCCCTCATGCTGTGGTCCCCGAGGCAGGAGGTGGTGATGCAGTTGGTGAGCCTGTTGAAGTGTGCGATGGTGGCACGAACTGTGGGTGCCATGTGCTCATTCCCCTTCAGATGTCCTTGGCCCCAGATGCAGCCCAAGCATTCGTGGAGCACCACCTTCTTGAACAGCTCCTTTGGGGGAGGAGGAGAGTGTCACGGACACAGCACACTGCAGCTCAGAGTCACCCACAGTCCCAGGCAGGGACTGAGCTCACAGTCATCCACGGTCTCTGGCAGGAACCAAGCTGGAGCTCAGAAAGCTTTAAAATGGGCTCCAGACTTGTGGGAGTCCCTGGGTTTGGTTTTCTGCCCCCGAGGGACCTGAATGCATCATGGCCTAGAACCCAACAAGGGTGGGAAGAGAGAGTGACATTTTCTCCCAGGCCATCCACACTCTAAGAACTAGAAGGTGGCTCAGGCCTGCCCATCCTGAGGCCTCGTCTTCCTCCCATCCCAATCAGCCCTCTACTACTCCTCTCCGTACCGGTGCACTTTCCTTGTGGCAGCTGCAACTATGGGCTCTGTTTGGGTGTCTACCATAGAATCCAGTATGCATCAGGTACCTAATAAGTGCTGAGGGTAGTGAGGCTCCTGAGCAGCTGGGTGAGTGACCCATGGCCCTGCCTGCCCCACAGTGAGCACCTGCCCTGCCCTGCTTTCTGTCCATCTCCTGTCACTCAGTCTGCACAGTCACTCTGTGCAGCTGGCGCTGGTGATGTCCCATCTCTGCCGTCCACATGCAGACAGGGAAGGCTTGTGGGTGAGGAAACTCATCCAGATCCCACGGTTGGTAAGAAGTGGGGCTGAAATTGGACCGAGGGCATTGGCTGCTCCTCAGGGAGAGGCTGGTCTGAGACAGCTGGTGCCAGAGACACAGCCTGCAAAGCTCAGCTGCTCACCGCATCCATGAGGGTCAGCTGCTCTGCCAGCAGCCTGGGAGGGAAGGTCGTCATGTCAGGCAGCTCCTCACTGGGTTGGTTCTTTACAGACCCACGACAGGGACAGGAGGACTCTGGGGCTGACTGTGGCTCCAGCACTGTCCCTGGAGGGGGCCCTTCCCCTGGTGCTGGTGCTGGCCCTGGTGCTGAATGTAGATATCCTGGTGGACCCAGGGCTGCAGGTGACTCTGGCTCCAGAGCAGGCCCCAGGTCCGCCAGCAGTGGTGGTGCTGGCTCCAGGGCCGGCATTGTTAATGCGTGTTGCCCAGGACGTGGAGCAGGATCTGGAAAAGGAGAAAAGGTCACCACACCAGTCATTTTTCACTGGGTTTTCCAAGCACAGAAATGACCGGGTGGAATTTAAGGGAATTGTAGCCCCAAAACACCACCCCCGGAAAGTCTTGCAGACTGCAAGCCCCCTCACCATCTGGCTTGGCCTCGTTGGGCTCCGGAAGCACCAACTGGCCTAGGACAATTTCCTGATGGTCCTCCAAGCCCAGTCCAGGCCAGGAGAGGTTCCTGAAGGCCAGCTTTATCCGGAAAGATGACCGTTGCGGGGGCTGATAGTAAACTGAAGTGTTTTCGGGGGGCCAGTTGAACAAAATGGAGGTGATGGTGCTGGTGATGGAGTAGACAGCTGAGTCAGAGGCCTGGCCTTCTCCCACACAACCCTCCAGGGCACCCCTGCGTGGTTCTGGGTCCCTGGCCTGTTGCTGCCAGTGTGGAGGACAGCCCCACCCTACCGTAAGCCATCAGTGCTGTCCTGGAAGGGGCAGACCTGGCCATACAGCAGGGCTGTACAGACCCTCGTGCGCCCTGGCGTCCCACAGACATTCTCTTCCCAAAGGCCCTGGAGCACAGCACTGTACACCTGGGCACTCAAGACTGCAGCTGCAGGCAGATTTGTGAGCAGCTTCCTCATCAAAGCTCCAGATCTGGGTCCCCTGGTCCTGGGGTTAGGAGGGAAGGGGCAGATGTCGGGGGGAGGAGGACAGGGAGAGCTGGGAAGCCACGGTGCTGAGGGGGATGGGTCTCTCAGTGGCCAGCTGTGACCCCAGCCTCCCCTCTGCTTTGCAGGGGACCTAAGTCTCCATTTACAGAACTCACTATTTGCCTCTTGTGGGGGAAGTCCCCAGATGTCAGCCTTCTCGTGGGAATTATAAGAAGTATGAGCCCCAGAGCTCCTTTAGTCTCTCCCCAGCCAGAGTCCACATATTTTCCCCCATGTTTTGTGGGTGAAAAGGCCCTTCAGAACCCTAAATCCACCCAGTTTATATTTGTTGCTGGGCTGCGTCATTCTAGTCAGAATCTGGGAGGATGCCACCATACGTAGAGGAGGCCATGAGGGTCTCACCTGTAACATTCTGTAGATATGACTTGTTTATTCTGTCTACTGTGAGTGCCTGACTCTGAGTAGAATCAAGGCCGGGGGATTGTCATCTGCTTTGTTTATGAAATTATGCCAAGCCCCAAGAAGAGCGATGCACAAATGAGGTGTTTTGAATGTATGTGTTGAATGAGTGAACCCCAACCTTTGGAGAACCCCAGTGAGCCTCTCCAGATGTCTGAGTGGGCCTGTGGCTCCTTTTTCAGCACCAAGGGACCCCTCTTCTGTCTGTGTCAAGGAGAAAGACCAGCCAGAAGGAATCTCAGACATCCTTTACCAGTGCCATCGCAGACTTGGTTTCTATGTGTTTTTCCAAACAGTGAGTGATACAGGCCATTGAGGCAGAATGCTGAGAGCTGCTTCAAGTGAGGGGGAAGAGAAAAGTAACAAACATGAATCACAGCACCCCCAGCAGATTTTCCAGAGTTTTAGGCTCTAGGGACCCCTTTGTTTGCTGTGTCTTAGATCATTGAGTCCCTACAAGAACCCTGTGAGGTTCGTCTTCTCACTACTCCCTGTTCCAGAGGAGCCAACCGAGGCTCCGAGAGGTGCATCTTCAAGACAGAGCCAGTAGGGGACAGAGGCACCTCTGTGTCTTGGAGGGGGATGGACACTCACCTTCTAACCAGTAGTTCCAAAAAGTGTGGCACAGTGATAAAGTCCCAGGAGGGGCCCAGGCAGGTGGCATAGGAGGAGATGGGTTTAGTTAGAAAGGCTGGAACCAGGGACTCCCAACAGCTTCTCCCCAGTGCCGGGCTGGAAAGTTAGCATCCTGCAGATCTCATTTTCATACTAGGGGGACAAGGAGGGACATGGGAGTCAGTGGTAACACCATGGACCACCAGAGGATCGGGATCTGGAACTCACACCAAGAAGCACCAACCCTTCAGGGACTTGTGCATATGGAGAACCTGGGTGCCCATGGTGAAAAGCGTTCTAGGCTTTCAAAGTAACATTGCATGTGAGGATGGAGAATGATAAAACGATTCCTGCCTTCAAGGCATCGTCCCGGTGTTTGTCAGCTGTGGGGCAACAGCACCCTCTGTGTCAGCAACCTGCATGAAGAGCATCATCCCTGCAAGTCCTCAAGGCCTGGGGAGGCCTCATCCCCTCCTCATTTCAGCAACAGCACACAGGACAATACGCTCTAGAAGAACTCTTTGACTTAAAGGTATATGATTGTTTTTGTTCCTTTAACATGAACGTGAGTCTGGAGAAACAGCTACGGCCATCCCAGCCCTGGCCAAGGGGAAAATGCCGGAAGACTCCAGGGTGGGAGGAAGCGCGTCCCAAGGCCCAGGATCTGCGAGGCGACTTGGGGAAAACGCAGGCAGGTATTGAACCCGTGAAAGGTTACGCAAATGTATGTTTGAAAGTGGAAATGAAACAAGGATTTTCTCTGCCACACAGACAGCAGGTTGGCGAAAAGTTAAAAGCGTGTTAGTATTCAGGGGAGGCTGCGTTCAGAGAAGCAGCTACCTTCAGAGGCTGCTGGTGACCGTGTGACCAGCTGGAGCCCTTTTGGAAAGTCAACTAGCTAGAGCTGTTGAAAGTTGATATCTGCATATCCTTTCACCCAGATATCCCTTTCCTGGGTGTCTGTCTGCTGCAGGGGATTTGTTTATTTTATGGGTTGAATTGTGTCCCCTTCCCCAAATGTAACTGTTTCTATTCTCAACCCCAGAGACTCAGAATGTGACTGTGTCTGGACACAGAGTACTCCAAGAGGTAATTCAGGTGAAGTGAGTTCATTAGGGTGGCCCCTAATTTAACATGCCTGGGGTTCTTACAAGGAGAGGGGGTCAGCGCACAGAGAAGTTCAAGAGAAGACCCTGTGCTGACTGAGATAGAAGTCCGCCATCTCCAAGGCAAGGAGAGAGGCCCAGAGAAACCACCCCAGGCTGACAGTTTGACGTTGGACTTCCAGTCTCCAGAATTGTGAGGAACCAGATTTCTGTGGTTAAGCCCTTCAGTCAGGGTGCCGTGTTATGGCAGCCCTGGCAAACTGCTCCAGCCTATTAGGACACGCATAGGATTATGCTCCTTGTAGAAAGGCTGCCTCGAAAGGGAATTTTATCATGACAGGCTCCACCAGCACTGAGAGGCTGACCCGCTGTGGAAAATGGCCTCCCTTAAGGAATGTTACAATGACATGCGAGGGTACAACTCCTGCCTGATGGGGCTGCAGGGATGAGTTCTGTGAGATGACACTTTAAAGACTAATGCATAGAGTCGCTTCACCTTCTTTTGTTGTAATCAATGCACCCCCCCCACCCCCACCCCTTGTTTGTGCAAAAGTGTTGGATTTTAAGTCCTGGAGGAGGTCTGGCAGGGCAGCGGAGCTGCCTGCCTGTTGCCGGAGATCCACTTAGGGTGGGGAGTTAAAATGATAACAGTGTGAGTATTTTGCTGCAATGTTACCATTGTACTCAATTCTTAAAGCAACATGCCGAGATACTCCTGGCATAGCCTAAAGTGAAAACAGAAGGATTTTCTCTGGTCTTCCTCTGATAGGTGAAAGGGACTTTGCCTGTAACCAAGTTGCCACTGGGGACTAATGGCAGCCAGATTCCTTTGGGAGAGGACAGTGGGTCACTCAAGTGGGAACGCCCTAGGATGGAGCTTAGGGAGTCCCCATATTCGTGTCTGAGTCCTGGGCCCACCTTGGTTTTCACAAGTCCTGTCTGTGGAGACCCTTCTGTGCCCAATCTCACCGCAGACCGGCACTGGACGTGGTTGGTGGTGTGGTGCACGTGCCCTTTGAAGAATATGGAGAAATTGAATCCATCCAACAGCTCTTGTTTGGTCTGTTGTGTGGAGCTCTGCAAAGAGAGTGCCCGAGAGCCGGGCCAAGAGGTGTCAGTGGCCTGTCTGGCTGACCCCACAGTGGGACACCCCCATTAGAACTCATCCCTGGCACCCCCTTCCCCAACAGGATTTGGCACATAGGAGCATCTGCATAGACCTCCAGCCAGAGAAGCCTGAGGTCTCCGGCAGATGACAGCTTGAGGACTTGGGATTCAGATCTGAGCAGACAAACTGTGTCCTTGACACTCACCTTCCCATCCTGCCAGGCACTGCCTGGGCTGTGAACCTGACATACCTACCAGGCTCCAAACACCTGACAACCTACCTGCTCCTATCCAGGGAGGGCCCCTCATCTCCTGTTTCCCCCAAACAAGTGGGGAGGGGCCTGAGGCTGCCCTGATGGGCACAGCTGAGGCCTAGCCTGGATGGGCCTGCCCTGGGCCCTGTGTTACCTGTGGGTGCCTTCTGGCAAAGGGCCAGAGGCGTCGAGGGTGAGGGTTGAACCAATGTCTATATTCTCGGGAAAGACTCTCATTTTGGCCTCTTGTGCGACGAGGAGGTCGGCAGCATGTCGGGATACAGCAGGAGAACATGTTGTTCTCTCGAGCATCGCCTACGAAGTGAGCTGGAAATGGGGCTGTCTCTAGAATGTGGGTGCCTAGTTACCAGAATTGTAAGTTCTGTTGGGGGTCTGTCGGCAAGGAAGTGAGGTCACATCTTGTAGGTTCCATCCTGTAAGCTCCTCCTTTCCATAAGTCCTACTCAAAGGCCCCTCTGGGCTTCTGACCGCTCACCCTCCCCCGTCAACTCCTTACGTAGTCACCATTATGAAAAAGTGTGCCCCTTCAGCACCTTGGGAAGACCTGGATATAACCAGGGTCCCAGGTTTGAGGAGACAGTGCTGGGTCAAACAGCCTTTATTTTAGCAGTTGTGAGACCCTAGAGAACTCCTTTGGTGTTTTGGGGTCTCCCCAGCATGCACAATGGGGGTTATGCTAGCATCTCTTTCCTAGGGAACTCATGAGGTTATGTTTGAGATAAATATTTAAAAACTCATGGTGTGGTGTTCCCTGTGGATATTGCACACACTTAGAAATGGAACAAATACAAGAAGGGGTGAGAGGTAACGTCTAATGCAACTCCAGTGGGCCTGGGGTCCACAGTGTGATCTCGGGAAAAGACACTTTTGCTCTGGGCCTCATCTTTCATGCTGCACCAGTAGAGGTTGAGATTAAATGAAATTCAGACATCCTCCTCCTATGACATTGCACCTTCCAGTGCCTTCCCATTTTATTTAGACCCAGACCCTGTGCCTCATCTCAGCCTAGGGTGGGCAGCGTCCACAGAGACAGCACTGAGGGGTTAGTGACTCCCTTCTGAATGATGGAATATGACACAGATGATGGAATAGCACTTCTGGGCTAGTTCAGGCTGTTACAGCAAAGAAAGAGCTGTAACGGCCTGGGGAGCTCATCAAAAACAGAACTGTATTTCTCCCTGTTCTGGAGGCTGGAAGTTGGATATCAGAGTAGCAGCGTGGTCGGGCTTAGTGGTGACACTGCCGCCCCATTCATTGAGCTTTTATAGGTGCTGTCCTTTCCTTGGAGGACGCCTCAACTTTAGGAGCATGGGTAGACCTCCATTCAAAGCCCAGCTCCCCCTTGTAGCTTGGTGATCGTGAGGAAGTCATAGAACATCCCTGTGCCTGTTTTCTCCTCTGAGAAATGGCGTTAGTGAGAATTGTTTCCCTTTTTAATCACAGAAAATAAAGCATGCGAAGAAGTTAACTTGGTGCCATTGGGCAGAGGGTGAGAGCCCAGCAAACCGGAGAGATCAGCTGCCCACATCAGTGGCGAGGAGTGCGGAGAGTGGGTGAGGCTGGGGCAGGAAGCAGGCCAGCCTGCCAGAGCCCAGGAACAGGTGAAAGGCAAGAGTGAGCTCCTCACCCTGAATTCTCAGGGTTCACAGGCATGCAGGGGCTGTGGGGAGTACAATCATCAGGGCTGCTCTCGTTCCCCTGGTTCCCTCCATATCTGACGTGGTCCCAGGGCCCCTCTCCCTGTGTTTCCTCTCTGCCCTACTTTCTTTCTGGCTGCCCTCCCAGGACTCATTTTTGGCCCTGGTAAGGTGGAGTCTTGAGGTAACTATAGGCCTATTAATAACTCCTCTGATGTTCAACCTGCCATTTGTTGAGACCTCTGAGCTTAGTCAGAAATCTGCTCCTGCTGGGACCTGAGAGAGGGCTGGAGGGAGCTGACAGTGCAATGGCAGTTTTCCCTGGGGCAGCCACTCCAGGGTCTATTGGCAGGTATCTGCCGAACTGGAGCTTTCTTTTGGGTGTCTGGTGTTCTGAGGTGTGATTTTCCCTCTGAAGATAGGCTGAGCCCCAGGTGGGTGCCTTAGCCTCAGAAATGGGTCCCCCTGAGCTGGGAGCTGTGCTCTACCCTCAGTGTCCTAGGACACCTCACACCTGGCCCTGCCCATTCTGGCTTCCGAAGCCCACAGAGAGGGTCTGTAGAAATTGCTAGATACAAAAGGACTACAAATAAGTCATAGGAAGTGTATTTACATAACGCAGTGGTTTTCAGCCATTACTATATGTTTACTTCAGCAAAGGCAAAATTTAAGAATGTTAATACCCTGTGTCACCCTGCAGAGATTTGGATTTATTTGATGGGGCAGGAGACAGGCATCTTTGGTTTTGTTTTGTTTTGTTTGTTTCTTTTTTGAAAGCGGGACTTTGCAGTGTTGCCCAGGCCATAGTGCAGTGGCATGATCATGGGCACTGCACCCTTGATCTCCCAGGCTCAAGGAATCCTCCCTTCTCTGCCTCTCAAGTAGCTGGGACTATGGGCATGCACCACCATGCCATGCTAATTTTTGTGTTTTTTGTAGAGGTGGGGTCTCACTGTTCCACCCAGGCTGGTCTTAAAAGTCCTAGCCTCAAGCTGTCCTCCTGCCTCAGCCTCCCACAATGCTGAGTTGACAGATGTGAGCCACCATGTCTGGCCTGTTCCTTTGAAGAGCTCCCTTAGTGTTTCTAATGGGCATCCAAGCAAAGAAGATTTTGCTGGCAGAAGGCTCGTGGAACCCTACTGAGGCCGCATCTTCTTCACAGCCAGCAGATCATTCCCTGAAGTATCTGCTTAGCAGTGCACAGGCTATTTATATCCTGGGCTTTGGGTAGCTGTTGGGTTTGGGGACTGGCTGGCGCATGAGTATTGGCTCTGGGATCTGTCACAGCCTGGTCTTGTGGGACACCCAGTCTAGGATCCTCCTTCCCAGACCACCATTGTTCCTCTCACTGCCCCTATGGCAGGAGACCAAAGCCATGACCCCATGGTCAAAGGCATCCATGTGCAGGACTGAAGTTGAGTGACTCATGTGGGGAGGGGCGGGGCACAGCTGCTTGCTGGAAGGGTGTTGGGAAGTATTGGTCCATCAGCTGTCATGTCCACCTTTTCCTGCTGAATCCCAGCGATCCTCAGTGGTCTGAGAAGGGTGTGACACCTGGGTTCTTGGCTGGCTGAGCTGGTGCTTTTGCAGCCTCTTTGGGGCTCTTGTATGTGAGGTCTCACCTGAGTTGCTTCAGGAAACCTTTGACCCTCAGGCTACCTCCTGCTTAAGAGCAGAGCCTTTGTGTGGAGATCTGGCTGGCCTCTCTAGCATCCAGCCTGTCCTGTCCTGTTATGTCTCGGTTTGAGGTTGTGCTGAGGGGTCTCTTCCCATAGAGGAGGCAAGGCCAGTCGTGTGGGTCAGAGTGAAGCATGGCGATCCCAGCTGGCTGTGCCCGGCCTTTGACTGGAGGAGTCTGAGAATGACCAAGTCTGGGGAGCTGCCCTTCCTGGGAAACAGCATGTCTCCTCCCCTATTGTGGAGTTTCTGGATGTGATCCAGAGTGTGCTGGGCCTCTGTAGCATGTGCTGGGTGTAGCTGTGTGATTCAGGGTGGGAGGTGCAGGGGATCATCTGCTCTGAGCCAGATAAGGCCTGGACAGGACTGGCGGGCAGCCCTCGAAGCCAGGTTTGATGGGAGAGTAGGCACGGGTAGGGAGGGGACAGGGTCACCGGGGCTGTGTGTCACCTGTTCTTGCTGCTTTGTCTGCCCTGGGAGTGAGAACAGAGGTGGGCTGCTGTGGACCCACTTTGGCTTCCTGCAAGCAGGTGTTCATGTGGGGAGCAAGGCGGTTGGGTGGGGGACAAAGCTGGTCTCTGAGGTGTTGAGTGGTTCTTTGTCTGTCATTGTCCTTTTTCTCTCTGCCTTCCCCAACAGCTCTGCTGTAGCAGCCCATTGACCAAGTAGGTCACTCAGAGCATCCTGGTCCTACACATAAGCGTTAAGGCCCCTGAAGGGCCAGAGAAGGCTTAGGAGTTTCTCAAGAGTGAGCCCAGGGTGGGAGGGGGCCAGAGTCACTGAGAACAGCCCATTTGAAAAGTCAGGCAGAGGGATCCTGAGCCCTGAATATGCCTGCCTGGCCTGCGGTAACCATGCCAGCAGGGTCAGGGCATTTGGCCAATTGCTGTCTTGGTCGAGGCAGGAACATCTTGCTTCCCCAGCCCCTGTCTTTTTGTCTCCAGTATCCTTGGAGCAGCTGCAGGGTGGGTAGTGGGGTGTCTCTCCCAGCTGCTTGAAGAGATGAGCCTCCACCCGGCTGCCTCTGCCAGGGGAAACGAGTAATGACTGCAGCAGGGAGAAAAGCGAGCCCAGCCCCTTTTAGAATCAACCCTGCTGCTCCGATTCTAATTTTCAGTTCAGATTTTGCAGGCACGAGTGTGGGTCCCTGAGTACCTGCCCTTTGAATTCTTTTGGTGAGGACTGAGCATTCCCCCAGGAGCTTCTCATCGAACCCCAAAAACACGGCCCCCAATTCACCACCTCATCCCTTCCCAGGACCTGCTGAAGCTCACACCCGTGGACCACCCAGACTGCCTGCCGCTACAGGATGCCCTCCGCATCTCCCAGGACTTCTTTCCGGCATCAGTGTGGACATTGACCCCACTGGACTGCAGTCACAGTGGACTCCCAAGGGGCAGGTGAGCTCATGGCACAGCAAGGCCTCACGCTCAGGTTGAGGAGCCCAGAGTGGACCAGATCCCCAGTCCCTTCTCTGATGGCACAGGCATCTCTCTGTGCCCCTTGTCTCTGCAACCCTGATTCCCCATTCCCAGCCAAGGAGAGGTCTTCGATCCCTGGTCATGCTGATTTGATTCCCTGTGGCATTGTGGGCCCTAGGCTGAGAGCTTTAAGCCCAGTCTCTCAATAATCCTAAGAATCCAGTGAGCCAGAAGAGGGCACAGGACCAGAGAGTCTCTCCAGGTACGCCACACAGTCTTTGAGCTGTGTCAGAGCTGGATTGTTTACCTGGGGCTGGCTGTTTGGAGGCCCCAGGCATTGTCCCCCACACCAGGGAAGTTGGCCTGTGGGTAACTCGTTCTTGAATGCAGACACCTGCCTATGCCATCAGGGTGACCCAGGAGGGTGAGGGAGCAGGACATCTCAGCCACTTTAGATTGACTTGCATGAGCAAGAGCCAGGAAGGGAGCCCCACAGAGGGAAAGGCTGGTATTAGAGGTGGCCAAGGCCATCCAGGTTGCTGGAACATTCCACATGGGCTCCTGGATGTCAAACAGCAGTTTCCCTGGGGGCCCTTCTTGGTGGAAGGGTGGGGGTTAGTCCAGTGAGGAGAAACAACACTCAGCATGAGAGGCACAATTAACCCCTGTGGGTCGGCAGCCTGGCCCAGATCAAAGGCTTCCTGACCGATAGAGGTTGTTATGTGGCCCTGAGGAGTGAAGACTGCCTGGGTTCATGCTGCTTTGTTACATTTGTGAGTGAGGGGCAGGTCTGGAGAGTGTCTGATGGCGCATAAGGAGCTGTTTCTGTGCAGTTGTTGGTTCTGGTTTGCAAAACCATGGGATATCACTAGTTTGGTTTACTCTGGGGATATCTGAAAAATCTCTGGAAGACTTAGAGTAGCATCAGTTGTAGGTCATCTTAACTGTACGGTTTCAATGCACGCACCTACATCTCGCAGTGTACACAGGTCACACGGTGTGTCATAGAGACAGGAAAGACTGGGACAGATGGTTGCAGCCCCATGGAAGCCCCCCTGACTCTGAGGGTGGCTGAGGGGAAACTCTGGAAATCCTCATGGAGTAGAAACCATCCAGAGCCCAGGTGAGAGGTGGCTGCAGGTCCCCCCAGGACACTTCTGCAGCCCCAACCGAAGGCAGCCCGGGGTCTCCCATCCCCTGGGTATATTTGTTAAAAATGTGTCCATCATATATGAATTTGGGTTTGGTATTTGGTTCCCTCGTTGTGTCTTGTTCTGTATTTTTGTGTTAATGTCAATACCGTATTGTTTGGACCACTATAGCTCTTCTATGTCATTTGTAATCAGGGAGCATAATACATCCATGTACTTTGTATTTCCCAGTGATGAGATTGCTAGATGACATAGTAATTGTATTTTTAGTTTGAGGAGGAACTGCCAACTATTGCTCATAGTGTGTACGCCCATTTACATTCCCACCAGTAGTGTCTAAGAGTTTCCCTCTCTGTAAATTTACACTTGTGATTGCGTTTTAAAAATTCTGTTTTTGCTTTTGGCAACATTCATTTTATGTGGATGGGGACGCTGTCTTAGTGTGATTTGATTTAAATTTTTGTGATGATTAGTGATGTGGGCAAGCTTTTTTTTTTTACCTGTTCATTTCCTGCCTTCTTTTCAGAAATGTCTATCAGTTCTTTGCCCAAGTTTTGTTGGATTAGTTGGTTTTGTGTATTTTCCTACCTTATGTTAGTTTCTGGTATATGTCAGATGAACACCTTCAGCTCCATGATTCCTTATACTTACCGCCTCACAGCATCCTGTGCTCATTCTGTCTCTTCCGCTCAATGACCACTGCCTGTGTCCCATTCTTCTCCCTCCCCAGGGCAGGGCCCAGACCTCCTGCCTCCCATGGAAGCCTGGCCCAATGCGGGGCCAGCCACATGGCACAGTGTCCAGGGCCTTTCTGAGTGGTGGACAGGCCAGTTGGCATGGAAAATGGTGTCTGGGGTTTCTGAGTTGACTGTTGAATGCAGACTCAACCCACTCACAACCAGTCACCACCACTGCCACCCAAGCAAGCCACCTGGGAGCCTGGAAATTGCTCTGCCCACCTCTTGCCATGGGCACAGACACATACCATAGGGAGGACTGCCAACAGACCCAGCCCACCTGCCCCTGGTCCCCAAGGATGACATTCAGGGGCCTGGGGATCACCCCAGCCCACCAACCACAACCTGTGTCCATGCAGGCTCCCACAGGGCCTAAGGACAGGCTGACCCCTCCCAGAGAACCCCCACCCCACAAGTACCCAAGTACTTCACCCAGGGACCTGGGTATAGACCTGCCCTGCCTTCCACTTCTGGCATGTGCTTGCACCAGCAGGGGGCCTAACAACAGGCCAGACCACCTGATGCCAGCATCAGGTCCCATGCCATCGTGGGACCTGGGGATCACCCTGCTCTACCCATGAGCACCATCAGGGGCCCCGGGGCAGGTTCATCCCACCTGGCATATGTATGCATGAACTAGAAATGTGTTTGCCTGCTGGGCATGGTGGCTCACGCCTGTGATCACAGCACTTTGGGAGGCCAAGGCGGGTGGATCACCTGAGGTCAGGAGTTTGAGACCAGCCTGGCCAACATGGTGAAACCCTGTCTCTACTAAAAATACAAAAATTAGCCAGGCGTGCTGGCATGTGCCTCTAGTCCCAGCTACTCTGGAGGCTGATGCAGGAGAATCGCTTGAACTCAGGAGGCGGAGGTTGCAGTGGGCCAAGATTGCGCCACTGCTCTTCAGCCTGGGGGATAATCCGATTGAGACTCCATCTCAACAGCAAAAAAAAAAGTGAGAAAGAAAAATGTGTTTGCCGCTGTGATACTTTCAACAACTCAGAGACATGGGGAAGCAGTTGATACGTCATAAAAAAAAGCCCGTGGCAGATCCAGCTGAGAGATGTGATGGCAGTTCTGCTGCTATGAAAGCAGTCTTTCTTTGACATTAAGGTTTGTCACAGCTCTTGAAAATTTGGCAGTGAGGTTGAAGGTCTCTCAGAAATTCCACGGATCCTTGTATTGCGTATGCATGAATAAAGTTAGAAAACTTTTTTTATCTTTCTCTAGAAATGAATATGAACTTGGGTTAACTTTCTGAGTCAGTTCCCTTGGAAACCTGGAAAAGGTGGAATGTCATCTGTGTTGGGTTACCAGACTACAAATAAAAATGGCCCAGAGTTGGTCATCATTATCTGAATTGGGAGAGCTGTGAATGAATTGTAAAACAATGGGGGCATCTCGAGTTAGAGAAGAGTATTTGCAATTTTTGAAGTCTGCCATCAATTGGACTTTGCTATTGTTAGAAATGTTTTGAAGTCTGTGGTCAACTTTTTCGTGGCTGGCTTTGGAGAAAAAATCAAGAGGTAAACCATACTTTGGGTTTCCCTGAGCGCAGTGGTGTTTGTAACTAGGCATGTCCGTTGCTGGGACCCTTGAAAACTTTGACCATGGGACTGTTAAAAGAAATCTCAGTGTCTTTTTGGGACACAGGCTTCTAAGCTTGGTAGCCCTGTGCCCACCCATGTGACCTTGCTGCTTTGCACGTGAGGTGTCACTTGGGGAGCAGGATCCAGAGAATAGCTCCTGGCCTGAAGTGTGGACAGCCGTGAGGATTCCTGCTAAAGACACAGGCAGGATACATCTGCTGGCACACGGTGTTTCGTGTCTTGTATCCTTCTACGTGATACCAATGGCACTATTGGCTTCATGGGGACTATTTTAGTCGTGTGAATGTTAGATGTATAAGTGAACTAAGGCCAGCCGAGGGCACAGTGGTGTGTCAGTGTCACTAATCATCAGAGAAACACAAATCAAAACCACAATGAGATCTCACCCCAGTTAAAATAGGCCTTTGTCAAAAAGACAGGCAATAATGAACACTGGTGAGGACGTGGGGAAAGGGGAGCCCTCAAACACTGTTGGTGGGAATGTAAACTCCCGACCTCAAATGATCCGCCGGACTCCTCAGCCTCCCAAAGTGCTGCTGAGATTACAGATGTGAGCCACCGTGCCTGGCCACAAATGGTATCGTTTTATTTTATATGCAATGGTTCGTTTCAAGTATATTGAATACAGTTCCCTTCTGCCTGTTTGTGTTGTATCACAAAACTCATATTGAAGCTCTAAAACCAGAGCATTTGTAAGCCACTCCTGGATTTTGAATGGGGCATGGATGGACTCAACCTCTTTTAATTCCTCCAAAGAATCCCATGAGATTTAAAAAAAACTTTCACTTTAGATTCAAGGGGTACATGTGCAGGTTTGTTATGTGGGTATATTGTGCAGTGCTAAGGTTTGGGGTATGAATGATCCCCAGCACCCAGATAGGACCCAATATGTAGGTTTTCAGCGCTTGCCCCTCTCCCTCTCAGCCCCTGCGGTTGTCCCCAGTGTCTATTGTTCCATCTTGATGTCCATGTGTACCCAGTGCTTGGCTCCCACTTGAAGTGAGAACGTGGTATATGGTGGCTCACGCCTGTAATCCCAGCACTTTGGGAAGCCGAGGCGGGCGGATCACAAAAAAAAAGATAAAATAAATAAAGGCTACAAATAAACAGTCAGATGAAGAGATAATATAAGGCAAAGACTGGAAGACTCCCAAGTACAGAAGTTTCTGTCCTAATGGAGTTGGACACATGGATGAGTTGGGTTTTTTTGTTGTTGCCCAGGCTGGAGTACAGTGGCACTATCTCAGCTCACTGCAGCCTCTGCCTCCCATGCTCAAGTGATCGTCCCCCTCAGCCTCCCAAGTAGCTGGGACCACAGGCATATGCCACCATACCCAGCTAATTTTTTTTTTTTTTTTTGTAGAGATGGGGTCTCTCTATATTGCCCAGGCCGGTGGTGAACTCCTGGGTTCAAGCCATTCACCCACCTCGCCCTCTGGAAGTGCTGGGATTATAGGCATGAGCCACTGCGCCTGGCCTTGGATGAGTTCTTATTCACCTTCCTGTCGGCCTCCACATGAAGCTCCCCAAACCTTGTCCTCTTTGGTCTTGTAAAAAAATATATATAATTAAAAAATTAAAGACAGGGTCTTACTATGTTGCCCAGGCTGGTCTTAAACTCCTGGTCTCAAGTGATCCACCCACCTCGTCCTCCCTTAGTGCTGGGATTACAAGATTAGAGATGCCAGCTGTCAGGTGGCTAGGTAGATTCAGTGTAAAGTCCTAGAAGATGCATTTTAGTAAAAACAGCTAGCCACCTGACAGCTGGCATCCATCCATTCAGTGAAGATTGTTGTGCACTGTGGATACTGTGGAGGGGGCAGCAGTCGCAGCCGGCCTGCAGAGTGAGATGCAGTGCCGGAGGGCTTCAGGAGGAGGTGGCATTGTGATTGGTGTCTGAAGAGTGTCTCCATGATAATGGAGTCAGTGCAAAGTCCCAAAGACCGGGAAGGAGCAAGGGGAAAGGACGGTTCATATCCAGCTGCCCCACTCCAAAAAAAAAAAGGAGGAAAGGACGGGTGCCAGCAAGGTAGGACAAGGGGGACCTCTGGAGTGTTTTTTTTCCAGTGGGGGAGGGGTGTGCTCAGATTTGCATGCCGATTGCCAGGGCTGCAGTAGGGAAACAGCAGAGGGGCTGGGACCTGTGATTGGGAGTCTCCAGGTGAGAGGGGTGGCCTGTGGGGACTGGGGATCAGGTGAGGCTGGGAGTGGGGTATAGAGGTGGGAGCAGCTGGACAGGCCCAGTGAGGATGCAGGGGCAGCTGCCCAGGGCTAGACTCTGGCTGCCCTGGTGGTAGGAGGTCTGGGGAGGCAGCTGCTTAGCTCAGGCTTGGGCACGTCCATCTGGTGTGTCTGAAACATAAGCCAGCAGGGCGCAGACTCGTCAGTGAGAACATTCCTGAGCCCAGTATCCAAGAAGCAAGGGAGGTCGGGAAGGTGCTGCTATGAGGCAGGGGGAGGTCCCCAAAAGTCCAGATGAGAGCATGGCGTGCGTGGAAAGTGCTGCGCAGTTTTGGCATCAGTGAAGTCACGGGGCTGTGTGTGAACAGGTGTGCTTGGGCATGTCACCAGGGAGGCCTTGAGACATGAGCGGGTTCGGGTTGGCTTTCCTGGAGACCAGGACGTGGGATAGTGTCGGGGCTGAGGCATGGACAGTCTTCCTGCACCCCCAACCCCTCCTTGGAGCTTTCAGACACTGCAGATAATTACCAGGTGATGTGATAAATACTACCTGTGGAGGGTGCCTGGTCAGGGAGGACAGGGCGGCCAGGAGGGGTACCCTTTGGGCCCCTGCTCTGAGCTGCTCATCAGGAAAGGTGAGAAGCTCCTACAGGCCTGGTGTCAGAGCCTGGCGAGACCCTGTGAGGTCTTGAAAGTAGCAGATGCTCCCTACAGTCTGTGCGTGGCCGTCTCAGGGAATCCACCTAGTAACTGTTCTAGTTATCCCTGCTCTCTAGGTAGGAGACTGAGGCCAGGAAGGGAAAGGCTGCTGTGATACCCACACTATCAGTGGCTGGGGTTGAGTTTGAACCCAGGGACTCTAGGGCCCATGCCTCTGCCATCCTGCCTCTGAGTTTGGGAGTTGGACTTGTTCCATCAAGTGCCAGGCCAGCCCTGCTGCTGGGTGCTCCCAGGCATTCACAAGCTGACAATTCTGAAGGGCCCACGCACTTGGCCATGCTTCAGTCTGTGTCCTCACATCACAGGTGGGTGCTGGAATAACAAATGCTACAAATGGCACTGGGGGTGTTGGCCAGGCTCTGGGGGCACAGGAGCTCTGCCCATGCCCACAGTTGGCCTGTGCTGACCTCCCTCCGTCAAGCTGAGTGGCACCAGCCCTTCCATTGAGCTGAAGTCTTCCTCCCATTCCTTCAGTGTGGTCTTTGTGGCTCAGAGAATTTGTGGCCAGGTACAGGATCTGGGGTGGCCCCTGTTTCTCTGCTCTGTGGCCTTTGACAGTGGGCAGGATCTGAGGCCAGGCCCACCTGCAGCAGGTGTTACAAAGAGGCAAATTGGCACTTAATGTTGGGAAGAACTCGCCAACCAAACACAGTCCCACTATCTTTGGAGGTAGTGAGCTCCCCATTGGGGAAGGTATGTAAGCTGACCTTTCTGGGATGCTGGAAGATCAGAGGGCAAACACTTGAGATTCCGTGATCCTAATATTGACTCCAATGCTATGATGCTTGGATTTGAAGTCAGTTCTATTTAGCCAGTTTACCAAGTGTCTCCTTGGTGCAGGACACCAGGAGACACAAAATGTCCTAGATAATATTGGGTTTCTGGCTCCCAGGGGTCCCTGAGATGTTGTTCCAGCGGTTCTGGAGTATGGGCCAGGCACAGCTTGCATCTGGACCCATCCGCATTGCTCGCTCATTGTGAGCCTCATGACTGCAGTTCAGGATGTCATGCCCCCATGGCCCACTCAGGGCACGAGGATTTCCGGGTGATTCCTGTGGTCAGCTTCCTGGACCTGACAGTGGGGTGGGGCTGCAATGAGACGCCAGTTGCAGGAAGTGGTTTGCACAGCCTTCCTGGTGTCATGGGTCACTGTCTTGCCGAGTGGCTTTGGGCAGGTCCCTTCCCCTCTCAGCCTGCAGGTTCCTATGCCAGGAGCTCCCTTCTTGCCCCACCAGGGCCTTGTTTTCCCAGATACAGAGGTGGGGCAGATCCCAGCCCGTTGAAACAGACAAGGCTTTGGAGGCCACATTGGGCCCATTTCTCAGAGGGGCAGTGTGGCTGGGTGCTGAGCCAGGCACTGGACTGGCCCCTTGAGCCTCCTGTCAGGCTGAGGCCCCCGAGGCACTGTGGGCTGCTGGTGCCAGTACACAGGAGTGATAAGAAGATGAAAGTCACTAGGATGGTGGGGCGGCACCCCCGCCGGGCTGTGTTTGCAGCTGCCCCTGGCTGGAGGCCAGCTTGGCCCTGGAACGCTCCTCAAGGAATAAGGACACAGAGAGCCAGCTCAGCCAGCCTCTACCTAGCACCCCAATCAGCACTCCCTTCTTCCCATGACCCCTACCCTCTGCCCGGCTCCTGAAACCGGCCAAGGAGCTAATGGACACCCACCAGGGTCTTAATGAGTGAGCCAGGGTTAATGGTTTACTGGGCCCGGTGACACATTGACCAGCCTCCCAGGGCTCTCAAAGTCCAGACTGGCCTGGCCTTGAAGGTCTTAGCTCGGCCACCTCCTTTTCCAGCTTTGACACCTCGGGGCTCAGGACGGGCCTAGGGTGGTCAAGAGGTCCCCTGCAGCCCTCACTTCCTGGAAAAGGCTCCATTTCCTGGCCTTCAGGCTCAGGTGGTTCCTTCTGCCTGTCAGGTCCTCCCCAAATCCAATCCCACCTCCGGCTGGATTCCCAAGGGCCCTATTCTGGTGTCTGCCCCTTCCGTAGGGCTCTTCCCCCTGGGGTGACCATACTGTCTCATGCCCAGCCAGGTCAGGGCTCCTTGAGAGAAGAATCTGGAGGGGCCAGGATTTGATGAGAGAATGAATGATGGAATGAAAGAAGGAAGGTAAGTATGCACCTTGCTAAGAGTGACAATACTGGCAGGCTGCAGACCATGTGTGGACCTCGATCTGAGGGCTGAGAGGCTTGGGCCTGCCAGTGCTGTGGGGGCACCCACCCCATCTCATTGAATGGGGCAGAGCAGGTGAGGGCGTGATGGATGGATGGGCCTCATCCCCCTGCTCCCACTGTCTGGGGTCCTCTGTCAGCCTGTCTGCTCAGACCCTTGAAATTGGGGGTTGAGGAAGGACCCTCCTGGATCATGTGACTCCCTTCAGTCCAGGTGACCAGGGTCCTTGGAGTGACAGCTCCTAGAGCCCCACCTGTAGCCCTGCAAGCTGGGGAGAGGGCCTGTTAGGAGAGGCATCCCCTGCCCTGGGGTTGTAGAGGTGATCTAGGCTCCTCAGACCTTGTGGGGCCTCAGATGCTTACATCTCCAGCCCCTCCTGGCGTGGGCATCTGGCTGCAGCCCAGCTCTGTGGCCCCATCTCCCAGGGAACCTTTGGTCTAATCTGCCTCCCACTGAAACCCAGCCTCATTCAGCCCCACCGAGGCTTTCAGAGTTCAGGTCTCTCATTCAGGGTTTGAGACCCCACCGGACTCAGACCTGCAGCGGTCCCAGATCACACAGCCCCAGGGATGGGACCAGCAGCCAGCCATTGTCCCACCTGCAGCAGTTCTTGTGCCTTTAATGCCTCCCCCGCACCGCACTGCCCGCCCCCATGCTGCCTGGGGAGGCGGGGAGGAGAGGAGCTGGGTCACAGCGGGGAATCTTAGCTTGGTTTTAGTGTGCTGCTGGACGACCAGATCCAGAGTCTGGTGAGCCAGTGAGTGAGGGCAGCTGGCTGTGGCCCAGCGCTGTGTGACCCGGAGGAGCCACTCACTCTCTCTGAGATGCTGGACATCATAAGTGGGGAAGCTCAGGCCAGGGGACTCCCAGGAGTGTCTGGAGGCCTGAGTTCCATTCTCAGCTCTGCCGTATGCTTGCTGTGCTCTAGAGGAGTTCCTCTTCCTCTCCGAGCCTCGGTTTATGCACCTGTGCAGTGGGAGTGAGTTGCACTTCGGGGTGAAGGGGGAAACTCACGTGGGCACATCCTGCAGAGGGATCCCACAGAAGGGGAGAGCCCTGGGTTCTCTATCCAACTGCGTCTGGGCTAGGGGGCGCCTCTGTTTCTTGGCTAAGTGGGTTTGAGAGAGGTATGCCGGTGGGTGAGGGAGGGCTGGGGCAGAGTCACCTGACTTATTCGAAGAAGCCCTTGAGAGAGCCGTGGCTTCTTGGAATTGAGAGGGAAGAGTGGGCCAGACGCAGTGGTCATGCGTGTAATCCCAGCACTTTGAGAGGCCAAGGCGGGCGGATCACGAGGTCAAGAGATCGAGACCATCCTGGCCAACATGGTGAAACCTCCTCTCTACTAAAAATAGAAAAATTAGCTGGGCGTGGTGGTGCGTGCCTGTAATCTGAGCTACTCGGGAGGCTGAGGTGGGAGAATCACCTGAACCCGGGAGGTAGATGTTGCAGTGAGCCGAGATCGTGTCACTACACTCCAGCCTGGGCAACAGAGTGAGACTCTGTCTCAAAAAAAAAAAAGGAGGGGAGAGTGCAGCATGAAGAAACAGACCCAGGAGGATCTGGCAGCCCTGAATGGGGGCGGGGGGTCAGCTCTGGAGTAGAGCCAGAGCTGTGATGGGGTTGGGGGACCCTGTGTCCTTGGGCCATGCTTGCCTCACTCCTGGGTTCTGTTTGTGGCTGTGGATTGGGGTGGGGCAGGGCCATTTGTGCAAGGGGTCATTGCCCAACTCCAGGGGGTGCCTGCCACCTCTCAGCTATATATATGGGGATATATATATAGTTCTTTCAACAGGTTTCCAGCAGGTAGTGGTTATTAAATCTTACTGAAGGGGTGTTTTTTCTAATTCTCAACACTGCACCGCATGGGTAGACAGCGTGGAAGATGGATTCCAACTCCAGGTCTGGGTAGTAAGCGTCCAGTCCAGGGATGTAGACAGGCCTGGAGAAGCCACAGAGATCTGTGCGTTCTCGTACCCAGGGATAGTGACTCCAGGCTGGGGGCTGGCAGGGTAAGGGATGGGTGGGTCCTGGGCTTACCTACAGGTCTGCAGACCTCCTGGGGCCAGCTGACCTCGGTAAATCCCTTTTGTCTAAGCTTCAGTTTCCTGCCTGTGAATGGGGTTGGGGCTGTGCTCTGGTTTCACCCTTGTGGCTCTGGGGTTGTGGTGACAAAGCCATCAAGCTGGGTTGAAGGATTAACCAGGAAACTTCAGACTGGCTGCCATGTCTATCTCTTCCTCATACTCCTCTCTCTGCTGCATCCTGGGAAGCTGCTCTGCTCAGCCTAGATTAGGCTCAGTTGTGTGTGTGCGCACGTGCTTGCACGTGTGTTGGAAGTGGGTGATACTGACACCAGAGTCTGTGTCTCTGGGTGAGTGAGGCTGGCACATTTCTGGGGACAGGGAACTCACTACCTTATGTGCCCAGGACAAGAGCTGTGGGGTCTGCAGAAGACTTCTAGGCCAGCCCCTGCAGTCTTTCCTTGGGTGACATGGCTTCCCCAGACCCACTTCCCCCTAGGTGCCCTCTCTGCATTCAGGGGGTAGAGGGCTGACTGGGACAGAATGTGACACACTCAGCATGCGAGGAGAAGCCTCCTTCGTTCTGTAGGCCCTACCTCTATTAACATGTCCTTTGATAAAGTGCCTCCCCTCCTGTCTCCCCTCTCTGGAATCCTCAGCTGCTGCCAGGCTTCGGCTGTGCCCCATCAAAGGCAGCTCTGTCTCCCTACTTTCCCCAGCCCAGGGTTTTCTTTTTGGGGTCAGCTGCGGGGGTCTGAGCCATCCTTTGCGCACTCAGACTTTCTTCCTGCCCACCTGCTGCTGTGAATCCTGCCTGTCTTATATGCTCTCAGGCAGAGAGGAAACTGCTGAGCAGGCCGGGGCAGGGGACAGAGCCCTGTGGCTCTCCACTTTAGACCCCTCATGGCTGACTGCCATGGAATGCAGCCACTTAGGAGGGCCAAATCCCCTGATGTTCCTGTTGGCTGTCTAGCCTTCAGGGACAGGTCATGGGGCCTTGGTTCCTGCCCTGTCATCTTCCCAGTCACCCTGATCTTCAGGGGGAGGAATAGCCAGGGTAAGGGCTTGGTCATAGCACCTCCACCCTAGGGCTATTGAGGATCTCACAGTTGTGTGTCTGGTGGGTTCTGTCCAGAGCCCATTTGAGAGCAGTGGATGACAGGACAGGTCTATGTGACCCAGGCAGGCAGCAATATTGGGTCAGCCTTCATGTCCCCTTCTGTCAGCTGGGGCAGCCTGGAAGGATGATTGTGGGGTAGGTGTTATGGGCACGGAATAGACCTCAGGTGGAGGCTGCAGGGGCTCTCCGGCACCGTAGACACAGCAGGCCCAGGAGCAGGGGAGGGAGCCATGACTCAGGGAGACTCTGGCCCATATCCTTGGCAGATGAGGGCCACAGGGGAATGGGCAGCACTGTCCAAAGTCCCCTGGGCTGGGTCCGCAGCTGTTCCTGGCTCAGACTTCTTGGTGGGCTGGTCAGAAACATGCAGTAACTTGGGGCAGTTACCAAGTGGCCAAGCCTGCACTGCTGGGCTGTGTGAGCTTGGGCCAGCTCAGGCCCTCTCTGGGCCCTGCCTTTCTGGGCTGTTCGGGTGGTTCCTTGGGCCTGGGGTGCTAATGTTTCTGGATGGGCAGCAGAACCAGTCTGCACTCAGGGCCCCAGGCCATGTTCCCGGAACACACCTTTAGCATTGACAGCAGCGTGTGGTGAGGCCCCTTAGGCTGGGTTCTGGTCTAGTGCCAGGGGCACCACTACTCCACCGCCTCCAGAGCCATCTCTGGGACACTGGCTGTGAGTTCAGATGTTCTGAACAGGGACAGGGAGAGCCAGAGAGAGACCCAGCCTGGGGCTCACTGGAGGGGCTCGTGGGCAGACAGCACCCTTTGGAAGGAACTGAGCCTGGGAAGTGGGAACCCTATTCCCCGGCTCACAACACCTCCCACCCGGGGCCCTCCCAGGGCTGCATGAAGTTTAGTCACCTGGTGACAGGCTGAGTTACTGTGCGGAGTCACTGTGTGCCTCCTTGCTGCTGTGACGTCAGCCTCCCCATCCTCCTTGCTAGGCTGGACCTCTGTGAGAGGCCTGCCTGTCCTGCACCCTGTGTAGATGCCTTGCACTGTCCCCCAGGGCTGCTGGGCACCCCCTGGCTGGCCTCTTGTCCCCTCTGGGACTAGGTAAGCTTATGGGTTCTCTGGCAGCTCCTGCTCCTTCCCTGCCTCTGCTCCTCCTTGGAGGCGCCCACTCCCAGGACTGGACAGCATGCACACGTTCTGGGAGGCGAGAAGGAGACACTGAACTTGTGTTTCTGAGGCCCGACTTTAGACTGTGCTCTGTTGGGGAGGTGCCAGGGAGTGTCTGAGGCTGGGTCTGACCCTGCTCCTTGCCCCGTGGATGCAGTAGAGTCATGAAGATGAAGTTAGTGGTGCTGGGTCTGCTGGCCGTGGTCCTGGTGCTGCTCATTGTTGGCCTCTGTCTCTGGCTGCCCTCGGCCTCCAAGGAACCTGACAACCATGTGTACACCAGGCCTGTTCAGCTGCGGGTGCCAAGCCCTGCTTGGAGATTGGGAGATGAGCAGGGCAGGGCATGGGGGCATGGGCCCTGGAAACCGGGCAAGTGGACCTCGGCAATACCTTAGCCCCTCTGAGACTCAGTTTCCCCACATGTAAGCAGGCTGCCTGGGCACGGGTGTCCCAGGTGCATAGAGCCACCTGTTCTTTGCTTGGACTGTCTCAGTAGCCTCTGGGTAGGGGACGGTGACCCCGAGAGCAGGGTGTGGGTCTCTAGAGCCCAACAGGGCCCTTTTCTCAGTTCTAAGAGTCTCTGTCTCTTTGAATAAACTGCACTGTTTTGTCGTTTGGTTGTTATTTTTACTTATTTCTCTTTTTATTTTTAGTTATTTATTTACTGTGAGATGGAGTCTCGCTCTTTCGCCCAGGCTGGAGTGCAGTGGCGCGATCTCAGCTCACTGCAACCTCCACCTCCCTGGTTCAAGTGATTCTTATGCCTCAGCCTCCCAAGTAGCTGGGATTACAGGCATGTAGCACCATGCACAGCTAATTTTTTTTTTCCCGAGACAGAGTCTCGCTCTGTCACCCAGGCTGGAGTGCAGTGGTGTGATCTCACCTCACTGCAGCCTCCACCTTCCAGGTTCAAGCGATTCTCCTGCCTCAGCCTCCTGAGTAGCTGGGATTACAGGCATGCGTCACCACACCCGCCTAATTTTTGTATTTTTAGTAGAGATGGGGTTTCACTATATTGACCAGGCTGGTCTTGAACTCCTGACCTCAGGTGATTCACCCGCCTTGGCCTCCCAAAGTGCTGGGATTACAGGCATGAGCCGCCATACCCAGCCAACTTTTATCTTTTTAGTAGAGACGGGGTTTCATCCTGTTGGCCAGGCTGGTCTTGAACTCCTGACCTTAATTGATCCACTTGCCTCAGCCTCCCAAAGTGCTGGGATTATAGGCATGAGCCACTGCACTTGGCCTTTAGTGGTGTTTTCTGAGATCTTGGTACACTCATCACCCAAGCAGTGTACACTGTACCTAGTGTGTAGTCTTTTATCCCTCATCCCCCTCCCCTTCTACTCTTCCCCTTGAGTACCCAGAGTCCATTATATCATTCTTTTTTTTTTTTTTTTTTTTTTTTTTTTGAGATGGAGTCTCACTCTGTTGCCTAGGCTGGAGTGCAATGGTGTGGTCTTGGCTCACTGCAACCTCCTCCACCTCCTGAGTTCAAGTGATTCTCCTGCCTCAGCCTTCCACCAGCTGGGATTACAGGCGCCCACCACCATGCTTGGCTAAATTGTTTTGGTATTATTAGTAAAGCCAGGGTTTCACCATGTTGGCCAGGCTGGTCTTGAACTCCTGACCTCAGGTGGTCTGCCTGCCTTGGCCTCCCAAAGTGCTGGGAGTACAGGCATGAGCCAGCATGCCGGACCCCGTTATATCATTCTTTTTTTTTTTCTTTTTTAATGTTATTATTATACTTTAAGTTTTAGGGTACATATGCACAACGTGCAGGTTTGTTACATATGTACACATGTGCCATGTTGGTGTGCTGCACCCATTAACTCATCATTTAGCATTAGATATATCTCCTAATGCTATCCCTCCCCGCTCCCCGCATCCCACAACAGTCCCTGGTGTGTGATGTTCCCCTTCCTGTGTCCATGTGTTCTTGTTGTTCATTTCCCACCTATGAGTGAGAACATGGTGGTGTTTGGTTTTTTGTCCTTGTGATAGTTTGCTGAGAATGATGGTTTCCAGCTTCATCCATGTCCCTACAAGGGACATGAACTCATCATTTTTTATGGCTGCATAGTATTCTATGGTGTATATGTGCCACATTTTCTTAATCCAGTCTATCATTGTTGGACATTTGGGTTGGTTCCAAGTCTTTGCTATTGTGAATAGTGCCGCAATAAACATACGTGTGCATGTGTCTTTATAGCAGCATGATTTATAATCCTTTGGGTATATACCCAGTAATGGAATGGCTGGGTCAAATGGTATTTCTAGTTCTAGATCCCTGAGGAATTGCCACACTGACTTCCACAATGGTTGAACTAGTTTACAGTCCCACCAACAGTGTAAAAGTGTTCCTATTTCTCCACATCCTCTCCAGCACCTGTTGTTTCCTGACTTTTTAATGATCGCCATTCTAACTGGTGTGAGATGGTATCTCATTGTGGTTTTGATTTGCATTTCTCTGATGGCCAGTGATGATGAGCATTTTTTCATGTGTCTTTTGGCTGCATAAATGTCTTCTTCTGAGAAGTGTCTGTTCATATCCTTTGCCCACTTTTTGATGGGATTGTTTGTTTTTTTCTTGTAAATTTGTTTGAGTTCATTGTAGATTCTGGATATTAGCCCTTTGTCAGATGAGTCGGTTGCAAAAATTTTCTCCCATTCTGTAGGTTGCCCGTTCACTGTGATGGTAGTTTCTTTCGCTGTGCAGAAGCTCTTTAGTTTAATTAGATCCCATATGTCAATTTTGGCTTTTGTTGCCATTGGTTTTGGTGTTTTAGACATGAAGTCCTTGCCCATGCCTATGTCCTGAGTGGTATTGCCTAGGTTTTCTTCTAGGGTTTTTATGGTTTAGGTCTAATATGTAAGTCTTTAATCCATCTTGAATTAATTTTTATATAAGGTGTAAGGAAGGGATCCAGTTTCAGCTTTCTACATATGGCTAGCCAGTTGTTCCAGCACCATTTATTAAATAGGGAATCCTTTCCCCATTGCTTGTTTTTGTCAGGTTTGTCAAAGATCAGATAGTTGTAGGTATGCGGCATTATTTCTGAGGGCTCTGGTCTGTTCCATTGGTCTATATCTCTGTTTTGGTACCAGTACCATGCTGTTTTGATTACTGTAGCCTTGTAGTATAGTTTGAAGTCAGGTAGCGTGATGCCTCTAGCTTTGTTCTTTTTGGTTAGGATTGACTTGGCAATGTGGGTTCTTTTTTGGTTCCATATGAACTTTAAAGTAGTTTTTTCCAATTCTGTGAAGAAAGTCATTGGTGGCTTGATGGGGATGGCATTGAATCTATAAATTACCTTGGGCAGTATGGCCATTTTCACGATATTGATTCTTCCTATCCATGAGCATGGAATGTTCCTCCATTTGTTTGTATCCTCTTTTATTTCATTGAGCAGTGGTTTGTAGTTCTCCTTGAAGAGGTCCTTCACATCCTTTGTAAGTTGGATTCCTAGGTATTTTATTCTCTTTGAAGCAATTGTGAATGGGAGTTCACTCGTGATTTGGCTCTCTGTTTGTCTGTTATTGGTGTATAAGAATGCTTGTGATTTTTGCACATTGATTTTGTATCCTGAGACTTTGCTGAAGTTGCTTATCAGCTTAAGGAGATTTTGGGCTGAGACGATGGGGTTTTCTAGATAAACAATCATGTCATCTGCAAACAGGGACAATTTGACTTCCTCTTTTCCTAATTGAATGCCCTTTATTTCCTTCTCCTGCCTGATTGCCCTGGCGAGAACTTCCAACACTATGTTGAATAGGAGTGGTGAGAGAGGGCATCCCTGTCTTGTGCCAGTTTTCAAAGGGAATGCTTCCAGTTTTTGTCCATTCACTGTGATATTGGCTGTGGGTTTGTCATAGATTGCTCTTATTATTTTGAGATATGTCCCATCAATACCTAATTTATTGAGAGTTTTTAGCATGAAGTGTTGTTGAATTTTGTCAAAGGCCTTTTCTGCATCTGTTGAGATAATCATGTGGTTTTTGTCTTTGGTTCTGTTTATATGCTGGATTACGTTTATTGATTTTCGTACGTTGAACCAGCCTTGCATCCCAGGGATGAAGCCCACTTGATCATGCTGGATAAGCTTTTTGATGTGCTGCTGGATTCGGTTAGCCAGTATTTTATTGAGGATTTTTGCATCAATGTTCATCAAGGATATTGGTCTAAAATTCTCTTTTTTTGTTGTGTCTCTGCCAGGCTTTGGTATCAGGATGATGCTGGCCTCATAAAATGAGTTAGGGAGGATTCCTTCTTTTTCTGTTGATTGGAATAGTTTCAGAAGGAATGGTACAAGCTCCTCCTTGTACCTCTGGTAGAATTCGGCTGTGAATCCATCTGGTCCTGGACTTTTTTTGGTTGGTAAGCTATTAATTATTGCCTCAATTTCAAAGCTTGTTATTGGTCTATTCAGAGATTCAACTTCTTCTTAGTTTAGTCTTGGGAGGGTGTATGTGCCTAGGGATTTATCCATTTCTTCTAGATTTTCTAGTTTTTTTTTGCGTAGAGGCATTTATAGTATTCTCTGATGGTAGTTTGTATTTCTGTGGGATCGGTGGTGATATCCCCTGTATCATTTTTTATTGCGTCTATTTGATTCTTCCCTGTTTTCTTCTTTATTAGTCTTGCTAGTGGTCTATCAATTTTGTTGATCTTTTCAAAAAACCAGCTCCTGGATTCATTGATTTTTTTTTGAAGGGTTTTTTGTGTCTCTATTTCCTTCAGTTCTGCTCTGATCTTAGTTATTTCTTGCCTTCTGCTAGCTTTTGAATCTGTTTGCTCTTGCTTCTCTAGTTCTTTTAATTGTGATGTTAGGGTGTCAATTTTAGATCTTTCCTGCTTTCTCTTGTGGGCATTTAGTGCTATAAATTTCCCTCTACACACTGCTTTGAACGTGTCCCAGAGATTCTGGTATGTTGTGTCCTTGTTCTCGTTGGTTTCAAAGAACATCTTTATTTCTGCCTTCATTTTGTTATGTACCCAGTAGTCATTCAAGAGCAGGTTGTTCAGTTTCCATGTAGTTGAGTGGTTTTGAGTGAGTTTCTTAATCCTGAGTTCTAGTTCGATTCACTGTGGTCTGAGAGACAGTTTGTTATAACTTCTGTTCTTTTACATTTGCTGAGGAGTGCTTTACTTCCAACTATGTGGTCAATTTTGGAGTAGGTGTGGTGTGGTGCTGAAAAGAATGTATAGTCTGTTGATTTGGGGTGGAGAATTCTGTAGATGTCTATTAGGTCCGCTTGGTGCAGAGCTGAGTTCAATTCCTGGATATCCTTGTTAACTTTCTGTCTCGTTGATCTGTCTAGTGTTGACAGTGGGGTGTTAAAGTCTCCCATTATTATTGTGTGGGAATCTAAGTCTCTTTGTAGGTCACTAAGGACTTGCTTTATGAATCTGGGTACTCCTGTATTGGGTGTATATATATTTAGGATAGTTAGCTCTTCTTGTTGAATTGATCCCTTTACCATTATGTAATGGCCTTCTTTGTCTCTTTTGATCTTTGTTCGTTTAAAGTCTGTTTTATCAGAGACTAGGATTGCAACCCCTGCCTTTTTTTGTTTTCCATTTGCTTGGTAGATCTTCCTCCATCCCTTTATTTTGAGCCTGTGTGTGTCTCTGCACGTGAGATGGGTTTCCTGAATACAGCACACTGATGGGTCCTGACTCTATCCAATTTGCCAGTCTGTGTCTTTTAATCGGAGCATTTAGTGCATTTACATTTAAGGTTAACATTGTTATGTGTGAATTTGATCCTGTCATTATGATGTTAGCTGGTTATTTTGCTCGCTAGTTGATGCACTTTCTTCCTAGCCTCGATGGTCTTTACAATTTGGCATGCTTTTGCAGTGGCTGGTACCAGTTGTTCCTTTCCATGTTTAGTGCTTCCTTCAGGAGCTCTTTTAGGGCAGGCCTGGTGGTGACAAAATCTTTCAGCATTTGCTTGTCTGTAAAGTATTTTATTTCTCCTTCACTTATGAAGCTTAGTTTGGCTGGATATGAAATTCTGGGTTGAAAATTCTTTCCTTTAAGAATGTTGAATATTGGCCCCCACTCTCTTCTGGCTTGTACGGTTTCTGCTGAGAGATCAGCTGTTAGTCTGACGGGCTTCCCTTTGTGGGTAACCCGACCTTTCTCTCTGGCTGCCCTTAACATTTTTTCCTTCATTTCAACTTTGGTGAATCTGACAATTATGTGTATTGGAGTTGCTCTTCTTGAGGAGTATCTTTGTGGCGTTCTCTGTATTTCCTGAATTTGAATGTTGGCCTGCCTTGCTACATTGGGGAAGTTCTCCTGGATAATATCCTGCAGAGTGTTTTCCAACTTGGTTCCATTCTCCCTGTCACTTTCAGGTACACCAATCAGACATAGATTTGGTCTTTTCACATAGTCCCATATTTCTTGGAGGCTTTGTTCCTTTCTTTTTATTCTTTTTTCTCTAAACTTCTCACTTCATTTCATTCATTTCATCTTCCATCACTGATACCTTTTCTTCCAGTAGATCGCATCGGCTACTGAGGCTTGTGCATTCGTCACGTAGTTCTTGTGCCGTGGTTTTCGGCTCCATCAGGTCCTTTAAGGACTTCTCTGCATTGGTTATTCTAGTTAGCCATTCGTCTAATTTTTTTTCAAGGTTTTTAACTTCTTTGCCATTGGTTCGAACTTCCTCCTTTAGCTCCGAGTAGTTTGATCTTCTGAAGCCTTCTTCTCTCAACTCGTCAAAGTCATTCTCTGTCCAGCTTTGTTCCATTGCTGGTGAGGAGCTGCATTCCTTTGGAGGAGGAGAGGCACTCTGATTTTTAGAGTTTCCAGTTTTTCTGCTCTGTTTTTTCCCCATCTTTGTGGTTTTATCTACCTTTGGTCTTTGATGATGGTGACGTACAGATGGGTTTTTGGCGTGGATGTCCTTTCTGTTTGTTAGTTTTCCTTCTAACAGTCAGGACCCTCAGCTGCAGGTCTGTTGGAGTTTGCTGGAGGTCCACTCCAGACCCTGTTTGCCTGGGTATCAGCAGCAGTCGCTGCAGAACAGCGGATATTGGTGAACCGCAAATGCTGCTGCCTGATCATTCTGCTGGAAGTTTTGTCTCAGAGGAGTACCCGGCTGTGTGAAGTGTCAGTCTGCCCCTACTGGGGGTGCCTCTCAGTTAGGCTACTCGGGGGTCACAGACCCACTTGAGGCAGTTTGCCCATCCTCAGATCTGAAGCTGCGTGCTGGAAGAACCACTACTCTCTTCAGAGCTGTCAGACAGGGACATTTAAGTCTGCAGAGGTTACTGCTGCCTTTTGTTTGTCTGTGCCCTGCCCCAAGAGGTGGAGCCTACAGAGGCAGGTAGGCCTCCTTGAGCTGTGGTGGGCCTCACCCAGTTCGAGCTTCCCGGCTGCTTTGTTTACCTACTCAAGCCTCAGCAATGGTGGGTGCCTCTCCCCCAGCCTCGCTGCCGCCTTGCAGTTTGATCTCAGACTGCTGTGCTAGCAATGAGCGAGGCTCCGTGGGCGTAGGACCCTCCGAGCCATGTGCGGGATATAATCTCCTGGTGTGCCGTTTGTTAAGCCCGTTGGAAAAGCACAGTATTGGGTGGGAGTGACCCGATTTTCCAGGTGCCGCCTGTCACCCCTTTCTTTGACTAAGAAAGGGAATTCCCTGACCGCTTGCACTTCCCAGGTGAGGCGATGCCTCGCCCTGCTTCAGCTCACGCACAGTGCGCTGCACCCACTGTCCTGCACCCACTGTCCTGCACCCACTGTCTGGCACTCCCCAGTGAGATGAACCCGGTACCTCAGTTGGAAATGCAGAAATCACTGTCTTCTGCGTCACTCATGCTGGGAGCTGTAGACTGGAGCTGTTCCTATTCGGCCATCTTGGCTCCCAGACCCTTTTTTTTTTTTTTTTTTGAGATAGAGTTTTGCTCTTGTCTTTCAGGCTGGAGTGGGGTGCAATGGTGCAGTCTTGGCTCACTGCAACCTCCACCTCCCAGTTCAAGAGGTTCTCCTGCTTCAGCCTCCCGAGTAGCTGGGACTACCATGCCTGGCTGATTTTTGTGTTATTGGTAGAGACGGGGTTTCACCATGTTCTCCAGACTGGTCTCAAACTCCTGACCTTAGGTGATCCACCCGCCTCAGCCTCCCAAAGTTCTGGGATTACAGGCATGAGCCACTGCGCCCGGCCCATTATATCATTCTTATGTGTTTGCTTCCTCATAGCTTAGCTTTGGTATATAACTGTTTTGGAATTATCATCCTTGGCTACTAGGATCAGTGATAAGGGTGACACTAGTCTGAGGCTGGACAGGCCACTCCTGGGCAGATGTCTTTGCAGAAGTATTTTTTGTGTAAGGTTGTGATGGCCTTTGTGTAATGTTGTGAGTTGTGTTTTTGAGGTAGGGTCTTGCTCTATCACCTGGGCTGGAGTGCAGTTGCACTGTCAAGGCTCACTGTAGCCTCAGCCTCCTGGACTGAAGCAATCCTCTTACCTCAATCCTCTCACCTCAGCCTCCCAAAGTGCTGGGATTACAGGCATGAGCCACCACACCCAGCCGAGAATGGGGCACTTGTGCACGAGAGTCCTCTCTTCATGGCCTTTCCCTGGCTCTATTTTTCAGAGTTGTTTTTTGTTGTTTTGTTTTGTTTTGTTTTGAGATGGAGTCTTGCTCTGTTGCACAGGCTGGAGTGCAGTGGCGGAATCTCGGCTCACTGCAACCTCCGCCTCCTGGGTTCAAGCAATTCTCCCGCCTCAGCCTCCCCAGTAGCTGGGATTACAGGCACCCGCCATCATGCCCAGATAACTTTTGTATTTTTGTAGAGATGGGGTTTCACCATGTTAGTCAGGCTGGTCTCGAACTCCTGACCTCAGGTGATCCACCCACCTCGGCCTCCCAAAGTGCTGGGACTACAGGTGTGAGCCACTGTGTGTGGCCGCAGCTCTATTTTGACAATTTTCACAGTCTCTTCCCACTTCCTGTGGCTGCCAGCATTCATTGGCTTGTGGCTGCCTCACTCCAGTCTCTGTCTCCATGGTCATACTGGTTTCTCCTCTGCTGTGTGTCCTCTCCTCTGTGTGTCTGTCTTACAAGGACACTGTGGTCACATTCAGGGCACATCTAGATAATCCAGGATCATCTCCTCCTCTCAAAATCTTTAACATACTTTAGGCCGGGTGCGGTGGCTCATGCCTGTAATCCCAGCACTTTGGGAGGCTAAGGAGGGTGGATCACTTGAGGTCAGGAGTTGGAGACCAGCCTGGCCAACACAGTAAAACACCATCTCTACTAAAAATACAAAAATTAACTGGGCATGGTGGCGCATGCCTGTATCCTAGCTACTCAGGAGGCTGAGGCAGGAGAATCGCTTCAACCTGGGAGGTGGAGATTGCAGTGAGCCGAGATTGTGCCACACACTCCGGCCTGGGTGATAGAGCAAGACTCACTCTCAAAAAAAAAAAAAAAAAAATGCAAAAAAGGCCGGGCAGGGTAGCTCACACCTGTGATCCCAGCACTTTGGGAGGCCAAGGCAGGCAGATCACTTGAGGCCAGGAATTCGAGGCTAGCCTGAACAACACGGTGAAACCTCATCCCTACTAAAAGTACAAAAAAAATTAGCTGGGCATGGTGGCGAACACCTGTAGTCTCAGGAGACTGAGGCACAAGAATCACTGGAACCTGGGAGGCGGAGGTTGCAGTGAGCTCAGACCACGCCATTGCACTCCAGCCTGGGCAACAGAGTGAGACTCTGTCTCAAAAAAAAAAAAAAAATCTTTAACATACTTTTCCACTTAAGGTATTAGTCACTCTTGTGTTGTATAAGGTAATATCCACAGGTTTTGGGAATTAGGTTTTATCCAGAGGTTTTGGGACCATGTGGCTATTGAGGTCTTGACATATGACTAGGATAACTTTATTTAGTTTAATTAAAAAAAAATTTTTTTTTGAGACAGCCTCACTGTGTTGCCCAGGCTGGAGTGCAGTGGCGTTATCACAGCTCACTGCTCAACCTCCTGGGCTCAAACGATCCTCCCTCCTCAGCCCCGCAAGTAGCTGGAACCGCAGGCATGTGCCACCACACGTGGCTAATATTTAGACTTTTTGTAGAGACTGGGTCTCACTGGTTGTCTAGGGTGGTCTTGAACTTCTGGGCTCAAGTGATCCTCCTGCCTCGACCTCCCAAAGTGCTGGGATTGCAGACCTGAGCTGCCATGCCCAGCCTGGTTTAATTTAATTTTACATACATACATTTATTTATTTATTTAAGATAGGGTCTCACTCTGTCACCCAGGCTGGAGTGCCGTGGTGGAAACACAGCTCGCTGCAGCTTCGACCTCCAGGGCTCAAGCAGTCCTCCCACCTCAGCCTCCCAAGTAGCTGGGAGCACAGTTGTGTTCCACCATGCTTGGCTAATTTTTGTACTTTTTGTAGAGATGGGGTCTTGCTATGTTTCCCAGGCTGGTCTTGAACTCCTAGGCTCAAGCAGTCCTCCCACTTCAGTTTCCCAAAGTGCTGGGATGACAGGCATGAGCCAGTGCACCTGGCCCAAAGTCATATTTTTACTTCTAACGTAGTTCAGCCTTAAGACTGTACCAGCAGATAGAGACGGAAAAGTAAGAAAAAGTGAATATCAGATTACATTTATAAATAAAGCAGTTACTAATTAATATGTTGTTTTTTTAAACCTCCTTTTTAACTCTGGGTTACATCATTCCCTGGCTGTCTTTACCCTAGCATCAGTGAGTCCTGCAGTCACTATAGCCCCCTGCGAGGACAGATATTTTGGTCACCATCAAGTGGATCTTTATTTTTTATCTAACATTTACAATTCTGCCAGTTCTGACTCTTAAATTCTCTTTGCCTTGAATCCCAGGATCCACCTCTGATGTTCAGTGAAGACTACCAGAAAAGTCTGCTAGAGCAGTACCATCTGGGTCTGGATCAAAAACTCAGAAAATACGTGGTTGGAGAGCTCATCTGGAATTTTGCCGATTTCATGACTAACCAGTGTAAGCGGCAGTTTGGCTCATAGGATAATGTACCCGTCCTCATTTTTTCAGGTTGCCTTGCCCATTCTGGACACTTTGATTGTAAGAATATTGGAAACAAAGCGAGGAGCTGGTTTAATCCATGCAGGTTGCGTTGAGGATTTCCTAGGAAAAGTGAGTTGTGCTTAGTAAGTAGGAAAGCAGTCAGGCCCCTGCTTCCCAAATACAGTCAAAAAGCAAACAGGAGAGTCTGCTATAGTGAGATGTAAATGGCTAGCTTGCCTTTTTCTTGTCTATTTCATAGCCAAGGAGGAAGGAAAAACTGGACCTCATGGATTTACTTTAGGAAGGTACAAAGCCTGAGAAGCTTAAGGTATTTCAGTCTGTTTTATATTACTCACTTGCAAAAAGCAGGCTCATCGAATACAGGTGAGTTTCAACACATCTTGAATATGGCAGCATTTAAAAGTCTTTAGACTGGGCATGGTGACTCATGCCTGTAATCCCAGCACTTTGGGAGGCCAAGGTGGGAGGATCATTTGAGGCCAGGAGTTCGAGACCAGTCTGCTAAGCATAGCAAGACCCCTTCTCTACAAAAAGTAAGCAAATTAGCTAGGTGTGGTGGTGTGTTCCTGTAGTTCCAGCTGCTTGGGTGGCTGAGGCAGGCAGATCGCCTGAGCACAGGAGTTGGGGGCTGCAGTGAGCTATGATTACACCACTGCACTTGAGCCAGGGTGACAGAGTGAGACCTGTCTTAAAAAAAAAAAAAAGGGGGTCTTCAAAGACAAGAACATCTGTGCTGTCACGTTGGGTGGATGAGGGGCTGCCAGGTTTGCAATGAATGTTTCCCATTTCTTCTTAGTTTATGGACTTACCATAAACTCAGGATGGCAGTTTGGTGGGTTGGAGAAGGATATGGTGATTGCGGGAGTTACAAGACATTACTTATAGGGGAAAACAGGGTTTTGAAAGGTTAACGCTTAAAAGTGAGAATGGAAAAGGGATGAATGAATGAACAAGATGAGGTGAGATGGAAGAGGTAAAGGGAAAAGGAGAACAAGCAGCTCTTCTCTGCGTGGCGCCTGGGATGAATGGTTTCTGGGGACATCCCTGATGGCAGTTTTGTGGAGAGGCGCAAAACTTTATGTGGTAAGAAATGAGCTGTAGGCCCAGCGCAGTGACCCACGCCTGTAATCCCAGAACTTTGGGAGGCCGAGGAGGGCGGATCACTTGAGGTCAGGAGTTCAAGACCAGCCTGGCCAACATGGAGAAACCTTGTCTCTACTAAAAGTACAAAAATTAGGCAGGCGTGGTGGCAAGTGCCTGTAATCCCAGTTACTCGGAAGGCTAAGGCATGAGAATCGCTTGAACCCGGGAGGTGGAGGTTGCGGTGAGGGAAGATCGCACCTTTGCACTCCAGCCTGGGCAACAAGAGCAAAACTCTGTTTTAAGAAAAAAAAAAAGAAAACAAAAGAAACGGGCCAGGCGGGCTGGGCGCAGTGGGTCAGGCCTGTTATCCCAGCACTTTGGGAAGCCGAGGTGGGCGGATCACGAGGTCAGGAGTTGGAGACCAGCCTGGCCAACATGGTGAAATCCCGTCTCTACTAAAAATACAAAAATTATCTGGGCATGGTGGCTGCTGCCTGTAATTCCAGATACTTGTTAGGCTGAGGCAGAATTGCTTGAATCCAGGCAAGTGAAGGTTGCAGTGAGGCCACTGCACTCCAGTCTGGGCAACAGAGTGAGACTCCATATCTAAAAATAAAATAAAATGGAGGAGGAGGAAGAGGAAGAGGAGAAAAAAGAAGAAGAAACAGCTAGGTGCAGTGGCTCATGCCTGTAATCTCAGCAATTTGGGAGGTGGAGGAGGAGCAGGAGGAGGAAAAGGAAACAACCAGGCCAGTCATGGTGTCTCGTGCCTACGAGGAGGAGGAGGAAGCGGAGGAGGGGAAAAAAAAGGAGGAGGAAAAAGAAACGGAGCAGAAGGAGTTGGAGGAGGAGGAGGTGGAGGAGGAGGAGGGAAAAGAAATGGAGCAGGAGGAGGAGGGAAAAGAAATGGAAGAGGAGGAGCAGGAGGAAAATGAAATGGAGGAGGAGGAGGAGGAAAAAGAAATGGAGGAGGAAAAAGAAACAGGAGGAGGAAAAAGAAACGGAGGAGGAAGAGGAGGAGGAGGACAAAGAAACAGCCAGGCCGGACGTGGTGGCTCACCCCTGTAGTCCCAGCTGCTCGGGAGGCTGAGGCAGAAGAATCGCTTCAACCCGGGAGGCAGAGTTTGCGTGAGCCGAGATCGTGCCACTGCATTCCAGCCTGGAGACAGAGTGAGACTCCATCTCATCTCAAAAAAAACAAAAGAAAACAAAACAAAAACAAAAAAACAGCCAGGAGCCGTGGCTCACGCCTGTAATCCTAGCAATTTGGGAGGCGATAAGAATTATTGAAATGCAATAAGAATTACCGAAATGTTGAACAAAGACACCAAGTGAGCACGTGCTGTTGGAAAAATAGCACCAATACTACACTAGCTCAACACAAGGTTGCCACAATCCTGTAATATATTAAAAATTGGGCCAGGCAAGGGGCCGGGAGGGGTGGCTCACACCTGTAATCTCAGCACTTTGGGAGGCCAAGGCAGGCGGATCACCTGAGGTCAGGAGCTCCAGACCAGCCTGGCCAACATGGTAAAACCCCATCTCTACTAAAAATACAAAAATTGGCTGGGGGTGGTGGTGGGTGCCTGTAATCCTAGCTACTATGTAGGCTGAGGCAGGAGAACCACTTGAACCCGGGAGGTGGAGGTTACAGTGAGCCAAGATCATGCCATGGCACTCCAGCCTGGGTGACAAGAGCAAAACTTCATCTCAAAAAAAAAGAAAAGAAAAGAAAAACAAAATGGGCCAGGCGGGCTGGGTGCAGTGGCTCATGCCTGTAATTCCGGCACCTTTGGGAGGCTGAGATGGGTGGATCACGAGGTCAGAAGTTTGAGACCAGCCTGGCCAACATGGTGAAACCACATCTCTACTAAAAATAGAAAAATTATCCTGGCGTGGTGGCAAGCGCTTGTAATCCCAGCTACTCGGGAGGTTGAGGCAGGAGAATTGCTTGAACCTGGGAGGTGGAGGTTGTAGTGAGTGAAGATCTTGCCACTGCACTCCAGCCTGGGCAACAGCCAGACTCTGTCTCAAAACAAACCAACACAAACAAACAAAAACAAACCCCAAAACCAAAATTGATATTTCCCGTGTACATTCGACCTTGACTGTTGCTCATTCAACCCAGCCCAACTCAGTGCCCCATCCCCTGGCCCTGAAGAGACCATTCTGGCCCAGAAGTGTCCTGGCTCGGAGCAGCACCTTCTGCTACCACACTGGGCCTCCCTTCTCCTCAGTGCCCAAGGGGAGGCACCTCACTCTGATCTCCCAGTGGCATCCTATTATGCCTGCCAGTAAGGATAGGCGCTTGGTCCTAGAGCAGAGTGGTCTGCCGTTGGACCAGCCCAGCACTCCAGGTGACCTCAGCCTGCCCCAGGCCTTCCTGTAGGTTGGCACTAATTGGTTTGGCTGCAGCCTTGCATATTTAGCAGTTTTTATTACTAATAATACAGGCAGGGTGGCCCAGGACCCCGCTGGGGGAGGTACTGCCAGGCTCCCAGCTGAGGGGCAGGCTGGCTCCAATTCTGACTGGCTGGCCCCAGTGATCAGAAAGATCCAGGCCCCACCTAGTGCTTTGCTGGAGATCTAGGCTTGGTGGGGCAGCTTGTGGGGTAAGGGGCAGGACCAGCTCAAAAGACGGGGTGGGGGCGGAGGCTCCCTCTGCAGGGCAGAGTCCTTTGGCAGCTGGGGCTGTTGGGCATGGAGGGGTCAGTTCACAGCTCAGGGCCAGAGCACGGTAGAGGTCTCTGGGTGCACACAAGAACCAGGAGTGGAGCTGAAACATGTCCTGTCCCCTGCCTGCCCTCCCTTAGTAACTGCTGGCATTTCCCAATTCCTTCCTGAGCACCAGGCACCATGTTATGCATGCAATTTGCAAATGTTACCTGATTGAATGCTCAAAACAAGGCTATCACATAGGTACTGTATTATTTTTCAGAAGATGTCTTGCTCTGTCACCCAGGCTGGAGTGCAATGGTGCCATCTCTGTTCACTGCAACCTCCACCTCCAGGGTTCAGGTGAATCTCCTGCTTCAGACTTTCAAGTAGCTGGGACTATAGCTGCCCGCCACTGCGCCTGGCTAATTTTTGTATTTTCAGTAAAGACAGGGTTTCCCCATGTTGGCCGGGCTGGTCTCAAACTCCTGACCTCAAGGGATCCACCCATCTGGGCCTCCCAACCCTGAGTTTTTATAATAGGCCCCAGGCCAGGTGGTTAACAGAGGTCTGGGGCATTGCAGGGGGACAGAGGAGGACATATGTCCCTATTGGCCATTGTAGAGTCCCTTCCACAAAAAGGATGTCAGTCAAGTGACGTGCCCACCTCCACCCCACCCTCCCCCCCAGTCCTGGGCACTAGGACTACTTCCCAGGTGCCCTGTACCCTTCCCCGATCTGTCCCATGCCCTGGCCTCTGCCCGCTTTCAAAACATAGATGTGGCCAGCGCCTTGGCTTATGCCTATAATCCCAGCACTTTCGGAAGCAGAAGGATTGCTTGAGCCCAGGAGTTCAAGACCAGCCTGGGCAACATAGATCCTGTCTCAACATATTTTCTGCAAAATTTTTGTTTTTCCTAGACAGAGTCTCCTTCTGTCACCCAGGCTGGAGTGCAGTGGCACGATCTTGGCTCACTGCAACCTCTGCCTCCCGGGTTCAAGCGATTCTCCTGCCAAGCCTCCTGAGTAGCTGGGACTACAGGCGAGCACCACCATGCCCAGCTAATTTTTGTATTTTTAGTAGAGACAGGATTTCACCATGTTAGCCAGGATGGTCTCGATCTCCTGACCTCGTGATCCACCTGTCTCGGCCTCCCAAAGTTCTGGGATTACAGGTGTGAGCCACCGCACCCAGCCCTACAAAATTTTTCAAAAATGTATAGGTGTGGTGGCACATGCTTGTAGTCCGAACTACTGGGGAAGCTGAGACAGGAGGATTGGTTGAGCCCAGGAGTTTGAGGCCACAGTAAACTGTGATGGCACCACTGCACTCCAGCCTGGGTAACAGAGTGAGACCCTGTCTCTAAAAAAGAATTAAAATTTTTTTTAAATAACAAAATGGGCTGGGCTCGGTGGCTCATGCCTGTAATCCCAGCACTTTGGAGGCTGAGGTGTGTGGATCACTTGAGGCCAGGAGTTCAAGACCAGTCTGGCCAACATGGTGAAATCCCGTCTCTACTAAAAATACAAAACTCAACCAGGTGTGATGGCACATACCTGTAATTCTAGCTACTTGGGAGGCTGAGGCAGGAGAATCGGCTTGAACCTGGGACACGGAGGTTGCAGTGAGCCGAGATCGCACCACTGCACTCCAGCCTGGGCGACCAAGTGAGACTCCGTGTCTCAAAAATAAGAACAAAATGTAGATGCCTACGTACCATCTCTCTACCCTTGGCTCCTGGGGAGTAAGGGTCACCCAGTGACCTCCTAGAAGGCCAGTGACAATGGGGGGTGTCAGAGTGCTCTTCAGAGCCAAGGGAGCAGTAGGAATTGGGATCTTAGTCTCTTAGTCTGACTCCAAGCTGTGAGGGAGAGAGTTGCAGGGCACTTAAGCTTGGTGGAGACCGTCAGTGCCTCCTTGCCTGTCCCTGCAGCAAAAGTTCAGGACACCAGAGCCAAGCTCAGAGGCCGTGGTGGAACAGGGGTGAAGAGCATGGGTTCTGACTTTAAACTGCTGGGCTGCAGCCCTGGCTCTCCCTCCCCGGGTAAGGGCAGGCTGCATGCCTCCCTGTGCCTCAGTTTCCCCCTCTTCATAGTGGGATTGTATTGGTGCCTACCCCAGAGAGTTGTGTCATCAATTAGGATGGCACCTGGCACCTTGGTCAGTGGCAGGAAAGGTTCCAGAAGCTCTGCTCTGGTCCCGGGGTGCCTCGGGCCCTGCCACCATCTCCTTGGGGTGGTGCCATGTGGTGGGAAAGACCCCAACTTCAAGGCCAGACGCAGTGGCTCATGCCCATAATCCCAGCACTTTCAGAGGCCGAGATGGGAGGATCACCTGAGGTCAGGAGTTCAAGACCAGCCTGGCCAACATGGTCAAACCCTGTCTGTACTAATGATCCAAAAATTAGCCAGGTGTGGTGGTGCGTGTCTGTAATACCAGCTACTCGGGAGGCTGAGGCAGGAGAATCTCACGAACCCGGGAGGCGGAGGTTGCAGTGAGCCGAGGTTGCACTACTGCAGTCCAGCCTGGCTCTGTCTTGGTGTTCAGCCATGTTCCCATGCTCACTCCCAAGGTGACTCTGGGAAGGTCTCAGCCTTTTTGTCTTCCCAGTTAGGATGGTCCCATGCCCCTGCTACCATCAGACTTGGTAAGTTTCCCAAGGAGACTCTGCAAGAGGCACTGTTCTGGATGGTGGAGGAGAGACTAATTGTTCTGCTCTCCTGGCCAGAGTGGGTGCAGTGGACCCCATCATGGAGAAGTTCAACACATCCAGCCTACGACCAGCACCTGTGGGAGGTGGATATTCAAGGCAGCAGAGCCTACAGCCGGGGCATGGAGAAGGCAGGGCTCCTCGCCAAGGCCGAGATGGATGGTTTTACGTTGAACTAATTATATACTCAAGTGCTGTTTAACTGTGTGCCTTGACCTCTTCTCTCCTTTAATGATCCCTGTGGCCCACATGGCTTATGGGTAAAGGTGTGCTGGGCTCGAGATGCCCCCTCCCAGGGTGCACTTCCAGGACTCAGCTCCTGGACAGGGACAGTCAGTCATCAGGAATAAGGTGGGATCAGGGCAGGGGCTCTCGGCTGCTGATGCCTGCTCACCTGACCCCTGGTATTGCTGCTACGTGCTATAGGTGGTTGAGGAGTGGGCCCAGGGCACCTTCAAACTCAACCCCAATGATGAGGACATCCACACAGCCAACAAGTGCCACCTGAAGGTACGAACCCTGCAGCCCCACTGCCTTCCTGGCCTCCCCTCTCCACCTTGCGCGGGGCCACTTTGAGCATTAGCACCATCATTCTGTGATCATTGGTGAAACCGCAGGGAAGGCGCACATGGGATGGAGCTGGAATGACCAGGTGCCTCTAGCCCCTCCACCCCCCAACTCCATGCTGTCCCAACCTTGGGGAGCCCAGGGGGCAGTCAGAGCTCAGCAGTGGTCCTGGCTCCCCAGGGAAGTAATATGTCAGTTTCCCTGAGCACTACCTCCTTTTCGCACAGGTGGTCACGGACCTCAGGTTGTGGATGTGGCAGACCTGCTTCACGCTCTCGGGCCTCCTCTGGGAGCTCATCAGGACTATGGGGGATTGGGCAGAGGTGTGAGTACCCAAGGGACACCCAGGGGGCAGAGAGAGGTGTGATGGCAGCCTGAACAGCAGACCTAGGTGGCAGGGGTGAACAGGGTGGGGGTGCCAGGCCCTGGGGGACCGGGGCATCCCAAAACTCCAGGGTCGAGGCAGAGCAGCCAGGAGTGGGGCATTTCCTGCAGACGGCAATATTCCCATGGCAGTCTAGCTCAGCTGGCAAGGAAAACTCACCCTTCATGGGGCCGGTGCAGGGGTTCATGCCTGTAATCCCAGCACTTTGGGAGGCCGAGGCAGGTGGGTCAGGAGTTCGAGACCAGCCTGGCCAACATGGTGAAACTCTTTATCTTTACTAAAAATACAAAAATTAGGCAGGTGTGGTGGTGGGCGCCTGTAATCCAATCTACTCAGGAGACTGAGGCAGGACAACTGCTTGAACCCAGGAAGCAGAGGTTGCAGTGAGCTAAGATTGAGCCACTGCCAGCCTGGGCGACAGAGCGAGACCCTTGTCTCAAAAATAAAATAGAAAACTCACCCTTTGCGGATTTAAGGGCAGGAAGCTAAGGCACTAGCTTGGCTGTGCCTGGAGCAGCCAGACTCACCTGCTACCCTGCCTGTGCCCCACGTCTCCCATCCCATGCTCCGCGTCCCCATCTAGCCCATCTGGCAAAAGAGCCAAAGGCTGCCTCATATTGGCCTCATCCCAGGCTTTCACCTGGTGTCTTTGGGACTGGATTTGATCCTTGCAGACCTGGATGGGGAGCTGCTGAGGAGTCTCTGATGTGTTGTCAGAGACCCCTCCTCTTCCTCAACTCCCTGTGACCCCTGGTTCACAGACCTGGGGGGAAACAAGGGCACACAAATTGTCACCCTGTAGGTGGGGCGGGGCTGCTAGGAGAAACAGGGAGTGTCTGCTACTGAGTTCAGGGTTTCTTTAATTTTTTTTTTCTTTCTTTTGAGATAGGGTCTCACTCTGTCGCCTAGTCTGGAGTCCAGTGGCACGATCTCAGCTAACTGCAAACTCTGCCTCCCAGGTTCAAGCAATTCCAGTGCCTCAGCCTCCGAAGTAGCTGGGATTACAGGTGTGCGCCACCACATCCAGCGAATTTTAGTATTTATTTCAGTAGAGATGGGTTTTGCCTTGTTGGCCAGGCTGGTCTCGAACTCCTGAGCTCAGGTGATCCGCCTGCCTTGTCTTGCCAAAGTGATAGGATTAGAGGCATAAGCCACTGCACCCGGCCTAATTTTTAACTTTGTGACTTTTTAAATTGTCTTTAGAGATGAGGTCTTGTTCTGTCACCTAGGCTGGAGTGCAGTGGTTCAGTAATAGTTCACTGTAGGCCCACACTCCTGGACGCAGATGATCCTCCCACCTCAGCTTTCTGAGTGGCTAGAACCACAGGTGTGCACCACTCCCTGCAAATTTTTAAAATTTTTTGTAGAAACGGGGTGTCTCACTATGTGGCTCAGGCTGGTCTCAAACTCCCAGCCTCAAGTGATTCTTCCCTCTTGGCCTCCCAAAGTGCTGGGATTATAGGCTTGAGCCACAATGCCTGGCCTTGAGTACAGAATTTCTTTATGGGGTGATGAAAATGTTCTAAAATTGGTTTTGGTGATGGTTGTACGCTACAATGTGAACTTAAAATGGGTAAATTATTTGTGAATGAGATCTCAGTAAAGCTGGTTTATTTAAAACAACAACAGGCCGGGCACAGTAGCTCACGCCTGTAATCCCAGCACTTTGGGAGGCCAAGGCGGGTGGATGACCTGAAGTGAGGAGTTTGAGACTAGCCTGGTGAACATGGTGAACACGGTGAAACCCCATCTCTACTACAAATACAAAAAATTAGCTTGGCGTGGTGGCGGGCACCTGTAATCCCAGCTACTTGGGAAGCTGAGGCAGGAGAATCTTGAACCTGGGAGACGGAGGTTGCAGTGAGCCAAGACCGTGCCGTTGCACTCCAGCCTGGGCAACAAGAGTGAAACGCTGTCTCAAAAACAACAACAGCAACAAAAAACAGGCCAGGTGTGGTGGCTCACATTTGTATTCCCAGCCCTTTGGGAGGCCAGGGCAGGAGGATTGCTTGAACCCAGGAGTTTCAGACCACCCTGGGCAATATAGCAAGACCCCATTTTTACAAAAAATTAAAAATTAGCTGGACATAGTGGCATGTCTCTGTAGTCCTAACTACTCAGGAGGCTGAGGCAGGAGGATCACTTGAGCCTAGGAGATCGAGGCAGCAGTGAGCTATGATCGTGCCACTGCACTCCACCCTGGGCAACAGAAAAGTCCCTGTCTCTGAAAATAAAAACAGTAAGAAAACAGGACCATCACTCACAGCACCTCTGCCTCTGCCCTACCTACTTGAATGAGGAGCAGGGTGTCTCAGCTGGTCAGAGCAGCCCTTGAATGAGCCCCAGCTATTTCTGGGGTCCTCAAACGAAACCTCCCATGGCCAAGTCATACCCAACACGGGCCTGCTCCCCTGTTCTGGCCTCAGCTCGGAGATGCTGAGTGACAGAGGCTCAGCCTTCGGGTGTTCCTGGCAAACCCTCACCTCCGGAGGCCCCACAGCTCAGACCTAGTCCTTGGTTCACATGGCCCCACTTCCATCCTCTTTTTCCCTTAAGACTGATTTGTCCTGGGAGATCACTGGATCCCTCATTCAGGTGGAGTGCTGCAGGACGACACTTTTTCCAGGGGTGACCCAGGCCTGCAGGGTCCCAGTGTCACAGGCAGGCCTTGCCCGAGCCTCCACCTGAGCCCCTGCTCCTCTTCTCCCACAGGGAGGTGGAGGTTACAGTGAGGTGAGTTCAGGCCACTGCACTTCAGCCTGGGCAACAGAGTGAGATTTTGTATCGAAAAAAAAAAAAAAAAAAAAAAACAGGGTGCAGGCAGTGGAGGCAAATTAGGGCATGGACGAAGCTGCCTCAGTGCCACCTTTCTGCCCGGCACTCAGATGCCATTCCACTAGGCCCACGAGGCCTCCAAGGAAAGCCATGTTCATGGCCGAGACCAAGGGGGTTGCCCTCAACCAGCTGTCACTACGGGAGCTGCAGACCATCAGGTGCGGCCCACCCCCTTCCCCACGCTGTCTCCAGGTGGCCTGGCACCCTGGCCCACCTCTTCCTCTCTTTAGCCCCCTGTTCTCAGGCGACATGAGCCGCATGTGGGAATACGGGCACAGCGTGGAGCAGTACAGTGCCCTGGATGGCACTGAGCACTCCAGCGTCGACTGGCAGATCTGCCAGGTGCGGGCGCTACTACAGGCACAGCAGGCCTAGGTCCTCCCACGCCTGCCCCCAAATAAAGTGGGCGCGAGAGGAGGCTGCTACGTGTTTCCTGCCCCACCCTGGCTCCCTTGTTGCTGGGCTTTCCAGGGCTGGCCAGTGGGGACGGTCAGGGACTGGAGAGGCAGAGCGGGGTCGCCTGTAATCGCAGCACTTTGGAAAGGCAAGGTGCGAGGATGCTTGAGACCAGGAGTTTGACACCAGCCTGGGTAACACAGGGAGACCCCATCTCTACCCAGTAATAAAATAACTAGCCCAGCATGGTGGCCCATGCATATAGTCTCAGCTGCTTGTAAGGCTGAGGTGAGAGGATCATTTGCGCCTAGGAATTGAGACTGCGGTGAGCTATGATCACACCCCTGCATTCCAGCCTGGACAACAGAGTGAGACCCTGTCTCTAAAAATAAAAAATAAAATGGAAGTGGAGAAAACTGGGCAAGGACACTGAGAGTCATAGATGGGAAGGGAAGAGGGGGCTCCTATCACAGCCTCTGCCCTGTCCAGGCCCTGTCCCCTTCAAACAGGGTATCACAGTGACCTCCTAGGCCAGGAGCGGCAGCTCATGCCTGTAATCCTAGCACTTTGGGAGGCCTGGGCACAAAGCAAGACCCCAGCTACTGCATTAAAAAAAAAAAAAAAAAAAAACCTAGCCAAGCTGGGCGGGTGGCTCACACCTGTGATCCCAGCACTTTGGGAGGCTGAGGTGGGTGGATGACCTGAGGCCAGGAGTTCGAGACCAGCCTGGCCAACGTGGTGAAACCCCATCTCAAACTCCGTCTCAAAAAAAAAAAAAATAGTGTGTGGTGGCACACACCTGTAATCCCAGCTACTCGGGAGGCTGAGGCAGGAGAATCATTTGAACCCCAGAGGTGGAGGTTGCAGTGAGCCAAGATCGCCCTACTGCACTCCAGCCTGGGCGACAGGGAGACTCCCTCTCAAAAAAAAAACAAACAAAAAAACAAAAAAACAAATTAGCCGGGCATGGTGGCAGGTGCCTGTAATCCCAGTAACTCAGGAGGCTGAGGCAGGAGAGTCGCTTGAACTCAGTGGTCGGAGGTTGCAGTGAGCCGAGATGGAGTCACTGCACTCCAGCAATCCTGAGGACACTTAAGAACTAAACATAGTATGGTGTCCTGGATGAGATCCTGGGACAGGAAAAGGAGATTAGGGGAAATAGTAAAGAAATCTGAATCAAGATGAACCTTAGTTGATAATAATGTATCAGTATTGGTTTATTGGGGCCAGGCATGGTATCACATCCTAGCACTTTCGGAGGCTAAGGTGGGAAGATCCTGAGGTCAGAAGTGTGAGACTAGCCTGGGCAACATAGTGAGACCGCATCTCTCTAAAAAAATTGTTTTTTATTTTAGTCAGCATGGTGGTATGCACTTATAGTCCCAGCTGCCAGGGAGGCTGAGGAGGGAGAATTGCTTGAGCCCAGGAGTTTGAGGCTGCAGTGAGCTGTGACTGTGCCACCGTGCTCCAGCCTAGGCAACAGGGCAAGACCACATCTCTCCAAAAATTTTTTCATTAAAAAAAATTTTTTTTTTTTTGAGATGGATTTTCACTCTTGTTGCCCAGGCTGGAGTGCAGTGGTGAGATCTCAGCTCACCGCAACCTCCGCCTCCTGGTTTCAAGCGATTCTTCTGCATCAGCCTCTTGAGTAGCTGGGATTACAGGCATACGCTACCACATTCGGCTAATTTTGTATTTTTAGTAGAGACGGGATTTCTCCATGTTGGTCAGGCTGGTCTCAAACTCCAGACCTCAGGTGATCTGCCCGCCTCGGCCTCCCAAAGTGCTGGGATTTTAGGCGTGAGCCACCGCGCCTGACCTTACATGTTTTTTTAAGTGAAGCAAGGTCTCACTGTATTGCCCAGGCTAGTCTTGAACTCCAAGACTCAATCCTCCCACTTTGGCTTCCCAAAGTGCTGGGATCATAGGCGTGCGGTACCATGCCCAGCCAGGTTTTTTAACTGTAGCAATTTACCATATTAATTTAAGATGTTCATAACAAGGAAGCCAGGTACAAGGGTATATGTGAACTCTGTGCTATCTTGGCAATTTGTCTGTAATTCTAAAACTGTTTTAAAAAGTTTACTCAACTTCTCAATGTGCTGCTAAAGGAAGAAATAATTAAAATATTAAAAGTGTTTTATTTTTAAAATCTTTCTTATTTTTTTGAGACAGGGTCTCGCTCTGTCACCCAGGCTGGAGTGCAGTGGCGTGATTTTGGCTCACTGCAACCTTTCCCTCCCAGATTCAAGCAATTCTTCCACCTCAGCCTCCTGAGCAGCTGGGATTACAGGCATGTGCCACCACGCCCAACTGATTTTTGTATTTTTAGTAGAGACAGGGTTTCACCATGTTGGCCAGGCTGGTCTTGAACTCCTGGCTTCAAGCGATCCACCCGCCTTGGCCTCCCAGAGTGCTGGGACTACAGGCGTAAGCCACCGCGGCCGGACTATTTTTTAAATCTTTCTTAGAACCAAGGTCTTGTTAGGCTGCTAAGGCTAGATTCTAACTCCTGGGCTCAAGCAGTTCTCCTGCCTCAGCCTCCTGAGTTGCTGGATCTACAGGCATGCACCACCACCCCTGGCTAATTTTTGTATTTTTAGTAGAGACAGAGTTTCATCATGTTGGCCAGGCTGCTCTCAAACTCCTGACCTCAGGTGATCCGCCTGCCTCGGCCTCCCAAAGTGCTGGGATTATAGGTGTGAGCCACTGTGCCCGGCCAGAAGCCAACCTTTTATAAATCTATGCAGATGTGTGTCCCTATATGTTTATATATGAATCTGTGTATCTCTGCTACTGATTCTGCTTCTCTGGTTTGAACCCTAACACAACTAGTTGTTTTTTTTTTTTTTTTTTGAGTCAGAGTTTTGCTCTGTCACCCAGGCTGGAGTGCAGCAACGTGATCTCTGCTCATTGCAACCTCCACCTCCTGGGCACAACTAGTATGTTATAATCTGTTAGGAATTCAAATGTTTTTCAAAAGATCAAACTACATATTTAAATACATTTCAGATACAAACTTTTAAAATCATATTATGAAGCATTAAGTAAAATTCTACATTATTAGGCCAGGGACAGTGGTTTATGCCTGTAATCCCAGCACTTTGGGAAGCCAAGACAGGCAGATTGCTTGAGCTCAGGAGTTTGAGACCAGCCTGGGCAACATAGCAAGACCCTGCCTCCACAAAAAATAGAAAAATTAGCTGGGCATGGTGGTGCGTGCCTGTAGTCCCAGCTGCTCGGGAGGCTGAGATGGGAGGATCACTTGAGCCCAGGAATTTGAGGCTGCAGCAAAGCATGATTGAGCCATTGCACTCCAGCCTGGGTGACAGAGTGAGACCCTGTCCCCCCCAAAAAAAAAATCAACATCATTATATAATTCTACTGTAAATTATTAGCAAATAAAATGAAAGAAAATTAAGTATTATTTAAAAATAGGCCTGGTGCAGTGGCTCATGCCTATAATCCCAGCACTTGGGGAGGGGAAAGCAGGTGGATCACTTGAGGCCAGGAGTTTGATATCAGCCTGGCCAACATGGTGAAACCCCATTTCTATTAAAATTGCAAAAGTTCACCTGGTGTGGTGGCGCGTGCCTGTAATCCCAGCTACTCAGAAGGCTGAGGCAGGAGAATCGCTTGAACCCGGGAGGGGGAGGTTGCAGTGAGCTGAGATGGCGCCACTGCACTCCAGCCGGGGCAAAGGAGAGAGACTCTGTCTCAAAAAAATAAAATAAATAAATAAATAGCTAAACAATTGGTTCAAATGGACATAAAGATGGAAATAACAGACACTGGGAACTCCACAGGTGGGGAGGGAAGGAGGGGGAAGGGGTTGAAAAACTACCTATTGGGTACTATGGTCAGTGTTTGGGTGATGGGTTCACTAGAAGCCCAAACCTTAGCATTTTGCAATGTACTCATGGAACATACCTACACATGTACCCCATGAATCTAAAGTTTAATACAAATAATAAACTTAGTGCAATAGACAATTATAGAAGTTTAATCATAACACACTGAAGATAAAATAGCACTGATTTTTTTTTTTTCTGAGACAGAGTCTCATTGTTACCCAGGCTGGAGTGCAGTGGTGAGATCTCAGTTCACTGCAACCTCAGTCTCCTGGACTCAAGCAATTCTCGTGCCTCAGCCTCCCCAGTAACTGGGATTACAGGTGCACACGCTCTGCCTCCTGGGTTCAAGCGATTCTCTTGCCTCAGCCTCCCGAGTAGCTGGGGTTACAGGCACCTGCCTGTTCTACAACATGGATGAAACTTGAAGACATTATACTTAGTGAAATAAGCCAGACACAAATGGACAAATGTCATTTGAATCCACTTTTATGAGGTACCTAGAATAGGCAAATTCACATAGACAAAAAGTAGATTTGATGTTACTGGGACGAGAGGGAAGGAAGAATGTGGGACTGTAGTTAATGGGTTTAGAGTTTCTGGTTGGGAAGATGAAAGAGTTCTGGAGATGGATGGTGGTGAAGGTTGCCCAACAGTGTGAATGTACTTAGTGCCACGGAGCTGTACTTTTAAAAATAGTTAAAGTGGAAATATTGATGCTATGTATGTTTTACTGCAATAATAAAAATGGAGCTGGGCGTGGTGGCTCACACCTGTAATCCCAGCATTTTGGGAGGCCGAGGCAGGCAGATCACCTGAGGTCAGAAGTTCGAGTCCAGCCTGACCAACATGGAGAAACCCTGTCTCTGCTAAAAATGCAAAAAATTAGCCAGGCGTGGTAGTGCATGCCTGTAATCCCAGCTACTTGGGAGGCTGAGGCAGGAGAATGGCTTGAATCTGGGAGGCAGAGGTTACAGTGAGCCAAGATTGTGCCATTGCACTCCAGCCTGGGCAACAAGCGTGAAACTCTGTCTAAAAAAAAAAAAAAAAGGAAATGGGGCTCTATGTAGCAGGAGAGAGAGGGAGAGATAAATATACTTTTTTTTTTTTTTTTGAGATGGAGTCTTGCTCTGTTGCCAGACTGGGGTGCAGTGGCACGATCTTGGCTCACTGCAACCTCCACCTCCTGGGTTCAAGCCATTCTCCTGCCTCAGCATCCAGAGTAGCTGGGACTACAGCTGTGTGCTACCACGCCCAGCTAATTTTTGTATTTTTAGTAGAGACGGGGTTTCACCATGTTGGCCAGGATGGTCTCGATCTCTTGACCTCATGATCCGCCCGCCTCGGCCTCCAAAAGTTCTGGGAATACAGGTGTGAGCCACCACTCCCAGCCAATATTACACTTCTTTTTTTTTTTTTTTTTTTTTTTGAGATGGAGTTCTGCTCTTGTTGCCCAGGCTGGAGTGCAATGGCACGATCTCAGCTCACTGCAGCCTCCACCTCCCAGGTTCAAGCAATTCTGCCTCAGCCTCCTGAGTAGCTGGGACTAGGCGCACACCCATGCCCAGCTAATTTTTTTTTTTTTTTTTTTTTTTTGAGACAGAGTTTCACTCTTGTTGCCCAAGCTGGAGTGCAATGGCACAATCTTGGCTCACCACAACCTCTGCCATCCAGGTTCAAGCAATTCTCCTGCCTCAGCCTCCCGAGTAGCTGGGATTACAGGCATGCGCCACCATGCCCGGCTAATTTTGTATTTTTAGTAGAGACGGGGTTTCACCATGTTGCCAAAGCTGGTCTCAAACTCCTGAGCTCAGGCAATCTGCCCACCTTGGCCTCCCAAAGTGTTAGGATTACAGGTGTGAGCCACGGAGGCCAGCCCAATATTGCACTTCTTAAATGCACTTGTCTATTCCTTAATTGTCTTCATTGTTATATTCTCATAGTTTTAAAAGAGTAAAGATTTTTTTGGGGCTGGGCATGGTGGCTCACGCCTGTAATTCCAGGACTTTGGGAGGCCCAGGTGGGCAGATCACTTGAGGTCAGGAGTTCGAGACCAGCCTGGCCAACATGGTGAAACCCTGTCTCTGTAAAAAATAGAAAAGTTAGCTGGGTGTGGTGGTGCATGCCTGTAGTCCCAGCTACTTGAGAGGCTGAGGCATGAGAATTGCTTGAACCCAGGAACTCAGGAGGCGGAAGTTGCAGTGAGCCGAGATCATACTACTGCACTCCAGGCTGGGCAACAGAGTGAGACTCAGTCAAGAAAAAAAAAAGCTGGGGGTGGTGGCTCATGCCGGTAATCCCAGCACTTTGGGAGGCTGAGGCACGGAGATCACGAGGTCAGGAGTTCAAGACCAGCCTGACCAATATGGTGAAACCCCATCTCTAGTGAAAATACAAAAATTAGCCAGGCGTGGTGGCACTCGCCTGTAGTCCCAGCTACTTGGAGGCTGAAGCAGGAGAATCGCTTAAACCCGGGAGGTGGAGGTTGCAGTGAGCCAAGATGCCGCCACTGCACTCCAGCCTGGGTGACTGAGCAAGACTCCATCTCAAAAAAAAAAAAAAAGTTTTTTTGAAAATAAGAAATAAAGGCCAGGCACAGTGGCTTACACCTATAATCCCAGCACTTTGGGAGGCTGAGGTGGGTGGATCACGAGGTCAGGAGTTTGAGACCATAATGGCCAACATGGTGAAACCCTGACTCTACTAAAAGTACAAAAATTAGCTAGGTGTGGTGGTACGCACCTGCAGTCCTAGCTACTTGGAGGCTGAGGCCGGATAATTGCTTGAACCCAGGAGGCGGAGGTTGCAGTGAGCTGAGTCGCATCACTGCGCTCCAGCCTGGTGACAGAGCAAGACTCCGTCTCAAAAAAAAAGGAAAAGAAAAATAAAATACCACTGGGCATGGTGGCTCATGCCTATAATCCCAGCACTTTGGGAGGCCCAGGAGCTCGAGACCAGCCTGGGCAACATGGTGAGTCCCCATTTCTACAAAAAAATATTAAAAGAAAATTAGCTGGGCGTGGTAGCACATGCCTGTGGTGCCGGCTACTCAGGAGGCTGAGGTGGGAGGATCGCTTGAGCCCAGGAGATCAAGGCTGCAGTGAGCTGTGATGGCGCCACTTCACTCCAGTCTGGGTGTCAGAGCGAGACCCTGTGTCAACAAATAAATTTTAAAAATCTTATATTTACCACACAAAACCAATACCAATTACTAGACCAGCTTCTAAGGTAGAAACACTCTGGTCTGAACCCCTGGCAGGGAACTTGCACCCAGTAAGCCCCAGTTCAACACCAAATCCTTGTACCAAAGAGAGTTTGAGATTAAAATCCAGAAAAGCAAAGTTCACACTTTTTGTGGTTTTAGAGTCTCAGAAGGTGGTTTTATTGTTTCTTAATTATATTGAGTCTTATTTTAGCTTTAAAGGGAATGTCACCGGGTGCGGTGGCTCATGCCTCTAATCCCAGCACTTTGGGAGGCCAAGGCGTGGGAATCACCTGAGGTCAGGAGTTTGAGACCAGCCTGGCCAACATGGTGAAACCCCGCCTCTACTAAAAATACAAAATTAGCCGGGTGTGGTGGTGCATGCCTGTAATCCCAGCTACTCTGGAGGCTGAGACAAGAGAATCGTCTAGAACGTGGGAGGCAGAGGTTGCAGTGAGCTGAGATCACGCCAGCCTGGGTGACAGAGCAAGACTCTGTCTCAAAGAAAAAAAAAAAGGAATGTCTAGATGCAGTAGCTAAGTACACAGAAGCCATTTCAGTGTGGGAGGCGAGGTGACTGAATCCAGGGACTCCAGGTTTCTGGCTGTGGGGTTGAGACCGCCCATGGTCATTGTGATGAGATGAAGACAGAAAATGAGTTGGGCTGGGGGAAGGTGGTCATCTCTGGAAGTGATTAGTTTGAGACTCCTGTTGGGTAGCCCACTGGGCAAGGTCAGTAGGCAGTTGAGGAGCTGAGAGGGTTTGGAGCTGAGATAGACTCCAGCCTCACCATGTGGGCAATAGTGGGGGTCACAGAGTGTAAAGACGGCCAAGAAAGAGGTCTGGGTGGGGGTCTGGGGAGTCAGCAGCCAGGCATGGGCCGTGGAGAAACAGATGCCGGGGAAGAGGAAAGGGGAGTCAGACCTCAAGGGGAAAAGAGTCACTGGAAGGAGGGGCCAGCTCTGTGTCACATCCAGCAGAGACACCAGGTACAGCAGAAGGACCTTGGACATGACCATGAGGAGGGCCTTGTTGGCCATGACCTGGGATGGATGGGGGTGAGAGCCTGGGGGACCACACCATGTCCCCAGTACACGAAACAGTGCCTGGTAGACAGGATGGATTTATGGATGGATGGATAGGTAGGTGGATGAATGGACAGATGATAGATGGATGCAAAGACAGATGAATAGATGGACAGATGGATGGACGGACAGACGGAATGAATGATCAGAAAAGGCTTCATGAACAAAGTGAGACTGAGCTGCATCTCCATGGGTAGATACAAAAGCAGAGGACTCTCCTCTTGAGTCAGGAATGACCCAATGTCCTGGTCCAGGGAGCAAGTCAACTTGGCTTGACTGCAGACACTTGTGGCAGATTTCAGAGGCCCTTAAAATGAGGCCAAGTGAGGTGGACAGGTCCGAGCCAGCTGAGGACTCCTCAGCCACACGGCACAGCTGCCTGAGGGGATGTGTCACTCAGGGAGTTGCTGGGACCTACTGGGCCCAGCGTTGCCATCAGCACCAACAGCTTCAGAGAGGGGGACATATGCTGGGGTGACTCCAAGGCTGTGGGCGGCACCTGCCTCAGATAGAGAACAGGCACAGAGACACTACTGGGGGACACTACTGGGATACTGGCCACCCCCCTGCCCTGTGCCTGGGTCACAGCCTACACACTGCAGCCCTGTGCCCCTCACACCCAGCAGGTTCCTGCTCCAGCGTGGCTCCTGGACTGGCGCCAGATGCTGGCCCTGGGGGTTTCAATCCAAGCATAATTCAGTGAAGCATGTGTTTGGCAGTGGGACCCAGCTCACTGTTTTAGGTACGTGGCTCTCACAACTTTCCCTAGCCTGTCGCACCCTCTCCTGTCTCTGCAAAAATCTGTTTTCGTTCTCTGGGGCTTCTTCCCCTTTGCCCTCCAAGCCTTAAGCACGGAACCCTTCCTTTCTCCATAGGGTCTGGGGGAAGCGGGCTAGTCTCAGGTTAACTGGCATGAAGGGCTCCCACAGTGGGAGCAGCCGCCTTCAGGTTCCAACAGTGGGACACAGCCTGGTCCTGGGGCCTGGGCTGGGATTGGGCAGGGCACATGTCTGAATGAGGGACAGAGGCCGGTTCTGATGAGGGGCCGTACGGTGGCCTTAGAGACAGTCCCTGGGACCCCAGGGTCTAGGCTGAGGGCTGGATGCCTATCCAGGCTGGGAGGGCCACACGGGGGCCTGTGGACACAGGGGTCATCCCAAGGGGAGACCAATGGAGGGCAGAGAGGGCTCTGGGTCTAGGGTGTAGCTCTGTGGCCTCTGCTGGGTCGTGAGGACATGGGGACACAGAGGGATGGGTGAAACTGGGAGAGGTCCCAAGGCCCAGCCCTCCCTGGACAGTCCCAAGAAAGGAGAGGGTCTCTTAGTGCAGAGATGTGTCTGTCCCTGGAGTCCCATCACCTCTGGGGCCCGGTGTCTGTTGAAGGGTCGACCTCCCACCTTCATTTGAGGAAGGGCACCTTAGACTCAGGAGGTGACTAGTGGGGAGTAAACGGGAGTGCAGAGAACTCCACGGCTGACAGGTGAAGTCCAGGGGTATCAGAGGCTGCTGGAGTGGGCATGGGGGCTGCGGTGCCCCGAAGTCTGTTAGCAGCCCCAAGAACCCAGCCGATGTGAAGGGTCCTGTGGTTGGGCTGGTGGGGACAGGGGCGATGGCAGAGCCCCAGGGTGTGTCTGGGTGGAGCCCACGCTTCACCAGGAGAGCTGAGTGGGCCAGGCTGGGGCATAGCCTGGTGCCCCAGGGGACGGGAAGCTCCAGGCCATGCCAGGCTTGGGCCTCCCCACACCCTGCCAGGTCAGTTTTGTGTGCTGTGAGGGAGACCCCTAGATTCCAAACTCAGACTCCAGAAACCAGGAAGGAGGGAGCACAGCCTGCCCTGGGTACACACGGGGAAACTGAGGCTGCAGAGGAAAGGGCTGGGCCAGGACACCTGGGAAAGGTGACTTGGGAAGGGCTCCTAGGAAGGCACAGGGCTGTCTGCTCTGCAGAGGGCTCCAGTGGAAAGGAGGGAATGAGGAGGGAAGGAGAGGCCCTGGGTGGACCAGACGGCCACACCATGAACCCTCCCAGAGACTTTAGACAGAGAGAGGCGCTCCACAACACCCCACACTCCCTCTGCCATCTCTCACCCCCTCCTCTGTCCACACAGGTCAGCCCAAGACTACCCCGTCGGTCATTCTGTTCCTGCCGTCCTGTGAGGAGCCCCAAGCCAACAAGGCCACACTGGTGTGTCTCATGAATAACTTTATCCGGGAATCTTGATGGTGACCTGGAAGGCAGATGGTACCCTCATCACCCAGAGCGTGGAGAAGACCACGCCCTCCAAACAGAGCAACAACAAGTACGTGGCCAGCAGCTACCTGAGCCTGACGCCCGAGCAGTGGAGGTCCCGCAGAAGCTACAGCTGCCAGGTTATGCAAGAAGGGAGCACCGTGGAGAAGTCAGTGGCCCCTGCAGAATGTTCATAGGTTCCAGCCCCCACCCCACCCACAGGGGCCTGGAGCTGCAGGATCCCAGGGGAGGGGTCTCTCTCTGCATCCCAAGCCATTCAGCCCTTCTCGCTGTACCCAGTAAACCCTCAATAAATATCTTTGTCAGCCAGAAATCCTGCTCCCTCTCTTCATTTCTTATCTCTCATATAATCTAATGCTTCTCCTGGGTTCTCAGTGTGGCACTGGGGGAATCCTGGCACCAGTGGGAAAGTAGCCTGGAGGAGAGGATCACAGTCTCCCAGGGGTGTCCCCTGGGGAAATAGGCCAGGATAGGAGTCAGCTCACTGGACACCAGTCCCTCCATTCTCTCCCTCCTCCCCTTCCTCCTTGCAGCTCAACCCCCAACTCGCTGCCTGCTTTCTGTAGGGAGCTATTTCTGGCTGAGCCTCCAGATACACCCTGTGTCCCTGTCCTGGTCTGGACCCTCTACCCACCCACGGCCTCTCTTTCCTCAGCCTGGAAATCCTACTCTGGGCCTGGAGTCCCTCTGCTTCTGGCCCTGGCCCCTGGAATGCCCTCCTTCCTCTCTGCGCAACTCCCCACCCCGAGAGCTGGACTGTCCAGGACACTCCAACACCATCAAATCCATGAGCTCTTACATTTTGGGCCCACCTTGATTCTTCACGTGACAGCAGGTTCAGAAGTGTGAGAAAAACAGGAGGAAGCCAGAAAGAAAACACACATGAAAGGCCTGCAAGAGGATCAGGACACTTGCAAAAGATAGGCTCTGAGCTCCCCAGGAACCAGTGCAAGAAGGGTAATAGGTGCTCCATCATTTCTTTCTTTTTTTTTTAGATGGAGTCTCACTCTGTCGCCCAGGCTGGAGTGCAATGGCTCGATCTTGGCTCACCGTAACCTCTGTCTCCCAGGTTCAACCAATTCTCCTGCCTCAGCCTCCTGAGTAGCCGGGATTACAGGTAGATGCTGCAATGTCCGGCTAATTTTTGTGTTTTTATTACAGACAGGGTTTCACCATGTTGTTCAGGCTGGTGTGCTCCATCATTTCTAAGAGATTAAATAAGTTTTCACTTGAGGGAAGTTGGTGTTCTCAATGCTGAGGCCAGGCATCTCCTCATAATTAAAAGTGGGGATGTGTTTTACCCAGGGCCTCACTATTGATGGGATTTGGGCTCCAACATGTGCACAGCTGACTGCCTGGCAGCCCTAGGACCTGGAGAGTTTCTCAGATGCTTGGCACAGAGAGTCACTGGCCATCTTTGGAGGAAGCATCATTTTGGGAAATGGAAAACCAGGTCCTGTGTTGGGAATATCTGTGAGGCTCCCAGGGTCTGGGGCTCCAGCTCCTCTCTGAGAAGGTGTCGGGGGAGAGAACAGGGCCCAGCCACACCCAGCCCCTCCTGCATGGTTCCTGCTCATCAGGGTGTTAGAGGGGTGGGGGCACTAGCAGTGGTCAGGCCTGTGTTTCTGTGGGTGGGGCCAGGGAGGGACCCTCGGTGCATCCTAGGGAGTCTCTCCCATGGCTCCTGTTTGACTTTCCTGTGGCTGCTGTCACAAATGACCCCTAAAACATCACACATTGGTTCTCTCCCTGGTCTGGAGGTTAGCCATCCAAAATGAATCGTAGAGTGCTAAAATCAGGGTGCCAGCTGGGCCAGGCTCCTTCTGAGGGCTCTGGGGAGAATCCATTTCCAGGATTTTTCCAGCTTCTAGAGGACGCCCTGGGCTCCTGGCCCCTTCTTCCAACTTCAAAGCCAGAGCTCAGCATCTTCAAATCTCTCTCCCACTCTTCTCTCTCTCTCTCTCTCTCCCTGCCAACTGTCTTCTCTCACCCTCCCTCCTTCTCTCCCTTTCTTGTCCTCCAGCCCCACACCTGCTGTCACTCTGACCCTCCTGCCTCCTCCTTTCCCTTATAAAGACCCCACCTTGGACCCACCCACATAACCCAGGATCATCTTCCACCTCAGGCCCCTTGACATCATCACATCTGTAAAGTCCCTGAGGCCACACAACACAGCACATGGACAGGTCCCGGGACTGGGACACAGCCGTCCCTGGGCCCTAATTCAGCCCAACCACAGCTCCTTTCCCTCCTTCCTCTCTCCTTCTCTGGGTATAAGAAGGGAATGCAGAGAGGTTGGTCAATGAATACACACTTACAGTTAGATGCAAGGAATGTGTTCTAATGTTGGATAGCAGAGTAGGGTGACTATGGTTAGCAATAATGTATTGTATATTTCAAAATAGCTACAAGAGAGAACTGAAATATACTCAACACATAGAAATGATAAATACTCAAGGCCATACCCCAAATATCCTGACTTGATGATGACATGGTGGATGCACGGAACCAAACAGCACATGCACCTCATAGAAATGTCCAATATTATGTATCAGTGTAATTTCTATGAATAAGAAAGGCAAAAAAAAAGAAGTTAAGCATAAACTAGCCATTTGACCTAGCAATTCTAGCCCTAGGAATTTATCTAGAAGAAATGAAAGCATGTGTTCCAAAAAGACGTGTACATAAATGTTCTCAGCAGCCTCATTCACTATAGGCAGCAACTGGAAACAACCCAAGTGTCCGTCAGCTAGAGAATGGATAGACCCATGTGGTCTGTGCATACAGTGGAGTACTGCTCAGTTACACAAGGAAAAGAAACTATGGATACAGGTCACAGGAGGGATGATCTTCAAAACATTACAGTAAGTGAAAGAAGTAAAACTCCACGAGGGAAGTTGGTGGGCATGGACGTGTGTTTGAACTGGCAGAATTTTACTCTGTTCATTGGGGTATCAGGTATTGAGTCCCTATTGACCAGGTACTGTGCTAGGTGTGGCCATTAGAGAAATGAGAAGCAGACACCAGCTCCATTGTGATGAGACTCACTCGATCAGCCATTTCTGATGAACACTCAGGTACCTTGACACTCCCTGCTCACATTTGCAGGCTTTACTTAATGCCACTTAAATCTCCCTATTCCCCAAGTCTTCTTTCTTTTCTTTTTTTTTTTAAGACAGAGTCTTGCTCTGTCACCCAGGCTGAAGTGCAGTGGCACCATCTCGGCTCACTGCAACGTCCGTCTCCTGGGTTCAAGCAATTCTCCTGCCTCAGCCTCCCAAATAGCTGGGATTACAGGTGCCCACCACCATGCCCAGCTAATTTTTGTATTTTTAGTAGTGACGGGGTTTCACCACGTTGGCCAGGCTGGTCTCGAACTCCTCCGGACCTCTGGTGATCCACCTGCTTAGGCCTCCCAAAGTGTTGGGATTACAGGCATGAGCCACCGCACCCAGCCCCCAAGTCTCCTTTCTTTCCAATTCCCCTTATCAGGCACAGCTTTTTAAAGCAATCCCTGCCATACCCATGGCTTCAATTGTTTTCTATATGCTCTGATGAGAATAAAATTCAAATGTTGTTTTTATATAACAGTTCTATTTTACATGACACCTCATTCACTACGATTGTAAATTCGAAGTTGCTCTAAGAAAGTAATAACTAAAAAGTTGTCATATTTGAGTATGTAAATTTTAGGAAATTTCCTAAATGGTTTGACTTTGTGGGTGTATTTTTTAAAACATGAGTTGTGATGTCACAGAATGGACTTAGCCTACAGAGGTTTCTGTCCAACTTTCTACCAGAGAGCTCCATTTCAATGCGATACTTAAGAGTCCAAAACTATGTGGTGTTTTTTTTTTTTTTTTGAGACAGAGTCTCACGCTGTCACCCAGGCTAGAGTGCAGTGGCACAATCTCGGCTCACTGCAAACTCCGCCCCCCAGGTTTAAGCAATTCTCCTGCCTCAGTCTCCTGAGTAGCTGGGATTACAGGTGCCCATCATCGCACCCGGCTAATTTTTGTAATTTTAGTAGAAATGGGGTTTCACCATGTTGGCCAGGCTGATCTCGAACTCCTGACCTCATAATCCACCCAGCTCGGCCTTCCAAAGTGCTGGGATTACAGGCGTGAGTCATTGCACCCAGCCGAAAACTATCTTATTCCCCATACCTATTCCTCTTCCTACATTGTCTTTGTAGGAGACATTCACTGCTATTTACCCAGTCCTTCAAACTAGAGCCTTAGCAGCCTGTTTTTCCTTTTCCTTCCCCTGTTCTTCCACATCTAATCCTCTAGCACTTTCTGTTCTCTCTGCCAAATGATCACAGAACTTCTCTGTCCACTTCAGTCATTTCTACTTCCTTTGGCCTTATCTGTTCTTCCAGATGAACATAATGTCTCTCTCTCTTTTTTTTTGAGACAGAATCTCTCCCTGTTGCCCAGGCTGGAGTTCAGTGGTGTGATCTTGGCTCACTGCAACCTCCACCTCCTGGGTTCAAGCGATTCTCCTGCCTCAGCCCCTTGGGTAGATGGGACTACAGGTACCCGCCATCATGCCAGGCTAATTTTTGTATTTTTAGTAGACATGGGGTTTCACCATGTTGGCCAGGCTGGTCTCGAACTCCTGACCTCAAATGATCCACTCACCTTGGCCTCCCAACATCATGTCTCTTAATTGGTCCCACTGGTTCCATGAGTCCTTCTCTATTGTGCAGAGAGACCTCACTGCAAACACATCTGATAGAGACTCCTCACCTCTGTGTGGTTCCGTGACTCTCATGTTTCCAGAATAAAACTTAAACTCTACTTCAACTCTACTGCTGGACAGTGAATGAGCCTTTGTATTCCAGGTTCATCCACTGTTTTGCAGTGTAGCCTCAGACAACTGAACTCTAAGCCTTTGTTTGCTCATCTGCCTGAACTCACTGAGCAGTTGTGGGACCTTGGGGAAGTTACTTGACTTTTCCCTCTAGATTTACGCTGTAAGATGTGTAAAATGGGACTATTTCTGAGGGTTAAATTAGTATGCCACAGTTGGAACACTGTCAGGCACATAATGCTTGCCAGATATTGACTATTTGTCTTTGTCCTATGAGGACAATGGTACCCCACTGTGGGGTTCTCAATTTTGTATAAGAAAATAATGTTTTATGATTTGTTAGTAAAAGAAATACCTGAGGCTGGGCATGGTGGTTCATGCCTGTAATCCCAGCACTTTGGGAGGACGAGGCGGGTGGATCACCTGAGATGAGTTCAAGACCAGCCTGACCAACATGGTGAAACCCTCGTCTCTACTAGAAATACAAAAATTAGCCAGATGCGGTGGCGTGTGCCTGTAGTCCAGGCTACTCAGGAGGCTGAGGCTGGAGAATCGCTTGAACCTGGGAGGTGGAGGTTACAGTGAGCCGAGATCGTGCCACTGCACTCCAGCCTGGTCGACAGAGCAATAGTCCATCTCAAAAAATAAATAAATAAGTAAATAAAAGAAATATCTGAATACCCCTGCCATGGAAAGAAGAAACAGAGCGAGAAAAGGGAGTTGGTAGGTCGTAGCATTACAGAACTGGGAAGGATGTGTTCAGTCCCTATTTTATAGACGAGGAGGGAAGTGTGATGTGTCCCAGGGTTTCACTGAGGATACACAGCCATAACTCTCTATTGAGAGTGGGACCAGGGCCCTGGGGGTAGCTATGGTCAAGTTGCAGACAAGAACTAACACTTGTAAGACAGGAGAGAAGCATTTAATTAGAAAAGCAGTAAAAAATTTGTGTATAACTACATTTGGTGAGCAAATGAAAGCTGTCAGACTCAGAAAAACAGAACTGCTGGTGGAACTGACTTTAGTAACTGGGGTTTTCTTTCTTTTGTTTCTTTTTTTTTTTTTTTTTTAAAGACAGTTGCACCTTTGTCACCCAGGCTGGAGTGCAATGGTGTGATCTTGGCTCACTGTGCAACCTCCGCCTCCTGGATTCAAGCGATTCTCCTGCCTCAGCCTCCTGAGTAGCTAGGATTGCAGGTGCCCGCCACCAGGCCGAGCTAATATTTTGTATTTTTAGTAGAGACAAGTTTTCACCATGTTGGCCAGGCTGGTCTTGAACTCCTGACCTCAAGTGATCCACCCCCCCCGCTCAGCCTCCCAAAGTGCTAGGATTACAGGCGTGAGCCACCACTCCCGGCCATACCAGGGTTTTCTATTGAGTTTCTTGCCAAGGGTGACTCGCAATAACAACTCCCCCTGCACTTAGCTCAGGACTGGAAAGCTCAGGCAGCATAGGGTGAATAAAAGCCTGAGTAGTGCAGTCCCCACAGAGGGGCAGGGGGGCCACAAGGTGGGCAGCAGCAGGGACAGGCATTATGAGGCATTGGGGGGGGCTGTGGGGCTGGACATTGTGAGTCACTAGCCTGACCTGGCTGTTTCCTGGTAACCAGGTGACATAGGAAGCTTTGTGGGTTATAAGCATCAGCCAGGGCCAGCAGCCCTCAGTCAGTAGCTCGCAGTGGAGGGAGGAGGAGCTCCAACTGTGCTCTTTGATGGCAGTTTTTGCACCTTTGGGTGCTTGTCATGTTCGTTTATTTTTCAAAGAAGACAGCAGGTCCCTGACCTCATAGACCAGCTAGTTTGGGAGGTGGCGGCAGAATAAGGGCTGAGGACCCAGATCTGCCTGGGGTCAGGCTGCTTCTAAAAGTGCAGGGCCACCCTCAGTAGTGTGGCTGCTAGGGCAGCACAGTTACAATTTCGCTGAAGGCTGAGGCAGGAGTGGAGAGGCATGGAGAGGCCCCATGGGGAATATACTGACCTGTTGTATCAACTCCCACTGTGGCTGGCCCAGGGGGAAGGACGCACCCTGTTATGAATCTGATACTGATATTTATGAGACTGTGGCTGCTGCAACATCAGAATCCACTACTGTAGAGCCTGGCAAGCTGGATGTGGGAGCCACGGAGGGCCAAGACCTGCAGCACATCAGCAACCAAAAGATGCCCACAGGTAAAAAAGCCACGGGTGCCGTTTACCCTCTGGCACACCTCTGGCCACCCCCACCCCCTTCCCTTACCCTCATCCCCAGAGACATCCTCAGCTTCCAGCTCCCTCCTGTCCATAGCCAGCTTTCCCAGGTCTGGGCATGGGGGACAAAGGCTGACTCTGCCTCCTGTCTTTGTCGTTGAGACTTTTTGATCTAGAAAAGGGAGAGCCCTTTTCTCAATGAAAATTCAAATACCCCAATTTTGGAGTCCCCATCCCATTCTCTAGCCTCACCTATCTGGCCGGTTTGGTACCTAAATGAAGGAACCAGCTAAGGGTCAGATTGTTTTTCTTCCATCTCTTAAGGTAGCTTATTTTTTGTAAATTTTATTTATTATTTATTTATTTATTTATTTATTTATTTTAGATGGAGTCTTGCTCTGTTGCCCAGGCTGGAGTGCAGTGGCGGGATCTCAGCTCACTGCAACCTCTGCCTCCTGGGTTCAAGCGATTCTCTAGCATCAGCCTCCTGAGTAGGGACTACAGGTGCCCACTACCACGCCCGGCTAATTTTTTGTATTTTTAGTAGAGACGGGATTTCACTGTGTTAGCCAGAATGGTCTCGATCTCCTGACCTGGTGATCTGCCCGCCTCGGCCTCCCAAAGTGCTGTGATTACAGGCATGAGGCATCGCGCCCGGCTCCTAATTTAATTTTTTTTAAGTTCCGAGGTACATGTGCAGGATGTACAGGTTTGTTACGTAGGTAAAAGTGTGCCATGGTGGTTTGCTGCACCTGTCAACCCATCACCTAGGTATGAAGCCCTGCATGCATTAACTGTTTATCCATATTCTCTCCCTTCCCCTGCCCCCTGACAGGCCCCAGTGTGTATCATTCCCTGTCTAACACCGTACGTATTCTAAGACCACTCCTTTGCTGATGACAAATCTAAGTGATGGTTCGCAGGGGACTCTCTTCCCTGCTTCTGTCTGGAGAGCCTGCCTGGCTTCAGGTTCCTGATAGGAGTGAGGACCTGGAGTGCAGTGTGAGAAACAGATGGCTCAGTGAAGAACTGTCATCATCCACTAGAGTCCCTGGAAACAGCCGTGTCATTTAGATGATGTGGGTTTGTGTGCATGAGGGTTGGGAGATAGCCAGGGGTGAATTAATGTGTAGTGTTTGTAAATGTGTGTTTTCCCCCAAAAATGTGGACCCGCATGCCCAGCACAAGTGCAAGTGTCAGTTTTCTTGAATTCCTGGCCTATGGTGGTCCTCTCACCTCAGCCTCCCAAGTCATGTCATTCTTCTAATAAAAAGGAAGAAAAACTTCAGCACCACCATACACTTTACATAAATGACCTCTTTTTCACTCAACACAGTGTACCTGAAGGTCAGTTTAATATCCCTACTTCTTAGAGAGAGAGAGAGTGTGGAAAGGAATGAACCCAGATTTTGACCTCCTGAATGGAAGAGGCAAAAGTGAACCCAGAAATGGGTCCCGATGTTGATGGTCTGCATTACTCAACCGTGTCATCACTCCACCGTGATATATGACCCCACACCAGGGAGTTCCAGCACCTATGCGTGCCCCTGGTAGTGGTAGTGGATGGCCTATAAGTGTGCCAAACATTGCCCACCATCAGATGGGGCCCCAGTGGTCACATAACTCTGGGTAGCAAAAGGTACACGGAACAATAGACGTTGGCATGGGCATTACTGTGAAATACACATAGAAAGCTCACAGGCTTCTGGTCAGCTCACAGATTCTGAGAAGTGTAAGGGATCACATGGAACAGTGCAGGTCAACATCTGTCAGTGCTGGGGTCATTCCTCAGCACTTGGTCAAAGCAGGGAAGGATCAGGAAGATATTGCATTGTATTTAGTAACATGAGTACCTCAAGCCTTAGAAATGCTCCAATCCATGGCCGGGCACGGTGGCTCACACCTGTAATCCCAGCACTTTGGGATGCCAAGACAGCAGATCACCTGAGGTCAGGAGCTTGAGACCAGCCTGGCCAACATGGTAAAAACCTGTCTCTAATAAAAATACAAAAATTAGCTGGCCATGGTGGCCCATACCTGTAGTCCTAGGTACTTGGGTGGCTGAGGCTGGAGAATCGCTTGAACCTGGGAGGTGGAGGTTGCAGTGAGCCGAGATCGAGCCACTGCCCCCTCCAGCCTGGGTGACAGAGTGAGACTCTGTCTCAAAAACATAAAGAAATAAATAAAAAGAAATGCTGCAATCCATAGCAGACAGACAAGGGCCAGTGCCACGTCAGAACTCAGGACAATATTATTATTAGCCTGGTGCCGATCACCCTCATTGGAGACCTCTTGCACCAGTAGGTTAGTGAGGCTCAACACTCATGTACTGATCCCCATGTACTGATCCCCATGTACTGATCCCCATGATGGACTGTCCCACTGTTGGGGGCTGGTGTGAGCATGAGCAGCCACTGACTCAATGGATGCACACACAGTGCAAATAAATGGAAGACATGGGCAGGGTGCGGTGGCTCATGCCTGTAATCCCAGCACTTTGGGAGGCCGAGGTGGGTGGATTGCCTGAGGTTAGGAGTTTGAGACCAGCCTGGCCAACCTGGCGAAACCCTGTCTCTACTGAAAATATAAAAATGAGTTGGATGTGGTGGTGGGTGCCTGTAATCCCAGCTACTCGGGAGGTTGAGGCAGGAGAATCACTTGAACCCAAGAGGCAGAGGTTGCAGTGAGCTGAGATCGAGCCATTGCACTCCAGCCTCAGTGACTGAGACTGCTTCTCAAAACAAACAAACAAACAAAACAAAAAATTAAAGAGAAGAGCGGAGGAGAAATATCTAACAGGGTTAGTACTCATATATCTGAGACCCCTTCTGAGTAGGAGTGAACAGGACCTGGCCTTCCTGTCTGCCGAGAGCATGGCATGGACATCATCCTAAATGCCTCAAGAATGGAGTTTCATTGCTTTCTCTTGTCTTCTCCATCTCTTTGTGCGATGATGGCCGTTGACACTGGCAGAAATTGGTGGGGGGGCAGAGCAGGAATCAGGTCCCCACTTCTCTGACACAGAGCAGACAGGACACAAGTCAGCAGGGATGGACTTCAGGGTCAGGACAGACACAGACAGGTCCCAGGCCTGATCTTCCTGGGGCTGGGACAGATGACTTTTTCTTTTTCACCTCTTATGGAAGTCACTTGAGGAATGGCCTTGAGGAGACACTATTTGCCAAGGGTTGTCTGGCTCAGAAATGTGTTTTTGTTTGTCTGTTTTTTGAGGTGGAGTCTCACTCTGTTGCCCAGGCTGGAGTAGTGCAGTTGTGCGATCTCAGCTCACTGCAACGTCCACCTCCCAAGTTCAACTGATTCTGCTGCCTCAGCCTGCTGAGTAGCTGGAATTACAGGCATGTGCCACCGCACCCAACTAATTTTTATATTTGTAGCAGAGACAGGGTTTCTCCATGTTGGCCAGGCTGGTCTCAAACTCCTGACATCAAGTGATCCACCCACCTCGGCCTCCCAAAGTTCTAGGATTACAGGCGTGAGCCACTGTGCCTGGCTGACGTGTGTATCAACTGGACAGAGCCCCCTAGCACTGAGCCTGTAGCTGCAGCACTCCTGAGTAGCAGGGGAGGTGGGGAGGGACACAAGTTCCAGTGCACCATGAGCTCAGCAGAGGGATGGGGACTGATTCCAGAGTCCAGCTCATCCTTGCAACTCTTCTGTGGAATCCAGCACACATCAGTTTCCACTTATTTTATAGAAGGTTTGGAATCTTCAGTGTCAAACTCTATCTGTGTTGTGTCTTCCCACAGGGTGGGTAGAGGGGCCCTGGCTATGGGTGTTTCCTGCCAGGGCAGTGACTGTGTCTTCCTCATTAGTCCTTATCCCAGAGCTCAGTCCTGGGGAGAACATGTTAGGCCCCATGGGCATTGTAATGAACACACCCCTGGGATGAGTTCTAGGTCGCCTCTGGGGTGGGATCTAGCTTAGTTGTGGAAATGTTCCCTTCTCAGCCTGTCCAGCCTGTTGAGCCCTACACCAATCCTGGAGGCTGCCCCAGTTTCTGAGTCAGGGTCCCTGGAGATGAAGTTGAGCTCCTGAGGACAGTGAGGTGCCCCTGCCCCTTGGCTCCTGCTGCTCTGATCCTGTCTAGACAGGCTGTGCAGGGCCACGCTCTTCCCCTGTGTGCACGTGCACCCCCTGCTGGAATCCCTCTGGACCTGGATGTTGTTCTCATTGTTGTCATATCCCCAGCCCCACACAGTGACTGGCCCTTGTGTAGATGCCCAGGAAGTAACCATAAACATATGGTAGGAGCAGAGCTGCAAACTATTTTGCAAGAAAACACCAGGGGAGGGGAGTCATGTCTTCCTCATGTCTGGATCTCCTGTGCCATCTAGTGAGGTTCTCAGTCATATCTGTGCCTCCTCATATTTAAATACATTTAACTATTTACAATTAAAAGTTCAGGGCCGGGCGTGGTGGCTCACACCTGTAATTCCAGCACTTTGGGAGGCCAGGGCCAGTGGATCATCTGAGGTCAGGAGTTCGAGACCAGCCTGGCCAACATGGTGAAACCCCATCTCTACTAAAAATGCAAAAATTAGCCAGGTGTGGTGACGCACACCTGTAATCCCAGCTACTTGGGAAACTGAGGCAGGAGAATCACCTGAACCTGGGAGGCAGAGGTTGCAGTGAGCCGAGATCATGCCATTGTACTCCAGCCTGGGCAGCAAGAGTGAAACTCCGTCTCAAAAAAAAAAAAAAAAAAAAATCAGAACCTCATCACAACAGCCACCGTGCAATGGCCCATCAGCCTTATGTTAATGAAGTGGAGAGATTTACATCCCCGCAGAATGCTCTTTCACATCTGCTGTGAGCCTGGCTGAGGGACCAATTGTTGAACTCCTGTAACTCAAAGCGTGCACATCAAAGTGGGAATCTCAGGGCTGTGAGATTGGAGGTGAGACCTGTAATGGGCCAGTGGAAGGAAAAAGTTAAAAGTGGTTCCTTCAGTTCCTCTTTCTCACTCAAAGGCTGGCAAGTGTGAGCAATGCCTTTTTAGAGACCTCTGACTCCACAGAGACCAGGGAGAGTCTGACAACACCTAGGAAAGTGCAGAGCAATCTTGTGCAACCCAGTGTGGCCTCACCTGCAGTAGGAGGCTGGGCGAGTTGCTCTCTGGAATAACTTCTTGCAGAGTTTTTGTCTCTTAATGATTGGCCAATGGACACCATCCATGAGGGCAGCTGCAATGAGGCAGATCTGCAGCTAGAGAATGATACTCTAGGAGGATCTCTGGGGAGCAGTTGAGTGACACCTGTTGCTTTGGAACCTAGGAAAAGGGCAATGAAGTCAGAACCAAAGGAAATATGTGTAGAAGTCTGACTTGTTCCTTTGGAATTTTAATAAGATAGATATGAGACAATTTGTATCCATGGGCTTTGTGTGCTGTGTTTGTAACCATTTTTTTTCTTGCTCTGATATTTAATGATTACCTTTCCCAGAAGACCAGTTTTTCCTATGTCACAGCAAACATCAAAGCCCTGATTTTTGATTGGTTAATATCTTCTGGGACTTCGGAATGCAAGAGTCTTATTAGGTCTGGGCACTGGCTAAGATGCAAGGTATCTGGTGAGACTCCCTCATGCTCACTACTTGAACACAGTTGTTTCTCTGAGATGGTCTCCGAACCTTCAGTCCCACGCTCCATGTGCCGCATCCAGCAAAGCTCCCTGAGGGACTCCCAGTCTCCAACCACCAGGGCACTGACATTAACTCTGTGTCCTTTTAGGTCCCCCTGAGGACCGCCTGAGTTTAAAATTTCTGCCATCAAGTGAGGAAGACAATGATGATGCCAAGGTAAGACCCCCTTTCTTTGCCTTCTAAGGAAATGTTGCTTTCCTGATGTCAGAAACAAATTCACCCATCTAAACCCAAAGAATGGACTCAGAGGCCTGCAGAACAGCAAAAGTAAGACTTTTAATGATGGTCTTGCAAGATCTGGGTGCAGACACACCCAGAACGGTTTCAACAAGCAATTTATCCCCGAGTGTGCAGGTCACTCCTCTGGTTCCTCATAGGCTGAGTACTATGAGGTCACAATCTTCCCGGGTGTCACACATCGATTGTTGGGTAGGGGCTTTAGGTATTTTTTTTTATGGTTGTCTTACTGCATTTTGTTGCAGCCCACACTGCATTGACATCCTAGTCAGCTCAGGGTCTCTTCAAGTATTTGACTTATGACCTAAGTAGTTGGGCAGGCTGATAAGAACAGACAAAGCGAGCTATTTTGCAGGCTAGTAAACTTTCAACTTAGACTAAACTTCTTTGGTTCCAGTGAGGGCAACTAAGTGGGGAGGAAAGGGAGCCCAACAAGCAGGCATTGCCCATCCAAGCAGGAGCCCAGCATATCCTATTTCTTCTGTTTTTTTGCTGACCTACACTGGTTCAAGACAGTTTGTGTTAAAAATGGACCACTGTATACATTATTTCCTTCACCTGATTTCTTTCCTTCTCAATTAATTTTGATATAAAAATATAACAAGACACATTATGTACAACGTACACAATTGTCTTTGTGAGGATGGAATTCAGTGGGAGTTTCTTTTCATCTAATACATGACACACTAGGATGTTTTTAAATGACAGCATCCATCATCAACTGTAATGCAGAGGCATTTTCCTCCACACCAGTTTTCCTCTTTAAATTAGGCATTGTGCATTTACCAACCTAAATCAACCTCAAAGAAATTCTGTGGGAAAAGCTCTTGTCTTTTCACTCATGTCCTCTATGCTAAAGTGTTTTGTCTTTGACATGGACTCAACCACTGTTTCAAAAGTAGTTTTCTGAAGTCATCAAGAGAATAACTGATCTGTGTAGGGGGTGCAGCAGAATTGATCTGATCCTCATAGCATCTTCTTTTGTCTCATTGCAGATTTTACCATCACCTGTCCAGGGTACGTACCTTGAACTAACTCACTTTCTGAGAAACAAACTTGCTAGCTTTAATATATAGAAACCTTAATCTGGATTCCTGTTAAAAAATATTGGGGGTCTGGTGAGAGCAAATGATTCTGCGAGTGTATAATTATGAGCAGAGAGGATGTAGAAATGTGTGTGAACCCAGAGGACCAATGAGGAGATTTTGTGTGAGCCAGTGTGTCTTCACCTGGAGTAGAAGTGAGTGCACCTCTCACTGACTTATCCTGATGTTGGTAAAGATACCAGAATCCTAAAGAGTGGATTCTGGAGAACTTTAGTGGGGAAGACTATGCTTTTTCAGGTAGGTAACAATACTTCAGATGGGGTCTAATAAAACAGCATTTACAAGAACCTTCATGTTATACCTGCTGCTTGGGAGGCTGAGGGAGGGTGTAGAAACAGAAAAAGAAAAAGTAAATAGAAGCTGAGTTTGTTATTTTCAGAGTTTAATGTCATCAGGTGAGAAGTATTATGTTTATGGGCTATTGAGTATCCTGTGTTTTTGATCATTTCTTCTTGCTTTATTATTTAAAGATGATTTTTCTGAGAACACCTGCTCTTTTCTGCCTGTGCCACTGCAAAATCTCAGAGCCTGTGGTTTGGGACACAGTTCTGTCACAAGCAGTTACTCACTCCTGGAGACAGAATTCTTCTGCGGTGTGCCAGATGCATAGGAGAAATGGATCCTCACCTTATGAACTGTTAGGTTTCATGGCAGCACATTCATTTGTCTGTGCTTGCTGTTTACCTCTGGTATCAAGACATCTCCCTGAGTGTGGAGGACAGAATGAAAATTCACTCTGGGCTCACTGCAAAAGGTCCAGTGTCTTGGAAATGGAGGGAGAAGCACAACCTTGAGCACACTGTCAGCATTCTGTTGAGAGAGAAGCACAACCTTGAGCACACTGTCAGCATTCTGTTGAGAATATGCAGTTTTACCATCATTTGTGGAAGAGACTTTCCTTTCCTCATTGTGTATTCTTGGTACCTTCATTGAAGATCAGCTGACTCTGTATGTGTGCATTTAATTCTGGGCTCTCTATTCTACATCTGTGATACTTATGGGTGCCCCCAAGCTAGAAGCATGCTGTCTGAATTTCTGTTTTTTGTAGATTTCAATCTCATGAATGTGCATCCACCAACACTATTCTTTTCCAACATTACCAAGTTTATTTGAGGCAAATGAAAATTCATTAAAGTCTGAGGATTATCTTTTCCATTTCTGCACACATGGCTGTTACCAGTTTGATAGCAGTTGTTAATCTGTAGATTATTTGTGTAGTATTGTGTGTTAGTCAGGCTCAGTCTTCCTATCCATGAATATGGGATGCCTTTCTACTTATTTGTATGTTCTTTACTTTCTAGAATCTTTATGTTGACAGCTGATTAGTTAGATTTAACAAGACTGATATAAATTTGTGATTTCTATTTTTTTCTTTTCTTTTTTGTTTTTTGAGATGGAGTCTCACTCTGTCACCATACTGGGGTGCAGTGATGTGATCTCTGCTCACTTCTACCTCTGCCTCCTGGGTGCAAGTGATTTTTCTGCCTTATCCTCCTGAGTAGCTGGGACTACAGTCATGTGCCACCATGCCTAGATAATTTTTGTATTTTTAGTAGAGATGTGGTTTTACCATGTTGGCCGGGATGGTCTCAATCTTTTGATGTCGTGATCTGCCCGCCTCAGCCTCCCAAAAAGTGCTGGGATTATAGGCATGAGCCACCATGCCCAGCCAAATTTGTGATATCTTGTACCAATATTTTTTGGTACAATAGGCATCAAACAAAAAAAATTTATGTAAGCTAGTTAACCAAAAAATCACGCTTTTCCTCATGGACATTTTTTAATGAATTTGTTCATTTGTATTGGTATACATTTCCTCATTTCCATAGATCATGTATATTTGAACCTGGAAACTTATCCTCATGGCAGAAAGTGTTCAGAGTCACGTCTCTCAGATTCACTGGTGTAGTTAGAGCAGGCTGTGTGAGCTTGGCCTGTTTGAATGAAACCTGATCTTTACGGAATCTCCTGAGGGAGAGTGACACAGAGCTGATGAAGCCCTTGATTACAGGGGCCCAAAAGGTTGTGGGCACACACCATTATTCCAGAAGAAGACTTACAAAGAGGAAATCATGACTATTTTTAATTGTAGCATTTTCATATTCTTTTTTAAATGGTCTCTATGAAAAAGAATGTGTGATTAATAGAGTAATTTGGGTAAAATTGAGTCCATTTCACCAATAAAATAGACTTTTAATTAAGTAATAGATCTTTTAAAACAGATGCTAAATGTAGTACCAGCATAATTGGATCCTAGTGTACTGACACGATCTTGAATACATTAAGAAAATACTGTTGGTTTTGAAGAGTTTCAAAACATTTGAGAGGTAGGAAGGCACTCTTCCATTGACCCTTAGTGTATGCTTTAGTTCCATTTGGGGTTGACTGTTTTGTGTTGCTGCATGATGCCTCTAGTACAAGGCCAAGGCCTCCATGTCTCATGTCTTTCCTGCTCCCCTCCTCTGCCATCCCTCTTCCACTCAGGGGAATAGCCCAGCATTAACTCAGTCCATGCTTGTTAATCAACCACCTCCATACACCACATCCAGCAAAGCTCCCTGAGTGACTCACAGTCACAATCAACCAGGGCACGGATCTTTCCTCTGTGTCCTTCCAGGTTCTTCTGAGGACAACCTGAGTTTAGTATGCCTACCACGAAGTGAAGATGATGACTGTGATGATGATGATGATGATGATGCCCAGGTAAGACAATCTTTCTTTGTCTTCTAAGGAAATGTTGGTTTTCTGATGTGAGAAACAAACTCACCAGTCCAATCCCAAAGAATGGACTCAGGGAGCTATAAACAACAAAAGTGAGATTTTCTTTCCTTTCTTTGTTTCTTTTTTCTTTTCTTTTCTTTTTTTGTTTTGTTTTGTTTTTGTTTTTGTTTGAGACAGAGTCTCACTCAGTTCACCAGGCTGGAGTGCAGTGGTGCAATCTCGGCTCCATCTCCTGGGCTCAATGAATTCTCCTGCCTCAGCCTCCCAGGTAGCTGGGATTACAGGCATGTGTCTTCATGCCCAGATAATTTTTGTATTCTTAGTAGAGACGGTGTTTTACCATTTTGGCCAGGCTGGTCTCGAACTCCTGACCGCAGGTAATCCACCCACCTCGGCTTCCGAAAGTGCTGGTATTACAGGCATGAGCCACCCCACCTGGCCGAAAGTGAGACTTTTAATGACAGTCTTGCAAGATCTTGCAAGATCCGGTACCTTATGGGCAGACACACCCAGCACAGTTTCAACAAGCAATTTATCCCCTAGTGTGCAGGTCCCTACCCTGGTTCCTCATAGGCTGAGTACTATGAGGTCACAATCTTCGTGGGTGTCACATATTGATTGTTGGGGAGGGGCTTTAGGTATTTTTTTTTTTATGGTTGTCTTACTGCATTTTGTTGCAGCCCACAATGCATTACCATCCTAGTGAGCTCAGGGGCTCTTCAAGTATTTGACCTATGACCTAAGTAGCTGGGCAGGCTGATAAGAACAGACAAAGCGAGCTATTTTGCAGGCTAGTAAACTTTCAACTTAGACTAAACTTCTTTGGTTGAAGTGAGGGCAATTAAGTGGGGAGGAGAGGGGGCCCAACAAGCAGGCATTGCCCATCCAAGCAGGAGCCCAGCATATCCTATTTCTTCTGTGTTTTGCTCACCTAAACCAGTTCAAGGCAGATTGTGTTAAAAATGGACCACTGTATACATTATTTCCTTCACCTGATTTCTTTCCTTCTCAATTAATCTTGGTATAAAAATATGACAAGGCGCATTATATACAACATACACAGTTCTCTCTGTGAGGATGGAGTTCAGCGGGAGTTTCTTTTCATCGAATACATGACACACTAGGATGTTTTTAAATGATGGTGTCCATCATCTACTGTAATGCAGAGGCATTTTCCTCCACACCAGTTTTTCTCTTTGGATTAGGCATTGTGCATTTACCAATCTAAGTCAATAGCCTTAAAGATACCAATACCAATACCTTAAAGATAAATTCTGTGGGAAAACTCTTGTCTTTTCCACAGGTGTTCTCTATGCTAGAATGTTTGGCCTTTGACCTTGACTCAACAACAGTTTCACAACTAGTTTTCTGAAGTCATCAAGAGAATAACAGATCTGTGTAAGGGGTGCAGCAGAATTGATCTGATCCTCATAGCATCTTCTTTTGTCTCGTTGCAGATTTTACCGTCACGTGTCCAGGGTATGTACCTTGAACTAACTCACTTTCTGAGAAACAAACTTGCTGGCTTTAATATATAGGAACCTTAATCTGGGTTCCTGTTAAAAATATTGGGGGTGTGGTGAGAGCAAATGATTCTGCAAGTGTATAACTATGAGCAGAGGGGCTGTAGAAATGTGTGTGAACCAGAGGACCAAGCAGGAGATTTTGTGTGAGCCAGTGTGTCTTCACCTGGAGTTGGAGAAGTGAGTGCACCGCTCACTGACCTATCCTGATGTTGGTGGTTATAAAGAGTGGATTCTGGAGAATCTCAGCAGGGAAGAGGTTACCTTTCCAGGTGGGCAACAAGACTTGAGGTGGGATCTAATAAAACAGCATTTCCAGGAACCTTCATGTTATATCTGCTGCTTGGGAGGTGAGGGAGGGTGTAAAAAGAGAAAAAGAAAAAGTAAATATAAGCCGAGTTCTTTTCAGAGTTTAATGTCATCATGATGAGAAGTACTATGTTTATGGGCTTTTGAGTATCCTATGTTTTTGTTCACCTCTTCTTGCTTTATTATTTAAAGTTTATTTTTCTGAGAACACCTGCTCTTTTCTGCCTCTGGCACTGCAAAATCTCAGAGTCTTTGGTGTGGGACACAGTTCTGTCACAAGCAGTTACTCACTCCTGGAGACAGAATTCTGTGGTGTGCCCAGATGCATAGGAGAAATGGATCCTCACCTTATGAACTGTTAGGTTTCATGGCAGCACATTCATTTGTCTGTGCTTGCTGTTTACCTCTGGTATCAAGACATCTCCCTGAGTGTGGAGGACAGAATGAAAATTCACTCTGGGCTCACTGCAATAGCTCCAGTGTCTTGGAAATGGAGGGAGAAGCACAACCTTCAGCATCTATCAGCATTCTGTTTTTTCATGTGAATGAGAATATGCAGTTTTACCATCATTTGTGGAAGAGGCTTTCCTTTCCCCATTGTGTATTCTTGACAACTTTGTTGAAGATCAGCTGACTCTGTATGTGTGCATTTAATTCTGGGCTCTGTATTCTATATCTGTGATACCTCCATGCTGGAAGCATGCTGTTTGCATTTCTCTGTTTTTTGTAGATTTCAATCTCATGAATGTGCATCCTCCAACACTGTTCTTTTTCAACATTACCATGGTTATTTGAGGCACATAGAGATTCCTTAAAGTCTTAGATTAACTTTTCCATTTCTCCGCAGGTGGCTGTTACCGGTTTGATAGCAGTTCTTGTGAGTCTGTAGATCATGTGTGTAGTATTGTGTGTTAGTCATGCTGAGTCTTCCTATCCATGAATATGGGAAGCCTTTCAACTTATTTGTATGTTTTTTACTTTTAGAAACTTTATGTTGACAGCTGATTAGTTAGATTTAACATGACTAATATAAATTTGTGATTTCTTTTTCTTTTTTTTTTTTTTTTTTGAGACGGAGTCTCACTCTTGTCACCATACTGGGGTGCAGTGATGTGATCTCTCCTCACTGCCACCTCTGCCTTCCAGGTTGAACTGATTCTCCTGCCTTATCCTCCCTAGTAGCTGGGACTACAGATGCATGCCACCACGTCCAGCTAATTTTTGAAGATTTAGTAGAGACGTGGTTTTACCATGTTGGCCAGGATGGTCTCGATCTCTTGACCTCGTGATCCCCCCACCTCGGCCTCCCAAAGTGCTGGGATTACAGGCATGAGCCACCGCGCCTGGACAAATTTGTGATATCTTATACCAATATTTTGTATGTCTGAATGAATAGGCATCAAGGTAAAAAAATTACATAAGCTAGTTAACCAAAAATCACCCCCGTACTCATGGACATTTTTTCATGAATTTGTTCATTTCTATTGATATACATTTCCTCATTTCAGTAGATCATGTATATTTGAACCTGGAAACTTATCCTCATGGCAGAAAGTGTTCAGAGTCACCTCTCTCAGCTTCACTGGTACAGGTAGAGCAGGCTCTGTGAGCTTGGCCTGTTTCAATGAAGCCTGATCTTTAGGGAATCTCCTCAGGGAGATTGACACAGAGCTGCTGAAGCCCTTGATCACAGGGACCCAAAAGTTTGTGTTCACACACCATGGTTCCAGAAGAAGACTTACAAAGAGGAAATCATGACTATTTTTAATTTTAGTATTTTAATATTTAATTTTTTAAATGATCTCTATGAAAAAAAAAATTGTGATCAGCTGGGTGCGGTGGCTCACCCCTGTAATCCCAGCACTTTGGGAGGCCGAGGTGGGTGGATCATGAGATCAGGAGATGGAGACCATCCTGGCTAACACGGTGAAACTCCAACTCCACTAAAAATACAAAAAAATTAGCCAGACGTGGTGGTGGGTGCCTGTAGTCCCAGCTACTCGGGAAGCTGAGGTAGGAGAATGGTGCAAACCTGGGAGGTGGAGCTTGCAGTGAGCTGAGATCACACCACTGCACTCCAACCTGGGGGACAGAGTGAGACTCTGTCTCAAAAAAAAAAAAAAAAAAGAATGTGTGATCAATAGAATAGAGTAATTTGGGTAAAATTGAATCCATTTCACCAATAAATTAAGTAATTAATCCTTTAAAACAGATGCTAGATGTTGTACCAGCATAATTATGTCCAGTGTACTTACACAGTCTTGAATACATTAAGAAAATACTGTTTGTTTAGAAGAGTTTCAAAACATTTGAGAGGGAGGAAGGCACTCTTCCATTGACCCTTAGTGTGTGCTTTAGTTCCATTTGGGGTTGACTGTTTTGTGTTGCTGCGTGATGCCTCTAGTACAAGGCCAAGGCCTCCATGCCTCATGCCTGCTCCCCTCCTCTGCCATCCCTCTTCCAGCATTAACCAGTCCATGTTTGTTAATCAACCACCTCCATATACCACATCCAGCAAAGCTCCCTGAGTGACTCACAGTCACAAACAACCAGGGCACGGATCTTTCCTCTGTGTGCTTCCAGGTTCTTCTGAGGACAACCTGAGTTTAGTATGCCTACCACGAAGTGAAGATGATGACTGTGATGATGATGATGATGATGCCCAGGTAAGACAACCTTTCTTTGTCTTCTAAGGAAATGTTGGTTTTCTGATGTGAGAAACAAACTCACCAATCCAATCCCAAAGAATGGACTCAGGCAGCTGAAAAACAGTAAAAGTGAGATTTCCCAGGAGAGGGGGCCCAACAAGCAGGCATTGCCAATCCAAGCAGGAGCCTAGCATATCCTATTCTGGTTTTTTTGCTGACCTAGACCGGTTCAAGGCACTTTGTATTAAACATGGACCACTGTATACATTATTTCCTTCACCTGATTTCTTCCCTTCTCAATTAATTTTGATATAAAAATATGACAAGTCACATTATGTACAACATACACAATTCTCTTTGTGAGGATGGAGTTCAGTGGGAGTTTCTTTTCATCTAATGCATGACACACTAGGATGTTTTTAAATGACAGCATCCATCATCAACTGTAATGCAGAGGCATTTCCTCCACACCAGTTTTTCTCCTTGGATTAGACATTGTGCATTTACCAATCTAAATCAACTTCAAAGATAAATTCTGTGGGAAAAGCTCTTGTCTTTTCCACACATGTCCTCTATGCTAGAATGTTTGGTCTTTGACCTTGACTTACCACTGTCTTACAAATAGTTTTGTGAAGTCATCAAGAGACTAACAGATCTGTGTAAGGGGTGTGGCAGAATTGATCTGATCCTTACAGCATCTTCTTTTATCTCATTGCAGATTTTACCGTCACCTGTCCAGGGTATGTACCTTGAACTAACTCACTTTCTGAGAAACAAACTTGCTGGCTTTAATATATGGAAACCTTAATCTGGGTTCCTGTTAAAAAATATTGGGGGTGTGGTGAGAGCAAATGATTCTGCAAGTGTATAGCTATGAGAAGAGGGGCTGTAGAAATGTGTGTGAACCCAGAGGACCAACCAGGAGATTTTGTGTGAGCCAGTGTGTCTTCACCTGGAGTAGAAGTGAGTGCACCTCTCACTGACTTATCCTGATGTTGGTGGTTCTAAAGATTGGATTCTGGAGAATCTCAGCAGGGAAGAGTATGCCTTTCCAGGTAGGTAAAAAGATTTCAAGTGGGGTCTAATAATACAGCATTTCCAGGAGCCTTCATGTTATACCTGCTGCTTGGCAGGGTTAGGGAAGGTGCAGAAATAGATAAAGAAAAAGTAAATATAGGTCAAGTTTGTTCTTTTTAGAGTTTAATGTCATCATGGTGAGAAGTACTATGTTTATGGGCTTTTGAGTATCCTGTGTTTTCGATCACCTCTTCTTACTTTATTATTTACAGATGATCTTTCTAGAACACCTGCTCTTTTCTGCCTGTGCCACTGCAAAATCTCAAAGCCTTTGGTTTAGGACAGAGTTCTGTCACAGGCAGTTACTTAATTCTGGAGACAAAATTCTTCTGTGGTGTGCCCAGATGCATAGGAGAGATTAATTCTCACCTTATGAACTGTTAGGTTTCATGGCAGCACATTCATTTGTCTGTTTTTCTTGCTTACCTCTGGTATCAAGAGCTCTTCCTGGGCATGGAGGACAGAATGAAAATACACTCTGGGCTCACTGCACAAGCTTCAGTGTCTTGGAAATGGAGGGAGAAGCACAACCTTGAGCACACTGTCAACATTCTATTTCTTTATTTGAATGAGAATATGCAGTTTTACCATCATTTGTGGAAGAGGCTGTCCTTTCCCCATTGTGTATTTTTGACACTTTTGTTGAAGATCAGTTTACAGTGTATGTGTGCATTCAATTCTTGGCTCTCTATATCTGTGAAACTTATGAGTGCCCCCATGCTAGAACCATGCTGTCTGAATTTCTGTATTTGTGTGTGTGTGTGGATTTCAATCTCATGAATGTGCAACCTCTAACACTATTGTTTTAACATCATCATGGTTACTTGAGACATATAAAATTCATTAAAGTTGTAGGATTATGTTTTCCATTTCTGCACAGATGGCTGTTGCCAGTTTGATAGCAGTTCTTGTGAGTCTGTAGATCATCTGTGTAGTATTGTGTGTTAGTCAGGTTTAGTCTTCCTATCCATGAATACAGGATGCCTTTCCACTTATTTGTACCTTCTTTACTTCCGAGGATCTTCATGTTGACAGCTGATAATTAGATTTAACATGACTGATAAAAATTTTTGGTTTCTTATACCAATATTTTATATGTCTGAATGAATAGGTATCAAATAAATATATATGTATATTTTGAGATGGAGTTTCACTGTTCTTGCCCAGGCTGGAGTGCAATGGCGTGATCGCGGCTCACTGCAACCTCTGCCTCCAAGATTCAAGTGATTCTCCTGCCTCAGCCTCCTGAGTAGCTGGAATTACAGGCACTCACCGCCATGCCTGGCTAATTTTTTTGTATTTTTAGTAGAGACGGGGTTTTACCATGTTGGCCAGGCTGGTCATGAACTGCTGACCTCAGGTCATCCACCCACCTCAGCCTCCCAAACTGCTGGGATTACAGGTCTGAGCCAGAGTGCTCAACCAAAAAAATAATTTTTATATAAGATAGCTAACCAAAAATCACCCCCATACTCATGGACTTTTTTTCATGAATTTGTTCATTTGTATTGGTATACATTTCCCCAGTTCAGTAGATAATGTATATTTGAACCTGGAAACTTATCCTCATGGCAGAAAGTGTTCAGAGTCACGTCTCTCAGCTTCACTGGTATAGTTAGAGCAGGCTCTGTGGGCTTGGCCTGTTTGAATGAAGCCTGATTTTTAGGGAATCTCCTCAGGGAGAGTGACACAGGAGCTGCTGTCCAAAAGTGTGTGTAGAAGTTGTTCCAGAAGAAGACTTACAAAGAGGAAATCATGACTATTTTTAATTGTAGCATTTTAATATTGAATTTTTAAAATGATCTCTATGAAAAAGAAAGTGTCATTAATAGAATAATTTGGGTAAAATTGAGTCCATTTCAAAATAAAATATGATTTTAAATAAGTAATAAATCCTTTAAAAGAGATGCTAAATGTAGTATCAGCATAATTAGATCCTAGTGTACTGACACAGTCTTGAATACGTTAAGAAAATCCTGTTGGTTTTGAAGAGTTTCAAAACATTTGAGAGGGAGGAAGGCACTCTTCCACTGACCCTTAGTGTGCATTTTACTTACATTTGGGGGTGATTGTTTTGTGTTGCTTCCTGATGCCTCTAGTACAAGGCCAAGGCCTCCATGTCTCATGTCTTTCATGCTTCCCTTCTTTGCCATCCCTCTTCCACTCAGGGGAATAGCCCAGCATCAACTCAGTCCATGCTTGTTAATCAACCACCTCCATACACCACATCCAGCAAAGCTCCCCGAGTGACTCAGAGTCACCAACCACCGGTGCACTGATCTTTCCTCTGTGTCCTTCCAGCTTGTTCTGAAGATAGCCTGTTTTTAAGATGCTCACTGAGACACAAAGATGAAGAAGAAGAAGATGATGATGACATCCACGTAAGACCTCCCTTTTTTTGTCTTCTACAGCAATGTTGCTTTCCTGATTCCTTTATTTCTCAATTAATTTTGATATGAAAATCTGGCAATGCACATTATGTACACTGTACACTATTCTCTTTGTGGGGCTGGAATTCCATAGGAGTGTCTTCCCAACTTATATGTGGTCCACTAGGGTGCTTTTAAATGACAGCATCCATTATCAACTGGAATACTGAGGCATTTTCCACAACAACAGTTTTCCACCTTGAATTAAGCATTGTGCATTTGCATATAAAATTAAAGGTAAATTCTACAAATAGAGGTCTTGTTTTTCTATAGCTATCCTCTGTGCTAGTCTTTGGGGGACTTTGACCTATGGCTCAATCACTATACTGCCTTCTGGTTTTTTATCGTTGTCCAGAGAATAACAGATCTGTGTGAAGCGCACAGCAGAATCTGATTTTCATAATGTTTTCTTTTATATAATTGCAGATAACAGCTCGGATAGAAAGTGGTATGTACCATGAGATAACTCACTTCCTGAGGGAAAAAACTTGCTAGCTTCAGTGTATAGAAACCTGATTCTGGGGTCCTGCTGGGAAAGAGGCTTGGGGTTCTCGTGAAAGTGATTCTGCCAGTATAGAACTCTGGCCTGAGAAGCTGTAGGAAGGTTTGTCGACCCAGAAGAAAGATTAGGGGATCATGTATGAAGCAGCATGGAGTGGGAGACTAGCTCATCACTCAGCTTCAGCTAAAGTAAAGTAGGAGGAGTGGGTGAGTCACTCTCTCTAATGACTTATTCTGGTGTTTTTGTTTCTAAAGACTTGACGCTGGAGAGTCTAAGTGATGAAGAGATTCATCCAGGTAGGGAACTACGTGCCAGCAAAAACCCAATGGGAAAAGGTTCCCAGGAGCCTCCAGGTTATCCCTGTTGCTTGTGAGGAGGGGCTGAAGGAGGGGGTATGAAATCAGAAAGAAAATGGAAATATGTGTGAGGTCTGGCTTGTTGTTTTCAGAGTTTCTTGGCATCATGGTAAGAACTGTCTCTATGGGCTATGAGGGTGCTGCGTTCATGAGAGATTATCTTTGCAGTGCACCTGCTCTTTTGTGCCCTGTGGAACATCATAGCCTTTGGTTTGGATTAGTCAACACTCCTTGGGAGTGGGCACAAGGGGTATAGGCCTAAGCACTGGGTGTCATCTGTGATGAAGGGAATCTGGGGGACACAACTCTCTCACAGGCATTTCCTGGAACCTAGAGAAACAGTCCTTGTGCTGTGTGCCAAGGGGAAATCGAGAATCACCCTCTGAACTTTCAGGACTTGTTAGTGCACATTCATGTTTCTGTCCTCACTGTGCACTCCTGGTTTAAAGGGATCTCCCGGAGTGGATGGTGGAGTGAATATTCACTCTGGGGTCACTGGTAAAACTCCAGTCTCCTTTGAGGGGAGGAGAAAAGTTTGACCTTGAGCACTTTTCCAGCCTCCACTGCCCAACCCAATCACAGATTCTGAGATGTGGCTTCTTTCTCCCAGTTCTCTAATTTTTTGGGAAGCCAAAAGTTCCTTCCCACAAAAGATAGTATCACACTATTTCCTGTCTTCAAAAATTTGGCTTTGGTTTTGTTCTCTAAGTTGCTATTCATCACTTAAGTTCTAGACTTTTTTTTTTCTTTTTTTTTTTTTTTGAGATGGAGTCTCGCTCTGTCACCCAGGCTGGAGTGCAGTGGTGCGATCTCGGCTCACTGCAAGCTCCGCCTCCCGGGTTCACGCCATTCTCGTGCCTCAGCCTCCCGAGTAGTGGGGACTACAGGTGTCCACCACCATGCCTGGCTAATTTTTTGTATTTTTGGTGGAGACAGGGTTTCACCATGTTGGCCAGGCTAGTCAGGAACTCCTCAGCTCAGGCGATCTGCCCGCCTCAGCCTCCCAAAGTGCTTGGATTATAGGCATGTATCACCATGCCTGGCCAGGGTTATTTTTAATGTAATTGTGGCTATCTCAAGTAATGGTGCTTTGAGTATTTTTGTCAGTGGTTTTGGAATAACACCAGCACTCACTTTTGTGGAGTAGACTGTTAGAAGGGGGCATATCTTTCATTGTTATAAATAATGCCAAACTTTTTCCAAAATGATGACACCAATTCATGCTCCTCTAACAGCATATGTGAGTAGCCGTTTCTCCAAATCCTCACGGACTCTTAGTTTTATCTCTTTCTAAAAATTCCATCACTGTGGTTAGTCTGTCATTTGTATAACATATTACTTAAAATGTTCTCCAAAAAGAAGTGTTGTTTTACTGTAATGACGCAGCGCAGTAGGTTTGTTTACACCCGCCTCACCACAGACACGTAAGTAATGCACTGCGCCGACCTTCTAACAGGTACGACTTTACTGGGGAAAAGGAAATTTTCAGCTTTGTTATAATCTTATGGGACCACTGTCATACATGTGTTCTGTCATTGACCAAAATGTCATTCTGCTACATATGGCTGTAGTTAATAAGCAGGTGCAAGGTGGGCGGATTACGAGGTCAGGAAATCGAGACCATCCTGGCTCACACAGTGAAACCCCGTCTCTACTAAAAATACAAAACATTAGCTGGGTGTGGTGGTGGGCGCTTGTAGTCCCAGCTACTTGGGAGGCTGAGGCAGGAGAATGGCGTGAACCTGGGAGGCGGAGTTTGCAGTGAGCCGAGATCATGCCCACTGCACTCCAACCTGGGTGATAGAACGAGATTCCATCTCAAAAAAAAAAAAAAAATGAATGAAAATAAGAACAGCCATAAATTGGGTATGTGGGCACTTCTGTATGTTGTCTCCTTGAAGTGTCACAATCACTTTGAGACAGAATTAGTTTTGTTTTAGTCATTATACAGATGGGGAATGTGGGTCTCAGTTAAGTAAATTACTCAGGAGACACGCCAAGAGCTGGATCTCTTTAACGCCAAAGGTTAACCTATAAACTAACGTGCTACACCGCCTGTACTGGCAAAATAGAATTACCATAAAATGAAATTTGCTTCCACAACTGGGCATGTGAGTTCGGTGAGGCTGGTGTTACCCATTGCTCCATGGGTCAGAAATTGGTCTTGCTGAAGCTTGGAAGGAGAAGCTCTTGGCTCAGGGAGTGAAAAGTTACTGACAGGTTATATGAGTGCAATTGAAGGGTTATGCGTCCATAGAGCATGTGATGGAATGAGAACAGAGAGAATCAAAGAGAATCACCCAGAGCAGACTCTGTCTCAAAAAAAAAAAAAAAAATTTTGCCCATCTAATAATAGGTTAAAAATTAGATACAGTCAACCACACTGGGTCTTACTATGTAAAAAAAAAAAAGAGTGCTTTTAGACAGTGATAGGAAAGAAGAAAAAAATTAAAATAGTTGATGTGTTCTATGTGGGACTGTGGAATAAACTGCTTTTAAGTAGAGTTTTGTATGAAGTTCTTTAGGCAATAAGTAAAAATGGAAGGGAAACCTAACAGCAGAGAGCAGCCAGGACCACAGTTGCCTGTGGATGCAGAGACTGTGGTGGAGCCTGGAATGCCAAAGACCACGAGTCCCCGCGGGCAGTCAGTTCAGTGACAGCATCACCAATTATCTGATCGGCAGGCACCCCAGTAGCACATGGACAGAACAGGGAGGCCTAAGATGAGTCCAGGCCATGGAAGATCTCCAGTGAGGGGATCTTGGAAGATGTGAAAAGCATCCTGGAGGGGGAGGTAGCCCTGCAGCTTAGCGGTCCAGTTTCCCTCACTGGTCTTACTTGGTATGGCATAGAGGTGCTCACACAGCAGCCCCCAGTATCCTCCCACTTCCCTAAAGGCTTAAACACACCAAGATGTGTATCAGTTTCTTAAAGAGCACAATAGCACATTACTGAACAACCAAAATTGCAGAGAAGTGGCCTCATTTCCTGGAAGTGTTTCAGGGACGGGGAGGTGGTGAGGTGAGGAAATCCTCATGACCAAAGAAACATGAGGCCTGAGGACTGGCGGTTGGGCTCAGCCACATGGAGACCACGTCGTGCCCTACAAGAGCAATCTGGTGGTGTGGTGCTGGGGAGGAGAGACGGCCAGGGCAACAGAGCTTGTGCAGGGATTCAGAACCAGAGGGCTCCTCAGAACGGGCATAGGAGATGGTTCGTAAGGACCTGTCCCACTCCAGTGAAGGCATGAGGGGCAGGGAGGGAGGAAAGCAGCCCCACATAGGAGGATGCCCAGGGAGGGGAAGCAGGTCTTGGGAGAGCTAGGTTTCAGTCCAAGCAAGAAAGGAAAGAATGTTCCAGGGAGGGCCTCCAGAGGGCTTGGAGAAAAGGTTGCAGCAGATGGGGTCAGAAAAGGAGTATTCATGGCCTTGAGGGAGAGGTGAGCTGAGCTTCTTGCAGCCCCTGATGCAAACAGGGATGAAGGACATAGTGAGATTAGTCCTGAATCTGAGGCAGAGAGCGGTGAGGAGGCCGTGAGTTTGGGGAAGGGAGGGAAGGGCCTGGCTGGGAGAAGGCAGGGTTCTGGGCCCTCTACAGTCCTGCCAGGGAAAGTCAGAGCCCAGAGAGGCCCAGGGCTCCCTGCTGACACCTGCACAAACAGGTGTACCCCTGGTCAGGGGGTGCTCTGTAGACTGCTGTGGAGTGAGGGAGCAGCTTCTCCTGGGCACAAGACCCCAGGCACCTGCAGGATGCAGGGCTCCAGGCTCCCTCAGATGCCTGCTGATGGGTCTCCTCTGAGGGGCTGTAAACTGGCTTCCTGGGTACCCACAATGTACAAGGCACTTATTTTCAGTATGATGCCCCCGGCACTGCCAAAATCATACCCATTTATGATAGGCACAATTACTCGCCCCACTTTAGAGCTAGTGAAACTGAGGCACTGAGCAGTTAATCAACTTGCCCCAGACTCCACAGATAAACAGTCAGTGTAGAGCTGGGGGTCTCAACACAGCAGCCTCCCTCCATAGTGTGGGCTTATAGCCACTGGCTGTCCCTCTGCCCTTGTCCAAACTCAGCTGTCTGGGGTGTCAGTTTGTGCCTCTGGGCTACAGTTGAATGACCAGTTGCCTCTTCCAGGCTGGCTCCCATACCTCTCCCGACAGCAGTTTCTTAAATCCCAGAAGCTGATAACGGTAAATGGGCCTTGGAGAATGGAGGCAAGGGTGTGGGGCTCAGGACTTCTAGGTCCCAACATAGGCTGTGTTCCTGGCCCTCCCCTTGTAACAGAGGCACCTCTGTCCCTGGCTGATGAGTTTCCGCATCTGTAATTTCTCCTCAGCCTGGACTGCAGAGGCGGGAGCCCAGGGATGCTGGCGTGGAGGCTGCTTAGTGGGATGATGTCATAGTGCACAAAGCTGGGAGCCTGCTCTCACTAAAAAGGGATTATCTCTTCATCCAGGGTGAAGCCCTTCTGTGGAGCTGACCAGGGTGCTGACCCAAAGGGCAGGCCAGCGCGTGCTGCAGGGTCCCCAGCTTTGCCCCTGGAGGTCTCAATCCTCTCTACATTCTGAGGAAAACTCTTGGTCCCAGCAGAGAGAAAAAGTCCAAGGCTGCTTCCCACCCACCGCCAGCACTAGGTTTGGCCTGTACCATCCAGGACCCAGTGCTTCTGGGCCTGGCATTTCTCCTTTGGCAAGAGAGTGAGAAGAGACGTGACTGTGCTCCACGAGCAGAAAGTGCCATTCCCACTTGAAATAAAGAGACTGAGTGCATTTATTCAGGTGCAGAGGTGGCTGATCAGGTCTGACCCAATGAGGGGCTCAGGGTTTCCACTCAATGACATCGATGGCGATCTGGGTCACCTTCTATAAGGCCTCGCCCTCATAAGCCTTGCTGTCAGAGTCCTCCTCCAGGACACGGAAGGTGTGCATATGGGCCTGCAGGACCTTGCAGCCCTCAGGGGCCTCTGGCAGCATGGTGAGGGCCTTGGTGGCCTTCAGGCACACCCTGCCCATGCATGAGTGTAGCAGCTTCAGGAGCAGGCTGATGGCTTGTGCGTCCAGGGCCACCTACTTCTCGGCAGGCCACCAACACGGAATTTCTAACAGCCTGGGGGGGCCTCTTCTCACCCCCTCTCACCCTAGCCCTCTTTTGACCCTGGTGCCTGCAGAGTCTCAAAGGGAGGTGCCACCCTGTCCCACTGCTGCAGGGATTCCCTGATTCATTCATGCAGCGAGATGCTGAGGCAAGAGCTGGGTTTCCCCACCTCAGCAGTCTTTTGGGCCAGGTAATTCTCAACTTGGGGCCAAAGCTCCCCTGCTGTGACCTTTGGGTCTGGAGCAGCAAACAGAGCAAAGCCTTGTCCTCAGGAGCTCCCCTTGGGGATGACACAGAAAGTGATGGCAAGGATGGTGGTCACAGTGGACATAGGAGGATGCAGGGAGGCTGGGGAGGCTGCATTTTCAGAGAGAAAGTTCTCTCCTGGAAAGCCACTCTCCTGATCCCATGGAAAGGGACCTCTGTGCAAACCTAAGAATGATGGGGCGGGGATGGGGCCTGGGAACATGCATTTCCACAGACCACCCAGGGTCTGGTTCAGGGGCCACACTTGGAGAAATACCCGGGCCTCTAATGAGACTCTCAGAAGAAAGAGAAACCTGGACTTAGGGAAGGCAAGAGGCCCCCCCCCGCCCCCGCCAGCAAGAGGACATGGCCACGGCCAAGGCAGGGACTCTGGGGGTCGGTGACTGGCCCATCCTCACAATGAGGGTCCCAGTGTGGGAACACTCCCCAACCACTGCAAGCTCTGAGTCTTTGTGCTCCCCCAGTTTTGAGGCCAGGATGTAGACTGTGATCCTATGTGACCTGGACTGAGACACAAGACACTGTGCCTCCGTTTCCTCACCTGTGAAGGCAGACATCGCCTCCCTGGAGGGTTGTCTAAATGTGAGGTTTGGAGACAATGCCTGGCACACAGGACACACTCAGTGACCACTGGGTGTCAGGATCGTCACCAGTGCTTCTCCTGTTCTCGCCTTCCTCATGGGGTGGAGGTGCCAGACCCTCTCCTGCATCCTCCTGCAGGCAGGAGACAGCGGGTCCAGGACGAGCTCCCGGAACGCTCCTCCCTCTACAGCTTCCACATCAGTGAGCGGATCAGACCCTTGCTGATGACATCGTGGGCCCCTGCACAACAGGAAAGGGCACTGAGGGTGGACCGGCCACACCCCCTCCCATGCTGGTTGGCCTGCAGGGTGCAGGAAGGATTTTGCAGAGCAACTTGGTGGGTTTGACAGGAGAACTTGTAAGTTCCCCATCACCCCACGAAGCTGCCTGGCCAGGGGCCTGAGAAGCCAGCAGGAGGCTGTGGGTGGGTGACAGCCATGTCAGCAGTTGAATGAGAGGGCAGGCGCAGAGGACCCAGGGAGGGCCAGCCTTTGGTCGCTGGCATCTCAGGGGGCATCTGCCGTAGCAGGGCACAGTGGCCTGAGAGGCAGCAGCCAGCCCTGGGAGATCCCGCACCTCACTGCTGTGGGGCCCAGGCACACCAGGAGACCCTCCGCTCTTCCCTACCACTGCCCCAGAGTAGGGGAGCCAAGAAAGCCCCCGCTTCCCACCCCAAATATTTCAAAGGAGTTGGAGACTCACGCCTGGTCAGACCAGCCTTTGAGAAGAGCTTGGGTTCGACTCCGAGATGGAAGACCTAGAGTGGAGGCCAGTGTCTCACACACCAAAAAGAGCTGCGCCCCAACCGACGCCAATGGGAAGCCATAGGCTCTGGCCAAGGGGTCTTGAAGGGACCTGGGGCTCTATGGGAAGGGGGGCATCACATGGCACAGCTCGGGTACAGGTACTGGGAGAAGTACAATGAGGCAAGGCTCCCCCATAAACAGGCCCCACCTGGCTCCTCCCAGCTGGAGCTGGAAGCCTGGGAGGGAAGTGGTCAGTCCAGCCCCAAAAGCCTGTGGGGCAGGTAAGGGGTGAGAGATTTTATGGAATGTGGAGGCCTGTGGAGGAGACAAGCCAGAGGGTTGAGGAGGAACATCAACCCCTAGAGGGGCCTGGGCAGACACTAGCTTTCACTAAAGGGTTACTATTTTGTCCATCATGAACTTGTTTGAATTAATTTTTTTTTTTTGAGGTGGGGTCTCACTCAAAAAAAAAAATTTTTTTTTTTTGAGGCGGGAGTGCAGTGGCGTGAACTCAGCTCACTGTAACCTTCGCCTCCCAGGTTCAAGCGATTCTCCTACCTCAGCCTCCCAAGTAGCTGGGCTCACAGGTGCACACAATGGCTGGCTAATTTTTTTATTGTAAAGATGGCATTTCGCCATGTTGGCCAGGCTGATCTCGAACTCCTGACCTCAAGTTATCCACCCACCCCGGCCTCCCAAAGTGCTGGGATTACAGGCATGAGCCCATAATTAACCTGTGCCCGGCCTAATTTTTATTTTTAAATATCATATTAAAATATTATTTATCTTGATTCGTGAGATTTCTGGCCCCTGTTAAATTTGGCACCAAGGCCAGCATCTCACTGGCCTCCCCCCAGTCCTCTGGATAGGGCAGGAATGGAGGCAGGGGTGGGAATGGAGGCAGGGGTGGGAATGGAGGCAGGGGCAGGATGTCCACAGAGGATGGTGGCCGCTGTCCCCACAGGGCACCCAGGCTCCTCCTTTCTCCCTTCCTCTCCCCCTCCTCCTCCTCCTCCCACTATGTATGTGCCGCCTCCACACCCTTTCCCCCACTGGGCAGGGGCCACCTCCCCGAGCACCAGGTGGTGGGCTCCAGCTGATGTTGTGGGGGCCTTCCCTGGGGTCTGTGGGTCACTAGACCTCAGCCAGAGTCACCTCCTAGGACTGACCCCTAGGAAACCTAAGCCTACACGGTGCTGGTGCCTCTGAGGGAAAGGCCCTGGGGAGGACCTGTTGGGGGGACATGGTGCGGCCCCTCTCCTTGTGTGACCCCAGTCCTTGCCCTCTGTGTGTGGTGGGAGGTCCCCAAAGCACTGAGCATCTGGGTTCATTTACAACCTTCTGGGTCACAATGGCCTGTTCATCACTGGTGAACTTTATACCCCAGGTGATAATCATTTCAGGGACAGAACCTCCATCTCAGTGACCTCATAGTCAGGTCCTGCTGTGATCCCCATTGTACAAATAGAGATAGAGGCCAGAGTGGTGAGGCGACCCGCCCAACTCACTCAGCTCATATCGCAGAGCTGGCAGAGTTCATGAGTACCTTGGACAATTGCACCAAATGCAGTGGACTGGGACAACTAGATCAAGATGTCATTTCACAGAAATAAAGGGAAGGCCATGTACTTTATTCCAAATGTCAACTCTGAGAGGAACCAGGTAATAAAGATAGTGTCAGCTTAGCAGCTCTAGTGATTGAGAAAGTCATAAGGCTTTAGCTAGTCCAACTGCAGCTCTTCCCTGTCCCTGTCCCCTGAGCTGATGGAGCTGACATGTGCACCTCTGCAGCCTCAGTTTCCCCTTCTGCAAAGTGAGGTTTCTGATTGGTGAGGGCCTTGCAGCCTGATGCCCTACCCCTGCAGTGGCCGTGGTGAGGGCTTCCACGAGGAAAGCTGACCCTGTGCAACACCAGCAGTCCAGCAGTCCCTCTGTCAGGGGAGGGTTAAAACTAGTGGGTGCCAGGCTGAGACCAGGGTCTCAGTGTCCTGCAGGGACTTCTAGGCAAGGAGTCCCCATCAGCGTCAGGCTTTGTGCCAGGGCTGAGGTCCCAGAGGAACCAGACTTACCCCAACTCAAGCACACAAAATGAGGGTGTCGTGTGAGGTGACAGCCATATGCAGTGTGATGCTTGCAGGACAGAGACTGGGACAGGGAAAGCCTGAGGGGTCTCCACAGAGGATGAGTGACAGGTGCAGGGGACACCTGGCAGGGGACTCCCAGGCATAGAGCCTCGAGAAGCTCCAGGCGGCCCACAGGGCTGGACCAAGTGAGTCCTGGGGCCAAGGTGGTCTGAGAGCAGGCTAGACAGGTGCCAGGCCCAGACCCAGAGAACTCATCCCTGGAGGACAGACTCATCTGGGGAGTCCTGGAGGCTGTTTGCAGGGAATCGATGAGACCAGAGTTGGATGGGTGGGCAGGGGTGTGAATCCAGAACTAGAGACACCCCATGGAGGGTGTTGTGGTGACCCAGGCAGTTTGACTGATATGAGGACAGATTCAGGAGAAGGGGGAACAGGAGAGGGATGAGCAAGGACAGCCCTGGGCTTTTTTGATGAACAGTTAACACTGGGATCATGTCAGCACATCCTGTATTTTAAACAAAATGCCCAAGGGAAGTGGTGGTCTGCAAAGTGTCCCCAGAAGGCAGCAAGGGCTTGGCTTCGTCTCCCCCAAGGCCATCCACTCATCGTCTTGCTCATAAAGGCTTACTAGGGGCCAGGCTGGGGGACACAGGGAGGGTGGGCCAAACGCAGGGGGACTGTGCAGTCAGGAGGACAGATCATGGCCCATTTTTGGAGCAATAAAGGGGGAGGGGGTCCCCCCTCTGCAGTGGGGGGATGCCAGTACTGGTCTCACAGATCAAGCAGCACTGGCTGGTGCTGGGCGCCCCTCAAAGGCAGCAGTGCCAGTGGAGAGGAGACCAAGGGCTGTGGCGGGGAGCTCCTGGGGGACACGGAGGGAGAGGCTGACAGACCACAGGGTCCTTGTGGCCCGCCTTTATCCTCAGATCCAGGAGGAGTCTCTGGAGGGATTTGGGTAGGAGACTGATCATCAGATTTGTGTGCTTCTGATGAGAGGCTGGTGTAGAGCAGATTAGAGGAGGGAGGCCCAGGGCGGAGAGTGGGGGTAGCCAGGTCCAGGGGAGGTGAGGAACCTGGAGGAGGCACAGGTTTAAGCCACCCAGGGGCCCAGATTGCTGTGAAATGGGAGGGTGAAGCTGAATTGGGGGCACCAGAGGTTGATGGGGAGTAGCGGGCATTCTCGGGGGCTGCCCGAGGGAGACTGGATTTCAGAAACATGTATGAAAAATCATAAAAATGTACATGCCTTTTAATCAAGTCATTCCACTTCGAGAAATTTGTTTTGGGGGGATAAAACTTCAGCTAAAAATTCTTAATGTGTGGGAGGCTGAGGTAGGAGAATCGCTTGAACCTGGGAGGCGGAGGTTGCAGTGAGCCAACATTGTGCCACTGCACTCCAGCCTGGGCGACAGAGAGAGACTGTCTCAAAAAAAAAAAAAAAAAAAGTAAATGTGTTCATGGAGGGAAAAGTGGAAACAGCCTAAATGTCGAATGTTAGGGGGAGGTAAAATAAACTATGTTATATCCATGGTAGGGAACATTAAACACTTAAGATAAATATGTTTTTGACAACTGTAATGACATAATAAACATTTTAAAACATTTAAACTTTTGAAACATTTCTACTTTATGGTAAAGTTTACTCTTTTTGGTGTAGCTAATAAAACCTAGTATAATTTTTAAAAAATCATTGACTCATGTAACTATCACAATTGAAATACAGAATATTTCCACCCCCCCCCAAATTTCTCTAAGCACCCCTTTTTTAGAGACACAGTCTCACTCTGTCACCCAGGCTGGTGTGCAGAGGTGAATCTCGGCTCACTGCAACCTCCGCCACCTGGGTTCAAGCGATTCTCTTGCCTCAGCCTCTCGCGTAGCTGGAATTACAGGTGTGTGTCACCACACCCGGGTAATTTTTGTATTTTTAGTAGAGACAGGGTTTTGCCATGTTGGCCAGGCTGGTCTCAAATTCCTGGCCCCAAGTGACCCACCTGCCTCAGCCTCCCACAGTGCTGGGATTACAGGGGTGAGCCCCTGCTCTCAGCCTCCCACAGTGCTGGGATTACAGGGGTGAGCCCCTGCTCTCAGCCTCCCACAGTGCTGGGATTACAGGGGTGAGCCCCTGCTCTCAGCCTCCCACAGTGCTGGGATTACAGGGGTGAGCCCCTGCTCTCAGCCTCCCACAGTGCTGGGATTACAGGGTGAGCCCCTGCTCTCAGCCTCCCACAGTGCTGGGATTACAGGGGTGAGCCCCTGCTCTCAGCCTCCCACAGTGCTGGGATTACAGGGGTGAGCCCCTGCTCTCAGCCTCCCACAGTGCTGGGATTACAGGGGTGAGCCCCTGCTCTCAGCCTCCCACAGTGCTGGGATTACAGGGGTGAGCCCCTGCTCTCAGCCTCCCACAGTGCTGGGATTACAGGGGTGAGCCCCTGCTCTCAGCCTCCCACAGTGCTGGGATTACAGGGGTGAGCCCCTGCTCTCAGCCTCCCACAGTGCTGGGATTACAGGGGTGAGCCCCTGCTCTCAGCCCTTACGTTCCTTTTACATTCAAACCCTTTCTGTACCCCAACCACGGCAACCACTGGTCTCTTTCTGACCCTATACTGTTGCTTTTTACAGAATATCACAGAAATGCAAACGTAAAGGATGTGACCGCTTTTTAAATTAAACTTTTTATTTTGAGATAATTGCAGCTTCTCATGCAGTTGTGAGGAATCATACAGAGGGATCCCAGGTACTCCGGCCAGTTCCCTCAACGGTAGCACCTTGCAGCTACAGTAACGGATCACAGCCAGGAGATTGACATTGATACAGCAAGAAGGGAACACTTCCCTCCCAAACATCCCTCATGTTGCCCTTTCACAGGAACACTCACTTCCCACTGTCCCAAACCCCTCCTTAGCCCCTGGCAACTATTAATTTGGTCTCCACTTGTGTAATTTTGTTATTTCAAGAATGTTCTGCACATGGAATCATACAGTATGTGATTTCTGGGGACTGGCTTTCTCCCACTCAGCATAGTTTTCTGGGTGTTCCTCCAGGTGGCTCAATTGCAACCTAGTTTGTTCATTTTTAATGCTGACTAGGAGTCTAAGTATGTAACCTTCTGAGTCTGGCTTCCTGAGTTCAGTGTAACAATGTTGTAATTCATCCCAGTTGCCTTATGGATCAATAGTTTGTTCCCTGTTGTTGCTGAGTATGATTCCATTTATGAAGGTATCACCATGTGTTTAGCCATTCACCAGTTGAATGACAATTGGGCTGTTTCCACGTGTGTGTGTGTGTGTGTGTGTGTGTGTGTGCGCGCGTGCGTTAGGTCAAACCAGATGTTTCTGCTTATTGCCAATGGTGAATAAAACCAGTATAAATATTTGCAAACAAATTTTTGTTTAAACATAAGTTTTCATTCCGTTTGGATAAAAACCTAGGAGTAGAGTTTGCTTGATATGCATAAGCGTATGTTTATTAGAAATTGCCGGCCAGGTGCGGTGGCTCACGCCTGTAATCCCAGCACTTTGGGAGGCCGAGGTGGGTCGATCACGAGGTCAGGAGATCAAGACCATCCTGGCTAACACGGTGAAACCCCGTCTCTACTAAAAATATAAAAAATTAGCTGGTCATGGTGGCGGGTGCCCATAGTCCCAGCCACTCAGGAGGCTGAGGCAGGAGAATGGTGTGAACCCGGGAGGCAGAGCTTGCAGTGGGCCGAGATCGCACCACTGCACTCCAGCCTGGGCGACAGAGCGAGACTCCATCTCAAAAAAAAAAAAAAGAAAAAAAATTGCCGAATCGTTTTTAGAGGGGAGGCTAGTGGGGGTGGGGACATAGGGTAGGGGAGGGTTCGGTTAATGAAGCCTCCACCAGCCCAGCTGGGAAATGGGCCTGTATCCAGCACCGAGGTGCCCAGGCCCTGTGCCCAGACCTGAGCTAGACAGGGTCTCAAGATCACAGTCAGTCAAGGGACAGAAGCGGCATCTTCTGCTCCAGAAGCTTCTGTTCATGCAGGCCCTACCCCCTTCTCAGGGATCCCCAGGAACTGTTCAAAATGCTAGGTGCAGAGCTATGGCCAACTGTAGGGCACAGCCAGACACTCAGAGCTCAGAGGGACCCAGGGTGGGCAGGATTGGCTGAAGCTGGAAGTGGGTCCCTGAAGGTCACAACCCACCTGCTGCTTCCAAACCTCAGACATTTCAGGGGGCTTGGCCAGTTACAGGGAGGGAAAGGGAAATGGGGACCCTTTCAATTGCTGCCCTGGGACCCTAAGGTCTTGGGTAGTGACAAAGTACCTGGAAGCACAGCTGCCCCCAAGAGGCCTCCCAGGGTCCCTCCTTCATGGACAGGACTTCAGACTGGACAGTTACTTATCCGTTTTTCCATCAGTCTGTCCATCCATATATCTGTCCGTACACACACACACCCATCCTTCCACAAACCCTCTGACACCTCCTGGGGCCTGACCTATATAGACCCTCAGCTCCTGATGTCCCAGGCAAAGCGGGATCAACCTAGCCCAGCCCCAGGTGAGACCTGAAGTGTGCCTGATCATGCACCGTGGGAGAAGGGGGCTGTGGCACTGGGGTCCCCTGGGAGTACTTGTCCCTGCCCAGTACAGAGCTCAGGCTGCAGATGAGACCCTCTGTGAAGACGATGAGGGGCAGGGGATACTGGGGATCCCATGTCAGCAAAGGTGGCCTGGGGGCAGTGGCAACCTCAGACAGGCCTGGGAGCTTGAACCAGGGCTGGAGGGCAGAGGGAGGAAGGGCATGCTGGAAGATGGGTGTGAGCAAAGGCACAGGAGTGACCTCAGCGCCCCTTCTCTCAACAGGGATATGGCAGGTGCACATGGGCCCCCATAAAAGCACCCTGAGGGATCATCTCAGAGACCCTAGAACCTGTCTGCCATACCACGTGCCCTGCCACCCTGCTCACCACCCAAAAATTCCTTCCATTCTGCCGCATGGCTGGGCCCTGCACTGGGCCAGGCCTTAATAGGGGCAGGGGACAAGGGAGAGAGCAGGTCTGGGCCCTGAATGGGACACAGGCAGTGACCACCTGGTAAAGAAGACTGAATGGGCAGAGGATGCAGGGAGGCAGGTCCAGGGCAGGGCCCTGCGGGGTGCATAGGAGTTCTCTGGGTTGGACGGTAGACCAGGTCTGTGAACACGCACACTGGGCTGGGCCAGCAGGCTGACGTGTCCTAAGCCCCAGAGCCCTGCAGAGGGGCAGGAACAGGGCCCAGAGGGAACAAGGCTGAGAATAAAGGCCCTGAATGCCTCAGATCTGGCCAGATCTGCAACTCCTAAAGGCAGCTGTGCCTGTGTTGAGACGCTATTGAGTGGCCTTATTGTCCCTGTACCATTTATAAAATATGGGACACGTGTTGTCCAGCTGAGCCACTCATGGATTCTGTGGGGCCCATGGTCAGGATCTTGGTCCCATTTAACAGGTAGGATAACTGAGGCCTAGAGCAGTTAAATCCCAAAGAATGAGGCAGAGCTAGCTCAGGGGTGTCCTGACTTTCAGGCCAGAGCCTCTCACTGACAAATGGGGAAACCGAGATCAGGAGAGGAAGGGGCCTGCCCAAGCTCACATCGGAGCACACCTGTATGGAGCACACCTGTATGGAACACACTTGTATGGAGGGCGCCTGTATGGAGCACTGCCCTCTGCCAGGCACCAGATATGCTCAGGTGGGGTGACCTCCCTTTACCATTCCCCAGCTCTGACCCCATTTCGGGGATGCAGAAAAGAGGCCTCAGAGCAGAGTAAGGCCGAGTCAGGGCTACAGAGCCCGATGGCCACCCCTCCCCTGAACGGCTAGGAGGAGGGAGGGCAGCTGGCAAAGGCCTGCAGGAGCCCAGAGCGTGTTCTTCCAAGTGGAGCCTCTGCTGTGGGAGCCCCAGCCACAGGGTGAGACAGAAAAGGGGTCCCGCCCAAGCTCAGCCCTCAGCAGCCCTTGACCTCGGGCAGTTTGACTCCCTTCAGTGGGCCTCAGTTTCCTCCTCTGTACACGGGGGTGATAACAGTCTCTCCCCACAGGTTTGTTTTGGGGATTAAATGAGAATGCCTAGGGAGTGCCAGGCCCACGGGGACCCTCACCTACCCCCAGCCATTGCTGTTCTCTCCTCAGTTCTTGCCTGGGCCTGTGGGTGACATGCTGTGTGATCCTGGGCAAGTACCTTTCCCTCCCTGGGCCCAGCCTTCACTCTGGTCAAGGAGAAGCTGGGTCAGGGACCTGAGGACCAGCCATTCAGGAAACCAGTAGCTTCCTGGGTGAAGGGGTTGGCCAGGGAGGCCTGGAGGGACAGCGAGGTCTGAGGTGAGAGTAGGGTGGGGGCCAGGCCAAGGGATGGGGGTGGGGGATTCACCTTCCCAGCTCCGGTGGCCCTGCCTGCAGCTGGCTGACCTTGGGAATCCCCAGGCTAAGGTTAATCTTAACACTGACCTAAACCAGAACTCAGGGTGACAAGGGAAAAAACTAAGGCAAGGAGAAGCCAAGGCTGCCGCGTGGGATGTGGGACAGGAGAAAAACAAGACAGATGTGGCCAGGGAGAGGGGGAGCGTATTTCAGGGCTGCACTGGGTGTTCATGCAGCTCACAGGTGACGGTGGAACAGCCCTCTCCCTACATCCCACCTGCTCCCAGCCCCAGCCCCCCACCAGGCCTGATGCTGCCCCCTGGCTGCCTTCCCACACCCTGAGCTCCACCTTGGGTCCTGGAGCTCTGGAGGACCTGGCTTCAAGGGATCTTACCTACCCCTTCCAGGACCCTCTTTGACTAAGGAAAAGCTGTGGCCTCCCAGAGATGCAGCCTTTTCCCAAGTCTCCAGACTCTTCATCCCATCTCATCCCCAGCTTAGTGCCTGGCGCATACACGGCTCCCAACCAACAGTTTATCTGTGTATTTATGTACTTTTCTTTTCTTTTTTCCTTTTTTTTTTTTTTTTGAGACAGGGTCTCCTTCTGTCACCCAGGCTGGAGTGCAGTGGTGTGATCATGGCTCACTGCAGCCTTGACCTCCAGGGCTCAATAGATGCACTGACCTTAGCTTCCTGAGTGGCCGCATAGCTGCACCTATAGGTGACCGGCTAATTTTAGATTTTGTTTTGTTGTGTTGTGTTGTAGAGACTGGGTTTCACCATGTTGCCCAGGCTGGTCTCAAACTTCTGGGTTCACACACTTCACCTGCCTTGGCCTCCCAAATTCTGGAATTATAGATGTAAGCCACTGTGTCCTGCCAACAGTTTAAATGAGGGAGGGATGGAGGGAGGGAGGAAGGAAAGAAGGAAGGAGGCAAGGCAGGAAGGAAAAGAAAGATGGGTCAGTCAATGAAAGTTATTACAAGAGGCAAAGAAGGACATTATATATTGATAAATAAGTTACTTCATCAAGAAGATGTAACAATTAGTACATGTGCGTCTAACCACAGAGCCCCCAAGTATAGGAAGTAATGACTGATGGAATTGAAGAGAGAAACAGACAGCTTCGCAATAATAGTTGCAATACTATACTGTCAATACTGGCTAGAACAATGAGACAGAAGATCAATAAAGAAGTAGAGGACTTGAAAAACTATAAATCAGCTAGACCTGACAACATCTACAACAGACTCACAGAATACAGATTCTTCCCAAGCACACATGGAATGTTCTCTGGAATATACCATGTATTAGACCATGAAACAAATCTCATTGATTTAAAAGCACTGAAATCAAAGTATCTTCTCTGCAATAGAATGAAGGTAGAAATCAATAACAAAGGCAATCTGAATTCAGGAATATATAAAAATTTAAACACACTCCTAAACAATCAATGAATCAAAGCAGAAATTACAAGTGATGTTCAAAAATTCTTTGAGATAAATGAAAATGGAAACAAAGCACACCAAACTTGTAGGAGGCTGTGAGACCAGCGCTCAGAAGAAAATGCAGAGCGGGGAGGCCACGGTGGGAAGATGGCATGAGGCCAGGAGTTTAAACCAGCCTGGGCGACAAAATGAGACCCCTTTGCACAAATAAAAATAAAAATAAACGGGGGTGCCATGTACCTGTGGTCACAACTACTTGCGAAGCTGAGGTGGGAGGGTCCTTGAGTCCAGTAGATCAAGGCTACAGTGAGCTGTGATCGTGTCACTGCACTCCAGCCTGGATGCAAGACTCTGTCAAAAGGGGAAGGGGAAGAGGAAGGGGACAACCTTTGAACTGCACCCCTGAGGTTGGACCCGGGGAGAACTGGCCTCACAGGAAAGAGAAGAGGTGCTAGATGGAATCAGACTCTCAGAAGAGACAGAAAGGAGATGAAGGGAAACACGGAGAAATGACTAGAACCCACTGTGGAAGACTCTGTGTGCAGCAAAAATGACGTAATGTGATAATGAAGGGACAGTTTCTATCTCCTAGAGAGCAGAAGTGCCCCTGAGAGCTCCGGTGAGAAGACAGGCTGTGGGTTCCTGGGATTTCAGACATTTGGAGCGGGAATGCAGGGATGTAAGATGATGTGTTTTCCAGTCCCCTGGCCAGCAATGATGCTTCTCAGTTATGAACGTCCCCCATGGAGAGTCCTAGGGTCTTCCTGTCTGAGTCAACTTGTCCTCTCAGTTCCTCCTCCCTAGATCTCTTTAGAATTATTTCCTGGCTTAGGGTTTCCTGAGAGTGGAGGAGAAGGAGCTATGGATGCCCCCCTTCCTCCCTCACCATGGTTGGAAGTCTGGCCAAGGCCACTCATTAATGGACAGGGGACCTTTCCTATCTCCTCAGGGGCAGCCTCCTGAGTTGGTCTGACCCCCAAAACTTTGCACACCATCTGCACATGGAAAATGTGTGTCTGTTTATTGATTTATGAAGCCACCTAGAAAGATTAGCTATAAACAATGTGTTTACTTAATTTTAGGATACATTTTCAGAGGCAACTAGGCAGAAAGGTGAACTTTCCCATCACTTAGACCTCAAGTCAGCAGCTCATGCAGCAGTCATTGCTCGGGTGACTCTGAGTGACCTGTTCTACCTCTAGAGCTGACGTTTCTGTTCTGGTTAGGCTAAATGGAGGAAATAAAAATTCTCCAAACATTTCATTAAGATTCACTGGGAAACAGTACCCTGAGTGCTTAGAGCTGCACTCCTCACACAGAAGACACAGTAAGGGTTAGGGAACCTTCTCAGGGGATGAATACACACGAACTTTCACCACAGCGACCAAGAGCTTATATTGGGAGTCTGATTCCGGCCTCTAGGGAAGCTGGAAAATCCAAAACCAATCTCATTAAACTATTTCATCTACTCATAGGAGGAGGTCCAGTTCTTATGAAACTGCCAACCCTTCCTTCTCTCCCTCTCCTCACCCTCCACCCACAGGACAGGGCCGGGCACACGGAGGAGGGACACTGAGGACCTGGGTGGTGGAGACCCTGGCTTTCCTCTCTTCTCACCCATGGTGGGCTCTGCTTATCCTCATCTTTTCTTCCCCAGTTAGGGTTTCCTGGGAGCCTGCGAGTTGTCTGGGGACTTCATCAACATTTGCACAAATGCCCCAGACTCTGCTCACCTCTTTCAAAGGGGCTCCTCCCTCTGAGCCTGCAATGTCTGTGTGATTGGGAGGTGTCACCTCCAGGCCCTGAAACCACAGCCCTCTGAGGATCTCTGGCCCAGGTCTGAGGTTCCTCTACAAGCTTTGGAGATGAACGAAGCCTCTGCTTTAACAGGAATAGATCCTGTTTATCAAAGCATGTAAAGGCCAGATGTTCGTTTCTATGTTAGGGATCCTGAAGAGTTGTTTCAGAGTGGATGAATGACTGTCACATCCTCAGTGGCCCTGCCACTCTGACAGATGAGTAGTCACTTGTCATACATCTTGTTCCCTTGAACTTCAACAATGACTAAAAATACAAAAAATTAGCCAGGCGTGGTTTCACTCTGGAGTGTAGTGGTGCGATCTTGGCTTACTGCTATCTCTGTCTCCCAGGTTCAAGCAATTCTCCTGCCTCAGCCTCCCGAGTAGCTGGGATTACAGGCACTTGCCACAACACCTGGTTAATTTTTTGTATTTTTAGTAGAGATGGGGTTTTGCCGTGTTGACCAGGCTGGTCTTGAACTCCTGATCTCAGGTGATCCACCTCCCTTGGTCTCCCAAAGTGCTTTGATTACAGGCGTGAGCCACCACACCCAGCCAACTTTTTTTTGTTGTTGTTGGCTGCTGCTTTCAAGATTTTTTGTCACTTGCCAGTTTGATGATAATGTGTCTTGGTGTGGATCTTTTTGTGGTTAATTCTCTTGGAGTTCATTGAGCTGCTTTGATTTGTAGTTTCACGTCTTTCTCCAATTTGGGATAGTTTTTGGACATTTTTGCAAATAATCTCTGTTCCTTCCTCTCTCTTCTCCTTTGCTGAATGCATAATGTGTATCTTGGTCCTCTTGATGGTGTCCCATAGTCCCTTAGGATGCCTTCACCTTTGTTTGCTCTTTTCTTTTTTTTTTTTTGAGACAGAGTCTTGCTCTGTCGCCCAGGCTGGAGTGCAGTGGTGACATCTCAGCTCACTGCAACCTCCGTCTCCCGGGTTCAAGCGATTCTCCTCCTTCAGCCTCCAGAGTAGCTGGGATTACAGGCATGCGCCACCACGCCCGGCTAATTTTTTTGTTTTTGTTTTTGTTTTGTTTTGTTTTGAGATGGAGTCTTGCTCTGTCACCAAGCTGGAGTGCAGTGGCGCAATCTTGGCTCACTGCAACCTCTGCCTCCTAGGTTCAAGCAGTTCTGCCTCAGCCTCCCGGGTGGCTGGGACTACAGGCGCGCGACATCATGCCCAGCTAATTTTTATATTCTTAGTAGAGATGGGGTTTCACCATGTTCACCAGAATGGTCTCGATCTCTTGACCTTGTGATTCGCCTGCCTTGGCCTCCCAAAGTGCCGGAATTACAGGCGTGAGCCACTGTGCCTGGCCTAATTTTTGTATTTTTAGTAGAGAAGGGATTTCACCATGTTGGCCAGGCTGGTCTCGAACTTCTGACCTCAGGTGATCTGCCCGCCTCAGCACTCCCAGAGTGCTGGGATTACAGGCATGAGCCACCGCACCCGGCCTGTTTGCTCTTTTCTGTTTGCTCCTCAGACAAAGTAATTTCAAATGTACTTTCTTCAAGTTTGTTCATTCTCTCTTCTACCTGCTTGAACCTTCCATTGACTTCTTCTACTGAATTTTTCAATTTAGTTATTGTATTTTTCAGCTCTAGAATTTTTGTTGAGGTTCTTTTTATATCTCTATATTGATATTCTCATTTTATTAATATATAATTTTGCTGATTTCCTTTAGTTCTTTGTCCATGTTTTCCTTTAACTGTTTGAGCGTATTTAAGATGGTTTTAAGGTCTTTGTCTAGCAAGTCTGATACCTGTGTTTCTTCAGGAATAATTTCGTTTTTTTTTTCTTTTTTTTGAGGTGAAGCCTCACTCTGTTGCCAGGCTGGAGTGCAGTGACACGATCATGGCTCACTGCAACCTCCACCTCCCGGGTTCAAGGAATTCTCCTGCCTCAGCCTCCCGAGTAGCTGGGATTACAGGTGTGTGCCATCATGCCAGCTAATTTTGTGTGTGTGTGTGTGTGTGTGTGTGTGTGTGTGTGTGTGTGTGTATTTTTAATAGAGACAGGGTTTCACCATGTTGGCCAGGCTGGTCTCAAACTCCTGACCTCAGGTGATCTGCCTGCCTCAGGCTCCCAAAGTGCTGGGATTACAGGTGTGAGCCACCTGGCTGGAAGTCTTATCTTAAAGCTTGAAGCCTCTCCCTTCTATTAGTGGCCCGCCCCAGAGGTGCCCAATATCAGCCTCTCTCTGCCCATCTTCCTTTCCCACTGTGCAGACTGGGCCCTGGAGGGGTGGGCTCTGCCCCTGAAGAGGCTGTGGAGTAGGCCACCCAGCAGCACTTGCTGTGTGAACAAGTGACTTTCTCTTGCCTGTTATGCATACTGATGGTGCTTATCAGCTCTCTCCCTACTTCCTGTCCTTTTCTCCTCTTAAGCCTGGATTCAAAAACCCACTCCTCCTCTACCTTCTAATTCATGGACCGCCCCCCCCCAGTCTTGCTCCTTGATATCACTGGATGCCACCTCCTCTCTGATTACTCTGCCTTACCTGAGGCTGCTGCCATCCCTCTGCTGGCCCAGTGCACAGCCTCCTGACCTGACTGCCCTTGTATTTGTTCTGCTTTTGGCAGCCAGAGTGCTTTCTACCCTGCTAGCCTGATGGGGTCATTCCCTTCCTCAGACACCCCCATTGAGTCCCATGTAAACCAGAATGTCAAGGCCAGCCTGCAGGCCCTTCCTGATCTGGCTCCCGTCTCTGGACCCTCCATGCTCCAGCCCCATTGCGTTCCTGTGTTCCCTGAACATGCCTTCCGCTGGAGGGAAGGACGTGCCTCGGGAAACACCCCTCGCGTAGCCACAGAAGGAGCCTGGGCTGGAGGTTTGGGGGAGTCCTATTCCCATGTTAGCTACTGTAACATGGGAAGCAGAGGGCCTGCTCCCCCTCCACACCCCTCCCCCAGCCCTGTGCTGTATTCTGGGTGTCAGGTGCAGCTGAACCAGGGAAGAAGGCCAAATTTGGGGTTTGAGCCAGCCCTTTGGTTCGTGGGAAAGGAGAAAATAGGTCCAACCATAACCATTTTCTTCTTGCTTCTCATTGTTATGTTTTCATGTCGCCTTAACGCCTGGTGTATTTACGTATTTCCTAAAAACAATGATTTCGCAAGCACCCCAGCTGTGATTTTCCCTGAGCCCATGTGCTCCACAACCTAGCTCCTGACAGGACCCCCTACGCCTCAGATAGATCCTCACAATGGCTGAGGCTCAACCTGCCCTTGGGTTTCTTCCCTGTTTCGTGGATGAGGTCAGCAGAAATTTTGAGGGAAGCTCACTTCATAGAAGTGAAGTGGGAAGCGCTTGGAGTAGTTCAAGGTCTCAACAGGAGACCTTGCCATTTCACGTTCTCAGACAGCGAGAAGGCTGGCAGGAGACCATTTCCTTGTAGTCGGTGGAGAAAGGGGAGTCACAGGGAGGGAGAGGAAGAGACCTGACCCATCCAGCAAGAACAGGGCCTGGAAGAGTGCCCTCCTTGTCTGAAGCTCCAGTGCAGTCCTTGAGAGTGTAAGTGTGTGACCTGCAGCGGGAGGCCACCAGGGGGTGCTGTGAGACTGGCCCAAGCTGAACTGGGGGAGGAGGACCCCACATCTCTGCTTGGGACTCAGTGTCTTTTTCTTCCTTTTGCCTCAACCATTCCGCAGGCCTGAAGGCCAGAACTGTCTAGGGGAGCCCCGTTCCAGCTGTGGGATGCCTATAGATGTAGAGATGCTCCCAGATTCTTACACATCTCTGTAATTAGTGGAATAAGTGGGCCATGAGTGAGAACGGCTAGAGAAGGTTTGAGGAAGACAGTAGACAGCCTTATGCCATCCACGGAGCAGAGCATGCTCCGAGTGCAGGGCACATTCTTTTCAAGCAGATATGGAACAAAAGCGCACATATGCCAGGCTATAAAGAACATGTACCCTGCTGGGCCCAGTGGCTCACGCCTGTAGTCCTAGCACTTTGGGAGGCCAAGGCAGGGTGAGCGGATCCCTTTAGGTCAGGAGTTCAAGACCAGCCTGGCCAACATGGTGAACCCCCATCTCTAGATATATAGGTATCTAAATAGATATCTATATTTATATATCCGGGCGTGGTGGTGCACACCTGTAATCCCAGTTACTTGGGAGGCTGAGGCGGGAGAATCACTTGAACCTGGGAGGCAGAGGTTGCAATGAGCTGAGATTGTGCCACTGCACTCCAGCCTGGGTGACAGAACGAGACTCCATCTCAAAACAAAAAAGAATGTGTCCCCAAATATCAAAGGGCTGGCTGGGTGCAGTGGCTCCCACCTGTAATCCCAGCACTTTGGGAGACCAAGGCAGGCAGATCACTTTGAGCTCAGGAGTTTGAGACCAGCCTGGGCAACAAGGCAAAACCCCATCTCTACTAAAAGTACAAAAATTAGCTGGGTGTGGTGGTGCATGCCTATAATCCCAGCTACTTGTGAGGCTGAGGCAGGAGAATTGCTTGAACCCAAGAGGTGGAGGTTGCAGTGAGCTGAGACCACACCACTGCACTTCAGCCAGGGTGGGTGAGCAACACTCCGTCTCAAAAAAAAAAAAAAAAATCAAAGGGCTGAAATACAGGTTATGCTTTTGTAGTACAATGCAACGATGCTAGAAATCAATCACTAAAATGCAACCAGAAAGCCATTATGTGGCATCACCTCACCCCTAGCCAGGATTCATGGCTCTGGAAATCAACAAACAGAAGGTGCTTCCCGTCCACACAGCTCTGGGCTCTGTTGCTTTAGAGGCTTTAATTCCCAAGAGAGGAAACCTTCGACCAATTCCACAAGAGGCTGCCTCCCTGGCCACTGTGGGCTCCTTATGCCAGAGAACAATAGACATCCGGGGATCGAGCCAAACTATCAGGGTACTGGGGCACTGCTACACAGAGGGATGAAGGGAGGGTATGTCTGGAGCACTGAGAGCCTCGGGGTCCCTTCATGTCCTGTGGTAACAGTTACTGCAAACTACAGCCATGTAATTCAGGCAGGAGCGTGAATGGCCCAGACCCTCAGGTATAAGGGTTTGAGTCATCCCACCAAACAGGTAACACCAAGGTATCTGCTGAGGGCACAGAGACTACCCAGTGGGTAGTAGAAACAGTCAGCACCAGCTGCGGCCATGTGAGAGTGACAGAAAGGAGGACACTCAAGAGTGAGGATGTTTCTTCTTTGTTTTGACATGACTGTAATTGCATTTGTCGTAACACTAGTAACACTTTCTCCTCCTCATTTCCCTGTGATTAATACATTCTTATGTTAATAAGTGACCTACTTTTAAATTTTTTATTATATATGAACATTTATATATTTTTTATTTTATATATACACACACACATACACACATATATATATATGTACATATGTATGTTTTTTGGGTTTTTTTTAATGAGACAGTGTTGCTCTGTCGCCCAGGCTGGAGTGCAGTGGCACCATCATAGCTCACTGCAGCCTCGAGCTCTTGGGCTCAGGTGATTCTTCCACCTCAGCCTCCCAAGTAGCTGGGGCTACAGGTTCAAGCCACCACGTGTGGTTAATTTTTGTATTTTTTGTAGAGACAAAGTTTCACCATGTTGCCCAGGCTGGTCTTGAACTCCTGGGCTCAAGAGATCTGCCCACCTTGGCCTCCCAAAGTGCTGGGATTATAGGCATGAGCCACCTCGCCTGGCTGGTAACCTATTTTGATATCTAAGTTATAGAATATCAAAGGGGTGTGTGTGTGTGTGTGTGTGTGTGTGTGTGTGTGTGTCAGCTGGGAGAGTAATAAACATCACCTGAAGATGGATGAAGTGATCTATAGACCTGAGTCCTTTTCTGGGAGGGTTAGCTTGTTTGGGTTATATGAGCCTAGTTTCATCATGTTCGGCAGAAGCATGATGTTGCTAGTGGCTTTATTTGGAGGTTAATCTGGTTAGAGGAAGTGTGCAGAAATGCCACGCTGACAAAGGTGGGCTGGAGTGGTTTTGCCCTGTATCCACCTGGCTAAACTAGAACTAAGTTTCCTACAGTCCCCTTCTCCATATGATTTGGGGTCAGAATTGGCTAAAAAAAATTGTGAGATACCCGGGTGGCAGAAAGGAAGTGACAGCCATCACTCATTACAGGCCTGTTCGGTTGGAGGCCATAAGACAGATGCAGAGGGGCTGGGCCTGCCCAGGACCAGAGTGAGGGGAGCAGGCACCTGTGTGAGTACAGGGTCAGCACCTGAGAGTGAGCACCCTCTTAAATGGTGGCCCTAGGCACCTGCTGGGCAGACAGTAGGGCCCCCTGCCTGGAAGCTCTCTCTGTTCTCAGGAAGAGGGCAGCTCAGGTGTGACCTGCAAGAAGGAAGAGATTCTGAATACACTTCTCTGCTGTGGGCTGAACCCTCCCACTGAGCGCCTTCCCAACTTGTTATAGAAAATCAGAGCTCGGGCTGGGCACAGTGGCTCATGCCTGTGATCCCAGCACTTTGGGAAGCTGAGGCAGGTGGATCACCTGAGGCCAGGAGTTCAAGACCAGCCTGGCCAACATGGCAAAACATCTCTACTAAAAATACAAAAAAATTAGCTGGGTGTGGCCATGGGTACCTGTAATCCCAGCGACTTGGGAAGCTGAGGCAGGAGAATTGCTTGAACCTGGGAGGCGGAGGTTGCAGTGAGCTGAGATTGCACCACTGCATTCCAGCCTGGGTGACAGAGCAAGACTCTGTCTCAAAACAAAGAAAAAAAGAAAACCAGAACTGGACAGTAGCAAAAGGGTCAAAATAGATTTTATCAGGAACTACTGCTGTGGAGAAGAGGCCTCGGTATGAGACTGGGCTCCATGCGAATATAGCATGGGCAAGTGGGGATTCCTCAGAAGGCAGGCCAGGGTGACCAGATGTCACCTGGGGGATTGGGAATTTGATCAGATAGGGAAGGTGATCAGATGTTGAGGGTAGGTGACTATGGCTAAACCCACTTAGCAGGAATCTTGCTAAAACTGTGCAGTGCAGACGCAATTAAGGTGGGCACTGAAGCTCAAGGTCAAAGCCTAGTGGAGAAGGCTTAGAGGGGCCTGGCTCAAGTTTTTTCAAGGAGAGAGTCTTTGTCACACTGCATGCACGGTGGGGAGACCCCTGGGTTTCTGTGAGCCCTGACATTAGAGGCCTTGGGCCTGGTTCCTGGGGCACCTTCCAGGGTTCTGCTGAATGTGTCCCATTGCTGGATTGCTAGTTGGTTCTCAGATTGTCCCTGGCCTGGATGGTGGGGAGGGGAGGGTGGTGGTCAGCTGCCTGTCCTAGGCCTGAGGCCTTCACCACTCCCTCCCTTCTCTGTGCCCCAGGGAAGGCAGTCAGGCCCCGTCCCTGGTCCTGGTCCTCAGGGATGGGTCCCTCTGCCTGGATGATGGAGAAGGCTTCTCTCTCCCTTCGAATTTTGGTCTGATAAGGCTTCCCATGAGTAAATCCAGCCAACTGGGGGAAAGGGCAGGGAGAAACCCACAGAAATGGAAGCAGGGTTCTGGGATCGGGTGACCCTAGGTGCCCCACATCCAGATTCCCGGTTATGCCAGGCAGTAACTCCCTCCTTGTTTGAGGCCATTTGAGTTGGGTGTCTGGGACCCACAGGATGGCTCTCTGACATGGTCTATAACAGACATTGCACATGTACCCTGGAAGCATGGGGGGAGGGGCACCCGGCAGTGCTATCCCAGCCCCAGATACTGCACAGAAAAGGCCTAGAAATCCCATCATAGAGATGCGACTAAACTGTTGGAAATGCAAGGAAAACAAACATGACTCTTGCACGATAAGGGCACAGGTAAGTCTTTTAGAGAAGAGCTCCCGTGTGCAGGAGTGGTGGGCTAGGTTAGAGAATGGCTATGAAAGTAAACAGATGGAAAAAGATACCGTGAAATTCCTACTCAAAGGAAAACTGGTGTAGTTATATAGATATCAGACAAAAGAAACTTCAAGGTAAAAGGTGTCATCTGGAATAAATAGGGCTATTTTATGCTAATAAAAGTTTTATTTCGGCTGGACGCAGTGGCTCACATCTGTAATCCCAGCACTTTGGGAGGCTGAGGCGAGTGGATCACCTGAGGTCAGGAGTTCAAGAACAGCCTGGCCAACATGGTGAAACCCTTGTCTCTACTAAAAATACAATAATTAGCCGGGCATGGTGGTATGTGCCTGTAATCCCAGCTACTCTGGAGGCTGAGGCAGGAGAACCACTTGAACCTGGGAGGAGGAGGTTGCAGTGAGCCGAGATTCTGCCATTGCACTCCAGCCTGGGTGACAAGAGTGAAACTCAGTCTCAAAAACAAACAAACAAACAAAAACCTCATCAGGGAACATGAGGGAGGTAATGGTGTTTTTTGGTTTTCTTTTGAAACAGGGTCTCACACTGTTGCCCAGGCTGGAGTGCAGTGGTGTGATCACAGTTCATTGCAGCCTAGACCTCCTGGGCTCAGATGATCCTCCCACCTCAGCCTCCCAAGGAGCTGGGACTACAGGTGCAAGTCACCATGCCCAGCTAGTTTTTAATGTTTTTGTAGAGATGGGGTTTCACCATGTTCCCCAGGCTGGTTTCAAACTCCTGGGCTCAAGTGATCCTTCTGCCTTGGCCTCCCAAAGTGATAGGATTACAGGCGTAAGCTACCAGCCGGACTAGCAGTTTTAAATTTGTATGCATCTAATAATGTGGTCTCAAAAAATATGAAACCAAAAACTGCTGAGCTACAGGGACAAATAAATTCACAGTCCCTGAGGGAGATGATTCCTTCTCAGCAGACAAACCCTAAAAAACAAAAATAAATAGAAGATTGAAAGACAATAATGAGTACCTAATGGACTTACATATAGAACACTGCATTCAAGGGTTGCAGAGTACATATTCTCTTCAAAGATAAAAAACAGACAAGAATCATTGACAAAAAGTAACTATCTATTGAGTTACAAAACAAGTCTCCATAAGGCAGATTTGAAAGAATTGAAATTATTCAGAGTATGCACCCTAAATACATACAGTTAAACTAGAAATCAATAACCAATATATGGCCGGGCACACAGTGACTCATCCCTGTAATCCCAGAACTTTAGGAGGCCAAAGCGAGAGGATCATTTGAAGCCAGAAGTTTGAGTCCAGCCCGGGCAACACAGTGAGACCCTGTCTTTATAAAAATAAAAGAGAAAGTAGCTGGGTGTGGTGGCATGTGCCTGTAGTCCTAGCTACTCAGGAGGCTGAGGCAGGAGGATCACTTGAGCCTAGGAGTTGGAGACTGCAGTGAGCCATGATTACACTACTGCACTCCAGCCTGGGTGACAGTGAGACTGTCTCAAAAAAAAGAAAAGAAAACCCACAAAACCCACAAAATATCCCCCACAACCAAATATATAACTAGAACCTCCTCATATATTTGGAAATTAAGAAATACGCTGCTAGGCGGGCATGGTGGCTCATGCCTGTAATCCCAGCACTTCAGGAGGCCAAGTCGGGAGGATCTTGAGTTCAGGAGCTTGAGACCAGCCTGAGCAACATAGCAAGACCCTCTCAACAAAACATGTAACACAATTTAGCCAGGTGTGGTGGCATGTTCCTCTAGTTCCAGCTACTTCGGAGGCTGAAGTGGGAAGATCGCTTGAGCCTAAGAGTTGGAGGCTGCAGTCAGCCCTGATTGCACCACTGCACTCCAGCTTGGCTGACACAGCAAGACCCTGTCTCTAAAACAGAAAGGAGGGAAGGAAGGAGAGAAAGAAGGGAAAGGAAGGAGAGAGAGAGGAAAAAAAAGAAAGAGAGAAAAGAAACTGCTGAATAAGCCAACAGTTGGGGAACTCAAGAAACAAAATTAGGTAACATTTTAAACTGAACAATGATGAGACCACCACATAAAAATTTGTAGGATACAGATAAATCAGCACATAGAGGGAAACTGGTAACTTAAATCCCAGCCCTTTGGGAGGCTGAGGTGGGAGGGATTCCTTGAGCCCTGGAGGTTGAGGCTGCAGTGAGCTATGATTGCACCATTACATTCCAGCCTGGGCAACAGAGTGAGACCCTGTCTCAAAAAAAAGACTGTTGTTTAATTTTCACAAGTTTGTGAAATGTAAAATTTAAATGTTAATCCCACCCACAAAATAATGCCACAGAAACATCAGAATAATATTTGACCAAATATCTGGCACTGTGGCCCTGCCAAGTTGACACATAAAATTAAACATCACCCTGGCCGTAAATAATGGTAGGTACATCATCATCCTCATGTCCAAGGAAACCTCAAGACTTCTGGGCTTTGAAGAATATTTTGAAGCTGCCAAAATAACAGAGATCACTTCCAGTGACCCTGAAAACTTGAGAGTTTCTAGAACCTTCACTTCTGGTTCCTGAGGAAAATGGTCCTGTATTTCCTCTGGAGACAGCCTGAGAGAGAGGGATCCTTGGTGGTGCAGGCGGAGTCTTTGAGGCCTGGGGCATAGAGAGTGGGCAGGGGACTGACCAGCAGGAGGCCAGAATGGGGGACACCCACAAACACGGGAGCAGGGCAGAGGTGACTAGATGGGGCAGTCACCTGTGCTCTGAGAGAGGACAGCCAGGCAGGACCCAGAGGGCTCTGCAGAGGCACCAGGGACCCTAAAAAGGGAGGGCACTGAGCAGGACAGCAGGGCCCAGCCTCCTCTGCCCAGGCCTGGACACATCTCAGTCCAGGAAGGGGTGAGGTGAGCCTGGGTGGTGAGAGCTGCAGCTGCACCTGCTGGAGAGGCCCGGCCCAGCCCAGCCCCGCAGGGTCCCCAGGATCCAGCCAGACCCAGATTTCCCGCCACAGAAAGATGTGGTCTGAGGCTGCCTCTGTTGAGAGGCCATGGCAGGTGCAGGGTCAGGCAGGGCCTGAAAGGGAGCGGCTGGGGGCACTATTTAAAACAGTCGCTTCCTCTCCCGAGACCTGGGGCTGTCCTTGGGGGAACCACAGTTTCTGAGTCCCAGGCAGTGATGAGTGTCACACTCAAGGGGGGTGCTGGGGAGGGAGCAGCTTCAGCCCAGACCCCCAGTGCAGGTGCTGCTCCAGCCCTGAAGGTGAGAGGAGCCAGGGTCGGGGGCAGCAGTGGACCAAGGCTCCCAACAGGGGAGAAGCTAGACTGGATTGGGGCCTCCCAGGGGCTTCCCCTCTACCTGCATCAGTGTTTCTTAGGGTGTCCACATCCCATTACTGCTCAGCACCTTGCCCATCTCCCCGAGGATCGGGAGCTGTCTGGCATGCAGCCTTTGGCGCTGAGGGGACTCTCAGTGTTCATGGGACACTGGGATCTGAGCATCAGTCCATGGAGCCTGAGCTCACTATGGCTCTCGTGATCTCTATGAGATAATGTGAAGTCTTCTGTTTGTCTCTCTGTCTGTCTGTTACAGCATCCCACAACCATGGCTGGCAGATGCCAAGGGGATGTGTGAGATGGCCCAGCTCCAGGATGAAACTCAACTTTAGGGAAGCTGGGGAGAGCCTCACAGCGCTGGACAAGCCATCAGATGGCACTGCCCCCAGGGACACACCCGGGGGCGTGGACAGGGATATGGAGGACCTAAGGCAAAGGGTGGCTTCAAACGTGACAGCAGATCAGCCGCTGGGGAAATACCAGAGGGGATTTGACAGCTGGGCCAGGTGTTCCAGGACAGCACTTTCCAAAAGATTTTCCATCCAAACTTCCAGCAAGAAGTAGATCTTCCATCGTTATCCAGAGCATATCTACGCATTCAGGTAACTGAAGCAACATTCCAGGAACCCTCACCATCCCTCCCGTTGAACAGTTCGCTCTCCAGCTGGAGTCAGCTCTGGGCTGCCTCACTTTAACAAAATGCTGGTTGCAGCCATTGGAATTAATTTTACACCCTCTGAGTTGCAGTGCAAAATTTGAAGACTGGCATTTGGAAGCTCAGTATCATCAAGGATTCATTTATTTTATGATGGTTGACAACATTTTCCAGGCCACACTAACTGGGTCAGCTGGTAATAATAATAATATGATAATTGGCCGGGCACGATGGCTCACGCCTGTAATCCCAGCTCTTTGGGAGGCTGAGGTGGGCTGATCGCCTGAGATCAGGAGTTCGGGACCAGCCTGATCAACATGGTGAAACCCCGTCTCTACTAGAAACACAAAAATTTAGCATGATGGCGGGCACCTGTAGACCAGCTGCCTGGGAGGCTGAAGCAGGAGAATTGCTCGAACCCGGGAGGCAGAGGCCACAGTGAGCCGAGATAGCACCATTGCACTTCAGCCTGGGCAGCAGAGTGAAACTCCATCTCAAAATAATAATAATAATAATAATAATAAGCCCCTGAAGGTATTACACATGCAGCACTTTCCAGTTTAAAAAGGACTTTCAAAGGACAAGTAGTGTATGGTCCCATCCATAGGAGGTATCCAGAGTACCCAAATATAGAGATGGGAACTAGCATGGTGGGTGCCAGGGGCTGGGGGAGGGAGGAATGGGAAGTTGGTGTTGAATGGGGACAGAATTTGAGTTCTGCAAGATGAAAAAGATCTAGACATGCCATTGCACTCCAGCCTGGGCAACAGAGTGAGACTCCGTCTCAAAAAAAAAAAAGAAAAAGCCAGTTGCGGTGGCTCACGCCTGTAAACCCAGCACTTTGGGAGGCCGAGGCAGGTGGATCATGAGGTCAGGAGTTTGAGACCAGCCTGACCAACATGCTGAAACCCCATCTCTACTAATAATACAAAAATTAGCTGGCATGGTGGTGGGCGCCTGTAATCCCAGCTACTCAGGAGGCTGAGACAGGAGAATCGCTTGAACCCGGGAGAAAGAGATTGCCATGAGCTAAGATTGCGCCACTGCACTCCAGCCTGGGCAACAGAGCAAGACTCTGAAAAAAGAAAAATCTAGAAATGGATGGTGGTGATGGTTGCACGACATTGTGAATGTAGTTAATGCCACTGAACTGTGTACTTAAAAATGGTCAAGATGGGCCAGGCGCGGTGGCTCACACCTGTGATCCCAGCACTTTGGGAGGCCCAGGCGGGTGGATCATGAGGTTAGGAGATCGAGACCAGCCTGGCCAACATGGTGAACCCCATCTCTACTAAAAATACAAAAATTAGCTTGTCGTGGTGGTGCATGCCTGTAATCCCAGCTACTCAGGAGGCTGAGGCAGGAGAATCGCTTGAACCAGGGATTCGGAGGTTTCAGTGAGCTGAGATCACGCCACACTGCACTCCAGCCTGGCGACACAGCAAGACTCTCAAAAAAAAAAAAAAGGTCAAGATGATAAATTTTAGGTTGTGTGTATGTTACTGCTTTTTCACAGATGAAGAAAACAACACTGACATGCATTATCTCCCAACACCAACCTCAACCCAGCCCTGGAGTGTGAGCAGAGCCAGCAGCATTTCCAGCCCCGCCTCTGGAGGAAGGAGAGGAACCTGAGACTCTTGGGTGACCTGAGGCGTCTCTGGCAGCACCAGCAAAAGAGCCTGGCCCTGGCCGCCCAGCACAGGTGCTCAGTCCCTCCTGACTGCCACTGCTCCCTCAACACCAAAGCACAGGGTCGCGAGATGTTGGGAGAGGGTCGGGGATGCTGGGCTGGGAGAGGACCGGGGGCCTGTCAGAAGCCATGACATGATGCACTCACCGCTCAGGAGGAAGCTACTGGCCTTTGAGTGAAATCTATAAGAATGAACTCTGGAGATGTATCGTACAACATGGAGTCTACAGTTAAAAACTGTATTGTATACTGGAAAATTGCTAAGATTAGATCTTCCATGTTCTCACTACAAAAGCATAAGTATGTGAGATGACGGACGTGTGTGTCAGCTTGATTTAATCATTTTGCAGTGTGGCAAAGCATCGCACTGTAGGTGGTAAATATATATACAGTTTTGTCAATTATACCTTCAGGAAGCTGGGGTGGTTGGTGTGTGTGTGTGTGTCTGTGTGATGTGAGGTCAGTGAGGTGCTGAACATGGTGCATTAAACAGCATTTTCATTCTTATCTCATGATTCCTGGACTTGAACCGTTGAGTGGCTTCTGGCTAAACCCAAACCTGTTTCCTGCTCTCTAACCACACCTCCCTCTAGGACCGGTTGGAGGAGCCTCAGCCCAGGCCCCTGAGCTCAAGCCCTGGGGGACTCCTGCTGGGCAGCTCTCTGGACCCCAGTGAGATGCTCCACAGACCCAGGGCGCCCTCGGGGAAGTGGGGAAGGAGGGAAGTCAGGTGCATCACCTCTTGGGACCAGCCCCGAGGGGACTCAAGCCCATCCAGGGCGCAGGTGCCTCCAAAGGAAAGCCCCAAGGGAGGGTCTTGGGGGGCCATGGCGCATCCCACCTCCCTGTGTGACCTCAGCTCTTGCTGACCCTCTGCCTGTGGTGGGAGGTCCCCAAACAAAGCACCCAGGGCCCCAGGGGCAAGGCCAAGCTGACAGGTGTGGGAGGCAGTTGAGCCCTGGATCCTGACCACAGCAGGGCAGTTGGCAGATGTGCCTCTGGGACAGAACCCCAGGGGTAACGGTCATGGACTCTGGAAGGGGCCTGGCTGGGGGCAGGGACCAGAGGATGAGGATGGGGCCACATGGACTGGGGTGCAATGGGACAGCTGCTGCCAGCGAGAGGGACCAGGGCACCACTCTCTAGGGAGCCCACACTGCAAGTCAGGCCACAAGGACCTCTGACCCTGAGGGCCGATGAGGCCAGGGACAGGCCAGGGGGGCCTTGAGGCCCCTGGTGAGCCAGGCCCCAACCTCAGGCAGCGCTGGCCCCTGCTGCTGCTGGGTCTGGCCGTGGTAACCCATGGCCTGCTGCGCCCAACAGCTGCATCGCAGAGCAGGGCCCTGGGCCCTGGAGCCCCTGGAGGAAGCAGCCGGTCCAGCCTGAGGAGCCGGTGGGGCAGGTAAGGGGTGAGAGATTCCAGGGGATGTGGGGGTCTGGGTGGCAGAGGCGGGAAAGGATGACCAAGGGGAGACGAGCCAGAGGGGTGAGGAGGAAGGTTAATCCCTGGAGGGGAGCCACAGACACTGACTTTAACTAAAGTGTCAAGATTTTGTCCATCTTTGAATTAATTTTTATTGCTTAATGTCATATTAAAATATTATTTATCTTGATTCCTGAGATTTCTTCCCCCACTTACATTTGGCACCAAGGCCAATGTCTCCCTCACCTCCCCCTAGTCCTTGGGGTAGGGCAGGACTGGAGGCAGGGGCAGGACGTCCACAGGAGTGGTGGCCGCTATCCCTGAAGGATGCCCAGGCCTCTCCCTCCTCCTCCTCCCACTCCTCCTCCCCCCCCTCCTCTTTTCCCCTTGGCCTATGTCACCTGTCCACTCCCACCCTCACTGGGCAGGGGCCACTCCCTGGAGCTCCAGCTAAGGTGTGAGGGGCCTTTCCTGGAGTCCCTGGGTCACTAGACCTCAGCCAGCATCGCCTCCTGAAACCAGCCCCTAGGAGACACAAGCTTATCCAGGGTGCAAGTGCCTCCAAAGAAGAAGCCCAGGAGAGGCTCTAGGGAGGCCACAACTCCCTGTGTGACCTCAGCCATTGCCACCACTCTGCGTGTGGTGGGAGGTCCCCAGACAAAGCACCAAGCATCGGGGTCCATTTATGAGCATTTGGGACACAACAGCCTGTTCACTGGTGCATGTTATACCCACAGGCGATAATCATTTCAGGGGCAGAACCTCCCTCTCGGTGGCCCCATAGGCAGGTCCTGCTGTGATCCCCTTTGTGCAGACGGGGATAGAGCCCGGAGAGGTGAGGTGACCCGTCCGAGTCACTCAGCTCATGGGCACAGATTCTAAGGCCCAAGCTATCCCCTCTAGCTCTCCCCTGTCCCATCCTCTAAGCTGATCGAGCGGACACGTGCATCTCTGGGACCTGAGTTTCCCTTTTTCTCTCTTTTTTTTCTTTTTCAAATAAAGTTTCACAGAGTTTCACTCTTGTCGCCCAGTCTGGAGTGCAATGGCGAGATCTTGGCTCATTGAAACCTCCGTCTCCCAGGTTCAAGACATTCTCCTGCCTCAGCTTCCGGAGTAGCTGGGATTACAGGCATCTGCCACCACACCTGGCTAATTTTGTGTATTTTTTTTTAGTAAAGACAGAGTTTCACCATGTTGGCCAGGCTGGTCTCAAACTCCTGACCTCAGGTGATCCACCCACCTCAGCCTCCCAAAGTGCTGGGATTACAGGCATGAGACACCACACCGGGCCTGAGTTTCCCCTTCTGCAATCTGAGGGGCCCTGACTGGTGAGGGCCTTCAGCGTCCCACCCACCCAGAGGATGCTGGGGTGGCTGTGGTGAGAGCTCCAGCAGTGGCAGCCGACCTGACCCACACCAGGAGCCCGGCCATGGAGGCGGGGTCAGCATGGTGGCAGGCCGGGACCGGGTGTCAGTGTCCTGCACGGACTTCTGAGCAAGGAGTCCCCATCAGGGTCAGGCTCTGTGCTGGGGCTGAGGTCCCAGAGGATCTAGATTTGCCCCAATTCAAGTCCACAAGGAGCGGGGGCCGGGTGAGGAGACAGCCACATGCAGGGTGATGCCTACAGAACAGAGACTGGGATGGGGAAGGCCCGAGGGGTCTCCACAAGGGACGGGTGACAGGTGGAGGGAGACACAGATAATAAAAAATGGTATTATGTTGGGGGGCTATTAATGTAAGTTTTTATATTAGAATCTTTAGAAATCTTATAGAAATACTATGGGCCGGGTGCTGTGTCTCATGCCTGTAATCCCAGCACTTTAGGACGCCAAGATGGGCAGATCACGAGGTCAGGAGATTGAGACCATCCTGGCCAACATGGCAAAACTCCGTCTCTACTAAAAATACAAAAACTAGCTGGGCGTGGTGGCGCGAGCCTATAGTCCCAGCTACTCGGGAGGGGAGGCAGGAGAATCGCTTGAATCAGGGAGGTGGAGGTTGCAGTGAGCTGAGATTGCACCGCTGCACTCCAGCCTGGACGACAGAACGAGACTCCCACTCAAAAAAAAAAAAAGGTATTATGCTGGGGGGGATATGAATATGAGTTTTTATAATCTTTAGAAATACTATGGGCCAGGTGCAGTGGCTCATGCCTGTAATCCCACAACTTTGGGAGGCTGAGGCGGGATTGTTTGAGCCCAGGAGTTTGAGATCAGCCTGAGCAACATAGCAAGACCCCATTTCTACAAAACATATAAAAACTAGCTAGTCATGGTGGCACTTGCCTGTGGTCCCAGCTACTTAGGAGGCTGGTGAGAGGATTGCTTAAGCCTCGGAGGTTGAGGATGCAGTAAGCTGAGATCCCACCACTGCACTCCAGCCTGGGTGACAGAAGGAGACCCTGTCTCAAAAAAAAAAAAAAAAAAAAAAGACTGATTATTCCTGTAGAATTCTGGTAAATATCTCCTATCAAATAAATGACTTTTCTATTCATAGCTTATTAAAAGATATTTTCATTGTTTTTAAGAAATAGGTTGTGTATCACTTTTTATATTTAGTTGTAAATTTATTTGTTTTATTTATTTTTTTAGAGATGGGGGTCTCACTATGTTGCCTGGGCTGGCCTCCAACTGCTGGGCTCAAGCAATATCCCTGCCTCAGCGTCCCCAGTAGCTGGGACTACAAGCATGCGCTACCACACCGGCATAATTTTTTGTAGAGATGAGGTTTCGCCATGTTGCCTGGGCTGGTCTTGAACCCCTGGGCTCAAGCCATCCACCCGCCTCGGCCTCCTAAAGTGCTGAGATTACAGACGTGAGCCACCCTACCTAGCCTGTACTATTTTTAATAGGTCTTAATAGGTTTTGAATGTTAATTATTTTTAAATTAATTTCAAAAATCTTCTACAACATGGATGAAACCTGAAGACATTATACTTAGTGAAATAAGCCAGACACAAAAGGACAAATGTCATTTGAATCCACTTCTATGAGGTACCTAGAATAGGCAAATTCACTTGGACAAAAAGTAGATTTGAGGTTAGCAGGGTGAGGGGGAGGGAAGAATGGGGGACTGTAGTTAACGGGTTTAGAGTTTCTGTTTGGGAAGATGAAAGAGTTCTGGAGATGGATGGTGGTGAAGGTTGCCCAACGGTGTGAATGTACTTAGTGCCACGGAGCTGTACGTTTAAAAATAGTTAAAGTGGAAATATTGATGCTATGTATAAAAATGGAGCGGGGTGTGGTGGCTCACACCTATAATCCCAGCACTTTGAGAGGCCAAGGTGGGCAGATCACCTGAGGTCGGGAGTTCGAGACCAGCCTGACAAACATGGAGAAACACCGTCTCTACTGAAAATACAAAAAATTAGCCAAGTGTGCTGGCACATGCCTGTAATCCCAGCTACTCGGGAGGCTGAAGCAGGAGAATCGCTTGAACCCAGGATGTGGAGGTTGCGGTGAGCCAAGGTGGCACCATTGCACTCCAGCCTGGGCGACAAGGGTGAAATTCCATTTCAAAAAAATAAAAGGAAATGGGACTGTACATAGCAGGAGAGAGAGGGAGAGATCAATATGACACTTCTTTTTTTTTTTTTTTTTTTTTGGGACAGTCTTGCTCTGTTGCCAGGCTGCACTCCAGCCTGGGCAACAGAGCGAGACTCTGTCTCAAAAAAAAAAAGAATGTCTAGATGCAGTAGCTAAGTTCGCAGAAGCCATTTCAGTGTGGGAGGCGAGGTGACTGAGTCCAGGGACTCCAGGTTTCTGGCTGAGGGGTTGAGACCGCCCATGGTCATTGTGATGAGATGAAGACAGAAAATGAGCTGGGCTGGGGGAAGGTGGTCATCTCCTCTGGACGTGATTAGTTTGAGGCTCCTGTTGGGTAGCCCACTGGGCAAGGTCAGTAGGCAATTGAGGAGCTGAGAGGGTTTGGAGCTGGGATAGACTCCAGCCTCACCATGTGGGCAATAGTGGGGGTCACAGAGTGTGAAAATGGCTAAGAAAGAGGTCTGGGTGGGGTCTGGGGAGTCAGCAGCCAGGCATGGGCCATGGAGAAACAGATGCCAGGGGAAGAGGAAAGGGGAGTCTCAGACCCCAAGGGGAAAAGAGTCACTGGAAAGAGGGGCCAGCCCTGTGTCGCATCCAGCGGAGACACCAGGTACAGCAGAAGGACCTTGGACATGACCATGAGGAGGGCCTTGTTGACCATGGCCTGGGAGAGATGGGGGTGAGAGCCTGGGGGACCACACCATGTCCCCAGCACACAGTGCCTGGTAGACAGGATGGATTTATGGATGGACGGACAGGTAGATGGATGGACGAATGGACAGATGATAGATGGATGCAAAGACAGATGAATAGATGGACAGATGCATAGATGGACAGATGGACAGATGGATGGACGGACGGATGGAATGAATGATCAGAAAAGGCTTCATGAACAAAGTGAGACTGAGCTGCATCTCCATGGGTAGATATAAAAGCAGAGGACTCTCCTCTTGAGTCAGGAATGACCCAATGTCCTGGTCCAGGGAGGAAGTCAGCCTCCTTGACTGGGGACACTTGTGGCAGATTTCAGAGGCCCTTAAAATGAGGCCAAGTGAGGTGGACAGGTCCGAGCCAGCTGAGGACTCCTCAGCCACACGGCACAGCTGCCTGAGGGGATGTGTCACTCAGGGAGTTGCTGGGACCTACTGGGCCCAGCGTTGCCATCAGCACCAACAGTTTCAGAGAGGGGGACACACGCTGGGGCAGCACCTGCCTCAGAGAAGGGACAGGCACAGAGACACTACTGGGGGACACTACTGGGACACTGGCCACCCCCCTACCCTGTGCCTGGGTCACAGCCTACACACTGCAGCCCTGTGCCCCTCACTCCCAGCAGGTTCCTGCTCCAGCGCGGCTCCTGGACTGGCCCCAGGTGCTGGCCCCGGGGGTTTCAATCCAAGCATAACTCAGTGACGCATGTGTTTGGCAGCGGGACCCAGCTCACCGTTTTAAGTAAGTGGCTCTAACTTCCCAGGCTGTCCCACCCTCTCCTGTCTCTGGAAAATGTGTTTTCTCTCTCTGGGGCTTCTTCCCCTCTGCCCTCCCAGCCTTAAGCACTGACCCCTACCTTTGTCCATGGGGCCTGGAGGAGATGTGTTAGTCTCAGGGTAATGGCAGGAAGGGCCCCCACAGTGGGAGCAGCCGCCTTCAGGTTCCAACAGCAGGACACAGCCTGGTCCCAGGGCCTGGGCTGGGATTGGGCGGGGTCAGGGCTCCTCCCCTCTCCCAGGGCAGATGTCTGAGTGAGGGACAGAGGCTGGTTCTGATGAGGGGCCCTGCAGTGGCCTTAGAGACAGTCCCTGGGACCCCAGGTTCTAGGCTGAGGGCTGGATGCCCATCCAGCCTGGGAGGGCCACACGGGGGCCTGGGGACACAGGGGTCACCCCCAGGGGAGACCAATGGAGGGCACAGAGAGGGCTCTGGGTCTAGGCTGCAGCTCTGTGGCCTCTGCTGGGTCTTCAGGGCATGGGGACACAGAGGAACGGATGAGGTCCCAGAGCCCAGCCCTCCCAGGACAGTCACCAGAAAGGAGAGGGTCTCTTAGTGCAGAGATGTGCCTGTCCCTGGAGCCCTGTCATCTCTGGGGCCTGGTGTCTCTCTGTTCATGGGTCGACCTCCCACCTTCATTTGAGGAAGGGCACCTTAGACTCAGAAGGTGACTAGCGGGGAGTAAACGGGAGTGCAGAGAACTCCATGGCTGCCAGGTGAAGTCCAGGGGCATCAGAGGCTGCTGGGGTGGGCATGGGGGCTGCGGTGCCCCAAAGTCTGGGGGAGCAGCCCCAAGAACCCAGCCGATGTGAAGGGTCCTGTGGTCGGGCTGGTGGGGACAGGGGCGACGGCAGAGCCCCAGGGTGTGTCTGGGTGGAGCCCACGCTTCACCAGGAGAGCTGAGTGGGCCAGGCTGGGGCACAGCCTGGTGCCCCAGGGGATGGGAAGCTCCAGGCCATGCCAGGCTTGGGTCTCCCCACATCCTGCCAGTATAGTTTTGTGTGCTGTGAGGGAGACCCCTAGATTCCAAACTCAGACTCCAGAAACCAGGAAGGAGGGAGCACAGCCTGCCCTGGGTGCACACGGGGAAACCGAGGCTGCAGAGGAAAGGGCTGGGCCAGGACACCTGGGAAAGGTGACTTGGGAAGGGCTCCTAGGAAGGCACAGGGCTGTCTGCTCTCCAGAGGGCTCCAGTGGAAAGGAGGGAATGAGGAGGGAAGGAGAGGCCCTGGGTGGACCAGGCGGCCACACCATGAACCCTCCCAGAGACTTTAGACAGAGAGAGGCGCTCCACAACACCCCACACTCCCTCTGCCATCTCTCACCCCCTCCTCTGTCCACACAGGTCAGCCCAAGGCCACCCCCTCGGTCACTCTGTTCCCGCCGTCCTCTGAGGAGCTCCAAGCCAACAAGGCTACACTGGTGTGTCTCATGAATGACTTTTATCCGGGAATCTTGACGGTGACCTGGAAGGCAGATGGTACCCCCATCACCCAGGGCGTGGAGATGACCACGCCCTCCAAACAGAGCAACAACAAGTACGCGGCCAGCAGCTACCTGAGCCTGACGCCCGAGCAGTGGAGGTCCCGCAGAAGCTACAGCTGCCAGGTCATGCACGAAGGGAGCACCGTGGAGAAGACGGTGGCCCCTGCAGAATGTTCATAGGTTCCCAGCCCCGACCCCACCCAAAGGGGCCTGGAGCTGCAGGATCCCAGGGGAAGGGTCTCTCTCTGCATCCCAAGCCATCCAGCCCTTCTCCCTGTACCCAGTAAACCCTAAATAAATACCCTCTTTGTCAACCAGAAATCCTGCTCCCTCTCTTCATTTCTTATCTCTCATATAATGTGATGCTTCTCCTGGGTTCTCAGTGTGGCGTTGGGGGAATCCTGGCACCAGTGGGAAAGTAGCCTGGAGGAGAGGATCACAGTCTCCCAGGGGTGTCCCCTGGGGAAATAGGCCAGGATAGGAGTCGGCTCACTGGACACCAGTCCCTCCATTCTCTCCCTCCTCCCCTTCCTCCTTGCAGCTCAATCCCCGACTCGCTGCCTACTTTCTAGAGGGAGCTATTTCTGACTGAGCCTCCAGATACACCCTGTGTCCCTGTCCTGGTCTGGACCCTCTACCCACCCACGGCCTCTCTTTCCTCAGCCTGGAAATCCTACTCTGGGCCTGGAGTCCCTCTGCTTCTAGCCCTGGCCCCTGGAATGCCCTCCTTCCTCTCTGCCCAGCTCCCCACCCCTGAGGGCTGGACTGTCCAGGACACTCCAACACCATCAAATTCATGAGCTCTTACATTTTGGGCCCACCTTGATTTTTCACCTGACAGCAGGTTCAGAGGTGTGAGAAAAACAGGAGGAAGCCAGGAAGGAAACACACATGAAAGGCCTGCAAGAGGATCAGGACACTTTCAAAAAATAGGCTCTGAGCTCCCCAGGAACCAGTGCAAGAAGGGTAATAGGTGCTCCATCATTTCTTTCTTTTTTCTGTTTTTTTTTTTTTGTTGTTGTTGTTGTTGTTGTTATTGTTGTTTTGAGACGGAGTCTGGCTCTGTTGCACAGGCTGGAGTGCAATGGTGCAATCTCGGCTCACCGTAACTTCCGCCTGCCAGGTTCAACCGATTCTCCTGCCTCAGCCTCCCCAGAGTTGGAGATGGGGCCTGGTAGGAGGTGTTTGGTTGGTGGTGGATCCCTCATGACTTGGTGCCATCTTCCTGATACTGAGTGGGTTCTCGTGGGATCTGGTTGTTTAAAAGTGTGTGGCACCTCCCTGTCAACTCTCTCTTGCTCCCGCTCTGGCCGTGTGAGACACCTGTTCCCCCTTCACCTTCCGTCATTATTGGAAGCTTCCTGAGGCCTCCCCAGAAGCTGAGCAGATGCCAGCATGCTTCCTGTACAGCCTGCAGACCCGTGAGCCAATCAAACCTCTTTTCTTTATAAATTACCTGGTCTCAGGGTTTCTTCACAGAAATTCAAGAATGGACTGATACAGACATTAATCTTATTAGTAAGGGCAGAGCCTCTCACCTCTCCAATGCCACCACCTCATAATACCATCACATTGGAGATTAGGTTGCAACCTGAATTTTGGTGGGATGCAAGCATTCAGACCATAGTACCCTATCTCCAAATACAGACACATACTGACGAACTGGGGTTAGGACTTCAATGTATGAATTTGGAGGAGCACAATCCAGCCTGTAACATCTGTTTTGGCTTGGGCTCCCTGCAAGCAGGCCTCAAAGAAAGGCTGTTGTACTTGGAGCTTGTTTGGGACGAGTACTCCCAGAGGCAAGACTGAGGGATGGGGAGGGGGAGAGCAAAACAGGAGCAGCAAGAAAACCAATGCAAAGGCCAGGCACAGTGGTTCCGCCTGTAATCCCAGCACTTTGGGAGGCCGAGGTAGGTGGATCACTTGGATCAGGAGTTAAGAGACCAGCCTGGCTAACGTGGCAAAACCCCGTCTCTACTAAAGATACAAAAATTACCAGCCTGGCCAACATGGCGAAATCCCGTCTCTACTAAAAATACAAAAATTAGACGGGTGTGGTGGCGGGTGCCTGTAATCCCAGCTACTTGGGAGGCTGAGGCAGGAGAATCACTTGAATCTGGGAGATGGAGGTTTCAGTGAGCCGAGATCACACCACTGCGCTCCAGCCTGGGTGACAGAGCAAGACTGTCTCAAAAAAAAAAAAAAAAAAAAAAAAAGCCAATGCAAACGTACATTGCTGAGTTCACCATTATGGAAGCCGGGGTGCCAGATCCCGCAGGATCACCGGAGCTGCCTTACAAAATGCATCTCAGAACCATCCGCCAAGGGGAAGAAAGGAGAGAGCATTGCTTCCAGGGCTCTGCCGCCTTTGAGGAAACGCTGGCCTGTAGGGTGTTCATGCCTTTGCACTTGCAGTTGAGCGTGTGTAACTGCTGAGTGGGTTACTGTGGAGGGGTGGAGGTTGGGGGATCCCACACTGTGGCATCAGCAAAGCCCCGGACTGGAAGCGAGAGGCAAGCACAGGGGCCTAGGGCAGGCCATTGTCAGCTTTCTGCCACATGGAGCTTGTCACAGCCTGCGAGGTCTGTTTACTGCACCTGGGCCTGGATTAGGAGGTGAAGCCAAGAGGTCTGAAGCCATTCAGGCGAGCTGCTCAACACAGTGCCCACCTGGCAGCATTCAGCCCCGCCCCTGCCACCAACTGGGTCCACCCATCAGAGGCCCCTTTGAGGTGCTGGCATCTGCAGTACCTGCAAAGACTTCATGCTAGAAGGTGACCGAGAAGAGCTTAGAACCCACCCTGAGTGGAAACCCCTTTCTTTACATGTTAGTCCTGGTCCTTGGCAGAAAGACCCCAGTGTAACAGATGTAGTCACAGGTTTGAGTTCAATGAGATCCACGCTGTGTCCAGTGGAGCCCTCCTGTACTTCCCTTCTCCCCTGCCCCCTCTCCCCTCTCCCCTGTCCCAGATAGCTGGGGCCTCTCATCTGACAACCCTAAAGTTGCAGGGACAAGAAGCACAAATCCACAAGGACACTGGGGCATGGTGGGTGGGGGAGTGGGCAATCCTATTTTTTTTTTTTTTTTTTTGAGACAGAGTCTTGCTCTGTCACCCAGGCCGGACTGCAGTGGTGCTATCTCGGCTCACTGCAAGCTCCGCCTCCTGGGTTCACGCCATTCTCCTGCCTCAGCCTCCCAAGTAGCTGGGACTACAGGCACCCGCCACCACGCCCGGCTAATTTTTTGTATTTTTAGTAGAGACAGGGTTTCACCGTGTTAGCCAAGATGGTCTCATCTCCTGACCTCGTGATCTGCCCACCTCAGCCTCCCAAAGTGCTGGGATTACAGGCATGAGCCACCATGCCTGGCCGGGCAATCCTATTTCTACAACTTGTCCCTGGACCATGTGTTCCAGCTTCTGGGGATGCAGCACCTGGCACTGGCTGTTGGCTCTGTGCTCGGGGTGTAGCACAAGCTGGCTGCCCCTACGTTCCATCAGGCCCAGGCTCCAGGGTGAGACTGGTGGGCATCACGCTCATGTGCTCACTGGGATCCTCCCTCGCCATAAACTGTGTCCCTTGGTCTGGGGCCTGGGTGGGCAGGATCCCACATCTCCAGATGGGGCATTCAGAGCTGCATTCTGGATGCAGTGGAGGCATGGAGATCTGTCAGGCGGCGCAGAACTGCTGCCGTGGCTGGACTCTGAGGCGAGGACTAGAAGCACGAGGGTTATAGAAGAGGGGGATGCTGCTCACAGGGCTCAGTGTGCAGATACAGAGAGGGCTCAGCACAGGATCTAGCACAGTGGGTCTACCGAATTGCCACTATGCCCATTTTACAGATGGGAAGGCTGAGGCTCAGGGGAGGAGGCAGCTTGCCCAGGGGCCCAGTGCTAGCAGGCAGCAGAGCTGGGTTGGTGACCAGCCTTAAAAAACCCGTGCTCGTAGCTGTGAGGCTGTCCTCCCTGCCTCACTGCTGACCCAGTGAGTGCACGTCTCTTTACAAAAGGAGGCTCGTTCTGTGCCTGTGCTGGCCCAGGGAACATCGAGGAGGCCAAGGTCACCCCGCATGGCCTTCTGGGGCAGCTGCTTCTCTGACCAACATCCTTTCTGAGATGGCTGGTGGCCAAAGCCACTAACTGACGGGCAGGACAAGGGGACTCTGAGCACCTTAGTCCCTACCCCACATCCCGGATCTATCCAGGATCTGAAAGTTTCTCCCGACGGGCACTACTTCCCCTCCAGCTCAGACAAGCAGGCAGGGCTCTGGGGTCAGACAGACCTGAGCTCTGCCCTCTTCCCCTCCTGGCTATGGGACCCTGGGTGAAATCTTGGTCTCCATTCCTTCATCTCACTTCATGGGGACTGAATGAGATCCAGGGGTGAGGCCCCCGGCCCAGAGCTGCTGTTAACCCAGGGCCCTCCTCTCTCAGGAAGGACACAGAGTCCACTAATGACCATTGGTCCACCAAGGCACAGAGAAGGCAAGGGGCCTGCCTAGGTCACCAGCTGGCCTGAGTCTATTCCTGACTCCCAATCCAGTCCTCCCTTGACCATACCTCAAAAGAAAATGAAGGTGGAGACATGGGGGTTGTGGGGAGAGGAAGGAGATGGGGAAGAGGGGGGACTTTACACCCACTGCCCTCCATAGTGCCTCTCACATAGGTGGTCTTCACTAAATATTTGCTGAACGATGAGTAAATGTTAAGTGGTTGGATAGACGGGGCTACAGGCGGGTGAGACCTAACTATGCGCAGTTCGGAATCCCAGCCCACCGCGTCCTGCCAGTCCTCCCACTAACCTCATTTGGTTGCTAGCAGTAGCCTTCATTTTCTTCTGAGTCACTACTCTCAACCCAGACGTGGGGCTGGGCATGCCAGGAATCTGGAGGGAAGAAAGATTGACAGAATCTCAGCACCCCACCACCAGCTCCATTTTTTTTTTTTTTTTTTGAGACAGAGTCTCTCTCTGTCGCCCAAGCTAGAGTGCAGTGGTGTGATCTCAGCTCACTGAAACCTCCGCCTCCTGGGTTCAAGCGATTCTCGTGCCTTAGCTTCCTGAGTACAGGCATCTGCCACCACGCCCTGCTAATTTTTGTATTTTTTAGTAGAGATGGGGTTTCACCATGTTGGCCAGGCTGGTCTCGATCTCTTGACCTCGTGATCCGCCTGCCTCAGCCTCCCAAAGTGCTGGGATTACAGACATGAGCCACGGCGCCCAGCCCCACCAGCTCCATTTTTAAGATGAAGAAACCGAGGCAGGGGGAGAGTCAGGAGGTTTGCTCCGCCCTGGAACACCCCACTTCCCCAGCAGCCTTGGGTCGCCACCCCTGCCCGGCTTACTCACCTCCATGGGGGAGCCTCTGTCATTCTGGCAGGTGGAGGGTGGGAGACTGGGGAACAGAATGCATTCCCCAGGGCCCTTTGAGTCATGCTGAGTCCTGTAGAAGTCCCAGCACCACCCATGGTGCTCCTGGGAAGCTCTAGCTGGCCTCTGGGAAGCACACTGGGGCTCCTGGCCCCTCTAAACAGAGACTGGCGCCCCCGCTCCATGAGCCTCTTTCCTCCTTTCCTCTCTGGCCTCTCTTGCCCTTCTCTGTGCCTGGTGGCAGGATCTAGGAGCCCATCTCTGTCCCCCATATGTACTGCGGCCTTGGGCAAGTCCCTGCCCTTCTCTAGGCCTCACTGGCCCAGCTGGAGCCCAGCCAGCAGCACAAGTCTCTCTTGACCTGACCCTCCAGGACACCGTGTCCATTGGAGCTCTGACCATACCCGCTCTCCCCTGGTGTCTTCCAGTCCCCAGCCCTCTCTCTCTCTCTCTCTCTGGCCCTCTTAGGGACTCTCCCAGAGGAAGACTGTCCCACCCCACCTCCTGGCTTCTCCTTCCTCTTGCTCTCCCTCCTCCTGCCCACCTCCCTTGGAGAATGCCAAGTCTGCAGGTTTCCCATGACCTTGAACAACCAGCAGTTTGGGAGTGAGCAGTTCAGAGCTTTGCAAGGAGGGCCTGGGGCGAGGCCCACCGTGGGTCCTGGGGGCTGCGTTGCCTTTGCACAGCACGCCCTGTCCTGCCAACCTTGCTTCATTTTTCTCCGTGGCCCGTGCCATCTTCTCACTGCTTACTTGGGTACTGTACGTGTCCATGGCCTCAGTAGAATGTCACTTCCACAAGGGTAGGGGCTTTGTCAGTGTGGCCACTGCTCGATCCCCACCCCCACGGCCTAGAACAGTGCCCGGCCCATGAGTGCTGAGGAAGGAGGATTCCTCCAAGCCACCCTGTTGGGAGCATTTCCTTGTAGGCACCTCACTACCTCTGATCCACCATCTGCCTGCCCAGGATATGCCAGGCCCCTTTCGGAAGATGGGGAAACTGAGGCTCGGAGAGGAAGAGACGAAGGGAAGGAACGGATGCAACGTCACAAAGTGGTCCCTGGTGTGAGTCCAGAGTAGAACCCACGCGTCCAGGCCGCGGCGCCTGACTTAGCCCTTCCTCCCACCAGCCAGTCCGCCATCCCAACAGCTAAGAGGGGACAGGACTGCCCCACCCGCACCCCAGGTCCCTGAGGCCTTCGGCCACGCCCCTGTGGTAGAGTGGAGAAACTGAGGCACCCCGCCTCCTCGGATTCCTCGCAAGCCTCTTTCCCAAACCCGCGTCCGCGCCCCCTCCCCGGGACCTGCCCTCCCTCCCCGCCCCGGCCCCAAGCAGCCCCCGGCCCTTGGCAGAGCTCAGCTCGCGCCCACCCGGAGCCGGGGAGAGAAAGAAAAATGAGTTTTCCTGCCGCCCGGTGGCGGTGTCAATTGATCGGCGCGGGAGGGGCTTCGCGCCGCGCTGGGGGCCTCGCTCACAGCTGCCGGCGCGCAATTATCGGGGAAAAACTGGGGCGGCTACCGCGGTGAAATTAGTTATCGATCTCTCGGCGGAGCCGCGGGGCCGCGCTTGGCGCTGACGGCTGCAGACCCGGCCGGGCACGCTCGGCGGGGCGGGGACCAGGGGGGCGGCGGGGGCGGGCCCCCTGCTCGGGCCTCTCCCTCCTCCTCCCGTTCTCCCGTTCTCCCCTCCTCCCCTCCTCCCTCACCCTCTCGCCCGCGCTCCCCTCTCCCATTCATCCCGCCGTCGTATCGACCCGCGGCCGACCCCACGCGGTCAGGCGCCCCCGCCCCCTGCCCTCTCCTCTCCCAGCCTGGCCTCCCCCGCGGGGGCTGTCATCGAGCGTCTGGCACGACCGGACCCTGCCCCGGAGGAGGAGGGACCACAGCCGGGGGCGGGAGCCAGCCTTGTGCTCGCAGGCCTGGGTTCGGAGCCCAGCTGCCGGGAATGGTTTCCAGATCTCCCTGAGCCTCAGTTTCCTCATCTGTAAACCGGGTGGTGGTGGCTTCATCCACCTCTTTGAGAAGACAGCAGGACAGGCGTCCTGAGAAGTGAGTTTGCCTGGAAGCTGCCGGGCTGTAGTTTGCGTTGATACCACCGATCTTCCCAGTCACTCTAAGAGACGGGTCATATCCCCGTTTTACAAATGAGGAAAGTAACTCAGCGAGGGGAGACGCCGTGTCCAGGGACACACAGTAAGCAGGTGGCCCAGGAGGACCCCAGAGCCCGGCTGGAGGTGGCGGAGTTGTGGTGGGGGCGGTGCCTGCGGAAGGGGAGGGACAGGAGCAGAGGGCAGAGGGAGGTCAGTGCTGGCACCTGCAGCCCTGTCAGCCTGCGAGGGTGTAGAGGTTTGGGAGGTCTTAGCAAAGTGGTGCATACAGATCGCAGAGGCTGGGTGGAGGGAGGAGAGGGTCAGGTCAGGGCTCCCCAGCCCTCGCTGAGCCATTGGCTCGGCAGCCTCCTGGTTGGAGAGGAAGAGTGGGGAGAGGCAGGGAAAGGAGAGGGACGCAAACAGGAGAAGGAGAGGGTTTTTGCTCAGAGCCAGCCTGCCACCCTCTCCTTTCCCAGCACTAGGCTGCATCTGGGAGGGAGGCTGCAGGCTGGAGAGCAGGGGATTTGAGTTCCAATCCTGAGGCTCCACTAGGTGGTGTGTGACCTTGAGCAAGGCCCTGCCCCTCCCCAGGCCTCCTATGGAGATGGTATTGGGTCTTATGTCCCTCAAGGCTCCTTGTGGCTCCCCTCTGCCTGCCAGCCACAGCCTCATGCATCTCAGAGTCTCAGAACATCTTTTTTTTTTTTTTTTTTTTTTTTTTTTTTTTTTTTTTTGAGAAAGAGCCCCTCTGTCACCCAGGCTGGAGTGCAGTGGTGCAATCTCAGCTCACTGCAACCTCCACCTCTTGGGTTCAAGCGATTCTCCTGCCTCCACCTCCTGAATAGCTGAGATTACAGGTGTGCACCACCACGCCTGGCTAATGTTTTTTGTCTTTTAGCAGAGATGGGGTTTCACCATGTTGCCCAGGCTGGTCTCTAACTCCTGAGCCCAGGCAACCTGCCCACCTCAGCCTCCCAAAGTGCTAGAATTACAGGCGTGAGCTACCGCGCCCGGCCCTCAGCACATCTTCATCCAGCACCTACTGTGTGCCAGGACTGTGCTGGGCACAGCAGATACAACTGAGGACAAGAAGGCCCCTGTCCCAGTTCTCTCGGAGCTAGATGCGTATTAAGCAAACCATTGTATGGCCGTGCACTTACACCTTGGGGGGCATTCAAGGGGACTGACAGGATAAGTGTGCTGGGGTGGGTGGGTCACCAGGGAAGACTCCCAGAGTCAGCGACATTTGAAGGTAGGATGTGGCAGGGGCAGGGAAGAGCAGCCTTTGCTGGGGAACGACATGAGCCAAGGCCCAAGCTCAAAAGGAACTCTGAGCATGGCAGAAACGGAGAAAGGCTGGTGTGCTGGAGGCAGAGAATGCTGGAGAACAGGTGAGGACAGTGAGGCCGGCAGGGCCAGGCCATGGTGGGCTTGGGTGCTGTGAAGGAGGTTATGCTCCTTCCTGAGGGTGGGGGAACACAGAAGGCATTTGATCGTAGAGGGACAGGGTCAAGTCCGGCCCCTCGGCTGGAAGCCTGTGTCTTCCTGTTCGCCCAAAGCAGAAGTCCTGCTTTGGAGGTCTGGCTTTGTTCTTGGCCTCTCTAAGCCTCAGTTTCCTATTCTGTAAAATGGAGATAATGACCTGCACTGCTGCAGTGGCTGTGGGTTTTGGTGGAGACAGCCGTGGGTTCAAGTCTTCCCTTCCAAGCTGTGAGACCTTGGGCGGTGTCCAACAAGTGGCTCAAAGGGGCTCTGTGTTCTCCCTCTCCCAGCTTTCCTGGCTCCCCAGATGGGATTCTAGATGTGTCCTCAGGATCCAGAACAAGGTCTCCTTGGTGACAGGGGAGGCGGTGGGTAGCCCCTCTGCTGGCCTGATGGTGAGGAGAGGCAGGGCGGGAGGGCTGGAGGCCAGTGCTGGGGGTCGCTGCTCCAGCCTCTTCCCCTCTGGACTCCCCTTGCTGGCTGCAAGAGGACACAGAAAATGGCAGAGGGACAAGCTGCCCTGTTGGCTGCCTTACATTCTGTAAAAACTGGTCCTCCCTGGCTTCTGGGGAGCTCGCTATATTCTATTCTTGATTTGGAGATGGGTATTACAGATGAGTTCCCTTTGTAAAGGTTCACAGAAGTGAACACCTGGGATGCATTTCTGTGTATGTGTCACACTTCAACAAAAAGTGCCACTGCAGTGGCTCATGCCTGTAATCCCAGCACTTTGGGAGGCTGAGGCAGGCCAATCACTAAGGTCAGGAATTCAAGACCAGCCTGGCCAACATGGTGAAACCCTATCTCTACTACAAATACAAAAATTAGCCAGGTCTGGTGGCGTGCACCTGTAATCCTAGCTACTTGGGAGGCTGAGGCAGGAGAATCACTTGAACCCGGGAGATTGTAGTGAGCTGAGATCGTGCCACTGCACTCCAGCCTAGGCGACAGAGCAAGACTTCATCTCAAAAAAAAAAGAAAAAAGTGCCACTGGCTTCCTTCTCTGACCTGCTAGTACATCCCACCTGGCGGAAGACAAGAGTGAGGCCCTGGGGGAACTGAGCCCTCATCTGACTGCAGTGGGTCCAGAGGGAGCCCGTACATGCGCCCGCTGGAGTGGATTCTGTCTCCAGCTCCCCCAGGTCTGAAGAACACATCTGGCCGGTTTCTGGGATTCCTGTGACTATAGAATGTGCCTGCTGACAGGGGCCACTGAGAGAAAATTAACCATGGCACCTCAGGATCAAAACCCTCTGGTCGGCCTGTGCGGTGGCTCACGCCTGTCATCCCATCACTTTAGGGGGCCAAGGAGGGGCAGACCACTTGAGGTCAGGAGTTCAAGACCAGCCTGGCCAACATAGTGAAACCCCGTCTCTACTAAAAATACAAAAAAATTAGCTGGGTGTGGTGGTGGGCACCTGTAATCCCAGCTACTCAGGAGGCTGAGGCAGGAGAGTTGCTTGAACCTGGGAGGTGGAGGTTGCAGTGAGCCGAGATCGCACCACTGCACTCCAGCCTGGGTGACAGAGCAAGACTCCATCTCAAAAAAAAAGAAAAACAAGCTAACAAAAACAACCATCTGGTCTCTGGGCATGGTGGCTCACACCTGTAATCCCAGCACTTTGGGAGGCTGAGGTGGATGGATCACATGCAGTCAGGAGTTCGAGACCAGTGTGGCCAACATGGAAAAACCTCTTCTCTACTAAAAATATGAAAATTAGCCAAGCATGGTGGCGGGCGCCTGTAATCCCAGCTACTCGGGAGGCTGAGGCAGGAGAATCACTTGAACCTGGGAGGCAGAGGTTGCAGTGAGCTGAGATCGCGCCATTGCATTCCAGCCTGGGCAACCAGTGAAACTCCATCTGAAAAAAAAAAAAAAAGAGCTGGGATCCTGATTTTCATCCCCAGCTCCCTGGGGCAGAGCAGGTTGTGGCTGGGCCCACCTGAAACCTACCCCTCTAGAGGAATGATACCTTCACCATTAATCAGCAGACAAAATGTGCCATGGGACAGGCTCAGGCAAAGCCAGTCTCCTTGGCAGCGTCCTTCCTGCACATCCCCTCACTCTCCACCCCCACTTCTCGGAGGAAGGGGGGTTTCCAGGCTGGGGCAAGTCCTCCTGCTCCCTCCATCCATCTGATCCTGGCTATGCGTCTGGCTGTCCGACCATCCTTCTTCCTCCCTGGCAGGTGAGCCATTAAGCTCCAGGTCCCCAAAGCACCAGCCTGCAACCTCAGCACTAAGTGCATTTGCTGCCATTAGCAAGAAGCCTTGGCCAGGTTAGTCCAGTCTAATGCACAGGCCACCTCATCCCTACTCCCTGGGCACTGCTTGTCAAAACTCCATCCATTGAGGAATAACAGAACCTGAGAAGAAAAGATGGGGGCTCCAGGACCCAACATGGACAGTCGTGTAGGTTGCTCACTGCACAAGTGGAGCTGCAATTCAGCCAGTCCTCCATTTGCCAGGCTGAGGGCCCTGGCACAGGCTGCGTCCTGCACATGGGGTGGTGCCCTTTTCTAATCCCTTCCAAGGTGCTATAGGGGAAGAACCATGGCCTGTGTGGGTTGCGGGAAGAAACTACCTGAGAACTCGAGTCACCACATCTTTTTTTTTTTTTTTTGGACAGACTCTTGCATTGTCAGCCAGGCTGGAGTGCAATGGTGCAATCTCAGCTCACTGCAACCTTTGCCTCCCAGTTTCAAGCCATTCTCATGCCTCAGCCTCCCAAGTAGCTGGAATTAGAGGTGTGCACCACCACACCAGGCTAATTTTGTATTTTTAGTAAAGACAGGGTTTCACCCTGTTGGCCAGGCTGATCTCAAGCTCCTGACCTCAGGTGATTCACCTGCCTCGGCCTCCCAAAGTGCTGGGATTACAGGTGTGAGCCACCGTGCCTGGCCGCTACATCATTATTTTCCAAGTTGCATTTTGATTAAATTCCTTTTGGAGTACAGTTCTATGAATTTTATGACAAGCATCAATTTGTGTAACCATCACACTATCAGCATCCAGAACAGTTCTATCATCTGAAAAGGCTTCCTCTTCCTATCTTTTTGTAGCCACGCCCTGGCCTCACCCCTAACCCCTGGCATCCACTGATGTCCATCTCTATATTTTGTCTTTTGGAGTGTGTCATATAAATGGAATTGTGTAGTGTGTGATCTTTTAAGATTGGCTTTTGAGGGAGGTGGGGGGGTCAGCCCCGCGCCCAGCCAGCCGCCCCGTCTGGGAGGGAGGTGTGGGGGTCAGCCCCCGGCCCAGCCAGCCGCCCCGTCCGGGAGGGAGGTGGGGGGTTCAGCCCCCTGCCCAGCCAGCCGCCCCGTCCGGGAGGGAGGTGGGGGTGTGAGCCCCCCGCCCGGCCAGCTGCCCCGTCCGGGAGGGAGGTGGGGGGGTCAGCCCCCCGCCCGGCCAGCCGCCCCGTCCGGGAGGTGAGGGGCGCCTCTGCCCGTCCGCCCCTACTGGGAAGTGAGGAGCCCCTCTGCCCGGCCACCACCCCGTCTGGGAGGTGTACCCAACAGCTCATTGAGAACGGGCCATGATGACAATGGTGGTTTTGTGGAATAGAAAGGGGGGAAAGGCGGGGAAAGGATTGAGAAATCGGATGGTTGCCGTGTCTGTGTAGAAAGAGGTAGACACGGGAGACTTTTCATTTTGTTCTGTACTAAGAAAAATTCTTCTGCCTTGTGATCCTGTTGATCTGTGACCTTACCCCCAACCCTGTGCTCTCTGAAACATGTGCTGTGTCCACTCAGGGTTAAATGGATTAAGGGCGGTGCAAGATGTGCTTTGTTAAACAGACGCTTGAAGGCAGCATGCTCCTTGAGAGTCATCACCACTCCCTAATCTCAAGTACCCAGGGACACAAACACTGCGGAAGGCCGCAGGGTCCTCTGCCTAGGAAAACCAGAGACCTTTGTTCACTTGTTTATCTGCTGACCCTCCCTCCACTATTGTCCTATGACCCTGCCAAATCCCCCTCTGTGAGAAACACCCAAGAATGATCAATAAAAAAAAAAAAAAAAAAAAAAAAGATTGGCTTTTTTTTTTTCACTCAGAATAATCATTTTGAGCTCTGTCCAAGGTGTTGCCTGGATCAATTCTTGGCTCTTCTTTATTACTGAGTGATAGTCCATGGTATGGATGGACCACAGTTTGTTTATCTATTTGGGTTGTTTCTAGGCTATGACAAATAAAGCTTCTATGAACATTCATGTATGTGTCTTTGCATGGACCTAAGTTTTCATTTCTCTGGGATAAATGCCCAGGAGTAGGTTGGCTACATCATACGATATGAATATGGTTCACTTTTTAAGAACATGCCAAACTGTTTTCCAAAGTGGCTGTATCATTTTGCATCCTCAGCAGCAATGCACAAGAGTTTAAGTTGCTCTGCAGACTTGTTAGCTTTTGGAATTATCAGTATTTTTTTTTTAGCCATTTAAGGATGCGGGGAGTGATATCTCATTGTAATTTTGACTTTTATTTCCTTGGTGGCTAATAATGGTTGAGCACCTTTTTATAGGTTCAGTTGTCATCCCTGTATCTTCTCTGAGGGAGTGTCTGTATGAGTCTTTTTTCCACTTTTAATTAGTTTTTTTTTAACTGTTGAGTTATTAGAGTTCTTTATAATTTCTGGATACAAGACTTTTGTCAGATAAGTGATGTGCAAATATTTTTTCATAGTTCATTCTCTTAACAGTATCTTTCTTAGAGCAAAAGTTGTAAATTTTTATGAGCTGAAAATTATCAATTTTTTTCTTTATGGATTAGGCTTTATTGTCATATCTAGGAACTCTTTGCCTAACACCAAGTCCCAAAGAATTTTTTTTTTTGAAACATAGTCTTGTTCTGTTGCCCAGGCTGGAGTGCAGTGGGGTGATCTCGGCTTACCACAACCTCCACCTCCCAGGCTCAAGTGATCCTCCCACCTCAGCCTCCTGAGAAGCTGGGACTATAGGCATGCACCACTAAATCCAGCTAATTTTTGAGAGACAGGGGGTCTCGCTATAGACCCCATCCCTTTAGTATTTTTTTAGTAGAGACAGTTATCACCATATTGCCCAGGCTGGTCTTAAACTCTTGGGCTCAAGAGATCCTCCTACCTCAGCCTCCCGAAGTGCTGGGATTATAGGCATGAACCACTGTGCCCAGCCCCAAAGATCTTTTCCTCGGTTTCCTTCTAAAAGTTTCTTATAGCTATAGATCTTATGTTTAGGTCTATGATCCATTGTGAGTAGATCTTTGTATTTGATGTGAGGTAAGGGTCAAGATTCTTATTTTCCATATGGGTGTCCAATTATCTCTCAGTATTTACTAAATGAAGAAATGAAAAGCACAAAGGATCTGATAGCAAGGCTGGCGAAATGAGGGAAGTCAAGACTGTGCAGTAATCAATGAATAAAGAAAATTTTTTTAAACATATGATGTTTCAACAAATGATGAACAATTGGATATCTTTTTTTTTTAATTGTGACAGAGTCTCAGTCTGTTGCCCAGGCTGGAGTGCAGCGGTGTGATCTCAGCACACAAAAACCTCCACCTCCTGGGTTCAAGCGATTCTCATACCTCAGCCTCTCAAGTAGCTGGGATTACAGGCATGTACCACCATGCCCAGCTAATTTTTTTATTTTTAGTAGAGACAGGATTTCACCATGTTGGCCAGGCTGGTCTCGAACTCCTGACCTCAAGTGATCTGCCTGCCCTGGCTTCCCAAAGTGCTGGGATTACAGGCGTGACCCACCACACCTGGCCAGATACCTTTTTTTTTCTTTTGTTTTCTGATACAGTCTCTCTCTCTCTCTCTCTCTCTCTCTCTCTCTCTCTCTCTCTCTCTCTCTCTCTCTCTCTCTCTCTCCCAGGCTGCAGTGCAGAGAAATAATCACGGCTCACTGCACCTCAGCCTCTGGAGTAGCTTGGACTACAGGCATGTGCCACCTCACCCGGCTAATTTTTAAATGCTTTCTAGAGATGGGAGTCTCACTTTGTTGCCCAAGCTGGTCTTAAACTCCTGGGCTCAAGTGGTCCTCCTGCCTCAACCTCCCAAAGTGCTGGGATTACAGATGTGAGCCACCGCACCCAGCTTGGACATCTACTTTTTAAAAAATGAACCTCAACCTAAACCTTATATCTTATAACAAAATTAACTTGCTCCTTTCAGACTAGAGAAGGGACAAAAAATAATAATAATTAACCAGCAGGCTGGAGATGGTGGCTCACGCCTGTAACCCTAGCACTTTTGAAGGTCAAGTTGGGCAGATCTCTTGAGCCCAGGAGTTAGAGACCAGCCTGGGCAACGAAGCAAGACTCCATTGCTACAAAAATTACAAACATTAACCGGGTGTGGTGGTGCATGCCTGTAGTCCCAGTTATTTAGTTAATCCTGAGGTGGGAGGACTGCCTGAGCCTGGGAGGGGGTTGAGGCTGCAGTGATCTGTGATTGTGCCACTGCATTTCAGCCTGGGCAACAGAGCGAGATCCTGTCTCAAAATATAATAATAATAATAATAATAATAATAATAATAATAATAATAAGCTGGTAATGGATCATAGATTTAAATGTAAAATGTAAAGACAGACAGCAACCGGGTCTGTATCAGGCGGGATTCTCAGCCTGGCCCCACTGTTGGATGATGCAGAAGCAGTGAGGATTGTGGAAGCTCAAGGGACAAGTCAAGTGGGCACCTTCTGTGGTCACAGCTGACCTGTCCCCGAGTTTAAGGGTGGAAAGGAGGGAAGTAACATTTTTCAAGCATGATGTCTGCACTGCAATCCCCATTAAGTGAGTTCTTAGCTTCATCCCATTTAATCCTAAAACAAATCAATACGCTTTTGGAGGCTGGAGTTTTTATCCTCGCTCTATGAGTGAGAAAATTCAGTTCAGAGAGGTTAAGGAACTTCTCTGGGGTCACACAGTAAATGGGGCAGAAGGGTTTGGACCCAAGGTACTCACCTCTGCTGGAGGCAGACAGGGGACAGTCAGGCCAAGCTGATGACTCTGGACCTGCATTGTTGCCCGTCTGGTTTTGGGCCCTTGGTCAAGGTGGGTGTGGGGTATGGGAGCCTTTCTCCCAAGATTGTGGGGAGATCTGAGGCCTCCATTTTCCCAAGAGCCTCAGCTCACTCCCCTTCATGATGAGGCCCTTACTGGGTGGCTCTTCTTGGGAACTCACAAACCCATCCCCAACAGTGCGGCACCATCCCAGGCCTGACAAGGGTGGACGCCTTGATGTCCTGGTGTCATACTCTCCTGGAGGTATAGAAATAAGCAGGAGGACACGCACCAGGCCTGGGCTGATCTGTGTCCATCCCTGCCTCCAGTGACTCGCCAGCCCCTGCAGCTGTTTGACCTTCTTGAAACTCCTTCTGCATTCTCACCCCCACACCATTGCCGAGGCTGGAGCCTCCTTCCAGGATCCCCTCTCCACCTCCTCTCCCTTCTTCAAATGCGGCCGCTGTTTCAGCATTCAGCTCAAGTCATGCCTTTCCCAGCAGCTCCCATGAGCTCTCCCTCTTCTGAACTCCTGCAGCTGATAAATACAGTCTAGTCCTCCATGGTCTCAACAGCTAGTGTTTGCCAGCGTAGCCTTCTAGAGAGGCATGGACCTTCTAGAGCCTTCTAGATGCTCCTAGAGAGGCATCTCCAGCAGTCTCATGGCCAAACAGCTTGTGAATGTTCCAAGGGTAGGAGTTGAGTTTTAAGCCCCTCTCTGCTTGGCACAGGGAAAGCTGGTTCCAGCCCATGGCTCAGGATCTGACAGCCCACTCTGCCACTTCCTTGCTGCATGCTCAGTGTCTGGCACAAAAATATGCTCGATTAAGGGCAATAGTTGCTGCTGTCATTTTCACGGCTATTATTTTTATTATCAAGATGATTTCTGGAACTGTGTATGGAAAGTGAGAGGGTTCAAAGTCCTCCTCCAGTGGGAAGCCTCCCCTCCTGGCCACTCCACCCTCCCACCCCCGAGGCATGCCCACCTTTCCCTCCTGGTGGCCTGCTGCTCCCAGCTGCTCCTCCAGTCTCCCCAGCAGGGCTGCAGGCTCCTGTAGGGGATCGTGGTAGGCGGGGACAGAGGTGGGCTTTTAATTCTTCCCCACTCAGACCCTCAGTGTGACAGTGAAGGGGCCCCAGGGATGCCCAGATCAGCAGAGGGGAGTGGGTACTTGCCTAATGGAGGCCCAGGGCCCAGGCCTCCTGCAGTCTGATTAGATTTTATGATCCCAAAGGAGCTGCCCTGGATCCCTGCTCACCTTCAAGCCTCATCAGCACCAGGCCCTGTCCATCGTGAATTTCAAACTCAGCCTCTGCTGACACAACCTTCCCCCTCCACCACCCCCACCGCGTATCACACCCCACCCAACCATCCTGCCTTGGCACCAGACCGCCACCCTCTCCAACCTAGGTGCTGCCAGGCCTCTCTGCCCCTCCCAGCTCTCCTCCCTGCCCACATTTGCCCAATAGCTGGGGATCCATTTCTAGAACACAAATCTGCTTGTACGTACCCCCCACCCCCACCCCCGGACTCCTGCTACTTTCAGCAGGGGGTGGGGGGCTTCTCTAGACTTTCATGCATAATTATCACCTGGGGAACCTCTTAAAGATATAGCGCCTTATCTTCATCGGGAGCATGGTCTCCTGGGTCTGCCGCAGGGCCCAGGAATCTGCATTTCATGAGTCTCCCTTCAGACTGGGGGACTGTGGCCCCCGGTCCAGTTCACGTTCTGGTGGAAAACTCTGAAGAGACAAGAATATAAATGAGAGCCTGGCCTCCCCAGGCCCGTGAAGGCATTTCTGAGGGAAGGAGGACAGAAGAGCCCTTCAGCCAGCAGCGTCCTGGCTGCTTCTCTCACTTGGGAACACCTAGACCTTTGCTACCTGGACCTTCATTTCTGCTCTTGCTCCAGGGCCCACAGATGTCAGGGGTGGGCCTGCTTGGACCCAGCTCTTTAATCTCTCACCTACAGGATAAGGTGCAGGGCGCTCAGCTTGGTGAGTGAAGCCCCTTGGAGCCTGGCTCCCTCTTCGGCTCCAACTGAACGCCTCCCTCCTCCGCATCACCCCCCAGCACCCAGCCTATGGTATTTGAATGTTCTGGGCACATTCTCGTCTCCGTGCCTTTGCACATGTTCCCTCTGCCTAGAACATTCTTCTTCCATGTATCTCCTTGGGGAACTCCTATTCATCCCTCAAAACCCAACTTAGATTTCATGATTCTGAGGGCCCCTTTGTGCCCTCACCCCCTTCTCTGACTGCATCGACCCTGCTTTGTTATAATTATTTCATCCTGCTTCTTCTCTGCAGGCAGCTTATCAGCTTTTCCATGACGGTTTTAGAATGAGACCTGGCTTTGCCTCAGGCCCTTGTACTTTCCAGGGCTCCGAACTTGGGTGTTATCCACCCACCTGTCTACAACCTTTTTGTTCGTGATGAAATGGGGGCTTAAAGTATTGCCCACCGCATTGTGTTGCCTTGACATTGAGACAAGATCTCACATGCGAAGGGTTCAGCACAGTGTGTGGCGTAGAGTCACAGCACTGGTTCGTTTTTTTCTTTTTCTTTTTTTTTTTGATACGGAGTCTCACTCTGTTGCCCCGGTTGGGGTGCAGTGGCATGATCTCAGCTCACTGCAACCTCCGTCTCCTGGGTTCAAGCAATTCTCCTGCCTCAGCCTCCCAAATAGCTGGGACTACAGGCGCGAGTCACCATGCCTCGGCTAATTTTTGTATTTTTAGTAGAGACCGGTTTTCACCATGTTGGCCATGGTGGTCTCAAACTCCTGACCTCAAGTGACCCGCCCATCTCAGCCTCCCTAGATGTTAGGATTACAGGCATGAGCCACCGCACCTGGCCAGTACTGGTTATTTCAACGTCTTTCCTGTGGGCAGGCAAGCTCTGTGAGGCCACGGAGGGCATTTTCTCCATCTTGGGATTCATGGAGTCCAGGGTGGGGCATTTCCCAGGGTGGACCCCAGGTGGACAGGTCTGTGGGTGGCTTGGGCTCTGCTGCTCTGCCCCTTCCCTGGAAACTGTCCCCACTCTGAGTGCCTTTGCTGGCTGTGCTGTGGGGATAGGGCCTCATGTCCCTCGAGGGGGCTTCCATCTGGAGTGAACGGAGCCAGTGGGGCCCACAGGGTGAATGGGCAGTGCTGGGGGCAGATGTACAGTCAGGAGAGAGGGACTTTGACCTTCAGAACACCATCGGCAGAACTTGGGGCCTTTCCAAGGGGGGCTGCCTCCATTCCATCCCCCAAGGGCCTGCCCAGCATGGGGGGAGCAGGGCAGGGTGCCCGGGAGGCATGAGGACTGGCCCCAGCTGCAGCACTCGGCGAGAATCTCTTGAACTCTCGGCTGCACCGAAAGGCGAAGGCAGCGGGGCCCTGGAGATGGTCTCCATGACAACCGCTGCCACTCACTCCGCATCTTGGATGTAAATTAGTTACAATTTTATTAGTGTGCAGAATTTCAAGAGTCCAGATCCTGTCTTGGAAGGGAAAAGGAAGGTGGGGGGACAGAGGAGTTTCCGAAGCTTCACATCCCCACAGGGACCCCAAATCCAAGGTGGATCCATGGACAGTGAATTGGGCCATGCACCCTAATTCATCAGCCCTGGTCAGGCTCTCTGGAGAGAAGGAAACACATAGGACTGTTCCCGCTCTTCTGGCCACCTCCTCACAGCAGCCTGGGAGCACCCCCTCCCCAGTCGACAGGAAAGCAGCTGAAGGCCATGGGGGTCATTAGCTGGCACAAGGGCACCCACTCACCAGGAGCCAGACACTTGCTCTCCCACTCTGCCCAGCAGCCCTCCAAGGTTGGTTAAGGTTCACTGAAACACTGCTGGGCACCACATAACCAGGTGAGGACATCCCCAGGGGTTTGGGCGTCTGGACAAACACCAGGCCCTGCTTGCCAAGAGTCAGCATGTAGAGCTACTATCCTGTGGCTGGAGGTCGTGTGTTTGTCCCCTCTAGCACTGGGCAAATGAGGCTGGTGACACCCGAGTCACAGCAGCGTTTGATGCTCTGAATCATGTGTGCATATACACATGCACACACAGATTTTTCTCTAAGGAGGGAATAAAGGGACAGATTTGTCTCTTCCCTAAGGCCATTGTTAAAATTAGTTGTGTTCTCCCAAGGCGCAGCCCACCGTGTGTGTCCCTGAGGTGGCTCTACTCCCTCTGCTTTGGGGTGAGCCACAAGAGAGCAGGCCCCAATGAGGTCATGGGCCAGCAAGGCCACCAGAACTCCCCATCTGTGGCTGGCACTGAGGTGGACACTGAGAAGTTGGTACTGCAGAGGCAGGGCCAGGTGCAGGAGGAGAGGGTGTGGAGTGTATCAGGGCAGGTCCCACACAGGTGTGAGTCCCTGGGCCAACAAAGAGGAGAAAAAGCAGGCCTGGCTGAGAGAACAGCCTATATTAAGGCTTAGAGGCATGACAAAGCCTGAGTGAGGGCTTGGGGCATGGGAGGATAAGAGAATGAACAAGGAATAGAGGAGAATGAATGGAGACTGAAGGGAGATTGATGGGAAGGTGGATGGGAGGATGGATGGAAAAATTGTTGCAAGGGTGGATGGGAGGATGGATGAAAGGATGGATGGGAGGATGGGGGAGAATGGATGGAAAGATGGATGAGAGGATTGATGAGAAGATGGATGGGAAGATGGCTGAAGGATGGATGGAAAAATGGATGCAAGGATGAATGAAAGATGAATGGGTGGATGGATAGAAAGATGGATGGGAGGATGGGTGGGAGGAAAGATGAAGGATAGATGGGAAAATGGATGGGAGGATGCATGGGAGGATGGACAGAAGAATGGATAGGAGAATGGATGGAAAGATGGATGGGAGGATGGATGGGAGGATAGATGGAGGATAGATGGGAAGGTGGAGGGAGGTAGAAGAGAGGATGGATGGAGAATGAATGGAAGATTGATGGGAGAATGGATGAGAGGGTGGACAGAGGAATGGATGGAAGATAAATGGAAAGATGGATGGGAGCATTGATGAGAAAATTGACGAAAGGATGGATGAAAGGATGGATGGGAGGATAGAGGGAGAATGGATGAATGGGAGGATGGATGGAAAAATGAATGGGAGGATGAATGAAGGATGGATGGGTGGATGGATGGAAAGATGGATGGGAGGATGGATGACAGGATGAATGAAGGATAGATGAGAAAATGGATGGTAGAATGCATGGGAGGATAGACAGAGGAATGAATGGGAGGATGGATGAAAAGATGGATGGGAGGATGGATGTAAAGATGAATAAGAGGATGGATGACGGGATGAATGAAGGATAGATGGGAAAATGGATGGGAAGATGCAGGAGAGGATAGACAGAGGAATGAATGGGAGGATGGATGAAAAAGATGGATGGGAGGATGAATGAAGAATAAGATGGAGGGAGAATGGATGGGAAGATAAATGGAGAATGGATGGAAGATAGACGGTAGGGTGGATGGGAGGATGGATAGAGGGTGGACAGAGAAATAGAGGAAAGATGAATGGAAAGAAAGATGGGAGGATTGATGGGAGGGTGGATGGGTGGATGAATGGAAGATGGATGGAGGATGGATGAAAGATGGATGGAGAATGGCTGGGAGGATGGATGAAAAGATGAGTAGAGGATGAATGGGAGGGTGGTTGAAGGATGAAATGAAAGATGGATGGGAGGATGCATGGGAGGATCGACAAAAGGATGGGAGAATGGATGGAGGATGGAAGGAAAAAATGGATGAGAGGATGGATAGAGAATGGAGGGAGGATGGATGGGAAAGTGGAAAGAGAATGAATGGAGGATGAACAGAAGATGGATGAAGGATGGATGGAGGATTGCTGGAAGGATGGATGGAAAGATAGATGGAGAACAAAAGGGAGAATGGATGGGAGGATGGTGATGATGGATGGGGATAGACAGAGGAATGAATTGGAGGATGGATGGAAAAATGGATGGGAGAATGGATGGAGAATGGATGGAGGATAGATTGGAGAGTGAATGGGAGGATAAATGGCAGGGTGAACAGAGGAATAAATGGAAGATGGATAAGAGAATGGAAGGATGGATGAGAGGAGGAATGAAGGATGGATGAAGTGTGGATGGAGGATGGCTGGGAGGATGGGTGAAAAGATGAATGGGGTATGGATGGGAGAATGGATGAGAGGGTGGTTGAAGGATAAATGGAAAGATGGATAGAAGATGAATGAAGGATGGATGAGAGGATGGATGGTGGATGGATAATGGATGGGGGGATGGATGGAAGGATGGTTGGGAGGATGATTGGAGGATGGATGGGAGGATGAATGAAGGATGGAAGATGGATGGGATAATGGAGGGAGAATGGATAGATGAGAAGATGGATGGATGGGAGGATGGATAGGATGATAGATGGATGGAGGACAGATGGGAGGACAGGTGAAGGATGGATAAAAAGATGGATGGGAGAATGAAGAATGGATGGGAGTATGGATGGAAAGATGGATGGGAGGATAGATAGAAGATGGATAGAAAGGTGGATGGGTGGAAAGATGGAAAGATGAAGCGTGGATGGATGGGAGAATAGACAAAGGATATAAGGGGGAATGAATGGGAGGATGAATGGGAGGATGGAAGGGTGGATGGATGGAAAGATGAATAGGAGGATGGATGGGAGAATAAATAAAGAATAGGTGGGAGAATGGATAAAGGATACATGGGATAATAAATGGGAGGATGGATGGGAAGATGGATGAAAAGATGGATGGGATGATGAATGAAGGATGGATGGGTGAACGCATGAAAAGATGGATGGGAGGACGGGTGAAGAATTGATGGAAAGATAGATGGATGGAAGGATGGAGGATGCATGAGAAGATGGAAGGAGGATGAATGAAGGATAGACGAGAGAATGGGAGGATGGAAGGGAGGATGGACAGAGGAATAAATAGGAGGATGGATGGAAAGATGAATGAGAAGATGGATAAGAGGATGTATGGGAGAATGAAGAATGAATGGGAGGATGGCTGGAAAGATGGATGAGAGGATGAATGAAGGATAAGTGGGAGGATGGATGGGAGGAAGGATTGGGAATGATTGGGAGGATGAATACAGAATGTATGGAAATATGGTTGGGAGGATGGATGGAGGATGGATGGAAAGATGGATGGGAGGATGAAATGGGAAGGTCGATGGAGGATAGATGGGAAAATAGATGGGAGGATTCATGGGGTATGAGTGGAAGATGGATGGAGGTTGGATGAGGAATGAATGGAGGATGACCGAGGGGATGAATGGAAAGATGGATGGAGGATGAGTGGGGGGATGAATAGGAGAATGGATGGAGGATGGATGGGTAGATGGATGATGGATGGGTAGTTGGATGATGGACAGGGGGACGGTTGAAGGATGGATGGAAAGATGGAAAGATGGATGGGAGGATGAATGGGAGGATGGAAGGGAGCATGAATGAAGGATGGATGATAGGATGAATGGAGGATGGATTGGGAGGATGAATGGTAGGATAGATGAAGTATGGATGGGAGAATGGGTGGGTGGATGGGCAGGAGGAGTGGATGAGAGGCTGTTTCACAGTTATGCCCATGTGCTATGGCAACAGACCAGACTAGGACTCAAATCCCAGCTATTCCATACGATACTAGTGTCATCTTGCATAAGTTTTGTAACCCCTCTGATCCTCAGTTTTCTTGGGCGGGAGGACAGACAGGAGGATATGCAGATGGATTAAAATGAGTACTCTTAATACATACAGAAAACTTAGGACACGTCCTGACACACAGTCGGTGCTTAATAAATGTGCACTCGATGATTGCATCCCATGTTCTAAACTCAGCCTTGGGGACGTGTGTGAGGAGTGAGATGCTGGGGCTGCCCTCGGGGACTCAGCATCTGCTGAGCAATGTGATCAGTCCTGATTCAGGGCCCCTTGGGATGGTCAGGGAAAGGGCCCCATGGGTGACCCAAGTCAGAAGGGAGGAGGGGGGAAATGATCATGAATCTGTATTGGCTGGGCCCAGGGTCAAGGCAGTCAGGGGGCCGGGAAGAGGGGCATCAGCGCTGGGGGTCTGGAGGCCAGGGGAAAACCAGGGGAGGGTGGGAACCAACGTGACAGGGATCAAAGGGAGAAGAAGGAAATGGGTCACTTGGATTTGGCCCCCCAGCAGCAGTTGGGGATTTCTGTTGGGGATTTCTGTAAGAGCCGTTTAGTGGCATTGGGGCTGGGAGGCCATTGGCTGAGGACATGCAGTGAGGGCCGGGCAAGGGGGCAGAGAGTGGCTCATGCCATGGCAGCTGCTTTCAAACACCAGAGGGGCCACTCTGACAGTTCTCTTCCTTGCTCAGGTAGAACCAGGGCCTGCCCCCTACCCCATGTGCAGGCCTGCCCTGGGTGAGAAAGTTCCTTCGGTTCATGATGTGTGCAATCACAAACTGCGGGCTCTGGTTTGATTAGACAGTCTGAGCCCCATTCGGGTGGACAAGAACACAGAGGCCTCTCCTCCTCAGGAGGGAGCCAGCCATGTGGACAGCCTTTCCCAGCAGGCCTGGAGAACCACCAGCCAGCGGCAGGCCTCTCCCTGCGGTGGCCCACACTCTCAGGATGTGAGATTGAAGTATCAAGGATCTGAAGCAGGGGCTGTGTGTCAAGGGAACTGCCAGTCTGTCATTTGATTGTGGCCAACAGCCCCCAGGTGATCCTGCCCCAAAGTCCTTTGATGCTATAGCCAGGGCAGGGCCCTTCTTTAACTCCTCCTGTCTGCTTCTGAGGCCCCAGAGAGGGTGGCAGGCTCCCTGAGGTTCATCTGAACCTCCTCTGTGAGGCAGAGCTGCCTGGGGTCCCCCTTGCCCACCTGGCATCCTGGAGTGATAGCTCTGGCTGGCTCGCCCATGGCTTCCGTCCCCTACATTACAACTTGCCATATTTTGTGGCCTGAGGGCTGAGAATTCCAACAGGCAAGAGCAGGGATGGGACTGCCCACCCCATTCCAGTCGTGTCTCTTATTATCCACACCCTGGAAAACTTAATTAAATAGATGCTTAGTGTATAATTTCAACTTATTTGGAAGTCGGGGGGAAATCAAACTGAAGGGGGCCAGCCCCTCCACACCTGTGGGTATTTCTCATCAGGTGGAATGAGAGACTGAGAAAATAAGGCACAGAGACAAAGTATAGAGAAAGAACAGTGGGCCCAGGGAACCGGCGCTCAGCATATGGAGGACCCACACTGGCCCCGGTCTGCCCAGTCTGAGTTCCCTCAGTCTGAGTTCCCTCAGTATTTATTACTATTTTCACTATCTCCGCAAGGCGAATGCCACAGGAGAATAGGGTGAGTGGTGAGAAAGTCAACAGGAAAACGTGAGCAAAGGAATCTGTGTCACAAATAAGTTCAAAGGAAGGTGCTGTGCCCAGATGTGCACATAGGCCAGATTTATGCTTCTCTCCACCCAAACATCTCAGTGTAGCAAAGAGTAATAGAGCAGCATTGCTGCCAGCATATCCCGCCTCCAGCCACAGGGTGGTTGGTGGGAACATTCTGTTCCCAGGGACATGCAGGAGATGGAGGCATTCCTTTTACTAATCCTCCTCAGCAAAGGAAACCTTGGACAATACCCAGGTATCGGGGGAACCCGCCTCCAATATTTCAACATAGGTTCTTTCTATTTTCCCTAAGTGTCAGCTGGTCTGAGAAATAAGAGTATAAAGAAAGGAATTTTACAGCTGGGCCACCGGGGGTGACATCACGTATTGGTAGGTCCATGATGCCCCCCTGAGCCACAAAACCAGCAAGTTTTTATTAGGGATTTTAAAAGGGGAGGGGTGTATGAACAGGGAGTAGGTCACAAAGATCACATGCTTCAAAGGGCAGAAGGCAGAGCAAAGATGACATGCTTCTGAAGAAACAGGACCAGAGCAAAATCAGAAACTCCTGATAAGGGTCTATGTTCAGCGGTGCATGTATTGTCTTGATAAACATCTTAACAGAAAACAGGGTTCAGAGCAAAGAACCGGCCTGACCTCAAATTTACCAGGACTGGGGTTTCCCAATCCTAGTAAGCCTGAGGGTACTGCAGGAGACCAGGGCGTATCTCAGTCCTTATCTCAACCACATAGGACAGACACTCCCAGAGCGGCCGTTTATAGACCTCCCCCCAGGAATGCAATTCTTTCCCTAGGGTCTTAGTATTATATTCCTTGCTAGGAAAAGAATTTAGCAATATCTCTCCTACTTGCACGTCCATTTATAGGCTCTCTGCAAGAAGAAAAATATGGCTTTTTGCCCGACCCCTCAGGCAGTCAGACCTTATGGTTGTCTTCCTTTGTTCCCTAAAATCACTGTTATTCTGTTCATTTTCAAGGTGCACTGATTTCATATTGTTCAAACACATGTGAACATGTTTTACAATCAATTTGTACAATAGTGGTCCTGAGGTGACGTATATCCTCAGCTTACAAAGATAACAGGATTAAGAGATTAAAGTAAGACAGGTGTAAGAAATTATAAAAGTATTAATTTTGGAAACTGATAAATGTCCAAGAAATCTTCACAATTTATGTTTCCTGATGCAGCACCAGCTGGTCCCTCCATTCGGGGTCCCTGACTTCCCACAACAGCCAGGCTTTCTTGGGCAGAGGTTCCTGTGGCTTTCCACAGTGCATTGAGCCCCTGGTTAATCGAGAATGGAGAATGGCGATGACTTTTACCAAACATACTGCCTGCAAACATATTGTTAACAAGGTACATCCTGCACAGCCCTAGATCCCTTAAACCTTACAGCACATGTTTCCGTGAGCACAGGGTTGGGGCTAAAGTTACAGATTAACAGCATCTCAAGGCAAAACAATTTTTCTTAGTACAGATCAAAATGGAGTTTCTTATGTCTTCCTTTTCTACATAGACACAGTGAAAGTCTGATCTCTCTTTTCCTTACATATCCCCCCCTTTTCTTTTTGACAAAACCACCATCGTCACTATGGCCCATTCTTGCTGGTTGCTGTCTCTTTGGAGCTGCTGGATACACCTGTAGACTAACAACAGACAGAACAGGCATACAAGGATTAATATGAAATTTACAATAGTGAAACTTCTGATGCTTTTAACCCAAGTGACTGGCTTAAGATTTGTGAGGCTATCAGCAGCTTTCACGATTGTCTCCGTTCCTGGCACCAAATTTAAATGGGCTTTTGATGCCTCAAAAATTTTTTCTTGGCTGGGCACGGTGGCTCACGACTGTAATCCCAGCACTTTGGGAGGCCAAGGTGGGCAGATCACAAGGTCAGGAGATCGAGACCATCCTGGCTAACACGGTGAAACTCCATCTCTATTAAAAACCCAAAAAAAATTAGCCAGGCATGGTGGTGGGCTCCTGTAGTCCCAACTACTTGGGAGGCTGAGGCAGGAGAATGGTGTAAACCCAGGAGGCGGAACTTGCAGTGAGCTGAGATCACGCCACTGCACTCCAGCCTGGGCGACAGAGCGAGACTCTGTCTCAAAGAAAAAAAAAATTCTTTTAATTTTGAAATGTCTAAAGTAAGATTATCTTCTCCTCCTTGCAGATGGCATCTAACCATGTCCCAGTGATGCTCAGACTCATTATAGGCTTGTGGTGTAACACAAAAATCTGATGTATTCCAGTCACATCGTAACTGAAAAAGATATTCCAAGCTCATGAGCCTCTCCCATCCAAATGACAGTTTGTCTAAGATCATTAATTTGGTTTGCCAATTTTTGATCTATTTGGATCTGAGAATTCCACAATTTTGAGGAATTCTTTTGCCAATCATTTACGTATTCTGCAGTTTGAACAGAGGAGTGTAAAGCAATTCCAGCAGCCGCAGCAGTAGCTGTGACTGCAATGAGGCCCATAATCACTGCCATCAAAGTAAAAATGAATCTTTTGGATCTAGTTAGAATTCCTTTTAATACTTCCGTTAAAATATGGATGGATAGCGAAGCCTCCCATGGTCGGTCCATGGACACAAGGATCCACACACCCTCTCTTGCTCTTCCTAGTAGAATACGGTGCTGCCAATTAAAAGTCAAATCAATGCAAGTAAACATTCCACAATTTTCACAGATTATGGTTTGGGAATCAGGTTTAATAACTATGTTTTTCCTACAACTAGCAATATAAGGGAGTTTTACACAATTTTGCAAAGGAATTGTCAGACTGGAATTTAGGTTGATAGTATAATATGACTTACGATCTCTTGTTCCTATAGCTTGATTTCCAGAACAAATTCTAATGTGGTGTGAGGCCACAGTAAGCTTCCTAATTCTGGATGTTCAGGACCAGTAACAGGACTAACTTTGGTCAAGGTGATGAAATTCCCTTTTCACCCCATTTCCTTGGACAGAGTGATTCTAACCTTCTATAAACCTGGTCCAGCCTTTCAGTTACATCACCGTCATAGGCTGGATTAATGGGCCAGATGGATGGGGCCTGTGAACATGAATGAGTCTGGCCTGTACAGTTATGATATAATTGGCCTCAAGGGACCCAGTCTATCATAGTTCAAAATTCATTGTTTTGTACTACACTGCAGTATCAGCCACACATTCTCCGCAGACTAAGACTTCTGGGCTTTTTGATTCTTTGGGAATTTCCTTGGGGCAAGCCTTCCCCTTAGGCCTACATTGTAATGATCTTTGATAAGAAGGGTCCTGTAAATTATTTATCTGTGACATTCCACTTACCATGTGATAAGTAAATCTACTGGTAGCACTGACTGTAGGTACTTCTACCAACCAATTTTGGGTTGTAGGCATTAAGCATCCTGGTGCCTTCCCTAGGCAAACAGGAGGATAAGGATACCCAATGGAAATATTCATCATCATTCCTTCTTCAGGTTGGGCAGGGCAACAGTCATCTGTGGGGCCAGGCACCCATGCACTATTATTAACATCTACTTCAATAGGATTATCCATCTATGTAACTGCCCGAATTAAGGGTGGGAAAGGCACATAGGCCCAGTAAGTATAATTAGCTGCAGCTGCTCCTGCAGACTTGGGAAGACTTACCACCGTTGATACAATCATCAGAGCTGCAAGCAGCATATTCTCTGGAGTTGGTGTCACCTTTGTATTCTCTAGGCTTTTTTTTTTAGCTAACTGTGTCAGCTTCTTTAATTGTGCCTATATTGGCAACTCTGCTTCCTTGATGGAAGGCAACTTTTTCTGTTCTTCTGATATCACCATTTTGTTTACCTGGCGAGTCGATTGGGGTGTCTCCATCTCCACACTTTTCTTTGCATCTCCAGTGAGTTCATTGTAGAACTTTAAATGTCTAGTGGGTATCCAAACAGGAAGCTGATTTTCTCCTGGTGAAACACAAGCAAAACCTCTCCCCCACGTTATCACCTTCCCCATTTCCCATGTTTTATTTTTATTATCTTTCCACCAAATCAGTTTTCCTTCATGTGGGCTGTTCCTTTTACCAGTAAGATGTTGTTCTGCAGAGGTAGTGGTCTGATTTCTATAAATGTTTAAAACATTTAAAGTATAGAGTGCTAGATTAAGTTGCATCTGGGGAGTGTTATACTCCTGTCTTTTCCTTTTTTTTGTTTAACCAATTGAGCTTTGAGTGTTCTATTAGTTCTTTCAATTATGGCCTGTCCTTGGGAATTATAGAGAATTCCTATTGTATGTGTAATTTTCCACTGATTTAAGAATTTTTGAACTGCTTTACTACAGTAACCTGGCCCATTGTCTGTTTTAACTTTTTCTGGAACTCCCATGACAGGAAAACAAGATAATAAATGTCTTTTAACATGGGAAGTACTTTCTCCTGTCTGGCAGGTTGCCCATATGAAATGTGAATAAGTATCAACTGTCACATGGACAAATGACAATTTTCCAAATGAAGGTACGTGCATGACATCCATTTGCCATAACACATTAGGACATAGACCTCTGGGATTAACTCTTGCCTCCTGAGTGGCCAGGTGTAGAATCTGACACTGGGTGCAATGTTGTACAATATTTTTTGTCTGTTTCCATGTGATATCAAATTTATTTTTTAATCCTATTGCATTTACATGAGTCAAGGCATGAAGTTCTTGTGCTTCCATGAATGCAGATGATACTAGCAAGTCAGCTTGTTCATTTGCTTTAGTTAAAGGCCCTGGTAAATTAGTGTGTGCTCGAATATGAGTAATATAAAATGGGAAATTTCTTTTTCTTACATTTTGTTGTAACAAATTAAACAGCGGGTTTAACTGATCATCCATAATGTATTTGATTAGGGCTCTCTCAATATCCTTTGTAGCCTGTACTACATATGCAGAATCTGATACAATGTTAATAGACTGATTAAAATCTTGTTAACACTGTAATGACGGCAACCAACTCTGCTCTTTGAGTCAAGTGATACTGAGTTTTGATGACTCATTCTTTTGGCCCGGTGTAAGCCACTTTTCCATTGCTGGAACCATCAGTAAACACTGCCAGAGCATTTTTTAAAGGCTTATGTTTGGTAACTTTAGGTAAAATCCAAGTAGTCAATTTTAAAAACTGGAAGATTTTTGTTTTGGGGTAACGATTGTCAATAATTCCCACAAAATCGGCAAGACCAATCTGCCATGCACCAGAATTGATAAAGGCTTGTCTAACCTGTTGCTTGTTGAAAGGAACAGTGATTTTATCTGGGTCATTTCCACACAATGTTATTATTCATAATCTTCCCTGACCAATTAATGTAGCCATTTGATCCAAGTACAATGTAAAAGTCTTAATTGTACTGTGAGGAAGGAAGGACCACTCCACAAGATCTGTATTTTGAACAATGATGCCTGTTAGGGAATGTGCAGTAGCAAAAATCAAAATTTGGAGTGGGGCCAAGTGATCTATTCTATTTACTTGTGCTGACCGAATTTTTTCTTCAATTAATTTAATTTCTTTAGTTGCCTCTGGAGTTAACGTTCTTTCACTATTTAATTCCGAGTCCCCTCTTAAGAAAGAGAACAAATTTGACATGGCATAAGTAGGAATGCCTAGAGTTGGCCAAATCCAATTAATATCTCCAAATCCAATTAGTATCTCCTAGCAACTTTTGAAACTCATTTAATGCTTTTAATGTGTCTTTTCTTATTTCTATTTTTTGTGGTTTAATTTTCCTTTCCTCTACCTGCATTCCCAAGTAACGGAAAGGAGTAGAGGTTTGAATCTTATCAGATGTTATTGTCAGTCCCGCGTTGGCAACCTCTGTCTGCAGAAATGTGTAACGGTCAATTAATTTGTCTCTCGTTTCTGCAGCACACAAAATATCAACATAGTGAACGATGTAACAGTCTGAAAACTTGTCTCTAACTGGTTGCAGAGCTTGAGCTGACAAATAGTTGAACTATTAAGCATTCCCTGAGGCAATACTTTCCACTGAAACCTGGTGGCTGGTTCTTTATTATTTAGGCTGGTGTGGTAAAAGCAAATTTTTCAAAATCCTGTTTTGCCAGAGGAATGGTAAAAAAGCAATCCTTCAGATCAATTATAATTAAAGGGGACCATGGCTGGAGAGGGCAACCGGGGTGGGAGAGCCCCCATGGGTTGAATTACGGCATTATACGCCATCTGCCGGATTTTTTCTGAATTACAAACAGAATTCCAAGGCGAAAATGAAGGCTCAATGTCCTTTTTCTAATTGTTTCTTTGCTAATAAATGTAAAGCCTCCAGTTTTTGTTTTGGAAGCGCTGCTGATTTACCATACAGTTGTTTTTTTTTCCCCCAAGTTAATGGAATGGGTTTTGGAGGCTCTACAGTGACCGCTCCTAAAAAGGATGCCCTATTCCTTTTCTTTTTTGATTTTTTTCAGCCTCAATTGGGACTTCTTTCCTAGTCCCTTTTTAGGGAGCTATCCCATTTTAGTCATGATTTTTTTATTCCTGGGGCTGTATAGGGAGGCTGGGATAGTAATCTCTGCATGCCATTGTTGTAACAAGTCTCGGCCCCATAAATTGATTGGAATGAAGTGATCACAGGCTGAACCGTACTTTCTTGATTATCAGATCCTGGACAATGTAAAATCATGGCACTTTGATACACTTCTGAGGCAGTACCTATGCCGATGACAGAAACATCAGCCTGGGTATCCACTAATCCTTCAAACTCTTTCCCTGAATAGTGACTGTACACACGGGTCTATCCTCTGAGACCTGATTAGCCCAATAAGCAGCTTTTCCTGCAGGGTTGGTACTTCCAAACCCTCCTGTTCTTTCCTTTTTGTTTTCCCCAATTTTAACATAAGGCAAAAGCAGTAATTGAGCAATTCTATCACCTGGATTGGCACTCCGGGGAACAGTGGAGCTGATCACTAACTGAATTCCCCCTTTATAATCTGAATAAATTACCCCAGTATGAATTTGGACTCCCTTCAAATTTAGACTTGATCTCCCTCAAAGGCCTACCCTCCCTTCTGGCAGCGGGCCATATACCCCTCTAGGAATCTTTTGTGGGGGCTTTCCAGGGAGTAAAAAGACCATTTGGGTGGAACATAAATCTACTGCGGTGCTGCCTGCTGTGGCGCGGGACAGCTGTTGGATTGTTGTAATTGGCTGACTCCCTGAAGTGGTGGTATTTTCTGTAGGGGTTGTTGTCCTTGAAAACCCTGAGGAACAAACAGTTTAACTGGGAATGCCCCAGTTTGTTGGGGGGCCTGAGGCTGGCCCCTCTTCCTGTTTCCAGACAATGGTTGCCCATCTTTATCAAATTTAGAATGACATTGATTGGCCCAATGTTTTGCTTTTCCACATTTTGGACACAGGCCAGATGGCTTTTTATTTTTTGCTGTTAATAGCTTGATTTATTATATTCTGTTTATTTAAGCCTGGGCAACTCCTTTTCAGATGACCGATTTGACCACAATTATAACATTTTTTCCCAAATGTTCTAACTTGTCCTCCTAGAGTGAGCCCCCTCATTGCTTGAGCCATTAGCATTGCCTTATGCATAGCTCCTCCAATCCCATCACAAGCCTTCACATATTCTGTAATTACATCAACTCCTGCTGGAACTTTTCCTTTTAATGGCTTTATGGCCGACTGACATTCTGGATTTGCATTTTCATAGGCCATTAATTCTACAATAACTTTTCGGGCATTGTCATCTGTAATAGACTTTTGAGCAGCATCTTGTAATCTTGCCACAAAGTCAGGATATGGCTCTTTAGAGCCTTGTCTAATTGAATTAATAGGGAAAGCTGTTCCTGGGTCCTGAATTTTTCCCCAGGCCCTGAGGCAAATAGCCCTTACTTGTTCAATAGCCTCATTCTGCATCACTGATTGTTGGTTAATGGTGCTCCAATTTGGACCTGTTCCTAACAATTGGTCTGCGTCTATATTAACAGTGGGCTTAGTAGCCTGATTTTTTCGTACCTGTTCTTGTACTCCATCAATCCACCAGGTTTTAAACTGTAGATACTGAGAGGATGAAAGGGAAGATTTGGCCAAAATTTCCCAGTCATAAGGAGTAAGTCTATTTCCATGAGCAATGGAATCTAATAATGTTCTTATATAAGGGGAGTTGGATCCATATTGTTTAACTCCTTCCTTTATATCTTTTAACATTTTCATGGTGAAAGGTTCACATCTAGTCTCAGCTCGGGCAGGCGCTCCTACTTGAGTCTCTTCCCCGGCCTGTACCAGTTGTAAAATTACCAGGAACCGCCATGCCTCAAGATCGCCCTGTTTTCTGGCTTCATCAATGACTGCATGCAGTGCACCACCCTGTCCACTACGTGATGCTGTAGGATTAAGTCTCACAGTGGGCGGCTGAGGATACAGCGCCGCGTCCTGTGTTGCTGGTGAATTAGACGCCATCGCTGTGGGTTGCTGGTATGGTGCCGTGCTATTTGGCACAGGACACACCGCTTGAGGTCTGTATTGAACCTCTGAAGGAGGCCGATACTGAAGCTCGGTTGGCAGCCGGTATTGATAAACTACCAGCGGTTGGGTCTTATTTTCTACCGGCTGATATTGTGGATACTGTATCTGAGTTGGCATTGCCGGGATAGAGACTCTGTCCCTTTCTACTTGATTTTCTCTTGGGGTTTGTGCTTGTCTAACCTGCGTTTGAGGTTGTAATGTTACAGGCATCTGAACCACGGGAGGAGGAGTTGATGGCGATCGTGGTTTAGGCTCTGATGGCCCCAATGATTCTGGACCTCCTTCCCCCAATTTTGATGATTCAGGGTATATTATCTCCTGTAATTGACTGTAGTCAACATTTTGCGTTGACTGAGCCATTACAGACTCTGCTACATATTTACAATGTGAACTTTCCGTTCCTTGCTGGGATTCTGTCCCTGCCTCTTCTTCACAATCTGTTACACAGCTTTTAGGGGCATCAGAAACTGAAACAATATCTTCTCCTGTTTGAAATGGTTCTAAAGTTGCTTTAATAATGGCCCAATCATTCCATACTGTAAGTGGGATGATTTTACCTTCCCTATTTGCTTGTTTTAATTCTTTGCCAATTTTTTCCCAATCTTTTAGATCTAAAGTTCCCTGTTCTGGAAACCATGGGCAGAATTGTTCTATTGTTTGAAATAGCGTAATTAGATTTTCTGTAGAAGCTCTAACTCCCCCTCTTCTTAAAAGAATTTTAATAAAGCTGAGATAAGAGGCATATTTACTTTCAGTTTGCCCCATCGTTACCCTGGGTTCCTCTAAGCACACAAGCTTACCGCAAGGCTGACCGTGGACGTACTTGGGACTCTCTCGTCAACTTGTCCTCAATGACCACACTGTAGAGTACCTTCACCCTAGAGAAAGGCACCCACATTGGGCATCAGATGAAGGGGGCCAGCCCCTCCACACCTGTGGGTATTTCTCGTCAGGAGGGATGAGAGACTGAGGAAAGAAATAAGACACAGAGACAAAGTATAGAGAAAGAACAATGGGCCCAGGGGACCAGCGCTCAGCGTACGGAGGATGTGCACCGGCCATGGTCTCTGAGTTCCCTTGGTATCTACAGATTACTATTTTCACTATCTCAGCAAGGGGAATGCGGTGGGAGAACAGGGCGATAGTGGGGAGAAGGTCAGCAGGAAAACATGTGAACAAAGGAATCTGTGTCACAAGTTCAAGGGGAGGTTCTGTGCCCAGATGTGCACATAGGCCAGATTTATGCTTCTCTCCACCCAAACATCTCAGTGTAGCAAAGAGTAACAGAGCAGCATTGCCGCTAGCATATCTCACCTCCAGCCACAGGGTGGTTTTCTTCTCTCAGAATAGAAGGAATGTACTATCGGGTTTTACACCAAGACATTCCATTCCCAAGGACATGCAGGAGACGGAGGCCTTCCTCTTATCTCAACTGCAAGAGGCCTTCCCCTTTTACTAATCCTCCTCAGCACAGACCCTTTACGGGTGTCGGGCTGGGGGACGGTCAGGTCTTTCCCTTCCCACGAGGCCGTATCTCAGGCTGTCTCAGTGGGGGGAAGCCTTGGACAATACCCAGGCTTTCTCGGGCAGAGGTCCCTGTGGCTTTCCGCAGTGCATCGTGCCCCTGATTAATGGAGAATGGAGAATGGCGATGACTTTTACCAAGCATACTGCCTGTAAACACATTGTTAACAAGGCACATCCTGTACAGCCCTTGATCCCTTAAACCTTGATTCCATACAGCACATGTTTCTTTGAGCACAGGGTTGGGGCTACAGTTACAGGTTAACAGCAGGTCAAGGCAAAATAATTTTTCTTAGTACAGCTCAAAATGGAGTTTATGTCTTCCTTTTCTACATAGACACAGTAACAGTGTGATCTCTCTTTCTTTTCCCTACACAAACAGCCGCGTGGCCCAGCCAGGTCCATCCCCTTGGCAAAGTCCCGCTGGGTCCCGGGTGCTGGGGTCCTGCCCTGTTCGGCTGTGGTGAAAACGCCTCCTTCTCTCTGGGTCCCCAGAGAAAACCCCTGCTCTCTCCACTCTGCAGCCTCAATTACAAAGACGAACACACATACGCCCCACAGATGTGCACACACACACACATACACACACAGCAGGAGCTGCGGGAGGAAGCCAGGCAGCCAGCGGGGACCCGGGAGGGTGGAAACACCACAAGAACCAGGGGCTGGTTTTCTTTTATTGTATTAAATAGTTAGGCAGACAGTAGGAGAAATACACAAGGAAAGGCCAGGTGCCCCGAACCCAAGTCCAGCGCCTAAAATCCTGCCATTCATTTCCAAGTCTCTCGTGGGCCCTCTCCCTCCTTCTCTCTGCTCCTCTTTGGGGCACACCTGTGCTCTATGGTCTGCATGGAGGGGACCCTACCCTGAAGGGGTGGCCTGCCCCTCCACACCTCTGGGTGTTTCTCATCAGGTGGAATGAGAGACTTTACTTTTAGTTTGCCCCATTAACCCTGGCTTCTTCCGAGCGCCCAAGCTTACCACAAGGCTCACTGTAGACGTACTCGGGAATCTCTCGTTGACTTGTCCTCAATGACCACACTCGAGAGTCCCTTCACCCTAGAGAAAAGCATCCACGTTGGGCACCAGATGGAGTGGCCTGCGCCTCCACAGCTGTGGGCATTTCTCCTCAGGTGGAACGAGAGACTTGAGAAAAGAAAGACAACAGAGACAAAGTATAGAGAAAGAAAAGTGGGCCCAGGGGACCGGCGCTCAGCATATGGAGGACCCGCGCCGCACCGGTCTCTGAGTTCCCTCAGTATTTATTGATCATTATCTCTACCATCTCGGAGAGGGGGATGTGGCAGGACAATAGGGTAATAGTGGGGAGAGGGCCAGCAGGAAAACATGTGAACAAATGTCTCTGCATCATAAACAAGGTAAAGAAAAAAGTGCTGTGCTTTTGATGTGCATATACATAAACATCTCAATGCCTTAAAGAGCAGTATTGCCGCCAGCATGTCCCACCTCCAGCCCTAAGGCAGTTTTCTCCTATCTCAGTAGATGGCATATACAATCAGGCTTTACACCAAGACATTCCATTGCCCAGGGATGAGCAGGAGACAGATGCCTTCCTCTTATCTCAACTGCAAAGAGGCCTTCCTTCCTCTTTTACTAATCCTCAGCACAGACCCTTTACGGGTGTCGGGCCAGGGGACAGTCAGGTCTTTCCCTTCCCAAGAGGCCATATTTCAGACTGTCACATGGGGAGAAACCTTGGACAACACCTGGCTTTCCTAGGCAGAGGTCCCTGCGGCCTTCCGCAGTGTTTGTGTCCCTGCTTACTTGAGATTAGGGAGTGGTGATGACTCTTAACAAGCTTGCTGCCTTCAAGCATTTGTTTAACAAAGCACATCCTGCACAGCCCTGAATCCATTAAACCTTGAGTCAACACAGCACCTGTTTCTGTGAGCACAGGGTTGGGGCTAGGGTTACAGATTAACAGCATCTCAAAGCAGAAGAATTTTTCTTAGTACAGAACAAAATGGAGTCTCTTATGTCTATTTCTTTCTACATAGACACAGTAACAGTCTGATCTCTCTTTCTTTTCCCCACACTAGCCAAAGGCAGTCCTTGTCCCACAGGGGCCCAGGAAGAATGTCCTAGTAGATGGCAGTGGCAGAGGGAGGCCCTAGAGGTACAGCAGTGGAGGGGACATGAAGCTGCTCCTGAGCTGGACCTGGGCGTCCTCTAGTTCATCCCAGTGTGGGGTTTTGAACTGTGCACTCTGTCAGCAAAGAGAATTTGGAGACAAATAGAAGAGGGGCTCCAAGGTAGTGGGAGAAGCTCAAGTGAGCATTTACTCAACAGCCTCCACCACCAGAATCTTTCTCAGGGGCTGAAGATGTGGTGGGTGGCACACAGCGTCACACAGGACACACAGGTCCTGCGGAGGAGACGCGGTACCATGAGATACGAGGAAACACAGACGTCAGGAGAAGACAGTGGTGGAGAGCGAAGTGCTCCAGGCCAGAGCCTGTGGCCTCCAGCTCCCCTTACAACAGCCCCCAGAGGCCGCCCCCAGTTTGTGGGTAAGGAAGCTGAGGCCCGAAGACCTGAATCAGTGACCAGCAAACATCGAGGCAAATTTGAACAGAGGCTCAGCCTCAGTGGGCGGCTGCGAGCTGCTGAATTGTGACTGAAGTGGCACACAGGGACAGGGACGGTGCTCAGGGCCGGCCTCTCATAGGGCTTTTGAGCTGGGGCTCGATGGACCAAGTCTTGGCTCTGGGCTGGGCACACGGCTTTTTGGCAGGCATCTCACTTCTGGGTAGCCTGCCTGTGGCTCCATTCTAGCGACCAGGAGCCTGAGGCCCACAGAGCTTACGGAGCAGCCTGAGTTCTCAGGGCTGGGGAGAGTAGCCAGGGGCTCAGACCTCGCCGTGCCATGCTGGCCCGTCCACCATGCTGCCCTGTTCTCACACGGCCAAGTGCTCCCAGCACACAGGAGGAGTCCAGGCGGGAAAGGGATGGAGGATGAACGTGACCAGGCCTTGCCTTCGGAGGGGTGAAGGTCTTCCCAGTGTCCCCCAGCCCCCCTGCCCACTCCCAGAGGGACGGCCCTGCAAGCGGTGGCCACCAGGACCTTGCAGGGGGTGAGGGTCCAGGCTGCCGAGGAACCAAGGAGAGGCCGCCCTCGCTTCCCACATGCCCGGGCCCTGGGTCCCTCAGCCTCCCGCTGGCCTTGCCACCCAGCTCTCACAGACACTGGCTCAGGAGCAAGCAGGAGACCCCTGGGGTGACCTGCCAGACCTGCTGGGCCCAGGCTCAAACCCTGCAGCCACTCCCGGCCTGGCCACTCCACCATGTCTCCCAGCCCCATCTCCCTCTTGAGGGCCACGTCTCTGGGTTTTGTGAGGCTGAATTCTTCTCAGCTCTCAGGTGTTAAGACTGTCTCCTCAAAGAGGCCTTCCTGAGCCCCCGCTCCATGACTATCCTGCCAGCATTCTCTCTTCCTCGGGTGGCTGTGGGTTTGTTCCTGCCCAGGTGGAGTGGGCTACTTCCCGCCACGCTGTCCCTCTACCCTTAGGATCCAGGGCAGACCAGTGGGGGCGGGGGGAGTTTCGCCGCAGATGCTAGTGACTCCAGGGGACAACCCAGGTCCCTTCCCCTCTGGGGTGCTCTGAGTCCTGAATTGACTTGGAATGTCCAGGCCCAGCCCTGGCTCTGGGCCCTGCTAGATCACTGGTGGGTCTTCTCCAAGGAGCCAGGCCCCAGCCTAGGCCCACCCTTCCAGTGACGTGAACAAAGGGAGGGTGGGGGCTGCTGTCTGGAGCAGGCCTGGAAGGGGAGCCCACTGCTTAACCCTGACAGCCCCTGCCAGACTCCCCAGGATCCAGTAGTGGAGCAAGGGGGTGGGAGGGGGCAAGGGGTGGGAGGAGACCAGCTTAGGTGCTCAGTCCCTTGGTGGTCTGTGCCTCAGAGCCCCAGGGACACTTTTCCACCCCTCCCCCACCCCCCTTTCTCCTGCCCTTCCTCCCTCCCTTCTTCCTCCCTGTCCTGCCCTCTTCCTGCCCTTCCCTCCCTTGTCCCTCCCGCTCCTTATCTCCCTCTTTCCGTCCTTCTCTCCTTCCGTCCCTCTCCCCTCTCCCTCCTGCCTTCCCTTCCTCATCTCCCCACCCTCCTCCCCAGCCCTGCCCTTCACAGCTCTGCTCTCGAGATCTCCCTGTTTCTGAGGTTCTCTCGGTCCCTCCCTCTCCCCTTTTCTCTCTCCAGTTCTTTCCTCCCCACCTTGCCCCTATCCATGAGTGGGGTCACGGGGCCCAGTGGTTTGCAGCTCCCAAAGCAGTCATCTCTCTGTATCTGCGCCTCTGCAAAACTGAGGCTACCTGAGCCTGGACCCGCAGCCCTGCTCCTCAACTCCCCACCAACTCTCCTCCTCTTCTTTCCTGCACCCTCCCTCCCCATCCTCCCTCCTTCGCCCTCTTCCCTCTCAAGCCAGTATTTGTAGCTCACTGCTGTGCATTCGTGTGCAGGCTACTCTCTGACACCTGGATGAGGTTTTTTCTGTCATGGCAGCCCCAAGGGCAACTGGCAGACTTTTCCCTCTTAAGTTGCTAGTGCACTCCCCTCTTCCGCCGCTGGGGCCTCGGCTGGATGGAGGCTGGTCTCTCGCCTGCCTGGGTCTGGGGCCCCGGCTCTGTGTCTAGGCCTGCCGCTATCTGGCCTCCCCTTCCTGCCGCTGCCTCCCTCACCTGCTCCCCCTCCTCTCCTTCCTCCTCAGCCTTTGTCTCTGGAAGACAGGGAGCCTCTCACTGCCTTCCCCTCCCTTCTCTTCTCATTTAGCCCTTTCCTTGGGCAGCCTCTCTCAAGGTTCCAATCCTTCTCCATTTGTTCCTCTCCTTCCCTGCCTTCCTTTTTCCACCTCTTCCTTTTCTCTCTCCCCCTTTTCTCTCCTCTCCTGACACCATTCTGCCTGCTTTTAGGGAATGGAAAAAACCCCAAGTTGGAATGTGGGGACCCCAGCTTCTCTCCCCCATCCCCTATTTTTCTCTGCCCTCGGCAGCCTCCCCCTGGACAACAGGGTGGGGGGAATCAGGTGGGGGCATTGTGAGGGGATTCTGGGGCTGAGGGGGTTCCTGGAGCCCACGTCTCCAAGGCAAACCTTCTGCAGGGCCCACCCTGATGCTCATGGCTTTCTGGGACTCCCAGGGGTCCAGCCTGGCTCTGGTGGGACCTCCATGCGGCCTGGGAGGGGGCCAGCACAGCCCTGCTCCTTCCCCAGGCTGTCTCTGCCCCTCCAACCTGGGTCTTCAGAGATTTCTTCTCAACGCACCTCCCTCCCTCTTCCCCCATCTGGCACGAACCTGAATTGATCTTTGTGAATATCACTTAAAATAAGCAACCTGTTGTCCTCAGCACTTTACAGTTTGCACATTTCTCTGCTCAGGTCACAGCAACTACGTACCTCGGGCCCTATTTCACTCTCCCTGGTGATAAAGGAGGCACCTGCCCAGCACCTCGGGCGCTGCCAGCAGACCCACCTGAACAGGACCCAGGTCTCACCTCGCTGAGCCTTCACGCAGGCACCAGGCTTGATACCTTCCCGGGGCTCAGAGACCCAGAGAGGCAGCGTCCTCTGCCCAAGGTCACACAGCCCCAGCTGGTGCAGAGAAGAGGTGTTTGGGGCTAAGTGTGAGGAACTTGCAGCCTTGGGGGACTCCACCATCTCTTTCCGAGGCTGGTCTCATGCCTGTCCTCTCCCCAGGTCAGGATGGGGCTGGGAGTGAGGGAGCCCCCGCCCCGCTTTGCTTCCCCACCTGCTCCTGACCCCCGGGCTTTTCTGTGGGGCTGACTCAGGATGGCTGGTGGAGAAGGTGCTGCCTGTGCCCCACACCACGTGCTGGCTTTGTCCTCCTCATCCCATCCAAGACCCTCTGTCTGCCCCACTCTCTGGGCCCCCTGCTGCGGTCTGGACTCAGCTTCCCTCCTCCTCCCCTCTCCTCTCTCCTTTTCCTTTTCTCTCCCTCAGGCCTCTGCTTTCCTGATTCTGCCACCTGGACTGGCTCCTGGCTGGGACCCCTCCATCCTGTCTGTCATCCCTCTCTCCGAGGGCCTCTCCCCCCAGCTATGGCATGTCCCCTGCTCTCTGTGCATTTCCAGCACAGTCTCTGTGTCACCCCAGCCCTCTGCTGCCTGCATCTCCCCTCTCTCCCTCCCTCTCCTGTCCTGCTGTTTCTGCTCACCCCAACATGCGCACATGCACACACGTGCAAAGACACACGGAGGCACAGGCAGGGGCTGGTGCAGACACGCAGCCCATACACGCAGCCCACACAGGCAGCCCATACACGCAGCCCATACACGCAGCTCATACACACAGTCCATACACGCAGTCCATACACGCAGCCCACACACGCAGCTCATACACGCAGCCCGTGCAGTTGTTACGGCAGCAGTGGAGGGTCAGAGCCTGGCCCCAGGAGGAGGCAGAGGAAGGGGACCCCTTGCCCAGCCCCAATGTCCCCAGGCCTGCAGGCGCCTCATGGTGGGGTGGGGTTCCAGGCTGGGCGGGCTCCCCTGGTCCTGTGGCTCCATCTTCTGAGTCTCAGGGGCAAGAGACCGCCTTGATGGGGCCCAAGCTTCCAGAATTCTGGCAGGAATCCCCAGCGTGCCCGACCAGTGCTGGTCCCAGGGCAGGGATCTGGAAGTGGGCACAGCCCTGAGAGCAGAGGGGTTGGGTCAGGGCAGGGGCAGCAGAGACGGCCACTCAGCACAGGATCTGAGGGCGGCCAGGTGGCCATGGGTCCTGCACCAGGACCACTGTGTGCAGCCTCAGAGGTGACCGAGCCTCCACGTCTGGGTCTAGCGCCGCCATGGATGTGGGGAGCCTCCTCGCCAGAGTTCTCGGGCCCTCTTCCCCACTGCTCTCTAGGTGCTGGTAGGAGCCCGACAGTCCTGGGTTTGAATCTCACCCCCATTCACTAGCTGTGCAACTTTGAGGGGTGACTGACCCCCTCTCCCTCCCTAAGGGGATGATACAGCCACCTGCCCTCAGGACCCAGTGGGGCCTCCATATAGCCAGCCTGGGGGTGTGACTGCCCGGTGCTTCCAGGTGTGGCTGTAGAGTCAGCCCTGGGTTCAAGTCCTGATACTTTCAGTACAAGAAGGGGGCAGAGCTGGGGGTGAGCCTCCTCACCCCATGTGGGCCCAGGCCTTCCTCTGCAGCAGAGTCTGGTCTTGGCAGCCTTTCTCTGGGTTTGCACTGGGGTCAGAGCCCGCACTGGATGTTTTGGGTTTGGGGAGTTCTGTCTGGTGGAGGGTGGGCCTGAGTGAGTCAGGTATTGGGGCCTCTCACTGGATGCCTGGGGCTCTCAGCCATTCTGCTGATGCCCGCTGAGTGTCATCGGCCCTGCGTTGGAGTCTGGGTGAATTTCTGGACCCACGGAGCCTCTGTTTCTTCCTCCATAAAATGGGGATAACAACAGCACAACCCTTCCAGGTGTGAGGCTGCGCTAAGATCACCCTGGAATGCTCTGAGCTCAGCAAGTGCTGAGGTTGAAATGGGAGTGGGGGTTATTTGCTGTTTTATCTGCTGGGCAAGTCTTTAGGTATTCAGCCCTTCCCTCTGCCCTCAGCCCACCTGAAGTTTCTGCTCCAGGGCCCAGAGCTCAGGGGCCCTGTTCCCCAGCTTTCTGTGCCCAGCAGAAGATGGGGTGGGGGAGCAAAGGGGGGATGGAGCCTGCACCCTCCCCAGGGCTAGGGGGGGCCCTCCCACTGTGAGCAGGGCCCAGCCCCTCCCCAGCTCTGACACAGACCCCTGGACATTGGGAGGGTGCTCTGCTCCCTCAGAGATCTGGCTTTGCCCCAAGATTGGAAGCCAACCAAGGAGGGAGGGGCAGGGGCTCCAAGGGAGGCAGAGTGTGGGGAGTAAGGGGGTCACTGCACCTCCATGAGCAGGGGACAGGGTGGACTGGAAAGACCTGAGGCCACAGGGGCATCCTCAGAGTGCTGTCCCCAAAGTCGGGGTCTGTCTCAGCTCTAACAGCAAAGCCGGTCTTTCTCCTGTCTCCACCCCCTTCCTCCTCATGGTACTTGTACCTCTACTGATTTTATACTTGTTTATTAATCCTCAGGCTCCCCCCAGCAGAATGTCAGCTCCTTGAGGGATGGGATCTTGTCTCATTCTCTGCTGCATCCTCAGCAGGGGGTAGGGTGCCTGGGACATTGAGGTATTCACCAACAGCTGTCAGGTGAATGAGTGAGTGAGTGAAAGAATGAATGACCTGTGGGGCAGCTGGGGCTTGTGGCCTGAGAACACCAGCTCCACCTGGCCCTTTCTAGACGTGGACAGAGGGCAGATGCTGACCTGCTCATTGATAGCCAGCCTGGGGGTGGGACAGTCTCCAGCTGTGGCTGTGAAGTCAGCCCTGGGTTCAAGTCCTGATGCTTTCAATAGAAAAGGGAGCAGGGCTGGGGGCTGAGCCTCCCCACCCTGTGTGGGCCGGGGCCCTCTTGTGCAACAGGATGTTGTCTTGGCGGTCTTTCTCCTGGTTTGCACTGGGGTCGGGGCCAGAACTGGATGTGTCAGGTTTGGGGGTCACGGTACCTCAATGTCTTTCTCAAAGCCTCAGGCTGAGGGCCTTGTGAGACCAGTGCCCTCACTCCCTGCTGTGGTTTCCTTGGCTCAGCCCCCCGCCATTCCCTGGCACTGCCAGTGGATCACTGTGTCCTCCCTACTCACTCTCCCACCAAGAGATCCTTTGCATAGGCCGTTCCCTCCGCTGCGAATGCCATTCCCACTGCTTTTTGCATGGCTGCTCCTGAGACCCCTCCCCTCCTCCGAGGCAGCCTCGCCTCCCTGCTGAGTGTGCCCTGTGACTCCCTTCTGCCTTTGCACTTAGCCCTTAGCCCCGCCAGTGTGCATTTCTCACATCACTGTGTTTCTCTTTGCAGGTCACCTGCCTGTCTCCTTGGAAAGTTAGCTCCATGCAGGTTCAGCCTGGGCTGCCCTGCCTACCATTGCCTCCCCAGTGCCCTCATGGTGTACTCCATGGAAGGTACCAGAGCTTAGAGCAAAGCCTAGCGCACAGGGCATGCGATGGTGAATGAATGGATGAACAAACAAGAGCATCAATTTTGGGATTAGACTGCCTGGGTTCACATCCTCACCAGCTCTGACCCTTGGGCAAATTATTTAACCTATCTGGGCCTCAGTTTCCTCATCGATAAAATGGGGATGATCGTAGTGCCTACCTCATGGGGTGGTTATGTGGATTAAATGGTTTCAGGGAGTATTCAATATCTGCAAGTGTGTAACATACGAATATCACGTGAGATTTTTGGGCATAACTGAGCAAATCCCAGCTCTTGATGGGGTCTCAGGAGCAGTGGTGCAAAGAGCAGTGGGAACGGTATTCCTGGCGGAGGGAACAGCATCCACAGGATGTTTTGGAGGGGGTCGGGTAAGAGGGGATGTTTTGGGGGGGCAGGTAAGAGGGGATGTTTTGGGGGGGAGTAAGAGGGGAGGGGAGAGAGATGGACTGGCAGTGCCAGGGAGTGGCCGTCGGGCTGAACATCCACAGAAACCAGACACGAAGAGGAGGCAAGCCAGGCCAGGGGGAAGCATAAAGAGGAAGTGAACCAAAGCAGGGAGCGAGGACTGGTTTCACAAGACACTCAGTGTGAGGCTTCGAGAAGGCCATGGAGGTACAGTGATCCCCCCAAACCCCAGCCCCACCCCAGCTTCTCTTGTGGTCTTCCTCATCCCAGGAAATGGCACCTCCCACTGTCGATGGCCCAGGAGTCAGGCTTGATATTTTTCTTTCTTCCACATCCGCATCTGATCCTTTCACAAATCCTGATGGCTCTACTTAAAATATATCCAAAACCCAGCCATTATCATCTCCACTGCTGCCGTCCCCAACCAGGCCACCGCCATCTCCCCTCTGGGCTCTATCAGCTCCCAGCTGAGAATTGTGATCAGTTTCCCCAGCTTCCCTCGGCCGCTTCAGTCTATTCTCACTCAGAAACCAGAGAGATTGTTTAAAAATACAAATCAAGCCGGGCGCTGGGGCTCGCGCCTATAATCCCAGTACTTTGGGAGGCCAAGTTGAGTGGATCGCTTGAGTCCAGGAGTTCGAGACCAGCCTGGGCAACATGGCGAGACCTCATCTCTACAAAAAATACAAAAATTAGCCAGGTGTGGTGACATGTGCCTCTAGTCCCAACTACTCCGGAGGCTGAGGTGGGAGGATTGCTTGAGCCCAGGAGGTCGAAGTTGCAGAGAGCAAGATCACACCGCTGCACTCCAGCCTGGGTGACAGAGCAAGGCCTTGTCTCAGAACACACACACACACACACACACACACACACACACACACACACACACACTGACCCTGGGCTCGCCCCTGCCCTCACCCTCCTTGGCTTCAGGTGTCCTTAGGGTCAGGACGCCGGGCACCCACCCCAGGGCCATGGCACCTGCTGCTCCAGGCTCCCTGCAGGCCTCACTCCCTCCCTCCACCCAGGTCTCGGCTCCAGTGGCATCTCCTCGCCTCCCTGGGCTCCTTGTCCAAATTCCAGCCCTCTTGTTCTCTGCTCTAGCCCCTCACCTTGCTCCCTGGATCCTAGCGTTGGTTTCCTGGTTCTTTGTCTCTTTCCCAGAAGGTCAGCCTTGAAAAAGCTGGAACTTGGCTTTGCTGTTCAATGTCTCCTGGTGCATGGAAGAGTGCCTGGCAAGAGTCTGTGCTCATAAATATTGATTGAACAAAAGAAGGAATGCTAACTATGACTATTATTACCACTATTGCTTGGCAAAAGCTAGAGGAAGAGAGATTGAGGATAGGGTTGATGTAATTATGTCTAATAAGAAAAAAACAACAACAAACAGTGGCCTGCTCCTGCCTGGCTTCCGTCAAAGACCAAAGACCAGTGGGCTTTCTGTCCTCCGGGCTCTGTCTTCCTGCTGCCACGGTTACCACGGTCCGTGGACTCCAGAAGAAAGGCCAGGCCAGGCTGACTCTGTGGTTCTGCCCAGCTTCCTTGGGTAGCCCAGGGCCTGGTAGAGAAAGATCCCATCCAAAAACAGCTGGCCTCCCCGATCTTATCTCCATGGTGCCCAGATGGAGGGAGAAGGGAGGTACTTGCTGTTCTTCCAGAAAATACGGTCCAGACTCACTCTGCATTTGTGGAGGACCTGCTCATGCTCTGGGCAACTCAAAGACGTGCGGATCGTGGTCCCTACCCTCCAGGAGGTTTCTGGCAGCAAGGAGGGGCCAGAGACAAGCACTGACTTAGCTGTGTATAAAAATAGCAAGGGCTTGCACATGACAGGGAAAAGTCAGGTGCGGAGGAGCAGGAAGAGCTCTCTCACCCATACCTGCCCCAGCCTCACAGTCCACTCGCCCTGATGCACGCCTTCCTGGCTGAGGCGGCTGGGCTCCCATGTCTCCACCGGGTGCCATCCCAAACTCCCAGAGGCCTGGGGCTGAGCCGCTCCCTCCACAAACCCAGGTCTCAACCAGTGGCTGGCAGAGATTAGAGGGCTAGCCCAGACCTCACCGCTGGTGGCTGGTCTGGCAGAGCTTCAGAAGGGTGCAGAAAGGACACTAACTTGGCAATAGCATCCTGGGATCATCTTTCTCACCTCTCTGCTCCTTCAGTTGACAATCCAACTCTGCTCTCCATTGCAGAGAACAGACTCCGGACCCCCAGAGAGACTATGAACTGACCACTGCAGCCCAAGGAGCACCTGCAGGGTTTAGGGGTCCAGGGCTGAGGCCTAGGACCATCACCATGGCAGTCACTGTCATCTCCATGACTACAATCATCACCTCCATGACCAACCACCATCACCTCCATCATCACCACTGTCATGAGGGAAATTGTGTCCTCCCAAAAAATAGGTTCGGCCAGGCATCATGGCTCATGCCTATAATCCCAGCACTTTGGGAGGTTGAGGTGGGTGGCTCACCTGAGGTCAGGAGTTCCAGACCAGGCTGGCCAAAATGGTGAAACCCCGTCTCTACTGAAAATACAAAAAATTAGCCGGGCGTGGTGACGGGCGCCTGTAATCCCAGCTACTTGAGAGGCTGAGGCATGAGAATTGCTTGTATCCGGGAGGCGGCGGTTGCAGTGAGCCGAGATCACGTCATTGCACTCCAGCCTGGGCAACAAGAGCAAAACTCCGTCTCAAAAAAAATAAATAAATAAAAGACAAAAATGTTAGGTTCAAGTCCTAAGCCCAGTCCCTCAGAATGTGGCTTCGTGTGGTCTTTACAGAGGTAACGTAACCAGGTTAAGGTGAGGTCATTGGGGAGCCCTAATCCAGTAAGACTGAGGTTCCTAGAAAAAGGGGAAAGGTGAACAGACATGCAGAGTGAAGATGATGAGAAGACGGAGGGCGGGAGGATGGGAGGACCGGAGGACAGGAGTGACGCGGTCACATGCCAAGGCTGCCAGAAGCTGGAGTAAGGCCTGGGACCGAGGCTTCCCCGGGGACTTAAGAGGCAACATGGCCCTGCCCACACCCTTACAGTGGACCTCGGGCCTCTGGAACTGTGAGGCGGCTCTAGCAAGTGAATATAACCACCATCAGCATCACCATCACCATCATTGTCTTCATCCTCATCCTCAACACCCCGGTATTCATGTATATAACCACCATCAGCATCACCACCACCATCATTATTATCACCCTGTCCTCATCCTCATTCTCAACACCCCTGTATTCATTTCCTTCCTACGGCTGAGGAACACATCACTACAAACGTGGTGCCTTCAAACAACACAGATGATTCTCTTGCTGTTCTGGAGGCCAAAAGTCTGAGATTGAAGTCAGCAAGGGGATGCTCCCTCCCCAGGCTCGGGGAGGACCCTTCCTGCTACTTCCAGTGTCTGGCAGCTCTAGGTGCTCCTTGGCTTGTGGCTGCATCGCTCCACCCTCTGCCTCTGTCTACACATGGCTTCTCCTCTTCTGTGTAACCTAGGCACTTGTGATGGCATTTAGGCCCCACTTGGGTAATTGAGGGTGACCTCCTCCCAAGATCCATAACTTAAATGACATCAGCAAAGACTCTTTTCCCAAATAACATCGCATTCACAGGTTCCAGGGATTAGGGCGTGGACATATTGGGGGAGGGGGGTGTGCACCGTTTAACCCACTACAACAACCAGCACCACCACCAGCAATGCCATGGTCGCCAGCATCAGTTAAGTTCTAGCAAGTACCAGGTCAGTCCAGGGGCCTCACCTGCATCATGGCCTTTCTTCCTTAAGACAAACTCAGAGCAGGTTCTGTTATTTATTTATTTATTTTTATTTTCTAGATGGAGTCTTGCTCTGTTGCCCAAGCTGGAGCGCAGTGGTGTAATCTCTGCTCACTGCAACCTCTGCCTCCCGGGTTCAAGTAATTCTCTTACCTTAGCCTCCCAGGTAGATGGGATTACAGGTGCCTGCCACCACGTCCGGATAATTTTTGTATTTTTAGTAGAGATGGGGTTTCACCATGTTGGCTAAGTTGGTCTTGAACTCCTGACCTCAAGTGATCCAGCCACCTTGGCCTCCCAAAGTGCTGGGATTACAGGCGTGAACCACCACGCTCAGCCCAGGGTCTGTTATTATCCTCACTGCTTAACACATAAAGAAGCCAAGGCTCTGTGAGAAGAACTTCACTTAGAAGTAAGTATTTGAACGCTGGCAGTCTGGCGTCAGTGGCCCCTGCCTAACCATGGTTGTCCTGCCCCCAGCCCCAAACTTGATCATACAGATAATTCCACAGATGAAAGAGTGGGGTGACCAGCACCTGAATAGGAGGCACAGCGCTATGGTCCCATCTAGGCTCTACCACCAGCTGGTGACACATCTTAGCCCCATCTCTTTCCCCTTTCTGGGCCTCAATTTGCCCAACTGTAAAACAAGAAGGGGGGTAGTTGGTCTGGGTAATCTCCGAAGTCCTTCCAGATCTGGGGTTCTGCAACACTGGGTGTCTACTGTCATTTCTGTCGCAAACACTGCCCAGGGTCCCGACTCTCACATCAGCTAAACCCTCTAAACCCACCATCAGCTGCCAGAGAGTTCTGCTTGGACCGTTAGCCTGTGGGGTGAGTGCTGGTGACTGGGAGTGGAGGGGGGTATCGGCTTGCCTGATGCCTCCCAGTATCTCAGGGCTGGGAACCTCGGTCTTATACTCTACAAGACCTGGGGTAGGGTTGGGGGTGGGATGGGGGTGGCGGATGCTCTTTCTTCTTGGAACCCTGACTTTTGGTTCACACATTCAGGGAGGGCTGTGCAGCTGCGAGCGGCTGGTGCTGGGAACAGGGCTGAAAATTACTTTTTTTGCAAGGGCAAAGGCCTCCGTAACCAAAGGCTAACCGCATGCCCTTGGAAGAGAAGAACAAAAAGAAAACATGAAACAGGCTGAAGGGATCTCTGAAAGTTGTTTCCAAAACCTGGGTTGTTCACTAGGAGTTGTTTGTAAGTATAAACATTTTTTTATTTTTATTTTTTGAGACAGAGTCTTGTTCTGTCACTCAGGCTGGAGTGCAGTGGCACGATCTCGGCTCACTGCAACCTCTGCCTCCCAGGTTCAAATGATTCTCATGCCTCAGCCTCCCGTAGCTGGAATTACAGGTGTGTGCCACCACGCCTAATTTTTGTATTTTCAGTAGAGACTGGGTTTCACCGTGTTGACCACGCTGGTTTCGAACTCCAGGCCTCAAGTGATCCTCCTGCCTCAGCCTCCCAAATTGCTGGATTACAGGCAGGCTGCGCCTGGCCAATTTATTTTTTTTTTAATCCATGTTATGGCGTGTACTGCAGAGGCCTTTTTCCTCTGGCTTCCCTGTCCAGAGCAGCAACTGTTTGCATTGAGCTGATAATGTCCAAGAGTGGGGAGCTAAGTTAGGGAGAGAATCACAAACTTTAATTAGCAGGATGAGATTAACATCCCAGCAGGGGCTTGAGGGTGGGGGGCGTCCTTCAGGCCCATCTGATCCCAGTGGAGACCTCCCCACAAGCCCCCGAATCCTGGGACACTGAAAGCCAGGCGCCTTTGAGGGTGGAGGGAGGCCACCCGCCTCCCCACCTGGCCAGAAATCACACGCCCCGCAGCCTGCCCTGGCTTGGTTCAGCAGGGCCCAGAATGTCCTGGTCTTTATCTGGTTCAGTTTTAAGTGCTTCCAACGGCAGCGAAGCTGTTCCACCACGGTCCCCAGGAAATTGGTCCATGTAGGACCGAGCCTTCCCGAGAATGAAGTCATCTGTGCCGTTTTTATTTTTTGTTGCCTTTCTCCTACAACGGGAGAGTCACTGGTCCTCTGCAGGTCCCTCCCCGCGGCAACGCACCCAGCCGCGGGGCCCGGCCGGGCTGGTGGGGGAAGGGGCGAGGAGCAGGGCCCCGGGGTGCACGGTCGCCCGACGCCCCCTGCCCGCGCCCCAGCCCGGCCCCCGCCCTCCGCGGCCTGAAGGTGAGCTCCCGGGGGAGACCCCCGCGCCCGGCACAGCCTGCTGGGCAAACAGTAACAGTAAATAACGCTCCCTTGTCAACGTAATAGAAACAGAAACGGTTACAATGTTTCTTTTTCTTTTTTTTGTTTTTTGTTTTTTCTTTTTTTTTTTTGAGATGGAGTCTCACTCTGTCGCCCAGGCTGGAGTGCAGTGGCGCGATCTCGGCTCACTGCAAGCTCTGCCTCCAGGGTTCACACCATTCTCCTGCCTCAGCCTCCCGAGTAGCTGGGACTACAGGCGCCCGCCACCATGCCCGGCTAATTTTTGTATTTTTAGTAGAGGCCGGGTTTCACTGTGTTAGCCAGGATGGTCTGGATTTCCTGACCTTGTAATCCACCCGCCTCGGCCTCCCAGAGTGCTGGGATGACAGGCGTGAGCCACCGCGCCCGGCGGTTACAATGTTTTTTAATAAGCACACCCCATCAATCTCCCTCCCGGGCCCTGGGCACCGGGGAGGAGGGGTAAGGGTGGGGGGCACCGGGGCTCGCTGCTTGGGGGGCCCAGGATACAGGCGGAGGACGCCCGGGAAAAGAGGGGAAAACACAGCAAGTGAGAGACGAGGGGGCTCGAGCGGCCAGGGTCAGGCGAGCTAGCGGAGCCGGAAAGCGGCCGCAGAGAGTAACATCGTTGCCATAGCGACGTGCCCGCGAGGAACAGCGGCCAAGGCGCCCGCACCGCCCGGCCCCTCCCACCAGCCCGTTGCCACGGAGACCGGGCCGGAGTGGCGCCGCGCTGTCTGCCGCGGCCTCCGGCGCCCCGACCTGCGCATTCGCAGCGGGACCTTGGGGGGCGCCGTGGGAGTGCCCTGGCGCCGCGCCGCGCCGGGGCCATCCGGACCCCTAGGCCTATTCCCGCCGCCTGCTCGGGTGGTGGTGGGGGGAGGGAAAAGACAAACTGTTCTTTGTTTGCCTTTGGAAAGCCGGCCTGCCTTTGTTCCGGGCGGGTTCGTTGGTTTCCAGGCGTTGAAGGCTGGGAGAGGAGGGGGTAGGGATCCCGGCCCAGCGGTCCCAGACGTTTTCGGAACTACAGACCCTGGGCTCAGCGCGGGGTCGCCGAGGGGACGCGGGCCACCAGCCCTATCCTCCGGAGCTCAGGCGCAGTCCAGGCTTCCCAGGCCCCGGGGCTGCCCTCCCGGAGCCTGACCTCCCCTGGGGGTGGGGGTGCTGCCCTGGGGCCCCCTTCCTGGGTTTCCTGGTCCTTCTGTCCACGTATCTCACTCCCCCATTGAACCGGCAAAGAGCACAAAGCAGAAAAGACATCCTTGCCGCCCCAGGCTCCCCCATCTAGCAGAAAACTCTGAAACAGTCCTCACCCCTCCCAAAGTTGAGAGAAACGTGGATGTTCCATAAACAAAACCCGCCCTCCAGCAGCATGTTTAAGTGGAGGCGACCTCGCGTGGGTGTGCGTGTGTGTATGTGTGCGTGTCTGCGTGCGCCGGGGACGCGCGATCATCTCTCAGGCTGTTTGTGGATAATTTTTTTCTCTAGATTTTGTTTGTTTTTAATAAGGATCAGAGGTCTGGGCTGTGGGGAAGGGGCAAGGGTCATCTCGGATGGCCAGGCCGGGAGGTACCAGGGGGACAGGTCTCCGGGCCTGGCCTGCCGAGCGAGGCGGGATCCGGAGCCGCCCCATCTGGCCCTACTCCCGGCAGTGGCTGGTGGGAGTCAGTGGGGACCGGCTCCGTGGGCTGCTCCTGGGGTATGGCCCCAGAGAGGAGCCAAGCCAAAGAATACGATTTCTCTCCCCTGCACAGGGCAGCTGTCATTTCCCCGGCCCCTGTCCTGGCCATAAGGGCCAAGAGAGAAGGCAAGCAGAGTGGCTCGGGTCTCTGGGGCTTTCTACACTGGAAAGGGAGGTTTTTGTTTTTTTGTACAAGGCAGACTTCAACTTTCAGCGAGCAGGCTGACCAGATGGGAATGTAGGGAGGGTGTGCGGGGAAAGGGGACCCCCCTGCTTCAAACTACCTCCCTGCCATCATTGCCTACCAGCCTGGGCCCCCACTGCGGCCCTGTGCTGGCTGAAGGGAGGGAGGGGCTGGGGCTGATGTTTCTTCTTTCCTACTCCCTCCTTCTTTCTAGATGTGAGAAAGGAACCCCGCCCTGTAGGGGAAGCTTGTCTGGTGTCCAGAAGACTTAGGGTCCATGGGCCGGGTGTGGTGGCTCAAGCCTGTAATCCCAGCACTTTGGGAGGCCGAGGAGGGCAGATCACGAGGTCAGGATATCGAGACCATCCTGGCTAACACGGTGAAACCCCGTCTCTACTAAAAAATACGAAAACTTAGCCGGGTTGCGGGGTGGCGGGCACCTATAGTCCCAGCTACTCGGGAGGCTGAGGCAGGAGAATCGCTTGAACCTGGGAGGCGGAGGTTGCAGTGAGCCGAGATCACGCCATTGCACTCCAACCTCGGCAACAAGAGTGAAACTCCAACCTCGGCAACAAGAGTGAAACTCCATCTCAAAAAAAAGAAAGACTTAGGGTCCACAGTGGCAGTCTGGGTGTTGTATTGCCATCTCTCCTTGAAGGAGAAGATGAACACTTGGTGGGAGGGCGCCTGGGAGCTGTTGCTGCAGTGTAGAGAAGCCCCATCTTGGCCCAGCGGGCAGCAGCCTGTGCTGAGAATGGGGACTCCAGGACCAGAGAGGCCTGGCAGTGGATCCTGGCTCTGCCAAAACCACTGCTTGTGCATCTGGACGACGGGGACAGCGCAGTGCCCCTGTCACAGATGGTGATGGCTCCTGGCGGTGGTGCACAGAAGCTCGTGGCATGGCATCTGGTGCACAGTAGGTGCTAGAACATGGAATCTGTCATTGGAGCTGGTGTGACCCAAGATGGCCACCTTGGGTCTCTGACACTCCGGGGCTGGCTGTGTCCCAGGACAGGTTCATCTTTGGTCAAGCCTCCAGGAAAAGAGCACTGGACTGGGGTCAGGAGAAGCAGAGGCCATGGGTTCTGTCACCAACCAACTGTGTAATCCGACACAAGTCCCTGAGCTGCTTTGAGCCTCAGTCTTCCCATCTTGCAAATGGGGATAATAATCACAACCACCACTGACTGTGAACTTACTCAGTGCCAGGCACTCCACCGAGGCCTGTACATTGCCTTATCTAATTCGACCCTCAAAGCAACCAAGTGAGGTAAAGACTAGATCCCAGTTTCACAGATGAAGGGACAGAGCCTCAGAGAAGTGAAGCCACATGCTGGGGACACACAGCTGGAAGGTGGTGCAGTCTCCATCACACACCCCTGAGAGCGAGTGTCCAGCTGCTGCTCCTGTCTCTGTTGTTCCCCCGCTCTTCCTGCTCACCTCCTGTACTTTTTGGTGGCTCAGGCCACAGCCCTCCCTTTGTATTTGAACCCTTGGATCCAGCCATTGTGGAATCTTCTGAGTCTGGTGGAGATCCAGCCCCCTCAGTGGGAGACATCCTCAGGGGTAGATGGGGGCTTCAGGAAAGCCAGGTGGGCCCCACATGGTCCCCACAGTCAACCCGGCAGCCCCCAGCCGATCTGCCATCCACTGAGTCTCCCCCTGCCGTTTACACCGAAGGGTTGGGGTTCCTAACCCACCCAGGTGGACGCGTGGCCTCCAGATGGTGCAGTTAATCCCGCTGGAAGCCGTACATCAGCGTGATTGTCCCAGCTTCCCTTCTCCTCCCCTCCTCCGCGCTGTCACCTCTGAGGAGCTAGTGGGAGAAGCGCCCCTCCAGCCCCCCGCTCCCGTCCCAGGCTTTGTTCCTGCTCAGTAGCCGGAACAGGAAGTGGCCCAGTCACGGTCTCCATAGCCCATGTTTGAATCTCAGCCCTGTCACTGCCCAGCACGGTGGCTTTGGCCAAGCATTTCATCTCCTGTTATCCTGTTTCCTCATCCATGAAATAGGGTGGGTCACAGCGCCTCCCTGATCCCAAAGATGGGGGCTGCTGTGTATGAGCGCTCCACCGTGGACCTGGCTCCCAGGGATCCTGGGATATGTAACAAGTGCTTACTTTGGGCTAGGTGTTGTAAATGCTTTAGCTCAGCAAATCCTCAAACAAGCACGTTAATGACCCTGTTTTATAGGTGGAGAAGCCGCCACTCCGAGAAGGGAAGTAAGTTGCCCAAGGCCACACAGCCAATTAGCAGAAGAACTGGGATTAAACCAGGCAGGCCTGTGCAGCTCTAAAGACCTCGCTGTAACCTTAGGTTCCTGGCCCTCCCTACTGAGCTCCTCTGAGGCTACCAAACCAGTGTCTGCAGTGACAGCATCTTTAGCCTTCCCTGGGGCTGCTGGGCTAATAGGGCCTTAATAAAGCCAGCAGAGGCATCTGCAGCTTTGCAGGGCAGGAGCTGAGGGGCCTGGTGCAGAAGATGTGTCCTGATGAAAATATCAGGTGGGGAGGGGGAGGGGACCATGGGGTGAGCCGCCTGCTCATGTCTCCAGCTTCCTGACCTCTGTGGCTGAGTCACTGGAAGCCTCCAGGTGCAGGGGACAATCAATTCCATCACTCATTCCATCCATGTTGGCTTACTTCCTTTCATCCATCCATCCATCCATCCATCCATCCATCCATCCTCCCAATCACTCATCCTCCCTCCCGTGCTGCCATGCATCCACCCATCCATGAATCCACTCAGCTACCCATTCCTTCCCTCCTTTCCTCCTTTCATTCTCTCCTTCCTTCTGCCCATCTGTCCATCCAGTGTTTACTGAGCACCTATCTTGAGCCAAGCCTTATGTGACGTGCCCAGGTTCCTCCCTCTGAGGGACTCACATTCTCAAAAGGATGCAAAACAACTAACCCCAAGTGCCCAGGGCCCTAGGAGAGGAGAGGGCATCTCAGGGGCTCTGACACTGGGCTCTGCACACCTTCCTCAGCCAAGGCCGCCAGGTGACCTTGGGCCGATCACACTCCCTGGGGACCTCTCTTCTACATATTCAAAAAAGGGTGTGCTTGTCCATTCGGCTGTTATGACAAAATACCTTAGACTGGGTTATTTATAAACAAATTTATTGTTCACAGTTCTGGAGGCTGGGAAATCCAAGATGAATGTGCCTGCAGATTCGGTGTCTGATGAGGGCCGTTTCCTCATAGATGCCTTATAGCCTTGTCCTCACGTGGTGGAAGGGGTGAGCAGGCTCCCCAGGCCTCTTGCCTAAGAGCATGAATTCCATTCATGAGGATAGAGCCCTCATGACCTAATCACCTCCCAGAAGCCTCACCTCTTTTTTTTTTTTTTTTTTTTGAGACGGAGTCTCACTCTGTTGCCCAGGCTGGAGTGCAGTGGCGCGATCTCAGCTCACTGCAAGCTCCACCTCCCGGGTTCACACCATTCTCCTGCCTCAGCCTCCCCAGTAGCTGGGACTACAGGCGCCCCCCCACCATGCCTGGCTAATTTTTTGTATTTTTAGTAGAGATGGGGTTTCACCGTGTTAGCCAGGATGGTCTTGATCTCCTGACCTCGTGATCCACCCACTTCGGCCTCCCAAAGTGCTGGGATTACAGGCGTGAGCCATTGCCCCAGGCCAGAATCCTCACCTTTTAATACACATTGCAGATAATGGTGTTTTTTTGTTTTGGTTTGGTTTGGTTTGGTTTTTGTTTGTTTGTTTTGAGACAGGGTCTCCCTCTGTCACCCAGGCTGCAGTGCAGTGACCTCATCTTGACTCACTACAGTCTCGGCCTCCCAGGTTCAAGCAATCCTCCCTCCTCAGCTTCCCGAGTAGCTGAGATTACAGGTATGTGCCACCACACCTGGCTAATTTTTGCATTTTTTGTAGAGACGGGGTTTCACCATGTTGGCCAGGCTGGTCTGGAACTCCTGACCTCAGGTGATCCACCCGCCTCAGCCTCCCAAGGTGCTGGGATTACAGGCATGAGCCACCAAGCTTGACGCAGATTATGTCTTGACATACGAATTTTGGGGGGAGGGGGGTCAGGTCATGGTAAATGTGGTGCATTGTGATGTCTCCTATTCTGTATTTCTACAATCCCAAACAGGTGAGTAAGAACCCAACTAACTACTCCCCCGAGCACCCATTCCCACCCCGGCCTCTGGGATCTGCCTCCAACACCTGCAGGTTCCCCAGATTGAGGTCCAGGTCCGCTCCAATTGACCCAGACAAGCTGCGGTGGGACCTGGCAGAGGTGGGGGCCGGGGCAGAGCACTGGACTCAGAAGCAAGAGGCCAGGGGCGGGGTCTGGCTCTGTCCTGTGATGTGTGACCCTGAGGAAATGGCATTCCAGAGCTCAGATGAAATACCTTAGAGACTCGGGAAATGTCAGCTGTTGGGGGCATTACTGTTATAATTATTGCTGTCATATTGTTGCTACAAAAGAAGCTGGTTAGAGCCACTGGCTTTGGGAGGCATCGTTCATTCGGTGGTTACCACTCGTTCACCCACTCACTCAATAAAAATTTATTACTGTGGCTGGGCATGGTGGCTCACACCTGTAATCTCAGCACCTTGGGAGGCCGAGGCGGGCGGATCACCTGAGGTCAGGAGTTCGAGACCAGCCTGGCCAACATGGTGAAACCCTGTTTCTACTAAAAATACAAAAATTAGCCAGGCATGGTGGCGGGCACCTGTAATCCCAGCTATTTGGGAGGCTGAGGCAGGAGAATCGCTTGAACCCTGGAAGCCGAGGTTGCAGTGAGCTGAGATTGTGCCATTGCACTCCAGCCTGAGCAACCAGAGCAAAACTCTGTCTCAAAAAAAAAAAAAAAAATGGCCAGGTAAGGTGGCTCACGCCTGTAATCCCAGCACTTTGGGAGGCCGAGGCGGGTGGATCATGAGGTCAGCAGATCGAAACCATCCCGGCTAAGACGGTGAAACCCCATCTCTACTAAAAATACAAAAACTTAGCCAGGCATGGTGGCGGGTGCCTGTAGTCCCAGCTATTTGGGAGGCTGAGGCAGGAGAATGGCGTGAACCCAGGAGGCGGAGCTTGCAGTGAGCCGAGATCGCACCACTGCACTGCAGCCTGGGCGATAGAGCAACACTCCAACTCAAAAAAAAAAAAAATTTATTACCGTGATCTGTGCCACGTGTTGGGCCCTGAGCCAAGTGCTGGGGAAGATACTAGGTAAGACAGGATCCTGCCCTCCAGAGAGGGCGTTGAACAGGTAGGTGTCACCTCGATTGCCAGGTCCCCATTTAATAGAGGCTGTGTTGAGGATTCTGAGACTACATCTCGGCTTAGAGGGAAAGAGTGCTGTGATCAATTAGTAATGTCTGCCACATTCACAGGGAGAGGAGTCTACACTAAGGCATTTCCTGGCCTTAACACTAAAGAATAGGCAGGATTGGCCGGGCGCAGTGGCTCACGCCTGTAATCCCAGCGCTTTGGGAGGCTGAGGCAGGTGGATCACGAGGTCAGGAGATCGAGACCTTCCTGGCTAACACAGTGAAACCCCGTGTCTACTAAAAATACAAAAAAATTAGCCAGGCGTGGTTGCAGGTGCCCGTAGTCCCAGCTGCTGGGGAGGCTGAGGCAGGAGAATGGTGTGAACCCGGGAGGCGGAGCTTGCAGTGAGCCAAGATCGCACCACTGCACTCCAGCCTGGGAGACAGAGCAAGACTCCGTCTCAAAAAAAAAAGAATAGGCAGGATCTCAGACAGGAGACCCTCGTGACTGTGTGACTGTGGTTGCCTGACACACGACCAGAGACAGCAAGTCATTGACCTACTGCTTGCCTCGTTTTACCTGTTTGCGAAGCAGAGATGCCAACATGGGACTCACTGCATTTTTAGAAGGAGCTAGAGCTGGACAGCCCAGCCTTCCTGTTTTAACCCAGCCTCCTCTGGGCTGGAGTGAGGATCAAGTGTGAGATGCCCCTAAATGGAAACACATCGCGCTCAGCAGATGCCTGGTGGACGGCCGACCAGGAGCTGGAGCTGCAGCAAGAGCACAAGAGAGCTGGGCTTCCAGCTGCTCTGCCATTGGCCCTGCTTGGGCCTCAGCTTCTCCATATGCTCAGTGCGTGCTTGGAGGATGGAAGTGTTTTGGGGCCTCTGGAATCCGCTGTCTTGTGATGCCTGCAATGCTGAGACCTGGGGTCGGGGGAGCAGAATGAAAGCGGAGCCCAGGAGGGCAGATGGTGGGAAGGAGCACTCCAGTGCCCCATGTGGTGGGAGGCTGGGTGGGCAGAGGGGAGAGGGAGGACATGGGGAAGGGCAAGGAGAGGCCACCACTGCTGGATCTTCCCGAGGGCTGTCTAACTCCCTCCCGAGGGCTGTCTAGCTCCATCAGGGGGCGCTTCCCCATGCACCCCCATCCCAGGTGTTATCTCGAGCAAGGAAGGGCAGAGGGAAGAGAGGGTGGGCAATGTGGGGGCCCCAGGGAGTGTTGGAGGGGCTGAGGCCCTGATAGGTGGGCGCCTGAGTTCTGAAGAGGCCCTGGCAGTGATGACCCCTGGCTCCAAGACTGGAACCCAGGAGCAGCAGGCTGGGGCAGAAGACGCAGGCCAAGCCCCAGTACTCAGGAGCATTGGGGAAACCAGGGCAGCTCCCGGAGAGGCCAAGGTGACCCTCAGACCCTAAAAACAGACTGGCCACGTCTCCCAGGTGGATGCAGCAGTTTCTCCATGAGCATGACTTGGGGATTTAGGGCACTGAGACTCTGCTACCCACCCCCCTTAAAAATCCCTTGTGACTCCCAGTTGTCCTGAAGGGGAACCCCAAACTCCTCAGAGGCAGCACATGCTGGTGGGTGAGAATTGGGAGCCTGAGTCCAAGTTCCAGCCTGGCCACTATCGGCTGTGTGACCACCAGTAACTCGCCTAACCTCTCTGGGCCTCATGGGCTCGTTGGAGGATGTGGTGAGCGAGTGACTGAGATGAGCTTAGCACAGTGCCGGCCACACTGCCATTGTTCAGTGCCGGGTGGCTGTGCTTACCACCACTGCTGGCTGTAACTGGCAGAGCAGGGCATAGAAGGTCTTGGCCACTTGAACCCTAGTTGGCCTATCCTTTCTCATCGGCTCCAGCTCCACCCGCTGATGCCGCCCCAACACCAAGCTGCTCTCTGTTCCCTCAACACTCCTTGGTCTTTCATGCCACTGGGCCTTTGCTTCTGCTGTGCCCCCGTCAGGAATGCCCTTTCCCCTCCAGGCTGCTTCCAGACTCTGCCGGTTGTCGAGTGCCCTGGAAACCCGCTCACCCTGCAGGAGTTACTCAGTGTCCTGTGTGCATCCAGACCTTGGTGTGTGGTATCGAGCCTGTCTCCTGTCTGAGTCTGTGACTTCTCAGGCGCACATGTCGTGGCCTATTCATTTTCTTATCCTCGTTGCCCAGCGCCGCGCCTGTCACACGGTGGGTGCTCCGTAGAGTGGGCTGGAGGATAGAAGCAATCAATCCCCAATACCGTGGACGTGCTTGGTGGCAGGAGATGCTTTGCTTCGATGAAATGCTCCGCCTCCAGGTTAGTGCTTTGCATGAGGGATAGGGACATGGAGGCGCCACGAAGGATCAGCAAGGCCCCTAATGACTCCTTTCTCTCCTCACCCCTCCTCTGCCTCTTATTCCTGCCCTGAGCAGGCATTGAGCTCCTGGGGTTGGGCAAGGAAGGGAGAGCAAGTGGCAGGGGGTGGGTGGGCAGCAGGTTCCCAGTCCTGCAGGCGCTGCTGGGATCAGGATGCCACCCTCGCCACCCTGGGAGTTGTCTGCAGCACAGGGGCAGCTGGAGGTGGAGGTCGTGTGCTCCATGGACAGGTGGGGGTCATGTGCTCCATAGGGTGCCCGGCTGGGCCCTTGTCCCCAGTGCCCTCCCTGGCTGCCAGACCTCTCACTGTGAGGCAGCCAGGTCTCTCCCTGTCCTGGCAGAGGGAAGGCTGTTGCTCCCATCTGGCTCTGCTCCTGGCCATCTGCCCTCTGACCCCACCTGCCCCAGGATGAGTCCCTGCAGAATGCTCGAGTTAAACAGAGTCTGAGGGAGTAGTGAGTCCAGCCTTCCCATTTGGCAGATGAGAAAACTGAGGCCCAGGGAGGCAAAGAGCCTTGTCTGAGGTCACACCAGGAACGCAGAGTTCCATCTATGGCTTGATGTTCTTCCAGGACAGGAGAAGACCTTGGTTTTGACCCTGAGGAAACAGCAAAACTTGGACCTTGAAGACAGGAGATTGCCATGACTAATTTGGGGGCAGGCGGTGTGACTTTGAGTATGTTACCTAACCTTGCTGAGCCACGTGGTACTGGTGAGGATTCGGTGAGATGACAACTGGTCACAGCATGGCAGGCCTCCTGGCATGTCCCTGACTCTCCTTCAACAGGAGCTTTCGATATATTAGGGAGCAGGTAAGCCTCACCTTGAACAAATCCAACTGATGACACTTGTTTTTATGCAGACATAGCGGTTCCCCTGACCTTTGTGATAGTGTGGGATGACCATGTGTGATGGAGAAGGGCCCACGGCAGGTTTCTCTGGGTATAGTTAGGCGGGACCAGATGTACATCCTGCTCTGCCCCCAGAAGCTGCAACTCGAGAGGGGCTTGGTGGCTCTGGGCCTCATCTTGCCCATCTGCAAAATGGGAGCAATGGCACTTCCCTCTCCAGGCTGTTGTGCCCCTTGGTGAGATCACTTCGGGATGTAGAGCCTTGTGAGCGCAGGCCTCCCAGAAGTCCATCTTCCTCACCAACAAATGACCCGGTTCCGGAGAAAGATCTCGCCTTTGGTTGCAAGGTAAGCCAGGTAGACCTGGCCTCAGGGCCTGGGTTTCCTGGGGAGGGATGGGGTCTCAGAGCTCCTGGGCTGAGTGAGTCGAGTCCCCCCAGGAACAGGAAGCTCTGCCCATCTGCAGCCCTGTCCACAGCTGGTCATCCCTTCCTCCCCATGCTGCTGGAAGCTTGGGACCCACCGGGCCCTCCCCGCTGCTGCTGGGTGCCACGTGGCTGCCGTTTGCCGAGGAGCGGGTGGGGCAGAGGGGTGTACATTTTCCAGGCGATGTTTCCCTGGCAGCTCTGAAAATTAACTGGCCGTTAATGTGGCATACTATTTATTTTAATTAGCAGGAAATTGACCAATTTCTTAATAAGAGGCTTTGTGGAAGCCAAACCTGTATTTGGGGTTGGCGGTGTGTGTGGTGGGGGAGGCGGTGATCAGACAAGAATGACACCCACAGCCCAAGAGGGGACCTTCAGGCACCACAGATGAGGTGGACAGAGTGACGGGACAGAGCAGCAGGGCCTGGAGAAACATTAGGGGGCAGCAGGAGGAGAGGGCTCTGGGCCAGGGGACCTGCAGAGGGCCGGGGGACATGGCCACAGGCCTCTGTGGGATCTGACTTCACTGATCTCTGCTTTTGACTTTGGCCTGGTGGGGTCAAATCCCTGATCTCTGTGTCAGGACTGTGCCTCTTGCCTCTAGCAACACCCCTTTCCCATTGGAGGAATTAACAGAGCAAATCAGTACCTGTGCGGGATTTCCTAAAGGCTCCCATTGTTTTTCTTTCTTTCTTTTTTTTGAGATGGAGTCTTGCTCTGTGGCCCAGGATGGGGTGCAGTGGCATGATCTCGGCTCACTACTACCTCTGCCTCCCGGGTTCAAGTGATTCTCCTGCCTCAGCCTCCTGAGTAGCTGGGACTACAGGCATGAGCCACCACGCCTGGCTAATTTTTGTGTTTTTAGTAGAGATGGGGTTTCACCATGTTGGCCAGGCTGGTCTTGAGCTACTTACTGACCTCAGGTGATCCACCCACCTCGGCCTCCCAAAGTGCTAGGATTACAGGCGTGAGACACCGCACCCGGCACCTGTTGCTTTTCTTAGATCCGACAGAATCACCAAGGTCCCCTAAGCACTTGTGCTGTGATGAGTTTCCCCATTTTACCAATGGGGAAACTGAGGCCCAGAGAGATGCCGTGTTTTGCTGGAGCCCCACAGATAACCCTACTCATCCTTCAGGTCAGCCTTCAACATAATGGTCTCAGGGGAGGCTGCCCTGACTCCCGGGTGGAGCTCAGGGCCCTGTTCCACTCTCACACGTATCCTGCACTTCTCCTTCAGGGTCGGATGGCAGTGGCAATGAACCGGCTCGATGTTTCACTGTCTTCACTGTCTGCCTCCCTCCCTGGACTGTGAGTCCTCCAAGGGCTGTTAGTGTGTTTGTGCACTCACAGTTGAACCCCAGAACCCAGGCAGGCCTGGCCCGTGGTGGGTAGGTGCCCATTGTTTGTTTGTTGAATGAGTGAGTGAGTGAATGAATGAATGATGGAGGCGAGAAGATATCATTTGAGCCTGGGAAGCAGAGGTTGCAGTGAGCCGAGATTGCACCATGGCACTCCAGCCTGAGTGACACAGCAAGACTCCGTCTCAAAAAAAAAAAAAAAAAAGATCTTATCTCCAAATATGTTACTTTGTAAAGTACTGGAGGTGGGAGCTTCAACACAAGAATTTGGGAGGGGGAAAATTCAACCCATAATAGTGTGTGAGACCAGAAAATTCCTCCCCCCACCGCCCATTTACAGGTCTCCTATGGAGAGAAGCATTGACTGGGGACACTTACTGGGTTGTGTTTGCTGGTGGCTGGGCTGGAAGGTCCACAAAGGCTCACTTCATGTGAGTGGCACCTCAGAGCTCTTCCACAGGCCCTTCTCTCCATGCAGCTCTCTTGGGCTTCCTCACAGCATGGTGAGTTTTTTCACGGTGACTGGCTTCCAAGGGGAAGGACTTCAAGCTGGGTGAGAGAAGATGCCTCAAATCTCTGCAGCCTCAGCCTGGGAACTCACACAGCGTCGCTTCTGCTACATCCTGTTGATGAAAGCCAGTCCTGGAATCAGCCCAGATCCAAGGGGAGGAGAAAAATACTCCATGTCTTTCTGGGAGGAATGACTAAGAATCCGCAGCCGCCTCCAATCCACCATGCCCACGCAAGAGACAGGAGTGATAATTGCAACCAAGATGGTGCATGGTAGCAGATTGGTCACTGTTTCCAGTTATTCACTGTCCTCCCAGTGAGAGGACTATTCATCCTGCCCCATTGCTACACGACGTGCAGGGCCTCCAGTGCTGGGTACACCTCCCCTCCCCACCAAATCAGGTTTGGCCATGTGACTTGCTTTAGCCAGTGAATCCGGAGCCCAAGTCCTAGCAGGCCATTCAAAAGAGAAGCTTCAAGAGCCATCACGTGGGTTGGCCAGCCTGCTTTTCCCTTTGAACAGAGCTGTGTTTTCTAGAGAGAGACCTTAGGTAAGCCTCCCTGTTCCACAGAATACAAATCCAATTGGTAAGACTTCTATCCATCTTAAGAAACCTTTATATATATATATCTGTATATATGTATATATGTGTATATATATGTATATATGTGTATATATGTGTATATGTGTATATATGTGTGTATATATGTGTATATGTGTATATATATGTATATATATATGTGTGTGTGTGTGTGTGTGTGTATATATATATATATATTTTTTTTTTTTTTGAGATGGAGTCTCACTCTGTCGCCCAGGCCGGACTGCAGTGGCGTGGCGTGATCTCGGTTCACTGCAAGCTCCGCCTCCCGGGTTCACACCATTCTCCTGCCTCAGCCTCCCGAGTAGCTGGGACTGTAGGCGCCCGCCACCACGCCCAGCTAACTTTTTGTATTTTTAGTAGAGACAGGGTTTCACCGTGTTAGCCAGGATGGTCTCGATCTCCTGACCTCGTGAACCGCCCACCTCAGCCTCCCAAAGTGCTGGGATTACAGGTGTGAGCCACCGCGCCCAGCAGAAACCTTTATATTTTTAAATCTCTCCATTCTCAAATATTCAAAGCCCTTAAATTCATTTATTTTTCTAGAAGTAACACCTGGCAAGTCTGGTATCTCAAGGCGCCACCCATTCCTTCTTAATCCACAAGAACTCACTGAGGGTGGGGAGCCTGGGAGGTCACCACAGCCTGCAAATCCGAACCTGGATGTAGTGAGTGCCTGGGGTGGCCGGGCTTTCTGCAGGTGTGTGCACATTGTCGGCCAAATCTCAGCCCTGAACTGAGTCCTGAGCTTAGGACTCCTCCTGGCTATCTTCTGGGAACATTGTGGCTCAGAGAGGTTAAGTGAGTTGCCCAAGGTCATTCAGGTAGGGCAAGACTGGACCCCGGGGCCATCTTGCTCTAAAGTTCTTAACCACTGGACTCTCCAGCTCTCATCGTGAGCTACAGATGTTTAGTTTAGTTTAGTTTAGTTTTATTTCATTTTACTTTATTTTGAGACAGGGTCTCTCTCTGTCATCCAGGCTGGAGTGCCGTGGCACAATCATGGTACGCTGCAGCCTTGACCTCCCTGGGCTCAGCTGATCCTCCCACCTCAGCCTCCCGAGTAGCTGGGACCACAGGTGCATGCTACCACACCCGGCTAATTTTTGCTTTTTTTTTTTTGAGATGGAGTTTTGCTCTTGTTTTCCAGGCTGGAGTGCAATGGCACAATCTTGGCTTACCGCAACCTTTACCTCCCAGCTTCAAGCAATTCTCCTGCCTCAGCCTCCCGAGTAGCTGGGATTATAGGCATGTGCCACCATGCCCATCTAATTTTGTATTTTTAGTAGAGACAGGGTTTCTCCATATTGGTCAGGGTGGTCTTGAACTTCTGACCCTCGGGTGATCTGCCTACCTCAGCATCCCAAAGTGCTGGGATTACAGGTGTGAGCCACTGCGCCCGGCCATTTTTGCATTTTTTTGTATCGATGAGCTTTTGTCATCTTGCCTAGGCTGGTCTCAAACTGCTGGGCTTAATCGACCTGCCCACCTTGGCCTCCCAAAGTGCTGGGATTACAGGCATAAGCCATGGTGCTGGCCCTAGATATTTGTTAAGTGGACGAATAAACTACCCTTTGGAAACCTGAAAGGTTTTGGATGCAGTGACAGAGGTGTTCCAATCTCAAGGTTTGGCTAAAAGCCATATGAACTTGGGGTGGGGAAGGATACACTGAATGGGGTCCACTCTCTCCCCAACTCTCCCTCCTCTGTCCTCAGAGGAGAATCTGATGCTTGTAATGCAGAATCTGGAGAATGTGTCAAAATGATAGTGACACTGACATTTACTGAGAGATTGCAGTGACCAGCCCCCAGTCTCAGAGCCCTTCCTAATTTCACGCCTTTACACCTCCTCAGGGATGTGGTGAGGTTAGAGACCATCATTATTCCCATTTCACTAATGAAAAAACTGAGGCACACAGTAGGCTGAGTCCACGCCTTCCAAACTATCTGCGATGAAGGAACTTCGAGAAAACATGTTCCAATCTGTCAGGAATGATATTTTTATAATACACACGGTCACAATGGGATGTAGGCAGTGTCAAGTTGCTATGAAAGTTACTAAATGCTTATTCTCAGTTCTAAGCGTGTCATGTTACAAACAGTGTGTGGCCCAGCACGGGTCCTTGGACCACGCACTGGGGTCAAGTCACAGAGTGTGACTGGTGGGGCCAGGATTTGGACCCAGAGGGTCTCGCTCCAGAGCATGGGCTCTGAACCACTCACCAGAGGGGCATGGATCATAAGGTGGGGTGGGGAAGGGTCTGCCCACTGTGTAGATTACATAACAAATATCCGAGGGAAAAGCGAGAGGACGCAGGCTGCTGTCAGGACTGTTCGGGAGCCTTGGGCATGTGCAAAACAACAGCTTGTCTACGGAGAGAACCGGAGCAAGGAAACGGGCCCTGGTGAGAACTATTGCTGTGGGGTTTGAATTAGGCCCCTTTGAGGTTCTTTGGGAGTCACAAGGACATTCAGAAAGTTAGTTTAAATTACTTGTGACTGTTGGATTATCAGGTCCCAGGAGGCAGAGACGGAGCTATGTGGAAGCCCAGCTTTTATCTGGGTTACACCGGCACCAATCTGGGTTTCCACACATCTCTTTCCACTCCCAAGTAAGTTACTTATGCTTATTTTATTACTTTTTATTTATTTATTTATTTATTTTTTTGAGACAGAGTCTCGCTGTGTCGCCCAGGCTGGAGTGCAGTGGTACGATCTCCGCTCACTGGAAGCTCGGCCTCCCAGGTTCACACCATTCTTTTGCCTCAGCCTCCCGAGTAGCTGGGACTACAGGCACCTGCCACCACGCCCCGGCTATTTTTTTTTTTTTTTTTTGTATTTTTAGTAGAGACGGGGTTTCACTGTGTTAGCCAGAATGGTCTCGATCTCCTGACCTCGTGATCCACCCGCCTTGGCCTTCCAAAGTGCTAGGATTACAGGCGTGAGCCATTGCACCCAGCCTTTTTTTTCTATTTTTTTTTTTTTGAGACAGAATCTCACTCTGTTGCTCAGGCTGGAGTACAGTGGCACAATATCAGCTCACTGCAACCTCTGCCTCCCAGGTTCAAGTGATCCTCCTGCCTCAGCCTCCTGAGTACCTGGGATTACAGGTGAGTGCCACCACACCCGGCTCATTTTTGTATTTTTAGTAAAGATGGGGTTTCGCCATGTTGGCCAGGCTGGTCTTGAACTCCTGGCCTCAGGTGATCTGCTCACCTTGGCCTCCCAAAATGCTGGGATTACAGGCGTGAGACACAGAGCCTGGCCTATTTTTTGTTTGTTTGTTTTGTTCTTTTGAGATAGGGTCTTACTCTCTCCCAGGCTGGAGTGCAATGGCATGACCTCGCTTCACTGCAGCCTCGACTTCCCAAGTTCAGGCAATCCTCCCACCTCAGCCTCCTGAGTAGCTGTGTACTCCTGAGTAGAGGCGCACATCACCACACCCAGCTAATTTTTTTGTATTGTTAGTAGAGACAAGGTCTCACCTTGTTGCTCAGGTTGGTCTCAAACTCCTGGGCTCAAGTGATCCACCTGCCTCAATCTCCCAAAGTGTTGGAATTACAGATGTGAGCCACTGCATCCAGTCTATTCCCAAAGAATTTAAAACACTACTAACTTGTGACCTCCTGAGGGTTCAATGAATACTCCTGGGGTTAGTGAAGAATGAAAAAACAGATAAGGGATCAGCCATAAAGTCATCCTTCCATGTCCACTGTGTGCAGGGCTAGAAGTGAATGCCAGATACAGAGGACTGAGAGGAGACCCAACTCCTCCAAATATCAAAGGGGGTCAGCCAAAGAGGATCATTGACGAGGGATGGGATTAAGAGTGATTGTATTGGCCAGGTGAGGTGGCTCACACCTGTAATCCCAGCACTTTGGGAGGCCGAGGGGGGCAGATCACCAGGTCAGGAGATCTAGACCATCCTGGCTAACATGGTGAAACCCCGTCTCTACTAAAAATACAAAAAAAATTAGCCGGGCATGGTGGTGGGCGCCTGTAGTCCCAGCTACTCAGGAGGCTGAGGCAGGAGAATGGGGTGAACATGGGAGGCGGAGCTTGCAGTGAGCCGAGATCATGCCACTGCACTCCAGCCTGGGTGACAGAGCAAGACTCCGTCTCAAAGAAAAAAAGAGTGACTGTATTAGGCCAGGTGCGGTGGCTCACGCCTGTAATCCCAACACTTTGGGAGGCTGAGGTGGGTGGATTGCTTGAGGCCAGGAGTTCGAGACCAGCCTGGGCATCATGGAAAAGCCCCATCTCTAAAAAAAAAAAAAGAATGAGTGGTTGTATTTTCTTCATTGGATTCATCTATATTTTCTACAATATCTACAATAGGCATACATTACTTATGTAATAAGAATGAGATTATTTTGGCAAAAATAAACAGTGGACAAGGTCAGGCTGCCTGGGTCTATTCCCTCCACTGGGTCAGGGTCTGTGACAGCCACAGTTGCCCCAGAATGGCTGGCAGGGTCAGCTCCTGCCTGGATGGCTGATGTCTCCTTCCAGCTCTCTGTCCAGTTTCTGGGGGGGACCTGGGGTGGAGAAAGGCAGGGTGCAGCCTCCGGACTGGCAGAGCCACAGCAGAGAGGTGCTGCTTCACGTCCCCCTGGGCCTCCGTGGCCCTGGCCCTGCACACAGCACAGCTGCCTCCTCCCTCTGACTTATTTCCTATCACCTGGCTCGCGGGTCCCTTGGGGCAGAGGGCAGGGTCCCCAGGGTTGCTCCTCGCTCTCCTCCCAGCTTCTGCCTCTCCTCTCTCTGGCTGCCTCAACGGCTGCTCAAGGTCAAGGAACAAACAGATAAACCCTTTCTCTGGAGCCAGCACGGAGAGGACGCCTCCAGCTAGAATCCAATTCTGAGTCAGGGCTAGGGCTCTCTCCTGTGAATCTGAGGACAGGAAGGAAATTTTTGCAGCCATAAATCGGTAAAAATGTTTTGTAGGCAGAGAAGAGGCCAAGCAGTTGGCTCTGGTTTAAGGCACAAATAGCAAATGAGAGCAGTCAGACCCAGGGAGGGAGGGCCTGGGGGGTAAACTCTAATATTCAGGCAGCCAAAGCAAGATTTTCTTTTGCCTGAGGGCCAATCAGGTGTTGGACGTGGTGTGGATGACGTGGACTTGGTCCCGGGCTCACCGGGATGGGATGATATGGGGGTCTGACCAGGCAGTTGAAGACTTGGGACTCTTCTAGGCTATTAGCCAAGATGGCCCAGGGGCTGGAGCCAGGACTGTGGATTCAGCGATGCAGTGTGGACAGCAATGAACTTGATGGCCCTCGTGTCTTAGAGCGATGAACCTGGAGCCCAGAGAAGTGGAGATGGGCTGGCCTGGGAAGGGCCATTCAGGCCGTGGCGGGGATTCAGGACTTTATCCAGAGGGCAGCAGGAAGCATGACAGTGGAGAGTGGCAGGGCCCAGCTTATGTGTTAGGAAGACCCCTCTGACTGCACTGTGTGTGTGGCCTGGAGGCAGGAAGGGCAGTGAGAAGGCGGCTGCCATGCCCACCCATGTTGGTGACCAGGTAGGGTGAGGATAGTGGAGAGTCCAGGTGTGCTGCGGGCAGAATCGTTAGGTCCTGCTGACTGGATATGGTGGGGTGTTGGGGAGACAGGAAGGGGCTAACGCCGACACCCAGGAGCCCCAAGAGGAAGAAGAGGAGGAGGAAGTTTTACGGGGAGGTTTCATATTTTTTGTATGTTTTTGTTTGTTGGTTTGTTTTTATGGAGAGACAGGTTCTCACTTTGTTTCCCAGGCTTGTCTCAAACTCCTGGCCTCAAGAAATCCTCCCACCTTAGCCTCCCAAAGTGCTGAGGTTACAGAGATGAGTTACTGTGCCTGGCCACCTGTATTTTTTCATCTCTTGAATATTTGGGGGTATCTGGCCGAGTCCATGGAGCAGGACACCAAGAAGGATAAGGCACAGCCCTGCCCAAAGCTGGAATCCACACACAGCAACAAAAAAGCCTGCAGGGGTGGAACTGTAGGCTTTAACTATGAGCATATTGGGAGTTCAAAGGATTAGGGAGCCTGGAGGGATGTGGGTGACAGGCCTATTTGGAAGGGTCAGTGGTAAACAGCTGGAGGACAAGGACCTGGCTTCTGTACCTTCCACGTTCCCTCTTCGCGTGGCCCTGCTCTGTGCCGGGCAGGTTGTCCCAGCTCCACAGCCTGACCTTGCTGCCCACTCCAGCCTCAGTAGCTTCTCCTGTGCTCTGGTGGGCCTCCCCCTCTGAAGTGACTGCCAGAATGTGACTGGATGGTCCTCAAGAGGCCTCTTGCCTCTTGTCCTCTGTTGGGAATACCTTCCCTTCCCCGCTAGCCCAGGTGTCTCCAACTCATTCTCCTGTCTCAGTGTAGGTTTCTTCCTCCTAGAAGCCTTTCCTAGCCCCGAAACTGGGCTGGGTGCACCTCTCCTATGCTGAAGAAATGTTCTTTGGATGGAAGGATGAATGGATGGAGGGATGGGGGATGGAGGGATGGAGGGATGGAGGGATGGGGATGGTGGAGGGATGGAGGGATGGGAATGGTGGATGGAGGGATGGGGGATGGGAGGATGGGGGATGGAGGGATTGGGGATGGAGGGTGGAGGGACAGGGATGGAAGGAGGGAGGGATGGAGGATGGAGGGACAGGGGATGGAGGGACAGGGATGGAAGGAGGGAGGGATGGAGGATGGAGGGACAGGGGATGGAGGGGTGGAGGGGTGAAGGAGGGGAGATAGAGGATAGAGGGATTGAGGGATGGAGTGGAGGGATGGGGGATGGAGGGATGGGAGATGAAGGGATGGAGGGATGGAGTATGGAGGGATGGGGGATGATGAGATGGGGGATGGCAAATGGAGGGGTGGGAGGATGGAGGAATGGCAGATGGAGGGATGGGGGATTGAAAGATGGGATTGAAAGATGGAGGGATGGGGAATGGAGGATGGGGGATGGAGGGATGGGGATGGGAAGATGAAGGGATGGGAGATGGGGGATGGAGAAATGGGGGATGGGGGATGGAGGAATTAGAGGATGGCAGATGGAGGGATGGGGGATGGGAAGATAGGGAATGGAGGGATGGGGGATGAGAGGATGGAGGGGTGGGGGATGGGAGGATGGAGGGATGGGGGATGGAAGGAGGGGGAGGGGGATGGGAGATAGAGGGATGGAGGGATCAGGGTATGGAAGGATGGGGGATGAGAGATGGGGGATGGAGGGATGGGGGATAGGGATGGGGGATGGGGGATGGAGGATGGGAGATGGAGGGATGGGGATGCAAGGTGAATGGATGAATTAATGAACGAATAGACGGGGGGTGACTGGAGATCTAGATAGACAGGCAGATGATGGATGGAAGGGCACACAGGCAGGTTGGGCAGGTGGAAGGGCAGGGGAGGAGTGGGCTGGACAGAGGAAAGGGCAGGTGGTGGGTGGTGGAGGCAATGGGTGGCAGAGGCAGTGGGTGGCGGAGGTGGAGGCAGTGGATGGAGGTGGTGGGTGTTAGAAATGGTGGGTGGTGGAGGTGGCGGGTGGAGATGGCGGGTGGAGGTGGTGGGTGGAGATGGCGGGTGGTGGAGGTGGCGGGTGGCGGGTGGCAGAGGTGGTGGGTGGAGGTGGTGAGTGGAGGTGGCGGGTGGTGGAGGCGGTGGGTGGAGGTGGTGGGTGGAGGTGGTGGGTGGCGGGGTGGATGCATGGAAAGGAGACAAGGTTGGCTCAGGCAGGCCGAGGTGTGCCCTATCTCTACATTCCCCGCAATGTGGATGGGCGGAATGAGTAGGAATCTTCCTCTCCTGACTCCTCCTCAGACCTCTCAGCTTCCTCAGAGTACACCCTACACTGAAAGGGACCCACTGGGCACTGCAGAGATGTAACTGGCACCAGGAACCTCCCTCCATCTTACCCCTGTCCCACAACTCTTCACCTGTGGGTGCCTTTTTGCCAACTGGTCTGATTACTGGCGAGAACCTGGTGTTTGGGGATGAAAGAAGTTCAGGTCTCTACAAGTCCATTTTCTTCCTGCTTCCTTTCTCGCCTTCTGCCTCCTCCTTCTCCTCCTCCCATGTCTTTCCAGCAAAGCACAGGATACCCAGATGGCTTGGGCCAGACTGAAGGCACAGCCGTAGCCAGCAACCAGCCACCTGAGCCCTGCTGCCTTGGGCCCCAGTCGGCCCAGCCAGTGCGGGTCTCTGCTGCCTGGTGCCCACCCCACCCACCCACCCAGCAGCTCCCATTTTCAGCTGCCAGGATCTTCAGAGCCGATTTGATCAGCTGCCAGATCTCCCAATTGTCAGCTGCAACGTTAACCTCTTTAAGAGAGCACCCGAGGCGATCTTTAAGCTAGGAGGCTGGAGCCCCATGCTAATGGAGCCTGCTCCGAGCTCACAGCTCTGCCTCCTGCCTCCCCAGCCTTGGTTCTGGGAGCCTGTGGCCCCCACTCTTCAGGCTGGACAGCAGCAGGACTATTTTTTGAGCCTGGGTGAAGCGGGGCTTTGCCAGCTGAGATCAGTCCCTACAGCAGCCCCCACCAGGGAGCCCCAGGAAGGAGGGGAGGGGCCTAACCCAGAGAGGGAGTGGATAAGTATTTGTTAACTGAATGGCTGCATGAACCTCCAAAGCTGCCTAAGAGGCGAGTGCTGACGGCGCTTTCTGCCCTGCCGTCACCTTCAGGGGGAGATGCTCAGGGTAGGGACATGGGCAAAGGTGCCAAACTCTGGAGTCAGACCAAGGTGCCTGGGCTGGTGTCCCAGATCTAGCATGTGAAAGCTGTGTGACCTTGGAGAAGTTGCTGGCCGTCTCTGAGCCTCGGCTTTCCCATCAGTGAAACATGTGTGCTAGGGGAGAGAATACCAGCTGCGTAGAGTTGTTGGGGAATCCAGTGAGATGAAGAGATGGGAACACCTGCTACCTTGCAGATACATAGTAGGTACTCAAGGAAGTCAGTCCCTTCCTCTTCTCCCCTCCCTTCCCTCTCCCCTCCACCTTCCTTCTCCTCCCCCACTTCCCTCTCCCCACCCAGGGCTTTCTATTCCCTGTCACTGAAGGGTTGAAGGGCTGTCACCTTGTCTAAAGCCTCCATGTTTTCCCTTCCAACCCTCAGAAGGACAGGGGCGATTATTCTTACTTCTCCATTGTCCAGGGCCACACAGCAGGCCGGAAGCAGATGCGGAGGCCGCCCAGTTCCAGCCCAGCTTGTCCTGCTAGTGCCTGGTCCCAGGACTGGCTCAGGTGCCCATGGCATTCTCCCCTGTGCCCTGATAATCGATGTCCCTTTGCAGGTTGGTGAGGCTCTGAGAGTGGGCTAGTGGCTTGTTTTTCCACATTTTTGAGGCCTCTCTCGGGACTGAAATACCCAGGTGGAGAAGTGAAGTGACTCGGGAAAGGAAGGAAAAGAACCCAGAGTCCAATTCCCACCCAAGTGGAGGTGAGGCGGGAAGAGGGGAGCTGAACTCCTTATGTGGGAGTTGCAGCCTTGGTGGGACCTGTCAGAACTGGTGTGCTAAGCCAGGGGTGGGAGTTGGTGACTTCCACAGGGACAGCATCAGCAGCCAGCTCACAGAAGCATATGTTTCAGAACCAAAAGGTGTAGAGCAAGGCTCAGAATAGAAATAAAATGAATGGATGGTGTACCATCACACACAGTGTACCTGTTTGTGTGCGTGTGGACAGTGTGCACCGGCGTGACACTGTGTCTAGTGTGTGTGTGCACAGTGTACCTGTGCGTGTGCGTGTGGACAGTGTGCACCGGTGTGACACTGTGTCTAGTTTGTGTGCACATGTGCACACGCGTCTAGACTGCCTGAGTCCAGCCATGCGTCCTTCCCCATGGGTAAGGAGGAGGAAGCCAGGGGACAGATCCTGGCATGGGGACAGAGTCGCTGGCTGTTGAGATGTGCCAAGTCCGCCAGCCTGGAGGCCAAGGTCCTAGCCCTGGCCCTTTCCTGCTGTGGGGCCCTGGCCCTGGCCCTTTCTTCTCTGTGCCTCCATGGACGACAGGTTACATGAAACTCCCCGGAGCAGAGTGCACCTGAGGAAAACTGCGGTTTCCCTGCCAGCCCAGAGGTTCATTCTGCCGATGGGGGGTGGGGGTGGGGGGGCAGGAATGCCAGGAATGGGCATTTAGCAAATCCTCCTCCTTCCCCATGCAATTTTTGTCATGCTCCTGGGAGCTGTGACACTTGGGGACCTGGCCCCTCTGAGCCTGTTTTCCCACCCACCAGGTGGGGATAAAAACAGGACTGCCCCAGGAGGTCACTGTTAGTCAATGAGCTGGGGCTCCAGGAAGGCCTGAAGCACAGTAGGTGCTTCATCCCCGGGCACTGGGGTTGCTCCTGCTGTGCCCAGGGGTGGCGAGGCTGCCAAAGATGCGGGAAGGGTCTGCAACCAGAGTAGGGTGGGCGGGGCTCTGGGGCCTCCGGATGGCAGGGACCCTTTTCCAACACAAGCTGCACCTGGGCGGGGATGCATAGCTGGGTACCTACAGGGAAGGTGTGAGGTCGTGAGGCCCAGAGCCACCCTCCTCCCCTGAGAACGTGGTCTCAGCCTCGCCGCAGTGTGTGTGAAGCACCCCCTGCTCCTTCCAGGAACTGGAGGTCCTCCCACCCCATTGCTTGCTCCTTGGTCTGAGCATCACAAGAGAGAGATGATGTGGTTTGGGCAGGGACTCCTACACAGAAGAAGAAAAGAAATCCAGAGATGTTGCTCCCTCTGACCAAGGTCACAAGCGAGTCCAGGCTGAGGCGAGGCAGGGCTTTTTGACTCTGCCACCCAGTGGGACCCAAATCCATGGGGAGCTGTGTGGTCTCGGGCGGGACAAGTCAGCCAGAAGCAACTTGGAGAAAATTGACTCTTCAATCATTTATTTATTCAACAATTATTCATTGGGAGGCCGAGGTGGGTGGATCACTGGAGGTCAGGAGCTCAAAAACCAGCCTGGCCAACGTGGTGAAACCCCGTCTCTACTAAAAATACAAAAATTAGCTGGGCGTGGTGGTGTGCACCTATACTGCCAGCTACTCAGGAGGCTGAGGCAGGAGAATCGCTTGAACCCAGGAGGCAGAGGCTGCAGTGAGGTGAGATCACGTCACTGCACTCCAGCCTGTGTGACAGAGTGAGACTCCGTCTCAAAAAAGAAAAAAAAATATATGTATATGTATATATATGTATGTATATATATGTGTGTATATGCATATATGTATATATGTGTGTGTATATATATATATATAGGGCCTGTTGTGAGGCAGTAAAACCCAGGAGGCCAGAAGGTAGACACTAAGGAAGGGGCTAAAAATCCAGGCGTGGGCAGGACAAGCACTCCCTGCGGTTGTTCCCTGGGTCGCAGTTTTGTGTTTTGTTTTGTTTTTGTGAGATGGGGTCTCACTCTGTCTCCCAGGCTGGAGTGCAGTGACGCAATCACAGTTCATGGCAGCCTTGACCTCCCCAGGCTCAGGTGATTCTCCTACCTCAGCCTCCTCAGTAGCTGGGACTACAGGCATGTGCCAGCACACCCAGCTAATTTTTGTATTTTTCATAGAGATGGGGTTTTGCCATGTTGCCCAGGCTTGTCTCAAACTCCTAGGCGAAAGCAATCGGCTCTTGTCAGCCTCCCAGAGTGCTGGGATTACAGGTGTGAGCCACGGTGCCTGGCTTCCCTGGATCACTGGATAAGACACCTAAGTGTTTTTGTGACTTAACTTGCTTATCTGTAAAGTGGGGGTAAGAACAGTCCCAGGGGCTGGTGAGGGTTGTCATGCACATGGCATGGGGCCTGGCACAGGAAAAATGCTGGATGGAAGAGGCTGGTAGTGCTGTGCTATCAACAATGAGGACACATTTGCAGGTTTCCACAGTACGAGTCGCAGTGTGGGACAGGAAAGGGTATCAGATGAAGAGGAGGGCATCCAGAGGGAGGAGGGATCGAGTCCTTCTAGGGAGGTTGAGGGGCACCTGAGCAGGGCATTGAGGGCTGTATAGGAGTTCATCATACTAAGAACTGGGAGAAGCTCAGCTACTGGAAATTCCCAAAAGGGCTTGAAGGAACTGGTGCCAGCCTTGCTGGGACTGCAAGAGCCCCGGAGGGTCAGAGGGGAAGCCACTCTAAGAGTCCCTACTGCAGTCCTCTGAAGGACTTCCTGTGGCAGATGGGCCTCTGCTCTCTTCTCTGACTGTTTTCCACCCTCTGGGGGAAAGGGGGTGAACCACCCAGACATTCGGCTGGAACTACTGAGGCAGACCCCAGAAAGGGCAAGTCTGCTACCTTGTGTAGCTCAGCATCCTGATGCCTGGAGGTCCCCCCATTCAGTCACCAGGGGACAGAACAGTGTGTGGGCTGAAGCCAGGCAAACAGGGTTCAAAACCCAGCTGTGCCACCTGCAATCTATGGGGCCCTGGGCAACCTTCATCTCTCCTTGCCTCCCTGTTCTCATCTGTAAAATGGGAAGAATGATTCTATCTGCTTCATAGGACCAGAGTAGGGATTCCATGGATTCATGCCTGACATAAAGAGCTCAGCCCAGCATCCCTGGCACATAGTAAGTGCTCAATAAATGCTAGCCCCTTCCCAGCATCGACTGAACTCCTGTCCTGAGCTGGCTGTGGAGACCCCATACAAGATAAAGAGAAGAGGCTTGTTGTATTTGGGGCTAAGGCTCTGTTCACTTTCTGATCAACAATGTGTATTCTTACTGTTGCATCAACAGTATTAAACAAAAAAGAAAAAATTAAAATAATGTGTATTCCATCTCCTGTCAAACTGGGCTCCCCACACCTCTGGCCTCCTCACCCTGCCTCTCTGCTGGGCCCAGGGCCCCCTTCCTGCATCCAGGGAGCTCACTCTAGCAGGGTCCTGGCCACACCGCATCTTCTCAGTCTTTGAGCTTGGAAGGCCTTAGGGAATGTGAAGTCCAGCCCCTCCGCAAGTACCCACATATGGAACTGGGGCTCGGGAGTAAAGACACTCACCAGAGGCTGAGACTTGAAGTCCAGTGCCCCTGCCCAGGTCCTTAGATCACTACTGCTGTGGGAATTTTGAGAGGAGCCCCTTGGCGTAGGATAAGCTGCTGTCCCTTGGGCTGGAGCTCCATGAGGGCAGGGACGATGGCTCTCTTGCTTACTTTGTGGCCCCTGGGCCCAGCACAAAGCCTGGAACCTGCGAATGAAAAAGTGAATGAGCGAATGAATGAATGTGGCCAGAATCCATCTGCCTCCCAGAGCAGGATCCCAAGAGAAGCCCACTTTGGTCCCAGCCCCTGTGGGGTCACCAGCCCCAGCCCAGCAGACGGGGTTGCCAATGGCTTAGAGGCTTCCAAGAGTCTTCTGACAAAAGGATCAAAGGAAGCAGATGACAGAAGGGCAGGAAAGGGCTGAATGGTGGGGTGGGGGTGCCGAGCCCCCTGCCCAGGCCAGGGTGAAAGAGGTTCAGGAAAAGGACAGAGACAGATCAGCCAGTGCAGGGGTGGGGGTGACAGGATGCGGGTAGAGGGCTCAGCCACTTCCCTTGGCACAGAGGATAAACTGATGGCTTCCTCTCAGCCCAGGACTCTCCTTTCTGCTTCCAACCACAGCACCTAGTCCTGGGCCCGGCCCCTGGAGGGCACTTGGAAAACGTTTGTGGATTCACTGTGCATGAATGAATGAATGAATGATTCGGTGGCTCATGACAAATGCCAGCACTTTGGGAGGATTGCCTGAGGCCAGGATTTCAAGGCCAGCCTGGGCAACATAGCAAGACCCCTGTCTCTACAAAACATTTTTTTTTGAAGTTTTATTTCATTTTATTTTTATTTTATTTATTTTTATTATTATTATTATACTTTAAGTTTTAGGGTACATGTGCATAATGTGCAGGTTTGTTACATATGTATACATGTGCCATGCTGGTGTGCTGCACCCATTAATTCATCATTTAGCATTAGGTATATCTCCTAATGCTATCCCTTCCCCCTCCCCCCACCCCACAACAGTCCCCAGAGTGTGATGTTCCCCTTCCTGTGTCCATGTGTTCTCATTGTTCGATTCCCATCTACGAGTGAGAACATGGTGGTGTTTGGTTTTTTGTCCTTGCGATTCTACAAAACATTTAAAAACTATATTAGCTTGGCTGGGCACAGTGGCTCATGCCTGTAATCCCAGCACTTTGGGAGGCCGAGGTGGGTGGATCACCTGAGGTCGGAAGTTCGAGACCAGCCTGACCAACATGGTGAAGCCCTGTCTCTACTAAATACAAAAAATTAGCTGGGTATGGTGGCAAATGCCTGTAATCCCAGCTACTTAGGAGGCTGAGGCAAAAGAACTGATGAACCTGAGAGGCGGAGCTTGCAATGAGCTGGATCACACCATTGCACTCTAGCCTGGGTGACAGAGTAAAATTCTGTCTCAAAAAAAGAAAGGAAGGAAGAGAGGGAGGAAGGGAGGAAGTGAAGAAGGAAAGAGAAAGAACTTTTATCAGCCATTCCTTACCTTTCCAGTAGTCAGTTAGTGTGGGTCAGTCCAGTGGATTTTGACATGAAAGGACAGAGCAAACTCCTGTTGTAGTTTCAGGGAGCCCATTAACAATAACAATTGGCCAAATAAGACTCTTACTACAGCCAGTGGCTATTGAACAATCGCTAGATGCCAGGTGCTCAAAATATCTCTGTGTCATAGCCCCATTATCTCAATGACTCCTTGCCATACTCTAAGAGGGCAGTGCTAGCCCCATTTTACAGATGAGGCAACTGAGGCTAAGAGAAGAAGGATGCTGCTCTAGATCACCCAGAAAGTAAATGACGGAGGTGGAGAGTGAAATTCCTCTAGCCCTGCGTAAATGAATGAATGGCTAGGTGAATGAACGACCCATTCTACAGCATTCACCATGATTCCCTGCCACACCACGCCCTTCACTGGGCCCGAGTTCTATGGCAACAAATGAAATAATCACAGTCCCTGCTGTCACGAGATTCCTTGCCTGGAGGGCAGCACTCCACCCAAATAATGAATTCATCATGATTTTGGAAAGTGCTAGAAAGGAGAAAGCCAGAGTGCGTAGGGCGTGCAGGGGACCTGCCCAGTCTTAGGGGCTCAGAACAGGCCTAGAGTGCCAACTGCTGGATGGGAGGATGTTGCCTGCTGGGAGGTGTGCGCAGGAGGCAGAACGTCAAGATCTGTGGCATGGATTAGAAAAGCAATAATCTGCTGGGCGTGGTGGCTCACGCCTGTAATCCCAGCACTTTGGGAGGCCGAGGAAGACGGATCAGGAGGTCAGGAGATTGAGACCATCCTGGCTAACACAGTGAAACTCCGTCTCTACTAAAAAAAATACAAAAAAATAGCCAGGTGTGGGGGCGGGTGCCTGTAGTCCCAGCTATGCAGGAGGCTGAGGCAGGAGAATGGCGTGAACCTGGGAGGCGGAGCTTGCAGTGAGCGGAGATGCGCCACTGCACTCCAGCCTGGGTGACAGAGCGGGACTCCTTCTCAAAAAAAAAAAAAAAAAAGCAATAGTCGTAGTCGTCATTGGAGCAGGCACTGTCCTTTGAGCCATTTCTCCCCACAAGCACCTTACATAGGTTATTTTATAAATCTTTACAATAAGATGGAGACATGGTTCCCCATATCATTCCCACTATAACTGGAGAGATGGAGACTCACATAGCTGCTAAGAGGAAGAGCCAGGGTCTAGGTCTGTCTGATCTGGGGTCTCAGCTCCTGATCCTGAACCCAGTGTCTACAGGGCAGAGAGACCCTCCCGCTCAGCTCCTGGGTGAGCTGGCCCTGCTGGGACTCAGTGTGCACTGGAGGTCATGCTTCTCCTTCCTGTCACCCACCAGTTTTCCTTGGGCTGGGGGAGCTTCAGGTGCTGCGAGGAAAATTTAGAGAGGGAACATTTCTGAGCTTAAATTGGCTGGCACTGCCTTAGGAAGGGTTATGCAGGATTTTCAGGTGGACCACGAGCAAATGATTACACGGCCCCATGTGCTTTCGCAGGAGGAGTCAACCTGGAAGAACTGATTGTTTCTGGGCCCTAAATGCCAAGTGGTTTCCCTGGTAGGAGCTTACTTCCAGTTTGTATGCCCAGGATTCAAAGATAACCACGGGGCTGGGCAAGGTGGCTCATGCCTGTAATCCTAGCACTTTGGGAGGCCAAGGCAGATTGCTTGAGCCCAGGAGTTCAAGACCAGACTGGGCAACATACTTGAGACCCTGTCATCATCTTTTTTTTTTTTTTTTTTTTTTTTTTTGAGACGGAGTTTCACTCTTGTGCCCAGGCTGGAGTGTAGTGGCACTATCTCAGCTCACTGCAACCTCCATCTCCCGGGTTCAAGCGATTCTCCCGCCTCAGCCTCCTGAGTAGCTGGGATTACGGGCATGTGCCACCATGCCTGGCTAATTTTTATATTTTTACATATGGTTTCACCGTGTTGGCCAGGCTGGTCTTGAACTCTTGACCTCAAGTGATCTGCCTGCCTCGGCCTCCCAAAGTGCTGGGATTACAGGTGTGAGCCACCGTGCCTGGCCACAGTTTAAAACACAAACTACTTTTCTGTACTTCTCCTCATCCCTCACTGCACATCTACTTAGACACTTGCTCCTGGGCCCCAGAAATACCTTCCCAGGCCTGTTTCAGAGTCTGCAGTGTTCCGCCTCCAGTTCTCCAGTTCATCCTTCTAAGGCTGGCTCAGATGCCAGCTCCTATTTTTTCTCACCAGAAAGAACCTCTCCCTTCTCCCTGCCGCGACAGAAGCTATCACTGCATTTGCACGCAAGGGCCTGAACTGGAGTCCTGGCTGTCAGGCTTTAGGCAAACTGCGACTCTCTGGAAACCAATCCTCCGCATTGTTCCATAAGCACAGTGTCATGGGCCCCACCCCCAGAACATGTAGAGTGATACTTGGGTAAAGTGATCTGCAGCAGTGGCCAGGCGTGGTGGCTCACGCCTGTAATCTCAACATTCTGGGAGGCCAAAGCAGGCAGATTGCTTGAGCCCAGGAGTTCAAGACCAGCCTGGGCAACAGAGTGAGACCCCTATCTCTACAAAAAATAAAAATAAAAAAAATTGTTTTCATTATTCTGGCATGGTGGTGCACACCTGCAGTCCAGCTACTTGAGAGGCTGAGGCGGGAGGATTGCTTGAGCCCAGGAGGTTGAGGCTGCAGTGAGCATGGATAACCACTGCACTCCAGCCTGGGTGACAGAGTGACAGCCTGTCTCAAAACACAAACAAAAACAAAAAAAAGTAACCTGTGGTGTGTGGGGTACCGCTCGATTCCCACTGCTTGATGGCAATAATAATAGCAGCCCCGTGGACAGCCCCTCTGCTAAGGCAGTCTTACAGCTCCAAAGGACGGGAAAATGGAGTTATCCTTTTTCTGTTATAGGTGAAGAAGTTGAGGTTTAAGGAGGTGAAATTACAAGTCTGGGACTTCTTACTAATTTTTTTCCTAAGATAAAATTTTAATTTTTTTATTTTAATGAACATAATTGTATATGTTTATGGGGCAGAGTGTGATGTTTTGATCTGTGAATACATTCTGGAATGATAATATCAAGCTAATTAACATATCAATAACATCACAAGTGTATCATTTTTCTGTAGTGAGAACATTTGAAATCTACTTTTTGCTGGGTGCTGTGGCTTACACTTGTAATCCCAGCACTTTGGGAGGCTGAGGCGGGAAGATCACCTGAGGTCAGCAGTTTGAGACCAGCCTGGCCAACATGGTGAAAACCCATCTCTACTAAAAATATAAAAATTATCGGGGCATGACGGTGTGCACCTGTAGTCCCCAGCTACTCAGGAGGCTGAGGCAGGAGAATTGTTTGGACTTGGGAGGTGGAGGTTGCAGTGAGCTGAGATTGCACCACTGCACTCCAGCCTGGACAACAGAGCTACACTCCATCTCAAAAAAACAAAAAGAAGGCCAGGCACGGTGGCTTACGCCTGTAATCCCAGCACTTTGGGAGGCCGAGGCGGGTGGATCATGAGGTCAGGAGATCAAGACCATCCTGGCTAACACGGTGAAACCCCGTCTCTATTAAAAATACAAAAAAATTAGACGGGTGTTGTGGCGGGCGCCTGTAGTCCCAGCTACTCGGCAGGCTGAGGCAAGAGAATGGCGTGAACCCGAGAGGCGGAGCTTGCAGTGAGCCAAGATCGCACCACTACACTGCAGCCTGGGCGACAGAGCAAGACTCCGTCTCAAAAAACAAGCAAACAAAAAAAGAAAAATGTCGGATATGATCTGCATTTCTGAAAAAGGAACAGATCAGCAGGCTGATGAATAAGATCTAAGAGTCTATGAATAAGATCTACAGAAATAAGATGCCAAATGATTCCTAAGACCTCTTTGTGATATTTTAAAAATTCAGTAAAATATGTCTCTCTGAGTTGACCAAAAGGTACAACATTTCAGTTATATGGGAGGAGTGGGTTTTTGAGATGTATTGCACAGCAAGATTATTATTCATTAGGAATGATAGTTACTAATAATGTATATTTCAAAATTACTTCAAAAGTGTATTTTGGCCTGGACTGGTGGCTCACGCCTGAATCCCAGCTCTTTGAGAGGCTGAGGAGGGCAGATCACTTGAGGCCAGGAGTATGAGACCAGCCTGGCCAACATGACAAAGCCCTGTCTCTATAAAATATACAAAAGATAGGGCTGGGCACGGTGGTTCAAGCATGTAATCCCAGCACTTTGGGAGGCAGAGGTGGGCATACCATGAAGTCAGGAGTTCAAGACCAACCTGACCAACATGGTGAAACCTGATCTCTACTAAAAATACAAAAAAATTAGCTGGGCATAGTGGCACACACCTGTAATCCCAGCTACTCAGGAGGCTGAGGCAGGAGGATCGCTTGAACCAGGGAGGCAGAGGTTGCAGTGAGCCAAGATCTCGCCATTGCACTCCAGCCTGGGTGACAGAGCAACACTCCGTCTCAGAAGAAAAAAAAAAATAATACAAATTTGGCCAGTTGTGGTGGTGGATGTCTGTAGTCCCAGCTAGTTGGGAGGCTGAGGTGAGCGGATCACTTGAGCCTGGGAAGTTGAGGCTGCAGTGAGCTGTCATCGTGCCACTGCACTCCAACCTGGGCAAAAAAGCAAGACTCTGTCTCCAAAAAAAGTACATTTTATTTTATTTTTTATTTTGAATTTTGCATTGTTTTGAGATGGTGTCTTCCTCTGTCGCCCAGGCTGGAGTGCAATGGCATGATCTTGGTCACTGCAAACTCCGCCTGATGGGTTCAAGTGATTCCCCTGCCTCAGCCTCTCGAGTAGCTGGGATTACAGGTGCGCACCACCACACCTGGCCAGCTATCCAACATTTTTCTGATATCCTTGATTTTAGCTGTTGTGTTTTGCTGAATCAAAGCATCTGAATTTGGTAAACATTTGTAAATCAAAGAAAATTCCTGAGGTGTGTCTCAGTAATTTTTAGAGGTTATTTTGCCAATGTTGAGGATGCAGGCCAAAGAAAAAAGGAATGAAAATCACAGGAAACATTTGTGATGCATGCTTTTTTTCCAAAGAGGGTCTGGGGACTTCAATATTTAAAGGGAAAAAGAGGCCAGGTGCCATGGCTCACGCCCGTAATCCCAGCACATTGGGAGGTGGCAGCGGGCGGATCACCTGAGGTCAGGAGTTCGAGGCCAACCTGGCCAATAAGGTGAAACCCCGTCTTGGGCTCATACCTGTAATCCCAGCACTTTGGGAGGCCAAGGCGGGCGGATCACAAGGTCAGGAGATCGAGACCACCCTGGCTAACACGGTGAAACCCTGTCTCTACTAAAAAAAAAATACAAAAAATTAGCCGGGTGTGGTGGCAGGTGCCTATAGTCCCAGCTACTCGGGAGGCAGAGGCAGGAGAATGGCATGAACCTGGGAGGCGGAGCTTGCAGTGAGCCAAGATGGCTCAAAAAAAAAAAAAAAAAAAATTTTCCTTAGTGCCTTTGAAGCCCCAAATATGGCTGCTTTTCCATTTGATGAGAACTTTAATTTGTTCTCTGATTCCAATTAATATTTTTTTCTCATTATCTTTCTCTGCATGGTTTTGCATCCCTTTGATTTTTTACCACTGTTCTAGTGCAGATCTTTAGATCTCTTCCTAAAAGTCTTTAAGTCTTCACATGATCTCTCGTCTCATTTCTTTTTTTCTAAAACTATGCCTGTTTCCTTTTCCCTCCTCAACTCAGACTGTTTTCCTTTCTGTTTTTCTACTCTGAATAATCTTCTTGATAGTTTTGTGGGTGTGTGTGTGTGCCTGCCACCACGCCAGGCTATTTTTTTTTTTTTGTATTTTTAGTAGAGACGGGGTTTCACCGTGTTAGCCAGGATTGTCTTGATCTCCGGACCTCATGATCCGCCCGCCTTGGCCTTCCAATGTTTAATAAATTATTAAATATTAGTCCCTGAAACATTTTGACTTAGTCAATCTGTGCATTCCTGCAGATATAAGAAGCTTTTAGAAATTACAGAAAAAGGCCAGGTGTGGTGCCTCATGCCTGTAATCCCAGCACTTTGGGAGGCCGAGGTGGGTGGATCACGAGGTCAGGAGATCGAGACCATCTTGGCTAACACGGTGAAATACCATGTTACTAAATACCGTCTCTACTAAAAATACAAAAAATTAGAAGGGCGTTCTGGCGGGCGCCTGTAGTCCCAGCTACTCGAGAGGCTGAGGCAGGAAAATGGCTTGAACCTGGGAGGCAGAGCTTGCGGTGAGCCGAGATCGCGCCACTGCACTCCAGCCTGGGCACCCAGACAGAGCGAGACTCCGTCTCAAAAAAAAAAAAAAAAAAAAAAAAAGACCAGCCTGGCCAAGATGGTGAAAACCCGTCTCTACTAAAATTACAAAAATTAGCTGGACATGGTGGAACGTGCCTGTAATCCCAGCTACTCGGGAAGCTGAGGCAGGAGAATCACTTGAACCCAGGAAGCGGAGGTTGCTGTGAGTCGAAATGGCCACTACGCTCCAGCCTGGCGATGAGCAAGACTCCCTCTCAAAAAAAAAAAAGAAAAAAAGAAAAAAACTGGACACCTATTTTTCACCATATACAAAAATTTACGCAGGTTGGATTAAAGATTTAAATTTAAGACCTCAAACTACAATAATCCTGGAAGAAAAACTTCAGAAGTACCATTCTTGACATGGCCTATGGGAAATAATTCATGACTAAGTCTTTAAAAGAAATTGCAACAAAACTTGGCAAGTGAGACCTAGTTAAACTAAAGAGCTGCCACACAGCAAAGGAGACCATCAGCAGAGTAAGCAGACAACCTACAGGATGGGGGGAATTATTCACAAACTATGCGTACAACAAAGGTCTAATATCCAGAATCTATGAGGAACTTAATTCCACAAGCAAAAACAGCCCCATTTAAAAAGGGGCAAATAAACACTTCTCAAAAGAAGACATACATGCAGCCAACAAACGTGAAAAAATGCTTATCATCACTAATCATGAGAGAAATGCAAATCAAAACCACAATGAGATATTATCTCACACCAGTCAGAAAGACTATTTTTTTAAAAGTAAAAAAAAATAGCAGATACTGGCAAGGATAAGGAGAAAACGAAATGCTTATACACTGTTGGTGGGAATGTAAGTTAGTTCAGCCACTGTGGAAAGCAGTTTGGAGATTTCTCAAAGAACATAAAACAGAACTAACATTCAGCCCAGCAATCCCATTACTGAGTATGTATCCAAAAGAAAACAAATCATTCCACCAAAAAGACATACGCACTCGTATGTTTATTGCAACACTATTCACGATAGCAAAGACATGGGATCAACCTAGGTGCCCGTCAACAGTGGACTGGATAAAAATGTGGTACATATAGACCATGGAATACTATGCAGCTACAAAAGAATGAAATTATGTTCTTTGCGGGAAAATGGCTAGAGCTAGAAGCCACTAAGTGAACTAATGTAACAGAAAACAAACGCCTCATGTTCTTATAAGTAGGTGCTAAACGCTGAGTACCCATGGACACGAAGATGGTGACAATAGACACTAGGACTGCTAAGAGAGGGAGGGAGGAAGGAAAAGGTTGAAAAACTGCTGAGTACCATGTTCAGTACCTGGGTGTTGAGATCATTCATACCCCAAACCTCAGCACCACACAATATACCCAGGTAACTAACCTGCACGTGTACACCCTGAATCTAACATAAAAGTTGAAAAAGAAAAAAAAGAATGGAATCTCTGCTTGTTTTCAGAATAATCAGTTGTGCCCCTCTTCAATTTGAAATTCTCACTATTGGCTATATTTAGGGGTACCCTATTTCCCATCTCATAACTTATTTTAAGAAACACAGAATAATAATGTGTAGGCTTGGGATTCAGTTTTTGAAATAAAACACTTATCTTCAATGACCTTCCTGTACATGTAAAAGCACACCTGTCTGCATGGCAGCAGTTGGACCTCACAGTGTGGATTGTGCCTTCACCCGGGAATGTCTGTGATGCCCCATCACCGTGGTGATGGGATTAGGGATCTCCTGCCCTCAGTCTTAAGTGCCACTGTCTGTGCTGAGTTTTTCGAAGGTCAGAGCAGATTGAACCTTTGTGCTTTCATTTTTCCTGATTTTGATTTTTCTTATGGGGATCCACTTTTCCTGCATTCGAGGTATGTTCATACTGGCCTGTCAAATGCTGTCTTTTCAAATTACTAGTTAATACTTTCAAAATATGTTATTTAAAAAATTATCCTCTGTATTTTCCATATGCAGTTATAAATAAGTTTTGTGGTTATGTTTTATTCCTCATTTTATATATTTGATTCTTGTATCAAGCAGGGTGCTTTTGAACTTTTTCTTCATTTAAAAAATATGTATCATTTCCTTTTACATCCTGCACCCTTCAATGCTCCCGCCCCAAATTAAGTTATTCCCTTGAGGAGAATATGGCAAAGTCTATTTTAATGTAGTTTTTAACCTAATTAAGAACCTATGAAATCATTACTTTCAAAAAGTTTGGAGAAAAGCCACAGTAGTACAGATGGGTTTGAGGCTTTTCACACAATAAAATGTACCTATCTTTGTTTTTGACATGTTTTTCCTTCCTCTCTTCTTTTGTTGTGAAATGTGTATTTAGTTTAATAAATTTGTAGTAAGTCATGTCCATTCACATATCAATTTTAAATGTAATAAGAATGCGTATTGTCTGTGTGTGAAATAAAAAACATTTATTTTTATGCTTTGGGAGTTATCCAAAATCATAGAATTGTCAATTACAGTCAATCACCCAACCTACTCACCTTTCCAGAGTAGTCTTAGTCAAATTTTTTTTTTTTTTTGTTTCCCAATGAAATGCAGTATTTCAACACAGAAAGATAAATAGAATGAATTGGTAGAGACTGTTAACTAAGAACATACAGTTTTATTTATACTCAGAAACAAATAGATCATATACATATATATGAAGATAAAAATTAAAGGGATAATTGTGTAAGTTTGCATGTAGAAAGCTTTGAAAACCTGTTTACTTGTTAATGCTGTTTTGATGTATTGTGTGACTTAGTTCTCCCGACCCATCATCCAGAGCTCTCTCTAGGAGCTAAGTGCTCATCAGTTCTGTGAGTTGGAAACTAAGTTTAGAGGCACTTGTATTTGTTAGTAAATAAGGCAACATGATATTCTTTCACAGGTTTTAGTGCAGAAGACTGAATAGATAAGCTGCTCCACCCAGTACACTGGTGTTCATTTCATGGTCATCTCATATGTTGATCGTGGATATAAAACACTTATCTTCAATGACCTTCCTGTATATGTAAAAGCACGCCTGTCTACATGGCAGCAGTTGGACCTCACAATGTGGATTGTGCCTTCACCCTGAACTGTCTATGATGCCCTATCGTCATAGTGATGGGATTAGGGATCTCTTGCCCTTTGCTCTGCCCCTGTCTGTGCCAGCCAGGCCACTGGGTCGTTGTGGCAGATAGTGGTATCCTTTGTCAAGGGAGTTGCAACCAGGGTGATACATGAGACTAATGATTAGGTGGTATATTGTGTTCTTGTCTTGTCACCAGGTTGTGTAGCTCACAGACTTTTTTTTTTAACATTTCTATAGCTGTCATTTGAAGTTTGTAATGCCATCAAATATCAATAACGGTTCTTCCCATTATTTATCATGGAGGGCACTGAGTGTGCACTCAGGCAGACACAGCACTTTTGACAACTTTATCTGCTTCTTTCAAAACTGGGTCTGAATTATGATAAAGTGGTTGGGTTTAGGCCAAGCAGGTGTATTTCATAGAGCAATGGGTTGGGAGTTCAGAATCCTGGACTTGAATGAGTCTCTGAGCCTTATTAAGCTGTGAAATCTAAAGCAAGACATTTCACTGATAATTAAGCCTCATGAGCACTTATGCTGTATACTTTACCTACATCGAATCATTCAGCCATCACCACAGACATATGGCATGATTGATTTACTATCATCTTTTGCTGGGCAGAAAAAGACGGAGATGAATGTGCCCAAGCTTATGAGCCCCTAAGCAAAAGAGCCAAGATGGGAACCCAAGCATAGGGCCCCAATGCTGAGGCTCTGAACTACTGACCTGCCCTCAGCACTCAGCTGTGGGATCATGAGTCACTGTGCAAAGGACTTCCAACATCTGCATGTATGTCTGGAATGATCTGAGCCTGCAGAGTTCCTACACACTAGCCACATTATAGCATGGTGTCCATGGTCACATAGCTCAGGGCAGGTATTAGTACATGAATAACTTAGGTATGTCATAGTCTTTATGTGAAAGGCACATAAAAGTCCAAATGCTTTTGAACTGGTTGCGGATTTTGAGTTGGAGAACAGCACTTGGGACAACCGATCACATTCTTTCAGCGCTCGGCCACTCCTCAGCACATATCCCAAAGCTGATAAATAATGGGAAGACCCTTTATTGATATTTGATGGCATTATGAACTTCAAATGACCGCTAAAGAAATGTTAAAAAAAAGTCTGTGAGCTACACAACCTGGGGACAAGACAAGAACACAAAATACCACTTAATCATTAGTCTCATGTATCACCCTGGTTGCAACTCCCTTGACAGCTGGTTCGAAGAGCCTCAGTGCTCACCAGGGGCCATCTCCCCGCTCTGCCCTCTCTCCCTGTGGGTTGCCTGGGCTGAACATAGGTAGCTCCTCACATGATGACTGCAAACACAGGGCAAAGGAAGACTGAACGGAAAATGTACGGTTATAGTGGTTATTTTAAAATATAAGCATTTCAGTATTTTCTAATCTTTAATAATTGATTTTTTTGGGGGGGGGCTTTTTTTTTGGCAGAGTCTTGCTCTGTTGCCCAGGCTGGAGTGCACTGGCACAATCTCGGCTCACTGCAACCTCTGCTTCCTGGACTCAAGCAATTCTCCTCCCTCAGCCTCCCAAGTAGCTGGGACAACAGGCGCATGCCACCACGCCTGGCTAATTTTTTGTGTTTTTAGTAGAGACGGGATTTCACTGTGTTAGCCAGGATAGTCTTGATCTTCTGACCTCATGATCCGCCCACGTTGGCTTCCCAAAGTGCTGGGATTACAGGCGTGAGCCACTGCACCCTGCCGGTTTTTTTGTTTTGTTTTGTTTTTCTGATATGGAGTCTCACTCTGTTGCCCTGGCTGGAGTGCAGTGGCACGATCTCAGCTCACTATAGCCTCCGCCTCCAGGTTCGAGGGATTCTCCTGCTTCAGCCTCCTGAGTAGCTGGGATTACAGGCACATGCCACCATGCCTGGCTATTTTTTTTTTTTTTTTTAACTAGAGACAGGGTTCATTATGTTGGTCAGGCTGGTCTCAAACTCTTGACTTCAAATTATCCACCTACCTCAACCTCCCAAAGTGCTGGGATTACAGGTGTGAGCCACCACACCTGGCTGATTATTTTTATAACAAAGAAAATAAATAAATATAATTAATGCTGGTGCATGGAATTAAATCTAGTTTTTAAAAAATTCACACATAAAAAAGAGCAGAACCCCAGACCCTCGATGATAAATGCAGTAGCACTGTATGTGGGTCTGTGGAGGTTGAAAGGGACTTGGTAGATGTCAAGAAGAAGTGATAGTCCTGTGGGCTTTTAAAGCATCTGAAGAAGTGACAGGACGCTGTGGTTGAATCCTAGCATGTATTTTAGTATTTGTTCATTTGGAGTTTGTTTATTTCATGTTGCTTTCATTTGCCATTGCCTGGAAAGCCAAGGGCTCTACTCATTTCCTTCCTGCTCTTTCTTTGCCTTCCTTGGTCCATGAAGAGAATGGTCCAGAAGAAGCTCAATCCATGCTTGTTAACCAGGCACACCCCTAAGTTCTAGTCCCTGAGTCATTCATGAGTAGCACCACCAATGAACTGACAGCCATGCTGTGTCCTTCCACATCCCCTAGGTGACTTGAAGAAGCCTTCCAAAAAGCGTGTGAAAAGGGAGCCCTACTCTACTACCATGGTAAAGTAGCCTGTCTTTGCCTAAGATGTAAATGTTGTTTTCTTGGTTCCTTTATTTTTCAGTTGATATCAACTATGGGAAAATTATCCACTACACTATAGATGTTAGATAATGTTTCCTTGGCAATGGAGGAGGTGTATCTTACCAACTGACACCTGATTCCAGAGGACATACACAATTGGCAGTGTCAGATAGTACACTGCATGTTAAGGGATATTTTCTTCAGGAACAAGTTTTCCACTTTAGATAAGAATTCTGTAATTGCTACCCAAAAATTGTCTAGATAGAAACATCCTTCCAGAAAAGCTCCAGTGCTTTCCTAAGGAAACTCTACTCTAGAGTTGGGGCTTTTGACTTGAACATTCTTTCCCATCTTGGTTGCCCAGAGTTTCCAAGTGAACAAAAGACCTGTGCGAACCATCCATAGCATAGCCTGATTCTCAGAGTGTTTTCCTTCTCTAGTTACAGGTGACTTCATTGAGCCCAATCAATGGTACGTATTCTGGAATCACTCACTGGCTGTTAGAAAAAGATTCTGTAGGAAATCTGGAGCCTAACTGCTGGCTTTGGTCTGGAGAGCTTCCATGATCCAAGACACCTGGTGGGAATGAGGATGTGGGGTATAGTAAAAGAAACTGGTTTTCCAGGTGACAAACTCTTTTTACCTATGTATAGTTCCTGGAAACGTGTTCACATTAGGTGGTGTTCACATTAGGTCATGTGTGGGGGGTGTGTATTAAGGCAGGGGTGGGGTGGGGTGGTCTATATGCAAGTCTGCTTGATTTGCTTGTGAATGTGTGTCTATGTGTGTTGCCCCTAGGAAAAAAGTGTGTTTACCCAGCACAACTCTCAGGGCCATTTTTCTTAATTTAACAAATCAGACCACATACTTTACTTACATTAGTTCAAACCTCATCATGGCCATATGTTGTGAGCTTGTTTATTGAACCCCCACACCAGATGGAGAAACTAAGCCACAGAAATAAATGTGCCCCAGCTCACTTGCTATGAAGTGAGGAGCCAAGATGTTTACTCATACGGTCCCATTGTTGAAGGCCTGAACTACAACTTCTATTTATCAGCCAGTGAAGGGATCACTATTCACCATGCAAGGGAGTTCCAGCACCCTCTATGCCTGGAATTACCCACGCCTGCAGCGATCCCAAACGCCATCCCTCACATAAGAGAGGCTCAGTGATCTTATAATGTAGCTATGTAGGCATCTTCCTGCAGGTGTCACATAGTCCTTAGTGTGAAACCAACATAGAAAGCCCATGTTTCTGATCAAATCACAGGTTCTGAAACACTAAGGGAGGCACTAAGTAGGACAATGTGGTGCCTGCGTGTCATAGCTGGGTCTCCTCAAGACATGGCTTAAGTCCAGTAAGAATTGGGGAGATGCTTTAGAGTCTTGGCCACAGTTCACCACAAGCCCTCTGAGCTACGTACTTTAGGGATCATGATCATTGAGTACTCAAATTACCACTTGGTGGTTATCTGGGTGTCTGTTCATGGCAACTCTCTTGTGAAGCTGGCATGGAGAGCGTCAGTGCTGGAGCTGTGCCTCCCTTCTGAATGGATCCTCCCTGTGTTAGCAGGTGGGTGTAAGCATGGGGGTCAGCACGCTCAGTGGATTTACACACACAGCATTGAAGAGTAAGGCTGGGCTTCGTTATTTATACATTTTCAATAATTGATGATCTTCATAACGTAAAATCAATGATTTACTACACTAGAATACTGTCCCTAGTATTGAATCACATCTCTCAATAAAGGCTTGCTTAAAGTCACATGAGAGTTCCCATTCAACTGATGATACGTGCCGTAGCAGCAATTAAAGCAGTCATTTGAAAAGGCTTTTACTGTAAACTTATGCATGAGCCTGAAGTGGGGGATAAAAGAGGTGATTAGCTCCCCTGTGCAATGTTTCTATTATATGTGGGGTGGAGGACAATTACACAGGAAGGTGATGGAGAGAACAGAGCAAAGGATTGGACAGGTCCATTGAACCCATAAGACTATGGTGAGGTTAGTGAATGAGACTGGTCATTTTAGGTCAAATTTTACCTCGTGTGTTCTTTCCACGCTTTCTTCCAGTAGTTTCTTCTATTTCTTACTAACTAGGTCACTGTTGCTAAAATCCGTACTAAAAGAGGACAAAGCTTTGTAATAACATAAAAGCTAGTAAAACTGTGATAGCTCAAATTTTACAAAATACTGGGGGCTTTTGCCTGAGACCTGGATGACATAGTTGTGTAAGAATGGGGGGTTCCTCTGAAGACTATTGGACTTCTGAGAAGAAAGATCTAAGTTGTCTCTGTGTGATATGGAGTCAGCCTTCACTGCCCTCGAAGTCTGTCTGATAGAGGTGTTGAATGCTCAGTGAACTCCATGATCTTCCTGAAACCCAACTTTGATTCAGCGGGCTCTGCTTGGAAGCCTTTAAAGAGCGGGATCATAAGATTAAACTTGGAACACATGATCACTATTTTCTTCTGGTCTTCTGTCAGCAAGGTGTCAACAGTCCTCTCTATTGTAAATGCATTAACCAGCATCTTCTCTGATAGAAATTTTGAGAAGATACAGCCTGTACACCAACCAGCATTGGAGGCATCATGGCTTCTGGAGAAAGAAGATACAGCCACAAGAAGGTACTGTGGAAGTTCATTAATTAAGTTGATTCAATAATCGCAGTTGTGGGGAGTATTCAGTGTCCCATATGTAAGAGGAATCTATGAAGAGATTAAGCCATATTTTTTAATGTGTCAGAATTCTAATTTGCTTAGTCAGTAAGTATTGCTACAACCACAAAAGTAAATATCCACTTAAAAGTCAATTTTGGTTCATGTTTAAGGATGGACAATGTTTCAAGCCAATGTCTAGAACTTACCTGATGGTTAAACATTAGCATAGATCTCCCTGAAAGAGTGGTGCTATATTATTATTTTTAAATTAATATATTTCTTTAACTAGAGAGTTTTAAATTGACATAAAAACTGAGCATATGGCCAGGTGTGGTGGCTCATGCTTATAATCCCAACACTTTAGGAGCCCAAGGCGGGCAGATCACCTGAGGTCAGGAGTTGGAAACCAGCCTGGCCAACATGGTGAAACCCCATCTCTACTAAAAATACAAAAAAATAACAGAGTGTGGTGGCAGGCGCCTGTAATCCCAGCTACTCAGGAGGCTGAGGCAGGAGAATTGCTTGAACCCAGGAGGCGGATGTTGCAGTGAGCCGAGATGGCGCCATTGCACTCCACCCTGGGCAACAAAAGTGAAACTCCATCTCCAAAAAAAAAAAAAAAAAAAAAATTGAGCATATAATACACAAAGTTCCCATATCATTCTGTCCCCTCACCCTGACTTCCTAATTTCATCTATTATTAACATAACATCTTACATTAATGTGGTACATTTGCTAAAAGTAATGAGAAAATATTGACATTATTATCTGAAGTCTATCATTTGCATAATGTTCATTCTTTCTGTTACACATACATGTGAAGTTTGAAATATGTATAACATTATGTTCACCATTATGTTCTCATAAAGAATATGTTCACATTCCTAAAAATCTCCTCTTCTCGCTCATTAATCTCTGTCCTCTTTCTCCAGGAAGCTTGGCGACTATTAATATTTTCACTGTAGCTTCAGTTTTGCCTTTTCCAGAACGTCGTATAGTTGGAATCATATATTATGTAGCTTTTTCAGATAAATTTATTTCACTAAATTGATGTATATTTAAGCTTCCTTCATGTCTTTTTTATGCCTTAATGGCATAAAATGCACATTAAATCACCAAATAATATTGCATTGAGTGGATGTTTTTATTCACCTCTTGAAGAATTTGGTAGATTTCATGAGAGAAACCATCTGGGTCTGGTGCTTTCTTTTTCAGAATGCTCTTAATGTGAATTCAACCTATTTAACAGACCTAAGCTTATTCAAATGATCTAGGATTCTAGTTGACCTTGGGAAAATTGTCTTTCAAGGACTTAATACATTTCACTGAGGTTATCAAACTGCAGTCATAGAATTGTTCATGATATTCCTTGATTATCCTTTTAATGCTCAACAGTTCAGTAGAGACGGCTCTTCTTTTATTTCTGAAATTGGTCATTTGTGTTATCTTCTTTTTCTTGGTTAGCCTGCATAGAAGTTCATTCATTGTAATGAGCATGTCAAGGAACCAGCTTTAGGTTTTAATGATTTTCTGATGATTTCAGTGTTTTAATTTTATTGACTTCTGTGATGCTGTTTGTTACTTGTTCTACTTGCTTTACATTGCATTCCTTTATTTTCTACAGTTTCCTAATTGAAACATGATATTACTGATTTTAGATCTTGTGATTTTTAATATATTGAATCCAATGCTATAAATTTTCCTCTACAGACTGCTTTTGTTACATCTAGAAATCTTGTCAAGTCACATTTTCATTTAATGTAAAGGTATTTTTAACTTTCTATTAAGACTTCTTATTTAACCCATGAGTTATTTAAAAGTGCATTGCTAATGTGCAAATATTTGGAGATTTTCTGGCTCTCTTACAGTTGTTGATTTTTTGTTGTCAGGTATGTGTTGCAAAAGCAGTCATCCATCTCATCTTGCCACCACCCAAGATGGCCCAGGATGTGGGCTCTCCCTGAGTGAATCTTTGGCCATCTGCCAACCTGATGTGGTCAGCCTCCTTCTTTAGAAAGGGCCATTCTCAGTTCTGGCAGGGAGTTTTCCCAAAGTTGAGAAGGTGACATTCTTACTCCCCAGTGCAGCCTGCACCTCTGACCCGTGGTCAGCAGACAGGACAGACACGGGCAGGCTCTGTGTCCTAAAGCAGATGGAACTGTGCGACCATCCTGATTGGAAATTTGTGAGGATCACCGTGTTACTCAAGTAAGGTCTTTGGAAAGTGTCGTATTACTACTGTTTGTGAACTGCTTGTTGGTGGCCTGGCTGAGCCACACACTTTATGAAAACCAGGACCCCTCAGCTGGTGTGGGTGTCTATGCAGCCTGAGACCCTCATGTGAACAGCCTCGTGGCAGCTGTCTTTGCCCCTTGCCACCATCAGTGCCTCCTTGTTCCTGGGCACTGCTTTCTCTGATGGTGCTCCATTGTTTTCCTGCACCTCAGTGTCTACAGCTGGATGTCTCTTCCGCAATCTAGGCGAGGGGGCATCAATGGCAGTTCTGCTGTGGCACTGCCCTCCTTCTTAGCTTGTCTTGCTCTGTCTTAGGCTCCCTCAAAGATCCCACCCTTCAGGTTCTTCCACAAGTTTCTTATTGAAATCCGAGCACAAAACTATGACCAATATGACCAATCCTATACCCACTGAAGACATGAATGAAGAATTAAAACAATTCTCCATGGACTCTACCATATAGATCCCTAGAAGTAATTTCTTAAAAAAAAAAAAAAACAAGAAAGATGTAATAGTTTTCCATAAATTAGAATACCCTACATGTACAATTAAATGAAATGGCTAGTATAGTCTTGAAACCAAAACCAGATAAGGTAAATTAAATTCTGCGATATTTTAAAATACTGTGAATTCTGACTCATGTGCGTTAATCTCAAAATATGAAATGGTGGATTAACATTGAAAATGCGATAAATAAAATTAGCTAACTCAAAAGGTTAATGGAGAGAAAATGTGATTATTGCAATAGATTCAGGAAGTTCATGGATAACATTCGCTATATATTTACAGGACAACTATCTGATTAACTTTAAGTGACCTGTGACAACCATTTGAATTAATGCTGCTTTAACAGCATATCTCTTGGCTTGTTAAAAACCCAACCAGAATTGCCATAACATTAATTTATTTTTAACACCTATATTGGGTGTGAACCCACCCTAAAGTTTGCCCACTGAAAAGGTCTACAATTTGATGCTTTATTAAATTGATACTGTGTGCACCCATCGCCATGATCTAATTTAAAAATGTTTCCCTCACCCAAGTTCTTTCTTGCACACTGGCAGTTAATCCCCACTCCCATCTCCAGCCCTAAGCAATACTGCTATGATATTCCATCTCCATAAATTTCCTGCTTGTTTAATAGAAATGGACATATATATATATTTGGAATCTGACTTCCTTCATTTAGCATACTATGTTTGAAGTTAATTGACGCTTTAGCAGGTGCTGGTCATGTGTTTTCCTTCATAGTCTGCTGTGTTTATTCATACAGATAGTGTTTATTCATTTACCAGTTAATGGACATTTAATTATTTTTGTTTTTTTCTATGGTGAGTAGTGTAACTTTGAGCATCATACGCAGTCATGTAATGCATAATGACATTTTGGTCATTATTATTTTTTTTTTTTGAGGCCCAGGCTGGAGTGTAGTGGCACAATCTCGGCTCACTGGAACCTCCACCTCCCAGGTTTAAGCAGTTCTTGTGCCTCAACCTCCCGAGTAGCTGGGACAACCGGCACACGCCACCACACCTGGATACTTTTTGTATTTTCAGTAGAGACAGGGTTTTGCTGTGTTGGTCAGGCTGGTCTCAAACTCCTAGCCTCAGGTGATCCACCCACCTCTGCCTCCCTAAGTGCTGGGATTATAGGCATGAGCCACTGCGTCCGGCCTAATTTTTTTGAGAAACAAGAGAACTGTTTTCTAAATTAGCTTTGCCAATTTATATTCTTACCATGATGCATAGCACTAATTTCACTGTACAATGTATGGTAGGCCCCAACATGTAAGAAATGATGAAAGTAACACATAAAGATTAGTATAAAACAAATAAGATTATCATTGTTGCTATCATCTTTGTCAAGTTCTCAAAACAATCTAAGAGTATATTTTTATATAAATATGCTTGGCAACATAGCTGACAAAAGCATTATCAGTTACATTTATCAGTAACAAAGACATAAATCTGAAGGGGAAAAATACTTGTACTAACAGCACAATATCAGAATTAACATAAAAATTCTGCTGGTCACTTTGGACTATTTCATTGTCTGAGGCAGTGTTTTGTAGACAAAGGAGCATCTATGGAGCACCTGAAGTAGGGGATCAACAGAACTTGGGTTTCAAAAGTTATCTGGGTTTAGAGTGTGAAACTTTGTTGGAGGACACACACCTTGCGTGAGCGAGGTGCCTTGGTGTGTGTTGGAGGTACAGCATGATGGCCTAATCTTGAAGGCAAAGGAAGGCTGCTGGCAAGACTGGCATCTGGGCTTGGCTGTGTGTGTTTTCTATTGTGGGAAAATAAGTATAATAAAATATTTATCATTTGAACCTTTTAACCAAAGTGTGCACTCAGTGGCATTCAAAATATTCACAGTGTTGCATAACCAACACCACTATCTACACCCACAATTTTGATGATTTCTTACAAAACCTTGTCCACCGTAAGCAACATAGCACCTTCCCCCTATTTCCAGCCCATGGTGATTCCTATCCTATTTTCTCTTGTATGAATTTGACTATTCTAGGCACTTCATATAAGTACAATTAGACAATATATTCCTTTTGTGTCTGGCGTATTTCACTAAGCATAATGTTCTCAATGTCCACCCATGTTGTATCATCTATCAAAATTGTGCTCCTTTTTTACAGATGGATGATGTAGCATTGCATGCAGACCACCTTGCTTTTATTACATTCATTTGTTCACTGATGGTTGGATTATTTCCACCTTTTGGCTCCTGTGAAAAGTGATGCTACAAACATTAGTATACAAACATCTGTTTGATTTCTGTTCTCTATTCTTTAAGAGTAGAATTCCTGGGTCTAACGGGAGTTCTATATTGAACCTTCTAAGCCACTGCAGACTGGTTTCCACAGTGGCTGCAACTTTATCCATTTCTACCAGCAATGTATCGGGGTTACAATTTCTTTACATCCTTCTTCACACTTATTTTCCTTTAAATCATACTAGTATGTGTATATTGGTGTCTACTTGTGTTTTTCATTTGCATTTCCATAATGACTAATGATACTGAGCAGCTTTTCCTGTGCTACTATCTGTGGCTGTATCTTCTTTAGGGAAATATATGTTCGAGTCTTTTGCCCATTTTTAAAGAGTCATCTGATTTTTATTTAGTTAGTTTGTTGTAGATTTTTGGGGGGTTTAACATGTATTCTAAATTTTAGTTTCTTACATGATAAATGATTTGCAAATATTTCCCCCTTTGTGTAGAACTGTAGATTCACAAACTTCATTAATTTGTATGAAATCCTCAGCAGTTGACCCCAAAAGGATAAGACTGAAACAGTATTTTAGGAATAGTTGAAAGTATGATCACCACAAAACATAGGCGTAATCAAATCTCGCAAGCTACACATAAGGCACAATGATAAAGCAGCAAAGGGCCATCTGGTGATTAGTTCACCACACTTGTTGCAGCTGTTTGCGCTGCAGAGTTAAACCATACCAGCATTCAACCCATGTCTCCTCTCTTGAAGTAAACTGTCGTATGTTGGCTGGCCTGAACAAGCGTAGATATTCTCCATCCTCAATTAATTATGCATGCACGACAAAGAAAAGGAGGCCTGGATGAAAAAATATTGTGTGATTATAATTATGCTTTAATTAATTTTAAAGGATATAATTTCAGTATTTCTAATTCTCCCATTAGCAGTTATAACAAAGGATTAGTGAATAAATACAATAGACTGTTTTGCCTAGAATTGAATCCAATCTGTCTGTTAAACTTTGCTTTTGTTCAAGTGCAAAATGCTAAAACACATAATAACTGCAGTGACAGCCACTGTGGATCCACAGAGGTAAAAATGGTCTTGGGACATCAATCCTACAAGCTAATATTGTTTTATAGGGTTTAGAAAATCATTTAGCTGGGTTTCAAACCTTGCAGTGTGAGCGGTGGGACTGTCATCAAATTATAGCGTGTACTTCAGTGCCATTTGTAGACTGACTCATTGCCGTTGCCTTAAGTTGCCATCAGCAAAATGCCAGGGACTCCATTTCTTGCTCCTCGGCTCCTCGTTCTTGCCTGTCTTTCCACGAGGGAAGATTATCTAGCAGCAGCTCAAGCTGTGCTTTTAATGAAACACATCCACACACACTGTCCTGTTCTCCACATTAAGCAGAGCTCCCTGAATAACTCATGAACAAAAGCATCGATGACTAACCGTTGCTCTGTGTCCTCCTAGCCTCTGAGGAGCCTCCAGCTCACAAGGACAGAGGAGGTGGAGAGAGGCCAGTCAACGCGAGGGTAAGGTTGCCTTGCTTTCCCTGAAATAGAAATGTTCCTTTCTTGGCATCTTTCTTTTTCAACTGACTTTACATGTGAAAAAATGACAATGTCCATGACAGGTATTAAATGCAGTTTTCTGAGGGGGTGGAAGAAGTGACTCTTAGCAACTGATATGTAATCCAAAATGACATTTAGCTGTGATGGCTTCAGGTTGTAGATCGTGTCCTTGGGGTCCTTGTCCTTGGAAGCAATGTCTTCTCCTTGGATTCAGTATTTTGCACTTGCCAACCTATGTGGACCTGAGAGATCCACCATCCAGAAATTGATGTCTTTTACAGTGTGTATCCTACCCTTGTTTGGGGAGCCTTGAAGTTGACTACACTTTCTGATCAAGTTTTCAGTATTCATTGAGAGAAACAGAGCCTTGTGCAAACAATCCACAACACGACGTACCCCTCATAAAGTCTTGTTTCTGTATTGCAGGTGGTGCGGGTGGCCCCTCTGAGGCCTGGTTTTGGTAAGTATTCTGGAATTACTTGCCAAGAAAACAATCTGGATGCCAAGAAAAGTGTGGCATCTTTGCAGGTTTCAATGTGAAGAGCCACCCTGATCCTGGGATCGTGATAGAAATAAGCATAGGGGAAGTGTTTTTTTAAAAACCTGAATTCCCCAGGGAAAAGTTATGGCCAATTTTTGAGGAAGCAGCTGTGCTCCCTTTTGGGTGGTGCTGAGTTGGGTGCTTGAGGATTGGTGGTGTCTTGTGTGAGGCTGCATCGTGTGGTGTGAATGTGTGTGTTTCTGTACAGGTGAGGCTGTGTGTTTTCTCAGGAGAGATTTCCCATTTATACAGCCCAATCGCCAGTGTCCACTTCTAACAATGAAATCCACCCTCGCTCTACTCTTTCTGTACAGTGACTCCTCCACCCTCACCAGAGCCATTCCCGGGTCTGCCTTATTATCCCCACTGCTCAGGTGGAGAACCTGAAGGGCCAAGGGAGGGGCCCCAGCTCCGGAGTTCCTGAATGAAAAAGTGAAAACACGAACCCAGGAGTGTGGGCCAGTGCTGACGCTGACATGCACTTAGTCATGGGGTGTTCACCACCACACAGGGAGTCCAGCATTCATGTATAAGCCCTAAAGCACCGAGCCCAAAAGGCCCCAGACACTGCCCATCATCATAAAGTGGCCTCCGTGGTCACACAACCCAGGGCAGTTATAGGCTCATCTCCCCACGGACCGGCATAGTCATCAGTGCGTCAAAAGCACAAAGATCCCCAGGTGTTTGGGTCAGCTCACAGATCCTTTTTTTTTTTTTTAACTTTTATTTTAAGTTCAGGGGTACATGTGCAGGATGTGCAGGTTTGCTACATATGTAAATGTGTGTCATGAAGAGTTTGTTGTACAGATTTCGTCACCCATATATTAAGCCTAATATCAGCTATTTTCCCCAATCCTCCCCCTCCTCCAAACTTCCACCCTCCAGTAGGCCCCACGCTCACAAATTCTAAGAGGAGTGGGGGACCACAAAGGCCAGTGTGGCCCACTTCAGTTGTGAAGTTAATTTGCTCAGCAACTGGCCAAAGTCTATAAGGATGGGTGATGTATTTTAGTAGATTTAGTAATACTATCTTCCCAAGCCCTAAAATGCTCAAATCCTGCCAGCCAAAAATGGTGAGGAGGGACAGATAGGAACTCTGTGTGGCACTTGGTTATTAGCCTGGCTTCCATCCCTTAGTGGCAACTCTCTTGTATATGTGGGTTAAAGACCCTCAGCCTCAAGCCAAGCCTCCTCCATGAGGAGCCATCTCACTATTGACTGCCTAGTGCAGTGTATGGCCACCAGCCCAACTGAAACAAAATGTTGCTTTAAAACAAGTGTAAATCTCATACAACAAGCAAATGCAGAAGCAGTGTGGTCTTGCAAGTTGCAAAGAGCACAGTTACAGTTTCGCTGGACTTCAACCTGGGTAGAAGACATGAGGGAACTCTCACTGAATCACGGCAGAGTTCAAGGCCACTTGTAGACTATTGCATGTTATAGAAGGTGACCCTTAGCTAGTAAGCAAAGGCCTCTGTTTCTAATTTCTTCCCTGTTCATCTTCTTGGTCATCCTTCTTCTGCAAGGGAAAAGAGCCCGAGCAAAAGGCAGTTTCAATATTAATCTGATCAAGGTTTTGTGCAGTTTATTATCATCCAGGTAATCAGGTGCAACTCGGTCTGCCTACCAGCCCCCCACCCCTGCTCTGTGTTTTCATTTAATAAATATTTTGGTCTACTTACTATGTGCTAGATTTTCTGGAGACCGCAAAGTAAATGAGATAGAATCTTTATGTTGACAGCTAAGTTAGATTTAACATAACTGACAAAAATTAAAATTTCTGATTTCTTGCAAAAATATTTTGTATGTATGAATGCATACTGAATGTAAAGTGGTTAACAAAAAAAATCACACTTGCACTCATGGAAGGCTTTTCATGAATTTGTCAATTTCTATTTTTTTATATTTCCCCACTTCACTGGATAATGCATATCTGAACCTGGAAACTGATTCCCACTGCAGAAAGTGTTCTGAGTCATGTCCCTTAGCTTCACTAGTGCAGGTCCACCCGGGAGGATGGCCTAGCATCAGCTGGGCCCATGCTGTGATCAGCCACCTCCAGGCACCCACACCAAGCAAGCTCCCTGGGTGATTCACCACCAGGGCACTGACCTTTACTCTGTGTTCTCCTAGCTCTTTGTGGGTACGCTGTACAAGACATCTCTAAAGAAGACACTGTATATGACATCTGTAATGAGGATGCTGTAGACATCTCTGATGAGGACACTGTAGATATCTCTAATGAGGCTTCTGTACATGACATCTCTAATGAGGCTGCTGTATGTGACATCTCTAACGATGCCGTAAACATCTCTAATGAGGCTGCTGTACGTGACATCTCTAATGACGCTGTAGACATCTGTAATGAGGCTGCTGTACATGACATCTCTAATGAGGACACTATAGAAGACATTTCTTATGAGGACACTGTATACGACATCACTAATGAGGATGCTGTACGATACCTCTGTAAAAAAGATGCTACCAAGGTAAGACACTTTCCTTTGTCTTGAACAGAAATGTTGCTTTCCTGGCTTCTTTCCAATCAGATGTAGACATGAACATCTGCCAATGTGGACTATTTATGACATCTGCAATTCCCTTGGTGTGGTGCTACTGATTGGCAGCCTCTCATCAACCCATGCCGGGCACACTGGGGCGTGGTAGATGGCAGCATCCATGATCCACTGCAATGTAGAGGTGTTTCCCTCCACAGCAGTTTTCCCCTGTGGATTAAGAGTTATGAAACTGCCAATCTAAATACACTTTAAAGATAAATTCTGTGGGAAAAGGTGTTGTCTTTTCCACAGGTGTCCTCCGTGCTAGTTTTGGGGGACTTCGATCTCTGACTCAATCACTATACCCCTTCTAATTTTCTCAAGTTGTTGAGAGAATATCAGATCTGTGTGACGTGCATGGCAACATTTCACCCCCTAATGTTTTCTTTTCTATAATTGCAGGAGCCATTGACACTGGAGAATGGTACGTACCCTGAAATAACTCATTTCCTGAGGGAAAAACATTGCCTCTAGGGTACAGAAACCTGATTCTGGGCTCCTTTTGGGAAGGAGGATTTGGGGTCTGGTGAGAGCAAATGATTTTGCAAGTATAAAACCATGTCCAGAGAGGCTGTAGGGATATCTGTGAGCCCAGAGGAAACACCAGGGGATCCTGTGTGAAGCACCCGGGCTTCAGCTGGGGTGGGAGGAGTGGATGGGCCTCTCTCTAATGACTTATCCTGATGTTTGTGTTTCTAAAGATTTGATTGTGGAGAGCATGTCTGATGACGAGGATTTTGCAGGTAGGTAACTACTTTCCACGTAAGAGCCAATGGGAGAGAGTTCCCAGGGGCCTTCGGGGTATCCATGCTGCTTGGGAGGTTGAGGGAGGGGGCATGAAATCAAAACGAAACAGGAAATATGTGTCAAATTGGATTTGGTCTTTTCCAGGTTTATTGGCATAATAGTAAGAACTGTCTCTCTGGGCTATGAGAGTGCTGTGTTATTTGAAGGTGATCTTTCCCGGAACACCTGGCCTTTTCTTTTCTGCCTCTGCCAAACATCACAGCCTTTGGGTTGGATTAGTCAGCACCCCTTGGGATTGTGCAGAAGAGGTTTGGGGTTGCATTGAGTGTCACCTGTGGTGAACAGAATCTGAGGGACACAACTCTCTCACAGGCACTTACTTGATCCTGGAGACAAAGTTCTCCCGGTGTGTGCCCAGGGGTGCAGGAGAAATTGACAGTCGGCCTCTAAACTTTTAGGACTTTAAAAAGCACTCATGTTTCCATCCTTGCTGTTGACTCCTAGCTTAAAGGGAGCTCCCGGGGTGAGTGATGGAGGCGGGATCGGACCCTGGCAGTTTGACGGCAACACCTGTGTTCCTCTGCACTGGGCCGTGGATGACATTACACACCTTGGTGAGAATCAGGAATTGAGGCTAATCACATCTGAAATTGAGGTGGGCCTTGAGTCATATAAATAGTTTGGAAAAGATGCATTTTATTACCCTATTGAAAGAAACCATTTATGGCCAGGTGCGGAGACCTATAATCCCAGCACTTTGGGAGGCTGAGACAGGCAGATCACAAGGTCAGGAGATTGAGACCATCCTGGCTAACAGTTAAACCCCTTCTCCACTAAAAAAAAAAAAAAAAAAAAAAATTAGCCAGGCGTGGTGGCAGGTGCCTGTAGTCCCAGCTACTCAGGAGGGTGAGGCAGGAGAGTGGCATGAACCTGGGCGGCGGAACTTGCAGTGAGCCGAGATCATACCACTGCACTCCAGCCTGGGCAACAGAGCGAGACTCCATCTAAAAAAAAAAAAAAAAAAAAGAAAGAAACCATTTATTTCTCACTCCAGCAGGATAAATGGTTTTCAGTGTCCACTTAACTGCTCATTGACTCTTACTGTAGATGAGGAGGTGGCCAGCAGCCCCTGCCCTCCCCCAGTTGTAGGCCCAAGGTAACCAGCAATTGACTGGATATAATGGAAGAGTGGTGCATTCGGAGGTATCTGTATTAATGGGACCCACATGATATGGATGAGAGCTATTAGGGTGAGAAAAAGCCTGGGAGCACAATGAAATATTTAAATATTAAACAAAACATTGTTGAAATCTCCATTGTACTTTAGTAGTTGAAGTCATTCTTGTGGTCATCACTGCCTTTCCCAAGCATAACAAGCTACTTAATATCACATGGACCCGTGCCATGAGGAATGATGATCAGTTTGTAAAATGCCAATAAAACAATTGCCTGTATAAGCCACAATATTTCATCCATATATTTCAATTTCCATGTGTAAGTATAGTTCAAATGTCAGAAATTTATTATTATCTAATAGAATATTCATGGTATATCAATGAGCAATAATTATCATACTATTTCTATTAACAATTATTTGTATGATGAAAAAAGCAGACTCCCATTCTTGGATTTTTCTCAGTTTGCACACATTAGCACGACAGGACCATGTCCATATGATATGTGCCAGCAGGAGGCCAGGACCAGAGGCTTTTCTTGTTAGCTAAGATTTCTAAATGTATTACATATTCATGGTTAGAAATAACTCTAAATATCATAAAAGGTTAGCAAGGAAGTTTCCCTTCCACTCTGAACTTCCAAACACCAAGTCAACATTTTTGCTTGCATATCATTTCTACAATCTATGTGCAAATAGAAACATGCACCTGGAATGCATGCTGATGTGTGATTGTGTTTACACAAAGTCCTCTGCCCCTCTGCACATATCACTGGGCAATGCACCTTAGTTATCATTCCACATTTTCAAATGTAAATCCACTGTATTGTTTCAGAGCTATAAAGTACTGCACCCTATGACTATTCCCAAAATTACTTAAGCACTCATTATGGGTATCCATTTGTTCTGTTTCCAGTCTTGCTTTTACAACCAATGCTGTAGTGAATAGCACTATGTTGAGTAGAAGTGGTGAATGTGGGCATCTTTGTCTTGTTCCAGTCCTCAGGGGGAATGCTTTCCACTTTCCCCCATTCAGGATAATGTTGGCTGTGGGTTTGTCACAGATGGCTTTTATTACCTTAAGGTATGTCCCTTCTATGCCGATTTTGCTGAAGGATTTTAATCATAAAGAAATGCTGTATTTTCTCAAATGTTTTTTCTGAATCTATTCAGATTATCATATGAGTTTTTGTTTTTAATTTTATTTATGTGATGTATCACATTTATTGACTTGCATGTGTTAAACCATCCCTGCATCCCTGGTATGAAACCCACTTGATCATGGTGGATTATCTTTTTGATATGCTGTTGGATTCAGTTAGCTTGGTTGTAGCATTTCTTATTATTCCATCTGTGGAATGTATTGGTTTAAGTAATGAAAACATGTTCTATCTTCACTGCTTCACAACTTGTGTTTCTTTAACAGCCTTCCCAATAGGGCAGCATAAAAGCAGGAGCCTTGCTAGTCTCCCCTTAACCTGGAATCCCCCCTTCTCCACAGCTCGCTCACTGGACAGGATAGACTGGGCGCCCAGGCCTCAAGGTAAGGACACACTGTCACCTAGAGGTCCAGTGTCTGGGAAGGCCAACCTTGGAGGGGCGCTGCCAGCTTTACAGTGACAGAGGTGTTGGGAGGGACTGACCACCAATGCATAAGGCTGTGCTTTGTTGGTGACGTAAAGGATTATTTCTCAAATTTTTGGGGAGGGACAATCTCAAGGCCTCCCTTGGTCCTGGTGCTGGCTCTGCACAAAGGCAGTAAGACAGGGATGCTGGTAAGGCCTGACCTGTTGCGGTGCTGGGGAGGAAGGTGCTGGGCTGAAATTCAGGAGGCTGAGGATGCAGCAGTCCCATAGGAGGTACACGACCTTCAGGATACATTTTCTTCATTGATGATCAATGGAAATGAGAAATCACTGGCTATTTTTTCTATCCTTGGAATCTACTCTCTACTGCTCGTGCTGTTCCTGTCTTTTGGGGAAGATGGAGGATCAATCAGTGTGCACTGCACTGAGTGGAAGGAAGGAGAGCTGTGACAAAAATTAAGGGAGGATGAGAGACATGGGGGCCCTTCATCCAGGTGCTTGCAGAGTCTTCCTGAGGAGGAAAGCCCCGTGGCTCCCTGGGGAAGGAGCAGGGAGGGCTGCATGACTCCCACAATGAAGGGTGTGGTATGTCTGAGGACACCCAGGCTGGTCTGTTAAGAGTCAGTGGCAGAGTGAGAAGCAGCAAGGCCAGGAGGGTGGCTGGAGGCCAGGCTCTGGATCATTCTTCATGTGATGGAAACAGCCGGAGCCCAGTGGGCTGGGAGGTGCAGGTCGCGGTGGCTGATGACAGAACAATGTGGAGAAAAGTGTGATGTGTCAAATCCTTACTTTGTTCTGGGCATTGTGCTAAATGTGGCCCATCCCATTTAGGGGCCGAAAGTTGCAGAGGTTTAGGAAGCTCGCCCATGATACCGGAGCCCCCATCTCCTGCCCTAGGGCTGTCCCCCTTCTCACCCAGCCACCACCTGTTTCGGGGCAATACACAGAAGTGGTAACTTCTTACGGATAGGCAAGTAAATTCTGCTGTTTTTGTTATTCACAGAAAAAAACACTGGCTTATGTGGGTAGGGAAGGTGACATACCAGAAGCATTTCATCTGGTTATTTCTATTAACGTGAATCCTATAGTATTGAAATGCATAGGTTAGCATTTTTGGCCAATTTACTCAGCATTCTAGGTTAAAGGCTTTTATTTAATTAATTAATTTGTTTATTTTTGAGATGGAGTTTCACTCTTGTTGCCCAAGCTGGAGTGCAACAGTACTATCTCGGCTCACTGCAACCTCCACCTCCCAGGTTCAAGCGAGTCTCCTGCCCTCTGCCTCCTAAGTAGCTGTGATTATAGGCTCATGCCACCATACCTGGCTAATTTTTTGTATTTTTGGTAGAAATGAGGGTTCACCGTTTTGGTCAGGCTGGTCTCGAACTCCTGACCTCAGGTGATCCGCCCACCTTGGCCCACCAAAGTGCTGGGATTATGGGCATGAATCACCACGCCTGGCGTAAAGGCTTTTAAAACTCACTTGTATACGTTGACTTAGTTTTCTTTAACCTTGTAGAAAAATACAAAATGGCAATCTCTTTTATCACACAAATAATGTCTTTTTAATAGTGATTTTTTTCTAATTGATATATTATGTACTTTTCATTCACTAATTATTAATTGCTTACATTTGAAGTGTTTTATGAATTAATATTTACTTGCATAGATGAAGATGACTAGTCATAGGCATTTTTACTAACCAATACTCATTAAGCATAGCATGGACTCATGTGATGTCAAGGAGCTATTTTATTTGGTAAAAGGAAAAAGCCCAAGAATGAATGCAAGAACTGAAACAGTGGAGACACCTAGCATGACTTGTCTAAGATCTAAATCATTTTGTTGTCTTCCCAGTGTACTTATCCTGATCATTGTCATCAGCATTGATTTGGTCATTTTAGCACAGATTTCTCAAAATGGGTAACTCCATAACAGTTGGAAGCTTATGAATTCATATAATTTGTAAGAGCACAATTTGGGAGTACCTATTTTAAAATTCTAATAACCTGGTAATTTCATCCACGTCTAGAGTATTTTATGTAAAATATTTCCACAATTAGGAGAAATATGTGCATGGGGATTTTCTATGTAGCAGTGTTTTAATAGAATAGAAAATTGGGACAAACCAAATTTCCATCACAAAGGAAATAGTAATACACTGAATAGTAATACAGCAAATATTATGCAGGCTTTAAACATCAAAAAGGAGCTCAACTTCTGACTTCCGATGACGGTGTCGAAGTAGGTCACAGCTGGTTTACATTTGATTTTCATGTGGGAACTCTGGAAGTCTGCCTTAGTGATTTTACATGTAGCTAAATTTAGCGAATGAAAAGCTATTCGAAGTATGGCAAAATGGAACTTTAAAACAGTATCTTGTCAACAACCAAGAGGACCTGTTTCACATAAAGCCCACGCATTCATCTGCCTGTCCATCATTCTGTCTGTCCACACGGGCATCATTCGTTAGTGGAACTGAGTGCCCACTGTCGAGCTGACAAGCCCATAACCTCCCTGTTTCTAGTCACACATTAATTCTTCGACAAATCCCTTTTGATAGATTGTGATTAAGCTTAGCTGCTATTTCCAATTGCTTCCCCAAACGTACTTCTCACTGTTCTCCCATCACACCCTTCAGCCCATCCATGCAGGTTTCCTTTGCTTTTCTCACCTTACACCAAACTCCCTATTTTTACTCCCACTTTTACCTCCTCTCCAAGACAAAACAAACAAAACTAGCATTTTAAAACTTAGTTGTAATCTTTCTTCCTTCATGAAAATTTCTCCAACAGCCACTCCCATGGCCCTGTGTGTTCCGGATTTTTTTAAATATTGGCTATAAGGTTGAGCAAGTCAGGATATGCTTTTTTGGGGTGCACACTGTTTTGTTTGTATTGATTCTTCCTATTGGAGGCGTGGTCATTGCCTTCTCCTCTGGGGAGTTTATGCCAGTGCTCTTCAATAAGATTGGCAGGCAATTTTTCTTTTTGTACTTAATTTTTTGTATGGTATTGAGATAATATTCTCATCAGATTAATTGAAAGTAGCCCCCTTCATTAATTTTATGGAAATATTTTAATTGGATTAGAATGACAACTCCACTGTAATTTTGGATTTAGCCAATAATACTATTAGGGCTCTGTGTGTGAGAGAGAAAAAGAGAGAAAGGGAAAGAAAGAGACAAAGACCGATACTTCTTAACTACTGATTAAATTTACATAGAAGCTACTGAACTATTCAGGATTTTTATTTCTTCATGAGTTCATTTTAGAAAATTATACTTTCTAGGATTTTGTCTATTTTGTACACATTTTAAAATGTCTTGGCATGATATCCATATTCATATATGTTTACATACATAATGAATACATATGTAGATTTGAATACATATATTTATTCATAATATCCACTGATTGTTTTGTAATCTCTGCTACTTCTGTGGTTATGTCTTCCTATGAATTTCTGATATGAATTTTGATTATTTCCCTTTTTTCTTGATAAATCTCACTAATGACTTTTGTATTAGACTTTTCTGGAAAACAACTGTTGGCTTTGTTACTTCTCCCTAGTATTGTCCTTATTTTCTATTTCATCAATTTCTCTTCTCATCTGTTATCCTTCCATTACATTATCTGCATTTATTCTGATGCTACTTTTTTCTAACTTGAGTTGTATGCTTAATTAACTTTCAGCCTTTCTGAGTTTCCAGCGTAAACAACTAAGCTTATAGATTGCTCTCACATAATGCTCTTTGCTGCATCTCACAATTTTCAGTTTGCACACATTTTATTATTTATTCATAAGAATTATCTAATTGCATTATGATTTTTATTGACATTCAAGTTTAGAAGTATGCTCTACATTTTCTAATGTTGCAACCAATGGTCTTGTGCACCAGTCTTTTCAATTTTTGCCAGTCTCCTTCAGGATGGATTTTAAGATGTTGGATTGTAGGTCAAAGTGTTACTGCTTTGCAACTTTGCTAAATGTTGCCAAATTCCTCTCCACAAGTGCCTAATGGGGCTTTCTTAGCAACAATGTGTGTACAGCCACACTAACATAGTTACATGTGAAACTTCTAAAATTTTGTCTCTAAAGTGGTATTGAGGTGATTTTTAAAATTTTTTCAATGAGATTAAAAGCCATTTCTGTTTTTTCCTTTATATTGTTTGTTCACGTCTCTAACATGCTTACATGTGATTGTTGGTAGTCTTCTTCCCTATATTTAGAGACTTGTTACATTTTAAGTATATTAAAACCTTTGTGATATGCCTGGCCGTGTTTTTTTTTCCGGTTTACCATGTATCTTTTGCACTTTTTTAAATTGAACTTCATGTCACACTGAGGTTTTCTATTTTTATGTAATAAAACATTATAATTTCATTGTGTTCTCTGGGGTGGTTCTACCACTTTCAAGGCTGCTGTTGACTTTCTACAGTAATATGTGTGGCATTGATGTAGAGCAGCCAATGTCTCCCATGTTTTGTAATAATTGATCTTTCTTTGTTTCAGATAACCCTGAGAAATATATTGACTGACTGTCTCCACAGGGCTTATGATTTCTTCTCGGGTTTGAAACATGCCCCCAGATGAGCAAGACGGGGCTGCCACATTGACGGAGCAGCTGCGGGACACACCCAAGAAACCTCCTGGAGAACACAGGGGACATTCACGGCTGGAGGCTTCATCTATGGCCGGGGGCTTCATCCATGAGCTGGGGACTTCATCCATGGGCTGGGGACTTCATCCATGACTGGGGACCTCATCCACGTCTGGAGACTTCATCCGCGACTGGGGGCTTCATCCATGGGCTGGGGGATTCATCCACGGGCTGGGGGCTTCATCCATCACTGGGGGCTTCATCCACGGGCTGGGGGCTTCATCCATGACTGGGGGCTTCATCCACGGGCTGGGGGCTTCATCCATGGGCTGGGGGCTTCATCCATGACTGGGGGCTTCATCCACGGGCTGGGGGCTTCATCCATGACTGGGGACTTCATCCACGACTGGAGACTTCATCCATAGGCTGGGGGCTTCATCTACAGCTGGAGACTTCATCCACAGCAGGGGCTTCATCCTTGGTTGGTTTGCCTGATCTGTATCTGAGCCACAGATACAGATTATTAAACAGATAATAATTTTATTGACTTCCACTTTTATCTTTTTTTTACCGTTTTTGTTTCAAAAGTTGTTTGTTGATAATTTAATGAAATAACTAAACCAGAATTATCCCCTTTTAATTATTTCCTTGTGTCTATATAGAAAGAGTAGATTTAAGAAAACATTGAGATGCCCCTGTCTGTGTTTGTGAATGGGAGTGTTGGGTCTAAAGCCTTTCTCTGTTAGCTTTCCAGAAGATTGCCCCACCTTACACTTGCTTTCTGCGGGTTCCAGAGGCTTCCATTTGAAAGGAGCCTCTCTACCCACTCTGCCTCAGCCCACACCAGCTCTCCTGTAACCCACTGACTTTGTAAACGCTTTCTTCCACCTGCACCTCATTGAATTCAAGACTTTGGAAAATAGTCAAAAATTCTAAAAAGGTGGGAATGGGTGTGATCTGGAAATCCTGGCTGTAATATTTTTAATGGAATCTACTGGAAACTATTAGTTTATGTTTTAAATAAAACCATCCCTTAGCACTAGAATATCAAGCCATTCATTTTTTAGCAGAACTTTGAGATATAATTTAAATACCATAAATTTCACCCCCATACAGTGTACAATTCAATGGTTTCTAATATATTCACAGAGGTCTGCAAAAATTACAATTTAATTTTAGACATTAATATCATTTATTGACATCCTTATATGCATATAGATGTAGATATATGTAATTTTAATATCATCTTGAATATTATAGTATTTAACATTGTACTATGATAATATCTGTGTTTTTATATTGCTGTTTTATTTTGTTATTCTGAATGACAATGATCTCCAGGTACCTTTACACAGGTTTAAAATACACCTTTTTACAACTCGAGAAATTAAATTGTTTCTAGTAAATCACATAAGAAACACATATGCTATTGTTATAAAAATTCAAATACTGCTTAGGTCTATGGAATGTATTTCTATGGCCCTGGAGAGATGGGCACAGAGGGCAGTCTCTCCTCGATGCACCCTTATCTGTGAGGACAGTCCCCCCAGCCCCTGTGCCTCCATCCGGGTTCCATCAGCAAAGGGAAGCCCCAGAGCTGGGGCCCGGCCTTGAGGCAGAGCTGGAAGCTGCTACGCGGAGGGGCCTCAGCCCATGGTGGTGGGGGGGCACCCCAGCCACCCTTGGTCCCAGCTGCCACCTGTGCACTCCCTGAGCGGAAATGCCTGACTCACCCTAACGTTGTCCGGTCTGCAGATGGCGGCGGCTGCTGAGGGAGCTCCTTCCCCTCCTCCCGCCTACCCTGCTAGGGCTAGGCCACAGATACACAGGGCGAGTGGGAGTGTCTAGGGGAGAAGATTTTATTTCACAAGGTGAGGAGCCCGGGCTGGTGGCCGACGCCCACACACCAGGCTCCGGGACGCATGGGGTCTGCACGTGGGGAGGGTGCTGGCCGCCCCAGCAGGAAGCCCGACGTAGGTCCCAGCGTGTCTGTCAGTCATGCCGCTGCCCTGTGGAGCTGGAGAGGCAGGACGTGCACCCAGCCTGTGGCTGGCGGGGCAAGGGACCTGCAGGTCAGGCCAAGTAGAGTGGCTCTGGCTATGCCCCCGAGGCGCAGGCTACGCCACGGTCTGGAGGCTGAAGAGCTCGAGGGTGAGCGAGCTGAGGAAGGCAGGGATGCTGTCCTGGCGCCGCAGGTGCACCTCGATGAGCTCGCCCACGGTGTGCGAGAACTCTGTCTCCAGTAGCTGCATCTTGGAACCCGAGGGCCTGGTGGCCTGCGGGGCGGTCAAGAGACAAGACAGCGGTCAGCCCGACAGGCCTCTCCCTCTCCCCTCCCTCCCTACACAGCTCCTCCAGCCATGGGGGCTTCCCTCAGTCTGAGGACCTGGACAGGGGTAGATGCGTCCTCAACCCTGCCAGGCCTTATTCCAGGTCACCTAAAGGGACTGAATTAACCCAGGGCAAGGTCTCTGTTGTCTACACTGTCATCTACCCAGGCAGCTGGGGGTCCCAGGCACTGCAGGGTGTGCCCACCCGAGGGGCTGCCACCTTGCTCCTTCCTCCACCTGGGGGGCTCCAGCACCTGTGCCCCCACCTGTGACAGGCCCCAGTGCCACTCTTCACTGAGGCTGGAGGACCCCACACCCTGGGCAACTCCTGCAACGCCTTCCACACTGCCTGGGCCCCATGACCTAGTTTCCCCACTTGTGCAGGGGGGCGCTGGGGGCCCAGGGGGCGTCTGGCTCTGTGGATTCTGCAGCCCAGAGGGAGGCCTCCTGTAACTGGAGAACGGGCAAGGAGGAGCTTCCAGACAGCGCTGCAGGCCCCAGGGGACACAGGGCAGGAGGCACAGGGTTCAGGTCACACAGCAGGTCTGAGCAAGCTGCTGTGCCACAGTCCTGGGCTGTGTGGGGAGTGGACAGAGGCCCTTCTGAGCTGCCCCCGAGAGCCAGCCCCACCCCGGTCAGCACCCACACAGCCCCAGGTCAGGCAGGACACAAACCCAGCCCACCACAAAGCTCCCTCTCAAACCACGTCCCTGAAAAGTCCTGTACCCAGAATATGCCCAGAACTCCCACAACTCCACCATGAAGAGGAAAGGGCCGATTAAACAAGGGGCCTTTGAACATTTCTCCAGAGAAGAGCCACACACGGCCAGTGAGCTCATGCCAGGACGCCGGGCACCGGGGAAACGTGAACCTCAACTGAGCGAGACACGGACCCGCCTCGCGCCGACGGCCACTGAGAGCAAACACCATGAGCTGCTGGGTCGAGGGGAATCAGACCCTCCGCGTCGCTGGCGGGAGCGTGTGTGATGCGGCCACTGCAAACAGCCGGCGGCTCCTCAAAGAGCTGAACGCAGAGTCCATGGGCCCAGCACACGCCCGGGCGCGCAGCCAGGGGGTCTGAGCGCTGTCCACACACAGACCTCGGCACGGACGTCCACGGCAACACGATCCCATCACTAACAGATGGAACGCGGAACCAGCCCTCAACCGCCGGAGGGAGAGACAAAACCGGGTTTACCCGTCAACACCGCTTCGTACAGCCAAACTCTGAGACACGCTGCCCCGCGGGCAAACCCCGAAAACATGCCCAGCCAGTCACAGAGACCTGTCGACACAACTCCGTGCCCAGGGGATGTCGTGGAGGGGCACGCCAGGGCTCAGGGCCGGTGGAAAGGTGCCACGGTTAGACTGGTCGCGGCTGCGCACCGAATGTGCTGGGAAGAACGGAACGGTAGACTAATGGAACGCTAGACTTGGGGGTGAGCTGCATGTGTGTGCATCAGAGCTCAGGAAACCGTTTTGGAAAGGACTCCCTTCGCCCGGCAGCCCTCTGGGAACCCTCCCCAGGAGCCACAGGGCGGCCTGGCTCCATCCAGCTTGGTCCTGGCAGCTCCCCTGTCCACCGGAGCATGCCTGGGCTGGGCCCTGCCCTGATGGTGTCGCCCCTCCCCTCACCACCTTTGGAGCACGTGCTGCCCCCGAGGCCCTGCGGCCTGACCTGTTCCTCTGTTTCTCAGGAGCCGTCCCCGTGCCCTCCCCCTGCCCTCCCCCTGTTTCTGCTGCCTTAGTACATTTGGCCTTGTCATAGTTCAACACAAACCATTTTTAAACAAAAACAAGAGAAACCACTCTGACCTTTCACTGAGAAAATCCTTTCATTTCTGCCTTCTGCTCTTGATTCTGAATTTCTCCCCCTAAATGTCAGAGGGGCTGATTCTCCTGCAGCTGCTGGGCAGGGGTGGGGAGGCAGTGTGGGAAGAAGTCTCCTTAGCCGGCCCTTCGCCCTCCTCCCAACCCAGGGCTGGCAACCTGGCTGGGCCTGGGGCACTGTGGTGCAGACTCTGGCCAGGCTGGACCAAAGAATAGCTGTTCTCCAGGCACCCGCCTTCCCCGGCCCTCAGAGGCTGGCAGGCTTTGGGAGCCTGGCTGTTCATTTCTAAAACAATTTTTTTTTAGAGATGAGTCTCACTCTGTCACCCAGGCTGGAGTGCAGTGGCATGATGATGGGTCACTCAGCCTCGAGCTCCTGGGCTCAAGTGATCCACCTCAGCCTCCTGAGCAGTTGGAATGACAGGCATGTGCCAGCACACCTGGCTAATTTTTAAATTTTTTTGAGAGATAGATAGGCTTTAGCTATGTTGCCCAGGCTGGTCTCAAACTCCTGGCCTGACGTGATCCTCCTGCCTCAGCTGCTCATGACGTGAGGATTACAGGTGTGATCTCTGATCATTCTTTATTTGAAACAGGTGCACCCTGCCAGCATCAGCAAGACAGCTGCTCCCAATGGTAGGCCGGGCCGCCCACTCACGGCTCCTACAGCACTTCCTCTCTGCTGGCCTCAGGCGGCTCTGGAAGAATGACGCCCTAAGATACCGCACTGCCCTCCAGGTGGGGGTGGGGGTGGACGGAGACAGGCAGGAGTGACCAGTGCTACTCTCCCAGCTCAAACCCTACACGAAGGCAGACCCAGCGTTTGCAAAACACCAGCCCCCTGTGAACAAGTCGACCTGCCGTGCAGCCCACCTCTGACTCCGTTTCCCCCAGCATACCCGGCCGCATTGGGAGGCTCCACCTCGGTCCAACACTCCGGCATTAGCAGGACCTGCTGAATGAGTGGCACCGGGCCCATCCATCTCTGCCATCTCTGCTCAGCCCTCTGCCATGTTCAAATATCACACAGTCCCCAGGTACCTCGTAAATCACTGTAATTAGGGGCTGCTCACTTAAAATTAGAGCGCAATTTTTTAAAAAGCAAATTGTCAGTAAGACACGTTGGCTGTGGCTGGAAATATTTATGAGGCTGCCTGCGCGCAGGCTCTGGCTTCCTCTCCCTCTGTCTGGCCGGCCCGAGCTGCCACCTGTCTAGTCTGCACACATAGCGGCCATGTGGCTGGCGGGTGCCCTGGGGGAGACTGAGACACTCACTCTTAATGAAGACACTCGCGGCGTCCATTGTGGCCACTGCACTCCAGTCCAGACCCCGGCTGGCCTGGCCTGGCCTGGGGCTCACCTGCCCCTCTGGAAGCAGAGAGGGCCTGCCCTGGAGGGCCGGGGACCTCTGCAGCACGTCCGTGGAACACGTGGGCCAGGGAGTGTGTGCCCGGCCCCCATTCCAGCTCTGCCACGTGAGCAGTGCTCACACGGTGCCTAGGGCTGAGGGGTCTTACTAAGCGCTGGTCCCACCATCCCGAGCCGAGCCCCATGGTGTCCCAGCGGGCACGGACAAGAGGCACGGAGTGAGGGAGGGGTGGAGGCTGACAAAGTGCTTGGAGAGCAGAGACAGCGCCTCTCTCCACACACCACCAACTGCAGGATGTGGTGGGGCTCGGAGGCCAAGGGGGAAGTGTGAGGGATTCCTGTCAAGAACAAGACCCCCTGCTGCTGAGGGTCCAAGAGAAACTCCATGAACGGGGAAACTCAAGGGGAGGAAGCTAGAGATGGAATGAAGGAAGCCCTGAATCCTGGCTCAAACAAGCAAAGCTGAAATAATGCAGTAAAATGAGAAGACACGCAGGAAATGGAAACGATGCTACTTCGAGATACTGGGAAGTTATGTGAATGCTGTTCATCTGTGGGGTGGTGTGAAGAGGTGGAGGCCACACCAGTGGACATCAAAACCAGAAACCAGTCAGAGAAGGACAACAGGAAAACTGTAAGTGCCTGGAAATCAAACAGCACACTTCTAAGTAATCCACGAGTCAAATGGGATGCCTCGAAGGAAATAAAAAAGAGAACAGAATGGAAACAAGAATACAGCATAATGAAATTTGCCAGACGCACCCAAGGCAGTGCTTAGAGGGAAACAGACAGCACTCAATGCCAGTATCAGGAAAGGAGAAAGATCTCAAATTGCTTCTCTAAATTCCTACTTCAAGAAACGCAGGGAGAAACAAGCCCGAAGCAGGAGGAGGAAATAATAAAAGTAGGAATGAATAGGAAAACAAAAGACAGTTATTAAAACCAAAAACTGGTTCTTTAAAAAATAGCAATAAGGCCGGCCAGGAGCAGGGGCTCACACCTGTAATCTTTGCACTTTGGGAGGCCAAGGTGAGAGGATCACTTGAGCCCTGGAGTTTGAGACCAGCCTGGACAACACAGTGAGACCCCATCTCTATAATCAATCAGCCAGGTGTGGTGGCATATACCTGTAGCCCCAGGTATGTGGGATCACGTGGGCCTAGGAGTTTGAGGCTGTAGTGAGCTATGATCACACCACTGCACTCCAGCCTGGGCAACAGAGTGAAACCCTGTCTCAAAAATTTGTTAAAAAGACCAGCAACAATAAATTGATAAACCCCTCGCAAAACTGACAAAGATTAAAAAGGGGGAACGCCTGTAATCCCAGCACTTTGGGAGGCCAAGGCAGGGCATCACGAGGTCAGGAGATCGAGACCATCCTGGCTAACACAGTGAAACCCCATCTCTACTAAAAATACAAAAAATTAGCTGGGTGTGGTGGTGGGTGCCTGTAGTCCCAGCTCCTTGGGAGGCTGAGGCAGGAGAATGGCATGAACCCAGGAGGCAGAGCTTGCAGTGAGCCGAGATCATGCCACTGTACTCCAGCCTGAGCAACACAGCAAGACTTCATCTCAAAAAAAAGAAAGGGGGGAGAGTGAAATGACCAATATCAGAAATGAAATGGAAATATTATAATAGATCCAGAAGCTATTAAAATAACAATAAAAAATACTACAACAAAACTTGATGCTCATAACGAACTGGACGGATTCGTCGAAAACCACATACTACCAAAACGTGCCAAGATAAAATAGCCTCGGTAGTCCTATAACCATTAAATAAATCGAGTTTGTTGTAATTAAAATGCTACTCAAAATCTCCAGTCCCAGATGGTTTCACTAGAAAGTTTTACCGAACATTAAATATGAATTAATACCAATTTTACACAATCCTTTTTCAGTTAACAAAAGACAGGGAAACACCTTTCCACTATTAACCTTGTACTGAAACCAACAAGGATGGTGCGCACACACAGAAAAATAAGTATCAGTCTCTCATGAACTTAGATGCAAAAATACTCAACAAGTACTAACAAATGGAATCCAGCAATCTACGAAAAAGAGTATCACACCCTGACCAAGTGGGATTCAGTTTAGGTGTACAACGAAGGCTAGTTCAAATTTGAAAATCAATCAATGTTATTCACCCTATCAACAGGCTAAAGGAAAACAATGATATGATCCTATTGACACAGGCAAAGCATTTGACAAAATTTAATCTCCATTCCTGACAAGAACTCTTGCAAAGCAGGAATCAAGGGAAAGTCCTCCGACTTGGTAAAAAGCACCATGAAGAACCCTCAGCTCACGCTGCTTCACGGAGGAGTCTGGCCGCCTTCCCTCATTCGGTCAGCGGAGAGCTGGCTTTCCCCACTCATCCTCAACCCAGCATGGGAGCTCCTCACGCCAGGGCATGCAGGTAAGAAAAGGAAAGCAGCAGCATAGGGATTGGAAAAGAACAGAACTGTCCCTACTCGCAAATGACATGATGGCCCACGTGGAAAACCCTAAGCAATCTGCAGAAAACTCCTAGAATGACGTGACGGCCCACGTGGAAAACCCTAAGCAATCTGCAGAAAACTCCTAGAATGACGTGACAGCCCATGTAGAAAATCCTGAGCAATCTGCAGAAAACTCCTCGAACACTAAGTGAGTTCACGAAGGTTGCAGGAAATAAGATGAACATACAAAAATTAACCACATTTCTATAAAGCAATGGCAAACAAGTGAAAAACAAAATTAAAAGGCAATATAATTTACAGAACATCTTAAATACTTGGGTATAAATCTAACAAAAACTTGTATAGTGTCTGTTTGCAGAAAGTTAGGAAATACTGATGAAAGGAATCAAAAGAATGTTTGTATAAATAGATACAATGTTTATGAACTGGAAGACTTATAGTAAATCAATTTTTCCAAAATTGATCTTTGGTTTTAAGGTAATTGCTGTCTAAACCTCAGCATATATATATATATATATATATATATATATATTTTTTTTTTTTTTTTTTTTTTTTTTTTTTGGAAAGAGGGTCTTATTCTGTCACCCAGGCTGGAGTGCAGTGGTGTGGTCTTGGCTCACTGCAGCCTCAAGCAATCTTCCTGCCTCAACGTGCCAAGTAGCTGTAACTACAGGTGCGCACCACCACTCATGGCTGTGTTTTTTTCATAGAGATGGGGTCTCCCTGTGTTGCCCAGGCTGGTCTCCAACTCCTGGGCTCAAGCGATCCTTTTGCCTTGGCTTCCCCAAGTGTTGGGATTACCGGTGTGAGCCACCATGCCTGGCCAGCATCTTTTTTTTTTTTTTTTTTTTGGTAGAGAGACACAAGATTATTCTAAAATGTATATGGAAAGCCATTCCAAAAAAGAAGAGTAGGGGAATTGCCCTTCCTGATGTTGAGAACTGTACAGCTACAGCACAGCGTTATACAGCTCCTACATCAGACAGACATGGCTGGGGCAGCGCTGGAGGGGAGATGTGGAGACCAGCGGAACAGAACAGAGGAACTCGAAAGAGACCCACAGACGTGTCCAGGCCACTTTCTAACAGAGAATATTATGCCGTGACCAAGTGGGACTTAGTTTAGGTGTACGAGGCTAGCTTGGTATTTGAAAATCAATCAATGTAATCTGCTATATCAACAGGCTAAAGAATAAACAACATATGATCCTATTAATCGATACAGAAAAGTCACAAAAAAGTCACAAAGGTGCTTCAGTGGAGGAGGGGCAGTCTTGTCTTTGCTACAGCTGGAGCCGGAGCAGCTGGACACACTTAGTTAAAAAAAAATTTTTTTTTGACCGAAACCTCACATCTCATATAAAATTTAACTCAAACTGTATCATGAACTTACATGTAAAACACAGAATTATTTTAAAAAAGAAATCTTCAGGATCTGGATGAGGCAGAGCTCTGACACTCAACACCAAAGCACAATCCATAGAATAAAATTAAAATGGATAAATGGGCCTCGCCAAAATTTTAGGAAATTGCACAGTGGAAGAGCCTGTGAAGCAGACACAAGGACAAGCTACACAACAGGGCGCCAGCGTCTCCCTGCCCATCTCTCCTAGAACGCCACGGCCACAGAGGACCCCAGCACCTGGAGGGGCCAGTGCACAGAACCCGGAGGGGGGTGACTGCAGCGTCTTAACCCCAAGTGGGATTCCTGCCCGTGCCCTGGCCCCACAGGGCAAGGCCCACATCTGTCTTGCTTCTCTCTTTTCCCAGAACAGACTTCACCAGGCTGGAGAGTGGCCTGGGCACAGAGGCCGGGGCTGTGGCATCAGCAGCCATCGTGAGGGCAGAGCGCCCGGCGTTCTCAGACACACCCCTGCTCCCACTGGCCTTCCTGGGAGAAGCACCCCCTTGTTCCAGATGAGAAGCCGCAGCTGCTGGGCTGGGGGAGGCATGAATATTCCATGCTCAGATCTGCAAGCGCCATGCACCTAACTGGACACAGCTCCAGGCGCCTGCTTCCCTGAAGCCCAATCCTCCTGTCCTTGGTGTGCTGCAAGCGCCACTCCCGAGCAGGGCTGTGTGTGGGGAGAGGAGAGGAAAGGAGCCCTTGGGGGAAGTTATGCTGGGAGCCCATTTGTGGGGGGAGGGAGAGCGGGAAGCAAGGTGCATGAGGATGGGGTGTCCTGCAGCTGGGTCCTGACTGGGGGCTGCTCCCTCTCCTGGGCCTAGGCACTGCAGGAAAACGGCAGGTAGTTAGCCTGCCACCACCTCCCAGCCACCACCACACACCCTCGACGACCTTCCAGATAGACGGCTCGATCCTGACTTGAGCACTGCCGGCCCCAACACCTCCCCTCTTACACCACCTGCTTGTGTGGGCCTGGTGGCAGAGCTGCCGACGTCGGGGGCTTTCACACCCACCAGAACTAGCTTCTAACCTCGGCTTGGCCACCAGGAAGCTGCGTGACCCTGGGCACACCGACACACCTCTCTGAGCCTGGTCTGCATGCTGGGCATTGCCGAGAAGACTAACAAAGTCAGGTGCGTAAAATCACCGGGCTCAGGGGAGACACCGAGCACAGTGGGATGAGGAAACCCTGTGCCCACGTTACCCCGGGCCATGAGGACGGCAGCTGCCCCGTGCCCTGGTGCCATCGGATGGCCTCTACTGGGAAGTGAGCTGCTCCCGGCCTTGTCCCCACCTCGCTGCAGCAGGACTGGTTGTCTGCCAGGCCCCGGAGCCCCCAGGCTTCCCACAGAGGCTCCCCCACCAGGACCCGTGGGAGAGGAGATGGGCGTGCCTGGCTGGCATCTGCCGGGGCAGCCACAGGTCCCTGTGAACCTCGCTTGTAGAAGACACCTGCTCTCAAAGCCAGCGAAGGGGAGATTTTTTTTTGTCTTGAGGCTGTAAGGAAATCAGTGTTTTCAACTTCAAAAGACTCTCCGGGCTTCTCAAGTTGAGAATCTGACGCATTCCAGGCACTTTCATGCACACATGGGGCGAGCCGGGGAGAAGACTCAGCAGCGTCCGCCGAGAGTCAGCCTTGAACTTCAGGGGTGAGAAAACCCTTCAAGTTCACACTGCAGCACGACACACACTCTCACACCCACACTCACAGAGTGCAAAAGGACCCTTAGAAAATCTTCAAAATGTTAATGGCGGTTAACTCGGAGTGTTGGGATGGAAAGTGACTCATGGTTCTCTGCATTTTCCAGATTTTTTTATATGCTGCATATTTGTAATTAGGAAAAATGTATATCTAAATTATATCTGCAAGAGCGGAACAGCTTCGAGACAGGCCGCTGAGCACACGGGTTCCCCACTGCGGACACATGCAAGCCCCAATCCTTATCCACCTGGCCTGCAACCCTCAGGCGTCTTGCTCGTCTGCCCGTCTGCCTGGAGCGTCTCCAGACACTCTGTGGGAGGCCCCTCTGTGGGCTGCTGAGGCCGGTGCTGCCCACCCACCTGCCCCAGATGTCCTGGGCTTGGGGTGCCACGCTGGCGTCATGGCTGGCATCTTGGCTGGTGGCACCACAGACGCCAGGCGTGGGTCACAGCGTGAGCCCAGCCAGCTGGTTGGGGTGGGTGGCGCTGGTCAGGTGGCCACAGCAGAGTCCGCTGAGGCCACCTGTCATAGGGCTGCTGCTGAGGTGTGAGAGACACGGGCCCATGCCCCTCGGCACCCAGTGGCCAGGGCACCCAGGTTGGGCTTGTGCGAATCCCAGGTGGGGCACAGCTCTGTCTGTCCACGGGTCTTTGCGGTGCCCGTCTGAGCGCCTGTGAACAGTGCTGGGCAGTCTCACCATGCACACAACTCTGCACGAGCCTCCACGGCCAGGGCTGCCCTCCCTTCCCTAAAAAGTCTCAGGGGCTGAAGGCCTTGGACCATGGCATCAGGGTCCAGAGGTGATAAACCTGGGTAATGTGTGCCCTCATCCCAGCGGGTGCTGCTGGAGGTTAGAGGTTAGCAGAGTCCCAGCCCCGGGGTTAGAGGTCAGCACAGTCCCAGCCCCGGGGTTGGAGGTCAGCATAGTCCCAGCCCCAGGGTTGGCGGTCGGCACTGTCCCAGCCCCGGGCGGGGTTGGCGGCCGGCACAGTCCCAGCCCTGGGGTTAGCACAGTCCCAGCTTGGCTTCATGACCTCGGCAGCAGTGATCTGTATCCCAAAGTTCGGGCGTGATAACGTCAAGACCGTGCTGAGCCTGCTGGGTACAGCGTGAAAATGGCTGGTGCTACCGTGGTCTACACAACCTGTTAGACCGGGATACCGAGGACTCCTGGCAGCCTCACACCTCACAGCTGGGCTCTGCACAGGAGTCTCAGGTGCTGTGGGGCCAGCCTGCCTGCTGCACATCCAAGGCCCGAGGGTGATCCAGGAGCAGCAGCCACCGCCGAGCCCTGATAGTCACTGCCTGGCCTGTCCGCGCTCTGAGGAGGGAGAGAGCAAGCTTCTCGCCTCTGGTGTATTACCGCAGCCGAGGGACTCCTCCTCCAGGCTGGCCACAGGACTTGTTACAGCCTATGCCTGACTCCCCCGCTCATGGCCTCACTCCCTCATGGATGCCCATGGCCGGCCCAGCCCCACCCTGCACAGGCCCCCCAGCTCCAGGCCCAGCCCAGCTCAGCTCCTCGGAGCTCCTGGTCCAGAGGTCCAGGTTTGACCCCAGGACACCCTGCTGTGTGCACGACCCTCAGCTCCCACCCCTCTCTGCCGCACTGTCCCTCCAGCGTCCCTCGGGGGAGGCGACACAGCCGGGCCCAAAGGAGGCCTCGCAGATGCTGCCGCGTGAGCACCGTGCTGAGGGCCTGGTGGCAACTGGGTCAGGACAGCTTGGACAGAATGCCGAGAACAAATGTCCCGGCATGAAGTTCCAAAGAACGGAAGCTGGCAAAAAGTGTGTCCGGCATGGGGAAAATAGCTCAGCCAATTATTCCTGCCTAATTGTACCGAGGAAAGCATCTAAATACTGCCTGTGCTAATTATACCAGCGTTATTGGGGTTTATCTTCCCGGCGAGGGTGACCTTTCCTTCAAGAGTGACTGGCGGGGCGGGCAAGGCCAGGCACCCCAGCAGTCGCAGAAAAATCCCAAACCAACAATTATTATTATTATTATTCTATTTATACAGCTCCCCCTCGCACACGGGCGTTCTGCTTTACAGCCACACGCAGCTGCTCCTGCAGCCGCAGCCGGAGGGGAGCCGAGGGAGTGGGGGCGCCAGCTCGGGGTGGGGCGGCCTGAGCAGCCCCTGCTGTGAGTGGCATCCGCCACGGGCGGCTCCAAGGGCCGTGGAAGGGCATGGAGGCCACAGGGATGAGTTAGAGGAGGTGGCGGGGATGGAGAAGGAGGGAGAAGGGGCTGAGTGTGGGTTAAAAGACAGGGACTGGCCCCGAGGGCAGCAGGAGCGCAGAGCACATTGAAGGTTAAGGGAAGAAAGGGGACGCCGCGGGCAGGCAGGACAGGTGCTCAGCTCAGGCACGCAGGTGAGGAGGGAGGAGCTGCAGCACAGCCCTCGCCCAGTGGCTCCCTGAGCCCCGCCCAGGTGTGGGGTCCTCCCCTCCTGAGCCCGTCCCGGGTGTGGGGTCCTCCCCTCCTAAGCCCGGCCCGGGTGTGGGGTCCTCCCCTCCTGAGCCCCGCGTGGCTGTGGGGTCCTCCCCTCCTGAGCCCGGCCTGGCTGTGGGGTCCTCCCCTCCTGAGCCCCGCCTGGCTGTGGGGTCCTCCCCTCTTGGGCCCGGCCCGGGTGTGGGGTCCTCCCCTCCTGGGCCCCGCCTGGCTGTAGGATCCTCCCCTCCTGAGCCCGGCCCGGGTGTGGGGTCCTCCCCTCCCGGGCCCCGCCTGGCTGTGGAGTCCTCCCCTCCTGGGCCCCGCCTGGGTGTGGGGTCCTCCCCTCCTGGGCCCGGCCTGGGTGTGGGGTCCTCCCCTCCTGGGCCCCGCCTGGCTGTGGGGTCCTCCCCTCCTGGGCCCCGCCTGGCTGTGGGGTTCTCCCCTCCTGAGCCCCACCTGGCTGTGGGGTCCTCCCCTCCTGGGCCCCGCCTGGCTGTGGGGTCCTCCCCTCCTGGGCCCCGCCTGGCTGTGGGGTCCTCCCCTCCTGAGCCCGGCCCGGTTGTGGGGTTCTCCCCTTCTGAGCCCCACCTGGCTGTGGGGTCCTCCCCTCCTGAGCCCTGCCTGGCTGTGGGGTCCTCCCCTCCTGGGCCCAGGCTAGACAGCACCACCCTTTCCAGATGTAGCCGAATGAGAACAGGAGAGGACGTCAGCAGCCTCTGCGCCTTTTCACCTCCCACCCAGGCGAGGCCCATGCTGCTGGGGGTGACGTTTCGTGGAGCGCCACGCTTAGGGCAATGTGATGCTGGGGATGCGGGGTGAGGAGGGCCGGAGATGCAGGCCCGCCCTCCTGTGAGGCTGCCCCTCTTATCTGCTGTGGGCCCTGGGGCCCATCAGTTTGTCTCTCTGAGCTGAAGTTTCCTGAATGTAAAATGGAGACAAAATGCCTATTTTCCCACCTCAGAGGGCGGCCGGCAGCTTCCGGCCGAGACAGAGCCACAAGGACAGATGCACCTGCCATCTGAAACAGCCAGAATATGAGGCATCAAATGTGAAACAACAGTTTTCAGTCAGGAAGGGTGGTGGGCCTTGAGAGACGGGGCGAGCCTGGGGAGACGGTCACAGCCCAGGCAGGGCCTCGGGGGACCTGAGTTGAGGGACAGGGCTGGAGCTGGAGCCAGGGCGCAGAACAGAGTGCCAGAGAAGAGGGCTGAGTTCGCTGGAGTGCTTGGTGAGAGGCTGAGAAAACCTGGAGCATTAGAGAGAAAAACCCAGAAAACGGCGCCTGAAGCTCACACTGGGCTGGAGCAGTGCCTGTCTCCGGCAGCCTCGCGGGAAAGCCTGCGAACTAGGCGGCTCCAGGGCACAGCACTGAGATGGACACCCCTCAGCAAGGGGTGGTGTGAGCCCCAGACAGACGCTGCCCTGCTCCCACCTCACATTTCCTAAACCGAGACCCAGAGAACCAGGCTGTTTCCAAGTACCTGAACTGTGTCTCCGAACAGAGCTCACGAATATTTATAGGAACACACACACACACACGTGCATGCACAGGCACACGCACACATGCACACACAGCCTCGCAGCACTCAACAAAGAGAAAATCAGCTGAGTGAAACAAACCTAGGGCTGACCTGACGTCAGAAGCGGCAGATCACATTAAGTCACTGTAACTTTGCTCCATATGCCCAAAAAGTTGAGGACAGACATAAAAGGGACAAAAAAGAGCCAAATTGACCTTCTAAGGATGAAGACAACAAGTGCGGGGGACGGATCCATGCCAGATCAGACATTGCGGAAACAGGATCAGTGAAGCTGCAGATACAACCACGGAAACCGTCCGAGATGAAACAGATGAGAAAAAGAAAGAAAAGTGCATACAAACAAAAAGGAAAAAAACGGAAAGATAAATATAAAGGAGGCAGCACATCGGGCGTGGGCTGTGGGGTGACGTCACGTGGCCTGACACGTGGGGCAGGAGTCCCGGAGGCAGGCTGGTGGCACTTCTGAAATGGCTCCTGATGGTCCCCACCTCCAGGCATCACCCGCATCAGCGCCAGCCCTTCAGCGTGACTTACAGCTGATGCAAAGTGTGGCGCAAGTGCTGGCTTCCCCTCTGCAGTCACGTCACGGCAGCCGTGACTTCTGCGGCTCCCACCCTGGTTCTCAGAGCTCTGACACGCCAGCTGCCGTGCGTGAGCTGCCCACATGGCGAGGAGCTGCCATAGGAACCCAGCGCGGCAGCCCAACCACGGATGAGAAGCAGAATCCTTCTGACGGCCACATGGGTGTACCTGGACGTGGGACCTTCCCCAGCAGAGCCAAGAGGACCGTGGCTTGTGAGGTCTCTGAGCAGAGAGCCAGCTCAGCCACACTTGGATTCCTGACCCCAGAAGCCATGAGCCACTGAGTTCTGCAGCGATGTTATTCAAGGACTGGTCGCCAGTGGTGGGGACAGCAAAGAGTCTTGAAAAAGTAATGGCCCCAATTTTCTGAAATGTGTGGAAAAGTGTAAACTGAGAGATCTGAGAAGTTCAAAGAACCCTAACCACCCCCCCACCAAAAAAAAAAAAAAAAAAAAGGCAGGGGGAGGAAACAACATTAAAGTACACAAAGTACATCATAATCAAACTGGTCAAAACCAGTAGTACAGATGAAATCTTAAAAGCAGTCAGAGGAAGAAAAGACAATTTACTGACAGAGGAACAAAGATGAGGATGACAGCAGACTTCTCAGAGGAAATAATGGAATTAAGAAGACAGTGAGATCACCTCTGTAAAGTACAGAAAGACAAAGCCCAGAATTCTCCACCCAGTGGAAATATCTCCCCCCAAATAAAGACTTCTTCAGGTGTGCAAGAGCTTAAAATATCCCAAAAAGCAGCTGATTCACACTGCAAGAATATTAAAGGAAGCCCTTCAGACAGAAGGAAAATGAGGATGCAAACAGGGGCTTACACAACAGGCCAGGCCGGTGGCTCACGCCTGTAATCCCAGCACTGTGGGAGGCCGAGGTGGGAGGATCACCTGAGGTCAGGAGTTCAGGACCAGCCTGGCCAACATGGTGAAACCCTGTTTCTACTAAAAATACAAAAATTGGCCACGTGTTGTGGCACATCCCTGTAATCCCAGCTACTCGGGAGGCTGAGGCAGGAGAATCGCTTTAACCTGGGAGGCGGAGGTTGCAGTGAGCTGAGATCGCGCCACTGCACTCCAGCCTGGGTGACACAGTGAGACTCTGCCTCAAAAAAATAAATAAATAAATAAAAACAAACATGGGCCTACACAAGAAGAAGGAAGAACAGCCCTACTCCTTCCATGAATGAGGGGTGGGAGCTGCATATGCAGACATATACAACATTTACAATTATTATTTACATCTCTTTCAAAGATAGCTGACTAAACAGAAATAAAAACAAAGTATTGTGGGGTTTATCATGTGCATAAATAAAATATATTATAAGCAGACGACTAAGGCAGGAAGGAGAAGACTGGAAGTATGTGACTGTCAGGTTCTCACACTACACGTAAGGTGGTGTCGTATCATTCGAGGATGACTGTGTTAAGTTAAAGATCTACGTGCCCTAAATCCTAACACAACCTGTAAAAAATACAGTTAACAAATCAAAAAAGGAGGCACATGAACTTGTAAAAAATTCAATCCAAGAAAGGCAGAAAAAGAGGGAAGAAAAAAGAACAAAGGACAGACAGGACAAACAGAAAACAAATAACAAGATGATAGACTTATCTAATCAAAGTAGTAATCAATTTAAATGTAAATGGCCCAGTGAAAAGGCAGAGAATGTCAGATTTTATGCACATTTAAGACTCAGCTATATCCTGCTTTTAAGAAGCACATTTTAACTATGAAGACGCAGTAGATTAAAAGTAACGTGAAGCAGATACAGTGTGCTCACATTTCGCCGTGTTCACATGAGCACACCTTGCTTCATCCGTTGCCTGACTGTGCCTCACAGACACTGCATTTTTTACAAATTTAAGGTCTGTGTCTGGCAAGTCTATTGGCACTATTTTTCCAAAAGCGTGGATTCACTTCATGTCTGTGTCATATATATTTCCAACTTTTTCATTATTAGTATATCTTTTATGGTAGTCTGTCATCTGTGATCTTTGATGTCACCATTGTAATGGTCTCGGAGCTCCACAAACAGTGCCCATAAGATAGCAAACTTAACTGATAAATGTGTGTGTTCTGACTGCTCCACTGACCAGCCATCCCCCATCTCTCTCCTTCTCCTTAGGCCTCCCCATTCCCTGAGACACGACCATCACAACAATATTGAAACCAGGCCCATTAATAACCCTAGAATGGCTTCTAGGTGTTCAAGTGAAAGAAGACTCACATGTCTCTCACTTTAAATCAAAAGCTAGAGATAATTAAGTTTAGTGAGGAAGGCATGTTGAAAACTGAGGCCAAAAGCTAGGTCTCTTGCACCACACAGCTAGCCTGCAAAGGAGAAGTTCGTAAAGGAAATCACAAGGGCTATTCCAGCGAACACATGAATGTTAAGAAAGCAGAACAGGCTTACTGCTAATATGGAGATGGTAAATGAGCTCTTGGGGCCCTTAAGAATGATGCTAAGTCTTCTCTGTCTGTGCTCTATCAGTGGAACAACGAAGCCTGGATGACAGCACATCTGTTCAAACGTAGCACAGTGCACTGAATATTTTAAGCCCACTGTTGAGACCTCCTGCTCAGAAAACAAAATTCCTTTCAAAATATTATTGCTCACTGACAATGCAACTAGTTACTGGGCTCTGATGGAGATGAACGTTGTTTCTATGACTGCTAACACAGCATCCATCCTGTGGTCCCTAGATCAAGGGACAATTGACTTTCAAGTGTTATTATTTAAGAAATACATTTTGTAAGGCTATAGTTGTCACAGAGTGCTTCCTCTAATGAATCTGGGCAAAGACAACTGAAAACCTTCCGGAAAGGAGCTGTCATTCTAGATGCCATTAAGAACATCAGTGATTTATGAGAGGAGGTCAAAGTATCACCATTAACAGGAGTTTGCAGAAGTTGGTTCCAACCCTCCTGGATGACTTGGTTCAAGAAGAGGTCAGTGGAGGAAGATGGACAGATGTGGTGAAAATAGCAAGAGAATTAGAATTAGAAGCAGAGCCTGAAGATGTGACTAAATTGCTGCAATCTCATGATCAAGCTTGAATGGATGAGGAGCTGCTTCTTATGAATGAACAAAGAAAGTGGTTTCTTGAGATGGAATCTGCTCCTGGTGAAAATGCTGTGAACATTGTTGAAAAATGACAGCAAAGTACATCAACTTAGTTGATAAAGCAGTTTGAGGGGTTGAGAGGATTGGCTCCAAGATAGAAAGAAGTTCTACTGTAGGTAAAATGGTTTTAGAGAGCATTGCATGCTACAGAGAAATCTTTCATGAAAGGAAGAGTCAATCAATGTGGCCAGCTTCATTGCTGTTTTTTTTTTTTTTTTTTTTTTGGTGGGGGGATGGAGTCGTGCTCTGTTGCCCAGGCTGGAGTGCAGTGGCACGATCTCAGCTCACTGCAACCTCCACCTCCCAGGTTCAAGCGATTCTCGTGCCTCAGCCTCCCAAGTAGCTGGGATTACAGGTACGTGCCACCATGCCCGGCTAATTTTTGTGTTTGTAGTAGAGACAGGTTTTCACCATGTTGGCCAGGGTGGTCTCGAACTACTGGCCTCAAGTGATCCATTTGCCTCAGCCTCCCAAAGTGCTGGGATTACAGGCTTGAGCCACAGCACCCAGCCCATTGGTGTTTTTAAGAAACTGTCACAGCCACCCCAACCTTCAGCAACCACCACCCTGATCTGTCAGCAGCCATCACCATCAAAGCAAGAACCTCCACCAGCAAAGAGATTACAACTGGCTAAAGGTTTGGGTGATCGTTAGCATTTTTAAGCAATAAAGTATTTTTAAAATCAGGACATGTACATTGTTTTTTAAAGACATAATGCTATTGTACACTTGACAGACTATAGTATAGGATAAACATAACTTTTATATGCACTGGGAAACAAAATGCATGGGACTTGCTTTATTGTGATATTGGTTTAATCACAGTGATCTGGAACCAAATGCGCGATATACCCAAGGTTGCTTATTGACAGTGCAGCTCTGTATCAGACAAAGTAGATTTCAGAGCAAAGAATATTACTAGCAATAAAGGTCATTTCATAATGATAAAAGCGTCCATTTATATATGAAACAAAAACTGGAATGCAAGAAGGAATAGAGAAATCTGTAATTATAGTCAGAGATGTCAATATTCATCTATCAATAACTGATAGAACAGGAAGACAGAAAATTGGCAAGGATATAGAAGCTTTGCAAACATTATTAAAAATGTCAGCTACTTGACATCAATATAGCACATTCCAGTGGGATACAGGATACACACAGATTTTAAGTACACACACAACATTTACCAAGGCAGTAACATTCTGGATGGACCTTAAAACAAATTTCAAGAAATGTGACCAGATGCAGTGGCTCACGCCTGTAATCCCAGCACTTTGGGAGGCCGAGGCAGGTGGTTCACCTGAGCTCAGGAGTTCGAGACCAGCCTGGCCAACATGGTGAAACCCCATGGTGAAATCCCAGTTACTCGGGAGGCTGAGGTAGGAGGCAGGAGAATCACTTGAACCTGGAAGGCAGAGGTTGCAGTGAGCTGAGATCGTGCCATGCACTCCAGCCTGGGTGACAGAATGAGACTCTGTCTCCAAAAAAAAGTAGAAGGATTCAGACCGTTCCGAGAATGTTCTCTGACAATAATGAAATTAAATGAGAAATTAGTAACAGAACGGCATCTGGAGATTTTCAAAAAATGTGGAAACTAACACACTTCTAAATAACCCATATGTCAAAGAAGAAATCAAAAGGGAGGTTAGTAAGTGATTTGAACTGAATGAAGATAAAAACAAAATATCAGAATTTGTGGGATGCCACTAGAGCAGAAACTAGGGGGAAACTTATAGCACTGAATGTCCACATTAAAAAAAGAAGGTCTCAAATCAGAGACTTCAGCTTCGACCTTAAGGAACTAAAGAAGGGCAAATTAGACAAAGTAAGCAGAAGAAAGAAAATAAAGATCAAAGCAACAATGGTGAAAGAAAACAAAAAAGCAGTATAAATAATAAAACCCAAAGCTGTTTCTAGCCAGACTGACCTGGAATAAAAGAGAAGAGACAAGTTACTAACATCAGGAAGAAGAGGGATGATAGCACTACAGATCCTACAGATGTTAAAAGGGTAGTAAGAGAAATTATGAACAACTTTATGCCAATACCTTTGAAAACAGATAAAATGGACAAACTTCTGAAGATACAAACTACTAAAGCTCACCACAAAAGAAAAAGACAATGTGAATAACTCTATGTCTATCAAGACACTGATGTGTAGTTAAAACCTCAGGAAGAAAACTTCAAGGTTCAATGGGTTTACTGATGAATTGGATCAACTATTTAAAAAAGAAATAATATCAATTCTACATTAACTCTTTTCTTCCAGTTTGTTTTAATCAAGAATTCTACATGAACTCTTTAAGAAAACTGAAGAGGAGGAATGCTTTCCAACTCACTCTGTGAGACCAACATTACTATGATATACAAATCAGAAGACATTACAAGCCGCACCCCCCCAAAACTATGGAACAACCCTAAGGAATATTTATGCAAAAATTCAAAACAAAACGGTTAGCAATTCACATCCAATAACATATAAAAAGGATAATGTAGTATGACTAAGTGGGGTTTATCCTAAGAATACAAGGTTGGTTTAACCCTAGAAAATCAAAGTAATTCCACATATTAACAAAGTACAAAAGGAAAACCATATGATCAACTCAATAAATGCAGAAAAAGCATCTGATCATACCCAACAGGCATTCCTCAAAAAAAAAAAAAAATCTCAGCAAACTATGATTAGAAGAGAACTTCCTCAGCCTGAGAAAGGGTATCTATGAACGACGTACAGAGAATACCACACTTAATGGCTGAAGATTGGATGCTTCTCCCTCAGATCTGAAACAGGACAAGGATGTTCACTCTCACTGCTTGTATTCAGCATCATCCTGAAGGTTCTAGCTACTGAAATAACACAAGAACAAGGAACTTCACAAGCATCCAGTGTGGGTAAGTGGAACTGCAAGTGTACTTACAGATAATATCATTGTCTAAGGAGAAAATCCCATCAGATATACTAAGAAGCTACTGGAACTAACACATGAGTTTAGCGAAGTTGCAAAATAAAAAGATCAATATACAAATGAATTGTTTTTATATAGTAGCAACAGAAATTAAATGTAAAAACAAAACCCTTTTATAATAATATCAAAATCTAAAATACTTGGGATAAATCTGAAAAAGATGTGAAATACCTATGTTATCAGGAAGGGGTCTCAATCTAGACCCCAAAAGAGGGTTCTTGGATCTCACACAAGAAAGAATTTGAGGTGAGTCCATACAGTGAAGTGAAAGCAAGTTTATTAGGAAAGTAAAGAAACAGAAGAATGGCTACTCCATAGGCAGAGCAGTGACGTGGGCTGCTCGACTAACACTTATACTATATTTCTTGATTATATGCTAATGAAGGGGTGGATTATTCATGAGTTTTCCTGGAAAGGGGTAGGCAATTCCCAGAACTGAGGGTTCTTCCCCCTTTTAGACCATATAGGGGAACTTCCTAACATTGCCATGGCATTTGTAAGCTGTCATGGCACTGGTGGGAGTGTCGTGTCATATGCTAATGCATTATAATTACAGTATAATGAGCAGTGAGGATGACCAGAGGTCACTTTCTTTTTTCTTTCTTTAAGACGGAGTCTCACTCTGCTGCCCAGGCTGGAGTACAGTGGCGCAATCTCAGCTCACTACAACCTCTGCCTCCTGGGTTCAAGCAATTCTCCTGCCTCAGCCTCCTGAGTAGCTGGGATTACAGGCATGCACCACCATGCCCGGCTAATTTTTGTATTTTTAGTACAGATGGGGTTTTACCATGTTGGTCAGGCTGTTCTCGAACTCCTGATCTCATGATCTGCCTGCCTCAGCCTCCCAAAGTGCTGGGATTACAGGCATGAGCCACTGCGCCTGGCTGACCAGAGGTCATTTTCATGGCTGTCTTGGTTTTGGTGGGTTTGGGGCCAGCTTCTTTACTGCAACCTGTTTTATCAGCCAAGTCTTTGTGACTTGCATCTTGTGCGGACCTCCTATCTCATCTTGTGACTATGAACGCCTAACCTTCTGGGAAAGCAGTCCTGTAGGTCTCAGTCTTATTTCACCCAGTCCTTATTCAAAATGGAGTCACTCTGGTTCAAATGCCTCTGATACCCGCACATTGAAAATGAGAACACATTGCTGAGAGAAACTGTTCATAGATTAGAAGTTTCCATATCATTAAGATGTCAATTATCCCCAAAATGATCTATAGAGTCAGCATAATTCCAATTAAAATCCTAGCAGGCTGACAAAGATGCAAAAGGCTATTCAGTAAAAAAGAATGATCTTGATACTGGAGTAACTGGACGTTCATATGCAATAAAAAATGAAAAAGAGTCAATCCAGACCTTGCACCATATAAAAAAAAACTCAAAATGGATCATGAACACAAATGTAAAATTTAGAACTATAAAACTTCTAGAAGAAAAAAAATGGAGGCAGTCTTTGTGACCTTGGGTTAGGTAAAGATTTCTTAGATACGACAGCAAAAGCACACTCTATAAAATAAAAGACGGGTAAGTTAGACTTAATCAAAATTAAAAATGTCTGCTCTTCAAAAGACATTGTTAAGAGAATGAAAAAACATGTCATATATAAGGAGAGAACACCAGCAATGTACATATTTGATGAAGGATTTGCATCTGGAGTATACAAAGAACTCTCAAAACTCATTAAGGAAACATAGAACCCCATAAATAATTAGCAGAAGATGTGAACAGGCACTTCAGCGAAGACCAGCAAGTTGGCACAGGTACAGATGCTCAGTGTCATTCGTCATGAGGAAAATGCAAATTAAAACCACAATGAGACGCCATCAGTCACCTCTTAGAAGGACTGAAATTAAAAAGACTGATCATGTCAAGTACTGGTGACCGTGTGGAGAAACTACAAGTCTCCTATACTGCTGATAGGAATGGAAAATGGTGCAGGCACTTTGGAAAACAGCTTGGCAACTTCTTGTAAAGTTAAGCATGCACCGACCACACAATCAAGCAGTTCCACTCCGATTTAGCCAAGAGAAAAGAAATAAATGTCCGTGCAAAGCTTGCATGTGAATGTTCACTGTACACTTTATTTGCAACAGCCCCAAGCTGGAAGCCACCGGAATGCCCGTCAACATCTGGATGGATGAAGACACTGTGGTCTATCTGTATGACTGTAAAGGGATAAACTGTTGATACCACAGCAACATGGATAAATCTCAAACTAACTACGCTTAGTGGAAGAAGCCAGACGAGAAAGGCTAGATACTGCGTGATTCCACTTACAGAAACTCTAGAAAACATGGATGAACCCGTGGTGACAGGAAACACAGAAGGATCAGTGGCTGCTTGGGGTCGGGTTGCAGTGGGAGGGGCAAGGCAGGCTGCACAGGGCCTGGGATCTGGGGGCGAAGGGTCTGTTCACTGCCTTGACGGCCTCACGGGTGCGTGTATATAGACGATGACTCATCAATAACGCAGACTCAGCAAACAGGGAAGCCCTGGCAGGAGGAGGTGGTGGCATCGGGGCAGGTCCAGCTATCACAGGCCAGCCTGGTGAAACACGGCAGTGGGCTACTTCTCCAGACAAAACTGCTCCCTCTTGGGTGTCTAGAGGCGATTCCTGCGTAGCTCTGCCTGGACTGGGAAACATATTCCTAACCCCGTGCAGGGGCTGCAGTCCCTCTACCCGAAACCCACGCCAACACCCACTTCACATTTTGCATTTGAATCTCAGGAGGTTCACGGACCCTGTAACCCAGCGGCACCCGCAGCCCCTGGGATGGAAAAGCATCATAAAAGCAGACAGTGGCGCGTGTTGGGGAGGACGGGGAGAACCTGGGAGAAGAGGCAGCTCCTTACAAAGCTCAACGTTAAATTACCACGTGACCCCGGCACTTCCTCTTATGGGTGTACACCCGAGAGAAACAAAAATGCATTTCCACACACAAGCTTGTACACGAATGTTCACAGCGGCACTGTGTGTAATAGCCCTAAACGGAAGCAATTCAAATGTTCTATCAATGGATGAACGGATAAACAACATGGTCTATCCACACACTAGACTGTATGATTCATCAGTAACAAATGGAGCGTCAGCACGTGGTCCAATGTGAGCGAACCGTGAAAACCTTACGTTCAGTGAAAGACGCCAGACGCCAGAGACCACTCATCGCTGAGCCCATCTCCCTGCAACACTGCCGGTAGGGGAGTCTAGAGACAGAACACAGACAGTGGCTGCCGATGGCTGGGAGGGGATGGCTATGGGGCACGTTTCCTTCCAGGGTGATAAAGGCATTCATTCCAAGATAGACTGTGATGATGGCTGCACGCTCTGTAGATGACATCTCAATCAAGCTGCTTCATGAGAAAGGCCCAGCCACTGACCACGGGGTGAACGTCCTGCCGTCCACAGTCCCTGGCCGAGAAGAAAGTATGACTGACAGGTAAGACTACCTAAAGTCCCAGGCACACCCTGGGGCGGGGAGGAGGCTGGGGACAAGGACAGAGTGTGCAAAGACACGCCGGGCTCTGGGAGGTCAGCAGAGAGTCTGGACCCCAGATTTGAGGCAGCCAGGAACTGCCTGCCAGTCCCAGCTCATATGGCCTGAGCTTGGCCAACCGTGGCGGGTCCCACTCGCAGATGGCCAGCTGCCTCCGTGCCCTGGGGCAGGGATGTCCTGTTCCTGCTCTTTAGAGTGACAGGGAGGCCCTCCCTAACAGACTTCTCAGTCATTTAGGTTGGGGGCAAAAGGGGCTGGCCGCAGCTTCGTGTAGGTGGAGCAGGGCTTGGTGGGGGGGCAGGGCTAGGTGGGCTTGCCCGGGGTCGAGGTGGTGGTCACTGTCTAGTCCCCACCCAGGACAGACACTCGGGGTCCCAGGGAGGGCTCTGCCTCCTGCCTGGCAGGAAAGCGTCCTGCCCACCCGGTGCCATGGCCTGGGGAGTGCTTGGCTCTCAGGCCAGCTGCCCGCAGGAGAAGCTGGGACTGGGGCGGGGAACCAGCCTGTTCGCTTCCGAGTGGGGCTGACAAACCCCCAGCCTCTTCACAAAGCCTCCAAAAACGGAATGTCGTGGGGAACTGGACGCAGATCCACAGGGCCATAGAGAGCATTTCCGGCTTAGTCAAGGGAGTAACTTTTTAACAGTTTAAATGCGCGTGATGGGATGTGCAGGCTTGGGAGGCAGTGGACCAGATAAAACCATTGGCCAGAAGATACAGAAGGGCTCTAGGCCGCCCAGGCCCTTCAGTTAGAACATCCCCCACCCCTCCCCCCCGGCTCCCAGGGCAACGTCAGAGACCATCTGGATGGAGGATGGGGCTGGTCCTGGCTTCTCACAGTTTGGGAGGTGGGGCAGCTGGGCACCAGGTCAGCAAGCCACAGGTCCACCCACAGCCAAGGCCCAGGCTCCCCGCCTCCCCCCGTAACCACCTAGACACAGAGCACAGACCCTGCCTGGCCATCGGCCCTCCAATCCCTGCTGGAAGATGTGCCCAGGCGGAGCAGGACCCCCGCATTACTGCTGCGCGTCCAGCACCTGCAGCGGGGCCCAGCACGGTGGGCATTCCACATGGGCGAGGGCCAGACGAGTGAGCCACACCCCACCCTTTACTCAACCATCCCCCATGAGGACGACATCAGAGTCGTCCCCCAAGCCCAGGTCTGACACTCTCTTTCCCCAACTTTGGCCTGGAGCCCGAGGCCTACCCCTCTGCTCTCCCTGCACGCTGGGTGCCCTGGAGCCGGTGAGCATGAGCACGTGAGATCCTGAGGCCAGAAACATCTCCCCAACCCAGCCAGACAAACTCTAATTCACCTGTGAGCCCCAGCTCCAGGCCACCTCCTCCAGGCAGCCTTCCTTGACTGCAGTGCACCCTGGGGTATCTGGGAGACGCCTCTGCACAGTCTTTGAATCGGGCTGTACAAGTATCTGTCCTAGCGGCAGCAGAGCCGCGTCATAAACAGTAAAACAAGCCCGGCGCGGTGGCTCACACCTGTAATCCCAGCACTTTGGGAGGCCAAGGCAGATGGATCACCTGAGCTCAGGAGTTCGAGACCAGCCTGGCCAACATGGCAAAACCCCGTCTCTACTAAAAATACAAAAAAAGCCAGGCATGGTGTCGGGTGCCTGTAATCCCAGCTACTCGGGAGGCTGAGGCAGGAGAATCACTTGAGCCCGGGAGGCAGAGGTTGCAGTGAGCCAAGATCGCACCACTGCACTCCAGCCTGGGCAACAGAATGAGACTCCATCTGACAACAAAACAAAACAAAACAATAAAACAGCAACAGCAGCTCAGGGCTCCTGCAGTTCAAGGTTTTAGCGGCCTGGGCATGCGGTTTCTCTGCCTACTTGGACCTGAGCAGCCTCCCTCTGCCCAATGTCACTGCACACTCCCTGCATGCCCCAGCCCTGACTCGGGTGAGTGGACCATGCAGACGGCGAGAGGCCATGCAGGCCAAGCCAGGATAGAGCGAACCCTGGCGGGGCCAGGTGGTCCCCGTGTGTTTGCAGCCTGGATGTGATGCCCACATCTCTGGGCCAGGCACAGCTCTCCACTGTCGGCGGCTGGTGGGATTAGATGTGACCAAGGCCGCTCCCGGGCCGGCTCTACTCTGTGGGGGGCAGGTGCGGCTCTGGGGGTCCTGTTGGGCCTGAGCACGTCCCGATAACCTGGCTGCTGCCCACTGCCCAAGCGCCAGAGCACTCGGCCACCAATGAGAGCTGTGCTTCCCTGGTCCTGGGTTAAAAATATCCCCGTAAGTGACAAGACTTTGAGAATTTCGTCTCTCCAGTCACTCACATGGGGGGCGAGGACAGCTCTTGGCTCCGCGTCTCGCCCGGCTGCATCTGATGGCTCCCTGGGCTGAAGCTGCATCTCATGAAACAGACGAGAAGTCATTCACAGCCCGACAGCACAGGCACAGAAATTTGCTGTTTTATACCAAGTTGGGCGGCCTGTCATCTAGAAGCTTCTGTCCTGACCTCCTCAGCGAAGAGGAAGTCATGGAACCAGCTGCTGAGCCTCCTGACCTCGGCCTGGCCTCTCCTGGCAGCTGTGGGCCCCAGGATGAAAGCGGGCACCACGTCACTCACGAGACAGAAGCTGTCGTTCTCAGAGCCTCCCAGGTGAGTGGCCGGGCGCCTACCTGAAGCTGGACGAGCCCACAGTGGCTGAGGCCAGTGGGGACCCAAGGGGCCGGTCCGGCCTTCCCGGACCACCAAGGAAGGTGGGCGCTGCTTCCCTCGCAGTGCAGATGGTCTCGGCCGTCACTCTGCTGTCCCTCTCCTGGCTGTGAGCTCAGCTTCAGTGTCCCCACCTGTGAAATGGGGAGACCCCCAATCCTTCTGGGCGGGTGCCTTGCCTCTGCCCTCGCATGAGTCTCCCCTTTCTGAGCTGGGATTCCATCTCTCCTGGGAATCAGGTGCTGCCTGGCTGAGAACCCGGTAGCCAGGCACAATCACGCCGTCACCACCCCAGCCCTCAACCAGACCCTGCCTGCTCGCCGCGCTCGGCCGCCATCTTCCTGTGGACGCCACTTACCCTCCGGCGTCGCCATCGGCTGCAAATTGCCTTGTTTTTCATCTTTGGCAGGGCTCAAAATTTGATCATGAAAGGGAATTTTCTTTTTTCTTTCTTAATTAGTACTTGGTAATATCACCAAGCTGTGAGTTTATGGCTTTGTAGATCTTGTGTGTTTGACACTAATTACTCACAAAGGCTTTTAAAGCTGCATTTCAACTCTGCAACCACCATGCCAGTAATTAAGCTAGAGGAAGCGGCAACAGATTTCATTTTTCACAGACACCCTTCCCACCTGTGCTCCCGCTCCGTGTGGCCGCAGCCCCCGTGGCCCTGTGGAAACCCAGCAGCTCCTTGCGGCTCCGGCCCTGGAGGCCTGAGGTGGCCTTGCCTCCAGGAGCCCGGGCTCAGCCGTCACAGCCGGGCAGGTACAATCAGGACGAGCTCCCTGTGAGACTGGGGACCCAGGCCCAGTCCCAACCCAGGTGAAGGTCCCTTCCTTCTGCCCCAGAGACGACTAACGAGCAGCTCCCCTGGCTGCCCCAGAGCCCCCCACAGGGGCCGTGGCTTCTGACCCTTCAGACTCAGCTGTTCCCAGGGGCCCTGCTTCTGCCCCGCCCGCCCCCACGGCTGCACTCAAGCCTGCGCTGTGCACACCGAGGCCAGCTGAGTACCGGATAGGACCTGGGCTGAGGCTGCCCAGCTCACAGGGAAGCAGAAGCCGAGAGACCAAGAAGAAAACATCCCCCAACTGGCTGACAGTCGCCCTCCTCGACCCCAGATGCCACTAAGAACAACGCAAAGTTCTGGCGCGCAGGGAGGGAAGTCCGTGTTGACTTGGGGGCGGGTCTGCAGCAGGAAGGCTGGGCACACCCTCCACTGGCTGCTCACTAACTCCCCTGCTGGCAGAACCTTCCGCTGCACAAGCAGAGGAGAAAGGAAGGCGTGGAAGAGAGCAGGTGGCCCACGGGCTGGGAGGGGCAGGGAGAGGAAAGGCGGCAAGGTTCCCAGCAAAAGAGAAGACGCCACTCCGAGAACCCCGGGAGGTATAAGGGAACCCTGTTTAGTAACGCTGCATGTGCAACAGATAACACGTAGTTCACGTGCACAGATGTGTGCAAACATCTATGATGTAACCGAGCGGGGCTGTGCAGAGCAACTGTTACAGTCTGAACTGTGTCCCCCAAATTTAGATACTAACCTAATCCCCATGTGACTGTATTTGGAAATAGGACCTTTAAGGAGGGAAGTCAAGTCTGATGAAGGTCATAAGGGTGGGTCCTGATCCAGCAGGGGCACCAGAGCTCTCCAAGTGCACAGGAGAAAGGCCACACAGGAATACAAGGGGCGGCCGTCCACAAGCCGGGAGGAGAGTCCTCCCCAGGGGCCAACTCCGGTGACCCTTGATCTCAGATTTCAGCCTCCAGAACTGTGTGAGACACACATCTGCGGTCTCAGCCCCCGCTGTGGGGCTCTGTGACGGCAGCCCCAGCCAGACCAGCAGAGTGGTGGACACGGCCAGGTCTTATTTTGGTGAACTAGCCCCTTGGCTCCACAGATCTCTGTAACGTGCTTATGTGGGAGGATGGTAGGGGCACGGCAGCCCCACCTAGGAAGCAAGGTCTCCACAACCATGGGTCATGTTAAACCAGCTCCTTCTCTGGAGGCTAAGGGCCTCACGTGGTCAACTGCAGCCCAAGGTCCTGAGCCCCCTGTCTGGTCCAACACCAGGTGCTTTGTCTCTCTTCTCCTTCGCACAGGTGGTCACCCTGCTGGACGCTGCCCCTTTCCCCACTGTCCTCACCCACCGAGACCAGGTCCTACCACAATAAAAGGACTCTGGTTAGGGCTTTATGGAGTCACCAGCCTTTCAGAGACACATGCTACAATACTTGAATGATTGCAGCTAAATTGATTACGATACCTTGGATTTGCTTCAGAATAATCCAGGAAGGGGGAAGAGGGTGGGATGGGCTCACAGGGACTTCTCGATGCTGTTTTCCATATTTTTATATATATGCTTAAAACTTTCCATGGCAAAAAGTGAAAATAAACACAAACAGAAACCAAACCAAAAGCTAAAAGATGACAACTCATCCTAACCAGGCCAGGGTGACCTCCTCTCAAAACCCAGGCTCTGGAAGGACATCTCGCTCTTACCCCCAGAAGGTGACATCCTTGGCCCCAGAGCCCCTGCCAGGGCTGCCCGGTCTTTACCCCTCTGCCCAAGGCCACACGCACAGGATGTCAACAGTATTTGTAGAATTAGCGAGGCAGCATGGGAAGGTGCGGTTCCATCTCCAGGCCCCCCGCCCTGGTCCTCCTCCCACTGGGTCTTAACTCCCCGAGGGGCCACAACGCTTCAATGCGTGAGGTGCCGTGTGCCTCTCCACCCAGGAAAGTGTGCACAAGCACACTCCGTGCTGCCTATAATTCTGGGAACGACAGGGGTCTATGAAGCCCACCCAAGTTCCTGGAATACAGACCCCTGCCCTGAGCTCGCAGCGGAACCCCCATGCTGCTGCTCCTCCTCACATGTGGATCTGGGACGTCATGCTGGGCAACTGAGACCAGGTCTGCCTTCATGTTGTAAACAACTAGAAAAATGAACAAAATACACACAGTAACTGTTCACAGACACTGGGCTGTCTAAAGACAGAGAAACAAATGAAGTGAACCTCTGAACACCCCTTGCTCTACCCAGTGGTCTCTTCCAGGCTTGGCGCCGTGGGGTACAGCTCAAGCTCAGCATGATGGTCCTGCTGAGAGGAAGGGAGGATCTGTGGAGGGCGGAGCTGTGCACAGAAGGCTTCTGGCAACCTGGAGAAAGGTCTCGCTGAGCTGCTGAGTAATACACTCTACGCACACAGCATGCAACTCCACAAGGCTGAACCAAGCACATCGGGGAGCTGTCAGGGAACAACTCCAGAGGTCACGCAGGACCGGGGACAGGCACATGCCGACCAGCCAGAGCAAGTGTTCTTGCTGAGCACCCAGGTCATCTGCTAGGAACCTCAGAAGGGTCATGTCTTAGTAGCAGAGTTAAACTAGCCCTGGAATAAAAGCAAATCCATACAAGCCCCAAGAGAGTGTGAAAACAGTTCTTGAAAGGATCAAGCTGACCCCAAAATAACTTAACTGCTTGCCAGAAAAAGCCCAATACTCTTCAAAGAAAGAACAAGGAAATTTGCACCCTTTCATACACTTAACATAAAATTAACAATTACCATCATACAATCAAAAATTACTAAGCATGCAAAAAAAGGAAAATGTGTTCTATAGCTAGGAGAAAACTCAGCCAATAGAAATAAGTCCAGAAATGATGAAATCAGCAGACAAGGATTTTAAAACAGCAATTATAAATATGCTGCAGAATTTACAGGAAAACCTGAACACAGTGAAGGGGATGGCTGCTAGCTCCCAGGATGGCCCTGAGCGACCCTGCTTCCTGGCAGTCACACCCTGGTGCTGTCTCCTCCCACATCATACCAAGGTTGGCCTACATGATCAATTGAAAACGGCAGAGCCAGGCATGGTGGTGTGCACCTGTAGTCCCAGCTACTCAGGAGGCTGAGACGGGAGGATCACGAGCCCAGGAGTTCAAAGTTGCAGTGAGCTATAACAGTGCTGCTGCACTCCAGCCTGGGTGACAGAGCAAGACTCTGTCTCAAAAAAAAAAAAAAAAAAAAAAAAAAAAGGCAGATGTGATAGTAGATCAACTCCAAGATTATGTTATAAAATACACTGTAGCTTCCATCTTGGGCTGGCTCTGTCTGTCTCTTCCTAACTCATTCAACACTCACTCTGCGTTGAACGCTGCCATGTTGTGAGGACACTCAAGCAGACCTATGGAGAGGTCCATATGGAGAGAAAGTGAAGTCTCCTGCCAAGGGCCACCTAAATGAATTTGGGCACATCATCTGGCCCCTGTCAAGCCTTCAGCTTTGCAACCCAGGACAAAAGCCCCTAACTGCACCCTCTGACGAGAATCTGGGCCAAAACCATCCAGCTAAACTGCTCTGGGTTCCTGAATTTCAAAAACTTCACGAGACAACAAATGCCTGCTGTTTTAGGTGCTAACTTCTGGAGAAAGTTGTTACGTAGCAACAGACTACAAAAATGAAGGAGAAACCAAAGATATGAAAAAAATAACCAAATAGACCTTTTAGGCATGAAAAACAAATGAAATTTTAAAACTCCACTGAATGAAATCAAGGGCAGGTTAGATACTCCAGGATAAAAGGTCAGTGAACTTAAAGACAGGAACAGAAACTATCCAAATTAAAGCACAGAAAAAAGATTGAGAACCAAAAAACAAAAAGTACAAAGCTTCAGTAATTAGGATAATATTAGTGACTTAAAATATGTAAAACTGGAGTACTGGAAAAAGGGGAGGGGAACAGAAAAAATACTTAAAGAAACAATGGCCAAAATTTCCCAAATCTGACTAACTATAAATCCATAAATCCAAGGAGCTCAATGAACCATAAGCAGGATAAATACAAAGAAAATCAGCTGGGGGTGGGGTGTATATTATATACAAAGTACAAAGATAAGACTACTAGCAGACTTCTTGTCAGAACCCATGCAAGCCAGAAAACAACAAAACAAACGTTCTTAAGATGCTTAAAAAAAATGACTGTCGACACAGAATTCTATATCCAGTGAAAATATCCTTTAAAGATGAAGATGAAATAAAGACATTTTGAGACAAAGAAAAGCCGAGAAAATTTGTTAGTGGCAGGACAACAATATAAGAAATGTTAAGGAAGTGCTTCCTGCAAAAGAAAAAAAAAAGCCAGATGGAAATCTGGATCAACACAAAGGAAGGAACACTACTGCCAGAAGCAGTAAATACGTGAATACAGTTCATGTATTTAAATACGTGAATACACTTCAACAAGCATTTTTGAATCATTTTAATTTAGAAGATAATGTACTCTCTAAAGTGAAAACATAATTTCACAAAAAAAATTTTGTGCAAAAATTACATAAAAAGAAAAAATGGAAAAATACTTTTAAAATGCTCTATGTTAACTAGTGTAAGATTATTTGAAAATAGACTGACATAGAGCTGGGGTCATCAAACTCCAGCCCATGGGCCAATTCTGGCCCACCGCCCGCTTTTGTAATAAAGTTTTACTGGCACACATCTGAGCTCATTATGTAACAGTTCCTTCTGTGCTACAACAGCAGAGGTGTGACACAGACAGTATGGCTCCCAAAGCCTAAAATATTTGATACCTGTTTCTTTACAGGAAAGGTTTACTGACCCTTGCCCTAGAGCAATAACTAAACCAAAACAGAAGAAAACCAAAGAGGTATAATTAATAAGCCAATGTTGGAGAAAACATGGAATACCAAAAAACAGCCCAAAAGAGGCAAGAAAAATGAAAAAAAGAATATACGAGACAAAAAGAAAACAAATGACAAGATGGCAGATTTAAACTCAATGTCATAAAAATTATATTAAATATAAATGGCATAGATTATCAGTCTGAATAAAAAAGCAAGATTCAATTAGATGTTATCTTCAAAAAATCCATTTAAAATATACAGACACAGGTAGATTAAAAGATTAGAAATATAGATACGTATATATAAATATTAAAATTGTAAGAAAGCAGGAGTGGCTATATTAATATTACTCAAGTCAGACTTCAGAACAAGAATATTTAAGAGATGAAGACAGACATTGCATAATTATAATTACAATTGCAAGTGATCAAGAAGATATAACAATCTTAACTGCATATGTACCCCAAAATAGGGATTAAAAATATAGGAAGCAAAACCTGACAGATCTGAAAGGAGAGAGATAAAAAAATTGATAAAACTTAGAGTGATGAAGAAAAAAGCGGGGAAGATGGGGCTGTCTTCCCCATCAAACCCTGCACCACAAGCGGCCCCAGGATCCAGCTCCTTAACAACAAACCCTGCACCACAAATGGCCCCAGGAACCAGCTCCTTAACAACTAAAAATACAAATATTAGCTGGGCATGGTGGTGGGCTCCTGTAATCCCAGCTACTTGAGGCAGGAGAATCACTTGAACCCAGGAGACGGAGGTTGCAGTGAGTTGAGATTGTGCCACTGCACTCCAGCCTGGGCGACAGAGCGAGACAACATCTCAAAAAAAAAAAAAAAAGAAAAAAAAAGCTGAATTCATAGAAGTAGAAGGTAGAAGAATGATGGTTACCAGAGCTGGCAAGGTGGTAGAACAAGGGAATGGAGACTTCGTCTTCAAAAGGTACAAAGTTTCAGCCAAGCAGGAGAAAAAAGTTTTGAGGTCTATTGCACAGCAGGAGACTGTAGTCAATAATAACGAATATTTCAAAATAAGAGGAAATTTGGTGTATCACCATAAAAGAATGCCAAATAAGTGAGGTAACAGGTATGTTCATTAGCTTGACTTAATCACTCCATATTGTATTGTTAAGTTAAATTTGGTCTAAAACTGCCTCCACGATTCATATTAGCGCCAAACTGAAAAGTCCAGCCACAGAAGAGTAGATGAGCAAATTATGGTACATTTGTACAAGGGAATACTATTCCGCAGTAGAAAACAATGCAGCAACACCAACGAATCTCAAAAACATTAGCTACAAAAGAGTACATACTGCATGACTCCCTCTATATGAAATTCTGGAAAAGGCAAAACTAGCCTACAGTGACAGAGGGCAGATCAGGGGTTTCCTGGGGGTGGGTGGGGGAACTGCCAGCAAAGGGCTACAGGGATTTAAGTTTATGGAGATGTTTTGTATCACGATTGTAGAAGTGGTCATGCGGGTGCACACATTTCTGAAAATTCATCCAGTTGGACACTTAAAATGGGCATATTTTCTTGAATGTAAATTTTTCTCCATAAAGTTGATTTTATTTATTTATTTATTTATTTTTGAGATGGAGTCTCACTCTGTCACCCAGGCTGGAGTGCAGTGGTGCAATCTCAGCTCACTGCAACCTCTGCCTCCTGGGTTCAAGTGATTCTCCTGCCTCAGCCTCCCAAGTAGCTGGGACTATAGGTGCCCGCCACCACGCCTGGCTGTTCTTGTATTTTTGGTAGAGACAGGGTTTCACCATGTTGGTCAGGCTGGTCTCGAACTCCTGACCTCAGGTGATCCGCCCACCTTGGCCTTCCAAAGTGCTGAGATTATAGGCATGAGCCACTGCACCCGGCCCAGGTTTTCCTTCTTAAATTTCACTTCACTGATACCTTTAGGGGAAAAAAATCCACACATCTTTTTCTTTCTTTCTTTCTTTTTTTTGGAAGTGGAAGGACTTAAAGATACAATATCATTGTGCTTTTCTGATAACTAGATAGTGGATGATAGTTAACATTTATTGAGTGTTTATCTGCAGGAATCTGTGCTAGGTGCTGCATAGACATTACCTCATTTATTCCTCACAATAACACTCAAGGTAGAACTTATTATCCCCAGTTTTACAGATGACAAGGTTTTGTGAGGTCCTAGGTCAAGGGAGTGATAGTGACTGACAAAGCCTTAACTGAAAGCAGGGCTGGGCTCAATCCTGGGCTTTCTGATTCCAGAGTGTGTGCTCCTCCTAACCTGTGTGCTAACAGGCCTTAGGGATGACTAATGGGCAGGCCTGAGAGCCCCGATGCCTGCTGCTGCCACCACCCCAGGTCTGATGGGAGGTGGGGGTTGGACGGGCTTTATGTTCTATTGCAGTACAGTTTTCACACCCTGGTCTTTTCCTTTGCTAGAAGCATTTGTCTAGCCAGGTGGAGGGTCATTACTTTAGAAAAAATAATCAGAGCTGAGAAAACATCTGCATTTGCAGAGAATGAAGTATTTAATAAGACCAGATGGGCCGGGTGCAGTGGCTCATGCCTGTAATCCCAACACTTTGGGAGGTTGAGGTGGGCAGATTGCTTGAGCCCAGTAGTTTGAGAGCAGCCTGGGCAACATAGCTAAACCCCATCTCTACAAAAAGTACAAAAATTAGCTGGGTGTGGTGGTGTGCACCTGTGGTCCCAGCCACTCTGGAGGCTGAGGTGGGAGGATTGCCTGAGCTCAGGAGGCCAAGGTTGCAGTGAGCTGAGATCACACCACTGCACTTCAGCACTCCAGCCTGGGTGACAGAGCAAGACTCTGTCTCAAAAAAAAAAAAAAAAAGACTAGATGGGGAGATGAGGGACAGAGAGAATCAAAGAGAATCAAAGTGGTTTGTGGACAGAGGAAATGAGTGATACTCTGACCCAGAGGCCATCTTTAGTGTCCAGGCCATTTGCTTGAGCTGCTGGTGAAACTGTGAAACTGGAGGCATGGCACTTGGGCTAAAGTCTGTGCGGTGAATAAGGCCCTCAGTTTCTGCTTTAGGTGGCAGAGTTGAAGGTAAATAAGGCCCTCAGTTTCTGCTTTAGGTGGCAGAGTTGAAGGTAAATAAGGCCCTCAGTTTCTGCTTTAGGTGGCAGAGTTGAAGGTAAATAAGGCCCTCAGTTTCTGCTTTAGGTGGCAGAGTTGAAGGTGAATAAGGCCCTCAGTTTCTGCTTTAGGTGGCAGAGCTGAAAATCTGATTCCTTTTTGGTCTTTAGCTTCCAGTGTACTTCAATGCAGTACATTGTGGGCGTGGTGGGGATGTGGTTCAGAAATTTACCTAAACTCTGTGGACTTCCCCCTCTCTCCAGCCACGCACTCTGTCATCTTTGGTTCCACTCTTCAGAATTCAGCTCGGATCCCCTGGAGTTGGGGGGGTGATGGGTGGTGTCAGATACCCAAGTGGTTGGGTTGCTCCGGTGGAGAGAACAGCATCCTGCCCCCATGGGCCTCAGTTGTTTTCTTGCGGGTGGCCTTTAGCCATCTCTAGCTATAAAGACACCAAGAAACTGGGAGGAATGACCAGGAAACTGTCACCCCAAACCCTGCAGTTGATTACTTTTGTTTTGTTTTGTTTTGTTTTGTGACAGCATCTCACTCTGCCACCTAGGCTGGAGTGCAGTGGCGTGATCATGGTTCACTGCAACCTTGACCGCCTGAGTAGCTGAGACTACAGGCGTGCACCACCAAGCCTGGCTAATTTTTTACATTTTTTGTAGAGATGGAGTTTTGCCACATTGCCTAGGCTGGTCTTGAGCTCCTGGGCTCAAACAATTTGCCCGCCTCAGCCTCTCAAACTGCTGAGATTACAGGTGTGAGCCACCATGCCTGGCCCCATTGACTTTTTCTCATTGGCGAGTTCAACAGAGGAGAGATGGTTGCCACAGTTTTAAAAAAGAGGCCAGGTGTGGTGGCTCACGCCTGTAATCCCAGCACTTTGAGAGGCTGAGGCGGGCAGATCACCTGAGGTCAGGAGTTCCAGACTAGCCTGGCCAACATGGTGAAACCCTGTCTCTACAGAAAAATACAAAAATTAGCCGGGTGTGGGTGTTGCACATCTGTAGTCCCAGCTACTCAGGAGGATGAGGTAGGTGGATCATTTGAGCCTGGGAGGCCAAGGCTGCAGTGAGTGGAGATTGCACCACTGCATTCCAGCCTTGGTAACAGAGCAAGACCTTACTGTCTCAACAAAAAAAAAAAGTAAAAGAAAAGGCTGGGTGTAATGGCTCATGTCTGTAATCCCAGCACTTTGAGAGGCTAAGGTAGGAGTATTGCTTGAGGCCAGGTGAGACCAGCCTGGGCAACATAGTGAGACCCTGTCTCTACAAAAATTTTAAAAATTAGCCGGGCATGGTGGTATACACTCATAGTCCCAGCTGCTCAGAAGGCTGAGGCGGGGGGATCACTTGAGGCCAGGAGTTTGAGGCTGCAGTGAGCTATAATCATGCCGCTGCATTCCAGCCTGGGTGACAGAGTGAGATCCTGTCTCTTAAAAGAAAAAAGAAAGGGAAGACAGAAATCAGATTAAAGAAGAGAGAAGAAGTGAGACTGTTGGCTTATAACTTGATGAAAGGTGGAAGCGGAAGGGCAAGAGCTTCTGCTAAGTAGTGAGGACCTTGGCAAGGACAACAGTATCTTTTTCGTGTTCTGTTAGGCCGTGTCTCTCTAGCGCCCAGCTCAGAGTGCACGTGTGTTATGTGTGAGGGAATCTAGTGAGGAGTCTTCCTGCATTAGGCACATCTGCAGGTGTCTGTTGAATTGTATATCTGCTGAATAATTTAGTCTGGTTAACTCTGGCAGGAGATTCGCTCTGGTTAACTCTGGCAGGAGAGGGATGGACAGCACAGCCACGTGGTTAACTAGTAGCTTTTATTGACTTTTCCTATTTAAAGGCGAAATGAAACCTTAGTCCCAGCCTTCTCCTCTCTCCTGCCCATTCTTCTTTATTTATTTATTTATTTATTTTTGGAGACAGTGTCTTGCTCTGTGGCCTCCCGGCTAGAGTGGCATGATCTCGGCTCACTGCAACCTTGACCTCCCGGGCCCAGGCCATCTCCCCAACCTCAGCCACCTGAGTAGCTGAGACTACAGGCCCACACCACCACACCTGACTAATTTTTAAATTTTGTGTAGAGACAAACTCTCTCTGTGTTGCCCAGTCTGGTCTTGAACTGCTGGGCTCAAGTGATTCTCCAGCCTTAGCCTCCCAAAGTGCTGGGATTACAGGCAGCCCACTGCACCCAGCCCCCTGTCTTTTTTCTGTTGCCAATTGAAGTCTGGAGGTGGCATGGGTCCTGGGAAGCCAGTGCCAGTGTTGGAAGCTTGGGAAGAGAGGAGGAGCAGCTTGGTCAGGGGGAAGATGCAGAGTGCTCACTCCTGGCACCTGCAGCTCCCGGGGGTATGGCAGCTACCCTTTAGCGTGGACTGTCCCCAGCCTACAGAAAGTCAGCTTACAAAGGTTCTAGCCATATTCCTCCCTGCCTCCACTGCCAAAGCTCCTTGTGGCTGAGAATTGTCGGGCTGTGGTGGGACAGGGACAGGTGGGAGAGCAGCACCTGGCGCTGATGAGCACAGCAGTGATGGCAGCAGCAGAGACGCTTAGAGACCGTTGGCCATGCCACGCTCTGTCCTGAGTGCCCACGTGTCTTAACGCGCTGAGTCCTCACCACAGCGGACAGACTGGGTGCTGTTATGATCCCTGCTTTTCACACTAGGAAGTGGGGCACAGAGGGCTAAAACAAGTGGTGGCGTCAGGATTTAGATGAAGGCATTGGGTTTTGGACTTGTGGTGTCACAGACCAGTTGAGGGCAACTGACTTGGGCATATTCCACGGGGTTACCTCCGTCCTGGGGGGTCACCGCTTCCTGTCTTCAGACCCCTCCTCCATATTTCCCTCTCTTCACTCTTGAGTTCTCTCTCTGAAGTGCCAGGAGAGGTGCATTGAGGTTAATTGGCGTATTCATTGAAATATTCCTGGCCTGTTTCTCAGGGGGCAGAGTCAGGAGGTAGTTCTAAAGCACTGGGAGGAGGGTGTGGGCGCAGGGGGGCTTCCCGGGGGGCACTTAAGACACTGTGTGTTCAGGAACCTGGGGGCTGTGCCTTGGGAATCCAGAGAGTGCTGAGGGCAGCCCTGTTCCTGGGAAAGGTGAGGAAGTCCTTCCCTTCCTTCTGATTCCCAAGTTGTGGAACCCAAGCAGATCCATTATTGCGCCAGCTAAACTCCTTTATGGGTGATTCTTTTAAGAGAATGAGCTGGGCCAGGGGTGGAGGAAGGCAAGTGGAGGGAGAGCATTAGGACAAATACCTAATGCATGTGGGGCTTCAAACCTAGATGACAGGTTGACAGGTGCAGCAAACCACCATGGCACACGTATACCTATGTAACAAACCTGCACGTTCTGCACATGTATCCTGGAACTTAAAGTAAAATTTTAAAAAAAGAGAACGAGCCATCTGGGAATCCTAATCGCTGTGTGTAATTGGCACATGAACTTATGGAACAGAACCTTTTTCCCAGTTTGGCCATGACTAGTCAGTCATCCATTTCCCTGAGAAAAAGGAAAAAGGAAATATTTTAACTAGTGACATGGGCTTGGGTCAGTTTCTTTCCAAAACAGATAGGCTTTCTCAAAACCACCCTTGCCAGGGGTAGGAAAAACAAATAAACTTTCTGCTTTTGGTATTCTAAGTTCCTTTAGACAGTGGGGCCTGTGGAAAATTATATAAGCAAGTCATAACAGCGATCACTTCCCCTTACTGTGGCCAGACTGCGCACACATCATTTCTAGTCTTCAGGTAGGGTCCTTTCACCCCATTTTACAGCAGGGAAGTTGTTCCAGTGAGGTAAAGGGCCATAAACCCAATAATTTGCATAGCTAATGACTCCAAATCCCATGAGATTACATGTTCAGGGAGCAAAAGGAAGAGGAGTGGGGCAGAAAAAGACAGTATGAGGCAGGGAAGAAATTCACAGGTGGCAGCTTGAATGGGCCCTCCAGGTGTAGTGAGCACCGTGCTAGGCCCTAGCGTAGTAGGGTGGGGACACAAACAAGCCCCTGAGCCTCAACCACCCTCAGGGAGCAGGGGGGATTCCTACTTCAGGAATCCTTTACACACTGACTTTTTTCAGCACATTTATTGAGCACCTGTTGTATATCAGTGCCACGCGGTAAGACAGCCTGCGTCTGCAAGAGGTTGATATTTCTAAGAGGTTGGATGCATTGTCAGCCATGCAAGTGCAGTAACCTGGATTTAACTGGCCAGGAAGCCCTGGACATTGAGTGCTAAGCAAATTTATGCTAACTAGTAAAATATTCTTCTTGATTTGGTTTTGTTTATTTCTTGCACCTAAGACTGAGAATTTCTAGAACTTACCTACCCGCTGTGTCTGCTGTTTGTGGAATGTTTGTGTTTTGCAAACAGGATCATTTTGCAACTCCTTCCTGAGGACCAGCCCTGCACTTTGGCTGCAGGAAAGGCTGGGACCATTTCCCTTGCCTGCAGGCTGCCCTTGGGCCCGTCACCACTTTGGACCTGGTGCTCTCAATGTGCTTGTCCTTGCCCAGCTACTCATCGAGAGATACAGCTGCCCCCGGTGGACTGGGCAGCCCTTCCTAGAGGAGGGTTTTGCAGTCTGTGCCCTTTCCTAGGTGCTCTAGCAACGGTGGATGGGAGCAGTCCTGTGCATGGAGGCGCCTCATCCATGATTTGGGCATTAGATTGTCCATGCTGCTTCTGGGGCTCCTTTCTAACCGTAGGACCACGGTGCTGTGTCTACCACGGCCTCGGAGCTGGTTGGAGCCTTGTAATAATGTCATCAGCCAGCACGGTAGCAAGCCCCCCATTCCTCCATCTTCCTGAAGTATTTCTTTGTCATGTGCTGTATTTGGAAGCTGATGTATTGTGGGAAAAGGCCTAATAGGACTTCTTACTACTGGATATGATGAGTGAGATACCGTTTTGCTTGGGTTTTAACCTTTTATTTTCTAAGACCTTTGGATCCGTTTGATCAGGTCCATTCAAATAGAAATTACTTACATCTTCTAGAAATGAGTTAAACACCTGGCTTCTGCTCCCTGCTATATTAATGGAGCTGACTTGCTAACTTGAAGAACACTTTTTTTTTTTTTTTTTTTGAGACGGTGTCTCGCTCTGTCGCCCAGGCTGGAGTCCAGTGGCTAGATCTCGGCTCACTGCAACCTCCACCTGCCAGGTTCAAGCAATTCTTCTGCCTCAGCCTCCCAAGTACCTGGGACTACAGGCACGCACCACCATGCCCGGCTAATTTTTTGTATTTTCAGTAGAGACGGGGTTTCACTGTGTTGGCCAGGCTGGCCTCGAACTCCTGACCTTGTGATCTGCCCACCTCAACCTCCCAAAGTGCTGGGATTACAGGTGTGAGCCACTGCACCTGGCCCCGAAGGACACTTTTACATGCTGCTAGTGACAGGTTCCCTCTGTGCATGACCACCAGCCCAGGGGAAGGGTTCATGGCTTAAAGGTATCTCTTACCCTTCAAGCAAACTTGATGTATGGAAATGTGGATTTACCTTCAAGATAAACTAGTGTGTATCTGTACTTCTTGGCTTGAAATTAAATTCTTCACAGTAAAGGAATTTTGCAACAGAATTCCTTCTATAGGAATTTAAACAGTTACCTTGCTATAGACAACATTTTAGGCAGTCTGATATCCCACCATTGGTGGGAATGACTGCCTGTCACATTAACCTGCCTGCCCCTCTTTGTCCCCCTACAGCACTTATACTCATGCGGGCTCAGAGGCACAGGTGCTCCTGGCTCTGCCTACAGCCTCCTAGGCCTGTCATCTGGGCCTGTTGGTGCAGTACATGGATCTAGGTGCTGTCACGGACTGTCAGTTGTGGCGTGTCCTGGCAGGGCCTGGCTGGCCCGACCTCTGCTCATGCAGTATTCATCTGCACACCAGGAGCCGTCTGGGCCATCTCTGGTGTGCTGCCCCACTCAGTTCTGTGTGCAGTTGCTTTCCTTTCTTGCTTGTCTCCAGGCCATTTTTGTAAGTTTTTATGAGGTCCAAATGCTTAGGCATAGGCAGTAGGCAGGAAAATCCAGCAGGGCATGTAGATCATTCCTAGTAGTAAAAGAGGTCAAGGGGTTTGGCTAAAAACCTCACTTATATTGGGATATGGGAAAAGTGGGAGGGAACTGATTTCTCAGGAGTCCGCTTCATAATATGTGTCATGGCATGATTGCCTTCAATCCTCATGACAGTCTTAGAAAGTTACCCATATGAGGCCCACTTGAAAGATGAGGCGCAGTGAGGTTAGATGACTTGCCTGAGATCTCTCACCTGGTAAATGGCGGAGCTAAATCAGAGTAAGACACTCAAACTGCGTTGTGGTTAAGAGCTTGGACTCTGGAACCAGACTGTGCTGTACTATACCGGTTACTAGAGTGTGTGACCGGGAGTGTGTTCCTTATCCCCCCCGAGACTCAGTTTCCTCATCTGTGCAATGAAGGGCGTAACAGTCCTCCTAACCTTGTATGGTCGTAAGCATTTAGAATCTTCCCAGGCATGTGGTAAGCACCCAGTGAGCACCCCACACATCAGCTGGTACTGTCACTGACTAGTGCTCATGAAACTTGGAATGGAATTCTGAGGCTTGGGGCTTCCTGTCATCCAGAGACAGTCTTCAGGGGAGGATGCTGGGTCCAGACTGTCCAGTGAGTCAGCACAGGTTTCTTTGCAGTGTTTGGATGGGTGAGAATGAACAGTACCACCTCCAAGGGGGAGTTCTTTCCTATCTTGCTGGTCCCCTCCTCAACCCACTTGCTCCCGCTCTCTAACTGCCTTTGTCATCAGTATGAAAACATCTGCAAAAGCCTGCTCTCTAGCTCACTCCTGATCCCCTGGGGCTTTGCATTTTTTTTTATTAGCAATTCTTTAAACCTAAATAACCTGAAATAACTTATTTATTAAAGTTGTATCCTTTGGTCCCTTCCTCCACGTGTTGTGTTGTCCTGGGTTTTAGGGCAGGGGCGGCTTCATGGAAGTATACTACGACCGTGTCTCTGCTCATGACAAACCTGCCTCAGGAGAGCCAGGGTAATATACACAACAGTTACGGGGAAGAAAAGGGATGAAACACCCAGATGGCATAGACAGTGTGATTGGGGAAAACAAGTGTGCTGTTCTTAAAAATCTATTATATGCCAAGTGTCGGTTCAGAAGCTTTATATGCGTTGTCAGCCCTGCAAGTTAGGGGATACTGAGTCATTCCCTCTTTACGATGAGAACCCAGAGACAGAAGCATCTTGTGCAAGGGCACTCGGCACATGGGTGAGAGGAGCTGGGGGTTTGAACCTGCGACCCTATTGACTTCTGTGGGCCTAGGGAGGAAATGCAATTTGAACTGTGCCCAGGCCATGGTCGGATTGTCTTAAGTGAGATGTGGGGGTGCTGGGGTGAGCGCAGGCTCAGAGTTGAGCGTGAGCAGCATGTATTCAGGGGCAGCAAGGAGGCCAGCCTGGCCAGGCTGGGGTTGCGTTCAGTGTTGATGAGCTGTTGTACTGGGTTCTGTATGGGTGATGGGAGATAAGTAAGATGTGTTCCTTGCCCTCTGGGATCTTGCTGCAGCTGGCGAGACAGACGCACAAATAGATGATTTCAGTGCTGTGTGGTAAGAGCTGTGATGAGGGTAAGTATAGGGAGCTGTGGGAGCAGAGCAGAGGGAGCCGGGAGCATTCCCAGAGCCTTGCCCTGACTGCAAGGGCAAGGTAAGCAGCGGCAGGCTTAGCGGTGGAAGGCAGGAAGGGCTTCCTGACAGGCAGAGAACAGCATGAGCAAAGGCATGTCCTTGAGGGCTTTTCTTGTTTATTCTCCTGGTCGAATGGATGTCAGGGTACAGTGTGGGCTTTATGGGCATCAGGGAACCTGTCGGGGGTTTGAACACAGAGGGACGGTGGAAGTCGAGTTTTAGGTCAGTTAATCTTGTGGAGGTGGGAGAACTGAGTCAAGCAAGATCAGCTGGGGAGGAGTCAGCAAACTTTTTTCTGTAAAAGGCCAGAAGGTAAATGTTTTAGATTCTGCGGAGCTGTTTGGACTCCGTGGCTGCCCCCCTATGCCTGGCCAATTTTTCTTTTATTTTTAGTAGAGATGGGGTCTCTCTGTGTTGCCCAGGCTGGCCTCGAACTCCTAGTCTCAATGATTCTCCTGCCTCAGCCTCCCAAAGCATTGAAATTACAGATGTGAGCCACCACGCCCAGTTGAAAATGGTTCTTCCAGGATGGATTTTTTTGTATGCTTATTCTGGAAAATAAAATGGAATTAAATTGGTGTAATCTACTTTGGAAATAAATGGGAGGAAAGAGGTGTCCTACCATTTCTGATGTAGGACAAAAAGGCATTTTCTTTTGGCTACTTTGAAGACTGAAACTAGAAATAGGGAAGTGTCTGATGCATATTTCTTAATTCCTTATGAGTAGCCTGCATAGTTCAAGGGGAACTATGGGAAAGAAATCTGGGCATTCTGCGTGTGATGAGACAGGAGTAGAGGGATGCATTTTTCTCTGTGTGAAGTGGGTGACTCACTGCGTTTAGCTAAATTCTCTGTGACTTAAGTAAATGCTCAGTCTTTGCCTTAAGCCTACTTAGATGGGATTGGGACCCTGTACTGTTCGGTCATTACTTACCTTTTTTTTTTCTTTTTTCTTTTTCTTTTCTTTCTTTCTTTTTTTTTTTTTTTGAGACAGAGTCTCGCTCTGTTGCCCAGGTTTGAGTGCAGTGGCACCATCTTGTCTCACTGCAACCTCTGCCTCCCAGGTTCAAGCAATTCTCTTGCCTTAGCCTCCCCAGTAGCTGGGACTACAGGCGTGTGCCACCATGTCTGGCTAATTTTTGTATTTTTAGTAGAGACAGAATTTCACCATCTTGGCCAGGCTGGTCTTGAACTCCTGACCTCAGGTGATCTGCCTACCTTGGCCTCTCAAAGTGCTGGGATTACAGGCATGAGCCACCACGCCCAGCCCGGTCTTTACTCACCTCTTGAGAGTCATTCTTGAGGCTGGGCACGGTGCTCACGCCTGTAATCCCAGCACTTTGAGAGGCCGAGGTGGGTGGTTTTGCCATTTGTCAAGTAGGGTGGAATTGGCTGCCTGCCAGTTTAAAGGGTCCTACTGGGAATAAAATTTGAATATAGAATTGGGCAGGCATGCTTTGAAAATACAGAATACAAGTGCCCTTTACTTACTGCTGCTTCCCCGCCCCAGGCAGAGGCTACTGCTCACCACTAGTGTAGGAGGACCAGTGACAGAGGTGTCAGAAGCTTCCCTGGCAGGACCTGCTCATCCTCCTGGACCTTGTAGTTTTGTGGAATCCACAAGGCAAGGCAGACAGATCCAGCAAACATCAGCTTGAAAGTACCAGGGACAAGCAGAGGGAGTAGAGGTCATGGGCTCTGTTCTCTAAGTTCACTGTTCACTTTGGAAGTCAAGGTGAGTACTGAAAGAGCAGCACGGCCCACCAGGGAGGCAGGGAATTGGGCACGCAGCACGCTCGGGCATTCTGCTGCACAAAAGGCAGGGGCTGTCCCCTCCCTGGCCGGACCTTCCTCCCATGCTCCAGGCACACCCTGCCTCAGGACTGTGGGACAGACTCCCCCTCCCTGAAACACTCTTTCCTGCAATATTGCATGCAGACTCCCTCAACCCTTGCATTGCATGCCTTTGCTCAGATGTCAGCTCCTCTGGGAATCCTCATGCCTCCCAGTTTAAAATGTCAGTGTGTCTCCTTCCCTCCGTGCTCCGGATTCCCTTTACTCTGCTTTACTCTCCATTTTTCCGGGGCACTCACCCTCTAGCATGCTGTGTTGCTCACTCATGCTTACTGAGAGGTGGAGGGCCTGGGCTCTGGAGCCAGGCTGCCTGGGGTTGAGTTGTGGCTTCACCACTTGCTACTCGTGTGGCTTTGGGTGGATTGTTTAACCCCTTTGCCTTGGTTTCCTTATTTATATGAACAATACCTAACTCAGAATTTTCATGAGGATCAAATGAATTTGTATTTATAAAATGCGTAGCATAACACCTGCCATGGAGTCAGTGCTATGTTATGTAAGTGTTTAATAAATACAGCTTCTGTTGTCCGTCTTCTTCCACAAAAATGGAAGCTTCATGAAGTCAGAAACCCTGTTTGTTTTGTTCTCTGATGGATTCCTAAGCGTTTTGAGCAGGACCTGGGGCAAAGCAGGCCATCTTTGCTCACCAAGTGAGTGACTGGGTTGGAGGAGGGTGTGGTCTGGGACGGTGTCAGGGAGTAGTGAGGTGTGGGTCAGTGCTGTGGACGGGTCTTCTCTGGGTCAGCTGGCTGAAGAGGCCGAAGCTGCTGTGTGCCAGTGTGTTTGCATACAGTCCGGGGGAGTGGGAGGGATGGTGCTGGGCTGGGGCGGAGGGGCTGGCTGCATTTGGAGAGTGCTGGGCCGAGTCCTACTGCAAGAGGAGAGAGAGGGTCTGGCTGTCAAGAGCAGTAAGATGCCTACAGGGCCCCGTATTTCCAAGCGCTCTTCCGTCCACCTCCTATCCTGGCCTGACCCCGCTTCACTTGGGAGAGCAGAGGATACCTTGTGCGTTCAGTGGGGAGGGCACGTCCACAGAGGCCTTGGCGAGGCTGCCTGCGTTGGGGAGGAACCTGGGCCCAGGTGCTCCAGGCTGTGGCTGGAGCAGGTGGAGCACAGCCAGCCGGGCTACACAGACCAGTCCCTGCCCACGGGCCTTCCCCCTCCCACCTACGGGCCACCCGTCTGCCGCCTTGCATCTTGCACCCTCCTGCCATGGACAGTGAGCCAGCCTGGCAGTGCCCTGCTGTGCTAACCAGGACCAGGAGGCCCGGGCCATCCTCCCTGACCACCTCACGGGGTCAGAGGACTGCACAAGAAATGGGTGCAGAGGCCGGCGCGGTGGCTTCGCCTGTGGTCCCAGCTACGAGAACAAGAGATCCACCTCAGGTGGTGTTCTCGGCCCGGGGCGACGGAGGGCGTCCAGCACCCATAGCGGGTGTCAGCCTTGGAGTTCCCAGCGGCCACCGCCAGGCACGGTGCAACCCAGCAGGAGAAGGGGTACTTGGGACATTTTTACATGCAGTCCCTGCGACTTCCGTTCCTCACCAGGGACGGCTGCCAGGAAGGGGACCGACTCCCCTCGGGACTCCCGGTCTGTACCAGCAGGGCCCAAGCTCCAGAGGGGTGGGGACCTTTCCCAGGGGCGCGGAGGCCGGGGTGCCCCTCCAGGACCTCCTTGGGCTGCGCCAGCAGCTCCAGGGCTCCGAGCGGTGGTAGATCTGGAAAACAGACCACAAAAGGCGTTGCAGAAACATGGATGTGACACTTTTAATTCCATTTAATTCCTCCACTCCAAAGAATGCAGGTCTTTCTAAATCATAAAACAAAGCCCAGAAGCCATCAAAGAAATAGCCTGACCACATAAAGTTCAAACAATTTATCTTTGCCTACTGCATGACCGAGTCGAATGACAACAAACAGGTGTGGGGGCGCATTTGTGCAAATATATTTGTGATGAGAATATCGTTCTCAGGCAAGTGTGGTGGCTCCCACCTGTAACCCTAGTGCTTTAGGAGGAGGCAGAAGGATCGCTTGAGGCCAGGAGTTTTAGGCAACATACTGAGACTCCATCTCCACAAAAACACACACACAAAACAACAAAATGGATGTTGCATTACTTACTATAATAACAAAAAAGGAAGAAGAAACCATAGGCATTGAGAGGGGCCTAGTTCAATAAGTCCCAGTGCATCCAAACAATGAAATACCATGAATTTGTGGGTTTTTTAAAATAAGGTAAATGTTGATGACAAACTGTTCAATGAAATGCACTTCACCTCGCTCATACAAACATTAACTGAAAATGGGTCACTTGCATGTTAAACATAAAACTATAAAACTTTAGGGGAGAAATTCCAAGAGAAAAAATGGAGCCCTACAACTAGGTAGAGATTTGAGACTTGACACCAAAAGCATGACCCATACAAATATGGATACATCAGAATTCATCAACATTTAAAACCTAGGCTCCATGAAACACTTAGCTTAAGAGGATGAAATGAAAAAGTACAGACCAGGAGAAAAGACAGGCATTCCTGGGAGATATTGCGGGTTCAGTTCCAGACTCCCACAATCAAAGCAAATATGGAAGTAAACTCAGTTACACAATGTTTTTGTTTCCCAGTGCATATACATGTTATGTTTACACTACAGTGTAATCTATTAAGTGTGCAATAGCATTATGTCTAAAAACCATGCACATTCCTTAATTTAAAAATACTCTCTTGGGCGGGGTGTTGTGGCTCATGCCTGTAATGCCAGCACTTAGGGAGGCCAGGGCAGGTGGATGTCTTGAGCTCAGGAGTTCGAGACCCGCCTTGGCAATGTGGTCCACAAAAAGAAATAAAATTAGCTGGGTGTGGTGGTACATGTCCATAGACCCAGCTACTAGGGAAGATAAGATGGGAGGATCGCTTGAGCCTGAGACGTCGACGCTGCAGTGAACCATGTTTGTGCCGCTGCACTCCAGCTTGAGTGACAGCACAAGATCCTGTCTCAAAAAAAGAAAAAAAAAAAAAAAACAAGAATATTGGTTTGCTTAATGACTTGTGATACAGAAAAAACTTTGCTAAAAAATGCTAAGGATTATCTGAGCCTTTAGAGACCCCTACATAATCTTTTTGATCTTTTTGCTGGTGGAGTCATGCCGTGAAGCTGATTGGCTGCTGGCTGATGAGGATGGCGGTTGCTGAAGGGTTGTTGTGGGGGGGGTTGCTGTGGCAGTTTCTCAAAATAAGACAATAATGAAGTTTGCCACATCGATTGACTCTCACAAAAGATTGATCTGTAGCTTTGTAATGCTGTTTGATAGCATTTTACCTACAGGAGAACTCCTTTCAAAATTGAAGTCAGTACTCTCAGATCCTGGTGCGGCTTTATTAACTAAGTGTATGCACTATTCTAAATCCTCTGTTGTCATTTCAACAATGTTCACAGCATCTTCCCCAGGAGTAGATTCTATCTCAGGAAACCACTTTCTTTGCTCACCCCTAAGAAGCAACTCCTCATCTGTTCAAGTTTGATCATGAAATCACAGCAATTCAATTCCATCTCCAGGCTCCACTTCTAATTCTAATTCTCTTGCTATTTCCCCCACATCTGCAGTGACTTTCTCCACTAAGTCCCGAACCCCTCAAAGTCATCCATGAGGGTTGGAATCCACTTCTTCCAAATGCCTGTTAATGTGGCTAGTTTGACCTCATCCTATTTGATCACAGATGTTCTTAATGGCATCTAGAATGGTGAATCATTTTGAGAAGGTTTTCAATTTACTTTGCCCAGATCCATCAGAGGAATCACCATGTATTGCAGCTACAGCATTATGAAATGTATTTTTTAAATAACAAGGCTTGAAAGTCTTTGTTCCACAGGCTGCAGAATGGATGTTGTGTTAGCAGGTATGAAAACAACACTTGTCTCCTTGTACATCTCCAGCAGAGCTCTTGGGTGACCAGGTGCATTGTCAGTGAGCAGTAATCTTTTGAAAGGTATCCTTTTCTCTGAGCAGTGGGTCTCAGAGAGGGCTTACAGTAAACCATGCTGTAAACAGATATGCTGTCATCCAGGCTTTGTTGATTATTTATAGAGCACAGGCAGAGTGGATCTGGCACAATTCTTAAGGGCCCTAGAGTTTTGGGAATGATGGATAAGAATTGGCTTCCATTTAAAGTTACCAGCTGCATTCACCCCTAACAAGAGAATCAGCCTGTCCTTTGAAGCTTTGAAGCCAGGCATTGACTTTCCTTCTCTAGCTAGGAAAGTCCTAGATTGCATCTTCCTCCAATAAAAGGCTGTTTTGTCTACATTGAAAATCTGTTGTTCAGTGTCACCACCTTCATCAGTGAACTCAGCTAGATCTTTTGGGTAATTACTGCAGCTTCTACCTCAGCACTTGCTGCTTCATCTTGCATTTTTCTGTTAGGGAGATGGCTTCCTTCCTTCATCTCATGAGCCAACCTCCTCTGCTAGCTTCAAACAGTTCTGTAGCTTCCTCACCTCTCTCAGCCTTCATAGAATTGAAGATAGTTAATGCTTTGTTCTGGATTAGGCTTTGTCTTCAGGGAATGTTGTGGCTGGTTTGATCTTCTAACCAGACCACTAAAACAAAACTTTTTGCATATCAGAAATAAGCTGTTTCACTTTGTTACCATTTGTGTGTTCACTGGAGTAGGACTTTTCATTTCCTTCAAGAACTTTTCCTTTGCATTCATGACTTGGCTAGCTGTTTAGTGCAAAAGGCCTAGATTTTGGCCTATCTAAGCTTTCAACATACCTTGCTGGCTAAGCTTAATTATTTCTAGTTTTGGATTTGAAGTGAGGGATGCACAACTCTTCCTTTCACTTGAACACTTAGAGGCCACTGTAGGGTTATTGATTGGCCTGGTTTCAATATTGTGTGTCAGAGAATAGGGAGGCCCAAGGAGAGAGAGAGACCTGAGGGAACAGCTGGTTGGTGGAGCTTTCAGAGCACACACAATATTTATCAATTAGTTCACAGTCTTATATGAGTGCAGTTCATGGTGCCCCAGAACAATGACAATGACAATAGTGACGTCAAAGATCACAGATTATCACAATACATATCATAATAATGAAAAAGTTTGAAATGTTGTGAGAATTACCAAAATTTTGACACAGAGACCCAAAGTGAGCACATGCTGTTGGGATGATGGCTCCTGTAGGTTTCCTTGATGCAGGATTGCCACGACCTTCAATTTGTACAGCAAAGTACAATAAAGCAAAGCATAATAAGATGAAGTCTGCTTGCATTTGCAAATTTCAGGTCCAACCAAGTGCTAGTATCCAGAATGTGCCAAGAACTCTCAAAATGCAACAGCATTTTTTGAAAACCCAAATACAAAATAGACAAAAGACACTAATAGGCATTTCACCAAGAGTATATACAGATGTCAAGTAAGCACATGAAAAGATGTTCGCCATTTCCTGGCAAGGTATTGTTATGAACCGAATGTATATATCCCCCAGATTCATGCGTAGAAGCCCTAACCCCGTGTGGCTGAATTTGGAGTAAGAAATAAGGTTGAATGAGGTCATAAATTGGGATCCTGATAAGACAGGATTTGTGTCCTTGTTAGAGGAGACCCCAGGGAGTTGGCTCCCATTCTCTCCACCTACACACACCAAGGAAAGTCCACATGAGGACAGAGTGACAGGGGCCATCTATAAACCAGGAAGGGCCCTTGCCAGGAACTGATGCTGCCACACCTTGATCTGGGACTTCCAACCTGTAGAATGGTGAGAAAACGGTTTAAGGTGCTGAAGTCGCCCAGCCTGTGGTATTTTGTTACGGCAGCCGAAGCAGACTAATACACATGAAGATCATGGTGAGGCAGCATGACACATCCATCAACATGCCTTAAATACAGTGTAGAAACAGCACCACAAGCTGGTGAGGATGGGGAGAAACTGGGCAACTCACACATTGCTGGGTAAATGTAACGTGGTACAGCCACCCTGGAAAAGAGTGTGGCAATTCCCCCTCCCAATACAGCAAATACCACCACCAACAGCAAAACATGCCACTACGGAACAACCTGGCAACTCAGTCCCTGGGCATTTGCCCCAGAGAAATAAACATGTACGGTGTGGCAGAGAATTAATGCAGTTGGTCTGGGATGCTCAGAACCTGCTCATTCCAAGAGAATGTCTGGCCTTGCCTGGCTCCAGGGAGGAAGCCCAGAAACCACTGAAATACTCGCCTGATAAGAGTGTCTTTTCGTAGCTGGGGCTGTGGGCAGTTTATGCTGACGGCCTGATCTATGGTGGGGCCCTGGGCCAGGTGGTGTCCTTCAGGGAGTTGGGCTTCATGAAGTTCTTCGAGTCCTTTTAGGGAGTCGTCCAACTCAAGGATGTCTGGAGGACCTCACCCGACAACACTTATGTTCACACAAAATTCTGGACACGAGTGACCTTAGCAGGCTTGTTCCTCAAAGCCAAAACCTAAGAACAGCTCCTCAGAGGCCTTTCAAGGGCCAAGAGGTTAAGGGCTGGGAGTGGGTGTGGAAATAAAGAGGAGCGTTTGGAGATCCATATTAGAGGAGGAATGAACAGGACTGGGCCACAGGTTGTTTAGGACATAGGGACATACAGGATGAGGAAACTTTCCCAGAGTCCTAGACTAATACACAAATTAACATACACGGGCACAGGCCGGGGGCAGTGGCTCATGCCTGTAATCCCAGCACTTTGGGAGGCCAAGCTGGGAGGATTGCTTGAGCCCAGGAGGTTGAAGCTGCAGTGAGCTATGATCATGCCACTGTACTCCAGCCTGGGTGACAGAGGGAGACCCTGTCTCTAAAGGAATTTAAAAAAAAACACTGGTGCAATTTATTGACAGTCTGGGTCACAGCCAAATAGAAGAAGAAGAAGATTTGGGGGTTGGATTGTTTTTAATATGTAATGTCTGTGAAACAACCAAGCCAGAAAATCAACAGAGCAATTCTATATCTATGTAATTCTGAATGAAGATAAAACCTTGGGCTTATAAGCATGGAGATAATAATTAATGCCTTGGAAATGGATTGCATCACCCAGAGGTTATGTTTTTAAGTGTAGAGATAGAATAATAAGGCCATAACTGAACTGTGTTGCACTGGAGATTGTAAACTGAGGCAGAGGAGTCTCTGCTGGCAAAAGCTGCTGGGGAGGAGCATCCAGAGAGGGAGGAGCACGTTCTGATGTCAGGATCCAGAGAGGAGAGGGTCCTCAGAATCGCAGGTGAGCCCCTCACCCGGACTGCTGCCAGGATGTCCAGGAAGATGGGCAGTGGAAAGTGGCCATTAGGTTTTTCCCACAACAGTTCATCAGTGGCGAGAGAGAGAGGAGTTCTGGGACGATCTGGTGGGAGAGCAAAGAGTGTAGGAGAAATGAAGAGGGAACCTCCAGTGACCACGGTGAAAGGTGCTGTATGTTGACTTCACGGAAATTTAACTCTGAAGGGGCCCAGACACACTGGGCTCTTGAATAAGGTTGGCCAAGTGATGTTAAGGTTTTTTTTTTTTTTTGGCAGAATTTTGCTCTGTCACCCAGGCTGTAGTGCTGTAGCTTGATCATAGCTCATTGCAGCCTCAACCTCTCAGACTCAAGTGATCCTTCTACCTCAGCCATCACCGCTGTCTAGCTCTGGAATCCTTTTCATCTTGTGAAACAGAAACTTTGTGCCTACTGAACAGTATTCCCCATTCCCATCTCACCCCAGGCCCTGGCAACCACCATTCTACTTTCTGTCAATGATTGAGACTCCTCAGCGTATCTCATTTGAGTGGAATCATACTGTGGCTTTCACTCAGCATAATGTCCTTAAGGTTCGTCCATGTAGCAGCATGTGTTAGAATTTCCTGCCTTTCTAAGGCTGAATAACAGTCCATTGTATACATAGACCACATTTTGTGTATCCTTTCATCTGTGGATGAACACTTGGCTTGTTTCCATATTTTAGCTATTGTGAGTAATGCTGCTATGAAGATGGATGTACAGATATCTCTTTGAGAACCTGCTTTCAATTCTTTTGGGTATGTGAAAGGAAAATAAATCTAAGGACCCAAAAATCACTAAGCCAAAGGAAAAGTCAAGCTGGGAACTATGTCAGGCAAACCTGCCTCCCATTTTATTCCTAAATAAGATAGCTACAAAGATTAAAAACAGCGGCTGGGCGTGGTGGCTCACGCCTATAATCCCAGCACTTTGGGAGGCTGGGGTGGGCAGATCGCCTGAGGTCAGGAGTTCAAGACCAGCGTGGCTAACATGATGAAACCTCGTCTCTACTAAAAATACAAAATTAGCCGGGCATGATGGCATGCACCTGTCATTCCAGCTACTCGGGAGACTGAGGCAGGAGAATCACTTGAACCTGGGAGGCGGAGGTTGCAGTGAGCTGAGATCGCGCCATTGCACTCCAACCTGGGCAAAAAGAGTGAAACTCCATCTCAAACAAAACAAAACAGCTACATACCTCCCTCACAATTTGCCTACAAGGGAATTCCTCGTGGGCCTCAAGATCTTTACCCTAAAACAGTTCTGTTGAATTTCACCCTGGCAATATAAACTGATAGATGATCTTCAAATATGTAGGACAGAAAGTCATCCCTCTGCTCACCTGAGACAGATGCATATTGGATTGCTTCCTCTCTCTGCCTATTGTTTATGCAAAAATGCAAATTCACTGAGCCAGACCAAATTGTGTATTCAGTAAAAGGTTGATAAAAGACTCAGAAGAATACAACCGTTTGTCTCTTATCTACCTATGACCTGGAAGACCCTGCCTCTTCAAGTTGTTCCACCTTTCCAGACTGAACCAATGTACATCTTACACATATTGATTGATGTCTCATGTCTCCCTAAAATGTATAAAAGCGAGCTGAGCCCCAACCACCTTGGGCACATGTCATCAGGACCACCTGAAGCTGTGTCACAGGTGTGTCCTTAAACTTGGCAAAATGAACTTTCTATTAATAAACTGAGACCTGTCTCAGATATTTTGGGTTCACAGGTATATACCCAGAAGTGGAGTTGCTGAAGCATACAGCAATTCAATTTTTAATATTGTGAGGAACCATCATACTGTTTTCCACAGCTGCTGTACCATCATACAGCCCCACCAACAATGAAGAAGGGTTCTGACTTCTCCACATCCTCACCAACGCTTGTAATTTCTGTTGTTTTTTTTTAATGGTATTCATCCTAATGGGTGTGGGGTGGTGTCTCATTGCAGTTTTGCTTTGCATTTCCCTAATGATTCATGATGTTGAGCATCCTTTCAAGTGCTTGCTGGCCATTTGTATACCTTTAGAAAAATGTCTAGTTAAGTCCTTTGCTCTTTTTTTTTTTTTTTTTGGAGGGGGTGGACAGAGTCTCACTGTGTCACCCAGGCTGGAGGGCAGTGCTGTGATCTCGGCTCACTTCAGCCTCCGCCTCCTGGGTTCAAGTGATTCTCGTGCCTCAGCCTTCCGAGTAGCTGGGACTACAGTCATGCACCACCATGCCATGCTAATTTTTGTGTTTTTTGTAGAGACGGGGTTTTGCCATGGTGGCCAGGCTGGTCTTGAACTCCTGACCTCAAGTGACCCACCCTCCTCGGCCTCCCAAAGTACTGGGATTATAGATGTGAGCCACAGTGCCTGGCTGCTTTGCTCATTTTTTAAATTGGGTTGGTGGTTTTTTTGTTGTTGAGTTTTAGTAGTTCTCTATATATCCTGTTTATTAATCCTTTATCAGGTATATGATTTTAAAATATTTTCTTCCATTCTGTGTGTGGTCTTTTTACTCTGTTGATAGTGTATTTTGATGCACATAAAAATTTAATTTTCATGAAGTCTAATTTGTCTTTTTATTTTGCTATTAGTGCTTTTGGTGTCATATGCAAGAAATCATTGCCAAATCCAGTGTCATGAAGCTTTTCCTCTATGTTTTCCTCTAGGAGTTTTATTGTTTTAGTCTTACATTTATGTCTTTGTTCCATTTTGAGTTAATTTTTATATATGCTATTAGGTAAAGATCCAGCTTCATTCTTTTGTGTGTGGATGTTCAGTTTTCCCAGCACCAGTTGTCGAAAAGATTGTTCTTTCACCATTAAATGGTCTTGGCACCCTCATCAGAAATCATTTGACTATACATCTGGGCTCTCTATTCTATCAGTCTGTATGTCTATCTTTATGTCAGTACCACACTGTTTAGATTACTGTAGCTTTGTAGTAAGTTTTGAAATCAGAAAATGTGACTTATCCAGCTCTGTTCTTCTTTTTCAAGATTGCTTTAGCTATTCGGGGCCCTTTGATATTTCATATGAATTTAGGATAGGTTTTTCTATTTCTGCAAAAAAGTAATGGTATTTTGGTAGAGATTGCATTACATTTATAGATTGTTTTGGGTATTATTGATATCTTAACAATATAAAGTCTTCCAATCCATGAGCATGGAATATGTTTCCATTTATTTATGTCTAATTTTTCTCACTAATGTTTTGTACTTTTCATTGTACAAGTCTTTCACCTCCTTAGTTAATTCCTACTTTTTTTTTTTTTTTTTGAGATGGAGTTTCACTCTTGTTGCCCAGGCTGGACGGTCCCATGTTTGGAACAGAGTGGGGCCGGGGGCCATTCCAGAAGAGTACCCAGGAGAGAATGGGCTCTGAGCCGGCTGCCCAGCCCCCTCCTGCTGTATGCGGCTCTGTGGAGAGCGCATGGCCTGTTTGAGGGCTTCTCCCCTCCCCTCTCTGCTGCCTGGTCCGCTGGAGCTCTCCCTTCGCCACCATGGGGCTCAGTTAAAGAAAACACTGATCCGAGCAGATGAGGGGAGGAACAGCCCTGCTGGGGACAGAGGTGGGCGTGGGGGCATGTTGTCTCCCCTGATGTGCAGGCGGTGGCTGGGGGAGTGTCGGGCGGGGGGAGTGTGGATGAAAGCCCAGACTCCAGCCTGTGGGTCCCATCTCTAGACTTCCCGACTCCCAGGTTCCCCAAAAGGTCTGTAGTGTCCCGGGCACCCAGGCCCCGATCTCAGATGGAGGGGGCACAGTGTCTCCCACAAGCGGCTCAGCCCAGCCTCAGGGCTCCTCACGCACACCCAGGGCCTCTGGAGTGGGCAACTCCTGCATCCTCTGCTTCCCTCAGCTCAAAACCAGGGCAAGTTCGAAATGCGTGCTCGCCCTTCTTGACCCCTGCTCAGCCGAGCCCCAGGTTGGGGGTGGGTATTGGAGGTGAGGCAGCCTCTGGCCTCATTGGAGGGGGTTGGTGGGCTGAGCAAACTGGCAGAGGATGTGCCCTACAGGGTGGGTGTGAGGTGGGGAGCAACTGAGGCAGATGCCTGTGTGGCCCTGCTGACCTAGCCCAGGCAGGGTGTGACAGGTCTGTCCAGCCCTGAGGGCACAGCTGTCTCCAGTCTCCAGCTCATTCCTGATCCCCAGGGTCACGTGTCCAGAAAACCTGGGCACTCAGATCAGCTGGGCACAGATGGCCTGTCCTGCCTCTGCACCCCCATAACTCCCTGTCAGCGCTGGCCCACACCTAATCAGCCAGCCAGTACCGAGGAGTGGGCCCAGCTTCCAGCGGGGAGGGCGCTGGCCAAGGTGCTGACCAAGCTGGCAGACACAGGAAACCAGCCTGTCCCTCTGCGGGCCTCTGCCTTGCTCCCACTGCACAGACCTGTGGGGAAGTGGAGGCCCAGGCCCCAACCCAGAGCAACTGGGGACAGCTGGGCTTGGTGGCTGGAGAGGGTTCTGATACCAGAAGTCTCCAGGGCAGCCCTGGCTCCCCATTTCCTCCCATGCCCATCCCATGCCCCAGAATGGTCACTTCGGCTGCTCCAGGAGGGGTGGGAGGGGCATTAAACCTATGAGAGAGGGGGTGGGGTCACAATCTTCAGCTGTAGTGGGCCGCTCTGGGTCACTGATAATGGAAGTGACGCCTGCACAGTAAGCACAGAAGTGTCTCAAGGCCTCTCTGCAAGCACAGAGCAGCCCAAGACTGGAGCCTGGTCCACCCCAGTGCTGTCCTCAGACTGATGGCCAGTGCCACATGACTCATCTAGGGTCTGATACATCCCTGTGGCAAGAGCTCAGTTCCTAGTCTGAAGGCTGCTGTGTGCAGGGACCCTGGAGGAAGAATGCTTGTTTGGGGGTCAGGCCTCAGCCTCCCACTGGCTATGTGAGCTTCGCCTGAGGTTCTCCATCTGTGCAATGGATGACGACGTCTTGATGTGGCTCTGGGAGGACCCGTTGAGCCACCGCAAGGGCTGAGATGGTGGCACTTGGCAGCCAGTACCCCCTGGGGAGGTGGCAGTGTGTGCACAGCCCACCCCTTCAGGAGGCCAGGGGGCAGAGTGGCTGGGGGGTGTCTGGGCCCCACCTCACCTTCTGTGCGACTGGGAATGGCATGCACTCCACAATGCCCTGGTAAGCCTAGGCTGGGACAAGGGTGATAGGGATAAAGCAGGCCAAGGTGATGAGGGCTACAGAGTGGCAACCAGAGGTGTGTGGACAGTGCAGCCTCCACACCAGGCAGAGGGCCCGGCCCATCCAGTATGTCTCCGTCCCGCGAAACTGCCTGCCACTGGGCTGAGATGGGAGCACCAGGGCTCTGGTAGGTCCTCACTTCCTCTGGACAAAGCAGGCAGGCCACCAGCCTTGCACCCTGCTCATGTCCCTCAGGGCCACCTCCATGGCCAGGGGCAGGCAGAGAGCACAGGGCTGCCCAGTCACCAGGTCTCTCTGCTTCATGTCAGTGGACCTGGGCTCTAAGGAGGGCCATCAAGGCCTCAGGCTGGCCCACTCCATCCCTGAGTCAGGGTCCTACAGACTGACACCAGGTGGGCCTGCAAGACCCTCATCTGCATGGTCCTCTCATGCAGGGTGGGCCTGGGGAGGACCCAGCCCGGCTGAGCTGACTCCCAGCACTTCTCCAGGTGCAGGGGCAGCCTGGCAGTTGTCTCAAGACCCCGGGATACACTTAGGAGCACATCAGTGAGGCCCGGTGGGTGCCCCGAGCAGAAAGCAGAGAAGGGACACCTGCACCCCTGTGTGCAGGGGTGTCACTGGGTTCTTTGGCCCCATGCCCGTCCCCCCTCCCCCCTGCCCCATGAGAGCTGGCTTGGTAGAGTGGGGGATACTAAGGAGGTGGCCTCCGAGAGCGTCTTCTGGGTTTGGAGTCCCCATTCCGCAGGCGGGAAGAGGTGGGAGACCCCTGAAGGGTTACGGGTAACATCAGGCCTGGATCCCGTCCCTAGGGTGGTGCAGAGAGGGCCACAAAGGCCCAGGAGGGCCCCCAGAACTCTCTTAAGCCTAAGAAACAGTGCAGAGCCTGTTTCTTACTGAAAAATGGGGGCGACCGTGCTCCAGCAAGGGCTTCTGTGCAGGGGGCCGGCGGGGAGGGGTTCATGGGTTTCGTGAGGCCAGGAAGGGAGTGGGTAGGCAGAGGCCATGCCCAGGCCTCCGGACAAAGCCCTTGCCCGCTTGGGGAGCGGGCCAGCTTAGGCCGCCACACTCTCAGGCCTGGGGCCTGGCCCACTGCGGCCCGGGCCGCCATCCCCTCGGCCTCCTGCAGGGGCCGCCGCCTCTTTAGGAATACACCACCTTTGTCTGGGCCCGCGCGGCGCGGGTGCACTGCGCTGGCTGAGCGCCTCCTGCTGCCTGGCCTGCAGCGCGCCCCGGCCCGCTGCGCCGCCCAAGAACCCCCCTCCGCCCCCCTCGCGCCCGCGCTCCCGCCGGCCCGTGCTCCCCAGCCCCAGCCCGGGCCCGCGCCCGCGCCGGCGCCCAGGTGAGCGCCCCGCCCACCGCGAGGCCCAGCCCGGGTCCGCCCCCGGCCCGCCCTGGCCGGCCCAGGGGAACTGGGCGGATTCCTCGAGTGTCAAACCACCTGATTCCATAAGACATTCATCCTCCCGGAGGCCCGCGCCGCCCTCGCCCTGCACGCCTAGCGTTGTCCCGCGGCCAGGCCCGGCCGGAGCGGCGGCGCCTGGATGTGGACCTGGCTGCGGGGAGACGGGCGCCGGCCCCAAAGCGACTTTCGGTCCTCGACGCGCCCCGCCCCACCCCTGCGATGAAGAGGGCGTCTGCTGGAGGTGAGTGTCTGCGGTGCGGGCCTAAGCTGGCAGTCAGGCCCTTGGATGGGGAAACAGGCAAGTTAGGGGGGGCCTAAAAGAGGTGGATGGGGTAGGTGGAGCCGTAGACAGATTCTGGGGAGAGGACTAGCTTCCAGGTCGAATCCCTAGCGAAGCCTTGCCCATCATCCAAGCCCCACACACCACTGACCCCGCCCCCTCCCAGTCCAAGGGCAGCCTGGACCCGCTAGATAAGCCGCTGGACTTGGGGCCGGCGCTGCCCCCCCAAGATGGAGGCTGGCACGTTCAGCAGTGACCTGCAGACCCCACGCCCAGGCAGTGTTGGTGAGGTCGGGGCAGCCACACCTGGGGAGGGACATGGGTTGACCCCCATCTGACCTCAGTCTGACAGTGGTCTACATCCCCAGAGAGTGCCCTGTCGGTGCAGAGGACCAGCCTCCGCCACCCCCCGACGCCTGCCATGTACAAGTTTAGGCCGGCTCACGGGTCCTAAGGCACCTTCTGTGGATGAGGCGAGCAGGTAAAGAGGCGTGGCCTGCCCCCCACTCCTCCCCCGCCTTGCCCCCTGCCCCCTGCACGCCCAAGCCCTGTCCCCCCAGGCCTGCCTCCAGGAGCTCTCCCCACAGCTTTCACCCCGTGAAGGGCCCCCCCTGAGCCCTGCCTCTCCAGCAGAGGCCACATCCCCTGAGGCCACACCCCTCAGGGCTCTGCCTGGGTCACCAAGGGCCTTGTGTGACTGGTAGGACCCTGCCTGTGTGCACCCAGAGCTGGGACCCACGGAGAGGAGCAGGGTGTCCTGGAAGGGGCTGGCACGGGACGTCCAGGCTTGGCATCTGTCCCTTGGCCAGCGTTGTCCTAGGCCAGGTGGGCGGCTGGCTCCAGGAGCACTGGGTACCAGGATGCGTGGAATTCCACCATTAGTCACTCTGTAAGGCCTATGGGAAGACTTTGGAAGAATTTGAGACCTGCTGGAGAAAGCACATTTTTCTTCCCTGAGTTGCATGAGTGCTCTGTGGTCACTGGAATGGTGAGCAGCGCAGGGCGGTCTTTGCAGTGATCAGGAATGCTGAACAGCCCCAGGGCGCCGTCCCTCCTTCTGGGCCACCCGGAGAGGCAGGCCTGTGGCTGGGCCCGTGCACCCAGACCAGCCCCATCCCTGGGGACCTCTCCCCTCAGGATTGATGTCCTTCCTGGAGAGAGTCACATGGTGGAGCAGTGAGTCTAGGCTCCTTGTCAAGGGTCTGAGTCTGCAGGCATGCAGGGGCCATGCCTCTCAGGAGGCGGTAGCCCTGCTTGGAGATGAGGGCTCCGGGTATGTCATCTTCCTGGGACTCCTGGGTCCAGTGGGGGATTGGGTCTGGTTGGCCAAGTGCATTGAGCCTACATTGGCCCTGATCGCCTTCTGGCTTTGTGGTTCCTGAGGCTCTTGTCCCTAGCCCAAGCCCAAGCCCATGCCCACGTGCCCATCAAAGAGGCTAGACGAGGCCCCTCCTCCCTGTGGTTGCCCTGAGTGGTAGGCCCCTGGGACTGCGTAGCTCAAAAGGCTGAGCCCTGGGTGTCTGCAGTAGCCAGCTGTGGCCTCCCTCCCGCTGCAGAGCCCCTGCCCCTCAGCCATGGATGCTCAGGGACAGGGCCATGGGTCACTATGTGGCTCTTAACGGCTCCTTGAGGCCCAGTTCCTGAGGCCGCGGTGCCAGGTGTGGACCCCGTGGGTGCTGACTGGCAGCTGCAGGCAGGGTAGCAGGTGGGCAGTGGTGAGAATGCCTTCTCCCTACAGGTTCCAGGCCCCGATTCCCTTATCCTGGGGGACGACAGCATCCATAGCCTGGACTTTGTGTCGAGCCGAGCCTGGACTTCCCTGACTATGGGCCCGGGGGCCTGCACGCAGCCTACCTGCCATCCCCACCGCTCAGCGCCTCTGATGCCTTCTCATTGCTTTGTGCTCCCTGAGCCTCAAGGCCTCAAGCCGGCAGGGCGGGGACTACGTGGCCCTGCAGCCCCTGTGCTCCGAGGGTGGGCCTCCCATGCCCCACCGTAGCATCTTTGCCCCCCCATGCACTGCCCAACCACAATCGCAGCCTGTCCTACAATAATGTGCTCAACCCTGGCTCGCCTGGTGGCCACGCCTGCCTCGCCCATCCAGCAGTTGGCGTGGCCGGATACCACTCACCCTACCTGCACCCTGGGGCAACGGGCGACCCACCATGGCCCCTGCCCCACAGCTTCAGTCCCGTGCTGGGCCCCCGGCCCCAGGAGCCCTCGCCTGTGCTCTACGACATCCTGTCCAGGACCATCATGGCATCCATCCAGGAGCGCAAGGACAGGGAGGAGCGTGAGTGCCTGCTGCGCTCCCAGGCCGACTCACTCTTCGGCGACTCAGGCGTCTATGATGCTCCCAGCTCCTACAGCCTGCAGCAGGCCAGTGTGCTGTCTGAGGGCTTCCGAGGTCCTACGCTGTGCTACAGCTCTACAGATGACCTTGTGGCCAGGCCCGGCTTCGGCGGCGCCTGCAACCCTGTCCTGCAGACATCATTGTCCTCGCTTTCCAGCTCCGTGAGCCGTGCACTGCGGACGTCGTCCTCCTCCCTGCAGGCTGATCAGGTCAGCAGCAACGCCCCGGGGCCCCGGCCCAGTAGTGGCTCACACAGGTCGCCCGCACGCCAGGGCCTGCCCTCCCCGCCCGGCACTCCCCACTCACCATCCTACACAGGCCCCAAAGGTGTCACCTTCATCCAAATGGACCTCCTAGAGCCACCGCCCTCGCTGACCGTGCAGAGGTGGGTGCTGGGAGGTGCGGGTGGGCTTCCTGGCACAGGGCAGCTGTCCAGCCGTCTGCAGGGCCCCTCTTGGCTGGGCACTCATAGGTCATCCCAGGGGCCTGAGTTTTTCTCTGGGGACGGGACAGGGAGGATGCGCCTCACCCTGCATTGAAGGCTTTGGCTAGCCCGTGTGGCCCAGCTCTGAGGATGTCCTGGGCATGCTCTGGGGACAGGGTATGAGAATTTGTGTCCTGATCCCAATGACTTGTTCTTCCAGAGCTGGCACAGACCCAGCACGTAGGAGGCCATGGGGCTTTCTCTTTGGGGTCAGTATCATGTGGCAGCCTGGGCCTCCTTTAGGCTGTGGCTCTGGCATCCTGGGTCACAGTGGCCCTGTCTACCCGGTGCTCTCCCTGGGCCTGCTTTGCTGCATCTCTAGGAGGCTGGGGCTGAGGACATTACCTCGCAGCAGAATGTGCCTCCCTGGGTGGCCGGGCCCTGGCCCTCCCTGTGGGACATAGTTCTGGGAAGCAGGGGCTTCCCTGCTCGTAGTGGGGAAACTGAGGACTGGAGAAAGCAGGCTGGCTCCAGGCACCCAGCAGGTTGGTAACTGAGAGAGCGGGGTCAGCTGGCTTGTAGGCCCAGGCCCAGGTAGGAGAGCTGCACACCTGCTGGGGCCAGGACCCACGCCACGGACGCATGGTGTCCTCACGGCATCTGTCGTCTGTCACCCCGTCTGGGCCTGGAAACCTCAAGCACAGGCTCAGCTGTTTCCTGTCGTCAGATGCGGCCCCAGGGGGAGAGCCCAGCCCCGCCCAGCCCAGCCCAGGCCACTTGGCCACAAAGGGGCTGAGGGCACAGCAGTCCAGCCCTGAGGAGGCCTCCCCTACCCCACAGGGTAGGAGTCTGTTCAGCTTTTGTGGAGTTGGGGAGGAGGCTGCCACTGGGAGTGATGAGTGGGGAGCCCGAGACCTAGAAGTGGGCAGCATTGCAGCCAGGCAGGGATCGCAGCCCGGGGACAAAGGGCTCTCACCTTGAGAAGGTTTAAGCAGCAAGGATAGAGCTGCTGTTGGTCAGCGCTGGTGGGCAGGAGGGCAGCCCCTCGTTTTCCTGAGAGAGAGCAGGAATGAGGCCAGGCAGAGTGGCCGGGCTCCCAGTGCAGAGCAGGGCAGGGGCTCCATTCAGTGCCCACCTGACTGCCCCATGCTCTCTGTGGCCAGTGCTGCCTAGGGACCCAGGGACTTGGGAGGGTGGTGGCAGTTCTGACAACATCTGTCCTGTGATGGCACAGCCGCTCCCCAGGCAGGCTCTGCATCTCCCTCCTACTTTCTGGGTGAACCCTCCGAGCCTAGAGGGCAGGGACTGCCCAGGGCCCCACGACATGGCTACACCAGTCCACGTCTGTGTCGTCTCTGTCCTGTTGCCTCCTCCGTCCTCTGTCCCCGTGTTCGTGTGTTCACCGTGTGCATGCGTGTATGTGCTTGTTTTGATGCAGGGACCACCCTCAGCTGAAGACTCCCCCAGGTAAGCTTAATGGGCAGTCTCTGGGCCTGGCCCGGCTGGGACCTGCCACAGGCCCCCCAGGGCCCTCTGCCAGATCTATGTGGCACACGCTGGTTAAGAAGGTGTCTGGCGTGGGTGGGACCATGTACGAGATCCTGGTGTGAGGACTGACCACCACCCATCCGCCGTGGTGCCACGGGGACCAGGACCCCGCAGCACACCCCCGTTCCCCATCAACTTCTCTGCCCCAGGGACCCAAGGCCACCCCAGCCTGGTGTGGACCCATCGGCGGGAGAGAGTGCCACGCCTCCACAGCTTGCCGCAAGCGCTCTGCCTGCCTGTCCACTCATCTGCCCGTCCACTCATCTGCCCATGGGGAAGTTGGCTCACTGGGCCAAGGGCCACTGGGCTGGTCTGTGTCTGGGCCCATCCCATGGCTGGGGCAGTGAGGGGGCCCAGTCAGTCTCTTTGGGGCACGCTCTCTCAGCCAGGCTTGGCTCACTCCCATCACCCATGCACCCCAGGTCATTGCCAGGCCAGCCCCCAACGGTCCCCTTACGGATGGGTCCCAGAGATCGACAGAGGCACCCAGGGCCCCCGCCGTCCTTCCGACACAGCCTGTGGGTTCCCAGACCGAGTGTCCCCAGCCAGGCTACTCCTAACACGTTGCCTTTCATGGACCCCGCTGGAAGCTCGTAGCTTGGCAAGGCCAATGATGCTTCTGCTCTGATCTGCTCTGGGTAGTGGTGGATGGGTGGACAGATGGCCAGCCATGTGTCAGTGTTCCGGCCGCCGCCGTCCCTTTCACCAAAGCCTGAACCTTTTTTTATGCTCTTATGGGAGGCAACGGGGCAGGCGGGAGCAGGCACGGGGGTGATGCTGCCACGGGGCCTGTGACACCCAGAGCCTCCTCCCCAGCCCTCAGGCCCTCCCTGCCAAACTGGAGAACCCTGCCCCAAGGCATGCCACGTCCCCAGCCCCGGCCTGGCTGCGGTGCTCACGCCGTGGCAAAGCACACTGGGGAGGGGTCAGTGCTTCCCTTGGTGTCAGGGACCTGAGAGTAAGCACACAACAGCGTCCGCTTGCGTTGTTTCTGTTTTATGTTTTTATATCTACATCTATATATCTATAATTTTATTTTAAAAAAGTTATTTTGATTCTTTCCTCAGGCAAGGCCAGGGCTGTTGCTGCAGAACCCCCAGAGTTAGGGGAGGGCAGGGGCCAGGCCTCAGAAGAGGGGGTGGCTGCTGTCTGGTGTGCAGGGATCGGTGGGTTCCTTGGGGGCATTTCTGTGGACTTGGGCTGAGTCAGAGGCTTGGGAGGAGGGGGTGGCCGATGGTCTGTGGCTGGGAAGTGTGAGGGTCTCTCGCCTTGGGTCTGCATCAGTTCTGGCAGTGACAGGGTGTTTGGGGGAAAGACTTGGGTCTGCCACTACCCACAGGGGAATCCCAGGAACCCAAGAGCTTGGGGAGATGAAATAGGGGTGCATAGGGGCCACCTGCTGGCACAGGGCCCTGTAGGGGCTGCTGAACCTGCTGGAACTCTCCTGCCTGCCAAATGCCAGGGGCAGCGCTGAGGGAGTGTGAGGGGTGCACAGCTGTTCGGGGCTGAGACATCCTGGGCTGAGGCTATCTCAGTGCGGGAAGGGTGTGAGCTCTAGGGCCCTGAAGCTGGTGCCGTGTTGACCAACTTTCTGCTTCTCTCTCACGGATGCCACAGCCCACAGGGGGTGGATTGGCACCTGCACCTGTGGATGGGGGCAGTGTGGCCAGCCTTGGGTGCCTCCTGGGCTGCTCCTGTGCCACCTTGGCCACCCAGAGGACCACCCACCACTGCGGGCCCCCTGGAGCCTGGTCGCCAGGGCACCCCCATGCGGGGCCATGTGCTGCCTGCCCTTGGCTGCCTCCAGTCTTTTCCCCAGCCTTTCCGGGCCCTAGCAGGATGACAAGTAGGCGGGTCTGGGACAGCCCAGCTGGGGACCCAGGAGGTCAGACTGCCATGGACCCTGGGGCAGGGCTGGGGGTGGGCTGGGCTCTCTTCACCAGCCACAGCTTGACAGACTCCCAGCCTGCCAGCGCCTGAGACCCTGTGTCCACGTGACCTCAAGGAGTCCCCCACCTGCTGCAGGGGGTCCAGCACCCCACAGGGGGCAGCCCCAGAGCTGTGGGGACCAGCACAACCTTTGCCCGGCCTCCCTGCCCAACCAACCTCTTTAGACTAAGCCACTTCCTCCTCTGGGAGCCCAGGCCTCCGTGGAGTGGGCTGGGTGGGGGGGTCTCAGGTTGCCCCCAAAGGTTTCTGCACTCCTCCTTCCCTTCCCCTGACACATGAACAGATGACTTAACTTCCTGGAGCCGCTAGCCTGGTGAGCCATTGGCCCCTGCCTGCCACCAAGGTCCTGTGGTCATGGCCAGCTCTGCCTGGGCCCCGCTGGGGTTGCCTGCTCCCAAAGATGATGCCGCTGGGAGCTCAGAGGGCCCAAGGCCCAAGTCCTGTGTCCTCCAGCAGTGGTACAGCCTATGGCAGCGTGGCATCCCGGCCAGCCCTTCAGCACAGGGTCCCTGTCCCTGGTTTACCTTGGGCTGCGGCTCTATTTCTCCCATTTTGGGATGAGAAAGCCACAAAACCATTCTCTATTGTTCTTAAGGGTATCCCTGCTAATTAATTCCCCAGATAGAATTTTTGGTGTTGATCTCCACAGTTCTGTCTACCAGTGTGGCCCCCTGGACCGGACAGGGCCCTGGGTTGGGGAGGTGACAGGACCTGGGCAGGGAGGGTGGTGGCCAGGAAGGGAGGGGAGTTGCATGAGGGGCATGAGGTCAGTGGATCAGCAGGTTCAGTGCTGAAAACCTGACCTCTGAGGTCCCTGGGAGGGCCTGGCCCAGGGGGCAAGACCTGAGGACTCCCCAGTCCTTACTGCTGTTGCCTTTCAGTGGAGACCCTCCTAAGACGCCTTGGGTCAGAGCCCCGTGCAGAGGGGCTGCCTTCTGGAGGGCAGGTGGGATGTGGGGTGGGAAGCCGGCCCTGAGCTGGGGTCTCCACCCTGAGGGACCCTCGCTGCCGGATCGCCCCGGCGTCCCTTCCCCAATTTCCACAGAGACGTGCTCACCGGCTACATATGTCATGATTCTATGTCCAACCACAGGCCCAACCCTCAGGACAGACCCCGCCACCCCCCTTCTCTGCAGCTCCTGGCAGGGACGGTGCACAGTGGTGCCGTGTGCAGGGGGCCAGCGCAGCCACTGGGCATCTGGGGCAGCGCTGGTCGCCTGGCCACCTCCTTGCTGGGGCCGCTGGGCCTCCGGCCTAGAAGGACAGGAAGCCATCCACCTCAAGGCGCAGGAAGGGGTCCAGCAGGGCCCGGAGCTTCCAGATGGTGGCACGGCTCAGCAGGGGCGGCACCAGCCCCTCGAAGGGCCTGGGGTTCACCATGTACACGTAGGCGACCAGCAGGGTGCCCAGCAGCAGCCTCAGGATCAGCAGCCTACGGGCGGTGGCAGTCAGGGCCAGGGGCACGCAGGGGGCCTGGGGGCTGGGCTCTGCCACACAGTCACCTACCAGAGCTGGCCTGCCAGGCCCTTGGAGCTTTCCAACTTTGGTCTCCCTTTCTGATGGGGAGGGGAGCCCACTCCGAGGGTCCAGGCTGAGGGCGGGGATCCCTGGCTTTGGGAAACCCTCCTCAGACAGGGCTCCCCGCACCGCAGCCCTGGCCCCTTCCTCCTGGACAGGCTCCTGCAGCCACTTTTCAGATGCCCCCCACCCTGGACCTGCTCTGCTGGAGCTCATTTCTCCCCCTTGCCCAAGCAGGGTGCTGGGTGGGGGGCTGGTCTCCAGACCCAGAGTGGGGCGTGGGGGGCTCACTGCCATGCTCGCCATCTGCGGCTCCTTCTTGGCCTGAGTGTGGCACTGGGCCCGCTCCCTGCAGAGGCCTCACTGTCAAGACCCCACGCCCTCCACCCCCCAGCCTGGCACCCACCCCCGGCTCAGTGCTATGGAGGTAGGTGGGGAGGGTCAAGGATGTATCTGCCTTGTCCTGACCAGAACCCCTTCCGAGACCCTGCTCAGCTGGCCCAGCCCCTGCCCCTGTGTTACCTGAGAATCTCCAGCTGGATGTCCTCCATCTGGTCCAGCACGCCCCAGATGTCCTTCTTGAGGTTCTGGGGGCCAGAGGAGGTAAGCACATGAGGCCCCTGGCCCTGCCCTCCCCGGCCTCTTGCCCGCCGGGCCCCATCCTTCTGGGTGCTGCCTTGTGGGGACCTACCAGGAGCCCGGTGGCCTGGTTGTTCAGGGCCACGTGCATCTCAGCCACGTTGTCCCACGCCTGGGAGAAGGTGGGGTCACGCCTGAGGAGCAGGACCCACGGGGTGGCCCCCAGCACCCCTCCCCCTCAGCCAGGCGGGCACCTCTGTGATGACCATCTTCTTCCTCTCAAAGCACAGGCGGATCTGCTGCAGCTCGTTGAGGGTGGGGCCCAGGGTGGGCTTGGGCAGCATCAGCAGGGTGGCCGGTACCTCCCCGCCGGGCCCACTAGCCTACTGCACGAAGACCTCCCTCCCTAATGAACCCCTCAGGCCCACCTGGAGTGCTGTACGAAGCTTCCTCCCCCCACAGCCCCTCCCCCAGGCCCACCAGGGACGGCTGCACGAAAGCCTCTTGCCCCTGGGACAGCTCCCGCCGCAGCAGCTGCAGAGGTGCCCTGTTCCCCAAGGGCTGCGTGCCAGCCGGGTCGGGGGGCTGTGGGAGAGCCCCCAGATCAGCCCCAAGGCTGTGGGCTAGTGGGGCATTGGCTGCATGGGGTCCCTGGGCCCTGTACTTACCCAGGCCAGAGCAGTGCAGCTTGAGTGTTCGGGACACAGGGGCAGGAACTGCTGCCCCGGCCCCAGGAGGGCCCCCAGCTGCTCCCGAAGGTCCTGGTTCTGTCTTTTCTGGGGTGGGGAGCAGAGAGAGGGGACTGCTTGTCATGGCCGCTCCTGGGGCTGGGGCTGGGGCTGGGGCAGGGGCGCCAGGTGATGGGTGGGTGCTCACCAGGCTGTGGTTCTCCTGCTCCAGGAAGGACTGTTCTGCAGAGCCCAGAGGCCCACACTGAAGCTGGGACAGGGCTGCCTTGGGCAAGGCCAGGGCCCCTCCCTCTGATGACAGGGGTGGGCATGGGCAGGGTCTGACCCCGGAGCCAGTGAATCCCCCCTGCCTGGGAGCCCCCTGGTTCGACCCTGGGTGCAGGGGCCAGCCCCACCCGAGCCCTGACTCCAGGTCTCCTTGTCTCAGCCCTTCAGGGTTTCTCGCTCTCTGCTCCTCGCTGGACAGAAAAGATCCTGGCAGCCTCGCCCTCCACCCTGGATCCCCTCCCCACTACCCCCTGCCCCTGGGACTGGGTAAGGTCTCTGGGACTGCACTGAGTGAGCAGAGGAGATGGGGCCCAGGCAGGGTCACACTACAAATCCCTGGCAGTGCTAGTCCAGGCATCCTCCATGGCTGCTGGAGGCTGCGGCTGGGGGACACTGGGGTTGGGCGTGGCCGCAGGGGCCCAGGGTTTTCAGCCCCTCCATCCTTCCCTGCAACCCCTTCCTGACCCCAGGTCCAGGCTCTGGCCTGGCCCGACCTGCTGCCCTCTTATTGAGGGCTCTGGGTGACCCACTGGCTCCCAGTCACAAAGGCCTGGGTGCAGCCAGGGAGGTCACAGTGGGCCCCTTCCACCTGGTCCTGAAGCTGCCCCGCCTGATGACCTCACTGCCTCTGACCCACCAAGAGTTTTTTTTCTTTCTTTCTTTTTATGGGAAAGGGCCTTGCTCTGTCACCCAGGCTGGAGTGCAGTGGCACAATGATGTCTCATTGCGGCCTCCAATCCCTGTGCTCAGGCAATCCTCCCATCTGAGCCTCCCAAGTAGCTAGGACTACAGATTTATGCAACCATGCCCGGCTAATTTTTAAATTTTTTGCAGAGATGGGGGGGTCTCCCTGTGTTGCCCAGCTGGTCTCAAACTCCTGGCCTCAAGCGATCTCTTGCCTCAGCCTCTGAAAGTGTTGGGATTACAGACGTGAGCCACTGCACCCAGCCTGGTTATTTTTCTTAAGATGTAAAACCGATAATACACACACAGTGTGGATTCAAAAAATACCAAACAATAAAAATGGCGCCCAAGCCTTTCCCACTTCTATCTCCTGTCCCTGCAGCCAGGAGCCGCCTCTTTAAGCTCCTCCTGGAGGTGGGCTGCCGTCCTCTGCCCCTCGTCCCCACGGAAGAGGTCATTCTGTAGCCCAGCTTTTATTTTCGCCTAATGTATCTCTGAGGTTTTAAAACATTCTTTTCTAGCTATCTATTGAACATTTACTTTATGCCAGATCCAGTACATGCCATTGTTATCCTCTGTTTACAGGTGGGGAAGCTGAGGCAGGAAGCCCTTTAGTCACTTGCCGAAGGCCACGCTGTTACCCATGGGACCGGTTTTGGGCGGCCGAAGAGCACTCATGGGGCCGGATTCACGCCCCAGGCCCGTTCCCTCCTGCTCTCTGGTGCTCCTCACGCCATTGGCCCCACTGCCTCTCACTGCCCGTGAGTCCCTGTGCCCGTGTCCTCCTTCTTGAACCCCTCAGCCCTCAGTTAACCCTCAGAAAGCTGGCTCGGAGAAGTCCTTGTGTGGTATCTGGGAGGCAGAGTTTGCCGTGAGCCGAGATTGTGCCACTGCACGCACTCCAGCCTGGGCGACAGAGCGAGACCCCATCTCAAAAAAAAAAAAAAAAAGGCCTCACGGGACTAGAAGCGTCTTACCCTGACCTCACACCTGCTGGACATCAGGCTGGGGAGAGAATCGGGGAAGAGGGCATTTTCCAACAGGACTGGAAGGCCAGTCGTGGTCCTTGGTGGTGAGAGCTAGCCAGGCCGCCGGCCTTCTCCCTGGAAGCCTGCAGGGTCCCCTCTGATCCCTGCACCTCTGGGGGGTCACACCAACTGCGGGTGTTTCCTCACCACGCTGGGCGCTTGGTGAGCACGTTCTGCCTTGAGACCTGGCATTTCTTTGATAACATTTCTTCTCGTTTCCTGCTCATTCTGGAACTCCTGTCAGTCAGATGTTGGGCCTTTTGGATAGATTCTGTGAGTCCTTCTTTCTACCTTTGCTTGTAGATAAGATTTTCCTTGAATCCAAACACACACACTCTCTCTGCTTTTTAAAAAATTAGTTTTGGGGCTGGATGTAGTGGCTTACACCTGTAGTCCCAGGCACTTTGGGAGGCCGAGGCAGGCAGATCACTTGAGGTCAGGAGTTCCAGACCAGCCTGGCCAACATGGTGAAACCCCGTCTCTACTAAAAATACAAAAAGTAGCTGAATGTGGTGGTGTGCACCTGTAATCCCAGCTACTCAGGAGGCTGAGGCAGGAGACTGGCTTGAACCCGGGTGGCAGAGGTTGCAGTGAGCCGAAATCACACCACTGTACTCCAGCCTGGTGACAGAGCCAGACTGTTTTAAAATAAATAAAAATAAAAAATTGGTTTTGGATTTTAGCAGTCCTGTTTTTCATTTCCAAGACATCTCTATCATTCCCTGAGCTCCCCTCTTCTTGTTCCAGAGAATTCAGTTCTGCTCTTAGGCATAAAGTGGGTTTGGAGGAAGGCGAATCTTTTGCTTTCTGCATTTTCTCTCATGGTTCTTTTTTGTTTATTTAGTCTTGGAACTTCCCATGAGACTCAGTGCTCAAATGTCTGGCTTTTCTTTCTTTTTTTTCTTTTTTTTGAGATGGGGTCTTGCTCTGTCGCCCAGGCTGGAGTGCAGTGGCGCGATCTCGGCTCACTGCAAGCTCCGCCTCCCGGGTTCACGCCATTCTCCTGCCTCAGCCTCCTGAGCAGCCGGGACTACAGGCGCCCGCCACCGCGCCCGGCTAATTTTTTTGTATTTTTAGTAGAGATGGGGTTTCACCGCATTAGCCAGGATGGTCTCGATCTCCTGACCTCGTGATCTGCCTGCCTCTGCGTCTCAAAGTGCTGGGATTACAGGCGTGAGCCACTGTGCCCAGCCTTTTCTTTCTTTTTGATCCCTGTTTATAGGGGAGGCAGGCAGAGCTGCCCGGCACTCCTCTCTCCTTGTTAACTTGAGAAAGCCGGACACCCAGGTCTTGGAAGGGAGGCCTCCTGCCTCCAGGCAGCATCTTGGGCTGCAGGGCTGCAGTCTGGAGTGGGGACAGTCCCGGCTCCCACTCGTCTCGGGCTGCAGGGCTGCGGTCTGGAGTGGGGGCAGTACTGGCTCCCACTCGTCTCGGGCTGCAGGGCTGCGGTCTGGAGTGGGGGCAGTACCGGCTCCCACTCGTCTCGGGCTGCAGGGCTGCGGTCTGGAGTGGGGACAGTACCAGCTCCCGCTGCTGTCCTGCCATGCTTGTTTGCAGCACACGTCTCCTCATACCAGTGACGAGGCTACTGCTTGCCAGCTGCTTGCCTTCTTCCTGCCAGGGTGTCCTGCTATGTCAGCCTCTGCTCTCCACTTCAAGAAGTGTCTTGAAAGATCTTGTCTGCAGAAGACCTCTCTCCTGTTCTCAGTGCCACGTGGGGCCTCCCCAGCAGAGGCGGCTGGATACCTGGCCCTGGCTACTGGAGGCTGTCTGTTAGCTGCCAGAGGGCGGCGGCAGCCTTCAGGAACCTCCCCTGGCCTCTGCCCTGTTCATTCCTTGCTGGAATGTCATGGGTCTCCGGATTTGCTGAGCTCAGAGACCCCATGGGGCAACTTGGGATGGGGGCTAAGGAAGGCCTCTTGGAGGAACCCTGAGGTGAGGTGGCCCTGGGGTGGGGTGGAGGAGGCCTTGAGCAGCAGGGGAGGGGGCTGCCCCCTGCTCTCTGCATCCCTGAGTGAGTGGGGCGGGGCCTGCCCCCTGCTCTCTGTGTCCCTGAGTGAGTGGGGCGGGAGGATGAACCCTGCTCTCTGTCCCTGAGTGCATGGGGCGGGGCCTGCCCCCTGCTCTCTGCGTCCCTGAGTGAGAGGGGCGGGGGGCTGCACCCTGCTCTCTGCGTCCCTGAGTGAGTGGGGTGGGGGGCTGCACCCTGCTCTCTGTGTCCCTGAGTGAGTGGGGCGGGGGCTGGCCCCTGCTCTCTGCGTCCCTGAGTGAGTGGGGCGGGGGCTGGCCCCTGCTCTCTGCGTCCCTGAGTGAGTGGGGCGGGGGGCTGCACCCTGCTCTCTGTGTCCCTGAGTGAGTGGGGCGGGGGCTGCCTCCTGCTCTCTGTGTCCCTGAGTGGGGCGGGGCCTGCCCCCTGCTCTCTGTGTCCCTGAGTGAGTGGGGTGGGGGCTGCACCTGCTCTGTGTGTCCCCAGCCTGCTAGGTGCCCCACAGGGGCCAGGATGCTGAGGAGTGAGAGGTCCTCACAGAGACAGGTGGCTCCTGTAGCAAGGAAGACAACACTGGCTTCCTGGGCGAACAGCAGGGCGGGGTCCTTAGGTCCCACCGTAGGTGCCCAGGCCTAGATGAGCTTCCCCAGTGGCCCCGAGGGGGCGCCCAGGACCCCCTGAATGGCCCAGTGTCCTCCCGTCACCCTTGACCCTGGGCACCACCCTCCTTGGCCTGGAAACCCCAAGTTCCCTGATGCCCCCACTCCTCTCCCCGCCTGTGCCAGGGAAAGCTGCTGCTGTCTCACTCAGCCCTGAAGCCCCTCCTCCCCCAGCCCCTCTCACCCCTCCCTGTGATCCTTGCCAATCACCCTGAGCCCGAGAAGGTCGGGGGGACTCTTGGAGAGACGGGGCCCTGGATCCCCAGCCCTGGGGTTCCCCACTCACGGGGTCATATACGCTAACAAAGGCCAAGCGCCCTGCCAAGCGGTGTCCTGGATTGGGGTGGGCGTGGGGGTTCGCCTCAGGTCCAGGCTCCGGGATGTCGTGCAGGACAGGGCGCGGCTGCGGCGGGGGCACTGGCTGGAAGCCGGAACTCCCGGCCTCGAGGGCGAAAAGTGTGGCCAGAGCAGTGTGCTGGGGGGGCCGTGGCCCCGTTGCCAGGCCGGCGCCTCCCTGGACATCATTTGCAACGGAAGCCGCTTCCTGCCCATGTTGCCACAGTGTCCAGATGGCCTCGAGGAGCCTGGTTCAGAGGGTCTGCCCTGTGCCCTTGCCCCTCCTCTGCTGCCCAGGAATGGGTTGGGAGGGCAAAGAGGAGGAGAGGCTGGGGCGCCCAGCATGGAGACCCGAGTCCTTCCTGCTGGAGCCGGGCTGCAGCGCAGGGCAGGGGCCAGATGGGGCTGTTCTGCTGTCTGCACTGCCGCCTTGATGTTCCATGCCCTAAGCTCGTTTTATTTATTTTCTATTTTTATTTTTTAAAACAGGATCTCACTCTGTTGCCCAGGCTGGAGTGCAGTGGTTCGATCACAGCTCATTGAAGCCTCCAACTGGGCTTGAGGGATCCTCCCACCTCAGCCTCCTGTGTATTGGGGACCACAGGTATGCGCCACCATGCCCAGCTAATTCTTTATTATTTTATTTTTGTGGAGACTGGGTCTCGCTATGTTGCCCAGGCTGGTCTTAAACTCCTGGCTCAAGTGATCTGCCCACCTCAGCCTCTCAAAATGTTAGGATTACAGGTGTGAGCCACCTTGCCTGTGCTTGGCTGTTCCCAAGCTTATCTCAAAAGCCAGGGAACAGGCCCTGAGTGGATGGAACTCGGTGTCACTGGGCTAGCCACAGCCCTCAGAGGACCCTATCTCTGTGCCCCCTCCTAACCTGGGCTCTTGGCCCACACCCACCCAGGCTGCCTGTCAGGGTCTACTCCCTCTCCAGCCCTCAGAGCTGCCCTATGGGGAGGGTTGGGGGTCCCAGGAAACCTGGCCGAAATGGCCATGGGCCCTGGCATGGGCACTACCCTTCATGTCCTCCCAGGGCCTGGGCTGTGGCCTGAGGTGTGAGTGCTCCTTTGCCTCAGGAGGGGAAGAGGTGCGTGGTGGCCTTCGGTCAGGGCCCATGGGGCTCCAAGGGTGGTCTTGGGCCTCCCAGGTTCCCCTAGACTCACAGCCAGGAGGACGGGTCTGCGGGGGGCTGTGTGAGGGATGCGGTGGCCTGCAGAGTGCCCCACCCTGTCCAGGGCCAGGGTGGCGAGTGGACACATGCCCCGAGTGCCGGGCAGCCTCCCCTGCCTTCCCACCCTGTGGGGCACCCCCGAGGGGACAGAGAACAGATGAGGGCTGGGTCCTGGGAACAGGGTGTGGGGGAAGGGCAGAGTGCTGGGGATGCTGAGCCCATGACCTCCCTGTCCCTGGGGCCTTCCCATGTCAGAGGTGAGGCTCAGAGAGGTAAGGGCTCACCTTTTGTCTGCCCCGTCCCCAGCATGGCTAAGCCGCTCCCAGGGTGCGGGCCATAGCAGGCCATTTGTCTCCCTCCTGGGTGAGGCTCTGGACACGGCTTTTCACATTTTTTATTTAGGAATCAGAGAGAGATAAGAATGTCACCTCTCATGGACAATGTGGCCCCAGTAAATGACTGTCAGCCAGGGTGTCCAGGGCTCCAAGGCCCCAGGAGGTGGCCATGCTGGGGCTGCCAGGCCCCTGGCTCCAGGGTTGCCGGGGCTGAACTGAACGTGCCCACCCCTGCCCAGGCCCAGGCTCCTCCCTGTGAGGAGCCCACCGGCTTGGCCAGTCCACCTTCTTGGCACTTCCTGCCCACCTGTCCCTTCTAGTCGGAGCCTGGGGAGACAGTGGAGCCTGGGGAGACAGTGTGGCGAGTGCCTGATGGTCGGTGCCAAGGTCATCTCCCAGGTCCTTGCTGGGGCCAAGAGCCAGGACTCCTTACCCGTCCCCTTAGCTGCCCTGTGCCTGCCCAGCACCTGCTGGGACTAGGCTGCCTATTGGAGCAGGAAACACGGTGCTGGGCTGTGAGCTCCCAGGGCCTGTCTGTGTGTCCCAGTATCAGGCTCCTGGGTTGAGAGAGAGATGGGGGGTGGGTGGGGAGCAGGTGAGGAGCGGCAGGCCCCCTGGAATCCCTCCATGGCCACCCCTTGGTCTCCGGGACTTGTGTGCGGCAGGTACGGGCTGGAGCTGTGGTGCAGTTCCCAGTTTCACCACCAGATGGCACTACGCCCCTGCAGACGCAGTGCCCAGAGCAGGCCAAGTGGTTTGGGAGCTGCAGCTGGAGCATCCAGCAGGGGAAGCTCTGGGAGGTCAGGGGCAGTGCTGGGGGAGCCACCTCCCCACTTGGATCCGAAGTTCTCATGGAGGCCTAGGGCAGGGGCTGACCAGGTAGCCAGAAGTTCCCTTGCTGAGTCTAGGGTGTCTGTCCCACATTTCACATGGAGACGAATCATCCCAGACACCCCGGCACTGTCCCGGGGCAGTTTGCCACCCCTCCCAAGGGGCAGGGCTCCTGTCTTGGGGTCTTCCCAAGCATAGTAGCCTTCGGGCAGCCCCGGCCTGGCCCCAGGTTGTCCCACTTGTCAGTGGGCAGCTGGGGCTGGGGGAGGGGTCCCAGCTCCTGTCCAAGGTCATGACTGCCCCTGACCAGGGTGTGGCAGCCGCTGTGGCCTGGGTCAGTGAGGCCGTGGATGGAGGGTGGCCCGGGTGTAGGCGCTGCTCTCAGCTAAGAGAGACCTCATTTGGAGGAAGAACCAGGAACCAGAGGGATGGCCGGGTTCCCAGCGAGCAGGAGGCCAGCTTAGGGTCAGCAGGGGCACCCTGCAGGGACTCCAAGAGGCAAACCAAACCACATGAAGAGTCATCTGAGAGGGAATGACGGAGGCTGGGGAGGTGGAGCCCCCACCTCCAACTGCTGCCTCGGCCCCCACAGCAGGGGAGGGTGGGAGGCTGGTCCTGGCTCTGCCCTGGGAGATGCCACCTGGGCCTTGGTCTGGGGAGGAGGGCTGGCCGGGAGGCTGGATACGGCCACTGCTCTGGAGTGACCACACCATTTCCACCCTGCTTGCCTCATTCTTCTCATGGGGGCCTCAAGGGGACACACCAGAGGTTTACTGGGGACAGGGCAGGGGAGGGATCTCAGCGCTGGCCTTCTGGGGCCCTGCGTCCACTCTGCCCCTTTCTGACCTGGGCTGGGGCCTCTGCTCTCCTCCGGGCCTGGAGACAGAGCCCTTTTGGAGGCCCTCAGGCCCGACAAGCCTGTTCCTTGGAGCCAGGCTGTGGGCTGGGTGTATTCTGGTGGGATGGGGGATCTGGGGCATGGGGTGGGAGTGGGGCTGGGAGTAGGTTGAGGTTGGTGCCTCAGGCTCTGTGGAATGGGACTGGGATGGCTGCAGACCCTGGGCTTTGGGGTCTGAGCCCAGCCCTGTCCCCAGGCAGGCTGCCCCCTGCAGCCCTGGATTCCCATGTTGGTTGGAGTTGCGATGAGAGGTTCTGGGGCCTCCTTTGCTTCTGTCCAGGACACACAGCTGAGAAGTCACGGTCTGCTGCCTGACTGTGGGGGTTTCAAGCCCCACTGGAGCATCCAGGCAGGCCCTTGGGCGGCAGGGCCTCGTGGGGGCAGGAGGGGACCCTGGGAAGTCGGGAACCAGGCCAGGGAGGGAGAGAAGGCAGGAGCACAGTTGTGGGTGTAGGCACCCACCCCGTCCCGAACGATGTTCCTCCCGGCCCACCCCACTCCAGTCCTCTGGGCCGGCTGCCAGAGGGTGCTGCTTGAGGCCACTTGCTTCCTCAGAAGAAGGTCTCACCTTCAGAGCCAGCCTTTGAGCTCCTGGTGACCTCAGCCTGTTGCCCTTGACCCTGAGTTTGCCTAGATCAAGTGGGAGGCCACTCTTTGGGCCTCAGTTCTCCCGTTCCCAGGGAGCAGGTCCTCTGTCCCCTGACAGCACCCCTCCTCGCTGTGCAGCCACCACTGCCAGGTTTCTGACTAGGCAGTGTTCCCCAGGGGGTGGCTCTGGGCCCTCAGGCAAACAGCCACGCTGGGAGGGGCGGTGGTTTGCACGTGAATAGTGTCACTCGGGTCCTTTGCTTGAAGTTGGCTCTGCTGAGTGCAGCCTGCAGACATTTTCAGGAAACTCAGTCCACAGGCTGGAGGCTTCTGCTTCCCCACAACCCAAACGGCCTCCAGCCAGCCAGAGAGCCATGAGAATCCAGCCACTAGCAACTGCCAGCAGGAAACCCACTACCAGCTGCTCACAGATGGACAGCCCATCCCGGTAGCTGGCCCCACCTCCCCGCCCCTCTGCTGACCAACCCAGCAGCTCCTTGGGTGGGTGTGGCCACCCTGCTGCCCCCACCTGCTCCCGGACCCTGTGCCAGGCGGTGCCTTGCCTCAGCGGGGCCTCGCCTCCCCCAGAGCCGCTCTGCTGCCTGACCTTGTGATATCTTGGGTCCTCTGGGCACTGGCGCAATTGGGTGGGGTCAGCTTTGGCCAGCAAGTGGGGGGCAGGTGGGTAAATCCTCCCTCTCTGCCATCTCCACTTCCTTCCTCCTACCCGGCTTCCCTGCCTTTTCCCCACTCTGGCTCCAGGGTTGCACTTCTCAGAAAGCTGTCGCTGCCCGGCTGCGCACAGGCCTGATTTTCTTGGGAGTCTGGGCTAAGATTCTGACTGGCCCTCCCACTTACCACCCACACCACCACGCAGCTAGCCAGTAACAGGGCCAGGAGTGATCAGGAGGGGGCCCACCTGACCACCCGCCCGGCGCCTCCAGCTGGCCAACTCTGCCCGCTCAGGGCCATGAGCTGGAGGTGCCAGGAGCCTCCCGGGAGGCAGTGTGAGGCATTCTTCTTAGTAAGTCCCGCATCGATGATAAAGGGCAGTATCAGCCCCTCTCTGATGCGCAGTGAGCGGCTCACCATACAGGGGAGGCGTTTAATTTATCTCGGGAACTGGGCGCAAGTTATAAAAATGGTAATTTCTTGGAGATTCAATTACGTGTTTTCATTGTTACCCTCGGTAATCAAGGAAACAATTTTTTATAAAAGGCTGTTGGATGATACTGATCTCAGGAGAGGATCTGGGCCGGGTGGGGGCTTTGGGAATGAAGAGGAGGGCAGTGTCTGCTGGGGGCAGGCAGGGCAAGTGGAGCTGAGCCGTCCAGCCCACCAGCTGTTCCAGCCCTCCAATTCCTCCATTCCTCTCTGGCCTCAGTCTTCCCTTATGCCGATGGGGCCATCTCTGGTAGGGAGGGTCTGGCAGGAGCTGATGAAGTGAGGCATGGCTCCTGGGCCGTGAGGGTGGCTGTGAGGGTAGCTGCGTCCCTGCCCCTCCCTGCCTGGTGCCCGAGCAGTCTCGTCCATCTCCTGAGGCCTCTGCAGGGCATAGAGAGGGGTTCCTCATGGAGTGCGGACCTGATTTTTTTCCCCAAGTGATGTCTTGGCTCTAAATAACATCTCCAGGATTAATGGTGCCAGCCCCCAACAGCACCAGGTGATTGAAAAAATGGTTTTATGGCCCCGTGGGTGAAATTCAACTTGCATCTGAGGTGTATTTCCAAGATGGGATTTTCCTCCCTGGGAGAGGCGGCACATTCCACACTAATTATAATGGCAGCTCCTCGACATTCATCACCCATAGTGGGGGGGACACCTGTCTGGGGCACAGGGGCAGGGTGTCCCTGGGGTAACCTCCAGGTCTCCTAATCTCAGCAGACTCTGGGGGGCTGGTTCTAGGAGATGCGCCCTCACGCAGTGCAGGGCCAGGGGAGGGGGAGGCGGGAGCCCCCAGGAAATGAACAAACTCTAGCTGGGCTGCGCCAGGGAGGAGGCTGGAAGGAGGCCCCAGGCTGAGGGTAGGACCCGGCTAGTGCTTGCCCAGGGACCCACAGGCCCCTTGCTGAGCAGACTCCAGCGAGGGGCCTGGCCCATCTTGTTGCAAGAGGCTGGAGTCCTGGGCTGAGCTGGGCAGTTGACCTTGGATCTGACTGTCTCCCCTGAAATTCCTTTTACCCCAACTCAGGCTCCTGCAGTCCCGCACAGCGCCCAGCCAGGATGGGCAGGAGGAAGCCCTTCCTCCGACGGGCCCTCACCGCACCCTGCCTGAGGGGCCTTGAGCCCCAGGGCTCTTGTCTCAGCACTTGGCCGTGGAGATTCGGGAACTATGGGAGTTTGGGGGATCTCGGTGGCTGAGGGCTGTGCTCATGAAGGACTCCTTGAGTTTGGAAGATGAGGCTCACCTTCTGCACAGCCAATAGGTCATTGTCATGGGAACACTGACCACCAGCACCAACCTCCATCCCCCGCCGGGGGCACGTGCCTTTATCACCCATTTCCTAGGTGAGTACAGGGGCTCAAAAAGGGGCAGGGTTCCTGAGGTCACACAGCAGGTGAGCAACAGAGCCAGTGAGGGCCTGGGGGTGTCCTGCCAGGGGCTGAGGTGTGCCCACATGCAAGAATCCAGGGGTCCGTGGGCCAGGGCCCTGCCAAGAGTTGGGGGCTGAGGGAGGGAAGGGGGCATTGCCAACCCTGCAGCCCCTGCCGTGGGGGGTAGAAGAGAGATGCCCCTCTGGGGGCCCGAGGGCAGGGTGGGCCCATGCCGTTCCCTCCCACCTGCCACAGGTGAACCTGACAGGAGTGGGGATGGAGCCTGGCATCCCAAGGGAACCTCCTGGAGTAATCACTCCACATGCTTGCAGTAAATATTGGGCCCTTCTTCCCCTCCCAGTAAATGAACTTATTTACTTTTAACTAAGATTAAATGTTCTCTGTGAGTTCAAGATACTGACTGCCCTGTCAGGCTCAGTCCACGCTCTGCTCTTCCTGCCTCTGGGGGCCACCCCCAGGCAGGGAGGGACCAGGCAGCCCTGGGGAAGCAGAGAAGTTGTTTCTCCAGGAAACTCCAGGAGGAGAATCCATTTACATCATCACCACTGTCACCATGAGCACGGCCATAACCACCATCATGGCCAGCTCCACCAGCACCCCATCACCACCAGCACCGGCATCATCACCACCACCACCACCACCACCACCATCACTACCAGCACCATCACCTCCACCACAATCAACACCATCACTGTAACCACAACTTCCATCACCACCACCATTACCCTCACCATCCCCACCATCACCATCACCATCAGTACCACCACATAACCTCTATTTTGACCACCACCATCACCACCACCACCACCATCACCATGATCACCAGCATCACCACCACCACCATCACCATGACTACCATCATCACCACCACAGCCTCCATCACCTCCACCATCACCACCCCCATCACCGCTTCCACACCACCACCGCCAGTAACACCACCTCCATCACTACCTCCATCGCCACCACCATCACCATCACTATCACCATCACTACCTCCATCACCATCACCACACCTCCGTCACTATGGTCGCTGTGACTGAGCCCATCCTCACTACTGTCATCAGCACTGTCATAGTACCATGCTGACAAGCCCACAGTGGGTTTGAGGGCTGCCATTGCTTGGGACTAGTTCCTCAGGCACAGGAGGCTCCACGCTGGTCTGATTGCATTGGAGGGGTTGCCTGACAAAGGTCTTTATGGGGTGCGCATTGTAGAGTGGGGAGGGGGAGGTTAGGGCAGGTCTGGAGGACTTCATGCCATGGGCATTCTCCCTGGCCCCCTTCTGTCTCAGCAGCACCCCACGCTTCTTGACTGAGCTGGAGCAGAGGAAGCAGGCAAGGGTGGGAGGAGGGGCAGGGGCAGGAGGAGGGACAGGGGCAGCCACAACCATGTCCACCTAGGCTGGAGCACAGCCCCTGAGCCTCCCTAAAGTGAGGGGCCACCCAGAGGAGGCACCTAACCATTCTCTCCTCCAGACTCCACCCAGTGCTTGGATAGCCAGCGGGGTAGCTTGGGGTTGGGGCTGGGCACTCAGCCAAAGGGGCCTGAGAGCATGCCGTGTGCAGAGCCTGCTCCCATGAGGTGGTGAGAGCCTGCTGCACCGGTCTCCTGCCCCGAGCCTTGGCTTGCTCATCTATGAACGGGTGACATGGTGCCTGCTGCACAGCAGGCCACAAGAGCAGAGCGACAGGACACAGTGAGGGGCGGTAAGTTGCTGCCTGGTAAGAGAGCTGTGGGCTGGCCTCAAGGGGTAGCCTGTGTCCTCTCACTGAGAATAGTGGGAAGCGAGCTGCGAGCTTGGGCCCACAGTGGTGGTCTTAGGCTGCCGTGGTCACATAATGCCACCTCCCAGTGCCTGCGGCACCACCCCTGGGCTCCGCAGCCCCAGCCAGCCGTCCATGTGGCCCATCCTGTCCTCTCCAGGCCTGTCTGTGTGCACCCAGTGGAGGGTCTCCTGTCTCCTGTGGCTCCCTGAGGCTGCTGGTCACAGGGCTGATGAGGACACTGGAGACCGCTGCGGGGCTAGGCAGGGGCCCTGTGGGAGTGCAGCAGCCTGGAATCTGCAGCTGGGGCTGACCTAGCACAGCAGGCCACTGGTGCCACCTCTCACGTGGCAGGCGCTTTGCAGCCTCCCACTGCAATCCCAGCAGGCCTCGGTGCCAGGGCGGCCCCATCCTGGGGGCCATTGAGGACCTGCATAGGCCACAGGGCTCACGAGCATGGGCACACCAGGGCCCGGTGGGAGCAGCTGGAGGGAGGGTTCAGTCACCCAGGCCTGCCCAGAGCTCTGCCCAGGGCCCAGGATGAACTGATGGGGGCAGCCTGCAGGCGGTGCCAGCGAGAGTGGGCGGTCCCCACAACAGGGGGGCCCTAGCCAGCCTCACCCAGAGCAGGGAGGGCATGTGTGGAGATGCAGGAAACCTCTCCCATGTCCAGGAAATATTATTAACAAAAATTTTAAATCTTGGTGACATTCCCGATGGCCAGATAATTAATATAACAGCAGATAATAATTAATTATTAATAACTGCACTGAATAGTTTTCAAAGTAATTGTGATAAAGAGAATGTTAAATGAAAACTCATCAAAGTTGCTGATGCCCTGCACAGTGAGGGCACCTTGGTGCTGGGGGTGGCCACATCGACTGGGCCGAGACTGGCCCCCCCGGGCCCACTGTGTCCTGGTGCCACGTATTAGGGGTTGTTACCCATACTTGGAGTGTGAGGACCCCCCCACAACACACACGGGGTGAGGACCCTGCACGCACATGCAAAGGCAGGGGTGTTTCTTAGTACTGGGCCAGGTGGGCAGAGTCTGTGTCTCTTCCTGCCTCACTGGGATTGTGGATGGCCATGGGGTTGGCTCAAGAGTCTGCCCTGTGCCTGCAGGTGTTCTGGATATCTGGGCTAGTGGGTGGGGGTATTATCTGCCCCATGAGCCAGTCTCTGGTTCTTCTATTGCCCCAGACCCTCCAGGCCTTGGGTGAACCCCCTCCACCATCCAACTTGACCTGCCATGTTCCTGGGATCTAGCCCAGGACTACTTCATCCAGCAATTCTCACTAAAGTGTGAGTGGCTGCTCGGCACTACCGTAATCCTTGCCGCCTCATGTGTTTATTGGTGTGAAGCCTTCAGCTGCAGAGGGATGAAGAGGGTGGTCCCAGGCAGAGCAGGCCTGCTCCCTCCACCCTCAGGCTACTGACTCTGCAGCTCTGGACAGTGGCTGGGAGCTGCCAGGAGCCCAAGTAGGAGCAGGACCTGGGGATCTCCTCCCCACACATAAGCCGGTTTCTCTGATCCTGGTTCCTTGCCCTGTCTGGCCTGCCTTCCAACTGACACCACCATGTGGCTCCCTCACCTCATTGAGCAGGACTGTTGCGGTAAACTGAGGAACGGAGAGACCAGTATGAGAAACAGGAGGATTGTTTATTTTAGGTATGCGCCGGCTCAGTGGATTCATATCCAAGAAGCTGAGCATTAAACAAAGAGAGAGCGGGGGTTTTTATGAGCGGACTTACAATAAATAAAAGCAGTTACTCACGTGATAGGTCACATAATCTATAGCATAGCATAACTTGTGGCCTTGTAGCTGCATTGAAAGAAAAACAAGAACTGGCTAAATACAGACATTTATAAAACATAATCATGCATTTGGACCCATTCCACAGATGGAGAAGATGAAGCACAGGAATGGCATAAATGACTTCCTCCATGTTGTACATGCAGTAGGTGCTAGATTCTGGCACCAAAGCCAGTGCTTTGTCCTCTTCCCCTTTCCTCAGTGGCTTTCCTCTCTTTACCTGCCCCAAAGGCTGTAATCTCTAACATGACCCTAAGAAAGAGAATGGAACGGATTTCTTATTAAATATATAAATAGAGATAATGCCATCCGAATAACGTTTTATGTTCCCTGGTCCCAGTTTTTCTAATCAATAAAGTTTTTAACTCTTCCCTCCTTTTTTTTTTTTTTTTTTTTGATGCAGAGTCTCATCCTGTCACCCAGGCTGGAGTGCAGTGGTGCAACCTCAGCTCACTGCAACCTTCGCCACCCGGGCTCAAGTGATTCTTGTGCCTCAGCTTCCCAAGTAGCTGGGATAACAGATGCCTGCCACCATGCCCGGCAATTTTTTGTTTAGTAGAGACAGGGTTTCACCATATTGGCCCAGGGTGGTCTTGAATTCCTGAGGCTCAAGCAATCCACCCGCCTCAGACTCCCGAAGTGCTGGGATTACAGGCGTGAGCCACCGCTCCTGACCCTTCTTTCTCTTCCTTCTTCATCTTTCATCCTTTCTCCTCCTTCCCCTTCTCCCTTCCTCCTCCTCTTTCTTCTCCTCCTCCTCTTTTTCTCCACTTCTCCTCCCCTCACCCCCTCCATTCCCCTTTTCTCCCCTCTCCTCCCCTCCCTCTGAAGGTAGAGAGCTTTCCTCTGAAACACCTTGAGCTGTTTTTGCTTTTAGACATGGCTTACAACGGTTTCCATCTTCCTGTGGGTCACAGGTTCACTGATATTTAGTGAACAATTTCTGAGCACTTTGAAACTTGAAATATGCTAATGCTCACTGTTCTATGAGCTTTAGATATAGAATTTTGTTTAAACCTCATAAAACTTCGTGAGTGAGATAGTTTCCTTCTTCACATTTACAGATGGGAAAAATGAGCCTTAGGTTAAGTAAACTGCCCAAGGTCACACAGCTAGTCAGTGGCAGAGCTGGGAATCAAACCCAGGCACTCAGGTGCCAGAGCCTACATGCTTCACCCTGGGCCTTCAAAAGATGAAACATCACACCCTGCTTAGCAAGTGGGACATTTATATTTCATCTGAAGAACGTGTGCCCCAAACTGCATGGGGAGGGGAGGTGGTGCCTGGTGGGCTGATGGGACATTCCTGTCTCCTCCTCAGGTTTTGTTGTGGTTCCCAGGCGGTGCCTTCGAGACTGGCTCAGCCTCCATCTTCGATGGGTCCTCCCTGGCTGCCTATGAGGACATGCTGGTTGTGATCGTCCAGTACCGGCTGGGAATATTTGGCTTCTTCACGTGAGTCTCTTCAAATGATCGACATCCCAGATCCCCAAGGGGCAGCAGTGCAGTAGCCATAGACAGTGCCCAGCAACCTAAGAAGGAGTGAGCCTTCCAGGACATTGAACAAAACTGGCCCTAGTTCCTTAGGTAATTTTTGCTGCCGTAGCAGATAAATCCCCAAATTTTGGTGGCTTAACACAATAAAAATCTTTTTCTCACTTGAGTAAAGTTTAATTGAGCATCCCTGATCAGCAGATATTCTTCCCCATGGTCAGCCAGGGATCTGGCTCTTTACATCTTGAGCTCTGATGTGGATTCTCTAGGGCCCCGGATCTTCTGCATTTGGCAGGTGGGCGGAGAAAGCATGGAGGACCATGCAAGGGAGAGTCTCCTGGCCCAGCCTGCAGGTGGCACTCGTCACTTCTGTTCACTCACCATTGGCAGAACTCAGTCACATGGCCACATCCAGCTGCAAGCGAGCTGGGGCAATGTAGCCCCACTGCATGCCCTGGAAGACAGGACACTGTTTGTGTGAGCAGTTGGTAGCGTCTACCTGAGCCTCACCCCAAGGCTTCTCGAATGCTCACCTGAGAATCATCACTCCATCACAGTGGCTTCCCTCCTCCAATCATGCCTAACATGTATTGGGTTATCAATGAACCAGGCATGCATTATTTCAACTCATCCTCAAAATAATCCTTCAAGGAAGATTCTCTGTTGTTATCTTCATTTCACAGCTGGAAAATGGAGGCCCAGAGAGGCCAAGCAACTTCCCAGGGGTCACAAAACAGAGCTAGGTCTCTTGACCACTTCTATTATCCTGCCTAAAACATGGCAGGAGAAGTCCTGACCAGGGACCAATGTAAGCAAAGAGAAGTGAGAGGTGGGGCCAGGATTATGCTTGGGGGTCACTGTCACATACTATGGGAAAATCAGCAATGATTCAAAATATGAATCCTGCCCTACAGAGGCTCCTGACTATGGGGGACATAATGCAGGGACAAAAATTTCCACATTACCAAGAAGGACATGGTTAATTCTCCAAGAATGAGAGGCCATGGGGCTGCGGAAACAGAGGAATGAGTTGCAAGGGATTGGGGAGGCTTCGGAAGAGGGGTGGCATTGGAGTTGCACCTGAAGGATGTGGTTGGGTTTGAGGAGAAGGGGTTGAGAGAACGTGTGCTCGGCAAAGGGTGCTACCTGTGCAAAGGTTAGGAAGTTGGAAGGGAGGTAGCAACACATGAGGATGAAGCAATACTTTTGCAAACTGCACTGGGCCTGTAGGCCTGGAATGTGGCTCTGGGAGTGCTGTGCAGGCAGGACAGGCTGACGGGGTGCCCTGACCCGAGCAATTACACTTCTAGCTGCTCTATACATTAGGATTCTGCGTAAGATTCCTTTGATAGGAACGTTTTCAACAATTGTTTATCATATCTGGTTTGAGCATAGGTAGATGAAGCTACAGCAGGAGATGGATGCAGAAAGGCAAGGACAGGCCTGACAGGGAAAGACCTTGAATGCCAGGCCGTAAATGGAGTTTGGGCTTTATCCAATACAGATTGAGGGACCAGGAGTACCTTTCTCAGAGTAGTGTACCAGGAACCTCCAGAGCAGAACGGAGGCTGAGCCAGGGGTGCCCAGCTGCAGATACGGACCCCCAATGGGAGGCACCGTCTTGATGCGGGCCACGGGGTGGTTGAACCACAAAAGCAATAGCTAACATGTATATAACAGGTGTATATGACATGCTTATTGTCTGCCTGGCACCGTCAATCTTCACAACCATGTGGAGTGGGCACTATCCCCATTTTAGACATGAGAACCATTGAAGCACAGCAGGTTAAGTGACTTGCCCAAGGTCACCCAGATGATAAGTGGCCAGGCTGTGAATCCTGTGCTCGAGGCTGAGATAGTAACCACTAAGGTATAATGCTTCTCAGGATAAACAGATGGAGAAATGGGGACCAGGGTGGGAGCCACAGAAGAATGGAGGTAAAATTGGCAGGGCTTGACTCTTGACCAGATGCAGGGGACTGGGAGAGAGAAGGTGGAGGCAGAGCCAGCTCAGTGGTCATGGATAGAGGAGGGAACCCAGGGGAAGGAGCAGTCTGGGGAACTGGGGAATGGAGTGGAGTAGAATGTGCCCCAGGATGACTTGCACTGATGGTGTGCACTGCGTGCATGCTTTCGGTCTAGACATTTCTTTGGTTCTGTGGGATTTCCAGTTGTTTCATTTGTTCTCCCATTAATTCCATCCCAGGAAACATGCAATTGTGCAGGAGCAGCAGCATGGGGGCGTGGGATCCCAAATCTGCAGCTTTCTAGCTCTTGAGCCAGGGGGTTTAACCTCTCAGTGCCTGAATTAAAGAGTTTATGTATCCATTCATCATCCTGACAGCATGCTCACAGGTTTAGTGGAAGGGAGTTGGCATGAGCTGCTGCTGTGGAGAAAAGCAGCCTCTGCCCAAACACTTCCCAGCAGAGAGGGAGCACGGGGTGGTGGGATAAACATCCCAGTCTCTCTCTAGCCCACCCTCACAGCACACAGCTGAGGCCTGGGTGATGACATTCCTAGAGGTCAGCTTTTGGGGGACAGGGCAGAGAAGGGTGGAGAGGACCCAGAGAAGCAAAGGGAGAAAACCCAGCACCATCTACCTCATAGGTGTGAGGGTTGTAGGAGTATTAGCCTTAAAGCCCTTAGAACAGTGTCCGGTACCTGCTGCACCTGCTATTATTGTTATTATGATTATTATTAATTTAGTTTCATGGAAAATTCTGTGCTCAGAAAACCCTTGCTTTCTAGTACAGACCAACTCTCAGGAAAGGATTCATGGATTCCAGACCAGCCTGGGCAACACAGGATTCACGCACTGGGATTCATGGATTCTGAGGAGCCTATGAATACTTGAAATTGCACCTACAGTATTGTATGTGCGTTCTTCTCGGGTGCATAGCTTTCATCAAATTCTCAAATCCAAATCCCAGCAAAGTGTGAGAACTGAGCCCGGTTTCCCCAGCTCCTCCAGACCTCTGACTCTCAGTCCCCTCCCCACTGACATCTGCCCACAGCCTCTGCTGAGAACTTCCAGGGCTGTGGGAAACACGCCATGGCCAACTGAGAATTCTCACCCTGCCTCTTGTCCTCAGCACATGGGATCAGCACGCTCCCGGGAACTGGGCCTTCAAGGACCAGGTGGCTGCTCTATCCTGGGTCCAGAAGAACATCGAGTTCTTCGGTGGGGACCCCAGCTCTGTGACCATCTTTGGTGAGTCCGTGGGAGCCATAAGTGTTTCCAGCCTTGTAAGTTCTCTGCTTTGTGATTTGAATGAATCTCAGTGTGGGAGGTCCAAAAATGATGATGAGGAGTCACTAACATTTGATTGGTGCCTTCATGCACAACAGACACTTTAAGGCACATTGTCTTCTTCAAGCCTCACAAACACATCATGAGTTAGGAGCTCAGTCTGATTTCATGGACAAGATAGCCGTCACTGGGAAACTTTAAATAAATCACCCAAGATCACATAGTGAGTAATAATTTGAGGAAAACTCCTTTATATTTGTAGAGGAGAAACCCTAGTATTCAATTACCAGAGCGGTAATTACTTGTTTAATAGAAAACTCAGCTAAAGCATGAAATATCAAAAGATGCATATAAATATTAAATTTTAATTTTATTTTAACTTAATTTAAACCATAAAATGTACATTCCCTCACCAACAGTTTGATACAGGGCCTTATGTTTGCAGAGCTGGTCTGCTGACTGGAGTTCCAACATGGATTATCTTGCATAAACCACTGCAAATGTTGCTGTCCTCAAATTGCAGTTTCAGTTTCTTTACGGTGGGCACAAACTTAAAGATGCCTGAGCACATTTTGGAGTTTTATACTTTTCCTGCAAATATTCTACTTATTTCTTGCCCACACATAATTTGACAGCCATATATATATTATATATATATAAAATATCTAGTATATACACACACACATAGTGTATATACACTGCTATATATGGTATATATACTATATATAGTAGTGTATATACACTATACACTATATATACACTATATATACTATATATGTGTGTATATATACTAGATATTTATATATCTATATATACTAGATATTTATATATATTAGATATATATATAGCTGTCAAATTATGTGTGGACAAGAAATAAGTAGTATACAGTATATATATAGTATATATACATACACACGTATATAGTGTATATAGTGTATAGTGTATATACACTACTATATATAGTATATATAGTATATAGTATATATATACCATATATATTATATATATAATATCTAGTATATACACACACATAGTGTATATACACTACTATATATATAGTATATATACTATATATAGTAGTGTATATACACTATACACTATATACACTGTGTATATATACTAGATATTTATATATCTATATATACTAGATATTTATATATGTACTAGATATTTATATATATACTAGATAATATTTATATATATATAGCTGTCAAATTATGTGTGGACAAGAAATAAGTAGAATATATACATATATAGTGCATATAAGAATATATACATATATAGTGCATATATGCACTATATATACTGTGTATATACACACATGCACATATATTTATATACATATATATACATACACAGACATATAAGGCTTTTTTTGTTTGTTTTGAGACGGAGTTTCACTCTTGTTGCCCAGGCTGGAGTGCAGTGGTGCAATCTAGGCTCACCCCAACTTCTGCCTCCCAGGTTCAAGCTTTTCTCCTGCCTCAGCCTCCCGAGTAGCTGGGATTACAGGCATGTGCCACCATGCCCGACTAATTTTGTATTTTTAGTAGAGATGGGTTTTCTCCATGTTGGTCAGGCTGGTCTCGAACTGCCGACCTCAAGTGATCTGCCCGCCCTGGCCTCCCAAAGTGCTGGGATTACAGGCGTGAGCCACCGCGCCCAGCGACAGCAATATATTTTTTTGAGACAAGGTCTCACTCTGTTGCCCAGACTGGCATGCAGTGGGGTGATCATAGTTCATTGCAACCTGAACTCCTGGGCACAAGTAATCATCATGCCTCAGCCTCACAAGAAGCATGTGCCACCATGCCCAGCTAATTTTTATTTATTTATTCATTTTTTTAGAGATGGGGTCTAGCTATATTGCCCAGGATGGTCTTGAACTTCTGGGCTCAAGTGATCCTTTTGCTTTGGCTTCCAAAAGTGCTGGGATTATAGGCGTGAGCCACTATGCCTGGCCCGAGAGCAATATTTTTTAGCCATCCTTTATCAAGAATTTTTTTCCAGACATAATTTGATTTTCTTTTACACATACAGTTCATTTGTTCTCATGATATTTCATTGATTATGTAATTACAATAACAAGTGCAGTTGACAAAACAGGTTTGGAAGCAAACACACCTGATTCTTGGCAAGAAACTGATGAGAAGAGAAATGGACAGAGGTGCTAGAAAATGGTCCATTGGCTCAGTGTGGTCACCATTTCCTTGGCATCAGTTGGCAGGTTAATTGCAGAAATCAGTGACATGGTGTTAAGAGAGCTTCTGCTGACTAGCACTTAACAATATATGTGGTCTTTTTACATCTTCAAAATTACCTTCTAAAGTGGATTATATTAACCTAACTTTTCATATATTATAACAGCCATTATTTCATGAACGAAATTTGACCAGACCACCTGTGAAGACTTCTATGTTTGTCACTGCCCCTGCTCCTCCAATAATTTTGTGATACGGGCTCAATTTTTACTCCAGTTTTACAGGGGAGTGAACTGATACTTAGAAATATTAAGTAACTTGGCTGGGCGCAGCGGCTCACGCCTGTAATCCCAGCACTTTGGGAGGCCAAGGCGGGCGGATCACGAGATCAGGAGATTGAGACTATCCTGGCTAACACGGTGAAACCGTGTCTCTACTAAAAATACAAAAATTAGCTGGGCATGGTGGTGCGTGCCTGTAATCCTAGCTACTCCAGAGACTGAGGCAGGAGAATCACTTGAACCTGGGAGTTGGAGGTTGCAGTGAGCCGAGATCACGCCACTGCACTCCAGCCTGGCCACAGAGTGAGATTTCATCTCAAAAAAAAAAAAAGAAAAAAAAAAAGAAATATTAAGCAACTTGTCCGAGGTTACACAGCTAGGAAGTGAAGGAGCTAGAAATCACATGCCTGAACATTTGACATCAAAGTTCATGAAGAACCAGGGCTCAGAGAGGTTAAGTAACTTGCCCAAACCTTCACAGCTAGTCCTTTAACCCCCGCCAAAAAGGGTTTTTTTTCCCCTCTAAGTTTAGAGCTTTTATGGAGGCTTCCTGGGAAGGTTTCTTTGAAGAGGGATGAATGGTATTTGTGATCGGTGGGGAGTCCTCTGCGTAACCTTTCCTGGATCTTCTGTGTTCTCTCTCCAGATTCTGTCTCCCATGGCCGAAGGCTTATTCCACAAAGCCGTCATGGAGAGTGGGGTGGCCATCATCCTTTACCTGAAGGCCCATGATTATGAGAAGAGTGAGGACGTACGAATACTGTTAACACCTTGCTAGCTTCCTCTCCTCAGTTAGGGGAGAATGTGTTCAGGCACCTTCTCACCATGTGCCATCTATCCCACGATATTTGTCATCTGTCTCTTAATTATCTACTACAGAGTGAGGCCCTAGAGACCAGGATCTCTCTGTCCTTCAGGCCCCCAGCATAATAAGTGGTATATATCAGGCAGCTATAAATGTTCTGGATGAATGAGCTAATGAATGAGCTGTTTCATTCAATGCATATTAATTAAGCACTGGGCTGTGGAGCCATCTCTTGAGTATTAATGATTTTAGTGGTAAATTTTCTTAAACATTTTATAGAAAGTAACAGTATATAACCAAGAGCAGAAACATAGAGTTATGAAATTGTAAAAAAAAATACCCTCAATACGTGGAAACATTGATTTTGGTAACATTCTCCATAAAGCTGCTTTCAGTTTGGGCATATGTTTATTCATTTGACACATCACTGAATGCCCACTATTTTCCCTGCTCTGTTAGAACTTTGGGATTTATCAGTGGAGAAAGCATATCCAAACCTGAGGGCAATATAATCTTTTTATCACCTATCCATGGATAGGATTAAATCCTGGAATCCATGGATGGTTTGGGAAGTGGTCCCACAATTGTACCAGACTCCACATGCCTGCACATTTTCCCAGGGAGGGGGTTTGTAACTTTGATTGGATTCTCACAGTATCCACGACTCCCAGAAGGTTAAGAGCCACCACTTTCAGGGAGTGAGTTCTACAAATATGGAAGGTTCAGTGACAAGGAAAGCAGGTGTTCAGCAATGGGCCAGGCATGGAAGGTGGGGAACATCGAGCTTATAGGAGATTGGATGAGGAAGGCGTTTCTGGGGGCTGCAGTGCCCTGAAAGGACATTGTGGAGAGCAGGACTTGGGCTTTAAAGAATGAGAAGGATTGGTATACAGGCAGGAAAAAAGACAGGTAGGACATTCCAGGCTGTGAGTGGGCCTGGGGCTTGGGCAGGGCTGACAAGCTGAGAATCTGATCTGGAGCCCTGCCTCTACTGACACTGAAGGAGCTTGCAAAGCTGTTCCTCGCTCTTGGTGTTTCTGTCTTCATTTAGCACCTCAAGGTTGGGCTTCTAGACTCTGGAGGAGCCAAGTACCAATGCAGCCAAGTTCACAGGACTGATCTCTTTGTGACCAGGAATCTTGATTCCATTCCATATCCACAGACTGACAAACACCCATCCCCAGCTGTGGTGTTTTCTAAAGATGACAAGGCGAGCCAGGCAAGAGAGTGAGGGTGAGGCAGTGGCAACCTGTCTGCCACGTGCACCTTCCTTTATAGGGGCATGGGGCTAGGCAGGGGTAGCAGGATGGACTTATATATGGAGGACAAGCCTGTGGCTGATAGGAGGGCATTTTCCAGGTTTCATTTTCCTAGATGCTTTCAAAATCATGCTCTGACCTGGTCTTTCTCTGAAAATAGCTGCAGGTAGTTGCACAATTCTGTGGGTACAATGCATCAGACTCTGAGGCCCCACTGAGGTGCCTGAGGACAAAATCCTCCAAGGAGCTGCTGACCCTCAGCCAGGTGAGGACAGAGGGGGCAGTTTTGGGGACAGGGTTGCCCTTTGAATAGAGAGGTGAACAAATCCTACCCTTTTGTTATTTATTTGGATTTGGAACATGGAAAAGAGGAGGACTGGGGATACTTGGTAACAGCTGTAAAAAAAATAAGTAGGGGTATAGAACCCTTGTAGGTAATTTAAGAACATTGTTGGGGCAGGGGTGCAACTTAGCCTGGAGAAGATTCAGCAAAGTACAAGGCTTGTCTCTAAGTCCCTGAAGGCATCTCACTGGAGAGAGGGACCACACTTGTTATGCATGCTTCCAGAAGCTGAAGTCAAGATCACAAGCTAGAAGTTCTATTCAGAAGTCATTTTAGTTTTGTGTAACTGAAAACTTTTCAAGACCTCAGTTGTCTGGAAAAGGACTGGGCTCCTTTAGAAGGTGGTGAGATGCCCACCTCTCCAGGTATTCAAGCAAAATATAGCTGACCACTGACAGACTTTCAATCAGTGACAGTTAATTGAACCGGGTGATCTTTTATGTCCCTTCCAACCTTGAGAGCCTTTGATGACAGTCTTTGAATGAACAAGATCATTATCTTTCAGATTTCAACATTTGCTAGTTAGGTGCTGTGTACTGAATGTCCACTCTGAGCCATGCTAGCCTCAGTGAAATGGATAAGTCCTGGACCTGACGTTGTATTGAACTCTTCCATGTGCTCCTTTCTACCCAAATCCCAAAACAGAAACCTGAAGAAACCGTGATTAGAGCTGAGTGTTGCTTTCTGAGACCCCAGAAATATCCAGGCATTTCCCAGGCACTGTGTCTCAGGGAGACATCTGAGAAAGGTGTTCACACCAACCCCTACAGTCCTAGCTACTCCATCTACCACCATTTTTCCCTTTGTATTTGGCCAGTGGTTCTCAAACTTGAACATGCATCAGGATCACCTGGAGGACTGGTTATGTTGTATCCAGGTGAGTTAAGGGAACGCCACACTTTGAGAAGAATTAAGAGTCCTTTATTAAGCCGGCGGCCAGAGAGACAGCTAATGCTCAAAATTCTCTCTGCCACGAGGAAGGGGCTCAATTAACTTTTATACCTAGGTTTAGGAAGGGGAGGGGGACTCAAATGTAATAATTCTACAGAAGTAAAAACATGCAAGAATCAAAAGAAGCAAAATGGTTACAGAGTGATAAACAAAAGACAAATAGTTACAAGAAGAGCAACGGTATCAGGTGCAAGGTTCTAAATCTTTCATTATAATTAGATATAGAGTCTATGCAGGGCATGAACTCAAGGTTTTATGTTGTTATCTCTTGGAGAGAAATCCTGGGAACTTCATACATTGTTGGTGCTAGTACCTTATCAGTTAATTGGGCTCCTTTGAAATGCTGAGGATCTGTTTACACAGGCCAACTCCTTACGAAAGGGTGTTGGATGAGGAGCCCTCAGTGTCTTGTAAATTAAGGGATCAACTGGAGTTTGTCCAGCCTTCCTAGCTGGAGAGAGTCTTATTTACATGAGAAGCAAGGCTAGGTGATTAAAGAGACAAGCAGGATAAAATTCAAAGTAACGAGTTAAAGTAAAAACAAGGTTAGGCATTTCAGTTACAAGAAGGTTCCTGGGCTACACCCCGACCCTAGAGTTTCTTATTGAGGGCCTGAAGTGGACCTGAGAATGTGCATTTCTAACAAATTCCCAGATGATGCTGATGCTGCTGGTCTAGGAACCACACTTTGAGAATCTCTGTGCTAGGCTGTATTAGTCTCTTCTCACGCTGCTAATAAAGACATACCTGAGTCTAAGTAATTTATAAAGGAAAGAGGTTTAATAAACTCACAGTTCCACATGGCTGGGGAGGCCTCACATCATGGTGGAGGGTGAAGAAAGAGCAAAGGCACGTCTTATATGGCAGTGGGCAAAAAAAAAAGCTTGTGCAGGGGCGCTCCCCTTTATAAAAACCATCAGATCTCATGAGCTTTATTCACTATCATGCAAATAGCATGAATAAGACCTGCTCCCATGATTCAATTACCTCCCACCAGGTCCCTCCCACAATATGTGGGAATTATGGGAGCTATAATTTGAGATTTGGGTGGGGACATAGCCAAACCATATCCGAGGCCACTGTTTTTCTTAGGTAGATATTCCCGTTTAGCAGATAAGAAAATAAGGCACACACAAGTTTAGCCCCCTTGCCCAGGTACATGGCAGAGCTGCCAGGGACTGATATATTGAGCTGGGCCCATAGTGTTTGCTTTTACTTTTTAAGTGCATTTAAGCCAGTGCTAGACTGGGTTGGCTTTGCTTGGCCAGGATTTGGGACAGCAGATTTTGTGAACAGAAATAGCTGCTGGTTTTTTTTTCTTCCCTATTACAGAAAACAAAGGCTTTCACTCAAGTGGTTGATGGTGCTTTCTTTCCTAATGAGCCTCTAGATCTATTGTCTCAGAAAGCATTTAAAGCAATTCCTTCCATCATCGGAGTCAATAACCCCGAGTGTGGCTTCCCGCTGCCTATGGTAAGAATTGTGGCTGTCCATACTGCCACTCCCTCAAACTGTGATGCAGCTCTTGGCTTCAACAGCTGGGCATTTCCACAGGTGACATCCACTGTTGTAAGTGCTGGAGCCCACCAGCCAAGCACACAGTGATCACCTTTCCTCTCTCTGAAAGAGGATAAGCGAGGACCAGGCCAGGCCAGTCACAGCAAGTGTCTGCCTTGCTCCTCATGTGATGAGGTTTAGGGTGGAAGAAACAACTACATAAAAAGGAAAGAGGGGATGGGTCCATTTGGTCTTTGTTCAAAAAATACTATAAATTATTGTTTCCAAAAAATGCAGTTACTACTTCAGAGTTGACATTCAGATAGGTTTGAAAAACTTCAGTCCTTTAAACTTTTCATGTCCAGCCTTGGTTCTAGCATCTTGACATCCAAGAATGCTAAGGTTGTATAAGTTGCAAAATTGTTGAATCATTTTATTTATTCAACAAGTATGTGCTGAGTATTTATTACAGGCTTATAAAAACTGAGCAGTTGGCAGCGAGCGTGGTACCAGCTTTCTGAGCGCTTACACTCTAGTGGGGAGAGACAGAGGAGACACGAGGTTGAGAAGATGATTTCGGAGAGTGATAGATGCTATGAAGGGCACAAGTGGGGAGAGAAGTTATCTTTAGGGAGACAACAGGTGGTTAGGAAAGGCTCCTCTGGGGGAGAGATTGTTGAGCTGAGGCCTGGGTGCCGGGAAAAACCCATGATTTTTTGATTCCATGGTTTAGGAAGACTCTCTTCATTGGAAATAAACTTTTCATCTGTCCTCAGAAGAGTGGAGGCTTCAAATTCCTAATACTGTTGAAGCTCATTTATATAGACTGACCTCATTTTAAGCTGGGGGAAATGGGGTTAAGAAATAAAGAGGTTTGTCAAATTACAAAGCTAGTTGATGGCTGCTAGAACCAGAATCCCGAGTTCATTGGGTTGTGAAAGCATGTTGTACCATTATTAATTTGACCTCCAAGGCAATGTTTTCAAGTGGGACTAGGGATTTTTGTCCTCATGTTGCAGATGAGGCCAGTGAATCACAGTTGATGGCTTAGGTAAGGCCTTTCAGTGATTTCTGGGTGTGTATTAGAAAGAAGAAGGCAGTGCTAGTGATGACAACCACCACTGTAACTACTGTAACCAGTTCCCCAATGCCTTCTAGTGCCAAGCACAGGCAATCCAAGCAGGAACTTGAAAACAGGCATGATTATCCCTATTTTAAAGAAACTGAGGCTCAGAGCAGCTAAAGTGGCTTTCCAGCATCTCCTAGCTAGTAAGGAGACACTGGTGTGTAATTTTTATGCATTTAGGCTCTGTTTTTTATTTTATTTTATTTTATTTTTGAGTCAGAGTCTCACTCTGTTGCCCAGGCTGGAGTGTAGTAGCACAATCTTGGCTCACTGCAACCTCCATCTCCCGGGTTCAAGCGATTCTTCTGCCTCAGCCTCTAGAGTAGCTGGGATTACAGGTGCCTGCCACCACGACTAGCTAATTTTTTTTGTATTTTTAGCAGAGACAGGGTTTCACCATGTTGGCCAGGCTGGTTTTGAACTCCTGACCTCAAGTGATCCACCCACCTTGGCCCCCCAAAGTGCTGAGATTACAGACATGAGCCTGTGCCCAGACTAGGTTCTGCCTTTAAATGCCGAGTTCTCTGCTTACCTGCTGTGTGACATTAGGGAAGTTGCCTACCCTCTCTGAGTCTCCATTCCTTCATCTGTGAAATACGGCTATTCTTAGCACCTACCTCACAGCTATACATCAAACAGTCTGGCATATAGTCAGTCCTCAGTAAATGCTAGATATTGGAGTTATTCAACTGACAGAATTTGCAGAGCTCAAAAGCCTGTGTGGGTGCTGAAATTCCATGTGAATTTGCAGTTAAACCCATTGCTAGCTGTTAGAAACCACAGGAAATCCCCCAGAAACAAATCCCAGCTCCTTAATGTACAAGAAGGTTTTTAGTAGTTAGAATATGCTTGTAGGTAACATGAATGACTCTGAGGTTCCCCTGAGATTCCAGGAGACAGGTATGGCCCTAGTATTCATTTAAGTATTGGCCCTAGTGATTCATTACCCCAAGATTTTCAGCAGAAAACATACCAAGAAAATTTATTTGTCAGGTGGATAGTATTTCTGCTGCCTCACATTTTAAAGCTGTAATTTTGCCAGAAAATGGTAATTTCACAAATATTCACACAAAGCGCTTACTATATACCAAGTACCACTGTAAGAGCTTTACAAATATCAACTCTTTCAGTTCTCATCACCACCCTGGCAGGAGGTACCTGTTGCAAACTCCATCTTACAGATGAGGAGCCTGAGACAGGAAAAGTTGAGTCCCTTGCCAAGTTCTCAGCTGGTGGCCACCAGCCTCACTGCTACTGCCTGACCTCCCACTGTGGCTTCTCAGAGGCCCCACCCGCAAAGGTCGTTAGAAGGAGAACAGCAAATACCAGTTTTGAAATTTTCTGGCTTCTCTTTGAACTTGGTGTCAAAGCCAAGTTGGTGTCTCTTAGGCAGTCAGGGCTACCATAACAAAATACCACAGACTGGGAGGCTTAAATGACAGACATTCATGTTCTCATAGTTCTGGGGGCTGGACTTCTAAGATCAAGGTGCTAATATTGCTTTGTTTGTCTAAACGTTCCTTTCTCATAAGGACATTAGCCAGATTGGATTAGGGCCCACTCTAACGCCGCATTTTAACATAATCTCCCCTTTAAAAGTACTGTCTCCAAATAGTCGCACTCTGAAGTGAAGGGGGGTTAAGACTTCAATGTGTGAATTTTGAGGGGGCCACAACTTAGCTCATAATGGGAGCCTTCCCACAAGGTGGCCACTCGGGCCCCACAAGGCTGCAGGTGGAATGACAGGGAACAGCTGCCTTTTATCAAAAGTGAGAAGAAGAAATTAACTATCTGAGCAGCACACTGAGGCCACTTCCACACGTGGCTGCCTGGGCTGGAGGGCTCCTGCCCTTCCCAGCTTCCCCTGTGAAAGTCAGGTGCCCAGGCCCTCAGGGAGATGGGTTTAACCTTCTGATGACCAGATGGCTTATGGAGGGCACTGCTTCTCTCCACAGAAGGAGGCTCCTGAGATTCTCAGTGGCTCCAACAAGTCCCTTGCCCTCTGTCTGACACAAAACATCCTGGTGAATAGCTTGGGAGGCTGCAGTACTCTAGAGACACATGCACTTTCACAGATAGCCCTGGGTCACACTCAGCGGGAGCAGCCAGGGGCACAGACACTCCTCACTCACTCAGTCATTCAGTAGACCTTTACTAAGCATAGGTGTATTAGTCCACTCTTGCACTGCTATTAAGAAATACTGGAGACTGGGTAATTTATAAAGAAAAGAGGCTTAATTGGCTCATGGTGCTGCAGGCTATACAGGAAGCATGATGCTGGCATCTGTTCAGCTTCTGGGGAGGCCTCAGGAAACTTATAATCATGGTGGAAGGCGAAGGGGAAGAAGGCACGTCTTACGCGGCCAGAGCAGGAGGAAGAGAGAGAGGGAGGTGGTGCCACGCACTTTTAAACAACCAAATCTCATGGGAACTCTATGACGAGAACAGCACCAAAGGAATGGTGCTAACCATTCATGAGAAACCACTCCTATGATCCAATCACCTCCTACCAGGCCCCACCTCCAACATTAGGGATTACAATTCAACATGAGATTTGGTGGGGGACACAGGTCCAACCTATATCAATAGGCCCACAATCCCAATGCACAATCCCCAACCTGGAAGAGCTCCAAAAACTCAGAGGGTTTTTGTAACCCACCCAGCAGCCAAACCACACCTTGACTGATTTGTGGCTATCAGTCATTTTTGTTCTTACACATTCATTCATTCATTTTATTTATCCCAGTATTCAGATGTTTCTCTGTGGATGCATTAATGTGGGTGTTGGGGTGTTACCCCACCCCAAGCCTGTGTGATAACATGCAACATAGGTGCTGCATTGTCTACCTACAGTCTGAAAAACTCTGAATGCTAAAACACACATGGGACTGGGGACCTGTATTCACTACACACCAGCCAGGCATTGGGCCAGGTTCTGACAAGACCAGTTATTTACTCATTCATTCACTCATTTATTGTTCCATCACTAATTCATTCATTCACTGCACAAACTCAGCAGTATCTGGTCTTACTCTAGACAGTAGGATATAGAGATGGATTGCTTTCCTTCCTTTTCTCCTTTTCTCCTTTTTCCATCTTCCTCTTTTCCATAAACATTTATTCAGGGTGGACTCAGTGCTAATGTTCATTTTGCTCATTTGTCCATGGAACACATGTTTAGTGAGAGTCCACATGCCCCTGCATTGCCCTGGGCACTGGGGTGCAATGTGGGGTGGACAGAGATGACAAGACAGTTCAATACAGCACACATGAAGCAGGGGAGTGTCCAAGGCCCTGTGGTGCCCACAGAAGGGGACAGGTGCCTCTCTTGGGGAGAAGGGTTTGGAGGATTAATGGAGCTTGTCTGGTGATGGAAGGGGTGGGTGGAGAAACTGTGAAAAACCAAGAGTACCAACTGGGAGTAGAGGGGTGTGAAGAGATCAGCTGAGGGTTGGCTGCAGCAGGAGAGAATGCTTTCAGCTGTTGTAAGCTAGGTAATAATGAGCGTAGACTTCATCCTAAAGACTGAGAACAGAAGGAAGAAGGACATTATTTGATTTCTATTTTTAAAAAAAGTCCTCTGAAACTGGGCACAGTGGGTCACACCTGTAATCCCAACACTTTGGGAGGCCAAGGCAGGAGGATTGCTTGAACCCAGGAGTTCAAGACCAGCCTGGGCAACATAGGGAGACCTTGTCTCTACAAAAAATAAAAAAATTAGCCAGGCATGGTGGTGTGCATTTGTGGTGCCAGCTACTTGGGAGGCCAAGGCAGGAGGACTGTTGAGCCTGGGAGTTTGAGGCTGCAGGATCTTGCCACTGTACTCCAGCCTGGGCAACAGGGCAAGAGACTATCTCAAAAAAAAAAAAAAAAAAAAAAAAAAAGGAAAACAGAAACACTACAGGCAGAGATCCCTCAGGCCCCCCTTGGTGGAGGGATGTTTGATGAGTTGCAGCTGTCTGATGATGAACTGGGACTAAGGTTGAGAGATATTGATGATGTAAGTCATACAGTGGAATTCTCAGGTGGATTGGAGATGGCCTTATGGAGAAGGTGCTCGATGATCTGAGCCTTAGGGGAGGGGAACAAGTGAGCAGAAGGACATTTCAAGTAGAGTGGGAAGTAGATTGTGCAAGGAAGTGCAAGAGGAATGGAAGGGCATGTGTCTCTCCTGGGCGCAGTGGCATGCTAGGGGCTACTTTTCAAACAGTAAGTAGTTCTCTGATACAGAAGGCATAGCCTTGCTCCAGAACCCTAGGACTTTGCACTCTGACTGTCCTATGGGGGCTTACCTGAGACTCCACACAGCATGTGTACCCACCTTGGACACCTCCGGCACCATGGGGTCTGCTGGTTATATGGCCAAAGAGGCCAGGCCCTTACACCATAGACTGGACCTGCTGCAGAGGCCTCCCTTGCTCTGGCCTGATTAAAAACCATTAGCCTCCTGAGGACGCGATACACGAGTCTGAGCAGCATTCCCGAATGTTATGTACACTGCCTCGCCTCCAAATTCCAAAGAAACCCATCAAGGGCTGTGCTGCTGTCTTAGTGGTAGGGGTTTGAGCTGCAACACCTTTCCAGCATTTCCCAGAGCACCAGATCCCTGAATCTTCATAGAATTTACCATGCACTCTTTGCCATTTGTGCTTGGGGAAAGTTGAGAGGGAGAAGCCTGGGAGGCAGGCTGGTGCCAGGTCAGAGAAGCATCAGATGTCCTATTAAGGCACTCAGCAATGGGGCCTGGGTGAACCAACAGGACTGAAAACGTGCTCTGGGTCAAGCAGCATGCTTTTCTCTTCATATCTTCTATAATCCTCCACATCCCTAGAGATGAGGAAACTGAGGCTCCAAGAGACCAACTAGCTTAGGTAAGATAATAGCTAAGTGCAGGAAGCAGCGCTGGTACCGGAGCAGGACTGGTTTCATGGATGTTCTGCCTGTGTAGTCACAGAGGACCTTGTTGCTCAGAAGGGTCCTACATTTGGTTGAATGCTCTGCTGTCACCATCTTGAAATTCTTAATGATTTGTGAACGAGGAGCCTATGTCTTCACTTTGCACTGAGCTCCACAGATGATGCAGCCAGTAGTGGCTCATTCTGAGACACAAGAGAGAGGCCAGGAGCATGAGATTTGGATGCAAATACACTTTTGAAAGAATCATGGTTCTTCCAGGTGGGCCCAACGACTTCACCTCTCTAAGACTCAGTTTCTTAATCTGAGAAATGGGGCTAGTTTTGATACTTGCATCACAGGGTTGCTGTGTGGGTTAAATGAAGCAATGTGGGTAAAGCATTCAGAATCATACCTGCAGAGTTAACGTGTTGGCCATTGTGGTTGACCTGGATCTCCTATGACTATGATTTTTTTACAGCACATCCTGCCCAATTATTTGCACCTTGTGGCTGGTGAATACTTCCATGACAAGCACTCCCTGACTGAAATCCGAGACAGTCTTCTGGACTTGCTTGGAGATGTGTTCTTTGTGATCCCTAAGCTGATCACAGCTCAGTATCATAGAGGTGAGTCTCTGAGCACCCCGCTTCAGGACGACAGCCCAGCGAGGTTGATGGCCAAGGAGATCCATGTTGTCTACTGACTGGCTGCCTCCTCTGCCTCTGTTTCCTCATGGAGAGGGCATTCCCAGGTGTGTGTGGATGGAACTGTACCATGGTGAGCTGTGCCATTCACCTGCCTTTCAGAGTCTGGGAATGTTGATCAGTTGTTGTTTCCATTCCTGCCTGCTCTTCAGGACCAGGTAGAAAATTCCCATCTCCCTATAATTTTCTGGGGGCCGTCCCCCAGGATTTTTTCTTTCTGGAAATGTCTTCCCCAACATCTTAGCCATACGTAGTAATGGAACAAACATTTTAGCTGTAAGGAGTAATGGAACTCCTAAAGTAATAGACTTCAAATCAACTATTTTAAATGCAGCCGAATACTCCACCCTGTAATATCAGATTCTACATTCTTCTCAAGTGCACATGCAATATCCTCCAGAATAAACCATATGTTAGGCCACCAAACAAATCCCAATAAATATAAAAGGATGGAAATCATGCAGAGTATCTTCTTCAACCACAAGAGAATGAAATTAGAAATCAAGAACAAAAGGAAATCTGGAAAATTCACAAATATTTATAAATAAAATGGCATACTTTTTTAAATTTTAAAAATTGTGGTTAAATATGCTTAATAAAAAATTTACCATTTTAACCATTTTAAGTGTATAGTTCAATGGCATTAAATACATTCACATTGTTGTACAACCATCACCACTATACATCTTCAGAATGTTTTTATCATCCCAAACTGAAACTCAGTACCTATTAAAAATAACTCCTCACACCTCCTTCCCCCAGACCCCAATAACCACCATTCCACTTTCTGTCTCTGTGACTTTTTAGCTACTTTAGTGACTTTGGTTACCCAATGCAAATGGAATCATACAAATGTTTGTCCTTTTGGCTGGCTTATTTCACATAGCATAAGGTCTCAGGGTTCCTATATGCTATACTATACATCAGAATTTCCTTCTTTTTTAAGGCCGAATAATGTTCCATTGTATGTATATATTATGTTTTGTTTATCCATTTATTCATTAACGGACATTTGCATTGTTTCCACCTTTTGGCTATTGTGCAATGAACAATGGGCTATTGACTACAATTGGCTATTGGCTATAATGCTGCGATGAACATAGTTGTAGAAATATCTGTTCAAGTCCCTGTTTTCAGTTATTTGGGGTATATGCCAGAGGTAGAATTGCTAGATCATATGTAATTCTTTGTTTAATTTTTTGAAGAATTGTCATGTTGTTCTCCACTGTGTCTGCACCATTTTACATTCCTACCAGCGATGCACAAGGGTTGCAATTTCTCAATATCTTCACCAACATTTGTTATTTTCTGTTGCTGTTTTTTAAATAATGACTATTCTAATGGATTTGAAGTAGTATCACATTATGGTGTTTTTTCATTGTTTTGTTTTGTTTTGTTTTTGAGACAGAGTTTCACTCGTCACCCAAGCTAGAGTGCAATGGCGCAATCTTAGCTCACTGCAACCTCTGCCTTTGGGTTCAAGAGATTCTTCTGCCTCAGCTTCTTGAGTAGCTGGGACTACAGGCATGCACCACCACGCCCGGCTAATTTTTTGTATTTTTAGTAGAGACAGGGTTTCACCATGTTGGCCAGGCTGGTTTCAAACTCCTGACCTCATGATCCACCTGCCTCGGCCTCCCGAACTACTTTTCTAGCCATCCTGTAAAGGGGTCATTTACCCCTGAGTTGCTGGCTAACTCATTGGATAGAGCAGTCCGACCTTGCGATACCTTTGTTATACTTCCCTTAGGGGTGGTGGTGTTTGGGATGAAGGTGCAACATTGAGTTTTAATCATGACGCAAACCCCTCCCCTTTCTGCTAATATCATGTCTAAGGCTATTTTCCCAAGCCATCTGGTAGTAGCCCCTAATTGCTCAGCTATTCCTTTAACAGCATCTCTAGTGTAGTTAATAAGTCGCTGCTGGTTGTAATAGATGTAGTTTATCCAGTCTGCATTTTGGTTAATTGTCCACCCACCAAAATATTGACTCAAATCCTGCAGCTATTTGATTTCGGGCTTCAAACTGATCTGGTATTCCCCGTGGGACTCCAATTGCGCCTAATTAGACGTGAGAGTCGAAAGACTCATAAGGGACTTCTCTCGCTTTACGACGTCTTATTTTTCCTTCCTCTGGTTGATGAATTGCCAGGGTGAAAGGGATATCCAGCTGGACTAAAGCACAAGTGCCACTTCAGTTTTCCGGCAGAGTGTCCAGTAAAGGTCCACCACAATACCACCACACATCCGCAAGGCTAGTCTCACTCACTCAGCACAACACACACACGCACACACACGTGCCTGTTAACCATCCTGCCTGTTGCCCTAGCCAGCTGACCTTTGCAACCCGGGAAACGGCCCTGGCTCTTGGCCTATGAAGACTTTACGGTGCTGTGTTCGCAAAATATAAAAGGTAAGGATTAGTTCTTCTCTTGATCCACTGCTCGATCACATGCCCGCTTGTGACACTAGCCAATTCTGCAAACAGAGAATCTTTTGGCCACTCCTGGGTTTTGCCAGGGTCTGGCTGCAGCCTCTGAAGCCAATTTCTGGTTCGTGATGACTCTGCAGATTGTGATGGGTGAGGCTGGAGCATACCAAGCCTCACAATAGATCTCATTTTTGTTTAATACGTGTAACACCTCTGGCACCACTTCAGCTGTAAGCAGTATGTCTCTTGTTTAAGTGGCAGTTGGTTGGGGTTATTGCTTTTTTCTGGGGAACACCCTCTGGTTTCCCATGTGGAATTACATGATGTGCAGAGTAAAATCCTAGGAACTGGCCTTAACTTCTAAGCAGTTGGGTAGGACTTGGGAGAGTGGGCATATCTGGGGGCTTCAAATGAACTCCCCCAAACCTCTCCACCTCCATCAATTTACCCCAGCAGATATATGGAAAGCACATATTAGAGCAGGCATTGGGCCACAGCAAGCCCATGTCCTACTGGGCCCCTTACTCAGCTTTGTCTGTGAACCATGGGATTGATCAGGTGTAGATTTTGTGGTGGAGAACACTGAACTGGAAGACAGAAGTCTGAGAATCCACTGGGTGACATTTGGGGATTCCTTGTGGAAAGACGGGGTTGCTCTGGGGGAGGGGCTCTCTCAAGCACCCTTCACTGTGGCTCTGCACTCTATGAATCCAGGATTCTATGACATTCTCCACCGCAGCCTAGGCATATGCAGTGTTTCTGGAACCTCAGTTATTCTCATACTAATATCGTGGTTTTTTGCCTTATCAGCGTATCATCTGTACTTCTATGAGCAGTTTTCTTTAAATGAAGTAACTCTTTTTACTTCAACATGTTCACTCAAAAAGGAGACTTTATACCATTTCCATAAGTGCAAGACCTGTATAACCTGCAATAATTAGAGGTATGCATGGAAAATGTGTGAGTGCAGTTTTTTAAATTAAATTGATGGTAAAAATAAAAAGTACATAAAGAAATGACAGTAAAAACACTTCTAGTTTACAAAAGTATATAACTGAAAAAAAGTCACTTAATGGGAAAAGCGAACCATTGAAGGCAAGTTAGTTACATGAAAGCAGGGACACCCTTGATCGCCATCATGACCACCAGGTAGGTGACAAGGCATTGGCTCTGGCAAGGGTCATTGTCACCAAAGTCATTTCCTTGAGCTTCAGGGAACATCTTCCTGTTAACATTCAGTTCATTGGGCAGGAGTTGTATTATGTTTATACCTTCCCAGGCCCATGATGTTGTGTTATACTTAGGGGGTCAGACTCCCTGGAGTCAATCAGGTCCTAGGACTGACTGGTCAGAGCATCTAGAGGAAATTTTGGCCTGGTGGTGGGTCGTAGAGAAGAGACCTGTACTCCCGTGGGCATAACTAGTCAGCCTCATTGGCTCAAACAACTGGAAGTCGGGTCATGTACATTCATCAGGCAATCACCCTGAGACTGCTGAGCAAGACTTATTAGTGAGAGCAGGGTAGACTATGGTAGCAAATAGGCCCAGAATTTCAATGGCTTATTTTTCGCTTAGGTAAAGGACTAGAATGTTGTTCAGGTCAATAAGGTGGCTGTCCTCCATATGGTCATTCAGAGATTGAAATTAAGGTGTCAGCAAACTTTCCCTATAAAAGGGCCAGATAGTACGTACTTCGGGCTTTGCAGGCCATGGGCTGTCTGTGACAACTGCTGTGGTAGTGAAGGTAGCCCTTAAACAATACCTATGCAAACAGGCATGGCTGTTCTTCAATAAAACTTTATTTTTAAAAAGACAGTGGGCCAGATTTGGCCCTTAGGCTCTAGTTTACTCACTCCTAATCTAGACTACGGTGTCTTTGCCATCCTTAACTCATGGTTTCTAAAGTTGCCATAGGTGTCAATTCCCCATCACCTGGAACAGGCAGGAGCAGAAGTGTGACCATGGAGCATTTGTATGGGCCAGGCCTGGCTGTGGCACTCTTCACTCCCACTCAGAGTCCATTGGTGAGAACTTATTCACGTGGTCAATCTAATTGCAACCAAGGCTGGAAAATGTAATCTGGCCGTGTACCAAGGAAGGTGGGACAGATTTTAACAGATTGCCAGCAATCCTTGCCACAGGTAATATCCATTAAACCATGGACTCGATAGTAAGGTGTTTTTTTTTTCCTAATGCACAGCAAAATAAATACACATCCATTCTATAAGTGCTTTATAGTTTCTATGCCATCTAAAATGATCTCGCATAACTCCAGGAATAAGTGCACTACACTCTGATAAACACTAAGTTTTTGTGTTTCTTTGATTCAAATCACAAAAGCCTGATTATAAACCCAGATCCTATTTGTTAGCACTACTCTATTAACCCTTCCTTTAGCCTGTTAAGAATAAAATGGTAACAAAGATGATTCAGAAAGCAATGTAAAAATTTAGACTCAGAGAAGTTAAGATTGAATTATAATCTGGAAAGAGCCCTGTAAATTCAAACTATAGATTACATTGTAAGCATCCAGGTGAATAGAGTGGCCTCCATAGAGAGGCATGTGCTGTGTGTTTTCTTGCCCTGAGAACTGTCAGTGTTCATATATCTCAATGCCCAAAACTGTGATGTCTCTTGATGGTACCGGGTATTGAGACATGGGCAAAATTTGGAGAGGCAGAGAAGAAATTAACATTGGTACAAGGCAGATTCAGGGGCTTCTTGGGGAGGCCAGTTGGACTGGAAGGGTGAATGGAAGACAGAGAGCTTCAATGCCAAGCTAAGGAGAACAGACTTCATCCCTGGACAATGGGGAGGAGATGCTGAAAGTCTTTAATTCTGAGACTGACACGATGAAGGGCATTTCCAAAAGTAGAGCCTGGCAGAAGCAGCCAAGCCATCTGAAGGGACCAGTGGTTATTCTCAAAGGGAAACTCCTACACACTCTTCAGGAGGGTAGAAGGTAAACAACTCCTTTTTAAAGGTGCCTAAGTCCTATGCTTGCAAAAGCTTGGCTTTGGGGCTTACACAGGACTCAGCAAGCATAAATGACATTAAGCTTCTCCAAAAAGCTGGACTGTAGAAAGGTCTACCCAAATCCCAGGAGCTACTGATGCTGGCCCTATGTTCTCACTTTAGAAGGTCATGCAAGGGACTAAATCTCTAGAATCCTTTGTGGGCTGGGTCACAGCTGGGGTGGGGAAGTTGTAGCCCTTCTGAAACTTCCCACATAGCTGTCCTTCCATGGAGGCCAGGAGCACATCAGGGTGGGTACAGTCCACAGTCCTCTCCATCCCACCAGCCAGGCTCCAAGGGGTCTTCACATCCACAAAATACCATTTTCACAGATCAGTAGCATGCACACCAAGACACGCAAATTCAAACCAGATATCCAAATGGCACCTATTGAATTTGCAAGGATCTTTACCACTATTCTTTCAGTGGTAGTGCCTAGTGGCAAGAATATAGAAAACCAGGAACTTTCACCATTGATGTGAGAGATCAATTAGTTCAAGCTTTCTTGGGGGCAATTTGGCAAAATCTATCCTAACATTTCAAAGGGGCATCTCTTTTGCCCTAGCTATTTTTTACTAACCATGTTCTTTATTGTCTCCTTTCTGATACTTTAACATCCAGGGCTTTGCTGCTCCTGGAGGGTGCTCCTCCCAGGTTTAGCCAATTCCTAGAAATAAGCCACTTGTCTCTTAGTGTGCCTTTCATATACAAACTCACCAATCCAGAGCCCACATCCCCAACCACCTCCTTTATGGGGCTCTCCCACTCTGGACTAATAGCCTCACACCCTAATCACACCAGGGCTAGGTACCAGATGGAACAGCCCCGATGCCACAGAGCCCACTGAAATTGTTTGAACTAACCAATCCTGAACCTGCTCACCTTGCCTTACCTCTTCCTTCCTATGGAAACCACAGCAACACCTCTTGCAACATCCCCCATCCCCACCACCTTCTGACAGACTGCAGCATTCTCTGTGCAGCCTCTTGCTCCCATGGCATGGAGTGTCCCCTTGTCTTGGGATTTGCAAGTAACAAACTACTCTTTTCTTTTCTTTCTTCTTTCTTTTCTTTTCTTTTGTTTTAGATAGAGTTTCACTCTTCTTGCCCAGGCTGGAGTGCACTAGCACGATCTCAGCTCACTGCAACCTCCATCTCCCAGGTTCAAGCAATTCTCCTTTCTCAGCCTCCCAAGTAGCTGGGATTACAGGCACCCACCACCATGCCCAGCTATTTTTTTTGTATTTTTAGTAGAGACAGGGTTTCACCATGTTGGTCAGGCTGGTCTCAAACTCCTGACCTCAGGTAATCCATCCACCTCGGCCTCCCAAAGTGCTGGGATTACAGGCGTGAACCACCGTACCCGGCCCAAATTGCTTTTTCAATGGCTGACATCTGATCTGTTGGCCCTGCCATACCTAAATAATAATAAAACCTTTACTTTAAAGCACTATTCTCTAGGAATAATTCTGAATGAACCCAAAGATACATGTATCAGATGGTCACCTCAGTGAAGTTGACAATAGTATAAAATAGGAAATGATTTGAATGGCTAACAATAGTAGATGGTTAAATAATTTATTGAGTATTACACTATGGGAAGCAATGTAGCTGTCAAAAGGTAGAAAAAATTGTTTTTAAATGTTTGTGTAAATGAAAAATCGTTCACCACTTCCTGTGAAAGAAGAGGGATCCAAAATTTTTTATTTCCCCCCGCCAATTATCCTTAAAAAAAAAAAACCATGAAATAAAGTTTTTAAAGCTACAAACCCACATAGACAAACTGTGGAAGAAGAGATGACAGCATTTTGGACACTGGAAGGCCAGCTTTTTTGAGATGGAGTCTCGCTCTGTTACCAGGCTGCAGTGCAATGGCACAACCTCGGCTCACTGCAACCTCTGCCTCCTAGGTTCAAGCAATTCTCCTGCCTCAGCCTCCCAAGTAGCTGGGACTACAGGCACCCGCCACCATGCCCAGCTAATTTATTTTTAGTAGAGACAGGGTTTCACCATGTTAGCCAGGATGGTCTCGATCTCTTGACCTCGTGATCTGCCTGCCTCGGCCTCCCAAAGTGCTGGGATTACAGGCGTGAGCCACTGTGCCTGGCCGAGAACTAGTTTTAGAACCGAGAAAGTAAACGTTAACTAATGGAGAGAAAGACACCATCATGCACCTATGCAATCAGAATAGACAGAAAAGACTCCCTGGGTTTAGGGGTACTAGGTACCTGTGAAAGTTTGGGTATAGGTATCCCCCACTTATGCCCATGGGGAGTGCACCTCTCCCCTTTGAGCTCCACCCCAAGGCCAAAGTTTCCTTCAGGCTCTCTCCCTCTGCCAGTCCTAGAACTGGGCTAACTTCTGGAATGCATTGATTTTGGATCAGCAATTCCAAATCTGAGAAGCTATCTGTCAGAAATATGCTTAATTGCTCATAGTGATATAGGATCAGAGGCATTCATTATAACATTATTTATGGTGGGTAAACATTAGAAAAACCCAGGCTCTCTCTTGGTAGTGGTGCATGTTTTAAAATACAAACCAACAGAAGATAACACTTCCCAAGGGCACATTCTTACAGTGACTATGACCTAAAACTTGTAACATTCATCACTTCTAAAATATGTTGAGAATATTTAATATATAGTTCCATTGTGAACTCTTTAAATATTTTCATAATTATAAATAGAAAACATACGAAAATGAAATGTTACAATATAAACAAATATAACTGACATTTAATTCACTGCTCTGATTAGCTGTGCACTTATATATATTGGTAATTGAGTTTAAGACTATATGCATGCTTTTTTTCTTTGTCTCATTTTTATTTTTAAAATAAAATTGAATATATTTAAGTGGACAGCCTGTTTTGATTCATATATATGAAAATGTATATATGTGTTTGTGTGTGTACATATATATACACATAGTTAAATAATTACTACAAACTAATGAGCACATCTATCTTCTCATATAGTTAGATGACAGCACCTGAAATATAGTCTCTTCACAAATTTGCAGTATACAGTATTACTGACTATAATCACATAACTGCAACTTTGTACTCTTGGACTGACAGATCCCCTTTTCTCCCACCTCCCTGTCCCTGGTAAGCACAATTCTACCCTGCTTCCATGTATTAAACTTTTTAAGATTCCCGCCAGGCACAGTGGCTCACGCCTGTAATCCCAGCACTTTGGGAGGTCGAGGCGGGTGGATCACCTGAGGTCGGGAGTTCCAGACCAGCCTGACCAACATGGAGAAACCCAGTCTCTACTAAAAATACAAAAAATTAGCAGGGCGAGGTGGCACATGTCTGTAATCCCAGTTACTCGGGAGGCTGAGGCACGAGAGTCGCTTGAACCCGGGAGGTGCAGGTTGCAGTGAGCTGAGATTGTGCCATTGCACTCCAGCCTGGGCAACAAGAAAGAAACTCCATCTCAAAAAAATATTAATAATAATAGAGTACCTCCACACTCCACTATAATCAACACGCCACTATCGTCAATGGGCAGATCATCCAGACCACGAAAAAATCATTAGTTAAGCTGTACTCTATACCAAATGGACCGAACAGAAATGTACACAGCTTTGCACGACTCCACGACTGCACAATGCACATTCTACTCAGTAGCACATGGATTATTCTCAGGATAGGCTATGTGTTAGGCCGAAAAACAAGTAATGGCACATTTTTAAAAACTGAAATCATATCAAGTATCTTCTCTGAGCACAGTGGAATACTACTAGCAATCAGTAACAGCAGGAACTTTAAAAACTGTACAAATATATGAAAGTTAAAACATGCCCACAAACCACCAATAAATGAAAAAATTAAAAATTCATTGAAACGAATAAGGGAAATTAAAAATTAATTGAAAGAAATAAGAATAGAAACACAACATAACAAAACCTGTGGGATGCGGCAAAAGCAGTTAAGAGGCGAAGTGCATAGCTATAAATGCCTAATCAGAAAAGTAGAAAGATCTCAAATAGCCAATCTGACAGTACACTTTAAGTAATGAGAAAAGCAAGAAAAATCACATGCTAAAATTAGTAGAAAGAAATAAGTCATGAAGATTAGAGAAGAAATTTTAGAAATAGAAACTAAAAAAAAAATTACAAAAAGACAAAGGAACAAAGAGCTGGGGGCTTTTTGAAAAAAAAATTGACAAGCTATAATGAGACTAGGAAAAAGAGAAAGAAAACTGCAGTAAAATCATAGATGAAAAAGGAGACATTACAATTGATAACACAGAAACACAAAGGATCGTAAGAGATTACTAAAAACACCTATATACAAACAAATTGAAAAATCCAGGAGAAATGAATAAATGTCTGGAAGCATAGCAATTTCACAAGCTAGAATAATAAAAAAACCTGAACAGACTAATAATGAGTAATGCAATTAAGGCAGTAATAAAAATCTCCCATCAAAGAAAAACAGAAGAATTATGGTTTTACTGCTGAATTCTACCAGACATTTTTAAAAGAGGTAATACCAATTTTATTCAAAATATTCCCCGAAAAATGAAGAGGAAGGAGTACTTCCAAACTTGTTCTATGAGGTCAGCATTACCCTGCTAGAAAAAAAAAGTTCCCAGGACACAACACAGAAAGAAAACCACAGGCAAATAAATATCCCTGATGAACATAGATGTAAAAATCCTCAACAAAATATTTGGAGATTCATTGGAGGAATACGAGAATGATTCAATAAACACAAATAAATGTCATACATCACATTCAGCGAATCAAGAACAAAAACCATTTAATCATTTCAGTAGATGCTGAAAAAAAAATTCAACATTCTTTCATGATAAAAATTCAAAATGAGTACAAAAGAAACATAGCACAATAAAGGCCATATATGACAAACCCACAGCTAACATCGTAATCAATGGGGAAAAATTAAAAGCTCTTCCTCTAGGATCTTGTTAAAGTGTGGCTAATTTTACCACTTTTATTCATCGTGGTAATGGAAGTCCTAGCTAGAGCAATTAGACAGCAGAATGCAATAAAACCCATCCAAATTTGGGGGAAAAAAAGTCAAATTGCTTCTGTTTGCAAGTGACATGATCATATATACCTAGAGAGAGAACCCTAAAGATTCTACAAAAAAAACTACTAGAAATAATAAATTTAGTAAAGTTGCAAGATACAATATCAATATACAAAAATGAGTAGCACACACATGAACCAACAGTGAAACACATTAAAAAAAATCAAGAAAGCTGTTTAATTACAGTAGCTACCCACTCCCGCCCTCCAAAATAATGATACCTAGGGATAAACATAACCAAGAAAGATCCTACAATGAAAACTATAAAACATAGATCAAAGATATTAAAGCAGACACAAGTAAATGGAAAGATATCCCACGTCCATGCACTAGAAGAATATTGTTAAAATATCTCTATCACTCAATGTGATCTACAGAATCAGTGCAATCTATGTTAAACTACAAAGACATTTTTCATGGAAATAGAAAAAAAGATTCTAAAATTCACATGGAAATGCAAAACACCTCAAAGAGACAAAAGAATCTTGAATAAAAAGAAAAGCTGGAGGCATCACACTACCTGATTTCAAAATATTCTACAAAATATACTGTAAATCCATAGTAACTTCAGATCTATAGTATAATATCAAAACAGCATGGTACTGTCAAAAAAAGGGGCAGGAGAGAGAGACAGACAAATGACAGGCAGACATAAACAAATGAAAACAGAATAGAGAACTCAGAAATAAATTCACGCATTTACAGTCAACTCATTTTTAACCTAGGCACCAAGAACACACCCTCTGGAATAACAATCTCTTCAATAAACTGTGCTAGGAAATGCCCAACACCCACATGTAGAAGAATAAATCTAGACTGTTATCATATACAAAATTCAACTCAAAGATTTAAATGTAGATTTAAACCTGAAACTATGATACCATCTCACGCCATTCACAATTGCGATGATTAAAAAGTCAAGAAACAATAGATGCTGCCAAGGCTGTGGAGAAATAGGAATGTTTTTACACTGTTGGTGGAAATGTAGATTACTTCAACCATTGTGGAAGACAGTATGGTGATTCCTCAACGATCTAGAACCAGAAATAACCCAGCAATCCCATTAGTGGGTATATACTCAAAGGAATACAAATCCTTCTACTGTAAAGACACATGCATATGGTATGCTTATTTTATATACATATATATTTTTATTATACTTTAAGTTCTAGGGTACACGTGCACAACATGCAGGCTTGTTACATATGTATACACACACAGTATGTTTATTGCAGCACTGTTTACAATAGCAAAGACATGGAACCAACCCAAATGCCTGTCAATGATAGACTGGATGAAGAAAATGTGGTACATATACACCATGGAATACTATGCAGCCATAAAAAGGAATGAGATCATGTCCTCTGGAGGGACATGGATGAAGCTGGAAGCCATCATCCTCAGCAAACACAGGAACAGAAAACCAAACACTGCATGTTCTTACTCATAAGTGGAGTTGAACAATGAGAATACAAGGACACAGAGAAGGGAACAACACACACCAGGGCCTGTTGTGGGGTGGGGAACGAGGGGAGAGAACTTAGAGGATGGGTCAATAGGTGCAGCAAACCACCATGGCACATGTATACCTATGTAACAAACCTGCATGTTCTGCACATGTATCCTGTTTTTTTTTTTTTTTTTTTAATAAAGAACAAAAAACCAGGAAGGCCACAAAGGACCATGTATTATATGATTCCATTTATACAAATTATCTAGCAGAAACAAATCCATAGAGATAAAAAGAATATGAGTGATTGCCAGGGGTTGGGGTAGGGAGTATAGAGGCTGGCTACTAACGGATACAGGGTTTGTTTTTGGAGTGATGCAAAGTTCTAACATTAGATCACGGTGATAGTTGCACAATCCTGTGAATATATTGAAAACCACTAAATTTTACACTTTAAGTGCATTGTATGACATATAAATTACATATCAATAAAGCTAAAATTCAAAGACAAAAAACAAGCTAATGAACAACATCGAACAAACATTTCTGGAAAATATATCCCAACACTGTGAAAGACCTGATAAGAAGAAAGACTACGGTTTTGCAGAGGTCCAAGCGGAGAAAAGAAACACAGTCAAAGCTTTAAAGATGCTGAGATGCAGACTGCTCAAGGAGGCTGGCAGCTTGAGATCACTTAGACCGCCGGTTCTTAGCCATATCAGACCCAAATACCCCCTGCGCACCTTTTTTTTTTGAAACAGGGTCTTACTCTGTTACCCATGCTGAAGTCCAGTGGTGCAATCATGGCTCACTGTAGCCTTGACCTTCCAAGCTCATTGGATCCTCCCAATGAGCCTCCCGAGTAGCTGGGATTACAGGTGTGAACTATCATGCCTCATCCCCTTTCTTTAAAAACTATTGAAAATATACCTTTATTATCCTGAAATGAAATTCAGAAATAACTTATTTATTAGATATATCTTCCAAAAATATCTACTTAACACAGCAACTATAATATAAAAACCATTTTTAATAAATATAAATTTCAATATGTAAATTTTCAGGCAGAATGGTCAGAAATCCACATCTCTAAGTTGAATCACTGAATTTCACAGCTACAAACACTCTTCATTTGGGTATGTCATTTTGGCAACTCAGATACCACACTACCTATCATGAATGCTATCAATAATGTGATTGATTCTTCATTTACCTAAAAAGATGAATCACTCTTAGTGTGATGGTTAATTTATGTGTCTTCTGACTGCATCATGGGGTGCCCAGACTTTTGGTCAAATATCACTCTGGGTGTCTCTGTGAGGGTGTTTCTGGATGAAATTAACATTTTACTCAATGGACTGTCTAAAGCAGATTAACTTCCCTAATGTGGGAGGACCTCATCTCATCAACTGTAGACCTGAATAGAACAAAAAGGCTAAGTAAGAGGGAGCCCCTCCCACCTGACTGCTGAGCTGGGACATCTCTGCTTGCCGTCCGACTCAAACTGAAACAAACATTGGTTTTCCTTGGGTCTAAAGCCTGCTGGATTTCAGACAGAAACTTACATGGGTGGCACTCCAGGTTTTGAGGCCTTCAGAGCCAGACCAGAATGACACCATCAGCTCTCCTGGATCTCTAGCTGGCCAACTGCAGATCTTGGGACTTCTCAGCCTCCATAATTGCATGAGCCAATTCTTTTAATAAGGATCTTGTTATATATAGAATGCTTCCCCTTTATCCGAGGGGGATATGTTTCAAGAACCCCTACGGATGCCTAAAAATGCAGATATTGCCCAACTCCATATATACTGTGTTTTTGCCTATACATAAAGATGCTGCTCAACTTATGATGGAATAAAAATATCATTAAGTTGAAAATATCATGAGTCAAAAATGCATTTAATACACTTTACCTACTGAACGTCATAGCTTAGCCTAGCCTATCTTAAACATGCTCAGACCACTTACATTAACCTATAGGTGGACAAAAATCATCTAACATGAAGCCTATTTTATAATAAAGTATTGAACACCTCATGTAATTTATTGAATATTATACATTACATTAAAAATGTGACAGTTTCATGCCATCATAAAGTTGAAAAATCTTAGGTCGAACCACAGTAAGTTGGGGACCATGTATACATACCACCTATGATAAAGTTAAGTTGATAAATTAGGCACAGTAGGAGATTAACAACAATAACTAATAATAAAGTAAGCAATAATACAATATGCTAGCATCACTACTCCTGCACTGTGGGTCCATTATTAAGTGAAATAAGGGTTACAAGCACTGTGATACCAGACAGTTAATCTGATAACCAAGACTAAGGGACTAATGGGCAGGCAGCACACACAGCATGGCTACATCGGACAAAGTGAGGACTCATCTTCCAGGTGTGACAATGAGACCGCACAAGATTTCATCATGTCATTCAGAACAGTCCACAATTTAAAACTTACCAACTGTTTGTTTCAGGAATTTTTCCATTTAATATTTTCAGACCTTGGTTGACCATGAGGTACTCAAAGCATGGAAAGCAAAACCATAGATAAAGGGCAACTGGTGAATACTTGTATTTTCTCCAGAGAAACAGAACCAATAGGATGCACATGATACAATCATATATATTGGTTAAATATAGTTAAATATACTATATATATATAAACATATCTCACTCTTTCCTACTGGAGACATATATATATATATGCTATCGGTTCTGTTTCTTGAGAGAACCAAGACTAGTAATACACTTAGTAAAACCAAGAACAAAATGAGATAATTTCCCTTCAAAGTCTAGATTAATCCCATTTCCTGAAATTTCCATTTCTACTAAAATTACATTTAAAAAAACCCTTTATGTAAAATGGAATTCAGTTATAGGTTCGGCCTTAAACAGTTTTTTTCTATCTACATAAATTATTCATCAAGATATTCTAGGCCAGGCGCAGTGGCTCATGCTTGTAATCCCAGCACTTTGGGAGGCCGTGGATGGATCCCCTGAGGTCAGGAGTTCGAGAACAGCCTGGTCAACATGGTAAAACTCCGCCTCTACTAAAAATACAAAAATTAGCCGAGCGTGGTGGCACATCTCTTAATTCCAGCTACTTGGGAGGCTGAGGCAGGACAATCGCTTGAACCCGGGTTGCAGTGAGCTGGGATCACACCACTACACTCTGTCCTGGGTGACAGAGTAAGATTTGGTCTCAGAAAAAAAAAAAAAAAAAAAGGATATTCTAAAGCTGTGCAGATCATAGGAAAAGTTCTATTTTACAGAACTGTCACCACATTAAGCCTTGAATTCCATGGGCCCTACCTATTAAATAAATGCCTATAGCACCCACCAACCATTGAGACAATCACAAGTGCTTCCACAAATTCCTTAAATGACCCTCAGGCTCATAAAAAAACAAATTAGAATTCACCAGAAGATCCTGGGTCCCTACCTGGTCGAGACAGAGGAATCACTGGCTGACACTCCTCCCTAGAGCCCCTCTAGAGCCCCCCCAGGCAGAGATTACAGAGCGGAGGAGCGAAGGAGCACAGTTCACAGCACTTCCAGTGTCTTGGAGAAGGGGAGGTGGTGGAAATTACCACTCTCTCTTCTCCAACTTTGCTCAAGGGTGTCACATCAGCACACATCACTGAGACCTCTAGTCCAGGAAAGTCAAGGTTTGGGGGAACAAAAAGTAGCTCTCCTCATAAAAACATTGTGGATCCTGCCTCTGTGTTCTAAGAATAATCTGAAACAATAGTCCATGAAGTATGCCTCATGTATTTGTCAAACAGTGTTTCTTAAAAACATCAAAATAGATGCACTGCTCCCAAAATAACAGGGAAAGGCACTGAAGGCCTTCAGCCTCTCCCAGGCAGCAAGCACCATGTCCTGTGCGGTGCCTTGTACAGTTCACTGGATCCTCACATGATCCCAGGTGGGTATGTCTAGATGAAGGAACTAAGGATCAGAGATTGCAAGTAATTCTCTCCAGGTCAATTCATTCTTGAGGAACAACGGTCTGAATTCAAACCCCACTTCACTTCTGCCACTCCATATGGCCTCCAACATACACATAACACAAGTTAGGAATGCCAGATTTTGATCTCAATGAATATTTCACAACATATAAACAAACCATAACAACACTAAAACTACACAGCTCAACCTGCCCCTTCTAGATCTGTCTACTTGTCCAATGTTGTCATCAGTGCTGGTATACTTTTTGTTTTTGAGATGAAGTCTTGCTCTTCTCCCCCAGTCTGGAGTGCGACGGCACGATCTTGGCTCACTGCAGCCTCTGCCTCCCGGGTTCAAGTGATTCTCCTCCCTCAGCCTCCCGAGTAGGTGGGATTATGGGCACCTGCTACCACGCTTGGCTAATTTTTGTATTTTTAGTAGAGACAGGTTTCACCATGTTGGCCAGGCTAGTCTCGAACTCCTGACCTCAGGTGATCCGCCCTCGGCCTCCCAAAGTGCTGAGATTACAAGCGTGAGCCACCGCGCTGGGCCCTTGCTGGTATTCTTAATCAACATTTTTTATTTTGAAGGGACTAACTACCATGTTATTTAACATAAAACCTTTCTTAGAGCAGAATATTTATTGTCAGGTCTAGATCAATATGTATTAAATTAGAGCTGTAAAAGTAAAATTCTTAGTTGTAATCATACTAATTGGAAGAAGGGAATGAGGGATGGGCATGAGTTGAAAAACTATGCTCACTACCTGGGTGACGGGATCCGTACCCCAAACCTCAGCATCGTGCAACATACCCATGCAACAAACCTGTGCGTGTACCCCTTGAGTCTAAAATAAATTATTGACATGTATTAAAATTACTTTTTTAAACAATTACTGAAATTATTTTAAAAATCATACTAATTTATGTATATCTACTTTTAAATTTAAAATATTTGTCATAATTTAATATTAAAATATTATTTGGGTGAAGACACAAACCACTCTCATTAGAGAAATAAACCCTTCATTTACAAGGCTGCAATCTGGGTGGCCTGAACGCTCACTAGAATGTCCCAGTGCTCCTCAGGACAGGGTTCACAGCTCTGGGAGCCCTGCCCAAAGCTAATTACACATTCACAGCCACACAGGAAGCTCCAGAGTTTCCTTTACTTCTACAAGGAGATCATATAATTAAAACCTCCTGAGGAAAACAAAGGGCTATCTCTTACCTACCACGTAAGGTAGACATAATACTATTTAAAACTCGGCTCACAGACTCTTTACTAGAAATGAAAAATATCTTGGAAGCCATTTTACAGGAAACTCTACGTGCAACATCGACAAAAAAACATTCTTGTAGTTACAAGAGTCTACTGTGGGAGGATCCTGACTACTAAAAAGTTATGAGACAAGTCATTGTGGGCACAACATTTATTTATCAATAAACGTTTATTCCGTGTCCAGGCAAGCCAAGCACCAATTCTCTGGGAACCTAGTCAAGGAAATATATGGGCATATAAAGACTAGGACAGGCCGGCCACAGTGGCTCACGCCTCTAATCCCAGCACTCTGGGAGGCCGAGACAGGTGGATCACTTGAGGTCAGAAGTTTGAGACCAGCCTAGCCAACATGGTGAAACCCTGTCTCTACCAAAAATATAAAAAATTAGCTGGGTGTGGTGGTGGGCACCTGTAATCCCAGCTACTCAGGAGGCTGAGGCAGGAGAATCACTTGAACCCAGCAGGCAGAGGTTGCAGTGAGCCTATACCATGCCGCTGCACTCCAGCCTGGGCAACAGAGCGAGACTCCATCTCAAAAAAAAAAAAAAAAAAAAAAGACTAGGACAAAAATACCTACTTTCAAGGAGTTCACAGTCTACAGGAATAAACAGGACATGTAAATGAACAAAATATGTCCCCATCCTTTATGAACCTACTTTAAAAAACAAAAAACAGGGCAAGTATATGTACAGGATACAATGGGAGCAGAAAGATCCCCAGTTCTGCCTTACTTTGGGCAACAAAGTAGGAGGTACACCTCGAAGGTATGAGAGTAAACACAGGTTCAACTGAAGAACTCTAATGACTTGGCTAGAATACAGTATGGCTAGAATACAGAAATGTCAAAATGAGGACTTGTCGGCAAGGGCCAGAAGACCAGTCAAGCCCTGGACTTCATGTGACACAGGACGGTGAATAAAAGCCGTGCAGTCCTATAACGTGACTTGCAGTTCCCAAAGACTAACCTGCGCTGCTGTACTGAAGATACAGAATGGGAGGGTCAGGAATGAGGAAAACAGAATGGGCATCTAATTCCCTGTAATGTCTTTGCTCTCCCTTAATCTAAGCTTTATGTTCAAAATAAAAGTACCACTCTCACTCCACAACTCCCCCAGTATCTGAAGACCACCATGGAGCTTCCCTAAACTGGCCCTCCTTCCAAGTCAGCACCACACATTCCCCATCCACTCCTCCAGATTTCAGTACCCTGTACCCACTGGCATCAAAGTATGACAGGCACCTCGGAAGTGGGCACAGATACAAGACAGATCTGGTCTGGCAAGCACAGAGCTCAGCAAGACTATTATTTCCCTCGATCTAGAAACTGAGCTGCTCCTACCTTAATCTAAGAAAAAAAAAAAATCTGCTTTTCTAGGAGCTTCCAGAGGCTCATGATAAGTTCATGGTTATCTAATATTTTCAAGTCTTTTACCACACAAACTGCTGCTAAGCTACTGTTCTCTTTTTTCCCCCTTTTATTTTTGTTTTGGAGATGGAGTCTCGCTCTGTCGCCAGGCTGGAGTACAGTGGCACAACCTCGGCTCACTGCAACCTCCGCCTCCCGGGTTCAAGCAATTCTCCTGCCTCAGCCTCCCGAGTAGCTGGGACTACAGGCACGTGCCACCACGCCCCGTTAATTTTTGCACTTGTAGTAGAGACGGGTTTAACTATGTTGGCCAGGATAGTCTCGATCTCCTGGTCTTGTGATCCCACTGCCTCAGCCTCCCAAAATGCTGAGATTACAGGCATGAGCCACTGTGCCCAGCCTCCCCTAATGTTTTATTATGAAATTTTACAAACATGCAGAAATGTTGAAAAAGCTGTACAGTAAGCAACATCCCACTTCTTTCCTTTTCTTCTTAATTTTTTTTCTCTATCATAGCACACTACAGCCTGAGCTCCGCCTCAGCCTCCCAAGTTGCTGGCATTACAGGAGCACATCACCATGCCCAGCGTTTCCTCTTCATTGCTGTGTAATCTGTATTCTAAAAAATCTAAACCTTTATCTGTTAAAATTTTTATTTGGTAAATCAGCCCAAGGTTCCAGCCTTCAGGATATTTTAAATTCTGACTTTGACTTGAAACCCATTAGTCTTCCTTCTAACAAGTGCTGTCTTCAATCTAAGTCACTTGGCCACCCAGTATTCTCATCTACAATAAAAAGGAAGTTGGACTCTAAGGCATCTCTACGACACCTTCTGACTCTTGTAATGTCAGATAATTCACATAATTGATGACGTTACATAGGACAGAGCAATGGTAAGGCTATGTGACACACCAAAAGAATCTCCTTCCGGGTCTCCCATACAGTGAGTAGAGAACTGAACTTAAAGGTCAAGAGACCTGGGTTCAAGCTCCAGTTCTGCCATCCAAGTTGTGTGACTCTGGACAAATCACTTAATCACTTTATGTATCTACAAATCTGTTTCTTCTCCTATAAAAAAGAACTGATAAAATCTAGTTTATAGAGTTCTTGTAAAAAATAACGTGTAAACCAACAAGAACATAACTCCTGATATCTCACTTCCAGAAGTTACTTCATCACAGATCAAAGGTCAAAGGAAAAATGGTGTAACAGTCCAAGGTCAGGGATGGCAAATTATTTCAGTGACTCAGAAACCCCACCCTTAGAAAAAATCCTTTCTAAAAAGCTTATAATTGGCCAGGAGCGGTGGCTCACACCTGTAATCCCAGCACTTTGGGAGGCTGAGGAGGGCGGATCACAAGGTCAGGTGTTAGAGACCAGCCTGACCAATATAGTGAAAACCCGTTTCTACTAAAAATACAAAAATTAGCTGGGTGTGGTGGCAGACACCTGTAATTCCAGCTACTGAGGAAGCCGAGGCAGGAGAATCACTTGAATCGAGGAGGCAGAAGTTGCAGTGAGCCAAGATTACACCACTGAACTCCAGCCTGGGCGACAGAGCAAGACTATGTCCAAACAAAAAACAAAATTTTATATTTGAAAGTTTGACAGTGGTGCAAAGGAAGTCTTTCTAAACTAAATAAGTTAAAATAGATTGGAATTCAAATTCAGTTTAGTAAAAGAGAAGACTTTTTTTCAACAAGCATTTCACTGGTTAGGTTAAAAAGAAATTAATAAAAAATGCTAAGAAGTTATTTTTCCTTGGGAGGCTGAGGCAGGTGGATCACGAGGTCAGGAGATCGAGACCATCTTGGCTAACACGGTGAAATCCTGTCTCTACTAAAAATACAAAAAATTAGCCGGGCGTGGTGGCAGGTGCCTGTAGTCCCAGCTACTCGAGAGGCTGAGGCAGGAGAATGCCATGAACCCGGGAGGTGGAGCTTGCAGTGAGCCGAGATCGCGCCACTGCGCTGTAGCCTGGATGACAGAGCAAGACTCCGTCTCAAAAAAAAAAAAAAAAAAAAAGTTATTTCTCCTTGTGTCTAGTGAGTATAAAGCAGTGGTACTTAATGAGGAGTAGGGGATAATTTTGTACCCTAGGGGATATTTGGCACTGTCTGTAGACATTTTTGGTTGTCACAACTGGGTGGGAGGCAAGGTGCTACAGACAGTGAGTGTGTAAGAGGCCAGGAATCCTAGTAAACTCCCTACAACACACTGGACAGCCCCCCACGACAAAGAATTATACAGCCTAAAATATCAATACAGCCAAGGTTGGGAAACCTTGGTATAAGGGGACTGGTTAAACTTGGAAGGAAGGGTTTGTCTTTCTGTAAACCATTCCGTAAAAAAGGTCTCATGTGTACAGACAATCTGCTGAGAAAGCCACAGTTCTGGCAGCTGGCAAAGCTGAAAGAGAAGGGAAAATCTATGCACAGGGCCCTTGGATTTCCACCCATATTTCCCAAGAAAGGATACAGTTCCAGAAAAGGCTCTCTCTGATCTCCTGGAATGAAATCTGAGAATGAACCACAGGGCCTCATTGCTTACCTGTACCTCCTTTTTGTAGTCTCCAGCTGGCCTGGCACAGACTGACAACCCCAAATGGATGGTCGAAATCCACTGTTCTCCAGTCCCTCTCAAACCTCACCGGCAAGAAGGAAAGAAACTAAACCCCGAGGGCCCATTATATTCCAGCGGGGTCCTAGGGATTCCACACTCATTCAGTTCCTTTTCATCATAAGAAGTGGGTATTATAATATCAGATCCACTGTAAAAGGTGATCCCAAAGCAAATGGTAGAGCAGGAGTCTGAATAGGGACACCTCCAACAGCCACACCCACCCCACCACAGCTCCCAGGGGTTTCTTTCTAATCTCAAGGGTGGCCTATACCCTGGGACTATAGGGGGCCTTGGTGTGCTAAATCTTCAGAGACATTTTTAAACGGTCAAGACGCCTCTTGGCGACTGGAGGAAGTTCCTGACCTCGCGGCATTCCCTCCTTCCCATCCCCACTACCACACCAATCCTATGCCAGCCTGTCTGTGTCAGGGAAGAAGTCCAGCTGGACAACTCTGGCAGCCTCCTGTCGCCCTCCCCTGCCAGCAATCCTTCTGTGCCACAGCTGTGTGTCCACACTCTAAAGCACACATCCCACCAGGCCACTCTCCTGTAAAATAATGCCTCACTGTCCCAGGCCAAATACCCCAGGGCCGATACCTGCTTCTTCGAATCCAGGTTCCAACCCATCCCTCCATCTCATTTCCATTTTACGTGCACACATAGTCACACACTCTCACATACCCACACTTTGGCTCCTACTGTTCCTACCCCTGAAAACCCCTTACCATTTTCTTCCCTGAGAAATAATTGCTCGTGGGTCCCTTCAGGACTCAGTTCCACTGCCGTGTCCTTAGTGATACCTTCCCTTGTCTCTAGTTGGTTGGTCCCCCATCCCTCTTGCCTTCCTGGCCACAGCACTCACCTAAGTGTCTTTTATCCAGACAACATTTAGGGTATACTTAGACCAAAAGAGTCATCGCTATTTATCTGAAATTCACATTTACTTATTTGTAATTTTCATGTTTTTGGAGATGGTGTCTTGCTCTGTAGCCCAGGCTGGAGTGCAATAGCATGATCTCAGTTCACTGCAACCTCCACCTACAGGGTTCAAGTGATTCTTCTGCCTCAGCCTGTTACTTGAAAAACAGACGAAAATCAAAGGTATGATGTGAATAGCATGAATTACTGCTGAAAAATACTGGCAACTATGTGTCTCTCCCTTTCTCTTCTCATCAACTCCCTCTACTCTGCATGAGTCACCCCACTGGCCTGGAATGGAAGGGGTGACAACACTACAGATTCTACAGCTATGAGAGGATAATAAGGGACTATTAGGAACCACTTTATGCCAGTAAATTCAAGAACTTAGATAAAATAAATGAATTTCTTGAAGTACAAACTACTGAAGCTCATCGAAAAGTGGTAACTTGAATAGCTCTATATTTATTGAAGAAATTGGATTTGTAGTTAAAAACCTTTCTACAAAGAAAACTCCAGGCATAGATGGATTCACTCAGGAATTCCACTAAAGAAGAAATAAAACAAATTCTTTACAAACTCTTCCAGAAAACAGAGATTTCCCAACTCATTCTATGAAGCCAGCATTTACTTTGATGCCAAAATCTGACAAAGACACTATGATAAAACAAAACTACAGACCCATATCTCTTGTGAAAATAAATGTAAAAATTACAAACAAAATTTTAGCAAATTGAGTCTAACAATCTAGAAAAAAAGGATAATACATCATAACCAAGTAGGGTTTATCCCACAAATGCAAGGTTGGTTTAGCATTCAAAAATCAGCCGGGCACAGTGACTCATGCCTGTAATCCCAGCACTTTGGGAGGCTGAGATGGGTGCATCACTTGAGGTCAGGAGTTTGAGACCAGCCTGGCCAACATGGCGAAACCCCACCTCTACTAAAAATACAAAATTTAGCCGGGTGTGGTGGTGCACACTTGTAATCCTGGCTACTTGGGAGGCTGAGGCAGCAGAATTGCTTGAACCCAGGAGGCGAAGGTTGCAGTGAGCCAGGATTGCGCCACTGCACTCCAGCCTGGGTGACAGAGTGAGACTCCATCTTAAAAAAAAAAAAAATGCAAAAGTCAATGTAACTCACCAACATTGTAAACTAAAACAGAAAAGCCATATGATCATCTCAATACACACAGAAAAACACTAAACAAAACCCAACATTCATTCCTTATTTAAAAAATACAAAACTCCACATAGAGGAGAACCTACTAAACTTGATAAACAGCATATATGAAATATCTGTAGCTAATATCATACTTAATGACATAAGACTGAACATTTTCCCCATAGGATCAAAAATGAGACAAGGAAATCCACTTCTACCACGACTGAAACTGCCTTTGCAAAATTATGACTGAGACAGTGAGAGATCTAACTTAACTGACTCCATCTTGCTTCTAACCTCCAAGTTGTCCTTGCTCATTCCTGGGTGTAGACTGAACTACCTTTGGGAGAAACTTAGTTTATAGTTTATAGTTTAAAACAAAGACGGTAACAGCCCTTTCCCAAAGCAGACCTCCTTCTTGCCTGGGCACCAGACTGCCTTCGTAGGACTCACATTAGACACAAGATTAGAAATTATGGTTTAGGAGTCATGCAGCTGAAGGCTAAAGATTCTGACCCTCCCTAAACTGCTCTTGAGATCAGTGCTTGAGAAATTTTGCAGACCCTGCACTTGATGGATCAGCTGGCACCATCCAGATCAATAAACTGGCTCATCTGACCTTGTGGCCCCCACCCAGGAACGGACTCAGCTCAAGAAGAAAGCTTCAACTCCTTTTGATTTCACCCCTGACCAATCAGCACTCCTGGCCCACTGGCTTCCCCCCACCCACCAAGCTGTCCTTAAAAACTCTGCTCCTCAAATGCTCAGGGAGACTGATTTGAGCAATAATAAAACTCCGGTCTCCCACCCAGCAGGCTCTGCCTGAATTACTCTTTCTCTATTACAATTCCCGTCTTGGTGAATCGGCTCTGTCTAGGCAATGGGCAAGGTGAACTCATTGGGCAGTTACACTTCTATTCATTATGTACTTAGAAGTTCTAGCCAGTGCAGTAAAGGAAGCAAAAATAAATAAAAGGCATTCAGAGTGGGAAGAAAAAAGTACAACTGTCTTTATTCACAGACAACATTGACAGAATAGCCAATGGAATCCACAAAAAAGCTTTGAAAACAAATTACATTAAGGTCTCAGGATACAAGATTAATATACAAAAACCAAGTGTATTTTTATATATTAGCAATGAATAACTGGAAGCTGAAATTCACAGTATCAAAATATATGAAATAGGAGTAAATCTGACCACATCCCTTCAAAAAACTGGAAAGATTTGTACACAAAACTACAAAATATTGTTGAGAAAAATTAAAGAAAAACTAAATAAATTGAGAAATATAACATAGTCATGGTTTGGAAAATTCAATTTTATTAAGAAGTCAATTCTTCCCCTGAAATTATCTGCAGACTCAAAACAATCCCGACAGAAATTCCAGCCAGCTTTTTTGTAGAATGTGACAAGTTGATTCTAAAACAGAAATGCAAAGGACCTAGGACTGGTAATTGTTGAAGGTAGGTGATAAATACATCACTTGGTATTTCATTACATTTTTCTCTCTACTTTGTAAATGTTTGAAATTTTCCATAGTGAAAATGTTTGAATAAAAACTGAGATTTTCCAGGAACACATATAAATACAAAATATCCTTCCTTTAAATTTTTCATTACATTACAAAAATGGTTTCCTCTTTCACACTACCTTAAGTCTAACTCCCTGGCTTGGTTTCCCAGGCCCTATAACCAGTCCTCTCTGCTTCCTGTTCCTCTATGACAGGGGTCAACAAACCACAATCCAGGGCTAAATCTGACCCATCACTTGTTTTTTTTCGGCCCAAAAACTAAGAATGTTTTGAACTTTTAAATGGTTGGGGAAAAAAAATCAAAAGACTATTTTGGGCTGGACACTGGCTCATGCCTGCAATCCCAACACTTTCAGTGGCCGAAGAGGGTGGATAGCATGAGCCCAGAAGTTCAGGAGTTCAAGACCAGCCTGGCCAACATGGTGAAACACCGCCTCTACAAAAAATACAAAAATTAGTGGGGCGTGGTGGCGTGTGTCTGTAGTCCCAGCTACCTGGAAGGCTGAGGTGGGAGGATCACTTGAGCCTGGGAAGTCAGGGCTGCAATAAGCTATGATCAGGCTGCTGCCCTCCAGCCTGAGCAACAGAGTGACACTGTCTCAAAAAAAAAGAAAGAAAAAAAGAAAATGTTATTGAAACATAGTCACATTCATTCACATCTGTAGTGGCTGTGGTTACTTTTGCACTACAATGATGGAGTTGATTAGATGCAACAGAGACCTTAAGGTCTTCAATGACTAAAACATTTACTGTCTGGCCCTTTACAGACAGTCTGTCAATCCCTAATTTATTATATGCCTTCTTCTCCCTCAGCTAACTAATTGCCTCACCCCAGGAATGTTCATTACTACCTCTTCTTTGTTCAAGCCCCAGCTACTCCTCAAAACCCAAAATTCCCTTCTTCCCCTTTCCCAAATCCTAACCATATCAGCAGTTTGTGTGGAAGTAGGTAAGCAAAACACCATTCGTTATTGTGTAAAGCAAGGCATTGGAGATGCGGTCCCTACATGTACAAGGGGAGGCTGATTACCCCCCGATTCATTTCCAATTTCTCAAAGCAGGTTGGCAGGCTAGCACCTAGGAAGGAGAGAGCGAGCAGATGATGCAGACAGAGCACTGAGAAACTCCTCAGTAACTCATGAGAGTTCATGTGTCAGGCCCCTTGTCTGCTATGTCATCCTTTAGACATCAATTCAAGACAGCAAAATTCAAAAAAGAAATGAGGAAGAAAAAGGTGATGAGGGGCAGAAGGAAAAGAGAAGAGAACTTGTCACTTCACAATGTAGAGACAGTCACAAACTGTGGTGAATGAAAAACTATTCCATTCACCTGGGCATGGTGGCTCACACCTGTAATCCCAGCACTTTGGGAGGCTGAGGCAGGGAGATAACTTGAGGTCAGAAGTTCAAGACCAGCCTGACCAACATGGTGAAACCCCGTCTCTACTAAAAATACAAAAAATTAGCCAGGCGTGGTGGCACACGCCTGTAATCTCAGCTACTTGGAAGGCTGAGGCATGAAAATCACTTGAAACCAGGAGGCGGAGGTTGCACTGAGCCGAGATCGTGCCACAGCCTGGACGACAGGGTAAGATCCAAAAAAAAAAAAAATTAAAAAAAAAAAAAGAAAAGAAAACTGTAGAGACTCTAGCAAGAAAAGAGGTAGTCCTCCATTACTGGGAGGCCCAAGCAGAACAGCCTATGAAGGAGGGGGCATAGCAGAGCTTTACCTTGAACACCTCAACTCATCAGGTGTCCTGATTTCTTGAGTTAGCACACAAAATGAAGTGGCAAAATCTGCTGGCTTAACACTCAGAGATTACTATCTTCCTTGCGTGCCATTTGGAAACAAATAGTTTTGTTTGCTTGCTTGTTTTCAAACGGGGTCTCACTCTGTCACCCAGGTTGGAGTGCAGTGGTGCAATCACAACTCATTGCAGCCTCAATCTCCTAGACTCAAGGGATCCTCCCACCTCAGCCTCCTGAGTAGCTGGGATCACAGGCGAGTGCCACCATGCCTAATTTTTTTTTTTATTATTTTTAGTACAGATGAGGCCTCACTATGTTGCCCAGGATGGTCTTGAACTCCTGGGCTCAAGCAATCCTCCCTCCTTGGCCTCCCAAAGTGCTGGGATTACAGGTGTGAGCCACTACACCCAGCTTGGAAACAAAAAAATGAATCTCTGTAACTGAAGTCCCAAATAGGAAACCCTGAGCTTTTGAGGATACATAATTTTTTCATCTCCTCCAATTTAAAGTGGCAAATGAGGACGGGCATGGTGGCTCTCACCTGTAATCCCAGCACTTTGGGAGGCCAAGGTCAGGAGTTTGAAACCAGCCTGGTCAACATGGTGAAACCCCCATCTCTACCAAAAATATAAAAATTAGCTGGGTGTGGTGGTGCTTGCCTGTGATCCCAGCTACTCAGGAGGCTGAGGCAGGTGAATCACTTGAACCTAGGAGGCAGAGCTGCAGTGAGCCAAGATCGTGCCACTGAACTCCAGCCTGGGCAACAGAGTGAGACTCCATCTCAAAAAATAAATAAATAAAGTCGCAAATGAGAGAGGAAGCAGATTTTGGAAGTGCGTAGATGCCTCAAAGGTCAGCATTTGATCTTACTGCCTATGAGTTCCCAGTAAAAGCAGAACATGTGAAAGGACTCTGAGGCACAAAAATACAGTTGGATAGTCCTGGGCAGGCAATAGGAAAGTTGAGTAAATGTGTGTCTAAAATGTGCATTTCTAGGCTGGGCACAGTGGCTTACACATATAATCCTAGCACTTTAGGAGACCGAGGCAGGAGAATCACTCAAGCCCAGGAGTGTGAGATCAGCTTAGGCAACATAGTGAGACGCTGTCTCTACAAAAATAAAAATTAGCTGTGGTGATGAGTACCTGTAGTCCCAACTACTCAGGATGCTGAGGCAGGAAAATCACTTGAGCCCAGGAGGTGGAGGCTGCAGTGAGCTGTGATTGCACCATTGTTGCCCTCCAGCCTGGGCAACAGAGCAAGACCTGTTTCTAAAATAATAATAATAATAATAATAATAATAATAATTAATAATAATAATAAAATGTACATTTCTAACTTCATTTCAAAGTTAAGGCCAGGTGCAGTGGCTCATGCCTGTAATCCCAGCATTTGGGAGGCCGAGGGAAGAGGATCACTTGAGCCTGGGAATTCGAGACCAGCCTGTGCAAAATAGTGAGACTCTGTCTCTAAATAAAAATAAAATAAAAAGTAAACAAAGTCAAATTTTTTAAAAAAATCAGAACAAAAGCTGGGCACAGTGGCTCACGCCTATAATCCTAGCACTTTGGGAGGCTGAGGCAGGTGGATCATGAGGTCAGGTATGCAAGACCAGCCCGGCCAAGATGATGAAACCCCGTCTCTACTAAAAATACAAAAAATTAGCCAGACGTGGTGGCATGCGCCTATAATCCCAGCTGCTCCAGAGGCTGAGGTGGGTGGATCATGAGGTCAGGAGTGCAAGACCAGCCTGGCCAAGATGGTGAAACCCCGTCTCTACTAAAAATACAAAAAATTAGCCAGATGTGGTGGCATGCGCCTATAATCCCAGCTACTCCAGAGGCTGAGGCAGACAATTGCTTAAACCTGGATGGGCGGAGGTTGCAGTGAGCCCTGATCATGCCACTGCACTCCAGCCTGGGTGACAGAGTGAGACTCCGTCTCAAAAAACAAACAAAAAAAAAAACAAAACCCCCCCCCCAAAAAAACATCAGAAGAGAAACGTTGAACTGCATACTTCCAGGCCCAACAGAGTAGAGGTCAGCACAGGCGCAACCAGGTTGCATATCTACATACAATCTGCCCTGGCAGGAAGGACATCCTTTTCTTCCAGGCTTAACCACTCTAGGTGACCCAGATTATTTTAAATTATAGCGTCAACAATTTAAAGCAGCTTTTACTGTAAGGCACAATCTCAATAATTAATAGGGCAATATAATAAATACATAAAAGCTCAGGGAGAAAACAAGACTCTTGAATGGGCCTGGAAGTTTTGCCACGTCCCCCAAAGTACTCTCGGTTGCATCCTTCGGAACCTTTCAACACATACACATATACCTCCCTCATCCTTTTGTGAAGAGTGTCTATTAATTACTAGATTAAGAGGATTTGGATAAAATTTATAAACGTACAAACTTTGCTACCAAGGACTGACACATTTACTTTTCTAGCTCATCAGTTTATGTCCTAGAAAAACTCCAGAGCCACATTAACCAGCTGTTTCCTATTTTACATTTTACGATGGTGTTTCCACTTTCACCTGCAAAGTGACTAATAGTAATACCTATTACAGTAATTTAAGTAACACCATTTAGAGTAATTTCATCTTTAGTACTGTATTTATACTACTAAGAAAGCCGCCAACGATTCAAGCTGCACTCACTGGTGAAACCTTATGCTATATATGTAATTAATTTATTTCCTAAATTCTTACCTCCCTCCACCCCCTCCATTGGAAAATAAACTCTAAGAATGCTAAAGTTTTTGTGTGTTTTTCTTCAACGCTTAGAGCAGTGCCTGGCACCTAACAGTCAATATCTGCTAACTTTGATGAATGAATGGTATATTTATATTATGCAATATTACTATGCAGCCATGAAACACAATGAGTTAGAGTGGTACCAGCTAATTTAATGGAATTTCCAGAAGTATGAAATTAAGAAAACAAGAAGAAAAGTGTCAAAAATATCATCCCACTTTTTTTTTCTTCCCTGAAACGGAGTCTTGCTCTGACACCCAGGCTACAGTATAGTGCTGCCATCATGGCTCACTGCAACCTCAAACTTCTGGGCTCAGGGAATCCTTCTGCCTCAGCCTCCCATGTAGCTGGGACTACAGGTGTGTGCCACAACGCCCAGCTAATTTATTTTAAATTATTTTTTGTAGAGACAGGGTCTCCCTATGTTGCCCAGGCTGGTCTCAAACTACTAGGCTCAAGTGATCCTCCCACCTCAGCTTCCTGAAGTGTTGGGATTACAGGTGTGAGCCACTGTGCCCAGCCTAATCCCACTTTTTAAAAAGTATACCCCCAAATCCATACACTGGTGAGGAAGTGGAGAACGTGGAATCCTCATACACAGAATTTAAAATGGTACAGCTCTGGAGAACATTATAGCAGTTTCTCAAAATGTTTAACATAGCTACTACATGACCCAGCAATTCAACTCCCAGATATACACCTGAGAGAACTGAAAGGATATGTCCACACAAAAATTTGCAGAGGAACTTGTACACACTTGTTCACAGTAGCATTATTCATAATAGCCCAAAGTGGCAAAAACGCAAATGTTCATCAACTGATGGACAAATAAAGCATGAACAACTGATGGACAAATAAAGTATATCATTCAGCATATAAGAAATGAAGTGCTAATACATGCTACAACAGGGATAGACCTTGATAACATTTTGCTAAATGAAAAAAGCCAAACAAAAGGTCACATGTTGTATGATTCCATTTACATAAAAATACCTAGACTAGGCAAATCCATAGAGACACAAAGATCAGTGACTGCCCAGAGCCAGAGGGAGTGGTGAATGTGAAATGACTACTAATGAGTACAGACTTCTTTCTGAGGTATTGAACATGTTATGGAATCAGATGGTGGTGATCAATGCATAACTTTGTGAATATACCAAAAACCACATGAAAGGTACACTTTAAAAGCCTGAATTTTAAGGTATGTGAATTATATCTCCATAAACCTGTGATTTTGTTAATATACGCTTATTTGCAAATGAATACATGGATAATGAGGAATAATATGAAAGGTTAATGACAACCTTGGTGATAGGGTACAGGAGACTGGGAGAGGAAGATAAGTGTTGAGGTAGAAGAAGACAAAAAAATAAAAGACTAAAACAATAATCCAGGGCCAGAGGCCATGAGTTGGGAGATGGAGCAAGATGATGTGTACAAAGAAATGAGCATAAATCATAAAAATGAGGGAACTAGGGTTGAAAACTCCAGCAAGTAGTTTGTAATGGGGGAGACGAAGCAAACCTAAGTAACTGCAATGATTCAACGGAATTTGCAGAAAATGCAGAAGGGCGAGAAAAACAATGAAAAAATGGATCAGAAGATTTAAAATTGGCTCTACCCCACCAAAGTTTTAAAAAGCAAGCAAGAAGAAAATTCAGTTGCTCCTGGGCAAGAATTCTTGGTCCCAGTGGGATAGAACCAAACAATGATAAGGAGACACCAGTGTTTTGTAAGCAAGATAATATATTAAGGAGAGAAAAGGGGCATTTATCGGGAGAAGAGGTCTCACTGTGATTGTTCTGGAATAAAGTAGCCCCATCGGACTGCCTCAGGAACTCATGGTGGAAGAGGTGCCACTGGAAAATGGCTTAGTCGGGATCTTCCCCAAGAACACTAGAAGAGAGAGAGGAAGAATAGAATAGCTTTAAATTTTAGCAGATATTTCTTTTTCTTGTTTAATTAAAATAAATCTTATTGACCTAATATTTTTGAGACTGGGCTCTTGCAATGCTGCCCAAGCTGAACTCAAACTCCTAGGCTCAAGAGATTCTCCCACTTCAGCCTCCTGAAAAGCTGGCACTACAGGTGCACACCACTGGGCCCAGCATAATGGCTATTTCTTGACAAATCTTGACAATGCCACCAGTATGTTTTTCTTTAGAGACAGAGTCTCGCTTTGTAGCCCAGGCTGGAGAACAGTGGTGTGATCCTGGCTCACTGCAGCCTCAAACACCTGGACTCAGGAGATCCCCCTGCCTCAGCCTCTCGAGTAGCAGAGACTACAGTTGTGCACCACCACACCTGGTGAATTTTATTTTATTTTATTTTATTATACTTTAAGTTCTAGGGTACATACACCTGGCTAATTATAAAATGTTTATCTGTACAGACAGGGTCTCGTTATGTTGCCCAGGCTGGTCTCGAACTCTCAGCCTCAAGCAATCCTCTCCTCTTCACCTTCCAAAGCCCTGAAATATGCCCATATCCAGCCTGCCACCAGTTTCTTTGCATACTTCTTTCCTAGGATTGACCAATACCTTTACTTTCTTCTGTGTACAGCTCAGCATTAAAAAAAAAAAAAAAAAGTTTAGGCTGGGCACAATGGGTCATGCCTGTAATCCCAACACTTAGGGTGGCCAAGGTGGGAGGTTTGCTTGAACCCAGGAGGTCCACACCAGCCTAGGCAAGATGGCAAGACCACGTCTCTCAAAAACAATTTTTGTAAAATTAGCCAGGTGTGCTGGTGCGGGCCTGCAGTCTCAGCTAGTGAGAAGACTAAGGCAAGAGGAACCCTTGAACCCAGGAGTTCAAGGCTACGGTGAGCTGTGATCACCTCTCCAGCCTGGGTGATAGGGTGAGACCCAGTCTCTGAAAACAATTAAAAATAAAAAAAGTTGAATAATGAGTCTTCTTCTTAGAGGCAATGTATTTTTCCTCTTTAACTTTTTGTTTTCCTTAGGCTATATGCACAATAGACAAAGTTGAAATTTAATCTTAATCTCGTAAACCCTTACTGTCCAAACACATCAAACTCAAAAAAAAAAAAAAAAAGACAAAAACAAAAAAGGTGAAAGGTGTACAAGAGAAAAAAGGGAAGTAATCTGTGCCAAATGTACATTCCTTCCACAATTTGGGACAAAAATGATGCCTACCTGGTCTCTGGGTGCCAAAATAAGACATTAGAGACACTCCCCTCCTTCAAGAAATAAAATTGGAATCAGACACTAAGATACAATTAAACAGACTTTGAAAGTTGGTACGCACTACTGGGAGGTGTCTCACAGCTGGCAGGGTCAACTGCAACTAGAAGAAAAGCTCCTAAGGGCAGAAACTAAGTGGCTCACTTCCTCTGTAACACTGCCGTGCCCAGCACTGTACCAGCACCCCAGCAGAGTCAACAACTTTCCGTCAAGCCACACACTTACGGTCTCATCGTCCAGTGGAGGCCGCAGACGAGACATAGTGTGCCAAATCCCAAATGCACAGGGTGCCAGACAAGTCTGCGGGAGGCAGGAGGACTAGGGAAGCCTTCCAGGAAAGGTGATGCCTGAGCTGAGTTGTTTTTCTTTTGAGTTTGGAACATTAATTTAATCAGAGGAAAACAAGGGACATGGAAAGGGCAAGGAAATAAGAAAATGAGCTGAGTTTTGAAGGCAATGATCAGATGAAGTGAGAGAAGAATATTCCAGCAGAGGGAGACAAGGAGACTGCAGAGATTTCAAGGGGCCAAGAGCTGTTCGGTGCAGCTCAGTGAAGCACCTAAACAGAGGTGGGGGAAGGAGAACAGGGGTCAAAGCCCAGTATTGAAGTGTTCTGGATACCAAGCTAAGGAGACCTTATTACGAAGGTACTGGGGTTGCTGAAGGGTTTAAATGGGAGAGTGATTGTGAACAGATTAATAGTTTGGAAAGATACAGGCAGAAGTAAACCTCTGGATTTAACCAAAAAATAAAGGACAGAACCACAATGAAGATGTTGGAAAAGATCAGGAAAAACACTGTTAAAAGATATTCACTCTCGGGGCCGGGCGCTGTGGCTCACGCCTTAAATCCCGGCACTTTGGTAGGCCGAGGCGGGCTGATCACGAGGTCAGGAGATCGAGACCATCCTGGCTAACACGGTCAAACCCCGTCTCTACTAAAAATACAAAAAATTAGCAGGGTGTGGTGGCGGGCGCCTGTAGTCCCAACTACTCCAGAGGCTGAGGCAGGAGAATGGCGTGAACCCGGTAGGCGGAGCTTGCGGTGAGCCGAGATCAGGCCACTGGAATCCAGCCTGGGCGACAGAGGGAGACTCCATCTCAAAAACAAACAAACAAAAAGAAGATATTCACTCTCTTATTTACGGATTTTCTTTATGGAGTTACCAAATTATCCTTTGAAAATTGAGAATTCAGAAGTGGCTGAGAGCAGTCAGTCACTCTTCAGAATGTAAAAACTACTATTCTGAAGTAGATATTACATTATTAATTTCCTTTCAAGATGCTTTAAAAATGAGCCTTTTGATACACCGCAGGTTTTTAAAGAGTATGTCACAATAACTAAATCTTACTTGAAATTAACAGAAGAAGAGCACTATAAATTTTAAAGGCTTCACAGACACAGGGATCATCTGTTATGTTCACTTTGGAACAGATCATAATTGTCCCTCCTCCTCAACATACCCAAAATACGTTGTTTAAGGCTACTTTCTTAATGGTCATGTTATTTCACAGCAAAAGACTGGGGTCACAATGATATCTGAGCTGACAGAAAACCCCATGGGGGTTTTTACCTCGCAGCTAGTCTATTCAGTACTAACAATTCCAACCACCAGAAGGAATTTCCCTGCCTAGGCTTATTTTGTTGGCACAACACAAAAAAATCTCCTGGGGCCGAGTGAGGGGGTTTGTGCCTGTAATCCCAGCACTTTGGGGGTTGAGGCGGGCGGATCATCTGAGGTCGGGAGTTCCAGACCATCCTGACCAACATGGAGAAACACTGTCTCTACTAAAAATACAGAATTAGCCAGGAGTGGTGGCACATGCCTGTAATCCAGCTACCTGGGAGGCTGAGGCAGGAGAATCGCTTGAACCTGGGAGGCAGAGGTTGCGGTGAGCCGAGATCATGCCATTAGACTCCAGCCTGGGCAACAAGAGCGAAACTCTGTCTCAAAATAAAATATCTCCTGACATTTTATATCTAATAAGAAAAGATCTATTTAACAATGATCAGAATAGGAACATCTTTAATACCAGGCAAACTTAAAAGCTTTCTCAGTGGATTTCTCAGTAGACTGTGACAAATGACCTCAAAATAAACTCATATTTACTCTTAAGAAATAATTTGTATTTGAATCTTCTTAACAACAAAAGCCCCAGGAACTTTTTCCTGAACTCCCAAACAATAGCAGCAAAACGAGATTCTCGGCTCTCTTTATTTTTACAAATCACAATAAGATAACTAACCTTGTATTTGCTATTATTTACATTTACTGTATATCACCATTTACTATCACCATCATTTCATAAAAGATGCTTTATTTTAACACCAAGAAAGCAGGACTTTTTTTTTTTTTTTTTAGAAAGGATAGTCCTTTAATCGAACAAATTTAATTGTATAAAAGACTCCCAATATTGTCCTTTTTTTTTCTTATTTCTGTTCCCTTACTGAGCTGAGCAGTTTGCATAATACCACACACAAGTTAGTCATGTGATTTAAATATGTATATGATAGTAATTTTGATACTATCACTTAAGTCATTCGAAATATCAGATGCACTGTGTGTCAAGTCAGTTATAGAGAACCACTGCTTCAGAGAAATCACATCTGAGGAGGAAACACTGCAGATACACCCCCTAAAAGTTCACCTTTGAAACAGAAATTTTGATACAAACTTCACTTTAACTACAACTGTAATTGTAATTATTACAGTTATTCTCCACTCACTAGATACTGTACTTGACACTCACGTTATTTGGTTGGCTACCAACGTGCACCTGTGATAAAGCTTTCCTATGGCACAACATTCACTTTCTTACTGAAAATGTCAAGAAAACCCCTACACACCTGCAACCATTAGGAAGCATTCTCCAGCTATCAAAAAAGTCACTGAATCGGCTAAGCGACTCTGTGTGGTATACACTAAATCAAAGGGGAAAAGGTGTTTTTTTGGAGGAAAAAAATACTGGATCAGCCATTTATTCATAGAAACAATTTTACCCACAACAATACTTCTCCTTTCACTATATACCCTTCTATATTGGTTTGGTTATTGTATAACATACATGTATATTGTTATGGCTGGGGATTTTTTTTTCTTTTTTGAGACGGAGTCTCATTCTGTCGCCCAGGCTGGAGTGCAGTGGCAAGACCTCAGTTCACTGCACCCTCCGCCTCCTAAGTGATTCTCCTGCCTTGGCCTCCCGAGCCTCTGGGATCACAAGCGTGTGCCACCATGCCTGGCTAATTTTTATATTTTTTGTAGAGACCGGGTTTCACCATGTTGTTATTGAACTCCTGACCTCAGGTGATCTGCCCTTCTCGGCCTCCCAAACTACTGAGATTACAGGCGGGAGCCACTGAGCTCGACCTTGTTATGTCTGGTTTTTGTTTTGTTTTTTTGAGATGGAGTCTTGCTCTGTCACCCAGGATGGAGTACAGTGGCACGATCTTGGCTCACTGCAACCTCTGCCTCCCGGGTTCAAGCAATTCTCCTGCCTCACCCACCTCAGTAGCTGGGATTACAGGCACGCGCCAATATGCCCAGCTAATTTTTGTATTTTTAGTAGAGACAGGATTTTACCATGTCGGTCAGGCTGGTCTCAAACTCCTGACTTCAGGTGATCCACCCACCCTGGCCTCCCAAAGTGCCAGGATTACAGGCATGAGCCACCGCGCCCAGCCTAGTTTTTAATTACTAAGAAAAAATTACTATAGTCCTTTTGGTATCACCTACATTGCCAAAGCTGCAGTCCCCCTCCACTCCCGGAAGCCACCAGAAATGACTGCTGTTGTCTGCAAAGCCCACAACTCTGATTTCATCTCAAGATATGTCCTACTGGGTGACTGCAAATGTCATTCTTTAAAGGCTTGTATCTGTTACAAGCTTGGGAAATATTATCAATGGCTTAAGAGGCTCTTTTGACAAAAGAAAACACTGTTCCCTGTAACCCCAGCTAGTCAGGAGGCTGAGGCAGGAGAATCGCTTGAACCCAGGGGGCGGAGGTTGCAGTGAGACGAGATCATGGCCCTGCACTCCAGCCTGGGCGACAGAGTGAGACTCGTCTCAAAAAAAAAAAAAAAAAAAGGAAGAATGTGCCCAACCTTCATGTCATGAAGGCCATGCAGTCTTTCAAGTCCCGAGGCTACTACATGAAGGAACAGTTTGCCTGGAGTCATGTCTGCTGGTACCTTACCAATGAGGATATCCAGTATCTCCGTGATTACCTTCATCTGCCCCTGGAGATTGTGCCTGCCACCCTACGCCGCAGCCGTCCATGGACTGGCAGGCCTCAGTCTAAAGGTCTGGAGGGTGAGCGACCTGCAAGACTCAACGAGAGGGGAAGCCGACAGAGATACCTACAGAGGGAATGCTATGCCCCCTGGTGCCAACAAGAAAGCCGAGGCTGCGGCTGGGTCAGCAACCGAATTCCAGTTTAGAGGCAGATTTGGTCGTGGACGCCGTCAGCCACCTCAGTAAAATTGGAGAAGATTATTTTGCATTGAATAAACTTACAGCCAAAAAGACTTAAAAAAAAAGAAAAAAATTATATTATGTCGCAAATGAACCCGTTGCAATGATCATACAGGTTTTTTCCTTTGATAGTTTGTACTACTTTAATAGTTTTTTCTTTTATTACATCATCTTAGTTTCCTAGGAAAACCCCAACTTGGTCATGATACATGTTTAATCCATTGCTGGATTATTTGCTAATATTTTATTTAGCATTTTTGCATATATGTCCATAAGAAGTTAGTCTATACTTTTGCCTGCTTGTACTATTTATGTCTGGTTTGGTTTTAAGCTTATATTAAATTCACAATGAGTTGGGGAGAATTCCATTTGCTTCTTTTTCTGTAAGGTTATGTAGGCCGGGGTCGTGTGTGGTGGCTTATGTCTGTAATCCCAGCACTTTGGGAGGCCAAGGCGGGCGAATCACGAGGACAGGGGTCGAGACCACCCTGGCTAACACGGTGAAACCCCGTCTCTACTGAAAATACAAAAAATTAGCCAGGTGTGGTGGCGGGCGCCTGTAGTCTCAGCTACTCGGGAGGCTGAGGCAGCAGAATGGCCTGAACTCGGGAGGCGGAGCTTGCAGTGAGCCGAGATCGCGCCACTGCACTCCAGCCTGGACGACAGAGCGAGACTCCGTCTCAAAAAAAAAAAAAAAAATTATGTAGGCCGCGCACTGTGGGTCGTGCTTGTAATCCTAGCACATTGGGAGGCCGAGGCAGGTGGATTACCTGAGGTCAGGTGTCCGAGAACACCCTGGCTAACATGGTGAAACCCCGTCTCTACTAAAAATACAAAAGATTAGCCAGGCACACCTGTAATCCTAGCTACTGTGGAGGCTGAGGGAGGAGAACCGCTTGAACCTGGGAGGCGGAGTTTGCGGTGAGCAGAGATCATGCCACTGCACTCCAGTCTGGGCTACAGAGCGAGACTTCCTCTCAAAAATAAATAAATAAATAAATTATTTTAAAAAAATTCTGTAGAAGATAAAGACTTTCTGTTCTTCTTAATGTTTGCTGAACTTATCTATAAAATCATCTGGGCCAGGTGCTTTTCTTTGGTTTTGTTTTTTGTGAGATTTTTGACTGGATGGGATACAGATTTTAAAATAAACATTCAATTCCTTTAATGGTTCTAGATCTAGACAAGGTTTTCTGTTTCTTCCTACTTCGTTTTTATGAAGTTATATTTTTCTTTTGAGCCGGAGTTTCTCTGTTGTCCAGGCTAGACTGCAGTCACCCCATCTTGGCTCACTGCAACCTCCGCCTCCCAGGTTCAAGTGATTCTCCCGCCTCAGGCTCCCGAGTAGCTGGGACTACAGGCAAACGTCAAAACGCCCGGCTAATTTTTGTATTTTTAGTAGAGATGGAGTTTTGCCATATTGGTCAGGCTGGTCTCGAACTCCTGACCTCAGGTGATCGACCTGTCTTAGCCTCCCAAAGTGCTAGGATTACAGGTGTACATTTATTTATTTGAGATGGAATCTTGCTCTGTATTTATTAATTTATTTATTTGAGATGGAGTCTTGCTCCATCGCCCAGGCTAGAGTGCAGTGGTGTAATCTTGGCTCACTGCACCCTCTGCCTTCCAGGTTCAAGCGATTCTCCTGCCTCAGTGTCCCAAGTAGCTGGGATTACAGGTGCCTGCCACCACAGCTGGCTAATTTTTGTATTTTTAGTAGAGACAGTGTTTCACCATCTTGGCCAGGCTCGTCTCGGGCTCCTGACCTCATGAACCACCTGCCTCAGCCTCCCAAAGTGTTGGGATTACAGGCCTAAGGCACATGCTCGGCCGTATTTATTTATTTAATTATTTAGAGACAAAGTCTTGCTCTGTCACCCAGGCTGGAGTGCAGTGGCGCCATCTCAGCTCACTGCAGCCTCCGCCTCCGAGGTTTAAGCGATTCTCATGCCTCAGCCTCCTGAGTAACTGGGACTACAGGTACTCACCACCACGCAGGGATATTTTTTTCTGTTTTTTTGTAGAGACACGGTTTCACCATGTTGGCCAGGCTGGTCTCGAACTCCTGACCTTAGGTGATCTGACAGCCTCGTCCTCTCAAAGTACTGGGATTACAGGCATGAGCCACTGCGCCCGGCCTCTCACTACGTTTAAGTGATGCCATGGCTCATGCCTGTAATCCTAGCACTTTGGGAGGCCAAGGCAGGTGGATCACCTGAGGTCAGGAGTTCGACACGAGCCTGGCCAACATGAGGAAACCCCGTCTCTAGTAAAAATACAAAAATTAGTCAGGCGTGGTGGTACAAGCCTGTAGGCCCAGCTACTTGGAAGGCTGAGGCAGGAGAATCACTTTAACCGGGAGGCAGAGGTTGCAGTGAGCCAATATCATTCCACTGCACTCCAGCTTGGGTGACAGAGTGAGACACCGTCTCAAAAAAAAAAGAAAAAAAGAAAGAAAAAAATGTGATGCCGGGGCATCTCAGCCTCAATACCTGCATGAGCACAGTCATGTCCAGGCCAGGGCTGCTGGTCGAGGTCTGGCCCCATCTCTTCTAGAAGAAAGGGAGTAAGCTTGCAGGGAGGCTGGGGGACAAGATCCCAGGATCTCAGCCTCCGCTCATGGATCAGCTCTGAGACCCTGACTGAGCTGGGGGTGCTCTGTGTGCACTGGTTTCCCCAGCTGTCAAGTAAAGGGATTGGATGAGGAAGTCTTGTCAAGGTGGAATGATCTCAGATTTGGGGCAGCAGTGAATGATCCCGCTCCCTGGGCCCATGCCAGTGGCCTGGCCTCGGCTGAACACAGCCCCAACACTCTGGAATGGGGATGAGGGGGAAGTCAGCTCTTGCTCTTAGTAAGAGAGATGCAATAGGGCTCTGTGGCTGAGCTGGGTGCCTTGCCTCACACCTGTAATCCCAACCTTTGAGAGGCTGAGGCGGGAGGATTGCTTGAGGCTGGGAATTTTGAGAATAGCCTGGACAACATAGCCAGACCCCATGTCTACAAAATAATAAGAAAACACACAGCTATAGTCCAAGCTACTTGGCAGGCTGAGGCAGGAAGGTCCCTTGTGTCCGGGAATTGGAGGCTGCATTGAGCTATAATCGCACCACTGCACTCCAGCTTGGGTGACAAAGTGAGACCCTGTCTCTAAAAGAAAAAAATATCGGCCTGTGAGCATGGGTTTGATCTTCAAACAGGACCCGGAGGGTAGGGACAGACAGTGCTGTCACCCTTAGGTGCTGAACACTCAGAAACGGGCCAGCGGCAGTCCTTTCCTCACCTGCAGACACCAGATTGGGCAGAACAGCACGTGGCACTTGCAGCTCTTGCAGTGAGGGCAGAACCCAGTGTCAACCCTTCTGCCTGTGGGAGGGGCTGCTGAGGCCTGCGGAGAGGCCAGGGTGGAGGCTCGTCCCCTTGTCCAGCCCTTGGCGTGGTCTCCACCAGGTCCCCAGTCCACCAGTGCAGGGCTCCCCTGAGCCTGCTGCTGCCACGGGCCCTGTCTCTACCCAGGACGTCCCCCCACCCTCGCAGTGTCAGGGAAATGATCATGGTGGCGGTGACACTCCGCAGGCAGGGCTGCTGAGAGAAGCTGAGAAGGGTCACACTGCAGGCAGGCGCCCGTGTGACAAGCCCCTCTCACCCCGAGAGAGCTGACCAGGCAGCTCACGAGCAGAGCCACATCCCGGGAGTCCGAGAAAGGTCCTGGCTGGGCTCAGCCACCTCACTGGCCACGGGCAGCCTTTGTCGTGTGAGCCTTGCTCTCCTGGGGAGGCTCAGGCTGACAGCTGTGGGCATTGCCGAGGGTAACCTGTGGCCCAGTGTATATGGCCGGCTCTCCTCAAGCTGCATTCATTCAAGTAGGACCCAGGGTGCATGCCCATCTCCAGCCCAGGGCAGCTCCCCTGTAAGCTGGGTGAGCTACTGAAGCCAAGGCGGGAGGCAGCTGACAACACCCACGGCCCATGCGGAGGTGGTGGAAAGGCTGGACTCAGCAGCAACACCAAATCCCGGACCAGGCAGAAACCACCCAAGACTGAGGGGCTCGTGCCAGAGCGGTGGCCACAGGTAAGAACCCGGGCCCAGGGTGGCAGGAATCCTCCATGTCCCAGGGCTTAGCATAGCAAAGGAAGACCAGCCGGGTCACCCTGGTGGCCATCTGTCCCTGTCCCACCTGCAGAGTCAGAACAGCCTCTCCCCAGTGGGGATCATCTCTCTCTGCCAAAGCAACAGCGGTCCCTGCCCCAACCAGACTACCCCACTCAGTGGGGTTACGGATGCTGCTCCAGCATCCTAACACTGCCCAGCTGGTGCCTGCCTGTGCTCACCCACACCCCCCAGGCCGGCCTTCCCTGCAGCCTGGGCTTGGCCACCTTGGCCTGATTGAGCACTGAGGCCTCCTGGGCACCCAGCCCTATCACTGCACCTGCTGCTTCCAGCCCCACCCCACCGGCTCAGGGGTTCTTCCCAGCGGCGCTGATCATGAAGTCAACATGCACGCAAGTCGTCTCAGGAAACTTTTTAATGAAAGTGTCGGCCACGGTGGTGTGTAGGTGGCTGAGCTCAGATTGCAGCTGCTAAGACACCAGCCACTTACCAAGAGAAAGCCAGGCTGCTTCAAACCCAGGGCCCAAGGCAAAAAAGCATCACTTCCGGCCGGGGAGTCTGGAAGCCACGCCTTGTGGGAGGTCACACTGGCATCTAGGCCTTCGCCTGCATTGCAGAAGGAGAGCCAGGTCCCCCTCCTGGAGAACGCTGCGTTCCCCAGCCCCACACCGGCTTTGCCACCACACAGGCTGTTGAGGCAGGAGGTGGGTAAGACGTAGCTGTAGACCCAAAGCAACCACCAGCCCTGGGACCCTGCGGGAGAGGAGCACTTTTAGAACATGGAAAAGTGTGGTCATCCCATCATTAGACAGCACACATCCTACATAAATAAAAAGTCGTATGGGGAAGGAGGTTGGGGAGGGAATAAAAAATTGGCACAGACATTGATAGACTGGTTTCCAGTTTCAAGGTAACAGATGCACATCATGAGACCAGAGGAGGCAGAGACAAGGCTGGATTTGGCTTTTCTAAGCAACACGTGTTCCTGCGCAGGGCTGAATGGTCGCTGAGACAGAGATGGAAGCCAGGACAAGGGAGCCCACCGGGCCCAGATAGGTACAGAGAGCAGAGGCTCCTGTTCTGTCCTCGCCACCCACGACGGTGACACTGCTTGTAAATGGTGGCTGTGCTCTCCCAGCAAGAAAAAAGCACAACTAAATCCACACTGCACACAGACGCAGACAGAAAGCCTTCAAGTGGCTGTTTTCTGCTCCCTGCCTTGCCAGGTCCACAAGCAGAGAGGAGTGTCAGGCGCATGGCCCCACTGTCAGGCTCCCTAGTGAGCTGCGGGTTCAGCAGGAGCTGCCCACTGACACACAGGGGACACCCACTCCTCCCACCTTGGGAGCGGGTGCCAGACAGAGCCGCACTGGGTGCTGGTGTCATCCAGGGACCCCACACACTTCCTTAAATGTGATCCTGCTTCCCTCTGGGCAGCTGCATCCTCTCCTCCTGCAGGACCGTGTGGAAACTTGGCTCTCAGTTTGCTCTCCCTTCTCTCCTCTGCCTGCCCCAAGCCCCTCTTTCTAAAAAAGTGATGGAATATTCATGGGGTTATTTCTTGAAAATACTTGGCGGTCTCCATGCTTCTGTTTTCTTTGAGCCAGGTGGTCAGGAGGGTTTACAAAGAATGCCTGGGCTCCCCCGCAGGTGTCGGCAGATGGGGTAGCGAATGGTCCTGTGCCTCCACCTGCTCCGGGAGGGAGTCTCCCGTCTCTAGGCCTGGCCCCTTCCTAACCCTCCACGTATCCTGTTCTCCAGAGACTTCAGAACCCACTCCTGAGAACAGCGGAGCCAGGCGCTTAGAGGAAGACCAAATGCTGCCAGGACACGGATTGTCCAGGGATTACATTCCAGCATCTTATTAGGTATCTGGATCTGTTCGGAAAAAAATTAGAAACTATGTATAAAACTTACAAATATTCAAGTATCAAAAGGTTATTTAGGATGAAAGTTTTAAAACAAGTCATCAGCAAGCTGCTGCCACCAAGTGGAGACTTATACAAAAGTTGAGCGAGTCCACTGAGCTGAGAGGACAGAAATGAAGTCACCTGTGCTGGGGCAGGGGCAGGGACACTGGGGGCAGGGAGTGTGTGGGCAGAGAAGCCAGAGAAGTCCAGGCCTGTGGAAGCCAAACAGGAGAGCGTGGGCCGGAAGGGCGGTCAGGATCGGGGGACGAGGTCGCTCTCCCTGGAGAACGAACCCTAAAGTGCGTAGCCTGGGGTTCCCTCCCTGGGGGTCCTGTCCCCTGACATTTCACAGGCCTTCTGAGCTGCCTTCCAAGGAGGACTAACATGGCAACAAAAGACCCATTTCTGCACAAAAATCCTTCTGGAAAGAAAAAGAAAGCCAAGAATGGAGTCAAAACGCTACCCAGTGCTGACTAAGCCTCTCAAACCCTGTTAGAAGTGGAGTGTGGTTTCTAAGTCAGGGAAATGGAAGAGGCCCCACCCACACAGGGACAGGGCCACGGCCCCCACAGGATGAAGCAGCAGCGTTTATTCAAGATACAACAGTGAGGGAATCCAGTCACGTTCCCTTCTCCCCAGAGAGGGCGCATCTTGACAAGTGATCCAGTAGAAATCTTTTAGACTCTAAGTTAAGTTCATAAAAACCACTCCCTTCACCCTGTCTCCCAGGGCCAGGCCTGGACTCCGAGATGAACTGGCTTGGGGCGCCCTCAGGTGGCCACATAAAAAACCACAGTCTGAGGCCAGCCTGGGGCTCCCAGACCTGGGCGGGATCTTTCCAGGCCACCTGTCCTTCGGCTTTGGGTCGCTGTCTCTTGGCAGATGGCCCAACACTTGGGGGTGGCCCAAGGACACCTCAGGAAGGTTCCCGCTCTACGGATGGCCCGATTAGCCAGAGGTTTCCAGGCCATCTGTCCGCCTCCAGGAGATGGACTGGGACCTTTAGACTTCGGTGGAGAACAGGATGCTCTGTCTCTTGCTGTCCGGGGCAGGGATGGCCTCCAGCTGCAGGAAGTACAGCAGCACCTGGACCTGCCCGGGCAGAGTAGGGAAGAGAAGAGTGGCTCAGAGCGGGGCTCACAGCTGCTGGTGGGAGGTCTTTGGGGCCCAAGCCTCCAAGTCCATCTCAGGTGCTGGGGACCCCTGCTGGTGTCATGAACCCCTTACAGTGAGATGGGGGTGGGGTGGGGTCCTGACAAGGCATGACTTGTTGGGTGGGGGGTGGTTATTTATTTTAGAGATGCACAGGGCCTTGCTCTGTCCCCCAGGCTGGAGTACAGTGGCTCCATCATGGATCACTGCAGCCTCTAACTCCTGGGCTCAAGAAATCCTCCTGTGTCAGCCTCCCAGATACCTAGGATTACAGATGTGTGCCACAATGCCTGGCTAATTTTTCTTTTTATTTTTTCTAGAGATGGGGTTTGCCACATTGCCCAGACTGGTTTCAAACACCTGGGATTGGTTATCCTGCCTTGGCCTCCCAAAGTGCTGGGATTACAGGCATGAGCCACCACACCCGAACACTTGAGGTAGTTTTAAGCTTCCAGCAAAGTGCACTAGCAGGACCAGGAGGTGGCCTGGGCCCCCACTATCACTCCCATCCATGCAGACCTAGGCAAGTCCCTCTCTGTGAATGTTGGCCACACCACATACAATGCAAGTAAGAAGATGGGCAGGACTGGGGGTGGGGCAGGCAGAGGCCACCTCTGTCAGGTCAGGGTTGCATGGGCTGGAGCCTGTCTTCCCATACCTGGGACATGACCTCCAAGGACCAGCTGTCAGTCATGGTGATAGGCTGGCTGGGGTTGGCAGGGAGCTTGCTCTCCTTCTCGGAGGGCCGGAGCAGCGTGGGGCCAAAGACCGTGGCGAGGTTGTGCAGGGACATCTTATTGACTGCCTCCTTCTCTGCCACCCTGTAGAGGACCAAAGCAGCGGGTGCTGTTTCAACGCCACCCCCAGGAGAGAGGCAGAGGGGCTGGGCTGTGCTGGAGTTCTCAGGAAGGGAGTGACCTCGACCCTGGCTGTGCTGCAAGCTGACTCCAGCCCTGGTACTTCTGGGTCTCAGTGGCCCAGGACAAGGAGCCAGCTCTGGGCTGGTGGGGAGGTCTCCTACTTGATGTGACTCGGAGGGAAGAGGGGGGTCCAAGTGCACTGCTGGCCACGGCCAAAGCTCTGAGCTCTTTTTTAAGGCCACAGTGCAGAGAGAGGAGGGTGGCAAAGAAGAGAGGCTGGGGCAGGGGTGGCAGTGGCACTAGTCGCCAAAGGCAGTGAGTGACTGCAGACAAGGGTCAGGAGAAAAGGTCCTCGGTGTTGGGGGTCTAGTGGGAGCAGAGGGGCACTCTGCGGCCTGGGGACCTGGAGCCCTGGGCTGCCATGGGAGAGCTGGGCTACCTTTTCAGGTGGTCCAGAAGGAAAAGGAAGGTGAGCAGGTTGGCCTCCGGCAGGGACAGCAGCAGGTTGAGCATGCAGCTCTCCTTTGCAACCGGGTCTGAAAGAGCTGCAGAAGGCGGTGGGTTACTCCTTGGGGTCACAACGAGCCAGAGACCTCTCCCGAGGTGTTCACATGGAGCACCTGGGGCTTGTGTCCCTGCACAGCCCAGGCTCGTCATCATCCTCAGTCTCACAGCTCTGGCCCCCATTGAGGACCCTGTGAGGGGCACCTGTGTGGGGTGTGAACCACCTGAACGCCTTTTCTCTACCTCGCAGGGGTCAGCAGCACCCGGCAAACAGCAGCAGGAGGAGCCGCTAGAGCAGCTGCTCATGGGCAGAGCTGCCCTTGGACAACTCCTGCCACCACCCCCTCCCCAGAGGAGCCCAAGGCAGGGGAGGCTCAGCATGGAATGAAACAGGGGAGTGAGGAACACAAGGAGGTGGGAAGTGGGAGGGTCCCAGCCCCACCAAGTACGCAGAGACCCCCTCGTCGTCCTGGACACCACAGGGGCACCTGCAGGCTGGGAGACCAGGTCCTCTGTGCATGGGCCCGGGAGGCAGACCTGCCCTAAGGGTGATGCAGAGGCCACAGGTACTGCACACACCAGCACCCACTCTAGACATCAGCCTCCAGGTTGACTAAGGGTCAGGTCATGTTTGAAACCATGCTTGGCTGGACCAGGACCCATGGCAAGAGCACCCAGGCACCCTCCTTCAGCCCTGGTCTGCAGGAAGGAGGACAGCAGACTTTAGGACCCCACAGCACAGCAGTGCTGACTATTTCAGCCTCTTGGTCTCCTTGAGGAGTAGGGACAGGGAGCCCTCTAGGGATGGGCAAGGCCTTCCAGGACAGGCTCGGTTCTGGTCCCCTGCTTTTTGAGGTTGGGTTAAAATGCCGACCATGGCAGAGGGGGCACAGCTTGGGTTCCCACACCTCACTTTTCACAGCCTCCAAGGGCAGCAGTGCACGTGGAGGAGACGTCTCCCATGAGGCCAAGGCCTCCAGTGCTCACCGATGCCCTCTGCGAAGTTGGGGTAGAACTCGTCAGTGAAGAGGGGCTCGGGCAGCTCACGGAAGTACAGCTTCAGCGTGCCTGCGATGGCGTTCACGTCCATCTCGCTCATCATCACCGACACGTCCTTGTTATCTGGAAAGAGCACGGAAATGCAGCGGCCTCCTTGAGGATCCCGAGTGAGTCTCCCACCATCCCTGCCTTGGCTAAAGCACTGTCCCTGCCATGCTGACCACTGTGCGGGTCCCTCCTGGGCTTTGAGCAGCTCATCTGACTCCTCCCAAGAGCTGTGCATGGTTCTGTGTCTGCAGAGTTGATAGGGGTGCGTGGGCATTCCCATTCCTCTCCCCTGCTTGGCCTGATGTGATGGCCAGGAGGAGGCCAGCGTGGCAGGACACAGCGCCTGCGTGGGGATTGGGTGGCTCTGCCCTGTACATAGCAACCACCCCTGCACCAGTGTCGTCTGATAGCAGGAAGGCCGTGGGAGAATCTGATTGGTTTCAGTGTTTGAACCGGTGTCTTCCTTTGGACCCAATTGGCCATTGGTGCTTACATCCTCACCACAGGCCAGGTTCATTCTGGGCCCCCAGAGGGAGCTGAAACTACCACAGGGCCCTCCCAGGGATGCTGGGCATTCTAGGGGTCCTGGTCAGGGTTGGTGGTGTGTGCCCCAAAGAAGGGTCTGCAGGCACAAAATCCTGTTGAAGATGCTGGGAGGGACCCTCTGGGGTCTCAGTGCCCTCCCCTGGCATTTGTGACAGTTCCAGGTCCTTCATAGCCTGTGAGGGTTGGTGAGATGGAGGCAGAGATGCTGCAGCCCCAGCCTGGGCTGAATTTCATCAGTGCCCTCTGCCTGCCGCATCCTCACACATGGCAGGGGACAGACTGCACTGAGTCCTGGGCTTCCACCTCCTGTCCAACCCCAAGGCAGGAAGGCCAAGGCCCTGCAGAAACCCCTGGCCTACCCCAGCAAGTGGCATGCATGGCTAGGATGGTTTAAAAACTGGTTTCTACAGAGGCTTTTTCTACAACTCTTGTCTTCTCTTTTTTAAAAATAATAACACAGTAAATGAAGAAAAGACACAGAGAAGGATGTGACATGCCTGGGCCATGGAGCACTCTGAGATCTCATCGCGGACACCATTGCCCACACCTCCATCCCGTCCTGCGCAGGCCAACACTCACTGACGTCGAAGGCTGCCTTCAGTGCCTGGATGTCCGTGGCCACACCGGACACGCGGTAGATGCCCACCTCCTCCATGCCTCGGCGCTCGATCTCCTCCACGCACTGGCGCACGATGTAGGGCACCTTGGACCTCTCTCTCCTGCGGGAGGAGGGAATGTTCTCAGTGTCCTAACAGCCCTGCTTGGGCCATAACACAGGAGACCTGCTCCATATCTGCACACCCGGAGGTGGGGTGAGGACGGTGACGAAGGTACCCAGGTCTGGGGCTGCACACAGAGCCTTCTGCATGCCTGTCCTCCCTCTGCAAGCTCTGTCCTCATGGCATGTACTTTCTCAGGAACCTTTCAAGCGGCCAGAACCCCTGCGAATCACACATGACCTTTGCGGGAAGGTCAGGAGGCCTGTCTATGTCAAGTCAGCACGGGAAGGGCATCTGACAGATTCCAGGCCTGGGGTTAGCAGCCTGTACCCCCGGCTGGGAGGTCAGACCCGGTGTTGGTCCTGCCACCCACGTGCTGTGTGAGAGGAGAATCCCTGACCCCTGCCCTGGGCCTGGGCCTTAACACACATCCGACGAATGAATGAAGGGTTGCCTCAGCACCGGTGCTCCAAGTCCTGCGATGCTAAGTGCTTTTCTCCTCTGAGTCTTAGCAATGGACAATTCCAATACCTCCACACAGGACACTAGAGTAAGAATCCTTCACAGTTAGAACGCAGTGCTGTGCGGAGGCCTTAACTTGAGTTCTGTTTTGCACCTGGATTTACCAGCACATCAAAGCTGCTTCGCAAGCCCCCTCATTAGCAGGGCTTATCTGGGGGAGCTGCTGATGGAGTCCTCGCTGCTCATGCCCACAGCCCTCCCAGAGTGCTATGCGAGTGGCTGCCGTGCAGTTGGGGGTGGGGCGTGGTGTTTAGACACAGATAGGAGTCCAGGGTATGACTGATGGAGGCCCCGGCCCACGTGACCAGCAAGGTCAGAGGCCCAGCCAGATTCCATCCTGGGGAAGCAAATGAATTCTCAGAGGAAGTGGTCTATGTCTGCATGAACTGCTCTCAAACCAAACAGGCTTCTCTTGGCAACTGACTCGTGACAAAGGGGCAGGGGTTACGGCCATTCAACAGGAATCTGGGACCGTGATAAATTCCAAGCAAGGGCAGAAAACCCTGCACTTGGGCAGTTCCTGGAGCCAGCCTACTGCTTCCAAGCCAGGTGGCAAGGACATTCCTGAGCTGGTTTGCAGGAAACACAGGAGGTAGCTGAAGACGCCGTGTTCCCTGGGGCCTGACCTCACCGTGCAGTGGCCACGCACAGAGAGGAGAGACCCACACATGCTCTTTTCTGCAGAAACAGCTGAAGGGACAGGCACCCTCAGTGCGTGAGCCCAAGCCCCTCCCCACTCACTTGGTGACCACAGCAATCTTGACTCCGAAGACCCCTGTCTGTTTTCGGGACGGCATCCTCTTCAAGCTGAACTCCCTGCTGTTGAACTTGACCGAGAGCTTTACTTCGATCTACAGTAGGGAGAAGGGGCACAGTCCTCTAATCCTTCTGGTCCTCATAGCCCAAGGTCCCAAGGACCCCTGGGAGTCTCATCAAATATTTCCACCCCCAAGGCATGCAGAGGTCTCAGCATGAGGTGGAGCCGCCCCTCGGGGAAGCCCCTAGTCTACTTCAGCAAGAGCCAGGATTGTTGAAGATGATGTAAACGACTGGTTTCTGCAGAAGCACCTCCTAAAATCCCCGCTGCTTCTCTTGCTTGCTTGCTTTTTTTTAGATATAGGAGCTTGCAATGTTGCCCAGGCTGTAATCGAACTCTTGGGTTCCAGTGATTCTCCTGCCTCAGACTCCAGAGTAGCTGAGACTATAGGTGCACTGTGCCTGGCTTTCTCTTTCTTAGTAACAATTAAAAATTAAGTAGGAAAGACAGAATAATGTAAGAAAAAGCCAAGAATCTCAAATATTAACATTTTACCATTTATACCCGGGCCTTTTTGGGTGTGTCATTGCTTTTAAGGTCTAAACCTTTCTGGGGTACCTAAAGACAAATCAGGGGTCTCCATTTCTATGGGCAGCCCCCAGGTCCCTGAGTGGAGGCCCCACCTGTCCTGGTGGTGCCATGAGACCTTTGTTTGAGGAGGGATGCTCAGGGCCTGGCTGGCAACTGCATTCCAGCCAATGAATGACGATTCCCGTGCATGGTGATTCTGCTCTTGGGGGCCCTCCCTTCTCCAACCAGGCTCCCTCTCAGATGCTGCCTCAGGCTCAGCCACCTCTGACTGATTTGAAATGAACAGAGGCCACCCTATCCTTCTGGGGGAAGTGGGCACCAGGAGAGTCCCACGGACACGTACCCCATTCATGGCGATGACGGTGCGCTGCCAGTCTCTGTCCTGCAGGGCCTGCGGGTCCAGCTGAAAGGAAGGAGTCATGATTGGCAGAGGCCCTGGGGTCTGTTCAGAGGCCCCACGGGGCAGCAGCCCACACCCGCCACTTCCCCAACCCTTAGTCAGAGGCAGAGCCCGACTGCGGCCAGCACCTCCATCCAGAGGCCAACAGAGGTAGAGTAAGGAGGGGCCTGCCAGACACCCCTGGAACCCAGGGCCCCACTGCTCCCAGAGCCCTGCTGCCTGGGGTCCCCACCCCCTCCTCCCTCTGCCCCGCCCAGTTGGGAGCTGATGTGCAGGCTGGCAGGCTCTCTCCATCCGGCTTCCATCACCACGGGTGCTATGTGGAGCTCAGTGAAAGGTGAGCTGTCCAGCAGCAACTTCAGTAACAACTCCTGGGGGCCTGGCATCCACAGCTGCTGTCTGGGGAATTGTGGACACTGTTCTCCCCCTGCACCATGAACAGCTTGTGGCGGGAGGAGCCTGCAGGCCACACCAGTCCCATGGTTCAGAATCAGGCCCAGAAGGACCCAGAAACAAGCCCTAAATCAAGCAGCTGATGAGGGGGCCGGGAGGAAGCCCCTCTGTGACCCCTCTAACTTCTACCCCCACCCGGCACTATCCAGACAGCTAGCCTGCAGGAGCTTGTCCTTAATGTCACCCGAACACAGTCTGTCCTGGTATGTAACACCCTGTCATGACCAAGCCACATGTCCCCCATCCGTGAAGCCTCTGTCTCCCGTTTTATGGGGAGCACGTTCTATGTCAGCGGTTCCTGGGTATGCCAAGATCACTGGCTGGGCTGGGTGAATGAGCAGTACCATCTTGTTAAAAATACACCTCCCTGGCCAGGTGCGGTGGCTCACGCCTGTAATCCCAGCACTTTGAGAGGCTGAGGTGGGCGGATCACGAGGTCGGGAGGTTGAGACCATCCTGGCTAACATGGTGAAACCCTGTCCCTACTAAAAATACAACAAATTAGCTGGGCGTGGTGGTGGGCGTCTGTAGTCCCAGCTACTTGGGAGGCTGAGGCAGGAGAATGGTGTGAACTCAGGAGGTGGAGGTTGCAGTGAGCCAAGATGGCGCCACTGCACTCCAGCCTGGGCGACACAGCAAGACTTCGTCTCAAAAATAAAAGCAAAAACAAAAAAAACACCTCCCTGGGTTCCACCTGCAGAGAACTGACTCATAATCTGAGTGGGACCTGGGATTTACACAGCTAGAAACCCCAGGTAGTTCTGGAGTGAAGCCAGGTCACGGAGCCACCGTCTGACTCCATAGAAGGCCACTGCATCTGGCCTTGTGTTTCCATCCCTTGATTCAGGTGATGGTTCACTTCAGCCACAAGGCAAGCTGCCTAACAGCAGGGACCACACCTCATGATGTCTGCACACATTCACATGCGTGCACATATACATACACACACACGACGGTGCTGAGCACAGTGCCAGGCCTAGAGAGGGGCTGAGGACAGGCATCATTTCCACTGCAAGGGACCCTAGCGGCTACAGCCACCTGGGCCTTCTGCAGGTGAAGTGGCCAGAAAATAAGAAGCTCTGGAGCAGGTCAAGGAGCCCAGCCAGCTGCCCCCCTACTTCACAGGTGTGTGCACCTGGGCCTCCCTCCCTGCACCTGCTCAGCACGAAGGCTCACCACAGGCACACCTGGGGGTTGACCCCTTCTCACCTCCCCTTCTAGGTCCTACTGGTTAACGTTTCCCAAGGCTCTGAACTGTGCAGCCAGAGTGGCACAGAGAAGCAAAGGGCGGCGGGACGTCTCCCACCGGGGGCCATGCGGCCACAGGCTCTCATTCCGCACCTGGCCCTGAAGGTCGTCAGAGGCCACACTCCAGGCCTCAGGGACCCCACCCTGAGAAGCAGCATCTGTGAGCAGGGAGCGGTCAGTCAGAACCACACATAAAAAGGAAACTCTCAAGTGGCACTTTCCCCCGGAGTGAACCCTAAGCAGAGGCAGGAGAGGACAACATGAGGGATGCGGACAGAGTGCGCTTTCTCTGGAAAGGAGGAGTTTATACCACTGCTGGGAGCTTTAAAAAATGGAAACCCTGCCTGTGATATCAGCACTTTGAAAGGCCGAGGCAGGAGGATCACTTGAGCCCATGAGTTTAAGACCAGCCTGGGCAATATAGTGAGACCCTGTCTCTATAAAAAAAAAATTTTCAAAAGCATTAGCCAAGCATGGTGGCATGTGCCTGCAGTCCCAACTGCTCGGGAGGCTGAGGTGGGGGCAACACTTGAGGCTAGAAGGTGGAGACTGCTGTGAGCCATGATCATGCCATTGCACTCCAGCCTGCGCAACAAAGCGAGAGACCCTGGCTCTACTAACCAACCAAGTAACTGGAAACACAGAAACATGTTAAGCAGGAGACATTCTTACCTTTCCTTCAAAGAACAGCCATCACTGGGCCCCTCTCCCCTTGAAAACCCAGAACAGGCAGAAGCAGCTAACAAGCAACCCAGAGTCCAGGTAAGAAGAGACAGAAAGAGAAGCTGTCCAGACATCAGCGGCTGCCCCTCAAAGCCCCCCTGGAACCACGGCCCACAGGTGCTTTTCAGCAGAGGCCGCCCGGCTCCGGCCCGCCCGGCTGGGGTGGAAGTACCAAAGGAGGCCCTGCATCATGGCCAGGGTGGATGGTGACTCTTGCATGCTTGGCCTTGCTGCTCTGGGAAGCTGGTGGGGCTAAACGAGAGCTTCCAGCCTCCAAGGCCTTTTGACCAGGCTTTGAGGGAAACCCCACCCCGCAGTCTGGCTGGCCAAGGTCAAAGCTTCCCATCACCTCCGGGTTCCACTTTTTTGTGTGTGTGTGGGAAGAACACCCTCCCACCCCAGCCTATTGGTTACGGGAATTTCCAACGTGTCTCCATCTCCTCTAAAGCCCAGAAAAGCTGAGCTTCCTTCTCAAGTGGCTAGTTTCCTGTTGCCCAAGTTTGGAGACTGAGTAAAGTATGACTGGTCAGCCTGCCTTGTGCTGGAAGCAATCCAGACTGTCCAAAATCTGCACCACTCCCAGCAGGTAACCCCAATAATCAAATGCAGTGCCTCTGATGGACCCAGGGTGGAGGACACCCTGCTCAGGTCCTGCTCCCCCAGAGCTAGCTGGCTGAGCAATGTGCAGCCCTGGGTGGGGCTCCAGCCAGCGTCCACTCCCCAGCATTGGTGGTGTCCAGCGCCCACTCCAACCTGGTACTGATGCTGCCAGGAGGGCTCTTTATCGGGCCCCTCTCTGTGACTCCCAGTGACTGAAGACCAGGGTGTTGGCCTCCAGGCACTGGCTCTCACGGCGGTCCTGACTGGCAGCTCCAGTGGGAAAGGCTGTCCCAAGGCTGGCTCTGTTCCAAAGAACAGAGTGTGCGCCGCAGAGCGGAAGCCGTATAAAGAATAGCATGATAATGAGGCCTGTGCCTCAGCTCAGCCAATCCCAAACATTGCTCAAGGCTGGTACGCTCTCTCGTGCAGTTATTTAAAGCACCAGAGAAGTAAACAAGCAAAAGACTGGGGTTTGGAAAAACAGATGACCAAGGGGGAAACAGTTTTCCCTTAAGGGAAAAACCGAGGCACTCCGGATGCTGTCCAGGGTCCCCCTGGGTTGCAAGGTCTTGGTGAGGAACATGCCTGCTGCCTGGCCGGGGACTGGGCAGGCAGGGGTCTGTCTGCTCACATGCAGTGGTCTCAGGAGGATGGACCAGGTTGCTGCTCCTCTCCCCCTGGACTGGGTAAGGCAGGAGCCTTGAAAGAATGACTATGGTCAGCGGGCCTGGCAGATGGTGGCCTAGAGGTCTGCCTAGAAAACTATCGTGCACATCCATCCCAGGGAAGTGGTGGGGTGGGGGCTGAGGGAGGCCGAAGCCCAACTGGGGCAGGTGCTGTGTGCTGCCCTGAAGCATCACTGACCACTTTGCATGGTGGCTCTGCTGGGGGCCCAGCACTGCCCTGCTTGCTTTGTAGTCAGTGTGGCTGGATTGAGTCACCAATGGGCAGCCGGAGGACATCCTCTCACCCACCCTCAGCAGGGGCAGGGAGGGGGCTATGAGTAAACCTTCCAAAGGAGGAAATGCTTGTTCACTTAGCTCCTTGTAGACAACAGCTTCCTTCACGCCCATCGTCACCAGCCTGGATGGTCCAGCAGGGCAACCCCAGTTGTTCCTGTCTGGGCCCCATGTGTCTGCACTATAACCTACTCCCGGGGGTGGGTCTTTGCTGAGACCACCAGAGAACCTCTGTGTTCACCAGGAGAGAGATTACAGGCCTCCTGCTGTAGTCTATGACCACAATCTGCTCTCCTGAGATCCATCCTGCACCTTTTTTTTTTTTTTTTTAAGGCGGAGTCTCACTCTGTTGCCCAGGCTGGAGTGCAGTGGCGAGATCTCGGCTGACTGCAACCTCTGCCTCCTGGCTTCAAACCATTCTCTTGCCTCAGCCCCTGAGGAGCTGGGATTACAGGCACCTGCCACCATGCCCGGTTAATTTTTGTATTTTTAGTAGAGACGAGGTTTCACCATGTTGGTCAGGCTGGTCTTGAACTCCTGACCTAAAGCAATCCACCCAACTTGGCCTCCTAAAGTGCTGGGATTACAGGCGTAAGCCACCGCGCCTGGCCTCTATCCCACTTTTAACTCTTTGCTTCTCTTCTCTGATCCCAACCAGTCTCTAACATCACTTCAAAAGGAACACACCCTTCTCCCTTAGGATACACTATAACCAGCATCGGTGAGGATGTAGAGAAATGGGCTTTCATACATGGCCACTGGGGATGTAAGATGGTGCAGCTACTCCAGACAACGTAGGGCAGTTCCCCAAATAGTCACCTTGTTGCACAGCCCAGCAATCTTACTAGGTGTTTACTCAGTGAATGAAAACATACGTCCATATAGAGACTGGTACCAAGGACATGTTCGTGGCTGCATCAACCTTAACAGCCCAAACTAGAAATGATCCAAGTGTCTGTCAAATAGTAAATGCAGAAATAAAAACATGTTATATGTATGCAATGGAAAATTATTATCATAAAAAGGAACCAAACAATGCTACCACATGAATAAACCTCAAAAACATAATGGTAAGTGGAGGAAATCAGTCAAAAAAGCCCACTCTAGTATGATTCCACGTTTATGAAATGTGAAGAATGGGCAAATCTCTAAAGACAAAAAGCAGATCGGCTTGGGTCTGGGAGTGGCTATAACTGGGAACAGGGGCTGGGCACGGTGGTTCACACCTGTAATCTCAGCACTTTGGGAGGCCAAGGCAGGAGGATCACTTGAGCCTAGGAATTTGAGACCAGCTTGGGCAGCAAAACAAGACCTTGTCTCAAAAAAAAAAAAAAAAAAAAAAAATAGCCTGGCATGGTGGCGCATGCCTGTGGTCCCAGCTACTTGAGAGGCTAAGGTAGGAAGAGCACTTGAGCCTGGGACATCAAGGTTGTGCTGAGTGTGGTTGCACCACTGTACTCCAACCTGGGCAACAGAGCAAGACCCTGTCTTAAAAAAAAAAAAAAAAAAAAAGGCAACAAGGAAATTGGGGTGATAGAAATATTCTAAAACTGGATTGTTGGTAAAAGTTGTACAGCTCTGTAAATTTACTATAAAATCATTCGGTTATAAAAATGGATGCATTTCATGGTACAAAAGTTAAAAATAAAGGGTCCAAAAGTGGCTCTCAATAGAGCAAGGAGGACCTGTATCACTATCCATGTTGATGGCGGTGTGCTTCAAGAAGAATCCCGTGGAATCTGTGTAAGAATTTGCTCATGTGATCTTACATTTTCATGATGTTTACATCTTCATATCTTCCCCAAATATTGGTTCAAAACAAACATCACTCATTTTGTGTTCCTGCTGCAAGAGACCCCCTGGGGCCTGCCCCTCTCCAAGTCTGTTTAAGAGGCTACATACATAAGTTTCTCTCCTATTGGTGCCTCTGCCACATGGACCATGCATGTCTCATTCATCTCGGAATGCCCCCCAGGCACATCAGAGACCCCCCTGAATGGGTGAATGGCTGTGTGGACAAGACCTACGTGGCCCTCAGATAATCCTTGAAATACAAATGAGGATTCTTGGTGCCTTCATGACGGTATCCGCCTTACCTGACCATACCTCCTCCGACTCCCATCACGTCCCCTGTGACGTGATCTTTATTTTGGCTTATGTTTGTCTCTGCTGCTGGAAAGTAAACGTGGAGGACAGGGCTTTGTCCAGTTCATTCTCTGTGGTATCTCCAGTACCCAGACAGAGACATAAAACATACCTCTATAAGTTATGTAATAATACATTGTTTAATGGATCTAGAGTTTATATATATATAGTAAAATACATATTGGCACAAAGCAAGTACTGTTACATGCACTAGAAATTGCTGAGCCAGGCACTTGCCCTCTCACAGGTGAATTAAATTGGGGTGGGGGGGGCCATGCAGCCTTGACGGTTGAGTGACTTATGCTCTCACGGGTGGGGGGTCAGCGTTTGCTGCTGTTCTCATCCTTATCTGTCGTTTGTGAGGAGGCGATGGAGCAGGCACTATCTGGCTCCAGCCCCTGGTCCCTGTGTCAGTGGGAGTGATGGGTGGGAACCATGGCTAGACAGGAAGGAATCTGATTGCTGTGTGAAGGGCATTCATGACTCACGCCAAGTAGGTGGCGGCTGCCCTGGTCCCTGGAGGTCCAGGCTCCCAGCTGGGGGGCTTGTTTGTGGGATCCCAGGAGGAAGTAAGTCGGAGGAGTGGTGGTGACTATGCCATTGGCGCTCTGCGACACCAGCCTGGCCTCTTTCTCCCCCGTGGACACTGTTTTCTGCACAGGGATACCTGAGAGAGGATGTGCATGACTCCGGAGCCCAGCCTTTTTGAATCTGGGCTTTTCCCAGTGACACCAGGAGCCTTCTGTGCTGTACCGTGTGGGAGGCGCTTGGCTCTCTGCAGCCAGCTACAGGGGCCTACAGCCCCCACACTGCTTATGCACCTCGACTCAGAAGTTGCGTAGAGAGACCCTCCCGTGAGGTGAGGCAGTTGCAGCAGGTAGAGAAGCCGCAGCATCCCGGGAGTGTCCAGATCCAACCATGAGGGCAGAGGTCCCTGGCAGGCCCCAAGGGCAGGGGTCTGGGATGGAAAGGAGTCCTCAGCAAAGCTGCTCATGTGCCTGTCTGTGGGCAGCAGGAGTCGGGATCTTCTGGGCTGGGGGCTTGGCCCGGTCTGGTTTTTTGCTCCCCTTAATGGTGCTGATGAGCTGGGTTTAGGAACCACTTGCCCGAGTCTCAGATTTTGGCTCCTGCTCTTCAAATGCCTGTCCTGGATGACTTGCCAGGTCCCCACCTCCCTTCTTGCACGATAGAGGCTCCATGAGGGTGGGGGTGGCGGTGGGGGGGCTCTAGAAATTGGGATGGGTGACCTGCTTTGTTCAGAGCCACAAGCCAGAAAGGCAAGGGGATACACAGTACAGCAGGGACAAAGCTGTGGTGGTGCCCACAGTCCAGAAAAGAGCCACTGACAGCACAAATTGAAGTCCTTGTGTGTGGGCAGGTGCAAGAGGACCCAAGTCGGGTGTCCCTTCCAAGCCAGCCCCGAGCCTGAATGAGCCATTTGAGTGAGCGAGGCCATCCTGGTCCATCCTCAGACACCAGGAACCCGCTGTGCCACCCTAGTCATGGAAGGCTTCCTGTGTGCCATGCCTGGCGGGGGGGTCCCCAAGAACAAGAAGACCCCTCTCCCCAGCCTTCATGGTCTAGATCAGAGAAGCTGGAAAGGAAGGATGTGGCAAATGTGCCAAGAGCCAGGGCAGGCTTTGGCCCAGATTGACTGGTGGCTCAGATGGCACGGTTACTTGGGAAGTGAGGTCACGGGACAGAGAAGCCTTCACAGAGCAGGGGACATTGAATCTGTATCTTCAGGGAGGGATTTTTCAAGGTGAAGGCATCAACATCCATCCAAGATTCATGGGACGGGGTATGGGACACATTGCTGGAGGGCTAGTCTGCAGCCTAGCCGAGTGCAGCGCAACAGGGACGGGGGCCCTGAGACACAGTCCCAGTGCTCCTGCACATCCTGGGCCAGAGAGGGAGTCACCACAGTTGGCAGAGCTGGGGAAATTGGAGCCTTGCTGCCATTAGGAATTTCTTCAGGTTTTTTCTGTCTTTTTTGAGATAGTCTCGCTCTGTCCCCCAGGCTGGAGTGCAGTGGCACGACCCTGGCTCACTGAAATCCCTGCCTCCCTGGTTCAAGCAATTCTCCTACCTTGGCTTCCCGAGTAGCTGGGACTACAGGCATGCGCCATCGCGCCTGGCTAATTTTTTTGTGTTTTTAGTAGAGACGGGGTTTCACCATGTTGGTCAGGCCGGTCTTGAACTCCTGATGTCAAATGATCCGCCCTCCTCAGCCTCACAAAGTGCTAGGATGACAGGTGCATCTCTCTTCATCTGCAAATTTTCTAGGTTGCTAAATCATGTTAGCCCTGTCTATTCTCCTTAGAGGGCAACATTCTATCAAGTCATAGACTTTTGTCTTCTCCCATTTCTCCTGCTCTATTTATGTGTCTTGCTGGGCTCACAACTCATGTTCCAGTGGGGGCATCAGAGTTCATTTTTGTTGTTGCCAATGTTTTATGTGAGCCTCGGGGATGAGATTTGGACTGTGAGCCTCTGCTTCATTTGAAGCTGGTGCTCTGGCTGGCTGGCTGGAGTTTCCCAGACTTCTCTGCCAGCCTGGGTTATGTGGGCACCTGACCAGGTACAAGCCAGCAGGTCTGACTGGGGCCCTCCTGGTGGCACCCTGGCAGCTGCTCTCAAGTCCCCACCACGCAGTGAGGTCCACCCATTTTCGGGCGGTCTCCCTGTTGGACTGCCCACTCTGCAGCAGCTGTTCCCCCCGAGAGCCCATGGATGTGCCTGGCAACAGCTTGCGAATGCAAAGATAACACCAAGTTGGGTGGATCTTATGTCCATGTGCACAACAGCACTGACCATGCCAGCCTCAGACTGGAAAGAACCCAGGCGTCCACCTGCTGGTGAATGTCTGTTAATCCATACAATGGAATATTACTCAGCCTTCAAGAGGAAGGACATTCTGACACATTCTACAACATGGGTGAGCCTTGAGGACATGCTGCTAAGTGAAATAAACCAGACCCAAAAGACAAATGCTGTATGATTCCACTTACATGAGGTAGCTAGAGTAGGCAAATCCACAGAGGCAGAAAGTGGACTAGAGGTTAACAGGAGCTGGGGGCAGGAGGAATGGGGAGTTATTCTTTTTGCACCTGCCCCCCTGGGAGTTATTGTTTAATGGGTGTAGAGTTTCAGTTTGAGAGGATGAAAAAAAAGTTCTGGAGATGATGGTGGTGATGGCTGCACAACAATGTGAATGTGCCTGATGCCACTGAACTGCACACTTAAAAACACCTGGGACATTTTACATTGTGCTTATTTTACAATTTTTTTAAAAAGGAAGGAATTACTTCTCAGCCTTCTGGCTAAGATAAAAAGGCTGCCCATGGTGCAGGGATGCACGTGGGAGTCCAAACTCTGAACTCCCCGACCCCCTCACCATGAAGGCCCCGACCACCACTGGGCACATGCACAGCGTGGTGGAGAAGCCCCAGGCTTGGCTGGCTCCCGCCCCAGCCACCCCTGGGAACTTCAGCACCTTCATCTGTGAGAGGGCAGGTGCCTGGCTCAGCAATTTCCAGTGCATGTAACAGTACTTGCTTTGTGCCAATATATATTTTACTATATATATATATATATATATATAAACTCTAGATCCATTAAACAATGTATTAAATAACTTACAGATACAGATGTATGTTTTATGTCTCTGTCTGGATACTGGAGATACCACAGAGAATGAACTGGACAAAGCCCTGTCCTCCACGTTTACTTTCCAGCAGCAGAGACAAACATAAGCCAAAATAAAGATCACGTCACGGGGGACGTGATGGGAGTTGGGGGAGGTATGGTCAGGTAAGGCCACGAAGGCATCGAGAATCCTCATTTGTATTTCAAGGATTATCTCAGGGCCATGTAGGTCTCGTCCACACAGCCATTCACCCGTGCAGGGGGGTCTGTGATGTGCCTGGGGGGCATTCCGAGACGAATGAGACATGGTCCATGTGGCAGAGGCGCCCATAGGAGAGAAACTTACGTAGCCCCTAAACAGTCTTGGAGCTAGGCGTGGTGGCTCACGCCTGTAATCCCAGCACTTTGGGAGGCTGAGGAGGGCGGATCATGAGGTCAGGAGATCGAGACCACGGTGAAACCCCATCTCTACTAAAAATACAAGAAATTAGCTGGGTGTGGTGGCGGGCGCCTGTAGTCCCGGCTACTCGGGAGGCTGAGGCAGGAGAATGGCGTGAACCCAGGAGGCGGAGCTTGCAGTGAGCCGAGATCATGCCACTGCACTCCAGCCTGGGCGACAGAGCCAGACTCTGTCTCAAAAAACAAAAAACAGCCTTGGAGAGGGGCAGGCCCCAGGGGGTCTGTTGCAGCAGGAACACAAAATGAGTGATGTTTGTTTTGAACAAATATTTGGGGAAGATTTAAAGGTGAGGAGGCTGGGTGCAGTAGCTCACGCCTATAATCCCAGCACTTTGGGAGGCCAAGGCGGGTGGACCACTGGAGGTCAGGAGTTCGAGACCAGCCTGGCCAACATGGTGAAACCCCGTCTCTACTAAAAATACAAAAAAATTAGCCAGGCGTGGTGGCACATGCCTGTAATAACAGCTATTCAGGAGGCTGCGGCAGCAGAATCGCTTGAACCCGGGAGGCAGAGGTTGCAGTAAGCTGAGATGGCACCGCTGCACTCCAGCCTGGGCAAGACAGTGAGACTCCGAAGAAGAAGGAAAGGCAAAAGGAAAGGAAAAAGGAAAAAGGAAAGGAAGAAAGAAAGAAAAGGAAGGAAGGGAAGGAAGGGAAGGAAGGAAGGGAAGGAAAAGTGAGGAAACACATTTGGGCCAGTGGGACAGTAATTCACCCAGGTCACACTGAGTGTGGTGGGGGTGTGACAAAGACTCTCCTTGACGGAACTCATCTGGTCCCTCCAGCTTTTTATTCCAGCTAGATCCCATCCTTGGGCATGTTCTCAGGAGCCCAAATTTTGCAAGAATCCTGCTAAGTCCGTTTAGCCAGAACCCCCTGCCCTTGCTATCTGATCAGATTCCTCACCCCACGCCATCCCCCGGGGGAGATCGATCACTTTGGCCTGTCTTCAGCAAGAATCCTGTCGGGTCGGTTTCACCAGAATCCCTCTTCCCCCTGATGTTACTTCATCATTTTCCATCCATCAACCCCTACCCTGCTTCTTGGCTGCAAGTCCCCACTCATCCAAGTGACTTCAGCATTGAGCCCATTTCTAGGCCTTCCATTTCTAGTCTTTTCCCTATCACAATAGTTACTAAACAAAACCTGCTTTTACCACTTTAACTGCTGTCCAGCTCGGGTTTTTCTTCGACACTTACTGCTCTCCTCTTCCCCGGGATGGGGTGGGGTGCTCAGCCAGCACCCCTAGACTGACAGAAGAGCACAGGTCACGTGCATAAATACTTCAGTAGCATTGCAGAAAAGAGTTTCAAAAGATGGCCTGACATGATAACACAGGAAGAGGCCTATCAGCTCTTTTCTCTCTTTCACTGAGACCCCCAGTTACTTAGCAATAGTACTCAGAGGTCCTGGTTCAAATCCAGCCACTCCCAGGATTCCAGTGATTGAAGATTTGGATGAATTGAGTCAATGGTTGGCAGAATCTGAACCTCCCTTTACCTGGTTTGATGAGCTGAAAAAAGGAGCCAGGCACCCAGGCTGTGAGTATCCCTGGGCTGAGCAGTGACACTGTGCCAGATGCAGGCTGGACTGTGGGGGAGGAATGCCCTAGGCTGGGTGGGGGAGACAGAAAACATGGAGAGGGAGAGAGAAGTGGGAGCGATGGGAGCACGACTGGCTTTGCAGTCTGCTCCCTCTACCTCCCTGAATACCCAGGGCCCTGATTCTGAGCAGGTTAGAGAAGCATCTCCTGAGTGTCAAATGAGCTCTCTCAAAGATCTGCTGCAAGGACCGAATGGGAAAGCACATGTGGCCAGGCACAGTGGCTCAGGCCTGTAATCCCATCACTTTGGGAGGCTGAGGCAGGAGAATCGCTTGAACCCGGGAGGTTGCAGAGAGCCAAGATCACACCACTGCACTCCGGCCTGGGCAACAAGAGCAAAACTCTGTCTCGAAAAAAAAAAAAAAAACAAAAAACAAAAAACAACTTAGCCAGGCATGGTGGGGCACGACTGTAATCCCAACAACTTGGGAGGCTAGGGCACAAAGATTGCTTCAGCCAGGAGTTTGAGGTTGCAGTGAGCTATGATCCTGCCATTGCACGCCAGCCTGGGAGACACAGCCAGATACTGCCTCAAGAAAACAAAGAACAACAACAACAACCAAAGCAAGCACGTGTAAAAAAGAACCTGAGCCGTGACCATCACCCAAACTATGACCGTCATTTGACTGATGCTAAAATACTTCGGATCTCAAAGGAGACCAGCACTAAGTACTCCATCAAGAGTGGTGTGGCCCATCTGTGTGGTACAATCTCCCACCATGAGAATCCACACAAAGGCTGGCAGAGTGAACAAGACAGTGCAGTGGGACAGCGACAGGAGAGCTGAGAGCAATTTTTAGTTAATTTATTTTGTTTTAGACAGGGGTCTATGTTGCCCAGGCTGGTCTTGAATAGCTGGGCTCAAGCAATCCTCTCGCTTCAGCGTCCTGAGTAGCTGGAATACAGGCATGTGCCAGAGGAGTCTTTTTGCTTTTAAACCTGATCTCAAAGTATAGGGAGCCCCAGGAGGCTCTGAGCCACTGAGTTCCCTTATAAGCTTCCAAGGCAGAAAAACAGGCAGTAGCTGCACCTCCGAAGATGTGGCCAGCCAGGCCAGGGTGGCAGAAGGGGGTGAGGCCAGCACTTGGTAAAGATTTGCTGATCTGAATGAGAATGTGGGATCCATCAGCAAAGATGACAGGTGACTCAGGGAAGAGCCACCCTCTCCCTTCATTCTTCCTGGCACTTGGTATTTTTTTTTTTTTTTTTTTTTTTGAGACGGACTCTCGCTCTGTCACCCAGGCTAGAGATCAGCGGTGTGATCTTGACTCATTGCAAGCTCCGCCTCCCAGGTTCATGCCATTCTCCTGCCTCGGCCTCCCGAGTAGCTGGGACTACAGGCACCCGCCACCACGCCTGGCTAATTTTTTGTATTTTTAGTAGAGACGGGGTTTCACGGTGTTAGCCAGGATGGTCTCGATCTCCTGACCTCGTGATCCGCCCACCTCGGCCTCCCAAAGTGCTGGGATTACAGGCGTGAGCACCACGCCCAGCCTGGCACTTGGTATTTAACCACAAGAGGATTTTTACTTCCTGCTTAGGGAGGGAGACTGGGCTTCCTGAGGAGCCCTGTGCTTCTAGGGGCATGTGGAAAGCCAAACCCACTCCCTCTAGAGGCCTCTTGTGAAGATGGAAGGTCCTGGGAAGAGAGAGCTGTACCCACAACCCACTGATATAATGCACTATAAGGAAAGCACGATCAGGGCTTCCTCTCAGCTACCCCCGCGCAATTGTGAGGGTGGGAACAGGATAAACAGGGCCTGGGGCGCCAGCTATGATCCTCCAGGAAACCCTGGTGGCGTGCTCCCAGGGGCTAGACAAGCTTCTGAAGGACAGAGGGCCCAGGCAGTCTCCTTAAGAACCAGGGCCCCCTTGCTGGTCCTGTATGGACACATTCTCGGTCTCACCTGGGGGCTTCCAGATTAGCCTGGGAGGAGACCTGTCTGTGTGCACCCTGTTCAGAGATACAGCTCTATACCCTAGAAATTGGGTCTAGACCACAGATAGGGGATGCCAAGCAGGCAGCCTCTGGGACCCCTGTGCTTGCAGGCAGCCTCTGGGACCCCTGTGCTTTTCTAAGAAGACTGGCACAGGATGGGCCAATTTCAGCCTAGGACACCATCTAACTGTTCCACCTTGGGTTCTCCTAAGGCCGGGCAGGAACTGAGGCCCCAGCTGCAAAACCAAGTTGAATGGAAATTCCTTTGGGAATGAGCCGACGCAACAGACACGCAGACAGAGGGTGGTACGTCAAGACCCATCAAGATACATGCAGGCACCGGCTCAGGTCTCCCACGATGGATGTTTCAGAGCCACAGCTGCCCACCCCACCCCACCCTGGGTGCAAGGCCATGACCATCTCAGTGTCCCCAGGGGCTGCATGAAAAAGGACGCCATGCATCGGGCAGGGGAGGGTAGGGATGGCTGCCTCACCTGGACCTGGCCCTTCCCCATGAGTCTGTCCGTGCTCTCGCCGTCCTCCTTGGGGATCTTCGTCTTGTTGTAACACTTTTCATAGCACAGTATCCTCAGGGTCTGGGAGCCCTCCAGCTCTATCTCAAATTCCTGCAGCCCCAAGGGAGAAGGGAAGTCCAGTGTGAACAAACGGGTCAATGTTATGGCTGAAGGGTCCTCTGAACCGGGGCTCTCCCTGCTGCCCTTGCTGGCCCAGAGGGACCAATGCCTGAGACCCTCCTCCCTTAGTCCTGGGACACATGGAAGTATTCCTTGTAAGCACCCCTGGCATGAGACCGTGGCCCAGCCCGGATGCTTCCAGAAGCTCCGACTGCCTTTCAAACTTAATCCAAACTCCTTACACCAGCATCTCAAAGGGTGATCCCCACACCACCTGCCTCACAATCGCCAGGGTACTTGTTAAGATATTTCTATGGGCTGGGCACGGTGGCTCACACCTGTAATCCCAGTACTTTGGGAGGCCAAGGTGGGCAGATCACTTGAGACCAGGAGTACGAGACTAACTAGCCAACATGGCGAAACCCCATCCTACTAAAAATACGAAAAATAGTATGGCGTGGTGGTGCATGCCTGTGATCCCAGCTACTTGTAAGGCTGAGGCACGAGAATTGCTTGAATCCGGGAGGCGGAGGCTGCAGTAAGCCAAGATCATGCCACTGCATTCCAGGCTGGCCAACAGTGTGAGACTCTCCCTCAAAAAAAGATATTTCTATGGACTCTGAAAGATAATGATCTGTCGATGCAGGTTCACTTTTATGGCGGTGAGACTATTCTGTAAGATATTATTATGGTGGATACACGTCATTCCACGTTTGTCAGAACACATAACATGTGTAACACCAAGAATGAACCCTACCTAACATCAACTATGAACTCTGGGTGGTAATGATGGGTTAATGCAGGCTCATCAACTGTAACTCATGTCCCACCCTGGAGTGGGATGTCCATAATTGAGATGGGGGGCAGGAGGTACATGGGAACTCTGTTCTTTCTGCTCCATTTTGCTGCAAACCTAAAACCGCTCTTTAAAAAATGAATTATATCTAAAAGGAAACAAAAGAGTGATCCTTGGGGTTGATACAGGAGGGAGAGGGACTTGGAGGAAAAACTGCTCCCCGAGCTCTCCAGTTGTCTGCCGTGGGTGCGTGGTGTTAACTCTCTCCTCCATCACCCTGACGGTGCTGTTGGTGAATCTGCGCTTCACACCGAGGCGTGTGCGCGCATGGCTTCTTGGCGGGGAAATGGAGGAGGGTGCGGGAAGAAGCAAGCAGCAGGAATTTCTGAACCTGAATAGGGGAGGGGGTGGGTGTGTGTGTGCGCCAGGAACATGTGAGTGTCCCCAAGTCCAGATCTTCATGGACAGTGAGGGTGGTGGACGTGACCTGCTACAATCTAACCCTCATGTCTTCATGCCTCCCCGGAGCTTCCGTGGCTGCCTGGCACCTGAACCTTTTGCACACTGCCTGGCACCCTCTCTTGTTGTCTCTGCTGGGTCGTGGCACTCTTGGTCTCTGCAAAGGCTTCTTCGATGGATCCCCTGTGGCTCTTATACCCCCTCTCATCACAGCTGCCACTCAGCCCTTTCTGCAGGGATGTCCAGAGCTACAATGACCAGGTTATTTTACTGAGCTCCTTGTGCCCTTGTACTATTCAAGCAACATGTCTAAAATGATCAAAGAGTAGTGGATGCTGAGAAAGGAGACCTGGGTTCCAGCCCCACTGCTCCATCCACCAGCCTCGTGACCCGTGTAGACCAAGCAGCCTGGGGGCTCTTGGCTTCCTCCTTCGCAGGAGCAGGGGTGGGAGGCAGCTCTCTGCAGGCCCAGCTGGCCTCTACCTGCAGCATCAAGAATGAGACCTTCGAGGTCACAGCTGCTGCAGAAGCTGGGAAATGGCACCTCTCATGGATCTGGGACTTAGTCAATACGGGCCTCTCTGCAATCATTCCCCTACTCCCGAAGGTGCAGGGCCAAATGGCTAAGTGACTCACACAGCAGCTCTCCAAGGTGGAGGAAGGCACGGCGACACACAATACAAACCCAACACCCCGAGACAAGCAAGCAGGACCCTACAGTCCCTGTCCCAGCCCCACCAGCAGAGCCCCAGGCTTCCGGAAGCCAAGAGGGTCACGGGAGCTCATTCCAACTTCTGCGGAAAAACACTATGGAAACCTACCAAGTAAACATAAGCGCTAACAAAGGCAGACAAAAAGCCTTTTTAAGTCTCTTTCCAAACACTTCTCCAGCAAAATAGGTGGCTTCTTTGTGATGACAGGGATGGGTAAGGTTTTCAGGAACAAGGAGATAAAATCTCTTGGACACGTCACCTACTGGCCCCCCAGGAGATTCCTGGAATTCAGCAGCACTGCCTTCGGGGGAAGCCCTCAGGGAGCCCCTGAAGGTTTAGATTATCTCCAGTGGAAAATATCCTGTGCCCCACCTGGCAGGCTGGGCCCTTGTGGAATCAGTTCCTCACCTCGTTCCAGTTTGGCTCAGCTGTGTCCCTGTAGACGCGCGTCTTTGCTTTATTCACAAAATACCCAAAGGAATCCACCTCCAGGGTGCAGTACAGATCTGTGGGGAGAAGTGGACATGGAGAAGGTCACAGGTCTTTTCCACATCACCCACATGGTCTGTAAGAGCAGGTGTTATTTGCAGAATCAGAAAAAATAAAAATAAAAAAAAAAGGTTGTAACTTTCTTTTTAAAAATTAAACACCTAATTGTGGTCTGGCGTGAACACCAGCACCTCATGCGATGCCCCTGCCCGCTCTGTGGAATTTCCCTGGGTGCGGCTGGGAAACGGGACTTCCCACAACATTCGTTCACTCAGTCGATCCACAAACCCCAGCTAAAGCCCCTACGATGAGAAGGGCCCTGCACTGGTGGGGACAGAGAGGTGTACACGCCATTGTTACACAGTGATGCCACAGCAGAGGGCAGCCATCCTGGGGGATGTGGGAAGCCCCTACAATCAGAGCAGACCCCGCTGTACTATGGGGCAAAGAGTTAAGGCAAAGGGGACTCCAGGCCACTGTGGGGCACAGGAAGCAGCTCAGTGCTGGAGAAGTCGTGGGGTGCAGGGGGAAGGGAGGGAGGCGAGGCCTGGAGAAGAGTGGGCTGGGCTGTGGGCGGTAAGTTGCAGGGTGGGGTTTGCATTTTAGAAAAACTACCTGAGACTGGGGATGGAGAGGCCTGGTAGTGGGGACCCTTTCTGCAGGGATATCCAGAGCTACAAAGACCAGGGAGGAGGCCACAGCCAGGGCCTGGCCAGGCAGCCAGAGATGACTAAGAAGCCTCACTGATGGAGAATGGCATTTAACGGAGGGAGAGCAGACCACGGTTTCTGGCTTGGCCATGCGGGTGGATGGTGGTGCCCCTCAAAGGGACAGGACATAAGAGGAACAAGTTTGGGGTCCATGAATAATAGGTTTGGTTTGGGGATGCAAGGTTGAGTGCACGGGGCAAGGAAGAGATAGAAAGAAAGGTAACAGGGAGGCAAGGAGAGACAAGCCCGGGACCACGGGGCAGCGTAGGGTGTCACGCTGTATTGCTCACAGACAGGACCCGGGAGGAGATGCAGGGATGCAGGGAGGCCCACGAGGGAAACACCAGCGTTTATGAGGCAGCCAGAGACAGGGGCCCAGGAGAAAGATTATGTTATGAAGGTGCAATCTGCATGTCATGTAATTCATCCATTCCAAGTGTAGGGTTTAAAGAATTTTAGGAAATGTAAATGTGAGCGCAAACAGCACCACAGTCTTTTCACGACACTGCTCTCACCTAAAAAGTCCCCCTTGGGTTCATCTGCAGTTAGTCCTCTCTCCCAACCCCATTCCCCAACAATCCCTGGTAAGCTTTCTGTCTCCACATTTTGCTGTTTCTAGGAACTTTTTTTTTTTTTTTTTGAGGCGGAGTCTTGCTCTGTCGCCCAGGCTGGAATGCAGTGGCACAAGCTCGGCTCACTGCAACCTCCGCCTCCTGGGTTCAAGCGATTCTCTTCCCTCAGCCTCCCAAGCAGTTGTGATTACAGGTGCCCACTGCCTAGCCCGGCTAATCTTTGTATTTTTAGTAGACACAGGGTTTCACCATGTTGGTCAGGCTGGTCTCCAACTCCTGAGCTCAAGCGATCCACCTGCCTCAGCCTCCCAAAGTGCTGGGATTACAGGCATGAGCCACTGCGCCCGGCCTCGAGAAACTTACACAGTGCAACTCATGTGTTACCAGCCTTCACTGTTCTGACAGCTCCAGTAGCTGGGGGAGACCCCCACTTAGAGGGAAAGGAAAAAAAAAGTAGTATCCATCCAGCTCGACAGAGCAGCCAAATCTGCTCTGCTGTGGGGTGAAGGTGCACTGCTGACAGCCCTCCTGGCTTGGACCCCACACTCCCGGGCACCCCTGGGGATGTCTGTCAAAGTCCTTGCCAAACCCCTGCAATTACTCGATCCACCTGCAGGGGGCAGCTCACCAGCTCCCAGGATCTGAGACAGGCTAGGGGAGAGGGCAGAGGCCACTCCGGGAAAAACAATTCCACACCCAGAAGGCATCAACCAGCACAAACACTCCACAGCGGCCAGGGTCAAAGGTGTCCCGTGGTCATCTGAACAACCTCCCTGTTTCCCCACACCCTGCCCGATGAGTCCTTCCTGGGTGGAGACCCTGGCTCGGCCGCTGCAACCCTCCTCCCCAAACCAGTACTTACTTGAACTCTGCTTAAATCCAGTGGCTGAGTGGACGATGACATTCAGAAACCCATAGAGCCCCGGAGACTCATCATCTGCGCAAGAGATCAAAGAGGTCAGCTTCTGTTGTCCCGGGAAAGGGAGGCAGGTGACAAGCTAACTCTGCTTCAAAATCAACCATCCGGTGGACACTGTGTGGCTGCCATCTGCCTGGCACAAGGTAAGCCAGTGTCATGGGCCAAAAACATACTCATCATGATTTCTGTCTTGGGGATCTCAGGATCCAGCTGGTTTCACAATACAGGCAAACCAGTGACTCGAAGTGTAATAAGGTTCCAAGGACAGCAGAGGGGGTCGGGGTGATGTGGGATGTGGGTGGGGTGTGTGTGGACACATGTGCATAGCGTATGCTGTGTGTGTGACTGAGCATATGTGCAACAGTGAATGCAAAACAGCTTGACCAAAAGTGCCGGCTGGCAGGTAGCTGGAGGAGAGGAGGGCTGGGAGGACGGGAGTGGGGCCAGATCCAAGGCACAGAGCATCTGAGGAGCGTCTGCTGCAGCCTTGTGACTAGGAACAGAAGCCGTGCATCTCCTCAACCACCCAGCAGCAGCCACTCAGGGAGAAACTGCTCCTAACCCACCTTGTCCACTCCTGGGAGGAGACAAGAGGCCCTAACAAGCATAGCTCTTCCTTCTGAACCAAAGTCCACTAGTCCCATCAAAAGTGCTAACAGGAAGGGGGGATCAGCCTTCAGGCTAGCTGCCTGCCCTCCCTGCAGGTGCCCTGTACACGGAAACGGGGGGGCCCACCTTCCTTATTGATGGTCAGCGGAATGCTGTGGACAGTCTGGAGTTTCACACACGAGTTGGTCAGCATCTGCAGCTCCACGGATGTCAGGGAGAAGCTTCTGAAACCTGGGAGGTTGGAAAAGAGGTGCACCAATTGGTCAATCTGCTCCTTGGCCCTCTGGCCCCTCCCACTGGACCTCCACCACACACCCTGGGGAAGGGGCACGGCAAGAACTGGTGCCAGGGCTTGGGGGCTCAGGAGAGGGCACTTGGCTCTCAAGTGCAGTGCTGGTCTGGCGGCAGAGTGAGGTGTGGCCCTGGAGAGCCCAGGCCTGGAGGAGTCTTAGCATGAGACTTACAAACACACACATCCCACGCTACCTAAGCACAGCCACAAGGCAGGTCTGAGAATGAGTGGCTGGACTGGGAGCACCTCCCTGTGAGGTCTCCCCATACAGACAGCAGCATGGCTCTGCCCGTCCTCTGCTAACACAGGCCCCCGTTTCTCCACCAGGTGAGGAAAAGGGGCTTATTTCTGGGCATAATGCTGAACAGGGAACAGAGGCTGCCACTCTGGAAATGGCTGGGGCTCCTATGTTATGACAGGAAACCCTGGGACACAAGCACTGGCAGGGCTGCCCGGAGATCCTTGATCCCCCAGGCCACGGTGGCATTGGGGGCCGAGAGGTGGCTCTGCATAGGTGAGAATGATGAGCCTGAGGGCGCGGGAGGTCAGGCCAGGCCAGAGGCATGCAGAGCCCCAGCTCAGGGTGAATCCCAAACCTCCAAGGAGGGAACCGGGTCTGCCTTCCCCACCGACACTGCCAGGCAGGACCCGAAGGAAGGAGCGCCCTGACAGAGGGAAGTGCCCAGAGAAGGAAGGGGCTGCCCCAGACAGGAGGGAGCGCCCCTGAGCTGAGAGCGGGCAACCCCGGCCATATGAACAGGGCAGTGGGGCCAGCACAGTGTGAATGCCCAAGTGGGCCCAGCCAAAGGCCCCTTTAGCATCAGCACCTGCTGGGGCAGGGAAGGCCCAGGGGGCGGGGAGTAGATGAGGAGAAATGGGGGAGGCCAAGAAAATGGGGTGGTGGCAGGGTCCCAGAAAGGACTAGGGGGCAGGCCGGGGGTGCGGTGTATGGGCAGCAGACTAGGGGGAGATGGCAGGGGTGTGTGTAGGGGCAGGTGTGGAATCTGGAAAGGGCCTGGGGAAGGGGGATTCACAGGGGATCACAGGGCAGTGGGGAAATGAGTGCCCAGGTGATGGGGGCAGGATAGGCTGGCAGGGGAACAAGAGGGCTGGGGGCCTATCGGGATGGCTGTCGCCAACTTCTTTTCTAAATTAGCCCTCCATGCAACACTTCACTTGGATAAAACCCCTCGAAATAAAAAAGAAGGTTTAAAACCACAGGAGCTGCCAGCCTGGCCCTAATGGTTTGAAGCCCAGCCCCTCTCAGGACAGAGGATACTCACACTTCTTCTGCTGCTCCCGGATGTTCTCCCTCCACTCTGCACGCTCATAGTCAGAGGAGATCAGGAACGTGTAACTCTAGGGTGGGCAAGAAGAACACACCCAGTTATCTCCGCCCTGGCTACGCAAATGCCTGGTAGGCCCGGGGCACCTTAGAGCACACAACTCGTATCTCCAGCCGGCTGGAGCCCAGTGGCCAGGTGTGCTCACGGCCTGGCATGTCGCTTCCGGCACTCCCTACCCTTCCTGCCAGCTGGGTGCCACAGCACCTCTGGCACACCATCTCTCACCCGAACTACATGGGTCAGGGTGTGATGCTGGCAGAGGGGCACAGCTTAGGGACATGGAGGTAACCAGGTGGGATCTGCAGAGGTGAACGTTGATCCAGACCTGACCTCCTGCATTCAATTCACAAGCCCCACACTAGCCCAGAGGTGAGGCTTCTGCAGAGCCCACCAGCTGCCTCTCCTGGTCAGGCTAGAAAACAAGCCATTCTGGACATTGACAGACATGTATTGACAGGAGGGAGAGGCCCAGGTTACAGATGGCAGCAGGAGCCAGACTCAGGACAGAAGGTGTGTCTCTGGCCCTCAAGGCCCCAGGACAGCATCCCTGTACCAAGGGCCAGATCTGCACAAACCTGCTAGGCTCCCCTGCCCTATACCCTCCCTGGAGACCCTGTCCACTCCCAGCTGTGGGAGCTGAGCCAGCTGCCACTCAACCTGGGGGCTACAGCCCAAAGCCCCAGACAAAGGAATGTGCGTGCTTGCATGCACCATGCCGGACATGCCTCTCTCAGAGTGGGGCGCATCCAAGTGAAAACGCACTGCCATTAGGCAACCAGGAGCCCATCCCAGGCCAGGAGAGCAGGAGGGGCCGGAACAGCAGGCGCTCACCTTGCCGTTGCGGCTGTGCACCCTGAAGGCCATGCTGGGAGACATAAGCAGCAGCAGTGACTCCTGCTCCGACAGCTTCTTCTTCAGCCTCTCCGTAGCCTTGCTGCCCTTGTTCGCCCTCTGTGGGGAGATGCCACAGCCTCACCTTCCCATTCCAGCGCTCCACACAACCCACTCCCATTCCATCCATCCCCACCACCAGCTGCATTCAGCCTGCAGAGGGCAAGAATCCCATCTCTCCACTCAGCACAGACCAGGGCCCCAGACCGCAGTTGCTGGTGGCCTCTGGAGGACAGAAACAGCTTTTTTACAGGGTCAAGGCATGGCATAAGCTGCAGGACATGCTCAGTAAACCTTTTTTGGAGGAATTAAGTCTTTCCTCTCACAAGGGCGGAGAGAAGAAACTTTTACCAACATCCCTGCCTTTCATTTTCCCAAATTCAGACAATGTCTAGGAGGCTGCTGTGACCTACAGGGTCCCTCACCCTCTTCCTAATCCAACTAGGTTTCAGCATCGGGCCCCTGGGCATGTTTGTGGAGATGCCAGCAGAAGACCAGACGACCGTCAACAGAACCTGGATGGGAAGGCCCTTCCTATGCTGAGCCATGGGTTTCACTCTAGAAGCCACTATCCCTGGGGAGGAGAAAACTGTGCTGCCTGTCACCAGGTAGGGCCCCACCCCATCCCATCCCCCAAAGAGCTGAACATGGAGAATGCAACAGTAACAGTCAATAGGGCTCAGCTGCCCTGAGCACTGGCTCCCACTCTGTGTGGGGACACCCTACCCTGGAGGTCACAGTCCCACAAGGATGACAATAGAATGTTCACCCCAGTCTTGAAGCTCCCTGTGTTCCTAAGTGTGCTGGGTTTGGGTACAGCAGGCTGGGCAGCTGGGCAAGGGCTGAGGACCTCCTGTCCTGCTGCGTCCACCCTACCTGGGCATACCTGGACCCAGGCCTAACCTTGATGCCACCCGCCTCCTCTGGCCTGGCTAACCTTTGATTGAGGGGCTTGTCCTCACCATTTTTACAGTCTTCAAACATCTCTGGAAAAAACCAAGGGCAGGTAGTCCTGAACACCTAGAGGGGTGGCACTGCCACCTGGGCCTGGGCCCCATCAGGGTAGCTTGTATGGGGGACAGCCAGCACCTCCCCCAACCCTGCATCCTGGACTACTCCAAGCCCTCCACTGTCTGGCTGTGACTTTCTCTCTGGTGACTCAGTACTTCACCCATGTAATGGAACCACACGGCAAAGGACGCAGCCTGGGTATCAGGAGACCACACACTTGAACAGCTCAAGCCTGTGGCCAGAGGTGAGAACCCGGAAGCCTCTCTCCCGCCCGGCTGACTGAGCTCCCGCATTCCTGCTGCTTCCTTAAAAGGACCATCCAGGCATTTGCCTGTGAACTTAAAGTGATCACACCCTGTTCCCTTATAAATACTGCTAGCTGTCATGCGCTAACTCTTCATTTCTGCCTTGCATGACCCAGGGACAGAAGACTGCCCTCCCTACTCATGGCACCTCCTTGTCCAAAACCTGTAGGTAAAATCTCTGAACTTGTTTCCTATTGTGGTGCTGTGTTTCCGAAAAACTAGGAGGTGTTTGCCTAGGTTAAGTTTTCCCCGGGGATGCCAGTGAAAACACAAAATCAGGCTCCCAGTGCCACAGCAATGGTCAGGTGGGCATAAACTGGACACAGTTTAAACAAGTTTCTCTCGTGAGGGACCCCTGGTCACAGGTCAGACAACTAAGCATGAGGCAGTCCACCAGGTCTAAGAAGTATCCCGTGAAAGGCGCACTGTAGAGACCACGACCAGTTCCCTTCATTTTTCTGGAGGGTTGGGTTGGCAGCCGCTCTGGTATGGTGCTCCCCATTTAGCTGGGGGTTCTCAGAACAACTGGACACCTAGTTGTGCCCAGATGCCCAGCCCTCCAAGAGCTGAGAGCTTACAGGGGTCCCAGAGACCAGACCTGGGGCCCAGAGGCCTGACGGAGAAAGCACCCACTGGCCGTGTGCGGGGGCTGCTGCCACTCTGACCACACCAAACCCGGCCCTTGCTCCCCTGGTGTGCACCTTCTCTCTCTGGATGTCATTCTTGATCTGGGAGATCTTGATCTTCAAAGCGTCCAGCTCCTCATCGGGCACCAGGGGGATGTTGGGCACTGCCTCCAGTTCATCCACCATCTGGAAGCTGAGATCCGTGAGCGGAATGTACCATTTGCAGTCATACTGCTGCGTTTTGCTGGGGATGGGGAGAGAAGAACGTTCACATGCACCGACTGCCTTCTATGGCTGATGTCACTGCTGTCAAGAGCCCAAGAGCCAGTGTTCTCGGCCATACATGGTTTACCTGACCTAAAACCCAGCACGTGTTCCATGGGACAGACTGGGATGAGGCCACTGGCAGGTGCCAGGATTCCTGGGAACAGACACTCTGAACATGTGACCGCAGGCCCCAGGCATCTCAGGAGTCTAGATCCACCTTGTCCTGAGCTGGCTCTAAGGTTGAAGGCTCATGTGGGAGCACATCAAGGCTGCACAATGACAGGACAGGACTGAAATCCACCCCCAGGGCCGTAAAGTTTGAGGGACTACAGATCTAGCTGGCGTCATCCCCTCGCCTGACAGATGGGGGAACTAAGGCTCTCCTCTGAGTTGACTGATTAAACCCACTCAGCAGGGCAACGGCAGGATGCAGGAAAGAGCCCCGTGCTGGTCCTTCCCAGTGTGGCCCTCTTTGCTCCATTCCAACCTGGTGCAACCTGGGTGAACCCAGGGAGGAGGGAGGAGGGGAGTGTGTGCACGCCTATGCCGAGGATAACTCGGAAAGCCACCACCAGGCTCGGGGAGACAAGGAGCAGCCACCACCCAGCACTGCCTGCAGCCCCTGATCTCACGCTTCCCGGATGGGTCCTGAGGTGACCTTTCTGCAATAGTGCCGGAAGCCACGGTCGGGTTTACCCCTCACTACAGGAGTCAAAGCTGGTCACCCTGATGCCCCATGACGTCTCCAGATTGCTAGTGACAATCTTTAACCTGGAGCCTGGCATTGTGCCCAAGTAGAAACGGAATGTAACGAGCTACATCACCACTGACCTCCGCCATGACAAGACCCTCCATGACCTGGAGAGTCAGGGTGGGGTCACTGCTGGGACAGGGGCCACATCGTCACTCACCCTCCGCTCTGCTTCTTGAGCTTGGTGCAGAGAAGCAGGTCGGTGAACAGGAAGACGTGGCGCAGCTTGCGGGCCCCCTCCACCAGCTCCACCATGAAGCTGTCCTTCAGCAGCTGCCGGTGCTGCAGGCACAGGGAAGGCTGGGGTCAGGGCCAGCCTGGGGTGATGGGTGGGGGGTGTTCGGCCCTCCCAGCCCAGCAGGAGCAGGTTGACCCAGAGACATTCTCTCCCTGGGAAGATTTCACTCCCTCCACATCTGACCCTCACACCCACTTTCCAGAACGTTTTGTTCATCTCACTGTCCTGCTAACACATCAGGGCTTATGTGTAACTTCTTTGTTCAACAAATTTCCCAATCCCTCCTGTGTGTTCAGCCTTTGGAAGAGGGTGGGAGGATGGGGGAGAGGGGGAGGTAATGGGTGTGGGTCTGAAGGGGCACACAGCCAAGCAAACAGTCTGCTGTGAAGATGGGTGATGGGGGGACCCTCTTTAAACAGGGAAGCCAGTGCCTCTCTGGGGTGGCAGCTGGAGATCCAGAATTGGCAAGAAGCCAGCCATGCCAGGAGCAGGTATTTCTGTAGAGGGACCATCTCAGGCACAGGCCCCTGTGGTGGGGAGAGATTGGTGCCCGAGGTACAGATGTGGCAGTATGGTCTATGGGTGGAGACAGGCCCAGTGCACTCTGAAAAGTGGCAGCCCTCGAGGTCACAGCAAGGGTTGGGCCTGGTTCTGAAGGCAGCAGGAACTGAGGGTCCCACATGTGGAACTCCTAGTCCTCCCAACTAGACAGGATGGATAGGGTCCCCGGTGTGCACGGGCTGCACCTCTGACACCTGCCTGGACACCTGCGGCCTGAGAAGGGTGCCTTTCTGCATCTTGGTCTGCATCTGAAAGGCAAGGGTCGGTCCTTCTTGCTCAAGGGGCTGCTGAATGGGCATGTCTAGGTAAGTCACCCCTGCCTGGTACCTCACAGGGTTGGGCGCTGTGCCGAGGGTACAGGGACAGGAGGAGAGGCTGTCGCAGCAAGCCTTCCCCACGCTGGGACCAGCGCACTGCACGAGCACATCGCCTGAATTATTTGACCCAATCCCCACAACAGGCTGTAGGCAGGTCCTTAATGAGAAAACAGAGCTTCAGGGAGGTCCACCCTCTGTCCCAGGCAGCGCAGAAAGAGAGGGGTAACATTCACAGGCCTCTACCCTCAGGAGTCCACAACCTCGTGGCAGAGAGGCCAAGTGTTTAGTGGGCACCCAGCCCACCTGGTCTCAGGGAAGGCTCACAGGGAGGACGACGCCCGCCCTGCACTGAGAGTCAGAAGGGTTGGCAGGGGAGGCACATACAACAGAGAGTGTGAAAACCCAGTGTCTCCCCGCAGGCGGTGCACCTGTCCTCATCTCGAGAAGTGATGAGGCCTTGTGCTCTCAGGGAGCCAGGCTGGTCCTGGGGCCAGACCAGGCACCTTGCCCTGCTGTCACCTGCAGCCTGAGGTTCTTCTCGGGGAGCCTCGGTCTCTCTGAACTTTTCCCCCATTCTGGGGCCGGAGGCAACAGAGCTCCCCATTTGCAAGAACAGCCTGGGCCAGTCCTCCGACACTCTCAGAGGTGGAGGCTTCATGTCACCATCATAAGCAGCTTGGCTCACGACAGGCAGCCGGCTCTTGCGAAGGGGAACCAATGAATTACGCAGGGGCTGCTGGTGCCCATAAGTGGAAGGGTAGGAAGGCTGCCGGCGTGCCAAGGCCATGACTCATCGGCACTCACCCACACCCCGCCTGCCGAGGGCAGACGGCTGCCTGGTGACGGCACCCACGGGAAGCAAGAAACAGCATGTGCACCTGGAGAAACATCATGTAGAGCTGGAGCGCTGAAGCCGGGTAACCCAAACTGCTGGGTCTGCAGTGGGGACCAGATCTGGGTAGGGTCCCAGGACACTGAGGTCCTTCGGGAAGGACTGCAGTAGGTCCTCTTGGCAGGGACACAGCAAAGGGCCTCCCGGCCAAGGAGGAGGGGTCTCAGGCGCCTTCCTTCTGGGGCAGTGGCGGGGCTGGATGGCAGCCTTCTCCATACAAAGGCAGTGAGCTTCTCGCCATCACCAGCAGAGGGCACCCCATGCTCAGCTCAGAAACTGCAGACCCAGCCCACTCTGCCTGCGGTCAAGAAACGCAGCTCCCTCTCCAGCAGAGGCTGCCCACAACCCACCTAAGGGGCACCCTCGGCCTTCAGCAAGGCTACTGAGTGTCACACTGGGGACCTGTAGCACCCACATGCCGGCTTGCCACGTTGAGAGGACACACAGGCCTGACTGTGGGGAGGAAGTGGCCCCTCTGGGGTGCGGGCTGCAGGCCCGGGAGGCTCGAACAGTGGACTCGGCGGTTTCTGGGCTACTCTTTTGATGCTGCCACAGACTCCCCAACCCCCCACCCACCTGTGCAACTCTCATCTGAGAGAAGCCCGAAAGCCACAGGCAGCCCAGCATGTCACAGCATCTCAGGCCCCGCTCTGCAGTCCCCGTCACTCGGCCCCTGCCTGCCCTCCCAGCCCACACAGCACCAGCACATGGCTGGGAGGCCCACATGGCGTGGCCTATGTCACTCCCTGCCCAGGAGATGTCCCTCTCGGAAGCGCTCAGCAGCCTGGTCCCCGGCCTGGAGTACAGGACAGTTGGCCTTGAGATCAGCACAGGCTTCCTGCATAGCCCACCCGAGTCGTCCTCCAGGGCACACGGCAAGGGTGGGCCGGGGTCACAATCCTGACTGCATCCCAAAGCCGGCATAAGGCCACGTGGCTGGAAACCACTGTCCCCAAGGCTCAGCATCTCAACTAGGGCAAACAGTCCCAGCTGGAGCTGTGGGACAGAGAGGGCCAGGGCCTCAGTGGCCCCGGGACAGGGACGGTACCACACTTTGGCTCCCCGGGGCCATGGGAGTCTGTGTATGAAAAGGGCACAGGGGAAGATCCTATGTGCTCTGCGTCTGTGTGTCCCTGTGTGTCTCCATGTTTCCAGGTGTGTTCATTCTTGTGTGAGTGTGAGTGCCTGAGCGTGCCCTCGTGCGTGGAACCCCACACAGGCCTGTGGCCTGGGTAGGTGTGTGCCCGTGTGTCTCACTGTGTGCATCTCCATGTTTCTGTGTGTGTGTTCCCATGCAAGGGCATGTCCTGTGCGTGTCAGGCCTGTGTGTGTCCTGGTGCAAGTAACCCCGTGTGGGCATGGGTCCCTGTGTGTGCTTCAGAGCGGGGCAGGGCAGTGGGACAGCAGGCCCCAGTTGGCAGGACAACACTCCCTTTGGGGAGCCCCCCCACATCCCAGGTGGGAAACACCAGTTGGAAGAAACGCCACCTGTCTTCTTGAATAACTAAAATCATCATCCCCACAGGAGCCCGCAGAAAGCAAGGGTGGCCAGGACAGCCTGCATCTTCACTGTCCCGAGCCCACCCTTCTCCTTCTCTGTGACGATGATGCTGGCTATGCTCCTCCATTTCTTGGAGCCTCTGTTTCCTTAAACATGATGGGGTGAGAAAGACCAGTCTGGTGGTATGTTCTGAGGATTAAATGAAACTGCGACCTGCAGGGCCTCACACGGGGCTGTCACCCTTCGCCATGTCCTCTGCAGGTGGGAATGTGACAGTCACAGCTTCCCATGAATCACACCACTCACTCCTCACCAGGACTCTACAAGGCAGGCACCATAACCCTGATTTCTACACACAAGGAAACTGAGGCCCTGTGAGGTCACATTATGTGCCCTGTCTTCTGAGGAGGGGGTCGCATCAGGCTGGTGGGAGTGAGGAGGGGCACCTCCTTGCTAAGGGGACTTCCCCCAGGCCAGCTGCCTCCTCCAGCTGTTGCCAGTGCAACATCACCCCCAACCCCAGGCACAGCCTATCCAGGGCCTTCCCAGGAAGGCCAGTCTGGAAGAAGCATACTGTTAGGGCTGAAAGTTTCTGTCCCCCTCAGAATTTATGCTGAGGCCCTAACTCCAATGGGCTGGTATCTGGAGGTGGGGCCTTTGCGAGGTGAGTAGGTGTAGATGAGGTCATGCGGTGGAATCCATGTGATGGGATGAGTGTCCTCATAAGAAGGAAAAAAAGAGAGGTCCTTTTCTCTCTCCATGTCCACTCCCAGGAAGGCCATGTGAGGGTACAGTGGGAGGGTGGCCGTGCTTCTCACTGCCCTCATCAGAACCTGACCCTGCTGGCACCCTGCCGGATCTCCAGCCTCCACCACTGTGAGAGGTAAAGGCCTGTGTGTGAGCCTCTCAGCAGATGATACTTTGTTACAGCAGCCTGAACCGACTACGACATGCTCCAGGAATCAGAGACCATGGCTCCATGGAGATGCTGGAAAACTTCCCCAGGTACACGAACTACAGTCTGATCATCAACAAATCAGCAGGGCCTTGACTGGTGAGACAAGGAAAAGTTGCCAAAGAAGCCCACATAGCAGCTGAGGAAGTGGAGAAGGAAGACGGCCCAAGTGAAGACCAAGGTGGAGCTTCCAGCTGCTGGCTGGTGGGGGGGCCCTGGAGGCAGCCAGTGGCCTCAGCCCCCGCTACCCTGCCCCCAGAGCAAAGCGCACACCCCTGGAGACCTGGCTGAGTGCCACTGAACTGGCTGCCACTGCCTGTCAGTGGCCCTGTCTATGCAGGGATGTGGCAGACTCCAGAGGTTTGGCAGTGGGACCAGGAGCAAGGAGGGTCACCAGGCAGGCCAATATACACTGCAGCCGAGAATGAGGTCAAGGGTCCTGCTCGCCCTTCCCTCCCTCTCACCTGCTCTTGACTTGCCCTCCCTGCAGACTCTCTGGTCCCCAAGAAAGCCTCCCATGGCCAATCTGGCCGAGAAAGTTTCCTATGCCCTGAGAGACACTATGCCAGGAGGAGGGTAGGGCAGGGCCTGGGAAGAACAATGCTGGCTGACAGCCACAGTCAGGGTGGCTGGTAGCAGCTAATGTTTGCTGAGCTCTTTCTGGGTGCCAAGAAGGTGTGAAAAGAGCATGACGTAAAACATCTCATCTCACTCCACAGAACCCTCCCATGCAGCAGGCTCCAGCTCCACCACTTCCTGGAGAAGAAACAGCTAAGAGGTAAGCAACGTGCCCACGCTCCTGGAAGGAATTAGAACTTGGCCCAGACAAGCCGAGAACCCAAGCTTTGTTTGCCAATGTTTATGAAGGGCCCAGAAAGGCCCAGCCCTCGACATGGGCACTAGCCTTGCACTTACAGCTTCTGTTTGGTGTCCAGTGGAGCTGAGAACCCCACCCATCCTGTCTTCACCCCTGGGGTGGGCACCTCCCTCTCCGTAGCACCCCTTGCAAACTTTGCCAACAGGGTCTGGCTTCTCCAACTGTTTTCCAACTCTTTTTTTTTGAGACGGAATTTCACTCTGTTGCCCAGGCTGGAGTGCAGAGTGCAATGGCGTGATCTCAGCTCATGGCCACCTCCGCCTCCCAGGTTCAAGCAATTCTCCTGCCTCCGCCTCCGGAGTAGCTGGGATTATAGGCACCTGCCACCATGCCTGGCTAATTTTTGCATTTTTAGTGGAGACGGGGTTTCACCATGTTGGCCAGGCTGGTCTCAAAGTCCTAACCTCAAGTGATCCACCCGCCTCGGCCTCCCAAAGTGCTGGGATTACAGGTGTGAGCCACCATGCCCAGCCTGTTCTCCAACTCTTTAATCATCAACTGAAAGACCTTGGTTCTCCTCTGCCCGAGCCTCACCATCTCTCAGCCTCAAGCCTGCACTGGTGGTACTTCCCTCCTCCAGGGCCTTCCTGCAGCTCCTGTTTGGACTGCTGTCTGTGTTCTTCCTAAAAGAGGGGCCTCTGCAATCCCAGGCAGAGAACGGGTATTGGAGGTCAATGCCTGGCTGGCTCTTGGGAAACAGAACATCCAAACTGGATCGTCCGCTATGCTTCCGAGCCCAGGCGGAGGGGGTGCTGAGCAGCACGTGGTGCCAAGGCTCCGAGTAGACAGAGAGGCAACCACGTGGGAAGTCACCCAGCAGTGGGGATTGGTTATCTAACTGTGAAGTTAATTCACCTAAACAAATGAGCGCCACCCACCAGCCCTCAGAACCCAGGCCTGGAAAGAAACTGTGCCTGCGGGATCCTTTGATCCTGTCATTTTGGGAAGGCTAAGGAGGGCATTCTCTTGGGCAGCACCTGTGGCTCACGGCCCCCAGGTGTGCTTGGGCCAGGATGCCAGGAAGCTGGAGCACCTGCCGGCCACCGTTCAGCATCAGGGAGCTACCTGGAATGCAGCCCAAAGTCACTGTTCCCCAAAGAGCACAGCCCTGGAGCCATGGGATGTGGCTGAAAAGGGCAATGAGATTATAGGAGCCACAGTGGGGGTCTGGGGCTGGGGTGGCTGACCCTGCAGAGGGCTCATACCTGGGCCTCTCCTCGATGCCAGACTTGCCCAGGCTCAGCAGGTAGCAATGGGCCACCTCCCAGGAGGCCCAGTAGTGACTGCAGGAGAACCTCGAAACACCCAGGCCAACAGAAGCAGCTTTCCTCTTGACATCAAATGCCAGGGAAGACAGAAACAGCCCCAACCCCTTGACACACTCCCAGCAGCAGCAGCAGCAGCAGGGGATGGGGTAGTGTGCGGAGCTAAAAGGGACATCTCTTCCTCTTTCCTACCTCCAGGTAGTGCAGGAACAAGAGGAGGGGTGGAAACGTCCTATCGGCTCACAGAGGAGGAAGGGAACCAAAGAGTAACACACCCGAGGGGCACACAGGCGGCCAGGGGCCCATGGCCTCACTCGCATCCTGGCTTAGCTACTTAGTGGCTGTGTGACTGGGCAAGACACTCAACCTCTCTGAGTCGCAGTTTCCTCATCTGTAAAAGGGAGATCACCTCTGACCCCACAGAACTGTCATGAGAATGCAGAGGCACAGTCCCTTTCTCCCTTTGGGAACTTGACACTCCATGTCATGTACCAAACTAAGAGATGGGCAGAACTGAGAAAAGTTCAGGCCCTGCCCCTGGCTGCAAATTCTAAGAGGAAGTAGCCTGGAGCTTCTGCCCCCCTTTCCTGGCTAGTGTCGTCAGGGGAGCTCGCCCGTCACCTCCGACACAGATGGCAGCATGCGGGCAGGCCACCACCCCTCACTTTCATAAAGTCCCTCGCAGGCTGTGAAACCTTTTCAGTCTCAACACCCAGTGGAGGGGCCACGGACCCTGCATCATTGCCCTCAGAGAGCACGGACACCCAGGGAAGCAAAAGGGTGTCCCCAAATCAGTACACTGGTAGCAGTGAGGGAGAGCGGACCCTGACGGGGCTTCGCCCATCTGGCATCTTTCTTTCTGCATCAAGGACTGCAAACCCGTTGGGCAGTGCCAGGGGATACCGAGGTGGATGTCCAGGCTTGGAGTGCCCAACTGATCAGCAGCATCTGCCCCAGGAATGGCAGGGGCAGGGGCAAAGCACAGGCATCTATCATCCTGCCTTAGCCACCATCAAGCCACCTCCCTTAACGTGCCTCGGATAGAAAGCTCTGAGTGAAGGGGTGCTGGTCAGACTCACGGTGACTTTTCTAGAGTCATTAGTCCTCCACCTTGCTTTGCAGCTAAGGCACCCAGGTGACCCCTCCTCAATGAGCAAGTGCCCCTCCACCAGGGCGAGGTCCTGGGGAGGATGCAGATCCAGGCCCCTGCCTTTGTGAAGCAACCAGCCCTTTTTTTTTTTTTTTCTTTTTTTTGAGACAGAATCTCGCTCTGTTGCCCAGACTGGAGTGCAGTGGCACAATCTCGGCTCACTGCAACCTCCGCCTCCCAGGTTCACGAGATTCTCCTGCCTCAGCCTCCTGAGTAGCTGGGACTACAGGTGCCCACCACCACGCCCAGCTAATTTTTTGTATTTTTAGTAGAGATGGGGTTTTATCGTGTTAGCCAGGATGGTCTCAAACTTCTGACCTGGTGATCCGCCTGCCTCGGCCTCCCAAAGTACTAGGATTACAGGTGTGAGCCACCGCGCCCAGCCGCACCCAGCCCTTCTTAAATTACACTTCCTCCTTGGTGGCCCCGAGACATGACCATGGGTAAGCGTGGAAGTTGGCCCCCATGGGGACGGATGCAGGAACGAGGGCCTAGGTGTCAACTTCTAGACAACATCGCGTTTTCCTTAATTCCCCAAAGCAGTGGATTCCAATGATCCGAGCACTGAGAAGGCCCTTCCTTGTCTCTAGGAATGCTAAATGGCAGCTGCAGTTGCAGGGAGCAGACTAGGCACAGGAGAAGCCATGGGAAAAAGGACGCCCACACTCACTTCCCAGGAGGTCAGAGCGCTCATAAAAGAATAGTCGGTAGAAGAGAAAGAGCAGGCATCTCAGGAGGGTAGGGCGAACCTGGCAGGAACCCACCCAGCACGTGGAGGCTTAGGAGAAGCAAATCCAACATCCACTTAGATCTGTGTGGACTGCCCACAGGTTTGTCACAGGTTTGCTCTCCTTCTGGGGCCCTGAGCCAGGGAAGAGAACCAAGGGCAGGGCCCGGTTGTTGCTCCAAGAAGCAAGATCTGATCCCCCACCACTCCCAGGTCCCAGCCATGGGATGAGCAGCTGGGGAACACTTGCACTGCTCAACGCCTCCACTGGAAGGTGCCGGGGACCCACTTCCGCCTTCAATGCGCTCAGAGACTGCCAAGGAGCCAACACGGATGGCGAGGACTGCCACTAAATCATGCCCATTTGACAGCCCAGGTGCCCGATGAGGTGGGGCCATGTTCCCACCCTGCTGCAAAGACAAGGAATGGGCCCAGTTGGGAGAAGCTCTAGGCCACCCAGTGGGTCGGTCCTCACGATGCTGGCATGGGACTCTGAGTCTGCCCAGCTCCAGGGCTTGGACAAGCCGGAGAGCGGAATGGAAGGGACAGCTCCCTCCTCCTCCATGCCCTTCCTGGGCCAGGCCCACCAGGAGAAACCTGACCAAGTCCCTCACTAAAGGTCAACTCGGATTAGACTCTGGACACTCAGGGTACCATTCCCAAAGTGGTGTGTGGCAGATGGGGCTGACAGCTGCCTGCCTGGTGGCCCAGGGCAGGAGGAGGAAAGCAAGCCCCATGTGTTGGGCAGGTCCACCCTGGGGGCCCTGAGGACAGGGCCCGTGTCCTTGGTACAGTGCCGACCACCTGGCCCATGAACCAGAAGAAAGAGAAGGAGGTGGTTCTCTTTTTTTTTTTTTTTTTTTTTTTTGAGATGGAGTTTCACTCTGTCACCCAGGCTGGAGTGCAGTGGTGAGATCTCGGCTCACTGCAAACTCCGCCTCCTGGGTTCAAGCGATTCACCTGCCTCAGCCTCCCGAGTAGCTGGGATTACAGGCACCCACCACCGTGCCCAGTTAATTTTTGTATTTTTAGTAGAGACGGGGTTTCACCATGTTGGCCAGGCTGGTCTCGAATTCTTGACCTCCTGATCCACCCGCCTAGGCCTCCCAAAGTGCTAGGATTACAGGCGTGAGCCACCGCACCCAGCCATGAGGTGGTTCTGAGGCAACTACAGTCAGGTTCACGCCCAGCCTGTGTCCTGCCTGGGCCAGACAGCTTCTGTCCCTGCATGAGACCCCTGAGGCCGGGGGTCAGCTCCCCTCGCCTCAGTGCTGCTTCTGACAAAAGCTGTTCCCCCTGGACACTGGCTCCCCAGCTTACACGCCTTGGCTGTTCTCAGTAGCTGCTACCTGCCTGGGAATGCATCTGCCTCATTATGTGCCAGGCCACACCTAGGAAGGCTCAGAGCGGCACAGGCACAGGCCATGCCTGCTCATCGATGATGTGCACACAGAGTACATCAGTGACGGGGGGGAAGGGGAAGGAGAGTCTTCCCGGAGGAAGACGTGAAGTGCTTCAACCAGTCTCACGTCACAGACACAAACCACGAACCCCACTTTCTAATCCTTAAACCCGATGTTAACTGTTTTTTAATGAAAGCACTCAGGGGGAAGTAGGAGGATTCCAGGCAGACAAAATGCCATCCTCCTACTCACCTCCTTTGCACAAGTCTCCTTGGCTGGGGAGCCTGAGCTGGCAAGACTGTGGGGGATAAAAAAAAAGGGGTCCCTGGACACAACCCACAATGACAGAAAAGGAAAGAGGTGGCTGAGTGAGGCATGGTGATGGCTGCCACCTGGAGGGCATGGTGCTTGCAGGGTCACCCCTGAGACTGCACCCAGACACCTTCCACACAGGACTGAGTGTGCGGCCAATCTCACCAATCCCAGAAGGCAAGGTCTGCTGAGGACCAGGAAGGGCTCCAGACCTCAGATCGAGGGGCCCTGCATGCCCCCAGCTCAGCAGGATGGGTGGACCCAAGCCATCCCCTGCCACACTCACCTCTCCCTTCTTCACCGTCATGGACTGCCGTCGGGGTGTGATCTCCTCATTGATGCTGGACAGGAAGTTCTGTGAGATGCGGAGGGCGTCCTGCAGCAAGGGGTGGTCAGGGTGGCTGGCAGGAGTGTGCTTCAGCAAGTCCTGCCCCAGGAAGAAAGACTTGAGTTAGACACAGAGGAGCACTGGCACCTGCCACTGTGTGCAAAGTGCAGACACAAAGTGTGGACGGAGCCCAGAGCGCCGGCTCCCTCAGTGTCACCACAGTCTCTCTCACTTGGGCCCCAGCTTTGTGGACAGAGCTTGTGTGAGCACCATCCTGGAAGCAGGTCCTACATGTGTTCCAGCAAACTCACGCTGCATGCACATGGCCAAGAAGGACTCCTCTGTAAGGATCTAGGGCAGGGTTTCTCAACCTCAGCACTGTGGACATTTTGCGTGGAGTAACTCTTTGTGGAGGGACAAGAGAGAGCTGTCCTTTCCCTACAGAATGTCCAACACCACCCCAGGCCTCTACCCATTAGATGCCAGTAGCACCCCCTTGGCTGCAGCTATGACAACTAAAAAAAGGTCTCAGAACATTGTTGCTGTGTGTGCCCGAGGGGGCAGTTTTGGTCCCGGTCCAGAGGGGCGCTGTGACTTACATGGAGGACCAGCGTGCTCCTCGTCACACGGTCCACAGGCTTGTAGAGCAGAGCTGTGGAGAGAGAGGGGAGGTGAGAGAGGTTGCACATGGAGAAGCACACCAGCTGCCTGACCACCCTCGGTGCAAGGGTGAGTGGGGAGGGGGCTGCCCCAGCCTCCACAGGCCCCATCTCCCCTCTGCGCAGTGACAAGGGCAAGGCTAGAGCACCCAACAGGAACACTTTAAGTCCAGGACATTCACTGCATGCAGAGTCCAGAGCGGCTGTCAGACCCGAGCCTGCATGGCTGGCTCGGTGGCAACAGCTGAAAAGGCTCAGCACTGCTGCTCCTCTAGCCTGAGGTCAGGGAACCCACCCTGGCAAGGACGGGCTGGGGTGGGCCCCAATTCTGGAGGGAGACCTGCTCCCCAGCCCAGAGGGTAAGCTGAGCAGACCTCTTAGCTGCTCTTACCATCGATCCCAGGACATTTCAGACACCTGACTCTGAGACAAGCAGAAACCTACTCAGATGCCAATACAACTCTTGGTTTGACAGGTTCTCTGGCGACCTGCCCGAGGACACCCGGACTCCAGAGGCACATGAGCCCCACTGCAGTGGGAGCAACTCCCTGGCATGGTGGGAGCCCTGGCCAGCCTCAGCCACCCGTGCTTCTCCATGATGACAGTGAGTGTGGCCCGTCCCAGGCACAGACGCTCAGGTGTGTTCTGAGACATGCCAAGTATGTTCTTCACAAGACTCCCACAACCAGCATAAGGCACTCATCGCTATTTTCATTTTGCAGATAGGGAAACTGAGGCTTGGAGGACAAAGCTCCGGGGGCTGCTGTTCTTTGCAAGTGTAACTATTCACAACACCCTAACAACTGAAAATAAGAAGTGACTGACAATTCCTGACAGCACTTTCCCAGCAACTCTGGACTCAATTCCTGCCCAGCCACTTAAAGCCTGTGCTCTGCACAGATTACTTTATGACCAAACTTGTCATTGGCAAAAACAGAAAATAAAATCCTTGTTACTGCCAGGTGCGGTAGCTCACACCTGTAATCCCAGCACTTTGGGAGGCCAAGGCACTTTAGGTCAGGAGTTCAGACAAGCCTGACCAATACGGAGGGAAACCCCATCTCTATTAAAAATACAAAAATTAGCTGGCTGTGGTGGTGTGTGCCTGTAATCCCAGCTACTCGGGAGGCTGAGGCAGGAGGATCACTTGAACCCGGGAAGTGGAGGTTGCAGTGAGCCAAAACTCCGCCTCAAAAAAAAAAAATCCTCCTTATGAGGCCACTGGGGTCAACAGGATAACATTTAAGTCAATTTAAGCAGCACCTTGTTGCTAATGTTGGTGGCAAACTGGTCCTGATGGTATCCTTCCCTGCCCTCCCTGAGCTGTTCTTTCCTCGTGCCCACTCTATCTGAAGAGAGAACAGGGAAGGCACCAAGGGATGACCCAAGTGGGCACTGTGTCTGCTTTTCCACAACGCCCCCTCTGCCAGCAGCAGCCTCCCTGACGAGGGCACACAGAGACCTCAGCATGCAGAACTCACTTTCCAGAGAGTTCTTGGTCGTTGGATCCTTGGCATCTTTGTTGCTTCTGGCTCTCAGGTTCTGCAGAGAGAAAAGCGCATGTTCACACAGATGACAGAAGCAGCTTTGATGATGCAGACAGTTCCCCCTTTGGCAACAATTTCAGCTTTCCCTCACTACAACAAACCCCAGGTGCATTCTGAGCTGATAATGAAGTCACAGGGTGTGCAGGGACCCACGAGCAAGCCGAGCACGCAGGATGCCCTGGATGCTGCGGTCCACCTGGGACAGGGCTTCTCAGCCAGGTCACTGTTGACATTTTGGGCTACAGATTCTCTGAGCAGCTGTCCTGGGCACCTTAGGGTGCTGAGCAGCTGCCCTGGCCTCTACCTATAGGTACAGGAGCACGTCTGCCTTCCTGCTGTTTTGACAACCAAAATGTCTCCAGGCATTGCCAAGTGTCCCTTGTGAACAAAATCACGCCTGGCTGAGATCCTCTGACACAGAGGATCCTGTAAATGGAGGCCAACAGGAGCATGCTCCTAAACACACGTCACTGTTTTCTTGGGGCAATTAGACAGCATGCAGGGGGCTGCCAGTTCCGAAGAGCACCCATCTTTGGAGACGGCCAGGGCAGGCCCACCACTGCAGACTGACACTGGATTATACCTCCACCTGCCCTCTCCGGATCTGCAAGTGTACTTACTAAAAAATGAGGTGCTAAGATTCCCAGGGCAAAAGCAGGGCTTGTAAGTGAATAGCCTAGGCTGTTTTGATACAATTGTGTTGAAAGCATCACTGGAGAAGTGCAGAATAAAAGATCCCTGTGTGCCTAAAATCCTCTGGGAAGGAGCTGAGATTAATTCCTGGTACTAAGCTTCTGAACAAAAGCATAAACAGAGACAGAAGAGGTTCTGAGGTTGCTCTGCCAACCTCTTGTGCTGCAGGAAACATCTCAAGACCAGACGAAAGTGTTTTCCAGCTCACTGGGGCCAAACGCTGCCATGCACTTTGGTACCTTTCCTGAGAGTTTAACAGCCCTCGCAGTGACTGTTCTTCTGTATATCTGACTCAGCAGTTCCCAAAGGGTGTAAGGGGGTGGGAGAGCCAAACAAAAGACTGCAAAAACCAGGTGCTGGGCTCACAAGAGCCTGGGAGGCGGCCCACGTGTCCGTGGACAGTGTGATGCTTGGGAGTTATCTAGGAGCTCCAGGAAAACCTGCCTCAAGAAAACTTGTGAGTTTGGTTTAACCCTGCATTTCCCAAACTGGCCTGACTCCCAAAGCCCTTTTCATGTAATTCCTATTCCTACCGTCTGGAGAGCTGGTGTTCCATGGAACCAGATCTAACTGGATGCTGCCCATCTCTCAGGACTGTCCCAGGAGAAGACGGACACTACTCCACTCCTTCCTGTACTTGAGGGTGATCTTCGAACTCCCACGCCTGAGCACTGACCCCCCAACACCTCTGCAGGGCTTGCTGCTTTCTCTTCCTTGCGTTTGACTCTGCTTTCTTTGGGTGGCTCCAATTCCTCTGGGTCTTTTTTGAAACACAGAGAACCAAAGTGCATGTCGCCCTGATGGTGCAGGTGCCACAAACTTTCACGGTGGGTCGGTTTGCAGCTGGTCCTGAGCCCCATCCCACTCCCTGCATCTCAACCATGGCTCAGAATCCACTGGTGCATGGTTGGTGGCACCACGTGATCCCCAGGTGGCGTCCCATGGTGTTTCCTCCCTCCTCTGCAGAAACCTGTCTGGGTGGACTTGAACTTGCCCGCTTAACTGTAACCTGTTCTTAAAAGATCAGGTCCCTGATTTGTCAAGGTCACTTGAAATTCGATGCCACCATTCCAGCTGTGGGGGAGGAGGGTTGCTCATTTAATGAAAAAGGAAAAGAGAACAGATTGAATGGTCCAGAGGGAGGCTGGCAGTGGGGAGGGAGCTGGAGCCCCGGATACATGCAGAGCCTGTTACCAGCAGCACCTGGCGGAGCAGGGTGCCCCACAGACTCTGGAAGAACAGAGCGGCAGGTACTGTCACCACTGGAGACATCAGAGCGAAGCCCGTGATGCTCCATCCGGTGATAAACAATAAGACGGCACAAAGCCTCAGCAACAAAGCCCAGGGGTGACAGCTGAGGGTGTCCCAGCAAGGGTGACCGCATTCACTCCCTATTTCTAGTGCCCATGCCTCTTTCTAACCCTGCGGTTCTCACACGGAGGGCTTTCTGCTCAGAACCCTTGCTGGGTGGGGGAAAGCCAAGTCAGAAGGCAAAGCTACAGCGAGATGGGGGGCTCATGAAGAGGCAAGGGCCTCCAAAGAGGAAAATGTCGCAGAGTGACCACCAGGCAGACACAGGCTGGAGAAGGGCAGAAAGAACCCCAGTCTGGAGTGCAGACCCAGGGGTGTGGCTGGGTTCTGGTTCTGGCTGGGCCACCAGCCTTCTGAATGGCCCATTCATGGTCTCTGTTTCTGAATGACTCTTTCGAGGCCCTGGGCGCTAACACCACATGGTTTGAGGTTTCAGCTTCCTGGGGCTAAATGCAGGCAGGGAGTCAGCAGCCTCTCAGACCTGGGGCCTGGGTTAGTGCAGCTCCAACCTGTCGCTTTGCTCCCCACATGGGTCCACAGAGCACAGGTGCCATGAGCCCTCGCCCCACGGCGCTAGCCCCTCAATGCTTCCTCAATGCTCTCAAGGTCTCTGGCAGGCTAGAAAAGGAAGAGTGGGCCACCTCCGGCCTCGCCTCCAGTGCCAGGTACAAAGTCAGCCTCAGGACTCTTGTGGAGAGAGCTGCTCACAGGCAGAACTACAGACACCCCTCACTGCAGACAGACAGTGCAAAGAGTGTCCCCGGAACTCGGCAACCCCCAGAATCAGGCCCTCGCCCCCGGGGAGGCAGGACGCCCTGTGGGCTGCTCCTTCGGTCTGCGCACAACAGCATCCCCAGCACAGGGCTGACGCAACGAACCCAACAGAATCTGGAAACAGCTGGGGTTCACGACCAGATCTTGATCTGGTGCACTCTGTTCTCCTCGGGAGGTGGAGGGTACAGGTGGGAGTCAGCGGTGCACCTGTCTGAACGGCATCAAGGCATTACCTCGGAGATTTCTGCAAACTGAGCATTGGCCTGACAGCACTTCTCAGCCATTTCCATGGCAACTCCGTAGTTGTCCACGAAGGCCCGGTACACACCCAGCTGGCTGGCCTGAGGGGGAGGAAGGAAGAGAGAGTGGGACAGGTGCTGCTGCTCCCCCATCTTTCTGAAGAGCAGGCTCCCGTGCACAGCTCTGCAGAAACTCCAGGGACAGCAGACGGCACACAGGCTGCAGAGGCCTCGGCGCTTCCGTGCTGCTCCCTCCCACCTGCTCCCCTCCCCACGCACCCAGCACACTTCCCGCTCCCAAAATGACATGCTGAGAAGTGACTCACGGCGCCAGGCAGGTAACAGTTCCCTTCCAGAGCTACTTATTCCTCCCACCCCATTCGCTGAAATGGTGCCATGAGCGGCAGCTGAAGTTTGAGGTTGTCAGTGAATCTGGACAAGTGTCTGTGCTCAGCACTTTCCCATTCTGGCTGCAAGAGTGTACCCTGGACACAGAGGTCACCCCCTTTCCCACCCATGGTGTTCCACGCATGTCCAGTCCCTTCAGACACATAAGAAATGCCAAGTCCGGCCGTCTTTGCAGAAGAGAGCCTCCCACTGCACAGACACAAGCCCATCCTGGGCCTGGTGAGGGTGCTCAGGTGTCATGCTACACACCTGGTGGGGGGAGACCGACCGGCTGTAAGGCGAGAGGTGTTGTTTGTTCTTTATTAAACCAATGGCAATAATAGATCTCCTCACTGCACCTCCAGCTCAGACACACACTCGATTCAGCAACAACTTGTGTGAGTGCAGCAGACACTGCCATCTCTGGGCCCCACAACACCTTTATGGGCAGCGAGGGAAAAATCAGCAAACCTAGGCCTGGGGAGTATAAGGGCAGACCCAGGAGATGCACTGGTCAGGGCTGGAGACTCCCACTGTAGCTGACTGCAAGCTGGAAGCCCAAGGCATTCACGGCTCCTGGTGTTTGTTTTGTGTCAAACCTAAATTTTATTTCCATGTGCATTTGCATTTATATTGAATTTTATGTTTCTACAGATGACAATCCCAGATGCTGGATAAACCAGGCACCCTTGGCACTGTCTGATCTTCTGGCCCTGCTCCCTACAAGGGCTGCAAGAAGGGTCTTAGAGTGTACGAGGAAAGGGTAGCAGCTGGAAGACACCTGCCAGGCCCCTGCCATGCTGACCACCTGGAGGAGTCCTTGCATCCTCCAATTCTAGGTTCTTCCTCATCCGTGCAGTGATGAGGCCCAGAGCTCTTCCTTCTTTCCCTCCTCCCTCCTTTGCAAGTCACTGAGTGCCTCCCAGCCTTGGTACAAAGCAGCCAAGGGCCTGCTTTAGGCCTTGTCACCGCAGTGGTAAACAATTCAGACACGGCGCTGCCCTCTGAAGCTGGTGTTCTAACAGGACAGTGCCTGATAAACACATGCATGAACACACACAAGCAAAGTAATGGCAGATGGTTATAAGCAGGACAGGGACTGAGAGCAAGGAGACTGCTTTTGAGAATGTGGTCAGGACCAGGACAGCCTCTCAGAAGAGGTGACAGCTCAGCAGGGTCTCAGGGGTCTTGGGAAGAGGACTCCTTTCAAGACTTCTCCTCCCTCCTGCTCCAGGAGCTCACATCTTCCAGGTGGCTTGTGCAAAGTTCTAAGCAATTCCTTTCCACATTTTTCACTAATCAAAAATGTGCCTCCGGATCTGATGCACTGAGAAGCACACAGCCTCGCTGCTGTGGTGCTGTTACGCAGAACGTGAGGCTATTCCTGAGGAAACTGGCAAACCCGAGTGGGCCTGTGCCCTTCAAAAAATGTCAAGGTTGTCTGGGCACGGCGGCCTGTAATCCTAGCACTTTGGGAGGCCGAGGCAGGCAGATCACCTGAGGTCAGGAGTTCAAGACCAACCTGGCCAACATGGCAATACCCAGTTTCTACTGAAAATACAAAAATTAGACGGGCGTGACGGCGCATGCCTATAATCCCAGCCACTCGGGAGGCTGAGACAGGAGAATCGCTTGAACCTGGGAGGCAGAGGTTGCAAGGAGCTAAGATCACGCCACTGCACTCCAGCCTGGGTGACAGAGCGAGACTCCATCTCCAAAAGGGAAAAAAAAAAAGGCAGGGTGCGGTGGCTCATGCCTATAATCCCAGTACTTTGGGAGGCTGAGGCGGGCGGGTCACCTGAGGTCAGGAGTTTGAGACCAGCCTGGCCAACATGGTGAAACCTTGTCTCTACTAAAAACACAAAAAAATTTAGCTGGGCATGGTGGCACGTGCCTGTAGTCCCAGCTACTCAGGGAAGCTGAGGCAGGAGAATCGCCTGAACCCAGGAGGCAGAGGTTGCAGTGAGACAAGACTGCACCACTGTACTCCAGATTGGGCGACAGAGTGAGACTCTATCTCAAGGAAAAAGAAAAAAAAAAAGTCAAGGTCATGGAAGACAAGCAAAGTCTAAGGAACTGGTACAGATGGAAGGAGACTAGAGAGATGGGACAACCAAGTACATAACATGATCTTAAACCGGGTCCTGAATCAGAGAATGAAAACAGCTGTGAAGAATGTAATTGTTAACTTGGGGGAAGTTTATATGAACTACATATTAAATAATAGTATCTCATGAATGTGAAATTTCCTGAATTTGACAAATTCTACTGTGAGTTATAGGAATGTCCTTGTTCTTAGCAAATGAAGTATTCAGGGGGAAAACTTCTTGTGCTTGTGTGTGTATGTGTCTATGTGCGTTTGCGTGTGCACAGAAAGAGATAAAGCAAATGTGGCAAAAAGTTCCCATCAGTGTATCTGGATGAAGGCTATACTAGAGCTCTTTGCCCCATTCTTACAGTTCTCCTGTAAGTTTGAAATAATTAGAAAAATAAAAATTCTGAGTTGATAAAACTTCAGCCAGAACCACAACCCAGAGCAGGGAAGTCAGCCCGTGCAGCCCCACAGGAGGAGGTGGCAGAAGCCGCATCTGAGTCTGGCTTTCTGAACCACTGGACGTGGATCACGAGTTCCTGGGCTTGGAAGAGGCACCGGAGCTGGGAAGGGCACTGCAAGCTCCTTTGGTCCTAAGACTTGTCCAACCCGGAAACCTGACAGAGCGATGCTGGGCCAACCCTACTGAGCTGGTCATGGGGACAAGGGCAGGCACCGGGCCTATCTGTCCTTGGGGAGTCCCCAGCACCCAGCCCAGGTTGAACACACGTGAGTACTCAGCTCGTCGTTATGGGGAACAACTTCCCACTGCAACGCCAGCCTCTCCTCCGAGTCTTCCGGCTGCATCATCTGACGCATGAAGGTAGCTCAAGGCCTCCAGGGCAGCCAGCGGAAACCTTCCAAAGTTAAATTCCAGTGTTCCTCAGATATTAAAGTTTTAAAAAAGTCTCTGAGTGATTTCGGAATATTATCTGGCAAAGAGCTCTGGATGTGTGTTTTTTTCCCCCCAACAACACGATTCTCCATTTCTCAGGAGGGCGGCAGGCCAAGTCACGTCCACTAGGTTTTTTTTCTTTTTTTTTCTGTGAACAATCAAGCTTTATTTTTACAAAAATGAAAATTGTAAAATCTCTCAACAGCCAGCCTGAGGTAGGGCTGGCTAGAACTCACTCAGAACTGCTGGGTTCCCTTTGCCCTCTCTTGGTTTCAAAACAAAACCAGGCCACAGTGCCCCAGGAATGAACCTCTGGCCCCGAGAGGTTGGTCAAGCGTGAGGTCTGGCTGGTGCTAGCGGGCTATTGGCAGCCTCACCTTTCTTTCCAGGAAGTGGCAGAAAGAAACCACCTGGGAAGGCGGGAGAACCTCACCTCACTCTGTAGGCTATCACGGCTCTAATAAGGGGTGTAGGATGGGCCTCTCCAGGCCAGATCCTTGCTCTGGCCAAACAGAGTCGCAGGGCCGAGGTTCAGCTGCACTCCTCTAAAGCAGCAGGTCCTGCCTCTCCAACAGGTTCCTGGGAGGGACTGCATCTCTGGTAAGCCACAAAGCTCCAGGAGTCAGAAGCCTCTACTGCAAGGTGCCTGAGCACTGGGGTCACAGGCCCAGGAGCACAGTGGGGCAGTGGGGAGGAACTATCACTGCACCCTTCATGCAAGAGAGGTCCCTGACTCACTGGTCTCCTTGGCCCACAGGCAGGGGTGGCCCTGACGGTCACGGGTTTTGAATATCCAGGACGTGGAGGTTGTAAGACAGCGCAGCATAGAGATGCTTGGTGGTGAGATGCAGGCAGTACACAGGGCTGCCGAGGCGGGTCGACGTCAGCGGGAAGGTGTGCGGGCAGGCCCTTTGGTGCCGGTCCCACAGCCGTACAACGCTATAGAAGGAGGAACCTGTGGCAAGCAAGTGGTTGCCATCTGTCTGCAGGCAGTACAGGGTGCTGTTGTGGGGCTCCTCCCACTCCATGACACATTTCCGGACACTGGTGCGGCAGTCCCAGTAGCGAACATAGGTGTCATAGCCACAGGAGAGCAGTGCGAAAGGGGACTCATATATGACATCCAGCACCCCAGCCCTTGGGGGAAAGTCTCTGTCCAAGTGTGTCATCAGCTGCCCACTGTTGAGGTCCCAGATTTTCAGGGGTGAGAAGTGCCCACAACAAGCCGTCCCTGTCACAAAAGAGCTGAGTAATGGCCTGATAGCAACAGACCAGATTTGGTCTTCAGTCTGGATGGTGTATAAACACTACCCCAGCTGGCCTGAGGCCAAAGGCCACACCTTGGCCGTCCTGTCCCTGGAGCCACTCACAATGATATGATGCCCCCTTTGCAATCCACACAGTTCACCTCCTGTTCATGAGCCCAGTACTTGGCAGCGAAGGTGCTGTGAATCTTACCAAGGCCAATCTTCCCATCTCCTCCTGCACTGACAATATGCGAGGTGGCCAGCACAAAGTGGCAAACGTCCTCATCATGCCCAGCAGACTCCCAGAGGCTGACGGTTCAAGCTGGCACCATCTGGACGGAACTGGTAGGCCAGGATGAAATTAGCCTGGGATATGTACAAAGCATCATCCTCTAGCTGCATCCAGGGCATCTGACTGCATCTCCACTTCAGCAGAATCCCCTCTCGGCAGCACCCCACTATCCAGTTCTGAGACACCTTCACTGGGACACTGGTCATCAGGTTGGTGCCGAGCCGCGTGAAGCCGGAGTTGAGCGAGGCCCAGGCTATCTGGCGCCGGAGCAGGTCGCAGTTGGTGAAGTGCCACAGCCAGCGGTACACCTGGGCCAGGCGGCCGAGGGCCCGCATGTCGAGGTAGGAGCACATGTGCAGCAGCAGCACTTCCGGCAGGCGCCAGAGCGCTGGCCCCGCAGCCGGGCAGGCGGCTGACTCCCGAGCCGCCTCCTCCTCCTCCTCCCTGGCTGCCGCCGCCATGGCCGCCCCTGTCCCCGGGATGTAGGCCCAAACCTGACCTCCTTGTCCTTGTACTCTTCCCGGCCTGGCGCCCTCCCGCCGCCTAGCCCTGACCCTCCATTCCTCCTTCCCATACTTTCTTCCTTGTGCCTCTTTCCCGGCCCCTACGCTCCCCTCATCTCCTTTGATGATGCCTCTCGCCCCTTCCTCCACGCTTCCGCCTCCCTCTGCTTCCTCTCTTGGGCGTGTCCTCGCTCCCGCCTCAGCCCCCGGCCCGCTGCCTCCTTCGCCGTCTGCGGCCCGGGCTTCCCTTCCGCCCTGCTTCCTCTTCCGCCTTGCCCCTCTCGCTCGCTTTTCCCTTCCTCTTCCCCTTCCTTCGCTTCCCCCTCGTCACCCTCCCTTCCTGCAGCTTCTTCGCCTCTCCGCCCCCGCCCTCACCCGGGCCCGCCCTCACCCGGGCCCGCCATTCCCGGCGGCCCCACACCCAGCGGCCCTGGCTGCCCAAGAGCAGCTGCGGGGCAGCCCGACGCGGAGCCCAGCCCGAGCCACCACCCTCCACTAGGTTTAAAACTGCTGACACACACACGGAGAAACGGGGGTGGGGGGGCTTCAAAGATGGAGGGGGCAGCATGTATCAAAATACAGCCTCCTGCTCTCTGGCCATGGGGGAAAGAGCCCCAGGGAGCAAGAACTGGAACAAATTAAGTGCCTTCTGTGTTCCTCAAGCCTTAGCTCTGGCCTGGAGTCTGGGGGTCTGCAGCACAGGGTGGCAGAGGGAGGGGTCCCCCTACAGGAAAGCCACACCTCAGAGCAGAAAACTCAGCCCCCAGCACCAGCCAAGGGGAGGCCCGAGGCCAGAGCTGTGTGTCTCGGTAGTCCAGAAGTGCTGGGGGAAGGGCTTTTAAGGAATCACATGCTCTTCACACTTAGAGGGGGGCCTGGCCTCTGGCCACACCTGCCCCTAGAGGACTTGTTTCCCAGCGGAGGAAGCCTGCTTTAGGGAAAGTGTGTGCACACAGGGTGTGATGGTGCACACAGGGTGTGATGGCGCACACAGGGTGTGATGGCGTGCACCTGTAGTCCCAGCCACACACAGGGTGTGGTGGCGTGCACCTATAGCCCCAGCTACGCGGAAGGCTGAGGCCGGAGGATGGCTTCAGTCAGGAGTTCTGGGCTGTAGTGCACTACACACTAAGTTTGGCATCAATATGGTGACCTCCCAGGAGTCGGGAACCATCAGTTTGCCTAAGAAGGAGTGAAACAGCCAAGGTTGGAAAGGAAGGAGGTCAAAACTCCCGTGCTGATGAGCAGTGGAATTGCGCCTGTGAATAGCCACTGCACTCCAGCCTGGACAACGTAGTAAGTCCCCATCTCTTTTTAAAAATAACTATCTAAATAAATATAAATTAGAAAAAAAAAAAAAAAGGCTGGGCATGGCGGCTCACGCCTGTAATCTCAGTACTTTGGGAGGCTGAGGCAGGTGGATCACTTGAGGTTAGGAGTTTGAGACCAGCCTGGCCAACATAGCAAAACCCTGTCTCTACTAAAAATGCAAAAAATTAGCTGGACGTGGTGGTACACGCCTGTAGTCCCAGCACCGGCCCTGGGTTACTCACCAGCTTCTGGAAGAGGTCGCCCACCCGCTGCTGGTGGCTCCACTGCTGCACGCGGGGGAAGAGCCCATCATAGAACTCCTTGTGGATCTCGTAGAGCTCAGGCACTTTGAAGAAGATGGTCTCGATCTGCTGACTCGTCAGCACCGGCTGAGAGGTGGTGGCAGCGGCTTTCAAAGGCTTCATGGGCTGGAAGAGGGCACAAGTGAGGTAGCACAGGTGAGAGGGGCTGCCATCCGTCAGGTGCATTGTATGGCAGTAGACAGTCATGGTTACCTGACATATGCACTTTTATTTTTAAATCACATAACAAATACAATTTTAAAACCAGCTTGGTTTGGCAACTCAGTCTTCCACTGGTATCCACTCCAGGGATGGCGAGCTGCACCCAGGCTCTGACAGCTGACCTGGGACTTAAGGGCAAAGAGGCTCCCCAACCCTGTCACCCTGCCCCATCCCGCCCTGCTCAGCTCCCTAAATCCTCCTCACCAGCAGCAGTGCCTCCAGGTGGCTCAGGTAAGTCTCCTCGCTAGCCAGGATTCCCGACAGGACCCATTTTCTCATCTCCAAGCCCTTTTCCAAGTCCAGCTCACTCTGCAGGAGAAATAGACAGAAGTCAGCCTGGAAGGGTGGTAGGGGGATTCTTCCATCAGGGCCCTCTGAGAGAGGAGGGCCAGCTTGTTGACCTCTGGACAAACCCCTGCCCCCACAAAGGCTCCACATGGAATTAAAGGGAGGCAGGGGACCCTCCGCACATACTAAGCCACACACTCACAGTCACTGAGAATCCCGGGGAGGGGGGTCATCTGGCAACACCAGGGCCACCCTTACTCTTGCCAGACCACGAAACAGAGTTTGGTGCGGAGCAGGCTGGGCCAGGCCTCCCTCCACGCTTCTGCATGCAACCCAAGGGCAGCTGCCTGACACAGTCAGGGAAGGAGAAGGAGGCTCTGACCTGAGGGGGCGTCAGAGCCCACAGCATGGCCACCTGGCTTCTGCTGCAGCCAAACTCCACTCCCCACTGCTCACCTGGGGCCCGCCTCACCTGGATTCTCTGACTGCTGCCGCCACATGACCCTTCGATTGACGGGGCCCAGGCAGCACCGCCTTCTCCAGATGCCCTCCCTCCCAGCCACAGGGACTGCTACCATCTGCCCCAGAAGAACCCTGTCCCTGGGGCTCAAGGCCTGTGTCCCCTGACCCTGCTTTTTAGACCCTGACATCACTGGACTGGCAGGGACCCTCTTACATGTGGGCTATGACAAAGTCCCCCCTTCTCATTAGCGTCCCTGCTGAAAGTTCAGGGAAGCTCTACTGTTTTTGTCTCCAAATGATGAAGCTGACACATTGTTGGATGTTGATGTAGGGGACAGAGCCCATGCCCCTGGGAGGCCACCTTCTAGTCCTAGTTATGATAACATCTCCCCTCCCCACTCAAATTCACGTGGAAGCCCTAACCCCCAGTACCTTAGAACGTTACCGTATCTGAAGGCAGGGCCTTTAAGGTAAACTGAAGCCAAAAGGTTCCATATGTCACATTCTTTTTTGTTTTTTTTGAGACGATGTCTCACTCTGTCGCTCAGGCTGGAGCGCTGTGGCACAGTCACAGCTTACTGCAGCCTTGAGAGCCCAGGCTCAAGTCATCCTCCCATCTGAGCCTCCCAAGTAGCTGGGACCTCATGCACCCACCACCTCGCTCTGCTAACTTAAACATTTTTGGGGGGTCCAGGCTCAATGTCTCACGCCTGTAATCCCAGCAGTTTGGGAGGCCGAGGCGGGCAGATCACCTGAGGCCAGGAGTTCGAGATCACCAGCCTTGGCCAACATGGTGAAACCCCGTCTCTACTAAAAATACAAAAATTAGCCGGGTGTGGTGGCGGGCACCTATAATCCCCACTACTTGGGAGGCAGAGGCAGGAGAATTGCCTGAACACAGGAGGGGGAGGTTGCAGTGAGCCGAGACCATGCTGTGGCACTCCAGCCTGGGCAACAAGAGCGAAACTCCATCTCAAAAAAAAAAAAAAAATTTTTTTTTTGGTAATAGAAACAAGGTCTTGTCATGTTGCCCAGGCTGGTCTCAAACTCCTGAGCTCAAGCGGTCCTTCTACCTCAAACTCCCAGAGTGGTGGGATTACAGGCATGAGCCATGTTACCCCACCAGGACTGGGGTGCTTGTAAAAGAAGAGGTCAGGACACAGACTCAAATGGAGGGAACATTATGTGAAGACACATAGAGAAGACAAGCCCAGGAGAGGGGCCCGAGAAGAAACCAACCCTGCCCACCCCTTGATCTTGGATTTCAGGCCTCCAGGACTAGGAGAAAATAAACTCCTGTTCTTTAAGCCCCCCAGTCTGTGATGCTTTGTTACAACAGTCCCAGCAAAGGCATGACACCAAAGATGATGATGCCAAAGGCCACAGAAATCGCCACCTGACTTCCTGGCCACTCCCGCCTACTCCCTGGCCACTGGCAATGTTGGAGGCTGGCCATGCCCATGGCAGCACCTCAGTGCTCCACCGGGCTGAGGCCGTGCTCCCTTTGTTCCGCCTGTGCCCAATGGCCCTGCCTGCAGTCAGAGGAAAGTGTGTGGGTGCGGGGGGTGGGGGTGGTGCCAGGTCCGGTGTCTGTGACAGCCCCGTCCACTTCTCCACTGGTTGCTGGGCTCACAGGCGTGGAACTGGGGCGGTGGTCCCTGATCACTCACTTTCCCACTTTCGGGGAAAATCACTGGCTGCGGGCAGGCTTCTCGTTGGCCCCGCTGACATCTAGGCCCGGAGGAGTCTCTGTCAGGGGCTGGGTGGCATCCTGTGCCTTGCAGGATTCTGTGCAGCATCCTTGCCTCTACCTATCGTATGTGAGTAACACCCTCTCCCCCGAGGTGTGGCAGCCACAATGTCTCCAGGCGCTGCCACACATGCCCTGGGAGCAGAATCACCTCCAGTGAGAACTGATGGGTTTGAGGAAGGATCTGACTGAGGTCAGCTCAGGCCTCATGGTATCTGTAGAATTTGGAATCAGGGTCCCAGCACAGCCCCTGCCTACTCCCAACCCTGCTGTCCTATTTCCCTGGCCCTCTAGGAGGGAGGCATGTCATGGTATAGACAGCAGGTTCAACACGAAGTGCCCAGGGCCTGGCCTGCCCCATGGTCTCAGGCAAATGCCCTCCGGCCCTGAGCCTCCACTGCCCGGGGAGGGAGCCCCACCCTGTGCCCCATTTGAGTCCCTGGGGCTTGGACCACACATCCTCACTTGCCCACTGGGACCATCTAAAAAGCCTTCCTGGGCCACCTTTTTGCCCTGGGAATCTCCTAAGTGTGTGCACACTTGTGTGAATGTATGCATGAGGTGTCAGCATGCCCGGGTGCCTGTGTATATGTGTGTATATATATGCATTTATACACACGTACATGTGTGTGGGGGGGACAGCCATCAAGATCTGGGCTGAGAGCAGCTCCAAGGAAAAGGACACGCAGGTTCCATGCACACCTGTCCCCCCAGGGCAGGGTAGGCAGTGACTCCACGGGTGGGAGCCTCCAGGCCACGGCTGTGCCTGAGCTAGGAACTTCCCTGTCTAGCACAGTGCCCAGAACACCCAGGTGCTCAATTAAGATTCATTTAATAAATCAATGAGTGGATCTTAAACACCTGGTTGTATCCTAGTGTTGGCTGCGTTTTTATGAATCTCTGAGGGCTCCTTCAGGGTCTCCGTACTCTCACTTGGAGACAGTTGGGTCCAAGGAACCCAGGGCTGTCAGTTGAGCCTGCCTTGGTGCCCTGAAATGCTACCCAAGTTCAGCAAGTCTGCTGCCCATGGTGCACATACACGTAGGGTGGGGCGACCTATGACACCCCCTCTCTGCCCATCATGAATGGTGGAGTCTTTGGGGAAAGCACCCCAGCTGCCCCTGCAGGTGCCTCCTACTGTGTGCAGATGCCGCTCCCTGCTCCACAAGAGGAGAAGAGGTGAAGGGAATGGTGGGTCCCTTGGGCAGCGCCACCCATCCACCCAGCCTGCCAGCCGTGCTCATGTTCTAAGGACAATCTTGCTACTATGAGTACCAGGCGGCCTGTAGGGCCCAGGGAGGCTGCTAGGGCAGCAGGGCCCATGACAGCCCCACCCAGTGTGAGATGCTTGTGCCGGCGTGGGTGGGAGCACTGTGTCTCGTTCTGTCCACATGGTTTGGAAAGCCAGGAGGAAAAACAGCACAGGCAGGAAGGCAGAATCTGGCTCTCCCTCCGTGTTCTGAAGGGCGGGGCCGCTCAGGGAACATCTGGCTCAGGGCATGGACGGGGTGGGGTGGAGACAAGACTCAGGATGAGGCACTTCTCCTTAGACTAAGAATCTTCTAGAGTCCTGAATAGTGCTGATGGCATCAGACAGGGATGGCTCAGAAATCAGCCAAGTCCATGCAGAGAAAACGAGAGAGCAAAGGGCAGGGCCTGGCCTGGGGCTATTTATAACTCAGGGCTGTGCTTGTGCCAGTTATGGGAAAGGACGTGAATGCAGGGAGGGCCATGGAGGCAGGCAAGGAGGCTGGGGCGGGTAGGAAGCCGGAGGTAAAGGGAAATTGGAAAAAGAAGTCAGTGACATGGAAGGAAGGCCCTCCTACCATGACCCTACCTAGGTGGGTACAAACACAAAACTTGAGGCTAAATAAAAGCCAATAAAGAACCCACAAAACAAACTGGGCTTGTGACAACCAAGCAGGAAAAGCCAACAGAGAACAGGTGAATAAAACTGTTGTCAGCTGGCTACCAGGCCCACGGGTGAACTGAGGGCGGGAGCTGGAACTGAGCTTCAGGACAGGGCAGAGTGCAAAGAGGCCCCTTCTAGTCCCTCCTCCTAGTCCCCCTAATCTGGGGGAGCCCAGTGGTGATCAGGGTGCAAAACCCTTACTGCGAGGGGCAGGCTGCTCTGGGCTGGGAGTGTGTAGCTAGCACAGCTGCTGGAGAAAGGACCCTCTTGCTCTGGGCAAGGGCAGGTTTTCATTACCAACAGACTGGACATTGTCCTGCGGCCCAGCCGGCGAACACCCCAAGAACCTGGCCCTCAAGGCATACCAGAGGGCAAGGGGCTGGCCTCTGTACAGGGTCCTGGGGCTGCAGGTTGTCGCAACAGGCCAGCCTGTGTGAATCCTTCCCACAGCACCCCGGGCAAGGGGGTGCCTGGCCTCTGTCCAGCCTCTGTCTGCACTACGAGTGGGTATTCACAGAGAAGACCCATGCCACAGGAGTCCACTGACACCCCAAAGACTCAAGATCAGCATCTGGGACCAAATGAGGGGTGGGTGGCGTGCAGGAGGAGAGGGATGAGCAGCCTGATGCCCATTTCCCACTGGATGGTCAGGATCAGGGTGCCTCTGGCCTCAAGATCACCATGCTCCCTGGGGGAAGTCAGGTGTCCTAGGAAGCGACAGCCATGTCTTCAAACCAAAGATCAGAAATGAAAGATGACATTTGCATGGCTTGTTGCATGGCTGGCAGGGAAACCAGGAAGTCAAGGCTATGCTTGTCTCCAGAGCAGTGAAGGGTACCCGTCCTGGGGCCCCAACCACTGGGAAGAGCACCAGAAGGTTTCTGGAAAGGAGCTACACACAGTTCTCCTCCAATCAAATCCCCTCCTCTTCAGACCAGCTCTGGGCCAAGGGGCGTGCTTGGGATTGGAAACTCTGGACCTGACAGGCAGAGACGTGCAACCTCCTGCAGGATGTGCACCACGAGAAACATCTACAGCTCCTGTGAGGGCAGAAGCAGGGAGCAGGGGTCGGGGGACCAGGATCTGGAGTGGCTTCACAGAGGAGAAGCCCTGGACTGAAAGGTGAAGGCTGTACTCCAAGTCAGAGCCAGGTGTGGGTGGGAGGCCCCCACCCCCGGACAGGGACTGGGGCACTGAGTGGGCAGATCAGCTTCCTTTCGGGGCCAGGAACTGCATCAAGGACTGGCTGGGTGCAGATAGCCCTCAAGAATGATGGAAAGAAATTGCCTTTCTCAAGTTCAGCACTTAGCCTACCTGAACTTGGTCCTTCTTTGTACCAAACCACGCTCACAATGCAGCAAGAAAGGGGTGCACCAAGAAAGACAAGACAGTTGAGGGAGGGAAAGTGTGCCCATTGAAGAATCAGGAAGGCTTCAAACCCTGGAGCTGTGTGGCCCAAGCAAGTTACTTCACCTCTCTGAACCTCGGCCTCCTAGTCTGTAAAAAGCTGACACTCGACGTGGGATAGGAAGCTACCTAAGGCAGCAGCCTGTGTGTGCTGCACGGAGCAGGTACATGTTACCCACTGGCTTCCTCTCCCATCCTCTCGGTTCAGAATGAGAAGCCTGCCCAGCACCAAGGCCTTCAGAAATCACAAAAGTATATACGTAAGCAGCAGTCCCAGGCGTGCAGCTAACATGTCAGCCCCAGAAAAAAGCAGCTCAGTGAGAAGATACACTTCTGGAGCTTCCTTACAGAAATGGGGAAAAGTCCATCTCTCTCTTGCTCTTTTTATTTATTTTTTTATTATTATTTTTAAAGATAGGGTCTTGCTCTGTTGCCCAGGCTGGAGTGCAGTGGTGAGAATCACAGCTCACTGCAGTCTCGAGCTCCTGGACTCAAGCAATTCTCCCACCTCAGCCTCCTGAGTCGCTGGGATTATAGGTGTGAGCCACCATGCCAGGCTATGGTGGAAACCATCTAGAAATAAGCTAAGCAGAGTGCGGAAGTAATCTGTCATCAGGGACCAAAAAGACAAAAAGGAGCAACTGCCCTGGGGCAGTGATTTTCTCAGCCCAAGAAGTAAGGAACCCAAGAGGTCAAGTGGGGGGACATGCACCAATGGCAAGGGGTGAGCATCTGGGCCCCAGAGCATTGCTGAAGCAGCCCCCTGAGCTGTGGGACCAGCAAGAGGAATCAGAACTTCATGCAGGGCCGGGCGGTCCAGCACCATCCAGCCTGCAACCAGCCCGGGCTACGTTCTCATGTGAGGGGGGGCGTGGGTCCACTGCTTTCTTGGAGGGCATGGCAGAGCATCTACTGAATGTGCCGCTACTCACTAGCCATGAGACCTTGGGGAAGCCACCACTGGACTTCAGTTTCACCTTTGTAAAGTGGAAGTGACAGAAAGGCCAAGAATTATTAATGAGGGTCAAGTGAAAATTCACAGGAAAGGCTCTGGTCACATGGATGGAGCCATCCTCAGCACACGCTTTGGTAAAAGGGAGCAAGAAGGCTATGAAGCAAAGGGACCCAAGCCCAGACACCACCTGGCTCAGGAGTGTTGCCGGCGCCACCACGCAGGTCTTGGTGGTGGCCTCTGGTGCTGACATTCTCAGCCTCAAGACCACATGCTGCCTGCCTCCTCCACGCTCAGTTCAAAGCATCCCCCGATCTCCCTGATCAACACATCTGGCAGGCTGTCTGTGTACCACATGTAGAGATGAGGAAGGAGTTTTTGGTGACCCACTCGCTTCCAAACCATTGGCTGCTCCACCACCTACCTGCTACATACCCCTGAGCATGGGGCTGCGCTTCAGGGAGCCTCACCTGGCCCTCCTGCCACACGTACACCATGGGGACTCACCGCTTTAGTGGACTCCAGGGCTCCCGAGACCAGCGCATCCCGGCTGCCCCTGCCCTTGCTGCTGAGGTGGGGCGATGAGGAGGGCGAGTCATCAATGTAGGGCAGCCCATCTTGGTGCCGGCGCTGCTCCTCTGCCCGGTCTGCAGCGCAGCCGTATCCAGGTGGTGTTCCGAACGAGCCATCTGTGTGTGCAAAGAAGCATCCTGTGTTAGAGACAGAGAAGGGAGCATCCATACTCAACCCATCCCAGCAAGCACCCAGCTGACACCATCTCTGTCCCCAACAGGCATCTCACAACGACCTCGGGTATGCTGACGTCCCCTTCACAACTGACTGGTCAAAGACCACAAGGTGAGGGGGGATGAACATGAGCTCACTCCCTAGACAATACAAGGGGCTTTCTGAGATACGTCTGCCCCTGGCAGGGGGTTGTGACTTAAGAAATGTATATTTGATCTTTGCATATCCCACCCTCTACTTTCCTGGCATGCAGGTCCTAAAACCCTTGGAATCTCCAAAGTAATACATGTCTTTATGTGTGCTAGTAAATGACAGGTGGCTGGGGCTCCTGGATAGCCTCAGGAAGGGGGCTGGTTGCCGGGAGAACCAACCACACGATTAGAGAGTTGGCACCCCCAACTCTCTGGGGAAGACCCACAGTTGAAGGTTGAGTTGATCACCAATGGCCAGTGACGTAATCAATCATGCCTACACAATGAGGGCTGTCCAAAAGGCCAGGGTTAGGAGAGCTTCCAGGTTGCTGAAAATGTGGCAGTGCCCCGAGAGGGCATGGAAGCTCTGCACCCCTTCCCACAGACCTTCCTCTGTGCACCTCCTCCATATGGCTGTTCCTGAGTTGTATCTTTGTATTAAAAACCAGTCAGCTAGTAAGTTATTTTCCTGAGTTCTCTGAGCCGTTCCAGCAAGTGATCAAACTCAAGGAGGGGGCTGTAGGAACCTCCAATTTACGGCCAATAGATAACCTGGACTTGCTACTGACACCTGACGTTAGGGGCAGTCTTCTGGAGCTGAGCCCTTAACAGTGGGATCTGATGCTAACTCCAGGTAGACAATGTCAAAACTGAGTTGAAATTGTAGGACACCCAGCTGGTGTCTGCAGAGAACTGCTTGGTGTGGGAAAAACCCCTACATTTGGTCACATAAGTGTTCTGCGTTGAGCTTGTGTACAGAGAAAACAGTTGGTTCTCCCCCATACAGGGGGGTTGGGTTGCTATAGAAAGGGGGACCCTGGCTGGGCACAGTGGCTCATGCCTGTAATCCCAGCACTTTGGGAGGCCGAGGTGGGTGGATCACTTGAGGTCAGGAGTTCGAGACCAGCCTGGCCAATATGGTGAACCCCATCTCTACTAAAACTATAAAAAATTAGGTGGGCATGGTGGCAGGTGCCTGTAATCCCAGCTACTCAGGAGGCTGAGGCAGGAGAATCGCTTGAACCTGGGAGGTGGAGGTTGCAGTGAGCCAAGATTGCACCACTGCACTCCAGCCTAGGTGACAGAGCAAGACTCTGTCTCAAAAAAAAAAAAAAAAGAAAAGAAAAGAAAAAGAAAGGGAAACCCAAAATGTTACCGTTACCGTCTTGATGTCAGGAACGGTCCTTGCACCTTGCACACCTGCCCATGGGGTCTGATGGGGTGAGGAGCACAGGCCAGCATGCTGGCTGGGGTGCAAGTTCTGTCCACCATGAGCAGCGAGTCCTACCATGCTATTCCGATGCCAGCCCAGGGAACTGGGGCTACAGGTTCCCCCATCCCCCAGTCTGGCCCAGCTTCTGGCTGAGTCATAGACCACCTTCCAGCAGGTCTGTCGAAATCCCAGACCACCCTTACCCCAATGTGAGTACCCGCAGGAGGACAGAGTGGCTTATCCTACAAGAGGCCCCCTGCCTGTTGGGACTATCTGGTTATACAGAGTAATTCATTCCTCCCAGAGGCACCTGGAGATAATCACTCCCTTCCTCCCAGGCTGAATGACAAAGCTCAACACGTGTTTCCAAGGCCTTAGCCATCTGGAGCTCCTCCATGGCCTGTTCTCAGCCTGAGTTTTCTAAGCCAGTGGACTCATCATGACCACTGTCAACCCACAAGGATCTTCTGGCCCAATCCATGGCTCATGTGAGGATCCCTTCTCCACTCCTTCCAAAGGGGGACTTTGAGGCCCATGGGACTTCTGAGAGCTCACCCTGATGGGGTGACGTCACTCTCACCATGAGTCACCTGTAAGCAGCCCTGCCCAAAGGTTACCAGCAGAGGTGACCTTGGTGTTCATTCAGGAGTTTACAACTGCCACCACACACACCCAGGCTGGGTGGGCACAGGGCTGCCCTCAGGCACTCAGAGCAACTGACCCAGCAATCCTGAAGTGGAGACTGTTGTCAGTCCTTTCCACGTGGAAGGCCGGGGAGAGCCGTGTGTCTGGAGTGATCTGCCACTAGCTGTGGGTGCAGGTGGCCGAAGTTCCGGCTTCCTTGCACACCTCTGCCTCTCCCTCTCCCAGGTTCTCCACTTCTCGTCCCACAGGACTCAGCACCCTCTAACAGGTGTCCTCAGCCCTGGCTGCACGTCGGCAACACCTGGGAGGCTTTGAAAACGATTTCACCGGGATCCACACAGACCTGCTGAATCCGAAGCTATAGGGGCTTCCTGGGGGAATCTAGCTGGCAGCCAGGGCTTAGACCTGCTGAGCGACCCCAACCCGGTGTCTAGCATTGCCGGCTGCTGACCTGCAGCACTGTCCCAGGTGATTGCACACAACTACTGGCTGCAAAGTCCGGGCCGGGTTCTGTCTCTGTGCGTGTTGAAAGGAGAATTCCAGGAAGAGGCTGGGTCTGGGTTGAGCATAGCAGCCAAAGTAGGAAGACCCCAAGAGCAAGGGGCACCCACCAAGTCCCTCAACAAGCTGTATGGAGGAATCTGGTCTCCTTAATCCATGGGACATCGAGGGGGCTCCAGGTACCAAGATCGCTATGTTGGTTATTAACGCTCAGTTCCTTTGGCCTTTGGGTGGGGGAAGTGAGCTGTGGTGTAATCCCTCAGAAGCGAGGCTCTGGCCCTCCCCATTGCTACCTCTCTGTGAGTTAGTCCAGGTCACTGAGGCCGCCCATGCCTCACCTTTCTTGACTTCATTTATTAATTTTAACAGAGACGTTGACTCGCTAAGGTGCCTAGGCTAGTCTCCAACTCCTGGGCTCAAGCAATCCTCCTGCCTCAGCTTCCTTTTTTAAAATCATGCATGTGAACTAGACAATGGATAAAGACCCTCTAGCTCTAAAATGCTACTGTCACTATTAGATGAAGGCCGTGCCATCCCCTTGGCCTCCTTTAACAACTTCCTCACCCTAGTCTCCCACCCCATGACCCTCCAGACTTGGCTTTTACATTAGCTTGGAATTGTCAGCGTCTACTAAATGTTCTAGCAGAGGTGTCCAAGTGCCCAAGGGAGAGAATACACTCATGGGTTCTTAGTTTTGTTTTTGGTCGGGCCAGCAAAGCCCCTTCCTCATCCCTCTTTTCCACTTATCACTAGAGAAAGAGACTAAAACCACAGCTTCAGGCTGCGAAACGTCTAAAACAAAACAAACAACAACAAAATAAGGTGGGTTAGACCAGCTTTTAACCAACGGTTTTGCTGTTTATCTGAAGACGATCTTAAGACATCAACACATTCTTCATCACTGGGTGGAGCACCTTTTATCTGAGTGCTTTCCGAGCCCATGACTACACTGACTCCCGTGTAAGGTCAAGTCAACACCGAGTAGGGAGTCAGCCCAGCAAGAACTTCGGGGTCAGATTCGGGGTCCCAGGGCTTGCTTCAGAGTAACTGTAAGACTCCACATGTGCGAAGCCACATGCTGGCTTAGCAACGTCCACGCTAAAACCTGGTGCAAGAATCAAGTGCCCGGTGAGGGTTTGCCTGCCTGTGTCCAGTGAGACTTTGAAGTGGACACATCACCCCGCCAGGTGAGACAGAGAGACTAGGTCTCACGGCCAGACTCTGCTGGGGAATTAGGACACTCCAAGTGGCTGAAACCCCAGCCGTTTCCCCCTCTGCAGAGATCTCAAATCAATGTCTGGGTGACTGATGCTTTTAAGTCTGGATTCCAGATGGCCTGCTCATCCCTGCCACGTTCCATATGAGGGCTTCAGCCCCTGCCTCAGCTCACCCAGATCACTCCAATCCATACTTGTTGCCCCTCATTCTGCTGACTCTTCCAGTCTGCTCCAAGGCAAATGATGGTGTGGGGAGGACTGCCCCTCAATTTCCTCATCCCCCCATTCTAACCAGCACACAGGAACCTGCTTTTTCAAAACGCAGTTTTTCACACCTGAGCTCCCCTAAGTACACAAAGCACCACCCCCCACCCGTGATTTTATTTTCAGCGACATGATCTTTCTGTCACCCAGGCTGAAGTGCAGTGGAGTGATCACAGCTCACTGCAGCTGTGAACTCCTGGGCTCAAGGGATCCTTCTAAGTAGCTGGGACTACAGGTGCATGCCACTATGCCCAGCTAATTTTTTTTTTTTTTTTTTTGAGACAGAGTCTTGCTCTGTCGTCCAGGCTGGAGTGCAGTGGCGCGATTTCGGCTCACTGTAAGCTCCACCTTCCGGGTTCACGCCATTCTCCTGCCTCAGCCTCCGGAGTAGCTGGGACTACAGGCGTGCGCCACCACGCCTGGCTAATTTTTTTTTGTATTTTTAGTAGAGACGGAGTTTCACCATGTTAGCCAGGATGGTCTCCATCTCCTGACCTTGTGATCCACCCACCTTGGCCTCCCAAAGTGCTGGGATTACAGGCGTGAGCCACCGTGCCTGGCCTGCCCAGCTAATTTTTAAAAACATTTTTTGAGAAAAAGTCTTGCTATGTTGTCCAGGCTGATCTTAAACTCTGGCCTCAAGCAACCCTCCTGCCTCGGCCTCCCAAAGTGCTGGGATTATAGGCTTGAGCCACCATGCCCAGCCAAGGCCCTTTCCTCTTGAGGATAAAGTACATTATTTGGCATTTTGAAAGCCACCATCTCCCAAGAGCCAGAACCAATTGGGAGGCCTGGCTCCTGCCCCCGTACCAGGAATACCCAGTGGAAAAACCTCTCTGGGCCGCCTCACCCTTGGCAGGACTGAGGTTGATGGTCTCATCAGCCACATCCTTCCTGCAAAGCTTTATCCAAGGCAGAACCCAAACACTAGAAGGTAGAAGGTGGGGGCATGGAATCTGGCTGCTGCTCACCTGAACCAGGAACCAGACTAGGAGTGGGGCTGGGGAGAGGAAGTCCAGTGCAGACAGCCCAGGGTTGGTGTGGAAGAGGGAGGGCCTAGTGAAATCTGAAACCCTCTTCTCTCCAGGCAGTTTGCTTAGCAACCCAACCCCAGAACTCTGCAAATCTATTCTTTCATAAAAGGAAAAAGGGCAGCCAAAAAATAAAAATAATATAGCGAAAAGAATAATGCCTGGTTAGGTCCCAGTCAGCCCAGGCCCAGGTAGGTGCTGCGGTCACATCCCCTAGACTACACTGGTTCAAAAAAAAAAATCTTTCAAAAAATTAAACAGAATTACCACATGATCCAGCAATTCTACTCCTAGTTATGTACCCAAAATAACTGATTTTTTTTTTTTTTTGAGATGGAGTCTCACTCTGTTGCCCGGACACTGCTGGAGTATAATGGCGCGATCTTGGCTCACTGCAACCTCCACCTCCTGGGTTCAAGTGATTCTCCTGCCTTGGCCTCCCAAGTAGCTGTGATTACAAGCGTGCGCCACCACACCCAGCTAATTTTCGTATTTTAAGTATAGATGGGGTTTCACCATGTTGCCCAGGCTGGTCTGGAACTCCTGACCTCAAGTAATCCACCAGCCTCAGTCTCCCAAAGTGCTGGGATTACAAGCGTGAGCCACTGCGCCCAGCCTCTAAAAGAACTGAAAGCAGGAACTTGAAGACATATTTGCACACCCATATTCATCACAACATGGGAAGGAAGAGGTGGAAAGAACCCAATGTCCACTGACAGAAGAAGGGAGAAGCACAATGTAATGTATACACGCAATGGAACATCATTCAGCCTTAAAAAGGAAGGACATTTTGACACATGCAATCTCATGGATGAACCTTGATGTTCTGCTTAGTGGAATAAGCCAGACACAAAAGGACAAATATTGTTATGATTCCACTCATATGAGGTACCTACAGTAGTCAGATTCATAGAGACAGAAGGTGGAACGGTGGGCTCCCAGGAAATGCATGCAGAACTGAGCTCAGACCATCGGCCATGTGATGCCTGGGTACAGCCAGGCAGGAGAGGCTCTCCCAGGCCAGATATGCCTAGAGAGACCCCAGATCCTCCATCCGTGGTGTGGCTGCCAGAGGTGTGGGGTTCCAGGAACCCAGCCCCTGACCCAACCTCTGCCAATGTGCCCCAGGGTGAGATGGGAGCAAGCCCTCAGGGGATCAGAGGTCATGCTCTGGGCCCTCCCTACCCAGAACAATGAGAGCGGCTGTAAAGGGCCCTCCGATCAACATGTACTGGAGTCAAGAGAAGAAAGGGGCACTGGGAGGAATTTGGGTGGAGGAGGCAGGAACTCCAGGGAGCACAGAGATCATCAGCAGAGTGGTCTCCATCCTTGTTTACACTGGCAGCCAAAGACTAGGCAGTATTTATTTACAAAGGTAAAAGGAGATCAAACATCCGGTGGCTCGGCCAGCTGTGGTGGAGGTTTTCACAGAGGCGGACATCAAACCCCCACCCTGTCATGGCTGCAGCTGTCCTCCTTCCCGGCTCCTGCCCTCCTCTTGGCCTCCCATCTTCTCCCAGGTCCTAGGCAGGCCATGGCAGCATGGTGCCAGCGACTTCTACAAACAGCAGCACACGTCTTTTGGAGGGATTGTCAGGCAGGCACTGTCCTCCAGAGAGGCTTGGAAAACCATGGCTGGGACAGAGGTTCGGGTCTCATGAAGGGTGCAGAGTCCACAGTCGGAGCTGGCTCTGCACCCCACGCTCATCCATAGCCTGGCACCTTCTTACCACCATGCACCCACCAAGAGCAGACTCTACCCTCGAGAAGGGCTGTGGATCTTGGGGGCTCCGAAGCTGGCTATCGTAGCAGAACCTCAGGTAAGGTCAGGGAATACCCGTAGTGCTTCAGGGAGGTAAGTTCCTCTGACAGCAAAAAAGACCCAAATCTTTGAAGTAGTGGGCAAAAAAAACCCACCACCCTTTACGGGGTACTTCCTCCAGGTCACATATGGTGCTGAAAACCCACGTATCATCTCTTGGAATACGCACCTGAGTGGGCATGAACTTTTAGATTGCTATTTTTCAGACAGGAAAAACTGAGTCTCAGGCAGAGCTTGACTGTGCCCAGCTGCACCTGTGTGACCTGCCTGCTGGGTCAACTTTCATTCCAAAGAGAAGGCATTTCTAAGATGTGGCATTGATAACCTTACGACTTAGCAACTCCCCTCCTAGGTGTATAATCAAAACAATTGAAAACTAGTGTTCAAACAAAAACTTGTACCAGAATGTTCACAGAAGCATTATTCACAAGAGGTAGAAACAATCCAAATGTCCATCAGATTCAATGGAATAGCATTGCTCACCATAGTCTCGAACTCCTGGGCTCACGTGATCTCCTGCCTGAGCCCCCTAAGTAACTGGCATTACAGGTGTGTGCCATTATGTCCAGCTAAAATAATTTTTTTTTTCTTTTTGTAGAGACAGGGGTCTCGCTATGTTGCCTAGGCTGGTCTTGAACTCCTGGCTTCAAGTGGTCCTCTCGCCTAGGCCTCCCAAAGTGCTGGGATTGCAGGTGTGAGCCACTACACCCGGCCTCTGCCTTCAAAGGGAAGGAAATTCTGTCACATGCTACAACACGGATGAACCTTGAAAACATGATGCTACGGGAAATATGCCAGTCACAAAGTGCCACATGTTGTATGACTCCATTGATATTAAATCCCCACAATACGTAAACCCATAAAGACAGAAAGGAGGTCGGTGACTGCTTAATGGGCAGGGGTTTCCTTCTGGGGTGACGAAAATGTTTCGGAACTAAACGGAGATGGTGGTTGCACAACACTGTGAAGGCACTAAAAGCCACGGAATTGTTCACTTTAAAATGATTCATTTTATGTTATGTGAATTTTACCTCAATTTTTTTTTTTTTTTAAGGCTGACCTGTTTTCCTCTCCTAAGCAGGGAACCCGGAACATAATTCCACTGTTTCCCGAGGGCTGAGAGTATCCTTCCGGATGGACATCAGTACCGCCTGGCCATAACCTCAGGCCACCCACATGCAGTGAGTGCTTTCGGAGATGTGTGGTTGGTTCTGGTGGTTTCTCTACTTTCTCCTCCTCTGCCAGGCTGGCAGCTGCCCCTTCTTGCATCCACGCCAAGTGCCTCAAAATTCTTTATAAATGAGACGTGCCCCATCCAGTTAGCCACCGCACCCTGGCTAAAGGCCTGCCACCAGGGTCCTTGGTTCTGTGGTGGAAGGGTACACAGAGAGCACCCCAGGATCCTGTGGCCTCCCAGCCCTCATGCCGTACCCCAACAATGACATCACCAGGCCAGCACCCAAGAATGGAAAGCCGCAGCTGCCCGGGTAGAGAGAGGTCAGGGTCATGAATCAGCGTATGCCACAGAGAAAGCCACCAGGCTAGCCAAGGCCCCCCATAGGCTGGAAAATGTCAGTCGGGAAGGGCCTGAGCCTGTCCTGCTCCCTGATGCCTTGACTCCCCAGGCAACCCTAGACACCGCAGATGAGAAACAGGTATTTACAACTCTGAGCTTTCTTGGAGGAGAAAGTCCAACCCACACGACCAGCCCTGACAGCTCTGCCTGCTTGAAGGTTGAGCTGGTTGGAGACTGAATCACCAGAAGGTCAACTTTGCTGGCGATTTTCTGGGGGCACTAGTCAGCCGTTTTCCTCCACAAGCCGAGTGTGCCTCAGTGTGGGCAGAGGAGAACCCCCTCTCTTCTCCATCAGGATCCAGAACACTGTTAAAGGACCATCCCCTGTCTCCAAGGACCCACCTGTGCCTAAGGCTCCCAGTCATTCCCGGAGGCAATAATAATTTGATGCTCTAGGCTTCAGGTTGGGGGCCGGCTGGTGCGGGGGCAGGGCAGAGGCTGAAACCCCAGCTGGGAAGAGGCAGCAGCCCTCCGCCCCAGGATGATACAGTTATTATTCCTCAGCAGCACCTGGGCTTTTTAGGACTCTGGGGCTCAGAAAGACTTCCTGGAGACCCTGAAGGTTTAGCCCCAGACAAATGTACTTACTGAGTATCTAATACGTGCAGGACACTGTGCTGGGTATGGAATGGTGAGCACCGCACACCCAGCCCCTGCCCATGGGAGCCAGCGGAATCCATGGAGTCACGTGACGTGGGCATCACAGCAACCATGACAAGGCCACGGGAGAGAGGCAGGTGGCACCGGAGCACATGCAGGAGGGAGGAAGACAGACCCAGGAAGGACAGCAGGGCCTCTCCCTGAGGAAATGACCACGGAGCCAGGACCTAACGGAGGAGAGGGAGGCAGACACTGGCTCCCCTGAGGACACCAAGGTGAGAAGCCCACTGTAGTGGGCCCCCAAAGGAACACGTTCATATCCTAACCCTAGAATCTGCGAATGCGACCTTACCTGGAAAGAGTCTTTTTGCAGATGTAATGAAGTTAAAGGCTTTGAGATGAGATCACCCTAGATTGTCCAATTACTACTACTATGATGTGTTTCTATTCCCCCAGAACTCTCCTGACAACACACGTGTGGGTTTTCTCCTTTCACCAGGCAATCCTCCCAGTCTCTGGACACCAGCCGGGTGTCCTATAATTTAATTCCATTCTGCCAGTAAGTATGTGGAATAAGTGTCAGACTTCACAGGTTAAGGGCTCAGTACCACAAGACTGTTCCCACTTAAGGCACTGGGGGAAGTCTGGGCCACCTGTACTTCTGACCTACTGACTCTAAAGCTGGGAGTGGAGATGGGGTGTTCCCACAACCCCCTCCTCAGGTTCAATAATTTGCTAGAGCCGGGCACGGTGGCTCATGCCTGTAATCCCAGCAACTTTGGGAGGCTGAGGCAGGCGGATCACAAGGTCAGGAGTTCAAGACCAGTCTGGCCAATATGATGAAATCGCGTCTCTACTAAAAACACAAAAATTAGCTGGGCGTGGTGGCAGGCGCCTATAGTCCCAGCTACTCGGGAGGCTAAGGCAAGAGAATCATTTGAACCCGGGAGGTTGCAGTGAGCCGAGATCTCGCCACTGCACTCCAGCCTGGGCAACAGAGCGAGGCTCCATCTTAAAAAAAAAAAAAAAAAATTGCTAGAACAGCTCACAGAATTCGGGAAAACCTTTTACTCACATTTACCAGTTTATTGTAAAGGATACCACTCACGAAAGCCAAACGGAAGAGGGCTGGGTAACAGGGTGTGTATTGTGGGGGAGCTTCCATGGCCTCTTGGGGCACTGCCCTCCCAGCACCTTCATGTGTTCACCAACGTGAAAGCTCTCTGAACCTCACTGTGTAGTGTTTTCATGGAGGTTCCACTAGGTAGGCAAGACTAAATCATTGGCCACTGATGATCAGTTCAGCCGAGATCAGGCTGGCATGGCTGTAGACACGGGTGATCAATTCAATCTCCACCCCTCTCCCCATCCCCAGAGTTCAGGGGTGGAGCTAAAGTTCCAACCCTCTAATCACGTGGCTGGTTCCTCTGGCAACCAGCCCCGTCCCACAGCTATCTAGGGGCCCCTCAAGCATCACCTCATTAGCATAACCTCAGGTCCCACAGAAAAGGGCTTGTATGAATAACAAAAGATGCTCCTATCACCCCATCGTTCAGGAAATTACAATGATTTTAGGAGCTTGTGCCAGAAACCAGAAGGAAGACCACATACAGGTTTCTTATATCACAATATCACACTGATGGACCCTAAATCCAATGACAAATATCTTTAAAGAGACAGAAGACACAGGCATACAGGAGGCCATTTGAAGGCGGAGGCAGGGACTGGAGAGATGTTGTCACCAGGTCGAGGAATGCCGTGGGCCATCAGATGCTGGGAACAGAAAGGAAGGATCCTCCCCTAGAGCCTCCAGAGACAGCCTGGCCCTGCGGACACCTTGATGTGGGACTTCAGTCTTCAGAACTGGGAGAGAATAAATGTTTGTTGTTGTAAGCCACTAAGCTTGTGGCATTCTGTTAAGGAAGCCACAGGACACTAAGACATGGCCTGAACTCGGTGCCATGGAGTCTGAGGACAGAGATAACCCAGCCCCCAGGAGAGGGCTGGAAGGGCTTTGGAGGGGCAGAGTCTGTGAGAGAGAAGAATGCGACCAACAGAGCCTTCAACCAGCAGGGGCAGGGAGCTGCAAAGACGCCCCATGGAGGGATTCAGGCTGACTCAGCTGCCGGCTTTCCTGGGGCTTACAAATGCAGAAAGGCTGGGAAAGAGTGAAGGACGTGCCATCCCAAAATACACCGGATGGCTACACTGACTTCGAGCTGCAGCTTCAGAAAGGGCTAGCTGACCTGTTTCTTGCTATACTCAGCAAGCCATAAAGATTCCTCTGGGAGGGGTGTCTTCCTTGAACCAGGGGAGAAAATAGCCCTTATCACCTGAGATGGAATCGGGGGCTGCAGTGGGCCTGAATAAATATGCTTTAACAAAGTAACCCTTATCTTCCACCAGGTTTACACCCCTCATATATCTCCCAGTGACTGCTCAAGAATTTACTGCCCCTAGCCAGATCCCCCTTGTCCTGCCACTTCTCAAACTTATTGTTCTTTATCGAAAAAGGATAAAGCATCTTGCTTCGGCCACTTGTCTGGACTTGACTCTGGTGAAGTTTCCCATGCACCTGTAAAACTAATGACATTTGTGTGCTTTTCTCTTGTTAATGTACCTGGTGTCAGTTTGGTTTCTAGATCCAGCCAGAGGCCACTAAGAGCTAAGGGGGGCTGGAAGTGGTCTCTGGGAAAGGGGGTACAGCTGGGAAAGGGGATACAGGCTGGCAGTGAGAGGAGAGAGAGGAAGAGGGTGATTTTGTGGGGAGCCTCAGGCTTCAGGCCAAGGACTTGGGCTCCATTTAGGAGATGTCTGGGTCTGGAACAAGAGGGGAGCCTAGAGGCTGCAGGGAGACAGGTGACGTTCTGGCAGCACATCTGAGTGTGGCACTGGAGGTGGGGCAGGGCTGGGGGCTTCTGCGATGGTCACTCCAGGTAGGCCTGGTGTTGGTAGAAAAACGCAGGCAGGGGCACTGACGCACAGTGAGCCTGGGTCTGGCTAAGAGGACAAAGGCAAAAGGAGGAAGAGCAGAGGGGATGCTGAGCTTCTAGTCCCTGAGGTATAGACCTGGCAGCAGGGAACTGACCAGAAAAGTCCCTGGGAAGAGGGTGGGAAGGGGCAAGACAGGGAAGATGGGTAGTGCCCTTCAAAGGAGGATGGCGTGGGAACAGTGCCCTGGTGTGGGAGCAGCATGGGGAGTGAGGTCTGAAAGTGACTGGAGGGAGTCCCTCCACACCAGCAAAGGTGCTCAGCCAGGATGCGGGCCATGGCCGCTGCACACCTGTGGGTCCTCCCTTCCCACTCACTGCCCCTCCAAAGAGGAAATACAGAGGGTTGGTCGGGGGGGAATGGCAGGAAGAGGGACTTCCCCCTGCTGGCGGTCACCACCCTGAGCCCGGGGCCAGGGCCCAGCCACGGGCAGACACCCAGCAAGCCTGGGAGGGCAGGCAAACCACCTTCTTCCCCCATCTCGGTCTTGGGCTGCCCCGCTTCTGAAGGATGCCTGGGGCAGGTTAGGAGAGGAGGTGCACATTCACCACATTCCCAGCAGCGCCATCCACAATGGCCAAGAGGTGGCAGCAACCCTAGCATCCATCAATGCATGAGTGGAAAACCAGAACGTGCCACATACATGTAAAGGAGTATTATTCAGCCTCAAAAAGGAAGGAAACTCTGACACACGCTGACTGAGATAGGCCTTGAGGACATTATGCTAAGTGAAATCAGCCAGGCACAAACAAACAAATACCGTAAGATTCCACGTATATGAGGTTCCTAGAGTAGTCAAATTCATAGAGACAGAAAGTAGAAAGGGGGTTGTGAGGTGCTGGACAGGAGGGGAGGAGGGAGTTAGCGTTTAGTGGAGTTTCAGTGTGGAGAATATGAAAAAGTTCTGGAGATGGACAGTAGTGACAGGTGTATGATAATGTGGATGTACTGAATACCACTGAACCGCACACTTAAAAATGGCTAAAACAGTACATGTTATGTATATTTTCTTTTTTTCTTTTTCTTTTTTTTTTCTTTTTGAGACAGTCTCGCTCTGTCACCCAGGCTGGAGTGCAAGTGGCACTATCTCGGCTCACTGCAAGCTCCGCCTCCTGGGTTCACGCCATTCTCCTGCCTCAGCCTCCCGATTAGCTGGAACTACAGGCGCCCGCCACCACGCCCGGCTGATTTTTTGTATTTTTAGTAGAGACGGGGTTTCACCGTGTTAGTCAGGATGGTCTCGATCTCCTGACCTCGTGATCCACCCGCCTCAGCCTCCCAAAGTGCTGGGATTACAGGCGTGAGCCACCGCGCCCGGCCTATGTATATTTTCACACATAGACAGACACACACACACACACACACACACACACACACACACACACACGATCAGCCAGGCTCTGAAATTTAAAACAAAAGAATAGAAGTACAGTTTTAGGGGCTAAATTGTGTTCCCTCCTAAATTCATATGCTGAAGTCCTAACCTCTAAACTTATTTGAAAATAGGGTCTTTACCAAGTTAAAATGAGGTCATTAGGTTAGGTCCTAATCCAATGTGACTGTGTCCTTTAAAAAAGAGGTGGCCTGGCGTGGTGGCTCATGCCTGTAATCCCAGCACTTTGGGAGGCAGGATCACTTCAGGCCAGGAGTTCGAGACTAGCCTGGACAACATAACAAGAACGTGTCTCTACAAAAAAATATAAAAATTAGCCAGGTATGGTGGTCAAGTGTAGTTTTCAGCTACTTGGGAGGCTGAGGTGGGAGGATCACTTGAGCCCAGGAGGCTGAGGCTACAGTGAGCTATGACTGCGCCACTGCACTGCAGCCTGGGACTGGAGCCAGAGGGAGACGCTGTCTCTTAAAAAAAAGTGGGGGTGGGTGGGTGGAATTTGGATACAGACTGGCATATAGGGAGAATGTCATGTGAACTTGAAAACTGCCACCTATAAGGATCCAACCCAGCCAACATCTCAATCTCATATTTCCAGTCGTCAGAACTGTGAGATGATAAATTTCTATGATTTGGGCTGCACAGTTTGTGGTTCTTTGTTACGCAGCCATAACATACTATTACATGAATGAAGTCATTGTGGAGCTCAGACACCAGCACTGAGGAGCTGCCCACATGCCAGGAGTGCCCACAACACCCATATCACTGCCACATTCCAGACTCAGAGTGGCAGACAGAGGGGAAGAGCAGACACCAAGGCCCACAAGGTCAGAGTAGGAGGCAGCCCAGGGCCTTGCCCCCTTCAGCCACACAATGTATCCGTGCTCTCTTGGGCTCTCCTCTTCCAGTGCCGGGCACCTGCTCAGAAGCTAAATTATTACAGATTGACCCCAGACTCTCCTGCTAGAGAACAGACCAGAGCCACCTGAGTATCCTATGCTTGTACAAATCAGAATAGAAACCCAGTCACGTTCTGAATGTCCTGCACAACACTGCCAGCCAACCAGCCCCTCCTGAAGCTGCGCTCCTTCCTGAGCACAGCCCCTGCACTTTCAGACTCTCCTTCCCACACAGGGCCTGAGGGGCTTTGCTTTCCTCCCCTCATCCAAGCTGACAGGTGGGCTTCCATGCAGATAAGGAAACTGAGGTACTAAAGCGACAAGCTGGGCAGGACCAGAAGAGCCCAACGCTGGAGACAGACTGAGAAGGTGCCTATGAACCCTGCTGGGCCCACACATGATTCCATAGCCTGGGTTCTTTCTGTTGAGAAAAAGAAGGAAATGGCCCAGAGGAGAGTTTGAGGCCTGACCCGACCCGACAGAGGACAGTTTGAGACTCGAACCAACCCCGCCACCTGCCCCCCACCCCCCTTGCAAGCTGCAAGCCACATACACACACAAAAACCACTCGTGTTCCCACCGGCCCTGGAGGGGTATAGCTCTGGGTCAGTCCTGGGGGTAGTCTGTAATTCCCACCCCCGGCCTAATCCTGGGTCACCCTGATCTATAGTGCTCCTGGAAGGCTTATGGGGTTGTGGATGCACAGGTGTTCAGGACGCCAGCCTGAGTCAGGGCCAGGGGTACAACATGCAGAAATGGCAACAGGTACGGGCCAGAAGTGCTGCCTCGAATCCCCAGGCCTCTGCAAGGGAGCCATCAGTACCCCATTTTACAGATGAAGGTTGAAGGTTTGGACGTGGAACCAACATACCCTGAGCTCCACAGCTAAGAAGGAGGATCCCCAACTTCAGGTATCCTGGGGGGCTGAACTAGGGGTGAGCTGGGGCAGGGGAGTGACGTTTTGTATTCTCCACCAGAATTTAAGATGTTCCAGGTGTGGGCAGATGTCAAAAGCCTGAGGAACAGACCGGGAGGTGGCACGGTCTCCAAGTCTAAACTCAAATGGATTTTCCCCCGGAAAATCTGTGCACATGGATTATGTGGCCAGGAACTCTTCCATTCTTAAACAAGTATTTGGAAAAGGAAATATAATTCCCTCTGTTCCCAGCTTCCCCCACCCTACCTCCAAGGCTTTCTTCGATCATCCCCCTTAAAAAACAAGACAATAAACCAACCAGGATGACCGGGATGACCAGAGGGCCCAGGGGCCTGCAGATGAAACTCCTCGTTTCATCTCTCAATGTTCCCACCAATGAAATGGGGATAATGACACTCTCCACCCACGCTCCCTGCGAGGTGTCAAGCAGGCCCCATCAGAGGGAGGAAACGGCACTGAGAAGCACAAGCATCACTTGTCATAATTACCGGAAGCCTCACCTGTTCACGCACTCCCACCTGCAACATTTAGCAGCGCACTCTTTCGCTCCTTTCCAGAAAAACCTTATGACCTCCTCTTGCCTGGCTTCTGGGGGATGCAGTGTGAGGCTGAGGGCTCCACTTCAGGAAATCTGGCAGAGCCATGTATCTGCTCAGGCCACTGCAGGTCAGCGGGTGACCCTAGCATGGCAATCTGGTCCGTCTCATCCACTACAAAGGCCAGCCAGGGCTCTGGAAGCCGGCCTTCACGCCGCCCGTCTCAGCAGCCCAAAGCTGACCCACTGCAAAGGCCACCACCCTGACTTCCACATTTCTCTTCTCCAGCAAAAATCAGGCCAGAGCAGAGCTTTCCTTACTCCCCTGGGGCTGCAAACTCTGCAGGCCACAGAAAACAGCTGAGGAACGAGCCAGAAAACCAGCCGGCAAGGATCTCTCTGTCCAGATGCAAGAGGAGAGAGAGGACCCAGCTCTTGACCTGAAACTCGAAACTGTCATGTGGGAATTACCACCCACGGTGATAATCCCAGCTGTCATTGTGGGTGTGACAACCTGGTCCAGATCCCACCTGTTACTCCCAATCGGCCAGGCTCGGGAACCAGGCCCAGCTCCTATCCTGCTTCCCCAGGGGGCCGTGGGAGGAGGTGAGATTCACACGCCCAGCCTGCCTCCATGAGCACAGCTGCTAGACACCCGCTCCGGGAGCCAACTCAGCCACCTGCCAGCCCAGCCAAATGAGCAGATCCTGATGAGGACTGTGGTATGCTGCATTCTGAAAGCACCTCCTGGGAAAAGTGAGTTCTGCAGAGATTCAACTCACAAACAGGGGCGGCGTGGCTATATCACCATGCCACTGCAGACACGCCAGGAAAAGGCCTTCCTTCAAGAACTCCACGATCCTGGGAGAACCGTGGCAACCGGAAAGGCTCTCAGAGGTATCTGACGCCGGTTCTGAGCCTGGCACTTCTTCTGGAAAATCCTCAGGTGGAAGAATAACAGCTTGGCTCAATCAGGTCACCCTGCCCAACACTCTTGCCTCCACAGCTACCCCCTGCCAGAGCCAGCACAGGGCTGGCAACTGACTCGGGTACTATTCAAGACACAGAATTTGTTCACGCTTCCCAGACAGGCCAGTAGAGAACAAGGCTGATTCCTGCTCCTTGCTTAACAGACAGACCCCAGCTGACTGCCTAAAGTTACTGTCCCAGCCTCTTTACCTCCAGGGCAGGCACCTGCCAAGGAGAGCAACAGACACCCAGTCACATCCCACACCCAGGCCAACGTCAGGAACACAGCAGACATCTAACAGGTGTTGGTCCCCTCTCGGTCCTCATGAGGGGAACCCAGACCCACTGGGCTCTGCCCACATGACTCCTCCCTGTATTAAGTGCTTTGTATCTTGGCTAGTAGGTGTGCGTTGCCCTGTTCTCGCCTGAATCCCACCTGAGCCATGCTCTCCTCTTGGCTGGAAGATGGGGACTGTACCAGGAAAGCCTGGGATGTTCAGAAAGTTGGAGTGGTCTATTAGGACAAGTGGATTCACACCACTCTCCTCACCTGTTGAGCCCCTTCCAAAGAGGTCTCATAAGTCAGCAACACAGCAGCAGTGCAGACAAACATCCCCTGGCGCCCTGTGCTGCTCAGTCATAGAGTGCGGCAGGGTGGAGATGAGGCTGCAGGTGGGGAGGAGGTAGCCATGAGATGCTCAGAGTCACCTGAGACCAGATGCCAGGGGTTTGAGGAACCTGTCTTAAGCAAGTAGCTCTTCTCCATGAAACAGAAGGTACGTGGAGGCCACCTGGCTGGCTGGTGTGCAGGAGGTGGCACCCAGAGGACCTCAGAGCTGGGTTAACAAGCCAGGCCTCCAGCCATGAGTCACACCAGCCCCAAGAGAGTCAGCTCCCATATGCAAGGTCCAGCAGCTTTGGAGATGTGGGGGTGGCACTCTGAGATGCCCCTTACAGCACACAGAATAAATGTTCACATCTCTGCAAAATTCCTATGTTGAAATCTAACCCCCAATGTGATGGTATTTAGAGGTGGGGCCTTTGGGGGTGATTAGGTCAGGAGGACGGAACCCTCATGAAGGGGATTAGTGCCCTTTTGAAACCCCAGAGACAGCCCCCATCCTTTCCACACCAGGTGAGAACACAGCAAGAAGATGGCTAAGAACCAGGAAGTGGGCCCTTGGCAGACTCCAAATGTTCCAGCTCCTTGATACTGACTTCCTGCCTCCAGCACTGTGAGGAGTAAGTGTTTGTTGTTTAAGGTACCCAGTTTATGGCATTTTTGTTATAGCAGCCTGAAGTGACTAAGACACCCCTCCTTGAAAAAATCTGACATGCACACCCTCATATTCTGAGATTCCATGACTCACCTGGGACATAAACATGTCCCTTCCTCTCTGCAGTCCCCACATTATGCCGTGGAACACATGGGCCTGGACATCTATGTCCTCGCCACCCAGTGGGAATATACATCTTTCTCTTAATCAGGGAGGCACTTAAACGCTGCTTACTCCTAACATTGTGCCCCAGAGGGCAGGGCAACAGCACAGCTGCTTTCAGGGAATTCGGAACTTGGAGAAGGCCGGGCATGGTGGCTCACACTAGTAATCTCAGCACTTTGGGATGCCAAGGCAGGCGGATCACTTGAGGTCAGGAGTTCGAGACCAGTCTGGCCAGCATGGTGAAACCCCGTCTCTACTAAAAATACAAAAATTAGCTGGGTGCATGCCTGTAATCCCAGCTACTTGGGAGGCTGAGGCAGGAGAATCACTTGAACCTAGGAGCCAAGATCGTACCACTGCACTCCAGCCTGGGTGACAGAGCGAGAGACTCCATCTCAAAAAAACAAAACAAAACAAAAAACCCCACAGAACCTGGAGAAGACCCAGGAGGTGAAATGGGAACTGGGTCATAGTCTCGAGCTGACCCTGGTTTTCACCCTCACTGTGGCTGAGAAATCAAGAGTGTGAGGGACAATGTGTGGCCACAGAGTCGGGGGAGGAGCCTGACTCCTCTAAGCATGGTAGGGCTCTGTCCATACAACACATGCCCCTCTACTCCCCAACTTTCCTGTAGGCTCCGGGTGGCCCTTGGTGTCTGGGCCCCGAAGACTGTCCAGCACACGGGTTCGGCCCTGGTCCCACGGCTCCAGCTCACACACACCCCCGCATCAGGGCCCACGACTGGGGAGTCTGGAGCTCATGGCTTCGCACAGTCCCCTCATGCTCGCTGCGACCTGATCAGCCTGGGTCCCCTGGGTGCTCCATTCTGGGCCTCGGCTCACACCTTCCCCATCCAGATGGCCTCCCTGAGTCTTGGCCCTCCCAGTTCTTCACAGCCCACCATTCTGATAGCCCCATCCCTGCTGTGACTTAACCTGACCACCCTCCTGGGCTGCGGGATGCTCTCCCAGGTGCTTTCTCCCACTCACCGTGTGTAGGGTCCTCCTCGACACTCCACCTACGCTACAGCCCATGTCCAGGCACCAGTCCCCTCAAAACTTCTCATAAGCTCCTTAGGACGGGCTGGAGTCTGGTCCCTCCTCAGGCCACTGATCACCCAGAACCCAGGGACCATGGGTTCTGTAGAACACACTTATTCAACGCATGGGGCCACCCCAGGGCCCAGATCTAAATAAACAGATGAAGTAAATAACTTCACATTCACATAACCACTGGTTCCTCGGACTTGGGAGTGACAGAGGTCAGGGTGGCCAAACTGGGTGCAGACAAGGATCAAACACACAGGGTCGCAGAAAAACACAACTCAAGGCAAGCTCCCCTCCTTTACTAGCTGATAGGACACATAATAGAATTTCTGTTTGCTGTCTCCGGAGAGTCCAGCTGCACATGGTCTCTGTAAAAATGCCAGAAGAAAATGCTCATGCACACGCCATTAATGACACCCCCAGAGGACTCGGCCTGGGGCTCATCACATCTGCAGGGTATACAGGCTGAGCTCATTTCTGAGTCACAAAACCCAGAAGTGATGTTTTTGGTCAGCGACCACCCAGAGAGCCTCCCACACCCTGGCACTCTGCCCACTGACATGCCCTTGTCCCTGGCTGAATATCTGATTCTCCATGGGCCCCTGGCTGGCACGCCTCCCTGGGCAGGTGAAGTCACCATGTTCTTCTTTTTTTTTTTCTTTTTTTTCTTTTTTTTTTTTTTGAGACAGGGTCTCGCTCTGTCACCCAGGCTGGCGTGCAGTGGTGTGATCTCAGCTCACAACAACCCCCGACTCCTGGGTTCAAGCGATTCTTGTGCCTCAGCCTCCTGAATAGCTGGGACTACAAGAGTGTAAGCCCCCACACCTGGCTAATTTTTATATTTTTAGCAAAGACGGGGTTTCACCATGTTAGCCAGGCTGGTCTCGAACTCTTGACCTCAAATGATTCATTTGCCTCAGCCTCTCAAAGTGCTGGGATTACAGGCACGAGCCTCCATGCCTGGCCTCTTCTGAAGAATGTGAAGACCCCAGGGCCAGGCGTGCACCACGTGCATATACAGAGCCAGGCATTTTACACATACACCACAGAAGGGAGCCTCATGTTTTAGGAAGTCGGTGTGGGGAAGCAGTGGTGTCTCTTCTGTTTCCAAACGAGAACAGCCTGTCACCACCGGGCAGAGAAGCAACGCAGGCTGCTTCCACCAGGAGAAAGGCCGGCAGGAGTGGCGTGGAGATGCTGCCAGAGCCTGGAGCCTGCAGAGGCTGCTCAGGAAGCTCGCTCCAAGAACCGAGCATCCAGGCAGGAGATGGAACTACAGGCACTGGGGCCCACAGGGGACTCTGATGTGGATGCTCTGTATAGGCTCTGCCTGGAGATGCCAAGGGGTCCCAGGACACAACAGAAGGCATAGAAGAGCCTCAGAGGGCAGATTTTCTACAGGATCCCAATTGTCTGGAAAGATGCTTCTATCCAAAGCTCTGGACCCAAGTCCAGGCTGAAGCTATTAGAGCACCTTTTCTTCCCTCAATGCGATCCCCCACCTCGCAGAAAAATGTCTCAGCCTATGTGTGTGCACACACAGATGTGGCATTTGCATTTACCCAACAAAGCCTAACCCAGCTTCTCTCTCATCTTTGCCAAATGGATCCAGAACAGGGGCTCCATGGTCTGGCCTGACCACATCAGGCCTTCTGACTGCTACAGATGGTTTGTAAATAAGGCCTTCCTACATGAATGCGACACGGCAGCATTCATTCCATCTCTCTGATCCTGCCATCTCACCTGAAGGAGGAGGCAGATGGGGCCGCCCATGCTCACGGGTGCAGCAGGTAGGCTCGCTGATAAGCCACAGAAGCCAGTGAGCATCCCAGCTGGGCCAGAACCTGGATCTGCAATAGGCTCTGTTGGACCCCAGGGTCCTGCCTTTCCAGGTGGGGAACCCCACCAAGATGCTGGTCAGGTAAAGGGTGGTGCTCTGGGTCCTGTCTCCAACCCACTCTGGTGCACCCCCCACTCCCAAAGAGCCAGGCACCCTCTCTGACAGGCCTGAGGTCCCCCTACCCTTGTGCCAGTAGTGCTGCTGGCTCCCAAGCAGCAGAATTCATGAGCTGGGCAGTGCAGACCTTGGTTCAAACCCAGCCCTACCACTGCCCAGGTGGGTGACCTTAGCACGTTACTTAATGTCTCTGGGACCCAGGCTTCTTGTCAATAAAAAGTGGATTCGGCTGGTCAGCCAGGACACCCCGAGTCCCTGTGAGGTGCTAGGCACCGTGCTTTACAGCACCCAGAACAGTGCCTGCCTAGAGCACTTGGGGTCCTGGGTCCTATCATCCCTACTGGGCCAGGAGCTCTAAAACCAGCAGGCCCTGTCCTTGGCCAAACACTGGGTCTCCAGGCTTCCAACAACCATGGAAGCAAGAAAGCAACAGAAAATTAGAGGATCACACTAAGGTATTAGTTACTACATGGAGAGCAAGCCCCTGGGCTGGGAGGCTGGAGAGACAAGACAGGGCAGGGCCTGAGGGATGAGCTGCCTTGGGACAGGCTGAGGGTACCCAAAGTTAACAGGCAGGCAAGACAGGGCCAGGGGAACCAAGGAGTGGAGCAGGGCCAAGAAAGAGAACAGGAAGACCCCAAAGCCTGAGACGTGCCACCCCCCAACACCTGCAGCTCCAAACAAAATTCTCCCACTAAAAACGGGGCATAAAGGTTGGGCGTAGGCACGGGTGGGGACATAACTCACAGGCCCATTTGCTCCATGAGCCTGGCCAGATGGTGCCCAAGTATCCAGGGAAGGATGAACTTCACATTCCTGTAGGATTCCATGCCTCCTCCACACAAGCTGGGTCAGGGAGGGGCAGCCTAAGTGGCAGGCAGAGCACAGCCAGCTCAGGCATGGCCCAAGTCCATGGGCCTTTTAACACCATGGCTCCAGCCAGCACAGGCTGTTGGTATTTTATTTATTTTATTTTATTTTATTTTATTTTATTTTATTTTATTTTATGAGACGGGGTCTTGCTCTGTTGGCTAGGCTGGAGTGCAGTGGCATGAACATGGCTCACCATTGCCTCAAACTCCTGGGGCTCAAGCAATCTTCCTGACTCAGCCTCCTGAATAGCTGGGACTACAGGCGTGCACTACCACATCCAGCTAATTTTATTTTTTTATAGAGACGGAGTCTCACTAGGTTGCCCAGGCTGGTCTCAAACTCCTGGCCTCAAGTGATCTTCCCGCCTTGGCCTCTCAAAACACTGGGATTACGAGCAAGCCACCATGCCCTGGTCTAATTTTAGAAAGGCACCCAGGTGTCCCTATGCAGCAGCAGAGGAAGGGAATTGTCTCAAAAACAAAATCCCTTCTTTCCCATTAGGAAAAAAGGGCAGCTTCCATTTCCCGAGCATCTACCACATGCCAAACTGTTTACTGCTAATCCCAACACAGCACTATAAGGTTTCTACAATAACTCTCATTTGATGGAGGGGGAAATAAGACACAGAAAGAAACCATAACTGGCCTGGTGCATGGTGAGGGTGAGTCGGGCCCCGTTAGATGGTTCGGGATACTGTGCCCTCTACTCCACCTGTGGCCCCGGGGCCACATTCCCTGAAGGAACGCTATGTGTCCAAAACAACTGCGTGGGATGGGTTCTCTAGGAAATGACAGCTGGATGTGCGGCTGGGGAGCAGGCTGGTGGCAAGTGAGGCCTGGCATGCAGGACAGGCAATGTTTGGGATCTTCTGGACATTTCCAAAGATCTTTATGCACCAGTGGCCTGAAGGCTTTCTCTCCCTGGAAATGCAGGCAGGCCCTTCAGTGAACATGCAGATGGCCATGCCTACCCTGCAAAGACCATTAAGACAGAGACAATGGAATTTGATAGAAGGGTCTGAAGCAAAGCAGACAATGAGCAAACCCTGGGACACTGCTGAATAAACCAGCAGGAGGCAGAGAGAGGTGCTTTGCCTGGAAAAAACAAACACCAGGAAGGCCCAGCAGGCAGGCCTGCATCCGCAGTGTGTGTATCAGCTTAGCCCTGTTGGGGCGGGGGTCTTGGGAGGGGCCGCAGGAAAGTTACTGGGTGGGCTGAGGTGATCAGTATGGGCCACCACCCTCAGAATGCTGTCTAAGGGCAGTAGTGGTCTATCCCAGGGAACATCACCACACACAGAGAGAAGGACGTCTAAATGTAGAAGTTGGAACTTCCAATTCCAGGCAAGATGGAAAAAGCACACTACAGCCTTTCCCACTATCCACAGGTACAAATTCTGCATGAAACCTCTATCATGGGACTCAAAAAGGTAGATAAGGGCAGGAGGACTGAGCAGAGATTGCAGGACTTTAAGGACACCTTGGCAGTGATTTTTCTGGTTTTCCAGTTTTTGGAATTTTGCCTCCCAGCATGGGCACTAGAGTAGCTTGAAACTACCAACAGGCACAGACAAGAGGAAAAAAAAAAAAGAACCAAACAGAAAAGCTTGCTCTCTCTAACCAAAAGCCCAGGAAGGAGAAATCCTGTAGATTGAACTCTTTTGGCTTTATCCACCTTTCCCCAGCACAAACAACGTGTCCATTCCTCTCCCCACAGATGCAAGCAGCGGCCTCCCTGGGGTGGAGACCCGTGGACTCTTTCCACTCTACACTAACCAAGCGCCACCAAATAGGTGAAGCCCCTGCCCCCTTCACCAGCACAGCAACAGTGGACCCTCAGGGGGGAACTGCCTTCTAATCAGAACACCTGAAAGGGGGGACATGGGGAAGTAGAGAGTATAGGGAAGATCATGGAGAAGAGGGAGCTGGAGAAGGGATCCTTTAAATCTTCATAAGAAGCCCTGGGCTCACCCCTAAACTGCACATGTGTGAAAACACTTAGAATCAGCACAGCACAGATCACTGCCCAGTTTCAAACTGATCCCTCAGTGGTCAACAGCAGGGTGGATACCGGAACCACAGAGCTGAGAAAGTGAGCCAGGATATGCCATCTGAATCTAACTGGGTTGACTGCCTGTTTAAAAAAAAAAAAATCAGTCAACATTTTCAGAACATTTAAACAGGGTCCGGAGTCTCATAATATTACACTCAAGATGTCCAGGATATAACCCAAAATTACTTGACAGAGAACTAAGCAACATAAACTGTGAAAGGAAAAGGCAATCAACTAACATCAACCCCAAGATGACCCAAATGTTTGAATTATCAGACTAAGACTTTAAAGCAGCTATTATAACCATGCTCTAAGAAGAAAGGACAAAGACTCTTGAAACAAATAAAAAGACAGGCCTTCTCAGCCAAAAAAAATAGAAGCTATAAAAAAGAACCAAATAGGAATTTTAGAACCAAAAAATAAACAATTACCTGGAGGGGTTCAACAGCAGAATGGAGATGACAATGGAGTCAGTGAACTTAAAGATAGATCAATAGAAATTATCCAATCTAAATAAGAGAGAGAAAACAAAAATGGAGAAAAATGGAATAAAACCTCAAGCATCTATGGAACAACATCAAAAGATGTTGATGTCTAATTTCATGTCCCAGGTGTCCCAGAAAGAGAGGAGAGATGGAAGCAGAAAACAGTATCGGAAAATACAATAGCTGAACACTTCCCAAATTAGGGGAAGAACATAAATTTACAGACCCGAGAAATGCAGTGAACCCCAAACAGGATAAAGAAAGAAAACTACAGCCAGACATATCATAATAAAAGCACAGAAAACCAAAGTTAAAGAAAAAAGTCTTGAAAGCAGTCAGAGAAAAACAACATATTACATACAGGAGAATAAGGATTCACGTAACTGTAGATTTCCCATCAGAAACTATAGAGGCCAGAAGAGGATGAAACATCTTAAAGTCCTAAAAGAAAGGAACTGTCAACCCAGAATGTTATATCCAATGAAAATATCCTTCAGGAATGAAGGCAAAATAAAGACCTTCTCAGATGAAGGAAAACTAAGACTTAGCCCTATAAGGCCTCTTTTAAGCTTCTGGCCAGAACTATAAGGTAGTATGTTTTGTTGTTTGAAGTCACTAAGTTTGTGGCAATTTATTGCAGCTGCAATAGGAAACTAATACATTTATTTTTGACTAAAAATCAGTAACAGAATGACACCTGGAAAAACCTCCAAATACTTAGAAATGAAACATTACTATTAAACACTACTAAATGATCCACAGATGAAAAAGGAAGTCTCGAGGAAAATTAGAAACTGGTTTGGAATGACTGAAAATAAAAATGCAATATATAAAAATTTGTAGGATGCAGCTAAAGCAGTGCTTGGAGGCAAATTTACAGCATCAAATGCTTATATCAGAAAAGAGGAAAGGTCTCTAAAATTTTTTTTAAAAGATGAACAAAGTAAACCCAACAAAAAGAAGTAACAGACTTCTAGCAGACTAACAAACAAAAAAAGAAAGGCACAAATGACCAAAATCAGAAATGAAAGAGGGGATATCACTACTGATCCCACACACATTAAGAAGATGCTAGGGAAATACTGCGAACAACTCTGTGCACATAAGTTTGGCAACTTAGATGAAATAGGCCAATCCCTTGAAACCCACTGGTGACCACTCACCCTGACCCCCATACCCCTAACCATTCATGGTGCTAACTAAGGCCTGCAGGAAAAAGAGCCCTGGGGCCAACAGTAACCTGAGGCAGACAGAACCACGACCCAACAGGCACAAGGACCTCACAACATGACCCAGGCTTCTAGAAGATTTCTTAGGTTCAAGAACCACCCTGGAAACTGAATCTCCAATAACTCATGGCCTTAGAAGTTCTAAAAGGGTGCAGCACTGGCAGTACTATTGTGATCTAAACCAGCAAAGGGTCTGATGTGACAGGAGAGAGAATGCTGAAATCAGAAAGGTCACAAGATCTCCTAGAGGCCATCAAGGCCAATGCCCTGTGTCACCATGCAGCTGAAAGCTGAAAATAGACTTACAAATGTTTCTCCTTTCCAAAGCTCCTCCCAGATGGGGATCTCTCACGCTTCCCTGACAGCTCATCCCAGTGTTTAACCATGCTTACAGTCAAGATGTTCTTCCTTATGTCCTACAGGATGGCTGCAATTCCAGCTAATTCCCCCATTACCTGTGCAGAGGGCTGGACCACAGGGGATGGCTTCCTCCCTGATCGTGGGCTGTGCAATTCACACAAAAGATATATCTTTGGAGCCTCCACTGGTAACTGGGGAATACTGGGAGCTACTTAGCAGGGTTGTTTCTAGACGGAACACAATAACAAAGTGTCTATTGCTATGCCTGGCACACAGTAGGTACGGAAGGTGGTAGTCACCATTAACAAGTGGCACTTGTCAGCCTGCTTCTCCCTGCTGTAAAAATCCACCTCCTCAAATATTTTATGACAGACCCTATTTTCTACCCTATCAATCATTCGGCTTGTCAGGCAGCTCCATATTTGCATGGTTTTTGGCTTTGAAGGAATTTTTTTTAAAGCTTAAGGTGAACTGTGTTCCCAGCAAGCAGCTTGCCTATTTAAAAGGATCCTGCTCCAGACACCTCCAGGTCACCAATGGCAAATGCTCGATCCTGGCCTGGTCTCTGAACCAAGCAAGTCTAACTTCAATCTCCCCCAAACCCAAACCTATAGGACTTCTGGCCCCTTTCAGGTGCAACTGAGGGGACCTGTTCATTCATATTGAACCTAGTTGAAAAGATACTCTGCTATTCCATGTCTCTCCATTTCTCTGTTTTATCCTAAAGCAGGGGTCAAACTTTTCCTGGAAAGAGCCAGCTAATGAATATCTTCAGCTTTGCAAGCCACATGGCATCTGTCTCAACTACTCAACCTTGTCATCATAGCATGAAAGCAGCCAAATGTTATACATAAGCCAATGAGCAAGCTGTGTTCCAATAAAATTTTATTTACAAAAACAGGCAGCAGACAGGACTAAGCTGCAATTTGCCAACCCCTGGCCTAAATGTGAGGGAGAGGCCTCAACCACCATCCTTTCCTCATACATTTCCTGCAGTCAACACAGACTTAGAAATTCACCATGAAGCTTAGGAACCTCTCTCTTCCTCTCTGCCTAGGCATTTAAAGGCTGCCAAGAACCAATCAGCACAGGTAAAACACCATAAGACAAAAGAAGATCCTTTGCTCTCTTACTATGTGGCAGCTGATACACCACTTCTGACACACACACACACACACACACACACACTCTCTCTCTCTCTCTCTCTCTCATACACTTAATGCCAATAAATATAAAATAATTACTTCAGGCCCCATGGGAAGGATATTTCTGACGGGAAAGCTCACAACAGCCAAGGCAGAAAATGTCAGCCAGGATCTTGATTCATACATAATGGAGATTCTGCTGGAAAACAGCATAGGACATTTGAAGGAAATGAATCATTTACGGAGTGCAAGAAGGTTTGCACCATTTCTCAGGCAACACCCCACCCTATCCTGCCCCACCCTGCCAGGGGACCCAGGCTCCGGCAGGTCCCAAAGAAAGGGCGCCGGATGTGGGCACAGGAGGGTGCCAAGCCCAGGAGTTTGTTTGTGTAGCTTTTCACTCGCCTACTTTTAAAAGGATCCAAAGCAGCCTTAAGAAATCAAACAGTGTAAAAATAAGGCCACTGGGAAGAAAACAAAAATGAAGGCTCAAAGCGTGTTTCAGGCCCTGGGATGCACTGACTGTGCGAAATGAATAGTGAACTGGCCCCCAGGCTCCCTGACAGCAAAGGCCAGAAAAGGGAGGAGTCTTGGATGACTGCCTTCCAATGACAGAAGAGCTGGGATGCAGGAGAAGCACAGGGACCTGGAATTCTTTACCGTGGACTCCTCAGCTCTGTGATTCTACCCCATCACCCTATCTGCTGAAGTGCATTGCGAATAAACCTCGGTGTCAGTGGGATATAAACTAGAGGTAAAGGGTGAGAAACAAGCCCTGGGCCATCCCAGCCACCTCCAGACCTACAGGGATTTCCCCCATACCCGTGTCCTGATTAGCCACCAATGCAGACTGAAGGAGACTGAGCTTGGGCCACATCCTCCAGGTCCCCGTGCAAGAGCCTGGAGGATGGCCCCGCAGTCCAGTCTCCAGCCAGCGGTCTCGCCTTTGGCAAAGCGCATGCCCTCCACCTGGGCTGGCCAGCCTGCCGCAGGGTCTAAGAAGCATGGTGGGGTCCATCCAGTGAAAATGAGCCCAGATGGGGACAGAGAGGAAATCTCAAAATAATCACCATGCACGCTACTCTGGGTTCAGATGATGTCTCTGGTCCATGCGCCTTAGGGTCAGGTGTCCTCTGTATTTAAATGGAAGAATCAAGGCACAGGAAAAAAAAAAAAAAAGCACCACAGACCAGTCAAGTCAATTCCGGTTCTCCTGTCTCAAATACTGGACTGTTCCTTTCATTGAACAGAAAATACTGAGTCTCAGAGGGGAGCTCATCTTATCCTGCTCCAGGCAGGCTTGGCTGCCTCCTGCTTGGACACCCCTCCCTGCAGCATCCCAGCCAGCTGCTCCAAATGCCGGGTCTCGGTGGCTGTCTCCGAGCCAGTGGCCAAGACGACCAGAGACATCTATAAGAACACTTGCTCCAGCCCCAAGAAGCGGGGGGCCTGCAGGGGGCCACTCTGTCCAGGTTTTGTTTTTTTGGGGGGGATGGAGTCTTGCTCTGTCGCCCAGGATGGAGTGCAGTGGCGTGATCTCGGCTTACTGCAACCTCTACCTTCTGGGTTCAAGCGATTATCCTGACTCAGCCTCCCAAGTAGCTGGGATCACAGGCGTGTGCCACCATGCCTGGCTGATTTTTGTATTCTTAGTAGAGACAGGGTTTCACTGTGTGGGCCAGGCTGGTCTGGAACTCCTGACCTCAAGTGATCCGCCCACCTTGGCCTCCCAAAGTGTTGGGATTACAGGCGTGAGCTACAGCCCCCGGCCTCTCAGCAGGTTTTGGAGGGTGTCTTTCCTCCTTTGAGGAGGCCAGCGTCTCTGGGCAGACTTGGCGTATTAAAACGAGAGTGGGTAAGCAGGGAGTGGGCTCTTCCTTCAAGTCATCTGCCAACCCACCACCCTGCTGAGAGAATGTGGCTCACCTCACTTTGAGATGGCTCAGAGCAAGGCGGCAGTTTGACTCTCCTGGAGGCACAAGTGAGAGCTGAGCTTTAGAAGAAATGCCTCCCCTCAAGGCACTGCCCAGGACTGCCAGTTAGAAAGCAGCCATCACCACCACCTGGACCTCGGTCCTCCCCCTACAGTCCATAAAGAACTCTAAGAATCATTAACCAAGTAAAGGTATAAATGCCAGTGCAAAAAACCAATTCAGGCAGCCACTTGGGACAGGAGAGCCCTGGGGATCAGAGAGGTGGCCCAGGACAACAGCAGTGACCACTGTGTGGCGGCCACAGTCGAGAGATCTGCGCCCGAGCCTGTCTTCCTGTTGTGGAGTCAGTCCCTGTCTCTGCCATTTCAGCACCAGCTTCCTTTAGACCATGTGGAAAAGAGAGATAAACTGTCCCTCCAAACCAGCGGGTGAGATAAGGGCACTCCTGTCTGTCCCTGTGTGTCCTACACGGGGTCCTGGGCATCAGGGCCTGTGCCTTTGGGAAAGGCAGGAAGAGGCGGCTCCCCATGGGGAGGCAGGGCTTTGGCCAGGAATCATTTAGCGGGGAAAGGAAGGAAAAGGTCAGCAAAGTGTTCCCATTACAGGGGGGACAGCAATCAAAGCCCCCCACTGTCAATGGCAGGAGGAGAGGCGGTGTGAAAACCACATGGCAATCAGGGTCTAGAAACAAAACCTGAAATCTCGCTGTGCACTGGGAGGGTGGGAGACTCACCTGGACCCTTGCCAACTGGAGTGGAGAAGGTCACAGATCCCACAGAGCCAGGCCCTCCAGGCCTCTGCTGCCTGCCTGAGCCCTCCTCCCTGAGTACCCCCTGCACCGGCAGCCTAGGGCTCAGCCAGCCAGAATAGGGGGGCTGATACCAGGAGAAGAGGGAAGAAGGGAGCGACTGTGCACACAGGGCTTTGGATATGCTCTCATTTCATCTTGAGAGGCACCATAGGAGGGAGTCAGCATCCGCATCTACAAGATGCTAAGAAATGTACACAAAGCCCAAAGCCCAGCCTCAAGGCCCCTGCTCCTGTCCCCCAATGGGCCACACACAGGCACATGCACTCACACAGCCATACATGGACACTTGGAGATATGCATGTACACACACAAGTGTGCACATACAAATACTCACACATGCTCACACTCACACCCCAATTCCCTTAGTGGAGTTCTTGTCACACTGCTAGGTGGTCACCCTCCACCCACTCCAAGGTGTCACCCCTTGTGCTATGGACTTAATACTGTACCCCCCACCAAAGCTCTTATGTTAAAGTCTAACCCCCAATGTGATAATACTAAGAGGTGGGGCTGCTGGGAGGTGATGAGGTCGTAAGGGTGGAACCCTCATGAATGAAATTAATGCCTTTACAATAAGAAGCCCAAGAGAGCTTCTTTGGCCCTTCTGCCACATGAAAAACAGCAGGAAGATGCCATCTATGAAGCAGGGAGCCCTTATCTAACATGTAATCTGTAGGTGCCTTGATCTCAAACTTCCCCAAATCCAGAACTGTGCGCACTAAATCTCTCTTGTTTATAAACAGCCCAGCCTGGCATTTTGTTATGGCAGCCTGAACAGACTAAGACACCTTGTTAGTCTTTATCAGAAGCAGGAGAGATGCTGCCCAGAGACCAGGACAGGAATTCTGCCCAGGTAACCACCTCAAGGTTCCAACAGCATGGGCATGAGGGAGGAAGGCTTGGGCTCTTGAACTCAGCTTCACAGGCCCAGACAACATAGCCCACGTCTGGTCTGTTCACCAGCATGCTGTTGGTCACAGCCCTGAAGCCCATGGGCCCCTGCCACGCTCCCCTCTCCCAGGTCATGTCTCCTTCTACCCTTCGCCCTTTGCCACATCCCACCCTCTCTTAGCCTTCTCTACAAAATCTACACTCCTCTGCCTCCTTCCTCGGGAACCACTTCCCCTGCTCTGAACTTTCTCAGCACTTAGCACTTGTGCAATTTATCTGACAATCGTATCAACCTTTTCCCACCAACATACTGTGAACTATCACTTTACTTCTCATTTTAATCTTCATATGCTGTGTTCCACCTTCCCACTTAGCCTGGAAACTCGGCCGGAATCAGACAGTTTTCTATGCCTTACTGTGCCTAATAAGGGGCCCAAGACGCGCCAGGCAGGTGTGTCACCTGTTCACTCTGCAAGCATTAACTGAGCACCTACTACGTGCTGGCATTGTTTTAGGCACTGTGGATGTAGAAGTGAACAAAGCACATAGTGACTGCAGGAAACTTGCTCCACAGGGAGACCAAGAGGAGTGACAGGTGAGAAGACGGGGAGGGCTATCACTTCTCTCTCTTTTTTTTGTTTTTTGAGACAGAGTCTCACTCTGTTGCCCAAGCTGGAGTGCAGTGGCATGATCTCAGCTCACTGCAACCTCCGCCTCCTGGGTTCAAGTGATTCTCCTGCCTCAGCCTCCCAAGTAGCTGGAATTACAGGCGCCTGCCACCACGCCCAGCTAATTTTTTGTCTTTTCAGTAAAAACAGGGTTTCAACATGTTAGCCAGGCTGGTCTCGAACTCCTGACCTCAGATTCTGCCTGCCTCGGCCCCGCAAAGTGCTGGGATTACAGGTGTGAGCCACTGAGTCCATCTGGCTGTCACTTCTCATAACAAAGACAACCCCACCCTCCCGAAAGCTGTCCCACAAAGAAAAGTGGGAAGAGACAGAAACTCTAGTGAGCCTGGCGGGAAAACAAAAATGACTCTTGCCATTGATTGAGGATCTGTCTTGAGTCCTGAGAAATAAGGACCCTGCCCCCTACCAGACCTAATCAGAGCCAGCAGCTTTCTCTAAGAAGCACTGAGCAGTGTGAGCATCCTCGTGTGGCCTCTTCATTCAGCATGGAGGTGCAGGAATGGGGCTCCCCAGAAGCCCCCAGCCCTTTGCTCCAAACCTATCATCCTGGAACCCTCCTGTGAAGACATCTCCCACCTGCTCTGGTCCTAAGGGAGGTGCATGGGAAGACAGGAAGACCATCATTTACACCCCTGATGAAGGGGAACAGGGTGAAGGAGGGAGGGGAGAGAAGCAGCAGACTGGATGGGGCAGAAAACCTTTCAGAGGTGCTGAGACATGGTCCCCCATGGCTCCTCTGCAAAGCAAAGGTGACTCCACTCTCCCTAGGGAGTCTCAACCTCAAACATGTGCCTCGGAAGCCTGAAGTCTCGGCCTGATGCATGAGCAGGTCATCTTCCATCTGCATCGCCATCCTCCAATTTGTAAAAGAGGGAGCAAATAGTGGATATGAATTACTCATGCACTAGGAAGAATGAAGTATTGCATCTGAAGCAATTCTAGTTTGTTGTCAAGGAAGCTGAACCAGGAGGTAATCAGAAGGTACTGTGAGCCCATTAGAGTGAGAAATTCAACCCAAAGAGGCCATCACCTCTCCAAATCCTGCCCTACCATCAAAGAGGCGGGTTCTAACAGACAGGCTTCAAAGATACCAAGAGGCAACGACGTGAGAGCAACTCCTGTGTGTGTCCCCGGGGACAATCTGATGAAGAAAGCAAATCTAGCCCCTTATCCAAAAGGGGAACCATGGCATGAAATAAATCTCCCTGGAAGCCCACAGTGCAAACTGGCTGCTCTCTCTGATGCATCAACAATTCCAGGAAGCAGTGAGGGTGGAGGTTACTACCCCCATCTTACAGATGGGAATGCGGGTCCAGAGAGGATCGTTGCCCAGCTCCGAAATCAACACCCACAGCTGATTTTCATCATATCCCAGAAGCATGCTGCAAGGAGTGTGAATGAAACACCAAGTATACAGTAAGAGGAAGTGAGCTGAGCTTGCAAGTGGGTGGAGAAGAAACGCACTCCCCAGGCAGCCTCAGGGCCTCAGAAGCCCTGCTTCCACCTCCCCTAGCAGACCAAGCCTGGGTGGGGCTGGGCTCAGGGATTCCCATGTTTTCAGCACTTCATACCTGAACCCAACCTGGAAGCAAATGCTGCTCCAAGACAGTTATAGCCACTGAACCAAATGACCCAGGCAGAGAGGCAGCAGGAGGTGGCAGACACAGAGGCCATTCCCTGACACCTGGCTCTGGCTTCTCCAAGATAAGTCATTCACCCCTCCTCCCCTAGAACCAAACATGCAGCTGTCACTACAGCAGGGTCAAAATCCCATGGACGGTAGGTGAAACTTCAGTGTAACCTTCCTCCTTTCAGAAGTACATTCGACAGAGGGAGGTAGATCCTGTTGGTCCCCATGCAAGGGGTGAAGTGGTTCAAGCACTATGGGAGTGGGGGCACAGCAGGACCCCCGCATGCTCTGCTAGACATGGAGCTCTAGAGGGAACCGTGCCCACACAGCCTCAAAGGGCAGGTGGCAGAACAGCCCCTCCCCTCTGTGCAGCCACACATGACACCAGCCAGCCCCAAGGGGCCGTGTCCTTCGAGTCAGAAGCAATGGTAACAGGATGACTCAATGCTCCAGGAACTGCAGACTTGGAGGCGAGAAGGCGGTGCACACACAAGTACCAAAGGGAGCCCAGGAAGGAGGCATGAAGGAGCGGCTGAGAGCGGCCGGAGGAGGGAAACAGGTTACATGCAGGTCGGGGACAGAGAACTACATGGGGTGGGATAATAGTGGTGACTGCAGAAAGTAGCCTCAAAGCTGGACACAGAGGACAGAGCTGGGCAAGTGGAGACATTGTGGGGGACATTCTAGGCAAGGAGAGGGGGTGCAGGAAGCACACAGAGGGGTGGCGGGGGACTCTCAGAGCTAGCAGAGAGGAGGGAGCTGTGCTCCCGCACCGCCAGTGCCCACGAGCGTGGAGGGTCCTGCACACCTGCCTGCCTGAGATGCGTGACCTTGACCTTCAGCCCATGGGCAACTCAGAGGTTTGTGAGAAGGGAACAGCGGTCAGGTCCCTGTGAGGATGAATCTGGCCATGCAATAGTGGACCTGGGCAAGAACCAGGGACAGAGGCCAAGGGTGGGACAGGGTCACAGCCAAAGGGACAAGGTCAGACTGCCCCGCTGGGTTCCACATAGGGATGACTCTGGAGCCATGGTGGGGAGAGGCTTGGGATCCGGGGGGAGGCTTTGTGCTAAAACAACATCGTCTAACATAAGGAACAGAGCTTGAAAATGCCAGCCGCCCATTCAAGTGTCTTTGGTGGGCACGCTCAGCTTTCACCGACTCACTGGAATTTTCAGCCTTGAGAAGCACCTACCCAGTTGGAAGACACACCCCACCAGGGCCATCTGTCGGCTTAAGGGCTTTGCTGCTTCACTTTCTCCCCTCCCCCTGGATTATTTTTAAAAGATTAGGTTTCCTGTTTTCACTGCCTGGTTGGCCTGGCCCTCCGTCCATCCATCCATCCATTGTCACAGCCATTAGGGCAGCGGCATGGCAGGAATGGGCTGGAAGCGCAGGCCTTCTCAGCTCCATAACGAGGGATCAGCCACCTCCTCACCCGGCACCAGCTGGCCGCTCTGTAAACACCGCTTCCTCCCTGAGCAGGGCCGGGCTGCGACCTCACCCTCGGCAAGGGGCCTCTTAATGAAACAAGTCAACAGGCAATTTTTCCTAACTGCTGACAGCCACTCACCCTCAGAATGTGCTCATTCCAGGACAGAAAAAAACAGCCCTTTACAGGAGTCCCCTCTGCCTTGCCTCCCCTCCACCAGCATCGGAGGGCAGGCGAACCAGGCTGTCCTGGGTGAAGCCCCATGGGTCCTCACTATGAGGACACAGGTCCATGCCTGTCCAGTCACTTGTGGCTTGAGTGGTGATCAGAGATCAGCACACTGTTCAGCTTGTCCCCACACGAGTCCCACAGCTGAAGAACAGCCACCAGCCTCACCTCCGCACCCTGCCACTGAGCAGGCCAGACCCCTCCTCACCATCAGACCAGAGACTGGCAGGGACTGAGGTGGTGGCTTCCCAGCTCTCCGGTCCCACAGTGGCCCCGTGCCAAGGCTGAGCAGGGACAACTAGTGGGTGGGAGAGCTTCCACCAGCTTTACCTGCCTTACATAATGGGGGTTCCCCTGGATATTGTCTGATTAAGAGCTCTATGGCTAGCAAGTAAAAAGTTTAAACCCGGTGGGTTAGGGAAGGGAACACAGTTTCTGGTCACCCTGGGCGTGAGGCACTGTCCCGGGTCACCTCCTGCAATCCTCACATGCCCCAGATGCTTACCCAGCTCCGGGGGCTCAGACCTGCCTGCCCAGATCTGCCTGGAAGCCAGGGCACTGGCAGGGCCTGAGGGTCAGGTCAGAGCACAAACCCCACACCAAAGGGACAGCACTGGCATCGTGATGACAAGGGGGTCCAGAATGAAGAGAACAGTGAGGGGAGGGATGCCAATGCGACAGGGGAAGGATTCCTCTGGTCAGAGTAGGGTTACTGCAGGCCCGAAGTTTCCCAGGAGCCAGGCCCATTTGCCCAGAGCAGGTTCACAACCCTTCCCTGCAGGGCCTGACTCTCCTCCCCAAGGCAATGTAGGAGCCTGGGCCACGGCTCTCCCACCAGCAGGATCTGGACGTCAAGGCCTTTCCTGTCCGAGCAGGCGGCCACAGCTGCAGATCACCGCCTACCCGGGATCCCCGCCTTCATGGGAGTGCCCTCCCTCCAGGTCTCACGAGCATCCCACACGTAGGCAAAGTGCGGTTTCCCATGTATTTATTTATTCCACTATTTATTTTCAAACATTTACAAACTTACAGAGAACTTGTAAGAGTCCAAATAACCATCTGTTTAGGAAAACAATGACCTTCAAAAGGAGCCTGAAGGATTGACAATTCCATGTTCCCCACCCACTTCCCTAACTTCAGTCAACCAGACAATACTGTCCTTGGACACCAGGGTTCCCACCGATGCCCCCTAATCCTACATAAGTATGGTCAGCTCTTGCAGGCTGAGCCCCACGCCTACCTTACAGAGGAGGCCAACCAATGCCCCCATGGCCTGGGTCAATTCATGTTGAACCCAAGGCCTATCCACTCCATCAAGGTCAGCAAGGCGAAGAGAGAGCACCAGAGCTTGAAGGTACCCCATGGTGTGGTCACTATCTCTGGATGTCTTCTTCCCGAAGGCCAGGCTGCAGAGGTTCTGCACTGGCCGAGCCTGCAAGTTTATGGGACCTAACAGTGGATCTGACACCCCAGCAATCTTGAACTAGGAGTCCAGTGGATAACATGCTAAGGATTTTTTACTTTGAACCTACTATATAACATGGCAACAGCAAAAATCTAAAAAAGTCATCCACAACCTCACCTCCTCTACCAATGGTCTAGGATCATTTTCCCACAATCACTTCCAGTCCTTGTCCTGTGACTGTGTAACTAAAATCCTGTGGTGGGAGCAATCACCAGAGCCCCTGAGAATCATGCCTTGTGTCCACGCCGTGTGTCCACATGACACTGCTGCTCCTCCCATCAAGAGGTAGAGTCCAGCTTTCTACCCCCGCTTAGATCTGGGCAAGACTTGCGACACACTGTACCAACAGAATCCGGTGGAAGTTCAGCTGAGAAGTTCCATAGCCCAGGCCTCAGGAAGCCCTGCAGCATCCACCTTTGCTCTTGGAACCTAGCCTCCATGAGAAGCAACTCAGGCTTCACTGCAGAACAATGACGGACCACAAGGAGAGAGAGGTCTCAGCCTTCCGGTGTCCCTACCAAGTCCTTAGCTACAACGGTTAGGCCACCTCGGATGCCAGCGGCAGTCAAACCACAAACTGAATACAGTCACATGACCAAGCCTGTGTGACAGCAGAACCACCTCATACCAAGCCAGATGGCACTGCGATTAAATCGCATTGTTTTAAGCCTCTAAACTTTGGGATGGTTTGTTACCGAACAAGAGATGACTGATACAAATCATCACACTTTGGGCATCTCACTTTTTCCACTTATGACAATGTTCCACGTTGCTAATTCATTTTCATCCTTACCATCGGATGATGACAGAATCGTCTACCAAGCTAATGGAACCCCTTTTGTATTACAGGATGCTCAGTTTGTTTCCAGCTTTCCACTGTTATGAATACAATGAATAATTTCACATAATACTACCATAAAAGAAAAGGGGGAAGCAATTTTCCTTAGGAAAATGCCCTAGGGTGGAATTACTGCGTCTGAGGTTATAAACATGGTGATGCCTCTTGAACAATGTAAGCGCAGAATTCAAAGTGAAAGACATCCTTGTAGCATGATTTTAAAAGGAGGCAGTGAGTACACTTGGTTTTGCAGAAACACAGACATTCATGTTCTGAAGCCAGGCCCCACAAAAATCGGTGGTGTTGCCAACGCTTATCAGAGCCACTCAGACTGGACCAAAGCGGAAAGAACTCGGAGCACCTATCCATAAAACGTGCCCACAGCTTCCTCCGAAACACTCAAGGGAAACAGAAGGTTACATATAAGACATTTCTCAGTTAGACTTGGTAATTACCAGCTCAGCCAGATTTCCTAAACATGGCAAAATTAAAGGGAACGTGGTAATTCTAGAAAATGACCCATGTTTACAGGAAAGGGGAAATTCCTGGAGTCTCAGTCACCATCTAACTCCTGGATTAACTGGTCCCCTATCCCTTGTACACATGCCCATCCCCTGAAGGCAGGCTCTAACTTCAGTTCCTGAGCTGCTGAGTGGGGGTGCAGAACCACTGTCCCAACCCACGAAGAAGGCCCCACTAGACCTTCCACTTAGTTCCACTTAGGAGGCAGTGTCATAACTAAGCGGGGTCCCTGTCCTACCGCCACTCTGCCTTCATCACTGACTGTTCCAAGGACAACAAGCCACCAGGTTTGTGCCTGTCCCCATCAGCAGATGGAATTACACTGTAACACTTCCCATCTTCCCTGAACCATATCTGAGGCTCACCACTTCCCAGAAATGGCTGGCTCAAGCTCCCTTGGCAGAGAAGGTGGCAGAAAACAGGTATGGGGCTTGCAGCCAGAAACCCTCCTTTCTAAGAATTCCCGCCCTCTTTATCAAGTAACCTGCTACATTCCAGAAAGCTGTGATCATGGTAGTTACTCAAGAGAACCGGGAAGGTTCTCCCCTCTCCCATTAATGAGCAGATGGCTGAGTGGTACCTGGGGCACATGTGCAAGACAGACCTGTTTGCAAGGGGTCAAGAGTAAAAGCATGTATACCCGTGTTCACAGCAGCATGCTTTACAAAAGGCAGAAACAAGCCAGGTGTCCATCCACCAATGGATGCATAAGCAAAATGCGGTGCAGACATATAATGGAATATTATTCAGCCTTAAAAAGGAAGAAAATTCTAATACATGCCAAGGCAAGGATGAAACTTGAGGACATTATGTTAAGTGAAATAAACCAGATGCAAATGGACAAACGCTGTAGGACTCCACTCATATGAGGTCTCTAGAGTAGTCAAATTCATAGACATAGAGTAGGATGGTGGTGGCCAGGGGCTGAGGGAGGAGGGAGTAGAGAGTTGTTTACTGGCTATAAATGGGTACAGACCTTCAGTCTGGGGAAGATGAAAAAGTTCTGGAGATGGATAGTGGTGATGGTTGCCCAACACCATCAATGTAGTTAATGTCATGCATCGATCGTATGCTTAAAAATGGCTGAAGTGGTAAATTTTACATTATGTATAGTTCATCATAATTTAAAAAGAAAAAGTAAAAACAAAGCCCAGCCTACTTTGACCCCTTCCAAATGCAGGTTTGGACAATGCACGCTCACAAACGCCGACTCTGTTTCTCTGCTCTGAGAAGGAAATGGTGCCAGGTTCCCTGCCTAGCCAACTCCACCTAAAAGAAGACATGGACAACACAGGGAGCCGATCCCCACAGAGCATCCTCACAGCTTCCCCGTCCCTACCCTGGGAGGGCACACGAAGCACGAAATAATCCGCCTGAGCAGAGAGACAGTCCGAAGGAAATGCAGGTCCTCCTGGCCATGGCACAGGCCACAGAGGTGGAAGGCTGGGGCTGCCAAGAGCAGCACCTCCCAAGCCAGGTCCTCAGAGCCCAGGTTGGGTGGGGAGGCTGAGCTGGGCAGCCTTCAGGACCTGTGGCTCCTCTTTCATCTTTTTCATATACTGGGGGGTCATCTGAAATACCATTGGCAAAGAAGGGATCTATCCCTAAAATAAAACCATTTGAAAACAATTATTGCTGAGAAATGAACACTCCGGGCCTTTCCAACTCTGATGGAAAAAGACAGCTTCCCATCTCCCACTTTAACCCTCACAAAAAAAAAAAAACAAACCAAACATCCAGCCAGCTGATAAAGCAGCCAACATCCTCTCCCGCTATCTGTCATAACAGCAACTACGATAACAACAATAAAATGAGAATAACAAATGTTATTAAGCACTCAGGGCATGCCAGCAGCCACGCTAGGTGCTTTTTTTTGCACACCTCATCTCTAATCTTCACAGCAAGTTCCTGAGTCAACGACTAGTGGGATTTCTATTTCACAGATGAGGAAACTTACTGTATTTTACCCATTATCAGGCATGCATTTTCCCCAAATTTCAACATAATTCAAAGTGGAATCTCGCATCTCTGCCTCTCGCAATGATAACTGGGAGTACTGTCTTCCTCCTCCTTCTTCTTCTTTTTTTTTTTTTTTAAGAGACAGGGGTCTTGCTCTGTTGCCCAGGCTGAAGTACAGTGGTGCAATCATAGCTCACTATAGCCTTGAACTCCTGGGTCATTCAGGCGATTCTCCTGCCTCAGCCTCCTGAGTAGCTAGGACTACAGGCATGCACCACCACGCCCCAGCAATTAATATTTTTACGTTTTTTTGGAGAGACGAGCTCTCACTTTCTTGCCCAGGCTGGTCTCAAACTTCTGGCTTCAAGCAATCTTCCCACCTTGGCCTCCCAAAGAGCTGGGATTACAGGCGTGAGCCACCACGCTCAGCCTGCTGCCTCCTTCTTAGTGGCACATCCACTCACGGTGTGCCTTACCCTAGAGGGGATCTCAAAGTGAATGACATGCTCAGTGCACAGGCTGGGACCTGGCTCAGCGTCCCTCCGGAATTTGAGCCCATAGCTGCTGTGCCTGACCATCCATTAAGGGAACGACTCTCCACACCTCTCAGCCCAGCCCGACTCCTGCACGGAGGCTCACTCAGGGCCCCCAGGACTCAGGAGCACAAGTCAGCAACGCTGCCATCCCACAGCCTGGCCAGTGCCTACCCTGGCAGGCAGAGCCTTGGATGTACCCAACCAAGGACAGCCAAGCTCAGGGCCATGATTGTCTGTGGAGAGATGGCTGCAGGGGTCAGCCACATCCTCTCCGGGAAGGCTTTCCTGAGAGCCAGACAAGCAAGGAGACAGTCAGGTGAATGAGCCCAAGCGTCAGAACAAAACTAGACAAGGGAGGTTCTTGTGGTACGTCCCCAGGAGCAGCACTCCGTGAGGAAGCCCGAAAGCCTCCCAAATTAGAGAGAATGCCCATCTGATTGCCAGTCCTTGTCCTTTTTGAGGCCGGCAGCCTCCCAGGAATCAAGTTAAAGCTGCCGTCCCTCACATTGCCAAGTTTTCTGCAGACAAGACACTGATTTATGACCAAGTAATTCATATTCTGGTCTGGGCAATATTCAGAACAGGGTGTGCAGCTTGCAGCTGCCACATCTCTTGCCCAGAGAGCAGGTGCATCTATGTTCCTCTTCAGTGAGAAAACAAACCAACGGACAGAGTCATAAATGCCCTCTCCATCAGAATTGGAGTGAGCAGCCCATGGAAGCTGTGTGTGTTGAGAGACACAGCAACGCTCTGGGGTAGGCACAATCCATAAGCCAAGTCCACATGCTCATTCCAAAAGGCCCCTGTGTCCCCAGAGCAAGCACTGCACTTCTGCTGGAGATGCTGGCGGCCCTGCAACAGAGGAGGCTGCCCCAGGCCCCACAGAGCCCAGTGGGGGCTTACTTCAGGCCTTACTCCACTGCTGGGATTTTCTGCACCTATGCAGCAACAACTCCATCAAGCTTCCCAGAAGCCAGTGTACTCCCTGTTAAGGCCCTGGGGTCCTGAGCAATGGGTGTCTCTATAGACTCCAAATACCACAGCAGTTCCCAGGGGCACCTGTCAGCAGTTTCAGATCCAAGGACTATGGACAGTGAAGGGATCCCACTTTGACCACAGCCCATCCTTCAGGGTCCCCTCCTGTACAAACCCAGTGTGTCTGCCAATCCCAATCGCAGCCAATCCTACCACAGCTCAGATTCCGGGCTGTAGGGGTCCATGTGGCTCGATGGCTTCTCTCCTCTCTCCAGCCCGCTTCCCAGGGTCTGGCCACTCCAGCAGCAAAGATAACAAAGAAGAAACCAGCAACGGAAAGAGGAGAAGCTCATGGGAAAGCAGCAGTCCCCTTGCAGAGGTCAGAGAGTGCAGTTTCCCATCCACCTGCCACTTCAGACCCTTATGGGAGGCTGAGGGTAGGGCTGGCAGGACCCTGGTTATGGGGTAGGGGAGTCCTGCAGACAGTGGGAAGTGGGAACAGGGAGGGGGTTTTGTTCTGGGGCACTCTGAGAGGAGCAGCCCCAAATCTAGAGGGAAGGGTCCAGGCTCAAGAAGGAACTGAGGACAAACTGAGTGAGAACAGCTCCACCAGCCCCTACCCCTGGAGGGTGAGATGTGGCCTGGAAGATAGGACTTCTATTGAGAAGCTCTAAGATAATCCCAGCACTCTGGGAGGCCAAGGCGGGTGGATCACCTGAGGTTAGGAGTTTACAACCAGCCTGGACAACATGATGAAACCCTGTCTCTATTAAAAATACAAAAAACAAAACAAAACAAAACAAAAAAAACTAGCCAGGCGTGGTGGTGGGCGCCTGTAATCCCAGCTGCTCGGGAGGCTGAGGCAGGAGAATCCTTGAACCCGGCAGGCGGAGGCTGCAGTGAGCCAAGATTGTACCACTGCACTCCAGCCTGGGCAACAGAGTGAGACTGTCTCAAAAAAAAGGGCCGGGCGCAGTGGTCACGTCTGTAATCCCAGCACTTTAGGAGGCCAAGGCAGGCGGATCACGAGGTCAGGAAATCGAGACCATCCTGGCTAACACAGTGAAACCCTGTCTTTACTAAAAATACAAAAAAATTAGCTGGGTGTAGTGGCGGGCGCCTGTAGTCCCAGCTACTTGGGAGGCTGAGGCAGGAGAATGGTGTGAACCCGGGAGGCGGAGCTTGCAGTGAGCCGAGATCGCGCCACTGCACTCCAGCCTGGGCGACAGAGCAAGACTCCGTCTCAACAAAAAACAAACAAATAAAAAAAGAAGCTCTAAGAACTCTGTCACCAAAAGCTATGTACCATGTGATCCCATTTATGAAAAGCCCAGAAAAGACAAATCCACAGAGGCAGAAAGCAGACTGGTGGTTGCCAGGACTAACAGAAGAAGGGGATGGGGAGAGAGTGCTAATAGGTATAGGGTTTCTTTTGGGGGTGATGAAAATGATCTGCAATCAGACAGTGATGATGACTGCACAACTCTGAGATAATACTAACCACCACTGAATGGTCCATTTTAAACGGGTGAACTCTATGGTATGTATGTTACATCTGAATAAAGATGTTAGTGGGATAGAAAGGGGAAGAACAGTACTGACCCATCTGTGGGATGAAATAATCCTCGGTAATAAAAAGGAATGCCCTATTGGTACACACAACTTGCATGAATTTCAAATGCATTATCAAAGTGAAAAAAGCCAGAGCCAAAAGGTTACACACTGTACAATTCTATTTATATGACATTCGGAAAAGTGCTAAACTGTAAGGGGAGAAAGCACATCAGTGGTGTCGTGGGCTGCAAGTAGGAGAAATGCCTACAAGGAACAAGGGGTAATGCAAGTTTCTGGGGTGATAGGCCTGCTGTGTATCTTGATGAAGGTAATGGCTACAGAACGCTGTCACACCTCACAGAACAGTATACCAAGAGTGACTTTCATTGTCTGTAAATTACACCTGAATGCACATACGTGCACATATACAACCATCAAATGACATCATGACATCTTTCAAGCCTTTAATTTTTTTTTTTTTTTTCTTTTTGAGACAGGGTCTTACTCTGTCACCCAGGCTGGAGTACAGTGGCACAATTGTGGCTCACCGCAACCTCGACCTCCCGGGCTCAAGCTATCTTCCCACCTCAGTTTCTCAAGCGGCCAGGACTATAGGTCCATGCCACCATGCCCAGCTAATTTTCAAATTTTTTTGTAGAGATGGGGTCTCACTTTGTTGCCCAGGCTGCTCTCAAATTCCTGGGCTCAAGCAATCCTCCTGCCTCAGCCTCCCGGTAATACAGGTGTGAGCTGCTGTGCCCAGCCTAAGTCTTTAAGATGTTTGAAAAAGAACAGATAATTCACAAGATATGTATTTTTGTTTTACCTTCAACCCATAATTTCTTTTTTCTAGGGTAAAAATTACTATAATTGGAAATTTGTTGAAACAGTAAAGGAAGTTAGTTGAAAAACAAATAGCTGTTAAGTGGGTGAGGGGCAAATAATGTAAAAATCTGATATGTGAAAAATACCATTGAGTAGGGGCGCAGTGGTGCATGTCTGTAATCACAGTTACTCAGGGGGCTAAGGCAGGAGGATGGCCTGAGGCCAGGAGGTTGAGACCAGCCTGGGCAACACAGCAAGACCCCATCTCTAAAAAAATTAAAAAATAGGCTGGGCGCGGATCACAAGGTCAGGAGATCAAGACCATCCTGGCTAACACGGTGAAACCCCGTTTCTACTGAAAATACAAAAAATTAGCCAGGTGTGGTGGCGGGTGCCTGTAGTCCCAGCTACTTGGGAGGCTGAGGCAGAATGGTGTGAACCCGGGAGGCAGGGGAGGTTGCAGTGAGCCGAGATCGCGCCACTGCACTCCAGCCTGGGCAACAGAGCGAGACTCCATCTCAAAAAAATAAAATAAAAATGAATAAATAAATTAGCAAACAAGCCACGAAATTTGTACACCCATGTTCCTGCCAACATTATTCACAACAGCCAAAAGGTGGAGGCAACCCAAGTGTCTACTGGCAGAGAGATGGATAAACAAAATGTGTGTCTACCAATGGAATATTATTCAGCTTTAAAAAGAAAAGAGATTCTTTTTTTTTGAGACAGAGTCTCACTCTGTAGCCCAAGCTGGAGTGCAGTGGCGTGATCTCGGCTCACTGCAACCTTCACCTCTGGGGCTCAAGCGATTCTCCTGCCTCAGCCTCCCAAGTAGCTGAGACTAGAGGCGTGTGCCACCACACCCGGTTCATTTTTTTGTATTTTTAGTAGAGATGGGGTCTCATGATGTTGTCCTGGGTGGTCTTGAACTCCTGAGCTCAGGTGATCCACACTTCGGCCTACCAAAGTGCTGGGATTACAGGCGTGAGCCACCGCGCCCGGCTAAAAGAAAGGAGATTCTAATGCATGCTACAACACCGATGAACCTTGAGGACATGACGTTACGTGAAATAAGCCAGGAACAAAAGACGAAGGCTATATGAATCCACTCATATGAAGTACCTCGATTAGCCAAATCCATACAGAAAGTAGAACAGTGGTTGCCGCGGGGAGGGGAAATGGAAAGCCTATATTTAATGAGTCCAGAAGCTTTTTTTGGTTTGTTTTTAGACGGAGTCTCGCTCTGTTGCCCAGGCTGGAGTGCAGTGGACCGATCTCAGTTCGCTGCAACCTCCGCCTCCCGGGTTCAAGCGATTCTCCTGCCTCAGCCTCCTGAGGAGCTGGGATTACAGGCGCCCGCTACCATGCCTGGCTAATTATTTTGTATTTTTAGTAGAGACGGGGTTTCACCACGTTGGCCAGACTGGTCTTGAACTCCTGACTTCAGGTGGTCTGCCCGCCTCGAACTCCCAAAGTGCTGGGATTATAGGCATGAGCCACAGTGCCTGGCTGAGTCCAGAGTTTTTGTTGTACAAGACAAAAACATTCAGTGACAGATGGTGATGGCTGAACAACATGAACATACTCAACACCACTGAACTGTGTTATTTTTAAATGGTTAAGATGGTAAATGTTACATGTATTTTACCTTGATTAAAAAAAAAACATAAAATCAAATGAAAAATCCCAATGACTATCTCCCACAGTCCACCATGCATGCTCTGGGCCTGGTAAGTGGGGGTCACAAACTTCAACCCGCACCAGACAGAGCTTCAGTGTCACACAGACACGGCACAGGTGAAAGGGACAAGGCCCTCGAGGGGGAAGGGCTGCTCTCCTGCACTGCCAGCCGGGTGGGTTCCAGCCCAAGGTTCTCACAAATGCCAGAGGGCCCAATTGAGGTTTCTGAACAGCTGCCCACACAAGCCTCACGGGGTACCAACTGAAGCATGAAGCTCTGCAAACACGAAGCTCCAGCGTGTCTGTTTTGCACAGACACAAAACATCATTCTGTCTAGACAGGTGCTCGGCAACAGGAGACCAGGAGCCAATGAGCCAAAGCAAAGGTGGGTACAGATGGGCACACCTGCCTCAGCCAGGGCAGCCGGGGTCTGCTGTCCAGCTGTGTGTATGGGGTGCATAGGCCATCAGGTGTCACAGGCACACACGGGGTGTAGGGCACTGAGCAGGGCCTATGGCAGTCGCACACTCCATGCTCACTCCATCCTCCATGCAGAAGTCTTCTCTGGCCTCTGGGGGTCAACACCAGACCACCCCACATCATCACTAGCTGGTCTCTCACCCCAACACCATATGCCAGCTATCCCAAGTGTCTGAGAAACCTGTGGCAGGCCAGGCTGTTAGGCTCTTTCATTCCTTTGTGACAGTCCCTGCTTAGAAGGCCTCTCCTCCTCCCCTACAATGGCCTAACATACTCCTTTTGTTTGTTTTGTTTTTCAGAGACAGGGTCTGTCTCTGTCGCCCAGGCTAGAGTGCAGTGGTGCAATCACAGCTCAATGTAGCCTCAAACTCCTGGGCTCAAGCGATCCTCCCAACTCAGCCTCCAGAGTAGCTGGAACTACAGGTGTGCACCAAAACACCTGGCTAATTTTTAATTTTTTGTAAAGACAGCGTCTTGCTATGTTGCTTAGGCTGGTTTTGAACTCCTGGGCTCAAGCGACCCTCCCAACTCAGCCTCCCAAAGTACTGGGATTACAATATACTCCTTTTGAGTCCATTCAAGATCCAACTAATGGGCCATCCTCTCCTTAATGTCTTCCTTCTGCTAACCCAGCAGAGTCAGTCACTTCTCAGTGCCTGGTTGGTACTCACTTCCATCCCAGCACCCCTTTATCAGCTGTTTTTAATATATGTCTATGGGTTCCTTGAGGTCAAGGACAAAGTCAAGGCCTAAGCATTGTGCTTGGACCCCAGTAGGTGTCACATCAACTTCAAATGAACAGATGAATGGTTGGAGGATGAATGGATGGATGAATAGGTGATGACTGAATGGATGCATGTTTGGATGGATGAGTGAATAATGGATAGTTCAATGTTGAATGGATGGATGGTTGGCTGGATGTTAGACAGATGATGGATGGATGGATGGAGGGAGGGAGGGAGGGAGGGAGGGAGGGAGGAATGAATGGATGACAGAGGGATGAATAGATTTAGTTGGATGGATGATGAATAAAGAATAGTTAAATGGATGGTTGTATGACTGGTTGGATGGATGGGTGGATAGATAAATAGATAAATGTTTGGATCTTGGATTGATGATGAATAGATGGATAGATGGATGGCTTGGATGAATGATGGAATGGCTCAAGCACAGCTACCCCTTTCTCAGGAACATCTGCTGCTAGGAAATAAGAGGAGCAAGTTTGCTCATCTTGGGGCTTGAAAAGGTTTCTGAGTTTTAACACCCTGTTCTCTCAATGTGGAAGGGTTTTTTGGTAACTTTAATCAATGAATGACTATTTTCTTAACTTTTTTTTTTTTTTTTGAGACGGAGTCTCGCTATGTTGCCCAGGCTGGAGTGCAGTGGCACAATCTCGGCTCACTGCAAGCTCCGCCTCCTGGGTTCATGCCATTCTCCTGCCTCAGCCTCCCGAGTAGCTGGGATTACAGGTGCCCGCCACCACGCCCGGCTACTTTTTTTTTGTATTTTTAGTAGAGACATGGTTTCACCGTGTAAGCCAGGATGGTCCCGATCTCCTGACCTCGTGATCCGCCCACCTTGGCCTCCCAAAGTGCTGGGATTACAGGCGTGAGCCACCGCCCCCAGCCTATTTTCTTAGCTTTTTATCCTGGAAAATTTCAAACAAATACAAAAGTAAGAGCACAGCATCATGAATGCCCATTACCCCATCATTTGGCTTCAACGATTATTAGCTCATGGCCAGCCTTGTTTCAGGGAATATTCATTCAGCCCTGGGAAGCAGCAGGAAACAGGGAAGAGAAAGGGAAGTTAGAAACCAAGTGACCATCTCTCATCCAGCTTTTCCTCCTCCGGCAACTTCTCTGAGGAAAGAATCCTCATGGGGTTTGGAAGACTACCCTACCTGCCTCACAGGTTCTATAGGAGAGAAGCTCCTGTGAGCTCCTGAGCACAGATGTGAGACGCCCACACCTGGCTCTGTCATCGATTGCATCACCACCAGGCATTTGGAGGCAGCTCGCTGTGAAACACAGGTTGGCAAACTGCAGCCCACAGGCCAAATCCAGCCCACTGCCACCTGTTTTCATGTGACCTAGGCCTTAAGAATGCTCTTTATAGTTTCACATGCTCACATTCCAAATGGTTATGTAAGTATCCACAAAGTAGCATCGATTTTGCCTCTCAGCCACAAACATAAAATTAGTTACTATCTGGTCATTTAAGGAAAGTTCAGCCAATCCCAATACTGTAGAGTAAAGTAAAAAAAAAAAAAAAAAAATTATTGGTTCAAATCTTGGCTCTGCTGCCTGAGCTTCTGATCCTGCCTAGGCTTTGGCTGTCTGAGTATCCCCTTGGCGAGCAGCAACCACCAGCTCCTTGCAGAAATAGAGCAAGGCTCGGATCCTGGACGCTGAATGGGATCCCCTTACAAAGCACAAAGCCAAACCCAAGTGCAAAGTTCCAGTAAAGGGAGGGATCCTGTCTCTCCTGCAAGCCTTCCAGAGAGGGAACACCGGCAGATCCGTGAGAGGAGGAGAAGGAGGGTCTTCAGGAGTCAAAGTGCACCTTGAGACAGGCCCACCAAATGCAATATTCTGAAGGAAAGCGTGGCTTCCACTGAGGCATCTGTACCCCCACAGGAGTGACAACGTTCAGTGCCGGTATCCTTCCTGTCCTTATGCCCTCCAGACTGACCAGCCCATCTCCAGCACCGGCCAGCTCAGTACCAAGACAGCCCCTACTCCAACTGGCACTAAGAATGCTCAGGAAAGACTAACAGGCTTTCCCTGCAGGAAGGATACCTTGCCTTCTGATCCCAGGTGGGGCCTGCAAAAGGCTGGGAGGCTGTTGGGGAATTGGTCATCTGTAACAAAGGTAAATTATGGCCTCAAAGTACCTAATGTGCTCCTCCCACTATAGCACAGAAATAGGGGTGGCCACACACGCATGCCTGCTCATCTCAGTGCTGGCCTCAGCACATGCATTCCTGACCAAGCGGGGCTGTGCTCTGGCTGGCAAGACACCAGCTGGCACTACCAGGCCTCCTGCTGCCAACCACCTGCTTGCACATCATCACCTCCGCCCTGGCAGACACCCCCATGCTGCCGTCTCCCCCATCCACGCGGACGGCAGGGCCTCCCGCTGCCCACGCTCTGCACTTTGGCACGTTGCCCCAGATGAAACCTGCACGGCCTCTGAAATCTGTTCCAGTCCTGGTGGTGACCTGTAGACTGGCCAGTGGGCAGTAAGGGAGGACAACAAATCAGCCAGCAAAGCAGTGTCCTGGTTCCCATTAAGGGTGCACACAGAGGCCAATCCACCCCAATCCACATTACTGCAGGAAGCCAGACACAACCAGGATCCTACAGGAAGGCTGCTTTGGGACATCCACCAAGAGGGATTTCCAAATAATTTGCTGGGAACTCAGAGCAACATGACTTAATTTTATTTAGAATCACAAAACTAACGGATCTTAAAATAATTTTCTGGGAACTCAGAGCAACATGACTTAATTTTATTTAGAATCACAAAACTAACGGATCTTAAAAATGCTGCCATTCAGCTTCATCATTTACGGACAGGAATTCAGAGGCCCAAGGAGTCTACGTGATTCACTGGAGTCAGAGTGGCGGCCAAGGGCACAGCTAAGATGGGCAACGCAGAGCAAGAGGAGGAGCAAGCGTGGGTCCCAGCTCCATAATCCATGAGCTGGGATGGCTAAAACTGAACTGCTGGCTCCTAGTTGTGAGCGCTGGAAAATAAGACGGAACACCCTCCACGGTGCAGGACGACTAGTCAGTGCTGAAGAAGGGGCCATTCCTCTCCTTTCCTCCCCAAGCCCATGACACCATGCTGCCCTCCCTCCAAACGTGGTCTCACCATTATCTGCCCTCCTTCCAGCCAAGACCATCTGAACCCACTGCCTGCACAGGGAGGTGTTTGTCCTCCCGTCCCAGCCCAGCTTCTGCCAGCCAAGTGCAGCCATGCAAGTCCCTTTCCCTTTGTAGAAATCCTTTTCTGCCATGGCCTTCTGCTTCCTTGGAGCTTCAATGAAAGCCAAGCAGGAACTCCATGAGCCAGAATTAACTGGACAATGCTATCTGGCAGACCTAACTCACGATGCACAGAAGAGAAGCCAAAATGCTTTTCAGATTCAGTTACAAGTAGCCCACAACAGCAATAAACTAGCAAACTTCACAACAGACAAGGGGACAGTAAGTTCTTTCCCTACCAAGAACCACAGCGCTGACAAAGAACTGAGTGTCACACAGCCAGTGGCCTCAGGAAACTTCCTGAATGAGAGAGTGGACCAGTGTGACCCCAGCTCAGGGCTCCTCCCTATCAAAGCTGGACTGTTTCGAGGGTCATCAAGGAATCGGGAATTACCGTGGAGCCCAGTCTAGCACAGACTCCTCTGACCCAAAGCAAACCTTAATCTCAGATTCTGCTTCTCTGGAATGAAAATCCCACATCACAATTTTGGATTTTTGGAGGGTAAGGCCCCACACAGCTCAGACGTTTTAGCACCTGATGGAACTGCTTCAGTACAATCCTGTGAACAGAAGGAGGCAAGAAAAAAGTCAAAAAAGAGCAGGCAGTTAACCATAAAGCCAAGGGTAAACTGGGGCAGGATTTCTGGAAGGTGACCTGGCAGCAGCCATCAAGGGTCTTAAGACCATCCACCTCTCTGACCTGGTAAATCCAGTGACAGAGGCCCACCCCATCATGGGCAGAAACTCATATAAAAAGGTATTCACTTGGCCAAGTATGGTGGCTCACACCTGTAATCCCAGCACTTCAGGAGAAGCCAAGGCGGGCAGATCATTTGAGCCCAGGAGTTTAAGACCAGCCTGGGCAACACAGCAAGACCCTGTCTCTACAAAAAGAAAAAAAACGACAGATGAGTGTAGTGATGTGCATCTGTAGTCCCAGCTACTCAGGAGGCTGAGGTGGGAGGATCACAGGAGGTCAAGGCTGCAGTGAGCTCTTACTGCACCAGTGCAGATGCAGAGTGAGATGGCAGAGCGAGATCCTGTTTCAAAAACAAACAAAAAAAAAACCCCACAAAAAAATTCACTGAATGTAATTAATGCCACTGAACTGTACATTTAAAAATGGTTAAAATGACCCAAGTGCCCATCAATGAATGATAGATTAAATATATATATATATACACACACACACACACACACACACACAAACAATTGAATTATTACTCAAGCTTAAAAAGGAAGGGGTTCTGAAACACAGTAAAACACAGATGAACTTTGAGGACATGATGTGAAATAAGTCACAAAAAGACAAATACTGCATGATTCCACTTAAATAAAGTTTCTAGAGTCGTCAGATTCCTAGAGATAGAAAGTAGAATGGTGGTTACAGGGACTGGGCGTGGGGGAAGAAGCACTGTTCTTTAATGGGTGGAAATGAGTACAGATTTTCAGTTTTGCAAGGTGGAAAGAGTTCTGGAGATGGATGATAGTGATGGGTGCATGACAGGAATATACTTAACACCATTTAGCTGTGCGGCTAAAAATGGTAAATTTTATGTTATTTTACCATAATTTTAATTTTTAGTGGTTAAAATGTCAAATTTGTATATATATTTCACCATAATTTTTAAAAAGTAATAATGTAATATACCAAAACCCATTAAATTGGCTGCTTTAAAGGGTTGAATTGTATGGTACATGAATTACCTCAGTGAAGCTATTTAAAAAAAGAGAGAGAAGTTCACTGAAACATTATACTAACCAGCTGCATAAAGAACCACTCGAAATGTCCAACAAAAATTCATTAAAATTAGATAAATTAAACCATAACTCCACTACAAAGTAATAATATGGCCCTTAAAAATAATATTTACACAAGATTTACTAATACATGGAAACGTTCACATTAACTAAGGCCGGACACCCAACTACACAGCAACATCTTAACTATATAAAAAAGATTTACACATAATTATCTCAAAAGTTGGCAAGAAAATTAAACCTTCCTCATACTGCACAGGAACCTTCCCCATGACTCTTCATCTGCTCCCCTCTTGAGATGCCAGCCTTTCAAAACCTGCAGCCAATGTCCACGGACTCCCAGAAACCGAAGGGTCTGAACCCTGAGGGCTAGAGTCAAGTCACCCAGGGAGCTTTTCAAAAAACCCAGACTTGGCCGGGCGCGGTGGCTCACACCTGTAATCCCAGCACTTTGGGAGGCCGAGGAGGGCGGATCACAAGGTCAGGAGATCGAGACCATCCTGGCTAACATGGTGAAACCACCTCTACTAAAAATACAAAAAATTAGCCGGGCATGGTGGTGGGTGCCTGTAGTCCCAGCTACTCAGGAGGCGGAGGCAGGAGAATGGCATGAACCCAGGAGGCGGAGCTTGCAGTGAGCCAAGATCGCCCCACTGCACTCCAGCCTGGGGAACAGAGCAAGACTCCGTCTCAAAAACGAAAAAACAAAAAAACCAGATTCACTGAGAAGAGAAAAGCAAACAGCTGTGTGTGAACTGCCTATGAACAGGGTGGGCTCTAGAAGGGGCCTCCAGCCAATGCCAGCAAGGAAATGGGGACTCAGTCCTACAACTGCCAGGAGGTAAGCACTGCCAGCAACCCAGGTGAGCTTAGAAGAGAACCCCAAGCCCCAGCAGGGAATGCAGCCCCGGCCAACACCTCAACTGCAGCCTGAGGAGACCCCAAGCAGAGGAGCCAGCTCTGCTGTGCCCAGAAACTGTGACATCAAAAAACAAACTCATTAATCAGACCAGCTGCGCACGTGTGTGACTTTTTAACTACATGGGCAGCCAGAGTAGGGACCTGCTGCCCTTGGCCTCTGCCAGACTAAATGTTCCATTTCCTGTAACCACTCTGTTCTTTGGGCTTAGCAGCACCAAGCACTAGGAGACTACGGCTTCTCAGGCCTAGACCCGTCCACCAGCACCAGGCAAAACTTGGGCTCCTAATGTACCAGCCTGCTGACTGGCAGAAGTCCTGGTGAAGTGAAAACATCCCCAACCTTTTTTCCAAATGAACAGCCCAGCCCAGCCTTTGAAAAGCCCCCTTGGCCAGGCATGGTGGCTCATGCCTGGAGTCCCAGCACTTTGGGAGGCCAAGGCGGGTGGATCGCTTGAGCCCAGGAGTTTGAGACTGGCACGGGCAACATGAAGACACCTCATCTCTACAAAAAAATACAAAAATTAGCTGGGCATGGTGGCATGTGCCTGCCGTCCCAGCTACTCAGAAGGCTGAGGTGGGAGAATCGCCTGAGCCTGGAGAGGTCAAGGCTGCGGTGAGCCATGATCGCACCACTGCACTCCAGCCTGGGCGACAGAGTGAGACCTTGTTTCAAAAAAAATTTTTTTTTAATTAAAAAAAAGTTAAAGTCCTCTTGTAGCCTGGGCAACATAGTGAAACCTTGTCTCTACAAAAAATTTAAAAATTACCTGGGGGGATGGTGGTGCATGCCTGTAGTCCCAGCTACTTGAGATGCTGAGATGAGGGGACTGTTTGAGCCCAGGAGGTTGAGGCTGCAGTGAGTTGTGAGTGTGCCACTGCACCAGCCTGGGCAGCGGAGTAAGACCCTGTCTCTAAATAAATAAATAAAAAGCCCGCTTTGAGCTTCAAACCAAAACAGCTCTGAAAAAAGTGCAGTCAGGGACAGACCACCAGACCTAAGCCACCGGCTCTGGTCCACCCTGGATGTCTGAGCCCACACGGTGACATCTACATATCTGAGGATGTTCCCTAGGAGGAAGTCCTGCTCCAGCCTTTGATGTCCAAGGTCTCGTCAGTATCATGCCCTGTCATATGCCTTGTCTTGCTTTTTTTTTTTTTTTGAGACGCAGTCTTGCTCTGTCACCCAGGCTGGAGTGCAGTGGTGGATCTTGGCTCACTGCAAGCTCTGCCTCCCGAGTTCATGCCATTCTCATGCCTCAGCCTCCTGAGTGGCTGGGACTACAGGCGCCCGCCACCACGCCCGGCTAATTTTTTTTTTGTATTTTTAGTAGAGACGGGGTTTCACTGTGTTAGCCAGGATGGTCTCTTGACCTCATGATCTGCCCGCCTTGGCCTCCCAAAGTGCTGGGATTACAGGCGTGAGCCATCGCGCCTGGCCCCGCCTTGTCTTAAAATTCAATAAAGTGACCCTCCTCCCTTGGGAATGACTCCAATTAATTCACAGACTTGAAAGCAGGGAGAAAGGAGAGACAAAGAAGAAAACATCCATTTTCCCCTCTCCTTTCAGATCTATCCCCTGCACTCATGGGGACAAAGGAGACAGGGCACCCCAGTCCTACCAATACCTTCCCCTGCATCCCAACAGCTGACTGCAATAGTTTCCACCCATGGTATTAGGCGGCAGACCCCTAGCTGGCTTTCTGGGGGCGCAGCTGCCCAGCCCAAAGCAGCAGACGCTTCCACAAGAAGCCTCAAGCTTCCTGAGGAGTGAAAACAAAGCACCTCTCCCAGCCCGCCAGCCCATCCCCATCAACCTTCCCAGACTTCCTTGCCAGAGTTTCTGGAACCTGAGACTGTGGCCTTAGCAGGATAAATAAGCAACCGCGGGGCTCACAAGGGCCGGGGAAGCCAGGAGATGACACAGGCATGGCGGGACCCAGTCTCCGATGCTTCCTCAGACATTCCTTTCTAGAGCCTTCCTGGCTCTTGCACAGAGAAGAGAAGAGTCTTCTGGAGCCACTCACACCATCTGGCCACTAAAGAAATGCCATGAGAGAGGAAACCAGACTTATGTTAATAATCACAACCTGCATTTGTTAGGGCCAAATTCTTTTTTTTTTTTTTGAGACGGAGTTTCGTTCTTGTCGCCTTGGCTGGCGTGCAATGGTGTGATCTTGGCTTACTGCAACCTCTGCCTCCCAGGTTCAAGTGATTCTTTAGCCTCAGCCTCCTGAGTAGCTGGGATCACAGGTGTGCACCCCCACGTCCAGCTAATTTTTGTGTATTTGTAATAGAGACCGGGTTTCGCCATGTTGGCCAGCCTGGTCTTGAACTCCTGACCTCAGGTGATACACCAGCCTCGGCCTCCCAAAGTGCTGGGATTACAGGTGTGACCTACTGTGCCCAGTCCTGTTAGGGCCAAATTCTAACAGTACCTCACCAGCTGCTCCAGGGAACAAGGGCGGGCCCATGCAACTGCTCCACGACAAGATGCCTCCCTTGGGTATCACGATTCGGCCCGGTGCATAGCAGTCCTAGATCCCAGATCCTCACCCTGCTCCACAGCCCCACAAGGCCAGGCTCTGCCCCAGGCACCACCAGCATGGTGCCCAGCATCACGTTCCTCTTCACTTATCCATGGCCACCAGCCACAGGGAACAGCCGCCACAGCCACCCTTTCACTCCCCTTACCTGCGGTGGCCTCCCACCAGGAAAATGCCTTCAAAGCATAGCTACAACATGTCAGGCCCATGGACTGGACCCCTGCAAAGCCATATCACCCTGATAGCTGTTCAGCAGTAACCCAGCCACCTCTCTTTGGGGGTCACCAACCTTCCCATAGACCCAAACACATCACTCACCTTTCTGGAGCCCCTACTTGGAATAATCTCCCCCTGGGACTCCAGCCCACCAGTCCCCTCCTCGGCACACGGACAAAGATGTGGCCCTGCCCCGGAACAGAGCAGGCCGACGGTGGACACTCGGGGAGCACTCGGACCCTAATCCTGAATCCCCACCCACCTCCTCCCTGCTGCCAGAATGCTGGACACTGTGGTCCAATTTAGTGCTCTGGTCTCTCCTATACTCACTTGGAGCCTGGCTTCTGTCCTTTATCCCATAACCTCCTAACAGTCACTTCCTTTTAGCCTTTCCGCAACATAAACTCCCCCACTTCTTTCTCTCACGTGACCTCCCCCAGGACGCAAGGCCCAAGGGCCTGCTCCGGCCCTCCACTCCACACACCCTCCGCAACCCACGCTTCTGTCCTTCCTCTTCATTCCTGGCCTGGTCCTCTCTCCGAAAGGCCCTGAAACCTGCCAGCACAGCGCTCACCATCCCCAGGCTCATACAGCCTCCCTTTCTGTCACCCCCTCCCCAGAATCAGCTCATATTCCTTGTCCTCTCCATCCCTCCCCATTCCTCCCCACCGCCCCTCAAGACAACAGCTCCAGGTACCTGACTCCCACTGGACCATCACACACACTTTTGCCAAACTCACCTTCCCAAGGCAAAGCTCCAAAGGCATCCCCTCTCCAGCTTAACAACCTTCAGTGGCTCCCTATCATCCTCAAAGAAAGCACAACACCCTCAGCCTGGCTTCGGAGACCCACATAGGATGACCCCAACTCTCCTATCCCTCACCTTCCCTGTTGTCCACATTTTATACCAACTCTCCAACCAGAGCCTGCTACTTTCTGAGCATACAGTTGGCCCTCCACAGCCTCAAGTTCCACATCTGCAGATTCAAGCAACCTCAGAATGAAACTATTTGGAAAGAAATAACCAACAATAAGAATAATATAAATGTAATAACAATACACTGTAACAACTATTTACAAAGCATTTATATTTTATTAGATAAAGCCATACCTTGCTTAAAAGGGGATATGTTGAGAAATGCATCATTAGGCAATGTCATCTTCATGCAAACATCATAGAGTGTACCTACACAAACCTACACGACAGAGCCTACTACACACCTAGGCTACGTGGCACAGCCTATTGCTCCTAGGCTACAAACCTGTGCAGCATGTTACCGTACTGAATACCGTAAGCAATTGTGACACAGTGGTATCTGTTTCTAAACATACCAAATGTAGAAAAGGTACAGTAAAAACACAGTATTATAATCTTATGGGACCACCATCAATAACCAAAATGTCGTTATGTGGTGCATGACTGTATTATAAGTAATCTCAAGATGATTTAAAGTGTACAGGAAGATGTGTATAGGTTATATGCAAAAGCTAGCTATGGCATTTTACATAAGGACTTGAGCATCCAAGGATTCTGGGATCCCCAAGGGCAGGGGTCCCCAACCCCCGGGCCATGAACTGGTATCAGTCCGTGGCCTGTTAGGAACTGGGCCGCAGAGCTGGAGGTGAGCGGTAGGCGGAGAGTGACGCTTCATCTGTATTTACAGCTGCTCCTCATTGCTCCATTACTGCCTAAGCTCTACCTCCTGTCAGGCCGGCAGCAGTATTAGATTCTCATAGGAGCAGAAGCCCTATTGTGGCTTATGTATGCGAGGGATCTAGGCTGTGCAGGCTCCTCATGAGAATCTAATACCTGATGATCTGAGCTGTTAACAGTCCCATCCTGAAACCATCCCCTAACCCCCAGTCTGTGGAAAAATTTCTTCCATGAAACTGGTCACTGGTGTCAAAAAGGAGGCTGGGGACTGCTGCCCAAGGGAATCCTGGAACCAATTTCCTGCGGATATCGAGAGACGACTATACTGAATGCTTCAAGCCTCCGAGTTCTTGCCCACATTCCCTGCCTGGAATACCCTCCCCTCCACAACCTCGTCCCCTAAGAAACAGGACAGATGTAAGGTTTCCCTTCCCGCACAGCCCCTGGCACTGATCCATCCACAGAGTCTCGCCACCTGCCTTATGTTACCGTTACTTTAGGTGCCTGCTTGTCCCGGCTCCCACCCTGGCCTGCTGGCTCCTGGCACTTATTTAAGGACTGTGTCCGAGCCACCTTCTTATCTGCCTACACATCCAGAGGGACGCTGGCACTGAAAAAACCCCTCCTGAAGATCAGTGTTTTCCCATCAACTCTGCCACTTATAAAACACTAGAGGCTTAACACTACTAAACTGCACACTGAGAAGTGGTTGAGATGGTACATTTTAGAGTATGTGTATTTTACTACAATTTAAAAAAACACACATTAAAAATGAAGGAGAGAGAAGGGATCATGGTGACTGCAGAAAGTGGCTGACTGGCACTGTCCTGTCTTTCCATTTTTGTGGAGATTTGAAGATGGCAATGTTTTTTTATTTCTCTTTAAAATTTGTACCTGTTATTAAAAAAGCAGTGGTATTTATTTATTTATTTAATTTGTTTTTAATTTTGAGAGTTTCACTCTTGTTGCCCAGGCCAGAGTGCAATGGCACGATCTCGGTTCACTGCAACCTCCGCCTCCCGGGTTCAAGCCATTCTCCTACCTCAGCCTCCCGAGTAGCTGGGATTACAGGCGCCTGCCACAATGCCCAATTAATTTTTTGTATTTTTAGTAGAGATGGAGTGTCACCATGTTGGCCAGGCTGGTCTTGAACTCCTGACCTTAGGTGATCCACCCACCTCGGCCTCCCAAAGTGCTGGGATTACAGGCGCGAGCCACCGCGCCCGGCCGGTTTTTATTTTTTGAGACAGTCTCGCTCTGTCACCCAGGCTGGAGTGCAGTGGCAAGATCTTGGCTCACTGCAACCCCTGCCTCTCGGGTTCAAACAATTCTCCTGCCACAGCCTCCTTGAGTAGCTGGGATTACAGGCGTGCACCAACATGCCCAGCTGATATTTTTTTTTTTTTTTTTTTTGAGACGGAGTTTCGCTCTTGTAGCCCAGGCTCAAGTGCAATGGCGCGATCTTGGATGATTGCAACCTCTGCCTCCTGAGTTCAAGCGATTTTCCCGCCTCAGCCTCCCAAGTAGCTGGGATTACAGGCATGTGCCACCATGCCCAGCTAATTTTGTATTTTTAGTAGAGACGGGGTTTCTCCATGTTGGTCAGGCTGGTCTCAAACTCCCGACCTCAGGTGATCCGCCTGCCTCGGCCTCCCAAAGTGCTAGGATTACAGGCGTGAACCACTGCTCTCAGCCTGCTCAGCTCATTTTTGTATTTTTGGTAGAGACGACATTTCACCATGTTGGCCAGGCTGGTCTTGAACTCCTGACCTCAGATGTTCTGCCTGCCTCGGCCTCCCAAAGTGTTGGGATTACAGGCATGAGCCACCACTCCCGGCCAAAAAAAAGCAATGGTTTTTATGTGTATTTATTTATTTCCTTTTTAGAGATAGGGTCTTGCTTGCTCTGTCGCCCAGGCTGGATGGAGTGCAGTGGTGCAATCATAGTTTGCTCCAGCCCTGAATTCCTGGGCTCAAGCCATCCTATCGCCTCAGCCCCCAGAAGAGCTGAGATTACGGGCACATGCCACCATGCCCAGCTCACTTTTAAATTTTTTGTAGAGATGGGGTCTTGCTATGTTGCCCAGGCTGATCTCAAATTCCTGGGAATAAGAGATCCACCCGGCCGGGCACAGTGGCTCATGCCTGTAATCCCAGCACTTTGGGAGGCCGAGGTGGGTGGATCACGAGGTCAGGAGATCGAGACCATCCTGGCTAACACGGTGAAACCCCGTCTCTACTAAAAATACAAAAAAAATTAGCTGGGCGTTGTGGCAGGCGCCTGCAGTTCCAGCTACTCGGGAGGCTGAGGCAGGAGAATGGCGTGAACCTGGGAGGCGGAGTTTGCAGTGAGCCGAGATTGCTCCACTGCACTCCAGCCTGGGCGACAGAGCGAGACCCCATCTCAAAGAAAAAAGAAAGAAAAAAAAAAAGAAAAAAAAAATGGAGACCCACCCACCTCAGCCTCCCAAGATGCTGGAATTACAAGCATGAGCCACCACGCCCAGCCTGGCAACAGTTTTCACATCAAGACCATCTGAAAAGTAGGTTTCAGGTAACAATCCATGTCTCCAAAAACAAATGTGGACAATTTTTATCCATGTTCCTAAGGGAGAAAGTGGAAAGCTTTTGGAAGTCAAAATTCATAAATGAGTTCCATTTATCACTCTAAGATGTGGGCAAAAATAAACAGTGCTTCTGCACACCCCCACAGAGGGAACAGGCTACGCTGAGCTTCCACTTAACTAGGGTGATTCACAAAATCAGAGCAGGGCTTCCAACCAGTCAGACGGCGGCTCTGAGCCCAGCACAACCACCTCCGTGCCTCAGGGACAGAGAACTGGATGTGGGCATTGCCAGCCCACCCTTGGCACCCCTGGGCTCACGCCAATGCATCACTTCACAATACTGGGAAGGACTGTGGGACAAAGATGATCCTATCTACCCAGATAAGGTAGGAGTCAAATGACCCCTGCGGGTGACCTGAGCCCTCCACCTAAAACCTCCCAACACTCAGCTAAGAGGGTTCCTGTCACTCCTCCACAGGGACCCCTGTGAGAGAAGACATTCTGCAAAATGCAGCAGGCTACACAAAGTACCATCTGCCCAGCTCCCTCAAGCACAGGGCAACTCAGCCTCTCCCCAAAAGGGGAATTTGCAGATGGATCCAAACATGCAGTCCATTGCATAACCTTCAAAATGTAAGAACTCCACTCAGCCCAGGAGGATTATAGGAGGAGAATGAGGGCCCTGACACACCCCAGGGTCCCCCCGGAGCTCATACTGGTTATACAATGGCTGAGCCAAGTGAGTGAAATGTCCATACTAAATTATGCATTTCTTCTTAAGATTTTTTGCTAAGTGATGTTCAATCAACTGACATCAGATACATGAACAGGAGACTCTATGAGACCAGACAGGAGGCCAGATGGTCTGCACCCGCTACTCCCACGAAGCCCCCAAGGGGAAGGGTCACCCTCTCCAGCTGACAGAAGTCAAGGGAGAATTAAGTCCCTGTGCAAGACCACACAGTGGCAAGTGCCAGGTCTCTGGGCAAGTCCAGATCTTTTCCCTTCAAAGTCTGCACTGTCAACATATGTTGCCTGTAGGTTGCTTCGAATGCTCATCAATACCTCGTCATGTGCAGAAAATCTCTCCCTACTCTACGGGCATACAAACTGACCCCAGCAGCACTTTAAACACGGAAGCATGTCAGGCCTTTAAAGTGAAGTGAATCTTCAAAAACTCTTCTTGAGCCAACAGTGGCACTTGAGTAGAGGATCTCCCCGGGCTGCTCAATTCCTTGCTCTGCCTGGCTCTCTCTCTCTGTGGCTGCTGCACAAGGCTCCCCTCTCTTCTTCTGGGGTCCCCTTGGCTGTGTCCTGGCTTTGCCTGGAGATGGTTCCTTCCCAGTGCTCCCTGGTCACTCACCTGGCTCTCTGGGCCCTGCACCTGGCCCTGTGCACACACAGCCGGCTACCTCTGTGTATCTCCGCTACATCTTCCCAGCCAGACCTCGTCCCTCTGCCCCTCCCAGAACCTGCACAACAGACCACTGTCAGCAGCAGGTCAGCATTCACAGCCCTTGACTGTTGGTGGGAAAAGCAGATGGATGGGCAGCGCCCTTCCAACAGTTCTGTCTTCTTGGGCCCCTTGCCACACAACTTGCTGGAGAAGCCTTACCAAAGTGTCCCAGAAGGAGCTATCAAGAGTCAGGAAATCCCTATCTTGGAGATTTGCAAAATGAGAGGGGAAACATGTTCCTAGACAGCTGACACCTTCAAGACCCAGACTAAAGGCTGGGGTCAGTTGATTTCTATCATGGCACTTAGGTTAATGAGGCTGTCTTCCCACCAGACCAAAGCCGACCTGCTGGAAGGCCTGCCTGACTGTACTGAGCACCATCTGTGCCCAACACAGCAGGTGCCCAAAACCGGTTTGCTGAGCAAATGATCCAGGTCTCCTCCACCTCCGCAAAGTCATTCTGTGTCTGCTCTCATGTGATTAACACAACCACTCAGTCTGAGGAGAGAGGCAGCGCCAGCCCCTCCACCAACCACTTGACCTTGGGCAGGTTACTCCAGGCCAGAGTGTCTCATACCCCCTCAGACTCAATCAGTGGAGGGAGTATAATTATAATCCTGCTCCAGCCACTTTACAAGAAACTTTCGAGGGCCCATGAAGCAGCCTCCATGAAAGTCATATTTACTACTTCAGTGGGGTGTCCGGTCTTCACACCCCAGCCCCAGGAAGGTGGGTCTATGAATGTGCTGATTGCTCTGCCCATGGGCACCAGCCACCATCCACATCTATAGTCATTTTGCAAAGTCGTGGCAGTGAGAGCTAGAACCCAAGACAGCTAATTAGCAGGCCCCAGTCTGAGGATTCGGGAAGTTCTCTAAGGGTGAGCCAGGGAGTACCAATCACCAGCAAAGAAGGAAACAGAACCAGCGGGATAATCTCCAAAGCCAACGTTTCATCGCCGGGCCACCTGTATCACTAGGCCCCCAAAAACCCACCACCACTTATTAGACATGATTAAGCGGGGTTGGGCCAGAACAGGGGAAGGTCTGAGCAAATAAAAATCTCAGAGATGGTGTGTATCATTCCATCTTCAATCTGCAAACACCCACGGGGCCCGAGACACAGACCTCCATGGGCTCAGGTGCATCGTCACATCAAACACTGTTAAAGGGCCAGAGTGTGGCCCATCCTGCAGGACACTACAGCAGGGCATACTCTGTGCTTAAGGATCCCATCACCCTAAAAAGGAAGCCAGATAGACAAAGGATTAACAGGAAACAGCTGCAAATATACCGTTAAAGAAAGATACGCAGGGGAAAATGCTTTGACATTAGAAAGGTTTTGTTTGTTTGTTGTTGTTTTAAAGACAAGGCCCTTGGAGATCAGCCTTTCCATAAATCAATGAATAAGGAAGAAAGGATTTCCATGAAGATAGTGCCAGGCACAAAGTAGATGCTCAATAAATACCTTTGAGCGATTGGATAGGGAGAGGTGGTTGCCTTCGTTTTTAATAAGGGAGACATAAACCAAGATAAACAGAAAAGAGATGGAAAAAGTTGTGTTAATAATACATTCAGGCTGTGTGCAGTAACTCACATCTATAATTATTCCCAGCACTTCGGGAGGCCGAGGCGGGAAGGATCGTTTGAGGCCAGGAGTTTGAGACCAGCCTGGGCAACAAAGCAAGACCCTGTCTCAACAAAAATTAAAAATTAGCCAGGCATGGTGGCACGCGCCTGTAGTACCAGGTATTCAGGAGGCTGAGGAGAGAGGATCGCTTGAGCCCGAGAGTTTGTGGCTACAGTGAGCTATGATCATGCCACTATACTCCAGCCTGGGCAACAGAGCGAGACCCTTTATCTATTAAAAAAAAAGGTAATAAATTTTAAATTTAAAGAAAAAAATTAAAGAAGCTAACGAAAGAACCTTAGCAATGACCTGTTCCCACCCCTACTTTTTGGATGTGGAGAGAGATGGCAGCACACGAAGTTTTAGCACGCAGCCCTCCTGATGCCTGGCTCAGTGTCCTCTAGGCCCCTCTAGGCTGCCTAAAACCACATGACGCTTGGCTCACACTCCTCCTAACACGTCTGAGGGAGCCGGCACAAACACCATCTCCCTCTGCCTGGCAGCCCTTTCCTCTGCTGCCCAGTAACGGACTCACCAAGTGTTACGAACTAAACCATGCCTCACTCCCCATATGTTGACGTTCTAACTCCCAGTACCTCAGAATGTGACTGTATTTGGAAATAAGGCCTTTCAAGAACTGATTAAGTTAAAGCAGGGGTCTTTACTGCCCACCTTAATCCAGTCTTACTGGTGTCCTTTTAAGAAGGGAAATTTGGGCCGGGTGCAGTGGCTCATGCCTATAATCCCAGCACTTTTGGAGGCCGAGGAGGGCGGATCACCTAAGGTCAGAAGTTCGAGACCAGGCTGGCTAACATGGTGAAACCCCGTCTCTACTAAAAATACAAAAATTACCCAGGTGTGTTGGCAGGCACCTGTAATCCCAGCTACTCGGAAGGCTGAGGCGGGAGAATTGCCTGAACCTGGGAGGTGGAGGTTGCAGTGAGCTGAGACTGTGCCATTGCACTCCAGTCTGGGTGACAAGAGTGAAACTCCGTCTCAAAAACAAAAAAAGAAGGGAAATTTGGACACAGAGAGATGCCAGGGGAGTTCATGCACAGAGAAAAAGACCATGTGCAGAGGCAGCAAGACCATGGCACCTGCAAGCCAATGAGAGCCCTCCAGGGAACCAACCCTGCTGGCACCTTGATCTTGGACTTTTGGCATCCAGAAGTGTGAGAAAATATATTTCTGTTATTTAAGCCACCCAGTCTTGGTATCTTGTTATGGGACAGCCTTGGCAAACTAATACTCTGGGCCACTTCAAAGCTAAGGGCGTGAAGGCCCAGGGAAGATCGCCATTGCTAACGGGTGTTTTCCGGAAGAGAACACCCTTGTGACGGATCAGAGCTGGGAGTTAACTCAGTCTTAAGACTGAGAGGGCTAGGCTAGGAGCGGTGGCTCATGCCTATAATCCCAGCACTTTGGGAGGCCGAGGCGGGTGGATCACGGGGTCAAACGATTGAGACCAGCCTGGCCAACATGGTGAAACCCCATCTCTACTAAAAATACAAAAAATTAGCCGGGTGTGATGGCAGGCGCCTGTAATCCCAGCTACTTGGGTGGCTGAGGCAGGAGAATTACTTGAACCTGGGAGGGAGAGGTTGCAGTGAGCCGAGATCGTGCCATTGCACTCCAGCCTGGGCAAAATAAGAGCGAAACTCCGTCTCAAGAAAAGAAAGAAAGAAAAAAAAGAAAAGACTGAGAGTGTCGCCCTGGGGAACTTCAAAGCCCTGCTTGAGTGAAATCAGCCAGACACAGGACAAATATTATAAGACTCCACTTACACGAGGCATCTAGGAGAGGCAAAATCATGGAGACAGAGTAGAACGGTGGCTTCCGGGAGCTGGGGATGAGGGGGAATGGGGAGTTAAAGTCTGATGGATATGAAGTTTCAGTTTGGGAAGATGAAAAAGTTCTAGAAATTGACAAGTGGTGATGGTTGCAAAACAAGGTGATGTACTTAATGCCACTGAACTGTACACTTAAAAATGGAGAAAATGGTGCATCTTATAATATAAATTTTAGCCGGGCGCAGTGGCTCAGGCCTGTAATCCCAACATTTTGGGAGGCTGAGGGGGGCAGATCACCTGAGGTCAGGAGTTCAAGACCAGCCTGGCCAACATGGTGAAACCCTGTCTCTACTAAAAATACAAAAATTAGCTAGGCTAATTAGCTGTAATCCCAGCTACTCGGGAGGCTGTGGCAGAAGAATCGCTTGAACCTGGGTGGCGGGGGTTGTAGTGAGCCTAGATCGTGCCACTGCACTCCAGCCTAGGTGACAGAGTGAGACCCCGTCTTGAAAAAATAAAAAATATAACATGAATTTTACAATAATAAAAATAACAAACTTCTAACATGTTACATGGATATTGTATTTTAATTAAAATAACTACACTTTTCAAAAGGGGAAAAAAAAAACCTACTTGAGCCACAACAGTTGTATTCCAGTCAGGGTCAAGATATTCCCTGGGGTTCATAGTTAATTTAATCCACCACCACCCCGAGTCTTGACCCAAAAAGCAGCAGCCTCAGCCAAAACTCAGACCTACTCTTTGGTAACCTGAGAAAGCTTCCAAGATGCCCATTCATTCACTCTAAACAGGGGACCCTCTCAAACCACAGGGGTGAGCTGCAGCCTGGGCCTCATGCACTGCTGTGTCCTCTCCCAAGTGTGCTCAAGCACATAGCTCACCTGGGCTCTTTGTCCTGGTGAGGTTAGCAGTCACAAACACAAGCCCTCCCAGCCACAGGACTTCCAACCAAGGAAGGAAGGAGGCTATAAAGCTAGAAGCAACAAACTAAGCAAAAGGGAGTCATGGATAAGGCATGCTCCCCTGAACCCAGTCAAATCAACAGCACTCCCAGCTCCTTCTTCAGTGAAATGTTTCAGAATGCTCCATTCTGTTCCCAAAACAAGTCAGCCTTCCTGAACCAGAGAACGCTTGTAAAATTTGATCTAGACTCTGCTTCTGTGCTGCTGATGCCTTTAGCGGCCTCAGACTCCACCCAGATCTGCCCACTCTGTCTCCATCCATGGAAAGGAGCCTGTACTCAACTGAGAGGTGGCCACGAGGCTCTGGCCTTAAGAGATGACGATGGAGCCAACTCCAGGCCCAGGTGACCTTTCTCTGCCCCACAGTTACTCACTCAAACTGGTTGCCAGTCCAGCCCATCACCCAAGGGAAAAACAATGCAGTGGTCACTCTGGCGCCAACTCATCACCGGAATTCAAAGGGCAAATTAAGCTGCTTAATAAAAATGTGAAAACACAGGGCAGCCACTCACATGAAGTCCATGAAGAAACACAAGATCTGTCCCGTCTCACAACTGACACCTGGAAGAAAGTTGACAGGCACATTGGGCTGGGTGTTTGAATCAAGAATTCCTCAGACCTCCCAGCATAAACAAATAATAAATGTGTTTGAGGTGATGAATATGCTAATCACTTCAATCTGATCATTATGCATTGCAGATATGTATCAAAATATCACACCCTCTAAATAGGTACAATTATTATGTCTCAATGGGGGAAAAAAAGAAAAAGGAGGAGGCTGGGTGTGGTGGCTCACGCCTGTAATTCCAGCACTTTGGGAGGCTGAGGTGGGTAGATTGCTTAAGCCCAGGAGTTCGAGGCCAGCCTGGGCAACATAGGGAGATCCAATCTCTATTAAAAAAAAAAAAAAGAGAGAGAGAGAGAAAGAGAAGGAGAAACGTCTGCTGTCCCAACTGATATCGAGCCAGCTGCAACACAAATAAGACAGCCCCTCCTCCCCAATGTCAATCAGCCTGCAATCACAGAATGTGTGGGTGAGGCTAACTAGACCGTCCTATTTCAGCCCAGTGGGCCCACAACAGGAAAACTGCCTAGCCAACCAGAGAACTGTGAAAAAAAAAAAAAAAAAAAGTATTTTAAGCCACTTAAAAAAAAAAGATCCTCAGAAAGTAAACTACAGGGATGAAATGAGAAAAAGACCGAGTAATTGATAAGTCACTTTCCAATGATCAGTAAAAGTCCCCAGTCCTGACCCCATGGGCTATGAAAAGGAGGAAGGGCTCTTCCAGTATGTGCTATGTGTAAAGCTCAGAACCAGGCTCCCTGGGACACCCAGAAATGAACCAGTTATTCCTGCCTTCAAAAAGCACAGTTGGCCCAGAGCAGTGGCTCATGCCTATAATCCCAGCACTCTGGGAGGCCAAGACGGGTGGATCACTTGAGGTCAGGAGTTCCAGACCAGCCTGGCCAACATGGCGAAACCCCGTCTCTACTGAAAATACAAAAATTAGCTGGGTGTGGTGGTGCACACCTGTAATCCCAGCTACTCGGGAGGCTGAAGCAGGAGAATCCTGAACTCCTGAAGCAGGAGACTCTTGAAGCTTGAACTGGGGAGGCAGAGGCTGCAGTAAGCAGAGATCACGCCACTGCACTCCAGCCTAGAGTGAAACTCCATTAAAAAAAAAATCCACACAATTTCTGCCATCACATGGATGAACATTGGTAACATTACACTCAGTGAAATAAGCCAATCACAAAAAGACGAATGCCACAGGACTGGACTTACATGAGGTATCTATAATAGCTGAATTCAGAGACACAGATGGAGAATGGCAGTGCCAGGGGCTGGGGGCAGGGAATGGGGAGTTATTATTCACTGGGTACAGAGCTTCAGTCGGGAAGATGAAAAAGTTCAAGATGGACAGTAGTGATGGTCGTACAACAATGTGAATGTAGTCAACACCACAGAACTGTATGGATAAAAATGGTTAAAATGTTCCCCTGCTTCACTTGACTGGCCTTACCCAAAGAAACAATTTAAAAGGGTTAAGACAGTAACTTTTGTTATGTGCATTTTACCAAACTTTTTAAAAGTTACAAAAATGGTAAATTTTAAGTTAAGCATATTTTACCATTTAAAGAAAAGCACACAGCCTAGAATCACAAGGCAGACGTGGGTGGCCCCAGGCCTTTGCTGCCATTTTTCCTTAGGGCAAACGGCTACTCTCTGCCCTCCAACTTCTGGTGACTGATCAAGTCCTCTTCAGTCCTGCCATTTCCGGAAGCTTCTCTGATCTCACTTCCCTTGAGCACATACATGTGTGCCTCTCCCTCTCTTCCGGTAACTTGTAAGTTCCCAGATCGCAAGAACCACACTATCCGCCTTGCGCGGGTGGCTCACGCCTGTAATCCCAGCACTTTCGGAGGCTGAGGCGGGCGGAACCCGAGGTCAGAAGATCGAGGCCATACTGGCTAACACAGTGAAACCCCGTCTCTACTAAAAATACAAAAAAATTAGCTGGGTGTGGTGGTGGGCGCCTGTGGTCCCAGCTACCCAGGAGGCTGAGGCAGGAGAATGGTGTGAAGCCGAGAGGCGGAGCTTGCAGTGAGCCGAGATCGCTGGGCTGCACTCCAGCCTGGGCGACAGAGCGAGGCTCCGCCTCAAAAAAACAACAACAACAAAAAAAACAGAGAGAACCACACTCTCCTTCTGTGAGTTCCGCATAGTTTTTTGTTTGTTTTTTGAGACTGTGTCTCGCTCTGTCGCCCAGGCTGGAGTGCAGCCCAGCGATCTCGGCTCACTGCAAGCTCCGCCTCCCCTAGTTCACGCCATTCTCCTGCCTCAGCCTCCCGAGTAGCTGGGACTACAGGCGCCGGCCACCACACCCGGCTAATTTTTTGTATTTTTAGTAGAGACGGGGTTTCACCGTGTTAGCCAGGATGGTCTCCATCTCCTGCCCTTGTGATCCACCCGCCTTGGACTCCCTAAGTGCTGGGATTACAGGCTTGAGCCACCGCGCCCGGCCGGGTTCTGCATAGTTTTACAGCAGGGCTCACAGCCGTCTATCATTACCCCCACAGGCGGGCCCAGGGTGCAAAGACTGGAAGGACGCCCTGAACCTCCCCAGTTGTGCTTTGCAGGTAGCAGTGTGGGGTAGTGGGAAGAACACCGCAGGGCCACCACGTGCCAAACGGAACAGCTCTGCATTCACACAGAGACCCAGAATCCCAGCCTTGCCGCTTCCCAGTTGTGTCTTTACCTGTAAATGGGCAGCCCCACCCCAGGGCGACAGATGAGCCCATGAGGGGCCCTATGGGAAGCACTTTGTCACCGTGCCCAGGGATGGCTTCAGCCCCCTCCCTTGAGGGGCCCTCAACTTGGAAATGGGACGGTCCATTCATCCAAACAGACTGATTCCGAGGTTATTAGATCTGGGTCACCACATCTGCCACTGCGGAGCATTAGGGTGACTTCCTCCCCCCACCCACCCCCATGAGTGATTTTCCTCATTGTTCCTTTTCAGACCAGCAGGCTCCACAGCCCTCTAAAGAACATCAGTAAACAGGCAGAGACAGATGGCTGAGCCAGTGAGGATTCCTCTTTCCATGCCTGCCATACATGGACCCACGTCAGGGGAAACTGCTAGGCAGAGTGTCAAGGTGCCCAGGGCTAAAAGAAGCAGGAGTTTTAAAACATAACAGGATCCAAACTCATAGACTGTACAACACCAAGAGTGAACCCAAATGTAAACTCTGGACTTTGGGTAATAATGAGGCACCAATGCAGGTAGGTTCATGGACTGTAACAAACATGCCCCTCTGGTGGGAGATGTTAACTGGGGAGGCTGTGGGGGTGTAGGGGTAGGGAGTATGTGGGAAATTGCTATATTTCCCGATCAATTTTGCTGTGAACCTAATAGCTCTAAAAAAATTAAGTCTTAAAAAAGAAAAACTGTCTGAGGGAAAATAATCCCTTTTAAAAATGTTTAAGTGACCTTAGTTACTAAAAACGTCTAAGAGGCCTGGTGAGGTGTCTCATCCCTGTAACCCCAGCTACTCAGGAGGCTGAAGCTAGAGGAATGCTTGAGCCCAGGAGTTTGATACCAGCCTGGGCAACACAGCAAGACCCTGTATTTACAAAAAAAAAAAATTAAAAATTAGCCCAGTATAGTGGTTTGAGCCTGCAGTCCCAGCTGCTGAAAAGGCTGTGGTGGATCACCTGAGCCCAAGAGTTTTGAGGTTGCAGTGAGCTATGATCATACTACTGCATTCCAACCTGGATGGCAGAGCCAGACGCTGTCTCTTAAAAACAAAAAACAAACAAAACATTTAAGGGGGAAAAAATAAAACCTAATGGGAAAGAGACTGTGGGACCTTGAGGACATTCGGAGAAGAATCCAGCAAGTCCTAAAAGTGGGTCCAAGTGGTAAAATTACCTCCTCAGCCATTTCCTGAGGACCTGCCCTGTCTGACTCAAGGCACTGGGCTTTCCATCCCTCTATAATAATTCCTATATTCATTTACTGACTTGCATTCGGCGTCTAGTGATGTGGCCAACATGGCCAAGTCTACAGGAGCTGTAGGAAAGGCTGGGCCCAAGGTTCTGGAAACCCAGAATTCTCCACCAGCAAAGACTATCAATTTCAATTTGCACATCTCCCTAAAAACCTCTCATTTTCTTCTTTATTAATAACTCTCCTGCACCATGGCACTGAGGGCCAGTTCAAGCTGGCTCGCCTGACCAACAGCTGGCCAGACAAGGCTGGTGCCCAGTAACCACAAGGCAATCCTCCAGACCCCGAACGAGCTGATGTGCCTGCAAAGCAGGCTTCTGAATAGTACAGCCTTCCACCCCGCCCCCACATAGGGACTTAGGGAATGCAGCCCGGCCAGACGGCAGGTCGGAGCCGTGCACCACAGGAAACCCCAGCTGCAAATGGAAGATCAGTAACTGGAAGTACCTAACACAAACAGGACAGAGTGCCCACCACAAAAAGGCAGCAGCTCTAAGAGCCAAAAATAGCCTCACTCGTTTGAAGAGGATTTTGACAAACCAAGCACATTCAACTCCTCCATCAGCAGAAAAAGAAAAATCAATGAAGCAGAAAACCAGATGAGCTTAACAGGGACCAGGACTCCAAAAGATTCCCGACAGCCTCACACACACACCCCAGCCCACCCTTTCCTTACCCCAATGGCAAACTGTGTCTGGATCTCAAAACATAGTCCCATGACCCAAAATGCCTGATGGTATTTGCATCTAGCACAGAAGTTAGGCGTACAATCCCATAGTTTTAATCTTAGTGCTAGAATCTGACCACAGATTGGGAGCCCCAAATAAGCACCTGTGGGTGCTTATCCTTGGCAAGATGAGGCAGCAGGAGCACACTGGAGGGTCAGCAAATGGGGCTGGGTTACCACCATGGAGGAGCCTGGTGGTGAATAATCATGGGTGAAGCCTCCCATCAAAGCCAGGCAGATCAGAACGGGTGTGGCTCTGCTTCACCCCCAGATAAAATCTCCATGCAGTTGATTTTCGGTGGCCCACTGAGTCACAACTGCCTGTCGCCTCACTTCCTTCTAATTCCTATTCTCACCTGCTGTGACTTGTGTTCAGGACTGCTGGTTAGCAAGCAAACCTGACACTTCTATGGCCTAGGAGCAGCTAGCATATCTCAGGTTTCACAAACGTGTCATATAACCCCTCCAGAACAGGATCAGTGGGGTGGCGGGGAATGCCCAAGACATAAATCAGTCCCTGCTAACAGCATCCGATGTGGGCGCTAGAGATGACTCCGGCTTTTATGCCATCCTCACTGCCCGGCATGGAGAGAGCACATAGCAAGGAGGTTACTGCCTGAAGCATCTTCCTTCAACTCACAAGCTGTACTTCACAAACACATTGCTCTAGAACCAAAGGAACAAACCACCTCCCATCCCTCACAAGACCATCCTCAACCCAATTCCATTCCAAACACTAACAGTATGCATTCAGGAAGGAGGAGGGGATGGAGTTTGTTCGGGTGCAGGATCCGCGTGAACCACAAGTGCACCTGATACACTCAAAACTATCCACTCCTCCCTCCCAACTTCTGTTTTGTATCCCCTACTCGTCTATGGTTTTCCTCCCCCGTGCAGGTGTGCCCACGCACGTGGCGTGAGGAACTCACCTGCGTCTCCATGGAAGGCGCCCTCGCCATCGTTGGGCCAGATCTGCCCGGTCTTGCGGACGCCCACGATGGTGGCCTCGGACACGACAACCGGGCAGTGCCGGTGCCGCTTATGGCACTGCGGCGTGGGGGGACTGCTGCTGTCGAAGGACTGTTGCGAGTTCTGCGAGGGAGAGCGGCTTTTGTCCCGGAACATGCGGTAGGTGGTGGGGCTTGGGGACACGCGGCTGGACTGGCCAGAGGAGAAGTCCTCCTCGCTGGAGGTGAGGTTCTCATTGGAGCTGCAGTCCGGGGTATAGCCGCCTCCGCAATCCTCAAAACTCCGGGGGGAGTAGGACCTGCGGGGCCAGGTAAGGCGCTTCTCCTGCTCAGAGGTGCTCTGGCTGCGCAGGAGCGGGCCCTTGCCCTCCCCTTCCATCATGCCCCCGACGTAGATGCTCTGGTAGGGCTGGTACTCCAGGGGCGGCCAAGGGGGCCTGCTACCGCCATTGGCGTCGATCAGGTTGTCCTTCAGGAAGCGGGGGTTCAACTCGGCGTCCTCGTAGTCGCCGTCGACGCCGCAGCTGCTCTCCGAGGAGCGTCCCCGGTAAGGGGGCCTGGATGCATCCCCCACGCTCGAGCCCGCGCCGTGCTGGGACTTTTTGCGCTCCATCTGCATGGCCTGGCTGCCCAGGGAGCTGATGCGGTCCGACACCTCTTTGTCGTTGACCTTCACCAGGCCGCGCTCGTGGTGAAACTCGACGTTCACGTAGAAGGGCTTCTCGGCGTCCGCCCCGGGCTGGCCATGGCCCTTGCGGATCCGCTCGAAGTTGGACCTGAGCGCCGCCACGCTGGCGGGGGGTCCCCGGTCGTCCCGTTCCCCCGACGCGGCTGCCCCGGGCCTGCGGGCGGTCCCGGGCCTGGCCTTACCCGGAGAACCCTCGCCGTCGGGCCGGGCCTCGGGCTCCTCGGCGGGCGGCGGGTCGGCTCCGTCGGCGGGCGCTGGCTGCGGGCGCGACGCGGACGCTCGGGGCTCGGAGGCGCCGTCGGGGGCCTGCGCCGCGCGCCGGAAGCCCCATCGCTGCCGGTCATAGCTCTTCTTTTCCTTGGCCAGCAACGTCTGCAGGTAGATCATGCGGAAGCGCTCCTGGTTCACCTCCTGCTCCAGGCGCCGAATGGAGGCCTTGCAGCGCTCCAGCTCCTGCTCGATGTCGCCCACTGAGCGCAGCTCCATGCGCGGGGGCTCTGAGTCCGGGAACTGCGCCTTCCACGCCTCCGCGAAGCCCACCGGGTCCACCATGGCGCGGCCGGCCTTACCTGCGCCGCCGGGCTGCGCGCGGGGCCCGTCTCAGCGGCGGCGCGGCGCCTCGCCAGCCCGGCCCCGGGCGCCGGGCGGCCCCCATGGCCCGCGCGGCGGCGGCGGCGGCGAACAATGCCCGCCCACTCCCTGGTGGCAGGTGAGGCGGAGCGGGGCGCTCGGCGCGCGGGGCGGGGCGCGCCGGGGGGAAGGGCGCGGGCTGCGCGCGCCGCTATTGTGTGCGGGGCTCCTCCGCACGGCGAGGCGCGGGCGCTGCTCTCCGCTCCGCCAGGCCGCCGCCAGACTCTGGCCACGGCCCGCGCGCTCCTCGCCTCTCGCTTCCGCACCGCCCCACAGCCCCGCCGCCGCCGTGCCGCCGCCGCCGCCGCCGCCTCCTCGGACGCTAAGCTCAGCCAGCCGGCTCTCGCCGCACTCCCGCCCGGCCCGCACTCTGCGCCGCAGGAAGGGGAGGGCCGGGGGGAGGTGGCCGCGGCGCGGATGACGGAGCCAGGCGGGCCTCTTAAAGGGGCCGCGCCGTGGGCACAGGGCGGGGGGGCCCCCTGGAGGCGGCTCCCCCATCGAGCCGCCACCCTCCCCCCGTCCCTGTGCCTTTTGGGAAACTGAGGCCCTAACAACAGCGAATTGGACTGTGCAACTCGCAGCCCAGGGGTCCCCCGTAAAAAAGACACCGGACTCCCTGGTCCATAAAGACCTTTCCAATACAGAGGTCTGGGCCAGTTCTGCAGTCCTGGAACAGGAACACTTGGCTCCCCTCCGGCCAGGAGGACTTCTCCGGCCAGTCCAGCCGCGTGTCCCCAAGCCCCACCACCTACCTCATGTTCCGGGACAAGAGCTGCTCTCTCTGGCAGAACTCGCAGCAGTCCTCCGACAGAAGCAACCTCCCCCCTCTGCCCCTACCACGCCGCAGTGCCATAAGCGTCACCGGCACTGCCCAGTCGTCGTGTCAGAGGCCACCATCGTGGGCATCTGCAAGACCAGGCAGATCTGGCCCAACGATGCGGAGGGCACCTTCCATGGAGACGCAGGTAAGTTCCTCACACCTCACAGCCTGGCCTCTCACCAGCCTCAGGGCTGGGCACACTAGGGACCACCCAGCAGGGCCCAACTCACAGAGAGGCCAGGACCAGGCAGGTCACCCCGCAAGGCAGGGAGGGCCAGGCTGAGTAACCAATGCCAGCACCCTTGTTTCAGCGGGCCTCTCACGTTGTGGATCTGCTGTGGGTGGCTGCCACACGGGTTTGTCACAGCAGGACCACATGATGGATGATAAATAGGGATTTCTCCCTCAGGTCACTCAATACCCACACCTGCCTTCCTGTGTGCTGAGCCATGTGTTTGTCCCCTGGCCTCTCTTGAGCTCCAGAGGTCAATGTAGTTTTTCCAGGACGACCTGACTCAGAACTTCCCTGATTAGCCTCCCTCTAAGGGGGCGGCCAACCTGCACTGAGGTTCACAGGGCTGGGTGGAAGACAGCCCAGAGCAGGGAGTGAAACAAAACCTTTGATGGTTCTCTGGGGACACAGAGATCTGAGACACAGTGGAGAGCACTCTGCAGGGACTCTGATGGGCACAAACTGAAAATACCCAAACCAGCCCGCTGGGTTGGGGGAAAAGGAAACAGGATTTGGCAAATGAATTACTGGGCTTGAGTCCTGACCACCTCTCCCTCTCTGCCTCAGTTTCCTTGAAGTGAGAAGCACATCTGCCTCCAAGTGCTGTTGTCCCTGTGTGGATGTTAGGGATTATCATGCCCTCCTCCCAATGCCAGCGTCATCTGGAGCAGATACTTTGAAGTCCAATCTAAAGGACTGAGCCCAGGCTAGTAGCCAGGCCAGCCCTGCTTGGGTTCAGGGCTTCCTGCCGACTCCTGGCTGTGTGACCTCAGCAGTGTCTCTCTCAGCCTCTCTGAGCCTCAGTTTTGTCATCTGTTCTTCATGTGCCCAATCCTGCTTCCTTTTCCCCTGACCCGGCAGGCTGGTTTGGGTATTTTAATTTTGTGCTCATCAGACTCCCTGCTCTTTGCCCTGTCTCAGATTTCCAGGCTTCCCTAGAGAACCATCAAAGATTTTGTTTCACTCCCTGCTCTGAGCTGTCCTGTCTTCCACCCAGTCCTGTGGGCCACGGTACAAAATGTTGAGAGCATCCTGCATAAAATGCCCAGATGGGGCAAACATAAAACACAACCTGATAAATGGTGTGTAGGGGTCGATTTCGTGATTGCCTGTTAATATTAGTGCCCCTGGAGAACATTCCTGCCCTGGAAAACCCATGGGCCCCAGTTTCTAGGCTGGGTGGGCGGTGCGCAGCTCACTGCTGCCCTCTGCAGGCCTTGCTAACCTCCTGCCATCCTGGTCCCTTGGACCCAGCGGACCTTCTCATCCCCTTCCCATCAGGCTGCAAATAGCCCATTTTGCATGTGAGGAAACTGAGATGCAAATGATGCCCTGGCCACTAAAGGGGCTGGAATCCCAGTAGTGCCATACTGAGCAGTGCTCTCATCCTCAGTGGCCTATTTTTTTTTTTTTTTGAGACGGAGTCTCACACTGTTGCCCAGGCTGGAGTGCAGTGGAGTGATCTCTGCTCACCGCAACCTCTGCCTCCTGGGTTCAAGTGATTCTGCTGCCTCAGCCTCCCAAGTAGCTGGAATTACAGGCGCCTGCCATCACGCCCAGCTAGTTTTTTGTATTTTTAGTAGAGACGGGGTTTCACTGTGTTGGCCAGGCTGGTCTTGAACTCCTGACCTCGTGATCTGCCCGCCTTGGCCTCCTGTAGTGCTGGAATTACAGGTGTGAGCCACTGCACCCAGCCCTCAATGGCCTCTTCTTTAAAATGGGTATGATAAAGGCAGGCACAGTGGCCCATGCCTGTAATCCTGGTGTTTTGGGAGGCCGAGGCAGGAGTATCGCTTGAGCCCAGGAGTTCAAGACCAGCCTGGGCAACATAGTGAGACTCCATCTCTACAAAAAAATTTAAAAATTAGCCTGGCATGGTGCCTCGTGCCTGTAGTTCTACCTGCTCAGGAGGCTGGGGTGGGAGGATTGCACTGAGCCTGGGAATTTGAGGCTTCAGTGAGCTAGGATCACGCCACTGCACTCCAGCCTGGGTAACAGAGCAAGACCCTGTCTCTAAGTAAACTCTGAAGCTGTTTAGTTTGAGTTTGCATGCTCTGTTCTCTTGGCATAGCAAATGGCTTTTTGTTAGGCACAAGGACACGTCCAGATAGTGGCTTTCTCCCTTGTGGGACAGCCTCTTCTGGCCCCAAGGACACTGTTCTCTCCTCAGGACTTCCCTGAAAGCACCCCTATCCTGAGCCTCTGGGCCTTTCCTGTAGAGTTTTCTTATCATCCATCCCTCCCTAGGGAGGAATGCAGCAGGGCATGGGCATGGGCATGGGGTTTAGACACACATAACACTCTGTAATCCCCCACTCAGTGTCTGTTCCAACTAGATCTAAACTCTGCAAGGTCACAGACCTGTTTGTCTTGTTCCCCTATGTCTCTCATATAGTGAGCTCAGAGTAAGTGCTCAACCAGGTCTGGTGGAATGAGGAACCAGATGTGTGCATGGCCTGGAGGGCAGATAGGTCACCGAGAGCGATGCCTGTGTATGGGGGAGGAAGTGATAAGGCATTCACAGCCCGGCTATAGCAAAGGTGTGTGTGTCCTGTGGGAGAAGGCACAGTTCGGGGAAAGGCTTGCCAGGGGAGGTGATGCCTGAGCTGGTCCTAAGGACAAGGACCAGGTAGGCAAAGGACAAGGAGGCTTCAAAGTTCTGTTTGAGGAGCAGCCAGGTTGGGAGATGAGGCTGGTGTAGGCAGTAGGAAGTGGGATCAGAGGTGAGGCAGGGCCTTGTAGGCCTGCACAAAGTTTGGGTTTTATTCTAAATGCAAGGAAAAGCTGCTCAAAGGTTCTAGACCTGCACTGTCCGATAGAACTTGCCAGTACCATGGGCATGTTCTGTAATCTGTGCTGCACAATGTGGCAGCCACGAGCTGCCCCGTGTGATTACTGAGCATCTGAAACGTGGCTGGGGCAGCTGAAGAACTGAATGTTTGGTTTCGTGTTAGTGAGTTTCAATGGCCACCGTGGCTGCTGTACTCAACCGCACAGGAAGCGGGGTGACTTGCTGGGGTCTGTTGCATGGAAGGTTGGGCGTGGGAGGTGGGAGTAGGGGGAGTGGTTGGGGATTGTGGCAATTGTTTATGAGGAAGGCATTGGTGACCCAGAATAGGGCAGAAGCAAGGTACCCCAGAGAAGGGGTTAGAATTCAGGAGCATTCTGGAAGTAAAACTCATGGGACTTGTAGATGGAGTGGGTGTGGGGAATGAGGGATGTTGGGGTGATCAGACCCAACACCAGGCCGTGGGGGCGACAAAGTCTGGCGGAGTCAAAGGAGTGAGAAAAGGCAAGAGAGAAAGTGGGACCAGGGGGCCAACGCTAGTATAGAGGCTGCAAAGGCCTCTAGCCCTAGGAGCCTATGCTATTTATTGGTGATCAAACAAAGAAACAGGTGGTGAGGATGTGGGGATTGAAAGGAAGCGGTGTATCAAGCAAATGAGCTACAGCTGTGACAGTTTAGCATTTTCTTTGAAACATATGGCTACTTGAGATAATGAGAGTGCTAGAAGGAAGGAGCCAGCAAGTCTAGCAGACATGCAAGCCCTGCCTCAGCTTCTCTCCCCACACCCAGCTTTTCCCCAACAGAGGGAGGCCAGCTCATGGGGATGACTTTGGGATGGTGACTGCAACAGGCAAGCAGAGGTGCCTGCACAGGGCTTCAGGTCCGCATAGCCCATCCATGAGCAGGCATCAGGCAGAGGGTGACCCTGTTGCACCAAGGAGCAATGAAGACCTCAGAGAGAAAGTGGAGTGTTGCCAGTGAATCGATGTTGTTTGTTGCCACGGGGCTGGAGACTCTCCCCCTGCCTGCGTGAGGCTGGGTGGAGAAGGGACAGTTACTGGACTAGGGGGGAAGTAGAGGCAGAGGGACTGAGAAGGGACTGGCCAGGGAGATGATGGGGACCCTGGAGTCTGAGCGGAGAAGACTCAGTGAAGAAGGCAGAGCCTCATGCTGATAGCTGCTGTTCCCTCAGTGGGAAGGATGCTAGCTGAGTCTGGCATCATGAGGCCGGCAGGGCAGAGGTGGGCCCTGGAACTTGGCTGCAGAAGCTGGAGGCTGGATGGGCCCTGAGCGCTACCCCAGGAGCCTTCTGAGGGGTTCAGCAGGAGGAGGGGGCTTCACCAAGGGCTCCACAGCTGTCTATGAGCAGTGGGTGACATTTATTTTCTAAATCATCATGCTTTTCTAAATTCTTCATAATAAAACGCCTATCTATGGCTCACGCCTGTAATCCCAGCACTTTGGGAGGCTAGGCGGGCGGGTCACTTGAGGTCAGGAGTTTAAGATCAGACTGGCCAATATGGTGAAACCCTGTCTCTACCAAAAATATAAAAATTAGCTGGGCATGGTGACTCCAGAGGCGGAGGCTGGAGAATTGCTTGGATCCAGTAGGCGGAGGTTGCAGTGAGGGGAGATTACGCCACTGCACTCCAGCCTGGGTGATGGAGTGAGACTCTGTCTCAAGAAAAAACAAACAAACAAGCCAACCCACCTATCTTTTGTAATTTAAAAAAAAATAGATTTTTTGCCAAGTGCCGTGGCTGACGCCTGTAATCCCAGCACTTTGGGAGGCCGAGGCGGGCAGATCATGAGGTCAGGATATCGAGACCATTCTGGCTAACACGGTGAAACCCCGACTCTACTAAAAATACAAAAACAAATTAGCCGGGTGTGGTGGTGGGCGTCTGTAGTCCCAGCTACTCGGAGGCTGAGGCAGGAGAATGGCGTGAACCCAGGAGGCGGAGCTTGTAGTGAGCCAAGATTGCGTCACTGCACTCCAGCCTGGGTGACAGAGCGAGACTCTGTCTGAAAAAAAAAAAAAATTTTTTTTTTACAATCTTTTTTTCTTTTTTTTTGAGACGGAGTTTTGCTCTTGTTGCCCAGGCTGCAGTGCAATGGCGTGATCTCAGCTCACCACAACCTCCGCTTCCCGGTTCAAGCAATTCTCCTGCCTCAGCCTCCCGAGTAGCTGGGATTACAGGCATGCACCACCATTCCTGGCTAATTTTGTATTTTTAGTAGAAACGGGGTTTCTCCATGTTGGTCAGGCTGGTTGCGAACTCCCAACCTCAGGGGATCCACCTGCCTCAGCCTCCCAAAGTACTGGGATTACAGGCGTGAGCCACCACACTCAGCTTTTTTTTTTTTTACAACTTTATTGAAGTATAATTGAAGTGTCATAAACTGCGCATAAGGAGTGCGATTTGATGAGTGTTGACATCTGTGTATACTTTGAAGCCATCGCCACAATTAGATAACAAGTATTTCCAGCATCCCCAATCCATATTATGTTTTTAAATCTCGAAACTAAAATATAACAGAGAAGTGGGGTTTTTGGTGATGTTCCCCCTCAATTTCCCTTGTTCTCTGAGTGTGGTTACATGATTCTATTATTTATTTATTTACTTATATATTTTTTGAGATGGGGGTCTCGCTCTGTGACCCATGCTGGAGTGCATTATTGCAATCCTAGCTCACTGCAGCCTTAGACGCCTGGGCTTAAGTGATCCTCCTAACTCAGCTCCCCGAAGTGCTGGGATTACAGGCGTGAGCCACAGTGCCCAGCCTAGAAGTAATTTTAAAATCAAAACACACACACACACCGTCACACACCCTCAGCAGCAGCCCAAGTGGTTCCTAGGCCCCAAGCAAAAGTTCCAGCAAACCCCTCCCGGAGGCCACCCTTTCCCTTTACTGGAAGAACAGGCTGGGACCCAACCGCCCCCTCTGCTGGAGACAATGCAGAACTTCTCATGCCTCAAAGCCCTGGGGATGGAAAGCATGCAGGTGTCAGTCAACAGATGAAAGAATAGAGGCTGGGCACAGTGGCTCACACCTGTAATCCCAGCACTTTGGGAGGCCGAGGAGGGTGGATCATTTGAGGTCAGGAGTTCAAGACCAGCCTGACCAACATGGCGAAACCCTGTCTCTACTAAAAATATGAAAAAGTTAGCCTGGTGTGGTGGCGCATGCCTGTAGTCCCAGCTACTCAGGAGGCTGAGGCAAGAGAATCGCTGGAACCCAGGAGATGGACGTTTGCAGTGAGCCAAGATCGTGCTGCTGCACTCCAGCCTAGGTGACAGAGCGAGACTCCGTCTCAAAATAAATAAATAGTAAATAATAACGGAGAAGAAGTTTGAGACCAGCCTGGGCACCATAGTGAGACCCCATCTCTAAAAAAAAAAAACAAAAAACAAAAAACCAAAAATAAAAAAATTACCTGAGCATTGTGGCATGTGTCTGTAGTCCCAGCTACTCTGGAGGCTGAGGTGGAAGGATTGCTTGAGCCAGGGAGGTTGAAGTTTTAGTGAGCTATGATCATACCCCTGCACTCCAGCCTGGGCGACAGAGTGAGACCCTGTCTCAAATTAAATAAATAAATGAAAAGAAGGCCAGGCACAGTGGCTGATGCCTGTAATCTCAGAACTTTGGGAGGCCGAGGCGGGCGGCTCACGAGGTCAGGAGATCGAGATCATCCTGGCTAACATGTTGAAACCCCATCTCTGCTAAAAATACAAAAAATTAGCTGGGCATGGTGGCAGGCACCTGTAGTCCCAGCTATTTGGGAGGCTGAGGCAGGAGAATGGCGTGAACCTGGAAGGCGGAGCTTGCAGTGAGCGGAGATCGCGCCACTGCACTCCAGCCTGGGTGACAGAGCGAGACTCCGTCTCAAAGAAAAAAAAGAAAAAAAGAAAGAAAGAAACTGTGGTACATCCAGACAATGGAATATTAATCAGCACTAAAAAGAAAGGAGCTGACAAGCCATGGAAAAACATGGAGGAAACTTAAATGCCTATTACCATATGAAAAGACACTATTCTGAAAAGGCTACATACTGTATGATTCCAAATATATGACATTCTTTTTTTTTTTTTAGATGCAGTCTCGTTCTGTACCCCAGGCTGGAGTGCAGTGGGGCGATCTCGGCTCACTGCAAGTTCCGCCTCCTGGGTTCATGCCATTCTCCTGCCTCAGCCTCCCGAGTAGCTGGGACTACAGGCGCCTGCCACCACACCCGGCTAATTTTTTGTATTTTTAGTAGAGATGGGGTTTCACCGTGTTAGCCAGGATGGTCTCGATCTCCTGACCTCACAATCCACCCTGCCTCGGCCTCCCAAAGTGCTGGGATTAAAGGTGTGAGCCACCGTGCCCAGTCTTTTTTTTTTTTTTTGAGACGGATTCTTGCTCCGCCTCCTGGGTTCATACCATTTCCTGCCTCAGCCTCCCAAGTAGCTGGGACTACAGGCACCCACTACCGCGCCTGGCTAATTTTTTGTATTTTTTTAGTAGAGATGGGGTTTCACCATGGTCTTGATCTCCTGACCTCGTGATCTGCCCGCCTCGGCCTCCCAAAGTGCTGGGATTACAGGCTGAGCCACTGCACCTGGCCTTTTTTTTTTTTTTTTTTGAGACAGAATCTCGCTCTGTCACCCAGGCTGGAGTACAATGGTGTGATCTTGGCTCACAGCAACCTCCACCTCCCGGATTCAAGCAGTTCTCCCACCTCAGCCTCCCAAGTAGCTGGGACTATACGCGCACCATCACTATAGGCAGAGATTGTAGTGAGCCATGATAGTGCCACTGCACTCCAGAGGGGCAACAGAACCAGACGCTGTCTGAAAAAGAAAAAAATGAAATGAAATATTGTACTGATAAATGCTACAACATGGATGAGCCTTGAAAACATTATGCTAAGTGAAAGAAGCAGTCACAAAAAGCCACATATTGTATGATTCCATTTGTATGTCTTATTCTTACAGAATCAGTTTATGATGGCAATTGTTTTAACAGATGGATATAAAATGCATTAAGGAAGGGTGCTTTTTAACAATTTTTGTTTCTTCTTCCTGGTAACCAGGTGCTTGAGGACTGGCCTGTTAGATAGGAAGCTGACTACAGATATGTGCCACCGATCCTGGCTTCCACTTTTTCACTGTTGTCAATAACATTGCTTGTTTTTTTTTTTTTGTTTTTTTTTTTTGAGACAGAGTTTTGCTCTTGTTGCCCAGGCTGGAGTGCAATGGCAAGATCTCAGCTCACCGCAATCTCTACCTCCCAGTTTCAAGCGATTCTCTTGCCTCAGCCTCCCGAGTAGCTGAGATTACAGGCACGTGCCACCACGCCTGGCTAATTTTGTATTTTTAGTAGAGACGGGGTTTCACCATGTTGATCAGGCTGGTCTCAAACTCCTGACCTCAGGTGATCCACCCCCACTGCCTCTCAAGGTGCTGGGATTACAGGTGTGAGCCACCGCGCTCAGCATGAATAATATTACTTGAATGTGTATGTACATGTATACAATGGACTGAATGTTTGTGTCCCCCAAAATTTGTATGTTGAAATTCTAGCTGGGCATTGTGGTACACACTTGTAGTTCCAGCTACTCCAGAGGCTGAGGTGGGAGGGTTGCTTGAATCTAGGAGTTCTGGGCTTTAGTGCACTATGCCTGTCAGGTGTCTGCACTAAGTTCAGCATCAGTATGATGACTTCCTGGGTCATCAACATGATGACCATCAGGTTTCCTAAGGAGGAGTGAACCTGCCCAGGTAGAAAGTGTAGGCCAGGCTCAGTGGCTCACGCCTGTAATCCCAGCACTTTGGGAGGCCACAGTGGGTGGATCATGAGGTCAGGAGATTGAGACCATCCTGGCCAACATGGTGAAACCTTGTCTCTACTAAAAATACAAAAATTGGCTGGGCGTGGTGGTGCACGCCTGTAGTCCCAGCTACTCAGGAGGCTGAGGCAGGAGGATCGCTTGAACCCGGGAGGCAGAGGCCGCAGTGAGCCAAGATTGCACTACTGCACTCCAGCCTGGGGACAGAGTGAGACTCCACCTTGAAAAAAAAAGAAGAAAAAAGAAAGTGCAACAGGCTAAAACTTCTGTGCCAATCAGTAGTGGGATTGTGCCTGTGAATAGCCACAGCACGCCAGCCTGGGGAACATAGTCAGACCCCATCTCTAAGTGGGAAATATGTAGGTATATATATATATATATATATGAAATTCTAACCCTCAATGTGCCTCGGAGGTAGTTAAGTCCTGGGTGGAGTCCTCGTGAATGGGATTAGTGGCCTTATTTATTTATTTATTTTGAGGTGGAGTCTCGCTCTGTCACCAGGCTGGAGTGCAGTGGCATGATCTCAGCTCACTGCAACCTCCGCCTCCTGGGTTCAAGCAATTCTTCTGCCTCAGCTTCCCGAGTAGCTGGGACTACAGGTGCTCACCACCACGCCCGGCTAATTTGTTTTTTTTTCACCATGTTGCCCAAGCTTCTCTCAAACTCCTGAGCTCAGGCAGTCTGTCCGCCTCGGCCTGCCAAAGTGCTAGGATTACAGGTGTGAGCCACTGTGCCTGGCTGGGATTAGTGGCCTTTTAAAGGAACCCTGAAGAGCGCTCTCAAATTCTTTTTGCTATGTGAGGATACAGTGAGAATTCTACAGTTTGTGACCTAGAAAAGGGCCCTTGCCAGAATCCAACCGTGTTGGCACCCTGATCTGGAACTTCCAGCCTCCGGGACTGTGAGAAATAAATTTCTGTTGTTCTAAAAACCACCTAGACTATGGCAGGCTCCCACTAAGGCAATGTACTTGTTTGAGTCTGCTTTCAGTTCTTTGGAGGATATACCTAGGAACGGTATATTTCTGGGCCATGTCATGTGACAATTCTATGTTTTACTTTTTGGGGAACTGCACAGGTGGCTTTTTCTTTTTTTGCTTTTTTTTTTTTTTTTAAAGGGTCTTGTTCAGTTGCTTAGGAGGGAGTGCAGTGGCACAATCTCAGCTCTCTGCAGTCTCAAGCTTCTGGGCCCAAGCGATCCTTCCACCTCAGCCTCACAAGTAGCTGGGACTACAGGCACACACCACCATGCCCAGCTAATTTTTATAGTTTTTGTAGAGACAGTTTTGCCATGTTGCCCTGTTCTCGAATTCCTGAGCTCAAGCGATCCGCCCACCTCCACCTCCCAAAGTGCCAGAATTACAGGTGTGCACCACCGCACCCAGCCAAGGTACCTTTTTCTAATTCACCCAAAGGCCCCTTGTGGGTGGGTGCAATGGCTCTGCTCATGAGGGTCACACAGTCTTCAGGGGTCCTATCCAACCAGCCCTCACCAGGGGGCCAGCCTGGAACTGAGGTCCTTCAGCGTGATTTCTTTCCACCTCCCCAGCCATTACCCCAACAAGAGGCAGGGAAACGGGCTCAGAGAGTGACCTCCCCAAGTCACATAGCAATAACTGGGGGCCCAGACTTGAGCCCAACCTCCTGAGTCACAATCAGTACCATCAGGCAAGACATTGTAGATGGCTGGGCTTTCTGCCCTCAGATCTGCCTGAGCCCGAATTAAAAGCCTGCGTGAGCTTTTGTTCTTTCTTGCTCCTTTTCCGCGCTGTCTCCACCCCTGTCCCCACCCACTTGGGAGGCTGGAGGCCAGAGGAGGGCTCCCTTCAAGTGGGATGTGGCCATGTGACCACCATCCATCATCTGTCATCCATCATCTGTCATCTATCAACCATAGGGAGCTGGGGGCAAGATCAGAAAACTGGGCCATCAATACAGCTGTCCTTTATTCCTGCCCCCAGCCAGAGTGCGGAGCAAAGATCTGAGGGCCATCTTTGTCCAGTGAGAAACGAGCCCCTGTGGAGCTGCTGGTCCCAGGTTCCGAGTGACTGGGGCTGTGAACCTTCCCTTCCAGACCTGGGCCCCTCCTCAGGAACTCCACTGCCTTCTGCAGAATCAATTATTGATGAGGTCCCTGCAGTCAGGAGAATCCCAGCGGAGTCTCCTGGCCACCATTGGCAGCCTTCACAGGAGGCGAAATTGCTGGGACAAGATGAGCTCGTTCCCGAAGACAGGGCCAGTGAGTTGTGCCAGGCTGTGGCTTCCAGTGAGCAGAGGCCTAGTGTACCCTCAGGCTAGGGGTGCCAACCACCTGTCAGGGAAGAGGGAGCCCAGACCTGGTTTGCCTCCCAGACCACCCACCATGTATCCCAGAAGACAAGGGGTGAGCCTGCTGACAGTGCCCAGGGACAGGAGTCCCATGCCTGCTCCCTCACCTTCCTGGGGCCCAGGCTTAGACACTGGCTGGTGGCCCTGAATACTGAGGGGGTGCCTGGACAAAGGGGAGGAGGCCAGGAAGGGTCTGTGCTGCCTGGAAGGAGCATGTGACAGTCATACGTCCTGGCTGCTCATCAGTTTCCTTCAGGGGAAGGCTGACATATGGGAGATGACATTGGTAGGCCACAGCAGATGGCAGAGGAGCCTGGGAACTGCTGGGAGGGCATCGCATCTCACACAGTGCCTGAAGCGGCAGGTGTCTGTGTGTGTGTGTGGCGGGGAGCGGTGCCCAGGGTCCACCCAGTCTCCAGGAGCCGCTTCTCCCTCAGGAGAGGAGGGGTCCCTCTCTGTGCTGTGAGTTTCTTCCTCTGAAACCCCCCACATGTCTTCTCTCATCCCTGTCCTGGGCTCCCTTGGTTGCTGTGTCTCTCTGCAGTCCCCTCCAAGCCTGGGATTCCTTGGCTACCTGTCAGCATCCCCGGGGGCCCAGGACTTCAAGAGCTGGAGGGAGCTGCCTCCCAGTCTAGCCCTGCCTGTGTGGACCCAGGGCTTATGCCCCATGCCAAGCCTGGCTCACCTGTGAAAATGGGGTCGGGCTGGCATCTGCCGTGTGGGCTGCGGGAGGAGTGAATGGGAGAATGCAAAGGGCTGGGCCAGAAAGGGGGCTCCAGGAAAGCTGAATGCATGAACAAGTAAGAATTAGTGCAGCCTGGGCAACACAGACCCTATCTCTGTGAAATTAAAAAAAAAATTAAAAATTAGCTGGGCATGCTGGCTCATTCCTGTAGTCCCAACAACTTGGGAGGCTGGGGTGGGGGGATTGCTTGATGATGGAAAGTTGCACTGAGCTATGATCACGCCATTGCACTCCAGCCTGGGTAACAATGCGAGACCCCATCTCAAAAAAAATGAGAATTAGTCAATGAAGCCAGGTGCAGTAGTGCACCTGTAGTCCCAGCTGTTCAGAAGGCTGAGACAGGAGGATTGCTTGAGACCGGGAGTTTGAGGCCAGCCCAGGCAACACAGCGAGACCCTGGCTGTGTTGCCTTAAAAAAAAAAATAAATTAATTAAAAAAAGAGTTAATGAATGAGTGAACGTGTCAATTTAACCGATCCTCTGTCCATTTCAGTATTCAGTTACCTAGATTGTAGGTGACCTGAGTTCTCCTGGGTTAAGATGCCCTGCATCCCTCCAGAGAGTGAGGTTTGTCTGACAGTGGTCCATCCCATCCCCCAGGCTGAAATGTGAGTCGAATGGATCCTGCTGGCCTCCTCTCCACTCCAGAGGCCTGCAGCAGGGCTGGGAGGAGGGGGAGGCAGGCAGGCACCCAGGGGACAGGGTTGAAAGATGCTGAGAGCAACTGCCTTGCTCCGGTCCCTGTGGAGCCTCTGTCAACCATGGCTGCTGGGCTGGGAAGGACAGAATCATAGACTCACATTGTGAGGGTGCAGGGAGCGGCAGTGAAGGGGAAGGCTCAGCTGGGGGACCCTGAGGAGGGCTGAGCTTGGTTGGGGCCATGCGAATAAACTCCTTTTGGGGTTCGACCCTGGGTGGCAGTGTGCTGGGGCAACTGACTGAGAGACATTGAGCCCCAGGGGTGAGGGCACCTGCAGCAGATTCCCACTGGGATTAGACTCCAAGTGGGGTTGGCAGCAGAGGCAGGGGAGGGACCAGGAGTTCAGAGGAGGAGGAGGTGCTCAGGTGTGTCCCATCTCTTCAGCTGTCTGCACCTCAGTCTCCCCACCTGTCAGGCGGGGACAGGGCGGGGGTGGTAGTGAGCCCACAGCATTGCTGTGGTTAAACGAGCTTCCAGAGCACCTCACTGCATACGGGGCTGGCACAAAGAGCGTGCTCCATAAATGTGGCCTCTTGCTACTCCCCCAGGAGGCACCCCACTCCTGGATGACTTCTGCTTTGGGGAACAGTGGGTCAGAATTTCCACTGCAAGTGGGTTCCAGTGGGTGGTGGGTGGTGGTGCCTGCTGGGGTCAGGGGTGACCTGGGCTCTGGCCTCGCCCTCTTGGGATCCAAGGTGTAGAGCACCAGTTAACAACATCGTGTGAGGCTGCACTGTGAGACTAGCCGTGCACTCATTCCAAGGCTTACTTAGTAGGCTGGTGCTGGGGATGCAGCAGTGAACAAGGCAGACCACCAAGGCCACCAGGACGGTAAGGGAATTGTAAAGAGACCAGGATAGGGATCAAGGGCAACCTGACCCAGCTGGAGAGGCTAAAGCAGGCTTTCTTGAGGAAGCACCTCTATGCTGAGTTCATTGGCAAAGGTCAGGGTAAGGAGCTGTTGCTTAGGGAGAAAGCCCTTGCTTTGCCTCAGGACAAAAAAGGAGCAGACATTGGGACACAGCCCTTCATCTTACTCTCTCCCTTAGTTCCCTATATTGCACCCCACCCCCCCATATTGGCCCCCAATGCATCAGACCTCCAGTTCTTCACACCCTTATGAAATCCCCTCCCACACTGACTCTGGACTTTGGACATTTGGCCAAAATGCCCCATTTTGGCCAAATATAGCAAGTGTGATGTAAACAGAGGCTTGATAAGCACTTACACATTGGGGCTTGTCTCTGGAAACACTCCTTTTTTTTTTTTTTTTTTTTTTTTTTTTTTAAAAGACAGAGTCTCACTCCGTCACCCAGGCTGGAATGCAGTGGCAAGATCTCGGCTCACTGCAACTTCCACCTCCCAGGTTCAAGTGATTCTCCTGCCTCAGCCTCCCAAGTAGCTGGGACTACAGGTGCGTGCCACCATGCCTGGCTAATTTTTTGTATTTTTAGTAGAGACAGGGTTTCACCATGTTAGCCAGGATGGTCTCTATCTCCTGACCTCGTGATCCGCCCGCCTTGGCCTCCCAAAGTGCTGGGATTACAGGCATGAGCCACTGTGCCCAGCCTGGAAACAGTCCTTTTTAGAAACCAGCCACCACACTGTGAGGAAGCCCAAGCTGCCATGTGGCAAGGCCCTGCCAAGCATTCAGGTAGAGCCACACCACCTGCCACTCATATGAGGGAGGCCATTTTGGACTCTGGGAGAGTCATCCTAGTGGCCCAGCTACCAAGCAGGGAGCGGAAGAATAGCTGGTCAAATCATAGAATCATGAGAAATAATACATGCTTGTTGCTTTAAGCAATGAAGTTTTGGAGTGATTTGTTACATAGTACTAAATAGCACAAACATTTTTCTGCCCGAAGTCCAATTCTTTCCTGTGCCCAGAGCCTCTCTAGCTGGCATGAAGTGTCCTTCCCGAGACCTGTTCAGTTCTGCCCTGAAACTTTCTGTGGCTGGCTCCTACCAAGCTCTTCCCAAGATCAGAACATATCCTCCAGCCCCAAACCGCCTTCACTGGCTGATGCCCTGTGAGGGTCTCTGGGTCAGACAGGACTGGGGTTTGCAAGTGAGGGATGAGGCACAACTGTCCCTGGCCACCAAGGAGAGCCAAGCACAGGATTGTTCCCCAGGCAGGTGTAAGTTTCGTGTGGTGGCATCTGGGTCAGAGTGCAATCTGTCTGCTGGGAACATGGTCTTGTTTGAGCAACCTTCTTGCTTCCCTGCCTTCTTTACACATCTATTGAGCACCTACTGTGGGCCCTTCCTCCCAGAGGTGCTAGGGGAGACAGTAGAGGTGATGAGGTCACTGTCCTGGCTCTTGGGGTTCCACAGATGGGTGGGGGAGAAAGCCCAGATGTGACCAATCACACTCAAGGTATCAAGTGCTGCGAGAGCTGTGGGGGTGTCCACAGAGGCCTCTCTGGGAGTAGGGGTGTCCCAGCCGTTGGGCACAGAAGAGGGGTCTGGCATCTGCAGACTGCATTGTGACCAGGGATGAAACTGGAGCACAGGGGCCTGTGGGGGTGGGGTGGGCTGGGTGGTGAGGAGCCTCGAAAGCCAGAGCGAGAGCACCCTGGGACCTAGCCCTGGGGAGCCAGGAAGTGACAGGAGAGGACCTGCTTCAGGTACGTGTCTCCAGCAGAAGAGACAGGTGAACGGAAGGACACACAGATGGACAGAGAGCAGGAAAGGGTCCAGGGAAACAGGGAAGAGGAAAAAGGCGTTTCGGCAGCACTTGGACGCGGTCACTGTGGTCATTGCCGCACCTTGGCTGCAGGGGGCTGCTTGCCTGGGCCCACAAGACCAGACCAACAGAAAGTGCCTCTGCCCAGGAAACTTACTGCCCGATGCTGGGAAAGAAGGAAATGTCTTCATTAAATCATCAAAGTGAGGGTGCGCAAACCACCCTGAAGCAATTCTGACCGAGAAGATGCTGCATCAACTTGGGGTGGGGGGACAACTGAGCCCCTTGCGTTTCCGTGGCGACCTTACTCTTCTGTCCTCCCAGGCCAAATATCAAAGTTCGAGAGGCCACAACTATGTCAGTCAGGGTGTGTGGGAATCAGCTGGCACATTGCAGGAGGTAATATGAGGACGATTTAATCAAGGACCATTTACAGAGGTGGGGGTGTACGTGAGGCAGTACAGCTCTAGCTCAGAAGCTGGTAACAGCTGGACACCACACCCACCCCCGCAAACATATCCTGGAGGCCCGAAGGGGCAAGGGAAGGGAGCTGTGGAGAACGACAGTCCACCATGGGCAGGTTCTCCCGTCCTGTGAAGCTTATGCCCAGCAAACCTGGTCTTCCTAATGGACCCCAATGCTGTCTGCCCGACCACAGGCTGCATTTAGTGGACCAGGCTGGGGGCCGCAGTCGGGAGAAGGGCCTTCCTGAGTACGCAAAGCTATAACTACAAGAATGGCCACTGCAGCACCATTGGCAAGAGCTAAAAGCTGGACACAAGCCGGATGGCCCGCGGATGGGGAGGGTCAAATGAACTACAATCCATCCACATGAAAACTGGGCGCTGCTACAGGAAGGAGGCTCCTTGTGTGCCATCAGGGAGAGGCCTTGGCGCCAGCTCCCTAGGAAGGCAGGCTGCCAGGCAGTATGTCCAGAAGGAGCTCACTCTGGTGAAAACAACAAACAAGCCATCAACACTAGCTGTGCAGGCAAAGGCACAGAGTCCAGAAGGAATAGTCCTGACTGTTAGCAGAGCTAACAGTCTTTCCTGCTCTCTGTCCATCTGTGTGTCCTTCCATTCATCCATCTCTTCTGCTGGAGACACTTCAGGGGCGCAGCTAATGTGGCGGGGGGGGGGCTTTCACCTTGTATTTTATATGCTTTGTACTGTCTTTGTTCACACTAAACATACAACCCCTTTAAAAGTCATTTATGGAGGCCGGACGCGGTGGCTCAGGCCTGTAATCCCAGCACTTTGGGAGGCCGAGGCGGGCAGATCACGAGGTCAGATCATCGAGACCATCCTGGCTAACACGGTGAAACCTCTCTCTACTAAAAATATAAAAAATTAGCCCGGCATGGTCACACGTGCCTGTAGTCCCAGCTACTCGGGAGGCTGAGGCAGGAGAATGGCATGAACCCGGAAGGGGAAGCTTGCAGTGAGCCAAGATCGTGCCATTGCACGCCAGCCTGGGTGACAGAGACTCCATCCCGCCGCCCAAAAGAAAACATAAAAATGAATAAAATCATTTATGGCCGGGCATGGTGGCTCACCCTTGTAATCCCAGCACTTCGGGAGGCCGAGGTGGGCAGGTCACCTGAGATCAGGAGTCCGAGAGCAGCCTGACCAACATGGAGAAACCCCATCTCTACTAAAAATACAAAATTAGCCAGGCATGGTGGTGCATGCCTGTAATCCCAGCTACTTGGGAGGCTGAGGCAGGAGAATCGCTTCAACCTGGGAGGCAGAGGTTGCACTGAGCCGAGATTACGCCATTGCACTCCAGCCTGGGCAACAAGGGTGAAACTCCATCTCAAAAAAAAAAAAAAGTCATTTATATAAAAAACTACAAAAAATATGTTGAAGGGGGAATGAATAGAAAAAGATGCCAGTGTTCTTCCCTAACTGGTATTTGGCAATCGCTGAGCTGAACATTTACAGGGCAGCTGCAGTGTGCCAGGCCCTAGGAGAGCAGTACTGATCAGAAGGCTGCCTGCAAGGTGCTCGCCATCTACGGGAAGCAACAGCACGAGACGGGTGGGATGAGTGGGCATAGCCAGGTGACAGGGGCCTGGGGCTGTGGGGCTGGTTCATAGCAGTGAGAAAACCCTGTGGATGAGCATACTGGGCAGAGAGGCTGGGGAATGTGTGGGGTATTTCTGTCTGCTCTGCATGTGCAGGAGGCGGTGTTGGAGACAGGAACATGCTAGACTTGGCAGGGCCTCTGAAGTCCTCTAAAGGTGCATGGACACCATTACAAAGGTCCTAAGAGATGTATAGGCCAATGAGAGAGGGATGGAGAGGCAGCAGTGGGCACAGGCCCAGCATGAGTGCCAGAGGAGGGCAGTGCCATGTTCAAGGGCTGCAGAGTGAGTTACCCTAGGACAGCTGTGCAGTCTGCCTCCCGCAGCACACAGGTAAATGCACTGTCCAGGTGGGCCAGAAAGGCCTGAGTGGTTGTTCTGCACATCCTGGCCCACGGACCAGGAGGGCAGGACCTAGGGATCTCAGAGGTGCCAGAGATAGCCCTTCAGCCAGAACAGGTCTAAGAGACATTTTGTCCATTGTCCTCCAGAGGTGCTGGTCTGCCCAGGAACCTTGAGCATCCGTGGCAGAAGGACAGTGAGGCCTGAAGCTCTGAGACCCAGAACCATAAGTCCTGCTGACAACAGAAAACTCCCAGGGGGAATGGCAGGTGGCCTCTCCTTCAGGTGCTGACTTTGACAAGTCCAGGTTGCCTGGAACACTGTGACGGATCCTGGGGACACATCCAAGATCGCTGGGAAAGAGTGCAGGGTTGACTGCTGATGTGGGCCATGGCCGAGTAGTATAGACCGACGCAGGAGTTTGCAGTTCTGAGGCCTCTTGAGGCCAAAGGTGACTGTCTGATGACCCTGCAAATGGACTGGCCTTTTATGGGATCACCACAGTGCCTGCACTGGCCCGGTGGTGTGGGGCTCCCAGGCAGCCAGTGGGGGCCTTTTCTAGTGCCCAACCTGCAACGGACAAGTGACTGTGCCCTGGAGCTGAGCCCGGTGGGTGGGTGGAGGGACTGGAACATGGGCCTACAGCTTGAGGGCGACACGCTGCAGAGCTTGGGCTCCAGTCTCCACACCACAGTCACGGAAATTCCTGTCCGTGTGTGTGCAGGGAGCGGAGGCCTTCCACGCAGGCCCCAGTTAGCAGCAGCCCAGGCTGGAGGGCCTCTTGCTCTCCTGGGTCTCGGGCGGACTCCCTTCCATTTCTGTAAGGAGGGGAGAAGTAATTTAGCATCAACCAGGAATCCTGTAGCTGACACTGGGCAGGGGATGCCGGCCCTGACAGTCAGAGCTGTGAGCTGAAGCTTCTGGGCCTGCTGTTCAAGGCCTGAATGGCCTGACACAAGCCAAGAGAGGGCCTTCCAGGCACTGGAACAGAGAGGGCAAAGGTGCAGACTGGGAGAGCCGGGGCCAGGACACATCTGCAGAGCCTGGGACGCCCAGCCTGGGCTATGAGGACCTCATGGATGCCCATGAGGTCCATGTGTCAGGAGAACAGGGAGGGCTAGGGAGGGTGTCTGACCTGGCAGGTGGAATCAGAGGGGCTACAGGCCTGAGGCTGCAGTGACACCCTGAGAGGAGGGTCAAAGGACAGGAGAGGGCCACAAGTTCAGGAAATGGCAAGGCCTCAGGTGACGAGGATGGCGCATGTGGATTTTAGGCCTCCAGCCTACTCCCCAGCCCAACCCAGTCACACCTATACTCACGGATTAGGTCTCCATTGCCGACCTGGAGCCGGGCACTGCTCTGCCTCTCCAGGTCCTGCAGCACCGACTGCTCGAATGCCAGGGCGGCTACGCGGCTGAAGAATGCCTTCACGTTCTCGCCTGTGGGCCCACAAGACAGCCGGGACCTCATCAGTGTTTCTCCTTGCCCCTTAATGCATCTGGGTGTGAAAGCCAGGCTAGCCTACCCTCAGGTTGGCACGTAGCCCTTTCTAGAGCACCCTGACAGTAACAATGACCCCAGGAGGGCACAGCCCCACCCACTCACACAGGCAGCACAGTGCCAGGGGCAGGGTCCACTGGCCTGGCCTCCCACCTGGCTCCAGCCTCCCAACTCCCACCCCACTGCCTGCTTGGGCCACTCCCTCAAACTTCTGAGCCTTTGCTTCCCAGCATCTACTCTTCCAATCAGATGCTACTATGGCCCAAGTGTTGGAAGATGTGGAACTCAGGACAGATATGTGCCTGCCCTCCTGTCACTTTCCATACCTGTCCGGTGGGGCTGTGAGGATTGATTTGCTGTCAGCCCCCACATGGAGCCTTTATGCATCCTCCTCCAGGTAGAGGTGGCTGCCCATCAGAGAGCGGGCTGGTTTCCAGCCCTTAACACGCACACTGCCCTTGTGCAGCCAGCAACCTGCACAACCGCATAGGGCAGTCCTGCTTGGTCCATAGTGAGCTGTCGGTGAACTCACTGTTACTCTGATAAGGGAGGAAGGGTTCTCACAGAGCAGTTCTCACTGTTGGAAAGGAGCAGTGGAAGGCACTGCCAGTTGTTTGCGCTGGGCTGAAAGTGGTGCTTCTACTTGTGACGCCAACCCTCAGTGCTCACCCAGTCTCCGACTAGATATCTGCTGTCCCCTCTTACACAGGGTAAAGACTACTGGGCCCAATTCCTGAGTCCCCAGAGCCTTGGGGGCCTATTATGTGCCAGGCCCTGCGTATGACTTCATTTCATCCCCCAACAACCTGTGTTTGCCATCTGCTCTTTGTGTCTTTGGATTTTCTGTTTTCCTCAGTAAATACACCTGGCTTTTGTAATTTAAAACGTTTTTTCACAAAAAAGGGAGATGGATGGCATCACCTGCTTCCCAGATGAGATGGAGGCTCAAAGATGCTGGGCATCTTGCCTTGGGCTGGGGACCCAGTATGGCCAGGGGTAGACCCGGTGGGGAGTGAGTTCAGTGAGAGCTGGGGTCTTTGAGCCACAGTGATACTGGGAAGGGATGGGAGCCCCTGTCACTGGGCCCTTCTCTATGCCAGGTGATGTCACATGCCTGGCATTTCAGGGCCAGAGGCAGGATAGTGCAGTGGTTACAGGTGAGGGTGTGTTTGGATCCTGGCCCTGCCACCCTGTGGCCCTGGAAGTTACTTCACAGGACTAAAATGGAACGTGCCTCATGAGTAGTTATGGGGTAGTTATGAGTAGTTATGGGGTTCTCCGGTTATGGAGAACAGGCCAGCACGGCATGACACAGGGTTGGGGTCACTATTCCCCCATCCGTGAGGCAGGCCTCCCAGCTTCCTTCTAGAGATGACGCAGCTCCTCTTAGGCAATGAAAGTGCTGCCAGGCACCAGCACAGCAGGGCTGTGATGCCAGTGTGCACCAGGGCCACAGAGGGAACAGACGACTGGCTACAGAGGGAAACACTGCATGGCAGGCCCCACAGGACTGGCCCAAGAGCAGGGCTCTGCCCCACCATGGTGACAGCCCTGGCCCACTCACCAGTCTTGGCCGACACTGACCAGTACTCGGCCTGCATCTCCCTGGCCAGGTGCACAGCGTCTGCTTCGGCCTGCTCACATGCGGCCCCTGACTGGGAGAAATGGCCCTTGTTGACCCAGCGTCCCGGCTCTCCTGCAGGGAGGCCCAGGGGGATAGGCAGCTGCCTGCTTCCCACTGTGCTGCCTCCCTCCCTCCCCATGGCTCCTCCAATGAGGGCTGTAAGGGGAGGCATTTTCCCAAGGGCCACCCAGACCACCAGTGCCACTCTGCTCACCAGAAGGTCCTTCTTGGTTCCCACGAGGAAGATGAAGCAGGAGCCTGCCTCGTTCTCCCTCAGAGCATCCTCCAACCACTGCCTGGAGTGTAAGGAGAGAGGCTGAGAGATTCACCCATCCTCCCACCCCAAACAGGGGGCAGAGGGCACACTTGGGACCTCCCCAGGGCTGAAGTGCTGGGCTGGGAGGGACAAGGAGGGCTTCCTGGCCCACACTGGCTGAGCAGGATGCTGCACCTCCAGCCGGAAGGGCGTTGGCTGGACCCAAAGGGGTGGGAATACCAGAGCACTGGCTGGAGGTGGTGAAGACCCCTCCTGGCCCCACCTCTGGCCTCTCCCGGTGAGACCTTGCATGAGCCCTGCATGTTTATCAACTAGAACCATCACCCCCGCCTCCCTCACGGGGTTTGGAAGTTGCTGGGTGTGAATGCCCCAGACCAAGGTAAGGTGAGAGGGCTTTGCTCTAGTAGCTGGCCGATTCCCAGCAGAAGTAGGATAGCCTCTTGAATGGGTCACATTGCCAATTCTCTCTTCTCAAGACTGCAAGTGCCAAATTCATGTCACTTCAAAGACTGGCTATACAGTTTTCAGGGCCCACAGTGAACTGAACACGTGGGGCACCTCATTCAAAAAGTATCCGGACTTGCAACATGGCAAAGGCAGTGTATTAAAGCAGGTTGGGGCCCCTCTGAGCACGTGCCTGGGGGTGGCTGTGCTGGGCTCACACTCATGTGCTGGCTCCTCCAGAATAGGGACAAATCTCAAGCGATAAAGGCAGTTGGACAGTAAGTAGTCCGTGGGCAGCTGGTTCTGACAAGGGGCCCTGGTCACTCACACCCACCACGGGGTCAGGGTCCACTGGCCAGGGTCTGGGAGCCCTTCCAGGCAGCTTCCTGAGCCCAGGGAGACTGCAGGGGCCAGAGAGCCCAGACTTACCTGGTATGCTCCAGGGTCTGCACGTCAGTGAGGTCAAAGGCCGTGATGATCACTAGACACCCGGAAAAAGCCAACAGCCAATCAGTGCCAGGCGAGGCGAGCAAGGGGGCTCCCCAGGAGGTGCCCAGCTCCCAAGGAACTGCCAGGGCAGCCCCCCAACCAGGCACTCAGCACCGGAACCTCCTACAATGAAGGCTGAGGAGGAAACACCCCATGGCTGTCCCCCACCGGGACCCTCCAGCCTGCACCCGGCAGCCCAGCCTCAGTGTGGGATCCAGGGAGGCAGGACAAGGTAGGCGTGGAGCGAGCGCATGGGCTTTAGCGTCAGACACCCTCTGCCACTTACGGCTAAGGGAGCTCAGGTGAGGGCCTTAACTGCTGAGAGCCTCAGTTTTCCCACCTGTAAAATGGCGAGGACGAGACCTGTAGCTCTCAGGGTTGCTGTGAGGATTAAACAAGAGCAGCTGTTTTAAAAAGCTGTTAGTCGCCAGGCGCTGTGGCTCATGCCTGTAATTCCAGCACTTTGGGAGGCTGAGGCGGGTGGATCACTAAGTCAGGAGATCAAGACCATCCTGGCTAACACAGTGAAACCCCGTCTCTACTAAAAATACACACACACAAAAAAATTAGCTGGGTGTGGTAGCCGGCACCTGCAGTCCCAGCTACTCGGGAGGCTGAGGGAGGAGAATGTTGTGAATGCGGGAGGCGGAGCTTGCAGTGAGCCGAGATTGCGCCACTGCACTCCAGTTTGGGCTACAAAGCGAGACTCAGGCTCAAAAAAAAAAAAAACCTGTTAGTCCAGGGCCAACTTTCATTTCAACCAACAGCAGCTACAGCAGTGATGGTTAGCAACAACCTGCTTTAGCGAAACAACTTCCGGGGAGCCAGGTGGGCAGAAAACCGGGAGATGCAGCCTGGGCCCTCAGCTCCTCTCATCACTGGCCGCACCCCGGTCCTGTTGGGGTCCTGAGGGGAGCCCTATGTGGAGAACATTCCAGGCAAATGCTCTCTACTGCCCCCAGGGGTGTGACCAGGGCCGGACAGGGGCTTCCTCTGCACCTTGGCTGAAGGCTACAGGGAGACCCACGCCCCTCCCAAGGCAGATGGGAAGAGAAAGGAAGGGGGAAACTGAGGAAAGGGATGACGGCAGCCAGGCTGCCATGTGGAGAGGTGGGCCAGGCGCCTCGCACCTCTTATTCCCAGGGGAGAAGCATCCTTTCAAGGAGAGGCCCGAAGAGGCGAAGGGTGCAGGAGGCCATGCGACCAGGGCAGAGCTGGAGCTCCAACCCACGGCTGAGGGCTGCCTGGTTTGTTTCCTATTTTTGCTTCTTTTAAGTCTAAAAGAAAATGTTGTAACTTTTTCACCACTACCGAGTAGACATATCGGTGCCTTATAATTTGAGTCTGGTTTTGGATACTTTTGAGGTTCTCTCACATCTCCCACTGAAATCCATTTCTGTCTTCTTCCTGGGAAGGTGGGGTAGGCATCCGGAGCTTATGCTGCCGCCCCCTGCTGACGGTGAGCCCTGCCCAGCACCACCTGGCTGCCCTTGGCCATGGAAGTGGTGAGCATCCGGCCCTGCTGGCCCCCACCTGGGGCCTCCCAGTCCTCCCGTGGTCCCCCTTTCACTCCTACTCCCTGGCCCAGCCCCCTCTGCTAAGACAGGACAAGCCTCCTCCGACCTCCCCCTGGAGTCCAGTGCTGCCCTTCTCTGAGCCTCTGGAAAAGCACTTTCATCTCTGAGCATCTTTATGAGCTGAAACTGGGGCTGAGACTTAAAGCCAGCACCCACTACCACAGGGTCCTTAAAGGGTGTGATCGCCAAAGTCAGCCAGTGCCTGGGGATGAAGGCAGCTTCCCTGTTCCCAAGCAGTGGCCTGGTGTTTTCTCAGTGGGTCTTGGAGGACAAAAAACTGGTGCCTGTGCAGAGAACTCGGGATTCCCACTGTGGAGCCCGGCAGGGACCCCGCTGCTGCATGCAGTTGAGCCCCGACGTGGCATGTTGCTCACCCTGGGCACCCCGGTAGTAGGCAGATGCGATGCACTTGAACTTCTCCTGCCCAGCTGTGTCCCAGCTGTGAGGTGGGTGAGAAAGAAAGGGAAATGGTGTCAGGCTACACAATCACAGTGTCTTGAGCCAACAGGCTACGGGACCATGGGTGGGAGACCCTAAGGGCCTGTGCCAGCTGCATGGGCTTCAGGAAGTGCCTGTTGTGAGCCAGATGTCCCTACCCCCAGCTCCTTATGATCTCTTCCTAGGGTGCCCCCAGTGGACTTCTCTCATTCCTAGTGGATGGGGGTGTGTGGCATTAGTTGTTCTGCTGCCTGGATGGATGGAGTTGCAGCTCACTCCCTTCTGACTGAGACATTAAAATGGAACATACGGCCCAAGACATGACTCGCTCTGAAGATGTAGCAGTCCACTTGTAGAGAAGGCTCTGTGAATGGCACTGGGGCTCCAGGCGGGGCCTCCAGCAGTGGCTCTGCCACTTGGTTGGGTGATGGGTGTGACTGGGTCATTGCTTCACCTTCCACACTGCAGGTCCCAAAGTAGGAGTTGGAGATACCTAACACTGGAGCAATAGGTGGGTCTCAGCAGTTAGCTCCAGCTCTCTGGAGCACAGTAGTGAGAAGAAATTAGAAGCAAAGCCCTGGCTCCATGGAAAAGAGTACAACAATCGATTAATGATGTCTGCCATGGGCACAGTCTAGAAGAGGGGAAAGAGCACCTACTGAGATCTACCTGCCCTGGCTTAGAACAAGGCAGGTAGTCACTATGCAGGGCTGAGTCGGAAAATTGTTCCCCAATCCATCGCTTTTTGAGGTCAACTGATCAAAATTGAACTTTTCTCAGTAAACTGCAAAGTAGACAAGTCACAAACAAGACATCTATGGTCTGATTTTTTTCTTTTTTTTTGAGGTGGAGTTTCGCTCTTATTGCCCAGGCTAGAGTGTAATGGCATGATCTTGGCTCACTGTAACCTCTGCCTCCCAGGTTCAAGCAATTCTCCTGCCTCAGCCTCCCAAGTAGCTTGGATTACAGGCATGCACCACTGTGCCTGGCTAATTTTGTATTTTTAGTAGAGATGGGGTTTCTCCATGTTGGTCAGGCTGGTCTCGAACTCCTGACCTCAGGTGATCCACCCGCCCTGGCCTCCCAAAGTGCTGGGATTACAGGTGTGAGCCACCATGCCCGGTCATGGTCTGAATTTTTTTCAAGTGATCCAGTATGACACAGAAGTTTGGGCTTCATTCTTTCATTAATTCATTCATATTTTCTTTCATTTCTGAAGACTCTGGGGGAGGAGCTGGTGGTGGTGGCCTAGAGATGAGCCCGTAGGGAGGCTGGCAAAGGCCTCAATGTAAGACAATGAGAGGCTGAGCCAGGACAGTGTCCCTGTTTTGTCCAGGGCCCTCTAATGAGATATGGCCTGTGGTCACACGGGTGAGCCCAGCCCCCAGCCAGTCTTTCCCGGCTCCACCTCAGCTACCCCCACTGGCCCTTTGCTCTTCTCAGCTCTCTGGATCCCTCAGTCCTGCAGCCCTGCGTTCTCTCCCAGCCTCCTTTGCTCTTGACTGGCCTGTACTCTCCCTTGGGCAAGATTTGTTATCCTCCATCTCCAGGGCTTTGCTGGGGCTGTGGAAGTCCTGAGAGAAGGGGGCACTATCTCGACAGAGTTAGGAACTGACATCCACAGGATCTGAAGGCTCAGTCCAGGCAGGGCATGGAGGATTGAGGAACGAACTCAGGCACCAGGAAGGAGCTTGGTGAATGCCAGCAGGCAAGTGGAGAGGAGGGGGGCGGGGCTAGCCATGTAGGGGAGCACGGAAGGGTCTCACAGGAGAGTAGAGGTGAGGGCCCGAGCCCAGGCAGGCCTGCAGCATTCTCCAGGTGCCGGGGCAGAGGGAAGCTACCCAGCTGGGGTGGGAGAGGGTAAGGGGTGGGAGAGTGGCCCTGGGCCACTCAGATGGAAGGCAGAGGGAAGGGGTAAGGCCAGTGGAGGCCATCGTGAGTCAGACTCCCAGGGCCTAGCAAGGAAGACAAACAGAAGTGGGCCGGGTACGGTGGCTCACACCTGTAATCCCAGCACTTTGGGAGGCTGAAGCGGGTGGAGCACTTGAGGTCAGGAGTTCGAGATCAGCATGGCCAACATAGTAAAACCCCATCTCTACTAAAAATACAAAAATAAATTAGCTGGGTGTGGGGGCACACAGCTGTTGTCCTACTTGGGAGGCTGAGGCAGGTGATTCGCTTGAAGTGGAGGTTGCAGTGAGCTGAGATTGCGCCACTGCACTCCAGCCTGGGTGACAGAGCAAGACTCTGTCTCAAAAAAAAAAAAAAAAAAAAAAGACAGAAGTGGAAGGAAAGTGAGGCTGGGGAGAGGGAGTGAAGGCTGCAGTGTGAGGAGGAAGACGAGTGCCTCAGACCTGAGGAAGGATGTGGGTGCTGTGTACTCCATCTCAGCCCTCCTTGCCCAAGCCTGGCATGCAGGGACTGGATTTGACCCCATTTTACAGGTGGGAACAGAGGCTCAGAGCTCAGCAGCAACCTGCGGGAGGCCACCCTGCTGGCCTGGTGAGTGGGATCACAGGAGGCCTAGGTCAGGGAGGGACTGGAGCCAGGGCCTCAAGAGGAGTGGGGTGGGCATTGGGGAGGTCATGGGCAGGTGGGCAGGTCAGGCTGTGAGCACCTTCCCCAGAGCCAATGACCAAAATGAGACAACTTTGGGACTGACAGAGCATGTGGGGGCTCTGGGAGCCAGGAAGCTAAGTGTCACACAACACCCCCAGGCTCTGCTTGTCTAGACTAGTCCTCCTTGACATGGACACAGTGAAGGAGCTCCCCAAATCCTTTCTCAGGTGCCTGTAGGAAGCTGCCCACGAGCCATGGGGGAACCAGCAACTTACATCTGGAGGCTATAGGGAATCCCAGCAATCTCAAAGCGCTCAATTTCAAAGTCCACCCCAATGGTGGCCTTGTAGTCTCGATCAAAAACATTCTTGCAAAACCTGTGGGGGATGAGGAAGTCGTCACAGGGGTGTACTCACAGAAATGTGCCCGGAAGCTTCACTTGTAACACTGCAAGTCTTTAGGCAAATAAGGTCCACTTCCCATCAGGAAGCGATGGTCCACGCAGGCCATGGGTGGGCAGGGCAGCCAGCAAGGACAATGTGGGGAAAGGGAGGCTGCAGGAGCTCGGAAGGCAAGCTGTGAGTTAGAAACTGAGCGAAACTGAGCAGCCATTTGCAGGGAGGGCAGTGGAGGGGAGAGCCCGTGGCCCCAGGGGGACAGTCTGACAAGCGCCAGGCTCCTGGGACGCCACAATTTCTGCCCAGCCCTGCCATCTCCCCGATTTCTTGCACCCCCTCTTATCCGGCTCCCAGCAGGCTGAGGCACAGCAGTTCCTGGAAGCCACATGATTTCTGCTATGTTGATATTATCTGGGCCACCCAGGCAAAGGTATGACAACCTGGTGCTGGGGGAGGTGGCCAAAGGGGCAGAGGAAGCCTTGTACCTGTGGATGAGGCTGGTCTTCCCCACGTAGAGATCGCCAACCACCACCACCTTGGAGAGTTTGAGCCTGTGAGAAATATGGCCGTGTTGCCGTCGGGCATGCCTTCCAGGGTGTCTTCAGACACTCACAGCCCCTTCCTTCCCTGAGCTCTCTGCTGGTGAGACACCCCTCACTCCTGGACACAGGATGGGCCACCCTGCTGAGACACTGTGTTCCCCCTTCACAGTCCCCAGAGGGGAGACGGGAGAGGCTGGAGACTCTGCTGCCCCTAGAGCTGCACCCCTCACCATATTTGGCCAAAGTCCCCATCCTGAGAATTAGGAATGGGCATAACAAGAGGCCGAGTCACAGGTGGAGGGGCAGAGGCAGGAGGCCAGGGTGTGGCTGTGGTAACCAACCAACAGCCGTGGGCACGTCTGTGCTGTCCGGGAGCTGTGCTGAGGGTGCAGACACAGGGTCCACGTGCAGGGAGACCCCGGCAAAAGGGACGGGCAGCCCCTCACCCTCCTATGCACCCCCGGGGCTGTGCGCCGATGTGGGCTCCGGCCTCTTGCAAGCAGGCACTCCCTGACCATGACACCACCGTGCCCTGCTCACTTAGAGATCTGTAAGGGTCCGACAGGCCAAGGGGCACACCCCGAACAGGGCTGAGGCTCTATGCATCCGGGCTGTGGCTTGAGGCAAATCGGCTCTGAGGTTCTTGGGCTCTCTGTGGGTCACTGTTCCCCAAGAGCAGCCGCCACCCTCACCCTCTGTGTGTCCTACACTCTGTGCAGAGGCGTTTCTCGGACTGTTTATTATTTTTTTAGAGACAGGGTCTCGCTGTGTTGCCCAGGCTAGTAGTCTCAAACTCCTTGGCTCGAGTGATCCTCCCACCTCAGCCTCCTGAGTAACTGGGACTACAGGTGCCATTGTCCCAGCTTCCTGGGACTGTTGACAACACTTTAAGAGTTTTTGCAGCTCATCCCCAAGGAGCCAAATGGTCACAGCAACCAACCTGGGTAAATATCTGACAGGCACTTCCTCTGCCTGCAGACAGCAAGAGGGCACCACTGTGTCACCTGGTGACCTGGGCTGCAGGTCACCTTGCCAGGTCCGTGAGAGCAGGGATTGTGTCTACCCTGCTCCCAGAGGGCCCTTTCGTTCTGACTCCATTTCTCCTATGAATGAGTAAAGGTGTTGACAAGGTCTTACAGCAGGTACCCTCTGATCCTCAGTTTCCCCACCTCCAGTGCTGCCATAAGGGATCAGGGAGATCATCTGTGTGAAGCACCTGATATGGCACCAGCATTCCCCAACAGATGCCATTACTCTCATCCCACCACCATGGCCACTTCGGCTATTCTGATCTCAGCTCTGCCTCACCCACTCTGTGCAGTTTGGGAACCTCTAGCTGCGCTCTCTGGCAGCCTCATCGCACCTCTGTGACCCCTGTGAGCTCAGCCAACTCCCTGAGCAGACTATGAGCTCCTTAGGAAGAGGGGCAAAAGCAGGCCCTTGTACCTATTTGTTAAAAGAAGGAATGACTATTTCACAATCCCTCTGCCAGTGGTGGCAGGAGCTGCCGCGGCAGGAAGAGGACAGACACAGCCCTCGCCCTCTTGGGCTAGGTCTAGTGAGGAATCCAGCCTGCAATTCTGTGAGATAAGTTCTTGGGGGCACAAGAGCACCCAGGAGGGGTACCCTCCCCAGTCCAGGGGCAAGGGTAGTGGGGGGTCAGAGAAGGCTCCCAGAGGACTTGACACGCTGAGACCTGAAGGGGAAGGGGAAGGGGAAGCGAGGGGATTAGGAAAGACATTCCAGACAGAGGAAATGAACTTGTACCAAGACCTGAGGCTGAAAAATCACCTGCGTGACTTAGAAGAGGGAAAGTTGTTCCATATGGCAGGTGTGTTAACTGAAGCCAGATGAAAACCCCAGTCATCTGGCTGGGCACGGTGGCTCACACCTGTAATCCCAGCACTTTGGGAGGCCGAGGCAGGCTGATCACGAGGTCAGGAGATCGAGACCATCCTGGCTAACATGGTGAAACCCCGTCTCTACTAAAAATACAAAAAATTAGCCGGGCGTGGTGGCGGGCGCCTGTAGTCCCCGCTACTCGGGAGGCTGAGGCAGGAGAATGGCATGAACCCGGGAGGCAGAGCTTGCAGTGAGCTGAGATCGCACCACTGCACTCCAGCCTGGGCGACAGAGCGAGACTCTGTCTCAAAAAAAAAAAAAAAGAAAAAAAAAAGAAAACCCCAGTCATCTTCAGGCCTGTACAGGGCTGCACCAGCCTCGTGTGTGTGTTTCATTTGTTCATTCTTTCACGTGCTTCATGCACTCATTCCTTCTTGCCACCTGCTCCCCCATCCCACACCCTGCAGGCTCACCCGACAGTCCCCGTGTTCCTGCGTTGGCAGGCAGCGCTGACCTGCCCGTGGAAGTGCTCCCTGAGCTGCAAACAGGCTTCCGGCGTGTACCACTGCAAAGAGACAGACAGACGGACACATCATCCTGCAAAGCTGTGGCTCCGCCCTCGTAGCCAAGCAGTGAGGGGAGATGATCTTCCCAGCCTTCCTTCCTAGGCCTCACAGCTGGCAGCCTCATTAGCTTTCCCTGACCCATTTGTCATGTGTATCTTCTATTTCCTCAGCCTTGAGGCTCTGGGGCCTTGTGAGTCCAGAGGGGCGAGCCCAGGCAGGGACTTGGAGATCTGTGTCTCACCTGGGGCCGCAGTTCCCTTGCTGCATGCATGTGACAGGCCTGTCTGCTCTGGGTCTCAACCCTCTCAGGGCGAGACGAGTGGAGCTCTTTTGGTGCCAAGATCCTCCAAGATCCAATTAGCCAGGTGCAGTAGTACATGCCTGTGGTCCTAGATACTGAGGAGGCTGAGGTGGAAGGATTGCTTCAGCTCAAGAGACAGAGGCTGCAGTGAGCTATGATCATGCCACTGCACTCCAACTTGGGTGACAGAGTGAGACCCTGTCTCTAATCCATACCTTCTATGAATCTCTGATGACATTTTGTTTTAAAAACATGCATACATGTGCCTGGAAAATGTCCTAGGAGGCGCTTTCTGCTGTCCACGTTTCTTGGAAGGCAGACCTGAGCAGTGGTTTAAGAGCATGGGCCTCAGGGTCAGAAAAAACTGCACGTACCCCACCCACCCTCACCTGGTCTGTAATTAGAAAAAAATGAGATTAAACAAACTAAAGATGACCATTATTTTTTGCCATTGGATTGGCCCAGGCTAAATACAGAATGTGGCAAGGATGTGGGGAGAAGGACACCATTGAGGCTGTTGGTGTGATCTGTGTATGGCAAGGGTCCCGCCCCCCGCCCCCCACCCCTGCACAGCCACAGCCACCTGCTCTGTCCCTCTGAACACTGCTTGGATCCACAGCTCCCCTCCCTCAGCCGCAGTGTCTCAACCATGGATTCGGGCTCTGCCTGGCCCATCTGCCCTCTCAGTTCCAGCTGTGATTGAGGCAGCAGGGATGGTGAAAGGAGACTGGCAAAGGGCAAGTTACAGAAACTTATCGAGCTCCAGTTTCCTTAAATATTAAACAGGGATGCTCATAATAGCACCTTTTCATGTGGTCGTTGGAGGAGTAACTGAATAATGCAGGTGAGCAGCTTAGCCTGATAGTCTACTTTCCTGCAGAAGAGCAGCAGCTACCATGAACAAGCTGGCTGCTTCTTTCTGTCAGCTTCCATGACAGCTTTAAGCTAGGGACTGGCTCAGACACAATGGTCATTACAGGATGGCTGGAAGACTGTGATAATGAAGGCTGCAGGGTAAGAAGTGTGAGCTGATTTCAGAGACAGGGAAACTGAGGCACATGGCATAAAGGGAAGGACTTGCCTGGCAAGCAGTCTGAAGACCCTGCTCAACCTGACTGAATTTCTCAGGGCCCTGGGGTGCAGGATGAACTTGACCAGCAGTGGCCTTGATCCCTGACTATTATGGGCAGGAGGGGAGAATGCCACCTGTGAAACCAGGATGGATTCCCTAAGCTGCTTCCCTGGGGTAGGGTGCTCTGGAGCCAGACACGGCCAGGTCAAATCCCAGAGGTACCAGGAGCAGCTGTGTGATGTCAGGCAACCCTCCTTAACTCTGATCCTCGCCGTCTGCTCTGCCAATGAGGTTCTTCATCTCATGATACCTGGACTGTTTTGTGCCAATCACACTTTCCTTCCTTTTGACTCAAGAAAGACCAGTCTCTGTCATCCCTAGTTACCACTGTCAAGCTCTGCAGAGAGAATAATTGCCTGAGCCTCTGTTGAGATGGAAAACCCATGGGGAACTGTCCACAGGTCTGAGACACAAAGCCTTTCTCTGTAGGTGTGTGAAGAAGGAACTTAGGGAGGAAGGTAAAGAAGGGGGAAGGAGGAAGAGCCACATACTCCAAATACCCAGGACCTGTCTAGAGTCACCTCCTCCTCACCAGCCTGGCCACAGAATCCAAGATGCAAAAAAGGCCATTCCATGGAGAGGATCTATCCCTCTGCACCTGTCCGAAGCCACAGAGGCAACCACTGAGAGTAGGGGCTTATATATCCTGCCAGAAATATTTTCTGCATATATAAACAAATAGACATTTCTCCCTCTCCTTGTTTTCACACACCGGAGTGTGCTGCACACACTCTACTGCACTCTGTTCCATGCCCTGCATTTTTACTTAACGGTTTACTTTGGCTCTCGTTGCATGTCAGCTCCTGAAGAGGTTGCCTCATTCTTCCTCATGTCTGTGCCAGGAAGCATTACTTGTTTAACCAGTCCCCTCTCCGAGGATGTTTACGTTGTATCTTATCTTCTATTCTTACAAACTGCTCCAACCCCTATCCTTATGCACATTGTAAACCCATGCCAGAATATCTGCCAAGTAAATTCCTAGAAATAGAATAGCAAGGCCAGTTGTGGTGGTCCACACCTATAATCCCAGTGCTTTGAGAGGCCCGGGTGGGAGGATTGCTTGAGGCCAGGGGTTCAAGACCAGCCTGGGCAACATAGCAAGACTTCATCTCTATTAAAAAAAATTAAAAATTAGCCAGGCATGGTAGCACATGCCTGTGGTCCTAGCTACTCCGGGAGGCTGAGGCAGAAGGATTGCTTCAGCCCAGGAGTTAGAGGAGTGAATTATGATGGCACCATTGCACTCCAGCCTGGGTGACAGAGCAAGATCCTGTCTCTAAAAAAAAAAGAAAAAAGAAACAGAATGGCTGGATCTTAGAGGGCAGGGTCATCTTCTATATTGGTAAATATTGTCCACTGCCCCCTATGGAGGTTGTACTCAATTTGTATTCCCTGCTGCAATTAATATTGGATTTTAATACAGACACAAGAGAGCTGTGAGTTTTCAAGCTCATAGAGGCGGAATGGCAAGAGGAGAGAGCCCTGGATTTGGGGTCATGGAACTGGAATGCTGTTTTGATAACAACAACGATGATGAGAACAACAGCAACTATGACTGCAGGGGAGCTCCTGCATACCATGAGCCAGGCACCCAATATGAGAGGAATTACCTTCATGTAACAGTGGCTCTGAGAGGTTGAGTAATTTGCCCACAGCCACACAGCTTAATGACAGAATCAGAATGAAGGATTCACATCAAGGACTGTCTGGCTGCAAAATCCCAGCCCTTATAACCTCCAGGCCACACTGCTGCCCAGTGTCACCATTAACTTGCGGTCCCACCTTGGGCAGTCAGTGACCAGTCTCCCAGCTCCTCAAGGTAAATCTGACAATGGACAGACCTCCTTGATTCACCTGCTTTACTTCTAGGCATGAGTGTAGAGTGGGGAGAGCTGATGTGGCTGCAGGGCCAGGAGAGCACTGCAGACGTAATGACTCTCTACCTTAGGGAAGCTGGCGATGACACGGTCGCGGCTCACAGGGGGCCCCAAAGGTGTCAGGGAGGACCTCATTCTTCCACAGTCCTGTGGACCCAACCAGGAGAAAGACAGTTAAGGAGCTGTGCAAATACCTGGGGATTCACCCATGAGTTTCCACCTAACTTTTCATCAGATCCAGGCTGGGTGCAGTGGCTCATGCCTGTAATCCCAGCACTTTGGGAGGCCAAGGTGGGAGGATCACTTGGGCCCAGGAGGTTGAGACCAGCCTGGGCAACAAAGTGAAACCTCAGTCTCTACAAAAAAAAACCAAAAAAATTAGCAGGGCATGGTGGCCTGTGCCTGCAGTCCCAGCTACTTGGGAGGAAGGTGGGAGGAATGCTTGAGCCTGGGAGGTCAAGGGTGCAGTGAACCGTGAAGGTGCCACTGCACTCCAGCCTGGGTGATAGAGTAAGACCTTGTCTCAAGAATTATAAATAAAACCAGATCCAGGCTTCCCTCTCTGTCAGGAATATGGGGCAGAGGCCATTTCTCTCAATCTGCATACAGCAGGCAGCATGGTATGGGGGAACCAGGCCTGCCCCACCCTGCCTGGGAGTCAGAAGACCTGGGTCTCCCCTTGACAGGTGTCTACCAAGGAGGAGCTCCCCTCTGAGCTTACCTTACTGGGCTGTGAGGCATGGCACAGCTCAGGCAGTGGAAGTAGAGTGGGGAGGGGTCTCCTGCTCCCAGTCTGCAAAGGACGAAGGCTCTAGGTGGGCCTGGGGGCCTTAACTTTCAGCCAACTAGGCCTTTTCCCTGAAAACCCTCACTTCACCAGGCCTCTGACTCCTCGAGCCTCCTCAACAGCCCCTCTGTCTCCTTTTTCTGTCCGGACTCCTCTCCAGGCTGGGCTGGGGTGGTCCTGGCGGAGTCCGGTTGTCTTCCCGCATCTGACCTGGCTCTCCTCCACAACCAGCGCGGGCCTGGCCCAGAGTTTGCGCTCCGGAAATGAGGACGCCCCGGGGCCGCAGGCCGCTTTCAAGTTATAGGGGCGGGAAGTGGGCGCGGACGCTGTGCCCTCGCGGCCCTGGCCTCGGGATGTGCCAGCACGGGGTTGGGTGACCGGGAGGGTCGGACAGAGTGGGCGAGCTGACTCACCAGCGATGGCTGTGAAAGCTGGGGCTCCGCGCGGCCTGGTCCGCCTGAGCCAGCGGCGGCGATCACCATGGCAACGAGAGCCACGCGGGACCTGCGGGCTACACGAATCGTCGACGTCGTGGGCGGGGTCTGCGTTGGACTGGCAGCGGCGCGTCCAAGCATCCAGCTTGCACCGGCGATCACCATAGCAACGAGAACCTGCCTGGAGTCTGGGCGGGGCTGGCAGCAGAGAGACTCCTGGACACCCTGGAGAGCCGGAGATCACCATGACAACAAGGGCGGTGCTGGATGGGTGGGCGGTGGGCGGGGCTATGGAGGCCCGGGGGCGGAGCCTGAGCCCTGGGTGGGGCTGACCGTGGAGAGATTCGCGCAGGTTCTGGTGATCAGCTCGGCTGGGAGAGGTTGGGCGGTTATGGCATAAGAGCTCCTGATGTGGTATTGATGTTTAATTGGAGTCAAGCACCCTGCAGCTGCAGAAGATAGACCTGCCTACCATCTACTGACCTTAGTCTGCATAGTTCTGAATCCAGTGCTGTCTGAATATCATATGCCTGGCTTCTAGAGCTCACGGTACAAAATTAATTTCCTTAATAAAAAGCTGACCTGAGTCAGTGATTTCCTCTGAACTAGTTTCGGTTTGGAAAGTTAGCTGTTTTGGGCTAGATGGCCTCTTGTGGCCCTTATAAAACCGTGGAACCAGCTTCGAAGTCCGGGGTTCAGTTTGAGAACCTACTTAATTCAGCTCCTTAACTTTTCTGCATCACAATATGGAAGCCTTGGTACACAGATCTAACTCAGTCATCTTCAATTCAAAGCTAAGTGTGCTGGAGGCTGGTGTTTGATGTCTTTTTTTTTTTTTTTTAAAGAGATGGAGTCTTGCTATGTTGTCCAGGCTGGACTCGAACTCCTAGGCTCAAGGAATCCTCCCGCCTCAGCCTCCCCAGTCCTTGGGACTACAGGCAAGGGCCACCACACCTGGCTCTGTTTAATGTCTTTTAGTGAGTTTCACTGCTAAGGTTGAGGCTTAGGGGGTGAACTTAGGTGAGTTGTTCCACCTTCCGCACCTCAGTTTACTCAACTATAAAATAAACGCAACTATCTATTTCAATGGATCACCTGAGATGGTGAAAGTGCTTTTATACTGTAAAGCTTGATTCAAGTCCATTAACTATTCATTTGTCCTACATGTACTGAAAGCTTCCTGGTATATGCCTAGCACTGGGGAGACAAGGAAAGAGAACGGACATGGTGTCCACCCTCAGGGAAATTGGAGTCCACTGCGGGAAGCAGAGAAGTAAATAGAGAATTAGGGGAAGGGAGTGTGCCAATGGGATTTAGGAGAAGGGAAGATTAAGCTGTGGGGTCACTTACTAATTTGGATTTGGGGATTTGGCAGGAGCTAGAGATCACCCTGAACTCCTCCTTTAGCTGTTTTTTTTTTTTTTTTTTTTTTTTTTTTGAGATGGAGTCTCACTCTGTCGCCCAGGCTGGAGTGCAGTAGTGTGATCTCGGCTCACTGCAATCTCCGCCTCCCGGCTCAAGCGATTCTCCTGCCTCAGCCTCCCGAGTAGCTGGGACCACAGGTGCGCACCAACCATGCTTGGCTAATTTTTAAATTTTTTTAGTAGAGATGGGGTTTTGCCATGTGTGCCAGGCTGGTTTTGAACTCCTGGCCTCATGTGATCCGCCGGCCTTGGCTTCCCAAAGTGTTGGGATTACAGGCGTAAGCCAGCACACCTGGCCCCAATCCTCCTTTAGCTCTTAAGTGGGCTCTTTGCCTAGATCTAGAAACCAAACTGACACTGGGCAGATTAGCAAGAGAAAAGCATACAAGTGTTATTAGTTTTACATGCGCATGGGGATCTTTACCAGAGTGAAGTCTAGAGAAGTGGCCAAAGCAAGATGCTTTTATACTTTTTAGACAAAGGATGACAAATTTGAGAAGAAATGGCAGGACAAAGGGGATCTGGCTAGGGCAGTAAATTCTAGGGGATTCACTAGGAGATAATATGAGGGGCATAAACTTAGTGGAAGACAGGGTTAAGTATATTTATTCAGGTCCATTGCAGTCCCCAATTCTTAGTCTCAGGTGACAAGGGCTATTTTCTTGCCCTGGTACAGTGAGGGTACCGCTCCTAGAGGAATCTTTATGGCTTGCTGAATGCAGAAAGAAGCATATCTGTTTGCCTTTTCTTGTATCTTTTTTTAAAATTATATCTATTTATTTATTTATTTATTTATTTATTTATTTATTTATTTTAGAGTTGAGGTCTCACTCTGTCACCCAGGCTGGGGTGTAGTAGTGTGATCATATCTCACTGTAACCTCAAACTCTTGGGCTCAAGCAACCCTCCCCCTTCAGCCTCCCAAAGTGCTAGGATTACAGGTATGAGCCACTGCACCTGGCCCAGTTAGCCCTTTCTGAGGCCACTATTTTTCCAATGTTGTCCACTCAAAATGGTCAATATACCAATCCAGCATATTTTGGGATGGCCCATACTTCACTCCTTCAGGGAGAAGGAAGGTTTCATGGAAGAAGTGTTCACCAAGTTGCATCCTGAAGGATAAAGAGGTAATAATTAGTGTTACAGAGCGCTCAGGCTTCATGAGCGAGGTGGCATTTGAGGGGTTAAGAGAGAGTCTGGCATGGCTGGAGGAGGCCATCACCCAGGGACTGGAGCACTAGGCTAGGAGTTTGGACTCAGCCCTGAGACTAGTGGGGAGCCATGGAGGGTTTTATGCAGGTGGTGGCTGGGTCTGGCTTGCTTTTGAGAACAGCTACGCTGGCCAGCAGTGTGTTGGGTCCACTGCAGAGGCTAACCTTTGTCATTACCAGGCGGTCAGCCTGAAGAGCAAGGGGCATGGGCAGGGCTAGGCAGTCTTGAGATCAGGCCTATGTAATTTGGGGGAAACTGGCTGAGCGCAGTGGCTCACGCCTGTAATCCTAGCATTTTGGGAGGCCGAGGCGGGTGGATCATCTGAGGTCAGGAGTTCGAGACCAGCCTGGCCAACATGGCGAAACCCTGTCTCTACTAAAAATACAAAAATTAGCTGGGTGTGATGGCGGCCGCCTATAATCCCAGCTACTTGGGAGGCTTAGGCAGGAGAATCACTTGCACCCGGGTTGGGTGCGGTGGCGCGGAGTGGAGCGGAGGTTGCAGTGAGTCAAGATCGCGCCACTGCACTCCAGCCTGCGTGAAAGAGCGAAACTCCGTCAAAAAAAAAAATTGGGAGAAACGACTGAACTTCTCTGAGGTTCTTGTCTCTAAACTAGATGTTACCACCTTATGAATTTACTCTGAGGATCAGAGGCATGCAAAGTACCCAGTACAGAGAAGGGCGTAAATAAGTCACTTCCTTTCCCTTCTGTACTTTGAACAAAGCTGAGCTGCCTTTGGTCTCCACAGCAACCCTGTAAATGATTGTTCCCGCTTTGCAGCCGGCCGCAGCCTTGGGCTGTTTGCGCCTGCGCAGTGGGTGCTGATTATGTCGACCGCGGCGCCGCGGACGCTGCTGGAGTCGCCTGGCAACGATGTCGCCTGGCAACTGAATAGGTTGGCCAGTGGCGCGGGCTACTGGAAGCAGAAAGGGCTGCGGAGGCAGGTGAGGCGGCGGTGGTGGGCTAGGGGCCCGGGGACAGGGGGGCCCAGTGACCCACCCAGTCCCATTCACACGGGGCCGTGTCCCCACACTCAAAATCACGGTCTTTTGTCTCCGGCCGGACTCTCCCAGCCCACGCCGCTTAGAAGAAGGCAGGCCCCTGTCTCCAGCACCCACCGTTCCTGTGAGGGGAGCTCAACTCAAACATGGCCACGTCCCTCCCAGTCCGGCCCCCACTTCTACCGTTGTCATCTGGTGTCCCGCGTGAGCATCTGGCTTACCTTTTACTGGAGTAGATTCCTACAGGCCTGTGGCCTGTCCATTCTACTAACCATGATAATAACCGTAATAATAACCACAGCCAACATAGCTGAAGCCCTGGTATGCCAGGCTTACGTGTATTCGTTAATATGACAACTCTGGGAGGCAGGGAAGGAGGTACTGTTATCATCTCCCCTTTGAAGCTGCAGAAAGACACAGATAGAGGAAGTAACTTGCCAAGGTCACCCAGGCCTGAATCTGGAGCCAGTTCTTAACTACTAACCTACACTGCCCATAGTTGCTGAAAGTGTGTGTGTGTGTCGGCAATAAAAGTTAATCACTTTTTTTTTTTTTTTTTTTTTTGAGACGGAGTCTTGCTTTGTCGCCAGGCTGGAGTGCAGTGGCGCGATCTTGGCTTACTGGAACCTCCGCCTCCCTGATTCAAGCGATTCTCCTGCCTCAGCCTCCCGAGTAGCTGGGACTACAGGCATGCGCCATCACGCCCAGCTAATTTTTGTATTTTTAGTAGAGACGGGGTTTCACCATGTTGGCCAGGATGGTCTCGATCTCTTGACCTTGTGATCCGCCTGCCTCGGGCCTCCCAAAGTGCTGGGATTACAGGCGTGAGCCACTGCGCGTGGCCATAAATCACCTTTTAACATTAATTCCTTTTCATGGATGTGTCAGAAGCATCTGAATATGGGTTCCTGGCAGTGAATGAGCTAGACCCAGATTTGAACACTGGCTTCTAGTCTTACCAGTTTCATGGCCTCCAGTAAGCTCCTTGGCCAGAACCTCAGTTTCCTCATTTGTAAAATGTGGATAATACCAGCCCCCTCCTTATGGGGTAGTTGAATTGGATACTACTTATTGCTGGCACAAGGTAAGCACTAAACAGAGTGACCAACTTGGAGTTTGCTTGTTTGGTTTGTTTTGTCCTTTAATGCCTTTGACTGAAGATCCAGATGAAAGTATCAGTGGTTTCTTCTGTGAAGCACTATTGTGTGGGAGGGCTCTGGAGTTTGCAGTTTGGGCTGCTACTTACTTACCTTCACTGGGACTTTGAGCAAATCTCTTCATTGCTCTCAGCCTCAGTTTGCTCATCTGTAAAATGAAAGTAAAAATACCCATTTGCCTGCCCTCACAGTTTGGAGGATCAGATGAGAAGTAGCTTTTAAATCATAATAGAAATAATGACAGCTTTTTGGTCTCTTTTAGTGAGTGGTTTCTGCAGAGCTTCATTTGGAAAGGCCTCTGTAGTTGGGGAAAGATGGCCCATTCCCAGAACTCCTTGGAGCTTCCCATTAACATCAATGCCACCCAGATTACCACTGCCTATGGCCATCGGGCCCTGCCCAAGCTGAAGGAGGAGCTGCAGTCAGAGGACCTCCAGACGAGGCAGAAAGCCCTCATGGCCTTGTGTGACCTCATGCATGACCCCGAGTGTATCTACAAGGCCATGAACATAGGTGAGCGTGACACAGCACAGGTGACCATGACTGGGGTCCTAGCATGGCTTCAGGCACTGGGTAGAACTTCAGTAATAAGGGTTGCTATTGTTTGAGCCTGACTCCAGGCCAGTTCCACTATAGGTGCGGTGCCCGGGTTCTTTTTAAAAAATGTTTATTTATTGAGGGAGGGTCTTGCCATCTCCCAGACTAGAGTGCAGTGGCAGAATCATAGCTCACTGTAACCTTGAAATCTTGGGGTCAAGAGATCCTCCTGCTTCAGCTTCCTGAGTAACTAGGACTACAAGTACCACCATGGCTGACTAATTTCTTATTATTATTTTTTTATAAACAAGATCTTGCTGTGTTGCCCAGGCTGTTCTTGAACTCTTGGCCTCAATTGATTCTCCCAGGTCAGCCTCCAAAGTTTTGGGATTATATGTGTGAGCCATCACACCCAGCCTGGATTATCTTAATCCTTAGAAAGGCCACCTACAGGGGAGAGTCCATTCTCAACCCACAGATAAGAAAAGCATGGTTCAGAGAAGGATTGTAAGTCTAGGGTTGCCCAATAAATAAATAAAGCTAGATTTGTATTTATTTATTTATTTATTTATTTTTTGAGATGGCATCTCGCTCTCTTGCCCAGGCTGAAGTGCAATGGCACGATCTTGGCTCACTGAAACCTCCGCCTCTTGGGTTCAAGTGATTCTCCTGCCTCAGCCTCCTGAGTAGCTGGGACTACAGGCACCTGCCATCATGCCTGGCTAATATTTTGTATTTTTGTAGAGATGGGGTTTCACCATGTTGGCCAGGCTGGTCTTGAACTCCTGATCTCAGGTGATCCGCTTGCCTTGGCCTCCCAAAGTGCTGGGATTACAGGCGTAAGCCACCATACCTGGCCAAAGCTGGATTTTTATTTGCTAAATCTGGCATCCGTAGGTGTAACCCACTCAAAGTCATATGACTAGTTTGACACAGGGTTATAATTTGACCCCATATCTCTCCTGAGGTCAAAGAAATGGCAAAGGCCATTTTCTTAACCTCATGACAGACTTTGTGAGAAGTCACTGGTAGGAAGTGTGCAGGGAGAATCACAAGGAGGGTTGGATGAGACATGAGCCTCTTCAGTGACTCTGAAATGCTGCATAACCAACATGATTCCCCAGTGCCCCAAAGCAGCAGAAACTCTGGTACATTCCTGCCCCAACTGGCCCACTTATTGACTTCTGGGTTGGTTGGTTTCTGAGACTGGCAAAAATTCAAGGGTTGGTTTGTTTGTTTTTTTTTTTTTTTCTAGGCTGTATGGAGAACCTGAAAGCTTTGCTGAAGGATAGCAACAGTATGGTGCGCATAAAGACCACCGAGGTGCTCCACATCACGGCAAGCCATAGCGTGGGCAGGTGGGATGCTGTTCTGGAAACCAGTGTGACGCTTGCGAGCCGCACTTCTCCCCTGGGTGGATGCACTTGAGCTGCTTAGAGTGCTCTGGAGTGTTGTCTGCCGCATCAGTTTTTGCAGGGGCTTCTATTTAGCCAGAGCAGGACTCTTTGTGGGGTGGTTTTGGTTGCCTCTGTGTGGATCTTATGGGGCCCTCTGTTCCAGACTGATTTTTATTTATTTTATGTTAGTTCCAAGCTCTGAGCGCTCTCTCTCTCTCTCTTTCTTTTCTTTCTTTTTTGAGACAGTCTCTCACTCTGTCACCCAGGCTGGAGTACGGTGACACGATCTCAGCTCACTGCAGCCCCTGCCTCTTTGGGTTCAAGCAATTCTTGTGCCTCAGCCTCCTGAGTAGCTGGGACTACAGGCATGTGTCATCACGCTCAGCTAATTTTTGTATTTTTAGTAGAGACTGGTTTCACCACGTTGGCCAGCCTGGTTTCAAATTCCTGGCCTCAAGTGATCTGCCTGCCTCGGCCTCCTAAAATGCTGGGATTACAGGCATGAGCCACTGCACCTAGCTGAGCTTCCCACTTTCAAGGTGGGAAGAAAGTTCAGATCTTACTTCTGCAACAATTTTGCCACTTCTTAGCTTTTTACAGAGAGCCCAGTTCCCCAACCCAGATCCCCACAGGGGCTGTGGCTTTGGCTCCTGTCCCTGTGAGGGTGTTAAAATAACATCCTCAAAGTGAGTATCTGGTCTGGTGGCCTCACTTCCTGTTCATGATGGCTGAGTTCTTGGTTTCTGGCACCTGGAAGTGTCCTTTTCCTGTGTAAGCACAGCTTCACTTTTTACACTTAAAAAAAATTTTATAGAGTATTTTAGTTAGGTGTTGGGGCAACAGGGTGAGGGTGGTTGGAGGTGCTTTCCCACATCAGCTGGGTTCACCCTCTTGACTGGCGATCAGTAGTTTTACTTTGTATTAGAAACAAAACCCCAGTGTTACAGCTCTTTTAGAATTTTTCTAGCAGGTTTTCCAGTTTTCACTGGAACCTCTCCCCACCAGCCCCCGTCCCCACCCCCCAAAAAAACAGAACCCCACATCACAAACACCCCCAAGCCCTGGCCCAGGTCTTTCGGATAAAGGGGGCCACTGCCCAGTGTGCACAGGCCCAGAAGGAAGAAAAGACAAGAAAGGCAAGGTGCTGACTGCCTTGGGGGTTGTTTGGTGTAAACAGGCAGCCATTCAGAGAGGCTTCAAATCGGTTCAGGATTTGAAGGGAAAAAAAACAGCAGGAAAGGTGACTTGACTCCTGTGTGCCCCTAACCTTTACTTAGAGCCCATCAAGCTCTAAGTAGCTGCCCTGAACTGCCCAGGTTGAAACTCTTCTGCCTCTTCTACCCACAGAAGTAGTGACAGGAAGGGGGAATGAGGATAGCAGCCCTGGGCTTGGCATCTTGTCACCTTGAGGAGTTAATTTGCATGACACCCCACGGACAAGAGAGCTTCCTGGCAGCCTGTTCCCTGCCCTCTTGCTTGCCTCTGGTGAGGAGGCACACAGGCCAACATGGTGAAACCAGTCTCTACTAAAAATACAAAAATTAGCTGAGCATGATGACACATGCCTGTAGTCCCAGCTACTCAGGAGGCTGAGGCACAAGAATTGCTTGAACCCAGAGAGGCAGAGGCTGCAGGGCATCTCATAAAACCCAAAGTCACTCAGCCCTGCTAGTCCCCAAGCTCTCGCTGCCTTGGTGGCTGATCCTGTGTGCAGCCCCGGCCCTGTGTGAACCGTGCATGTGTGTGTGGAGGTGGTGCCATGGCTAGCACCCTAATTCACATGCTTTGTACCAAGAAGGGCAGGCTGGCACTGCAGACAGACCAGTGAAGTAGGGACACAAGCCCCAGCCTTTTGGGGGGCCCACTCTTTCCTGCTCTGTGATCTGGGCAACAATCCTAATCCCAGCCTCACTCTGCAGATCTTAGATGACCCAGGCAAGGTGCTTTAAAAGGTTAGGGGCACACAGGAGTCAAGTCACCTTTCTTGCTGGTTTTTCCTCCCTACTTTTCTGGACCTGATGTGGACATTAGGTAGTAATCCCCAGTTAGGGGGGACAGATGCTGAGAGGACAGGTCCCTGAAGCCTGAGCAATTATCAGGTTAGTGCAAAAGTAATTGCAGTTTTGCAATTAAAAGTAGTGGTAAAAACCGCAATTACTTTTGCATCAACCTACTTATAATGAATGGTAGTAAGGATTTGTTTAGCAGCACCTAGAGTGCCTAAGCCAGGGGTCCTGGCTGTGCCCACATTAGCAAGGCAGGAAGACATGGTGAAGTGACCATCCCTGACCAGGGACCTGATAATGGCCTGGCCCGTGCACTCCTTCAGCGTTCTCAGAAATGTGGCCAACTTCTAAATTTCCCTTGAGGTCAGTGGTGATCTTATAACCAATGTCAATAGCTTTCAGAGCCCATCAAGCTCTAAGTAGCTGCCCTGAACTGCCCAGGTTGAAACTCTTCTGCCTCTTCTACCCACAGAAGTAGTGACAGGAAGGGGGAATGAGGATAGCAGCCCTGGGCTTGGCATCTTGTCACCTTGAGGAGTTAATTTGCATGACATCCCACGGACAAGAGAGCTTCCTGGCAGCCTGTTCCCTGCCCTCTTGCTTGCCTCTGGTGAGGAGGCACACAGGCAAACACAACTGACTATCAAAGCATGAGAGACATGGAGTGGGTGACTAGACACGGACCAAGGAAGCCCCCGTGGTCAGGGAAGACCCCTGCAACTTGTGTGTCCAACGGTGACTTTCTTTTTCCAGACGATTCAAAACACACCATAAGTGAAAATAAATAAATAAATAAAATAAATAAAATTTATTTTTATTTATAATAAATGCCGCAGTGGCACAGCTGGTTGGGCACTTCCTGTGGGCACTTGGCTGAGGGGTTTGCACATGCATTCTCATTCATTCCTGAACCCAGCCCTCAGAGACGTGACCTCAGAAGGCCTCTTTCAGATGCATTCAGGCCCAGCAGTCAGTTGGTTAATCAAAAGAAATGATTACAAAGCAAGGAACTGAAGAAATGGTTTCCTTTAAATGGTTCATTTTAACCCAAAACACAAATGATAAGGCATTCATCAATCCCCATGTGGGACCCAGGCTTTTTGTCGGATATGAGACCACTGGTTGGTGTTTCCTATCATATTTTTTTTGCTTAAACCATACTCATAACATCGTCTGATTTGCAGCTTTGGTTTTTTTAAAGTAGAGCAAGAACTCAAAGACATTAATGAAATAACCTGTATGCAAAACCCTTCTAGAATCTTTTTATTTATTAATTTATATTTATTTATTTATTTACTTATTTGAGACAGAGTCTCGCTCTGTCACCCAGGCTGGAGCGCAGTTGTGCGTTCTTGGCTCACTGCAAGCTCCACCTCCCGGGTTCACACCATTCTCCTGCCTCAGCCTCCAAAGTAGCTGGGACTACAGGCGCCCGCCACCACACCCAGCTAATTTTTTTTTTTTTTTTTTTTTTTTTGTATTTTTAGTACAGGCGGGGTTTCACTGTGTTAGCCAGGATGGTCTCGATCTCCTGACCTAGTGATCCGCCCACCTTGGCCTTCCAAAGTGCTGGGATTACAGGCGTGAGCCACCGCGCCTGGCCTAGAATCTTTTTATTTTTTAAGAGACAAGGTCTAGCTCTGTCATCCATGCTGGAGTTTAGTGGCATGATCCTAGCTCACTGTAGCCTTAAACTCCTAGGCTCAAACGATCCTCCCACCTTAGCCTACTGAGTAGGTGGGAACACAGGCACACACCACCATGCCTGGCTAACTTTTAACATTTTAGTAGGGACTGGGTCTCACCATGTTGCCCAGGCTGGTCTTGAACTCCTGGCCCAAGTGATTCTACCACCTTAGTCTCCCAAAGCACTGGGATTAGGTGTGAGCTATCTAGAATCTTTTACAATCATCTCTTTTTTTTGTCTTTTTTGAGACAGTCTCATTCTGTCACCCAGGCTGGAGGGCAGTGGTGCAGTTGCAGGTCACTGCAACCTCTGCTTCCTGGGCTCAAGTGATCTTGTGCCTCAGCCTTCTGAGTAGCTGGGATTACAGGCATGTGCCACCAAGCTTGGTTGATTTTTTGTATTTTTAGTAGAGACGGGGTTTTGCCATGTTGGCCAGGCTGGTCTCGAACTCCTGACCTCAAGTCATCTATCCGCCTAGGTCTCCTAAGGTGCTGGGATTACAAGTGTGAGCCACTGCGCCCAGCCAATCATCTCCTTTTTTTTTTTTTTTTTTTTTTTTGGTTGGGAGTTGGGGCTCAATTTTGAGTCCTTCCAAAGCATTCAACTTTTTCTCATAAACAAATTTGAAAAAGAAAATCCTCTTCTCATCTAATTGGCTTGCCTAATATTTACTGAACTTATATAATGATAACAACAAGCATAACTGGTGTACATAGATGTGGAGGCAAGGGAGACCAGAAGAACAAGGGGCCAAGGTGGGCTGGGCCTGCTGAGCTCGCTCCCCTGGAGGTTCAGGTGAGATGGATCACGCACCTGTAGCCTTTGTCTGCTCCCACAAAGCCAGAGGAATGTGGTCTACCCCAGATAGCATGGATCAGACTCCAGCAGGGACCCTGACTCTTCTAATTTGAGCCTCTCAGGGCATGGTCTCACTTATGTCACTGTCCACCCTCCCTTCCCTAGATACGCCTTTCTAGAGCACGACATCGTCCTTGCCCTGTCCTTCCTGCTGAATGACCCCAGCCCAGTCTGCCGGGGGAACCTGTACAAGGCATACATGCAGCTGGTCCAGGTGCCTAGAGGTAGGCTTGCGTCCTGCACACAGATCTGTCGGGCACTCAAGTTGTCCGTCGGTCTCCTCTCCAGGTCACATATGTACCAGGGTGTAGATCGTCCACTTTTTATTAAATTACAACATACATATTAGAAAAGCACATATCCGCTGGGTGTGGTGGCTCACACCTGTAATCCCAGCACTTTGGGAGGCCGAGGCAGGCAGATCACGAAGTCAGGAGTTCGACACCAGCCTGGCCAATATGGTGAAACCCTGTCTCTACTAAAAATACAAAAATTAGCTGGGCATGGTGGTGGGCACCTGTAATCCCAGCTACTTGGGAGGCTGAGGCAGAAGAATCGCTTGAACCTGGGAGGCGGAGGTTGCAGTGAGCCAAGATTGCACCACTGCACTCTAGCCCGGGCGACAGTGCGAGACTCTGTCTTAAGACAAAAAAAAAGAAAGAAAAAAGAAAAGCGCATATCCTAAACGAACATTTGGTCAAGTTGTTTTCAGTGAACATGTGGTGTAACTGCCACCCCAATCAAGACATGTAGAGAGTATTTACCACCTCTCCAGAAACTTCCCACATGCCCATACTGGGTATTACCCTTACCAATGATAAATGGTATCTTCAATTTATAAGACCATAGATGATGCCCCTTTTAAAACTTTACATAAATGGAAACATCCAGCTTGTAATATCTTGCTTGTAGCTACTTTTGCTTAACGTTTTATTTCTGAGATTTACGTGTGGGATGTATTACTGATTTTTGCTTGTTTATGCTGGAGTATGGTATTTACACTATGTGAGTATACAACAGTTTACTTACCCATTCCGTTGCTGACGGACATCTGAATTGTTTCTAGCTTATGGCTACCAAGAATAGAGTGGCTATGAACACCCTTATAAATGTCTTTTGATGGACATGTATATGCATTTATTTTGAAACATACCTAAGAAGAGAATGGCTGGCCTGGGTAAGATTATGTTCAGCTTTTAGAAGGTACTACCCAATGGTTTTCTAAAATACTTGCATCTGCACATGCCATGTCCCAGCTACCCAAGAGGCTAAAGCAGGTGTATTGCTTGAGCCTAGGAGTTCTAGGCTGTAGTGCCCTACGCCAGTCGGGTGTCCGCACTGTTTGGCATCAATATGGCGACCTCCCGAGATGGGGGGACCACCAGATTGCCTAAGGAGGGGTGAACCAGCCCAGATCAGAAACAAAGCAGGTCAAAACTCCTGTGCCGATCAGTAATGGGACTGTACCTATGAATAACCACTGCACTCCAGCCTGAGCAACATAGCAAGATCCTGTCTCTAAAAAAAATGAATAAAATACTTGTACCAATTTATACTTCCACTAGCAGTATATGAGAGTTCCAGGTGATTTATATCCTCATTAATCATAGATTTTTTTCTGTCTTTTTATTTTAGCTATTTTGGTGGGTGTGTAGTAGTATCTCATTTTGGTTTTAATTTATATTTCCCTGATGATTAAAAGGGGATGTCCTGTAAATGTTTTCTTTTGTGAAATACCATAGCACACATTTAAGGGATAAAGAAGGCCCGTCCCAGAGGCAATGTTGCATACAGTTCCTGTCCCACTGGCCCTGCTGACTAGATGGGGAGTCCAGGGTAACAGCTACCCGATACCACGGCTCGAGAGTTAAGATTTATGGCAGATTGATACCTGCCTGGTCGCATGATGCAATGAGTATTTTTAGACGAGGGAATTATTTCAAGGGCCATGATAGGAGGCCTTGAAGCGGATACCTTAGCTCAAGGTGGACAAACAGATATTGTAGCCCAGGAGTCAGATGAACCTGGGTTCCCTCTGCCCTTCCCCTCACTCCCCGTGTGCCCTGGACAGGTTATTTCCCATGTCTAAAGTACCTGCCTCAGAGGCCAGAAATGAGGTTGAAGTGGAAACACTGGCCTGGTGTATAGCTCAGCGTCCTGCCCAAGGATGGAGTGCAAACATTCAAGGCCAGGCGTGAGCATTCCCTGGGTTAAGGCTCAGAGAGAAATGACTACGGGATCAGGTGCAGATAGGCAGGCCCAACAGAGCAGAGCCTGTGAGGGTCTAGGATTGTTGCTTGGCTCCTGAAGCACATCTTCTTCCAGCTGATCTGGCCTGGGAGTTGAGCACACTAGGCCTGTGGTTTTTTAAAAACACCACCGTGCCCCTGGTCCTCTCCCAGGCCACCAGGAGCAGTCTCTGGGGGTGGGGCCCTGCACACATATTTCTGAAAATGCACCTTGAATGACAGTCATGCATGCCCCAGGGTTGAGAGCCCCTGGGGTATTAGGGTGATCCATGGGGGACCAGTGCTGGGTTGAGCTAAATTAATGCCCTGTGCTCACCATGCAGGAACCTGAGGAATAAGCGAGGGTCTAGTCCCCTCATTCTTGGAGTGTGGAGACAGGGGACTTGCTGCTCTCAACCAGTCCTCTTACAATGATTGTGACCTATTTAAAGCATTCAGAGAAGTACAGAGATGGTGATAAGGAACATTGGATACCACCAGCCAGCTTTGCCAAATCTTTACATTCTATATCCATATTTTATACTTGCTTGAAATTTTTATTTGAAGAAATCATAGGTACAGTCCAAGCACCCTGTGAACCTCCCCCCACCCAGAGCACTCTTCCTCCTGCCTTTCCTTGAGCTACTAATAATCTGGTGACTATGTCCCCAAAATGCATATCTTTATATTTTACCACAGATATAATTACATATGGACGATATATAATCTTGTTTTGCATGTTTTAAAACTATGTAAGTGGATCTTGCTGTATGTATCCCTCTGTTACTTCCAAAACCTTAAAAAACCTAAATAACATTAGAGATTTATAGAAATTTTGAGATGAATCCATGTTGCGCCACTGGCTGTATTTCATTCATTTCCATCACTGCACACTGTTCCGGTGTTTGAATGTATCATGATACACTCACCCATCCCAGGCTGGCAGGCTTGTTGGTTGTTTGTACTCCTGTACTGCAAAAGGACTGTGCCATGGCTGTTCCTGCCCAGGGCTTCCTGGTACCCTGGAAGGAGAGTCCCCTAGAGCATCTGCCAGGGAGGGCATCGCTGGGCCAGGGAGAATGTGTTTGCCTTCAGCTTTGCTGGATATTGCAACTGCTTCCAGCCCAGCCTCTGGCCTCCAGAGAGCCCGGGGCATATCCCAGCCTGATGGATGTGCTATGGTGTTTCACTGTGATATGGCTTTACTGTCCCTGTCCTGGTGAGAGGAAACATCTTCCCTCTGCCTGACACCTCATCAGATTCCTCTCCTGCCCAGTGCCTCTGGAGAGAGTGTGTTCATTCTGTTGCCGAGTTGTTTTTCCATTTCTTATTGATTTGAAGGAGTGTGTAATTTATCCTGGATTCCAGCCCTTTGTCGGTTACCTACATTGCAAATATCATTTCAAACCAGGCTGTTTTCTTGGCTTCTCACTGTGCCTTTGTTGATTCACTGGTGCAGCAGTCTTTCTTTCCTTCTTTCCTTCTTTCTCTTTCTTTCTTTCTTTCTTTCTTTCTTTCTTTCTTTTTCTTTCCTTCTTTCTTTCTCTTTTCTTTTTCTTTTTTTTTTGAGACAGAGTCTCACTCTGTCGCCCAGGCTGGAGTGCACTGGTGCAGTCTCAGCTCACTGCAACCTCCACCTCCCGGGTTCATGCCATTCTCCTGCCTCAGCCTCCCGAGTAGCTGGGACTACAGGCACCCGCCACCATGCCCGGCTGATTTTTTGTATTTTTAGTAGAAACGGGGTTTCACCGTGTTAGCCAGGATGGTCTCGATCTCCTGACCTCATGATCCGCCTGCCTCGGCCTCCCAAAGTGCTGGGATTACAGGCGTGAGCCACCATGCCCGGCCTTCTTTTTCTTTTTCTTTCTTTCTTTCTTTCTTTCTTTCTTTCTTTCTTTCTTTCTTTCTTTCTTTCTTTCTTTCTTTCTTTCTTTCTTCCTTTCTTTCTTTCTTTCTTTCTTTTTCTTTCTCTTTCTTTCTCTCCCTTCCCTTTCTTTCTTTCCTTCTTTTCCTTCCTTTCTTTCTCTTTCTCTCTTTGTCTCTTTCTCTTTCTTCCTCTCTCTTTCTTTCTCCTTCTTTCCTTCCTTCCTTCCTTCTTTTCTGAGATGCAGTCTCACTCTGTCACCCAGGCTGTACTGTAGTGGCATGGTCTCAGCTCACTGCAAACTCCACCTCCCAGGTTCAAGTGATTCTCCTGACTCAGCCTCCCGAGTAGCTGGGACTACAGGCGTGTGCCACCATGCCCAGCTAATTTTTGTATTTGTAGTAGAGACGGGGTTTCACTATGTTGACCAGGCTGGTCTTGAACTCCTGACCTCACGATCCTCCTGCCTCGGCCTCCCAAAGTGCTGGGATTACAGGCGTGAGCCACCATGCCCAGCCTTAGCAGTTTTTCATTTGAATAATGAAGTCAATTTCATGATTTTTTTTCCCTCTGGCCTTTTTTTTTTTTGAGTGCCGTGTAAGATAATCTTTCTTTACCCTGACTCATGAAGATATTCTGCCATATTTTCTTCTAAAATGTACGAGTTTGCTTTTCCCCATCTCCTCCCCTTGTCTTTTTCTGCCATCCACCAACACTGGGCGCACCATTAGGAGTAGGGGGCTGTGGTACTGACAAGCTCACGAACAGAAGCCTCAGTGAGGGTCAGGGTGGGGAGCCTCGGCCCTTCATCGCGGGGTTTACTGAGTGCTGCTCATGATCTGTGAAGGGCCCAGAAGGGAGGCCTGGGACACCGGGTATGCAGGGGACAGTTGGACAATGAGCAGAGGGAGGAAGGGAAGGAGGCAATGTGGCAGACGCCCAGGAGATCTGTTCTGGGGGTACACTGAGTGTCGTGGCCTCTGGATTAGCGAGTGTGACTGTGCCCCAGGTGGTGTCCTTCATGGGCCTCTGGGTGGGGGGCCTGGGGGGTGGCGAGGGCATCTATTTCAGTGGCTCTGTTCTTACCAGCGTGTGACCTTGGGCAGTACCATCACCTGTGGGAACGTGGGTGTCACCTGTGTGGCTTAGCTGGGACAGTCTCTGAGCAGGGCTTAGCTGGCTCCCAGTGAATGCTGGTGGCCATTGGTATGGTTTCCTATCAGTGGCCACACTGGAAGGCCGTTTTCACCATGGCACCCTCTGCACCTGGCAGGGCGCCTGGCATGTGGCTAGCGCTCAACAAATATTGGCTGTTTAGTAGGTTTTATGTCATACTTTAAAGGATCAATTGCTGGTTGTCTTCTTGCTACAGTTCACTTACCTGCTTGCTCATTCCTTCATTCATTTGACAGTATGTGTTGGGCCCCTGTTTTGTTCTGGCCACCGTGCCTCAGTTTCTTCCCCTGTGTCATGGGTGTCTGGGAGAGTGGTTTCAGAATCCTTGCTCTGGCCAAGTCTGACTTGCATGATTTCCCAGAGTAACCAGGAGGGGGCACCCCAGGACTGAGGATTGTCCCAAGTGGGCCCTGGCCCTGCAGGGGCCCTGGGCCCAAGCTGCTGCGCTCACCCACACGCATTCCTCTAAGTTCCTTCCAGGCTGGCTACTCATGCGCCGTGGTGGTGCCGTGTCAGGAGAGGAGAAAATAGGATTGTAGAGACAGATGTCACACACAGGCTGCCAGCCCAGGCTCCCTGCCAGCTGGGCCCTGAGTGATGCACAGGGTCTGCTTCTGCTCCCCAGCCCGATGAGAGGGGGAGGCCTGGCAGGCCAGGAACCAAGAGGCCAGAGTGTCCCTATCGGTGACCATCATTCCTGCTAAGTCCAGGAATGGAGTAGAACCCCATGAGAAAACAGGTTTCATTTTTGTGGGAGAGAGAGTTCTGTGGCTGAAATTGACAATTCTTCTCTAACCAGATTTTGGGGTGCAGTTGAACAGCTCAGGGTCCCCCGGAAGTATCCCTCTACCATCCCACTGGTCCTGACTGGGCACACCTGTGAGTCTGTTCTGGCCCTGCCTCCAGTCTCCCTCTCCTTGTGCCAGGCTCTGAGACCCCAGCCCAGCTTTAGCAGCAGCATGATGGGGCCTGTTCTGACCCTGACTCCACACGTGTGCAGCCCGGGGGTGGAGATGGATGACCCTCCCAGCCCGGAGGAGAGCACCAGCCCGAGAGGAGGAGGGAGGCAGCAAGGATGCGCCTGGGCCCTGCCTCTGGAAATTGGCTCCGTGACCTTGGAAAGGAGAACTGGGCTTGGGAAGGGGAGGGTGCCGCGGGTGAAATGTCTGGATGCAGTTTGATCCAAGTCATTTGGGGGTTCAGGGGACATCCCTGGAGTCATAGCATCTAAGCTAGGGAGAAATCTGGGGGTCTACAGCTATACCACCCAGAATGCACCCAATGTCATCTGAACCCCAGGTACGTGGGCTGCTGGAGAAGCAAAGTAGGTGCTCCCACTGCAGTGAGCCGTATGTCTCATTCCAGGCTAGTGGCCTTGGGTGGGCCACCACTGCACCCTGTCCCTCTTCAGCAGCCACCCGTGGACACCCAGCTTCCTTCGATGGACCCAGAGCAGCCTCCTCCTCCTCCTCCCCTTGATGCCACAGGGTGAGGGGTGGAGGCCAGCTGCCCTAGAGGAGCAGGCCCTTTTCTGTCTTGCCTGCCCTCAGGGCAGGGTGCACCAGAACCCCAGGCACATCCTCAGCCTGACAGTCTTTGGTGGGTAGTTGTACCCCATTCCTGGACTTAGCAGGAATGATGGTCACTGATAGGGACACTCTGGCCTCTTGGTTCCCGGCCTGTCAGGCATCCCCATCTCGTCAGGCTCATCTGGGTGAGGTGAGCTCATCCAGGGTGAGGTCCAGCCTCAGTGTTGCCTCAAGTCCTCATGGTGCAGTGCAGCCCTTCCTGGCACTGTCCCCTGAGCCAGATGGACCATTTGTTCTGGAGGGCTGACGTTGGAAGTAGGGTGCCAGGGCCTGTTGCCACTGTGGGGATCTGGGGAATGTGGACAGAGTAAAGCCCCTCAGGTCCTGGCCTGGTGGGGTCACATTGTGTGATGCTGATAAGTCATCGCCTCTCCTGGTCTCTGCTTCCACTTCTGTAGAATGGAATCAAGCATCTTGGCCTCCCATGAGTGTGCCCCCCAGTGAGCAGTCACTGAGGAGAGCTGGGATTATCGTGACCACTGTTGTTGACCCATTGCACCACCAGGGTGACCACGTGGGCTATAGGTGAGGATGGCAATATCCCACAGGGAGCCACATGATGGTGGGTCCTGGGAAAGGAGGCTGGGGCTGCGTGAAGTAGGACAAGGCGGGATTAGTCACCTGCAGTGGGCAGGGCTGGCCCAGCCATCCCCAGGTCCTCCCCTTCAGGCACCCTGCCACCTACTCTAGCCTCCTCTCACCAGCAACCTTGGTGAGTCCTGGTGCTTACCTCCCGTTGGCTAAGACTCCTGGACCATCCCAGCTCAGCATGCGCCTTCTCCATGGGGCATTGTTTGGAGGAATGAGGTGGGTCAGAGGCGCTGGCCTTGAGCTGCTCAATGGAGTTTCCAACACCCCTTCCCACTCGACCCTGGAGCCCTGACAGATGGAATGCAGGGAAGGAGGAGACTTCCAAGAAGCTGCCCAGGTGACTTTGAGCTGTGAGGATGGGGAAGGACATGCTAGGCAAAGGGATCATTGGGGGCAAGAGCGGAACAAGGCAGGCTCAGGAGGAGAACCAGTGCAGGTGAACTGCAGGGGAGGACGGGGCCAGAGAGGTCGACAGCGCCTGAGGTTTCTCTGCAGCCTATGGGGGAACTGGAGACTCCTGGCTAGGTTCTGGGAACCGGGAGAAACCTCCCTCCAGGGAAGGCCTCCTCTGATCTTTGCACACATTAGGAAGGGAGGCTCAATCCCTTTCTCCCTTTAGCCATGTATTTTTAGATTAAAGATGCTCACGGCGAAATTACTGCTCTTTTCACAGTTGGCATTAAAAGCACAAAATAAGTCTCAACGATTTTAAGTCACACGTTATTTCTTCAGAAACAAAAGCCCCTCTGGGTTCTGGCTGTTTGGTGACGTAGGAAGGTGTGAAGGGAGTCCCTGCGTGGGCTTAGGAGTAGGGATGGGGCGGTGACAGCACCAGGGCTGCGTGCGTATCTGCGCGTGTGTGCATGTGCTTGTGTGCATGCATGCGTGTGTGTGCCTGCCGACCCCCCACTTTGCTTGAGGTCCTGCTTTGAGGAGGAGGCTGCAGGGTGGTTCTGTGCTGCTCCCTGTAGGCTTCCATCCTGTGCAGGTGCCAAGCCAGGCAAGGACTCCAGCAGGAGGAAAGATCAGCGTCTCTGCTCCTCCAGTGGGAGCAACAGCTCCCTGGCCTGGTGAATCCTGGCTTGACTGCTCCCTGACCTCAGGCACCTTTCCTCATCTGTAAAATGGGCACCTCTGGCAACCTGCTGAGGTGGGGTGTTACATAAAATCATTAGTAAGGAGCCCGGCTCCGTGCCTGGTTCGCAGCAGGCCCTCGGTGAATGCACTCCGTTGACTTCTGATCGGCACTTTTCCACTATATCCAGATACCTCTAACCACACAAGCCAGTCAGCGAGCACTGCATGCTCAGGGACCCCTCCTCTCCAAAACCCTACAAGGTTTGCCCTACACTACTGGGGGCACAGGAACCCTCCAGGCCCTCAGGGCACCTCTTCCACTCTGCAGGATGACTCTGACATTGGCTGAGGTGTCCACATGGTGGGAGGGGTCCAGGGTATGGCACAGCCTGGGTCAGTGTTGGGTGGGGTCTTGGGGGCAGCGGGAGGGGCAGGAGTCATCATCACCCCCAGACCTCCACACCAGGACTGCATGGACCTGGCAGGTTTCCCCTCTTTGCAGTTTCTTTCCTCTCGTGATGTTTATTTGTGATGTTCATTGCAAAATGACTCTACCTAAATGTGTGGAGGTATAGGGGTGGGGTTTGGAATATGGGACCTCAGAATGGAGGTGTCCCCGGCTGCCCTTCCAGATGGCACCAAGTCCAGCCACAGGTCAGCTACACACATAGCACACTGGGACAATGCTGGGCTCCATTCAGGGTATTTTATTTTCTTAAAGTAGACAACCTTTGACTTTCATCCAATCCCCAGCTTCTCTTTCCCCCGTACATCTCTTCACGTCCTTGGCTGTGATTCCGCACACTGACCTCGGACACACAGCTACTGCACGGAGAGAGGGAGGGAGATCTGGCAAGGGCTCCGGCAGTGCCTCTCCTCTCCATGGCGCAGTTCGTATTTACACACGGCCCTTGGCGAACGTCCTTTCAACGCAGTTGCCCATAGGCCCTGGGACAGGAAGGCCCAGATCAGGGTCCCAGCAGGGCCTCCCTCAGGCCACAACGCTGGCTGTGCCTTCACAGGAGTCAGAGCATTTCCAGCCAGTCTCAGGCGCGGGGCATGCTGGGACCAGGGGCACCACCCCTTGCTCCCCTTCCTTCACTCAGCAAAGCCACAAATAATTTACTCTTTAAATACCAAGACACTTAGCTATTGTTCATTTGCTCCCAGGTGAAAGAACCTTCTTTAAATATGTCGTGTTTATTTTCTTAAATAAAAACAAAGCAGAAAACCCCACCATTAACAAGAGGACACTGCAGAGGCTTATGTACAACACGTGTCCCGCGAGGCTGGCGCAGGACTGCCACTCACTCCAAAATTTCTTTGGAGCAGAGAGACAGATCGTCCAGATAACAACTTTTACACTCAGCAAGCCAGACACAAAAAAGACCACCTGAAAAAAAATATGTTTTGAAAATCTGCATTTAAAAAAGAATACTCAACTGCATTTGAAATTTTCTGGATTTTTTTCTGCGAAACACCACGAGATTTGGCCAAAAAAAAAAAAAAACCAAAAAACAAAACAAAAAAAAAATGTCAGAGAAGGAAAACCAGGTTTTGATTTATAAAACATCAGACTAGTAGAAGAAAAGCTGGAATCCCAGCTGGCCTAGTTTGAAATAAATCGTGCCACTCGTTTTGTTGTATTGGTTTTTGCTGCATATTTTGAAGCTGTTTTTTAAAAAGAGCTGTGAGTGGCTGGAGGTCTGGTTAGTGCTGTCACCCGGCTCCTAAGGTCCCAGGTCCAGAATGAAAGTGGTGCTGAGCAGCTGTGTGCAGGCCAGCAGGGAAGGTGCACAGACCCTGCACTGGTCCTCCCTCTTGGTCAGCGGCAAGGTCCCTAGGCCAGAGCTCGGGCAGCGAGCTGGCCCTCCTCCAGGCGACAGGGGTGCAGTTGGCCTACCTTGCCTCAGCCCTGCTGCCTATCCCTAACAATCCAATGCAGACCCCCAAGTGGAGTGGGGCCAACTCAGGAAGGCAAAGTGAAGGGGCAGGTTGGGCTTGTAGTGACCTTGTGACAGCTTCTCAAGTCTTCAAGAGACCTCGACATTTTAGAGGATTTTGCCATCTCCAGATGTGTGTGTGTGCATGTGTGTGTGTCTATCTACCTAGCAATCTATCCGTAAATATTTATGTTTGCAGAAATGTGGGGCCAAGGAGGCAGAGGCCAAGGGGTGGGGGACATTCTTTAGGCCCCCTGTTTTCTGCCCCTGGATTGGGCCTCTCTAGCACGCGTTGGGGCATGACACCCCGTGGGTTTCACCATAGGCAGGCGGGCCCCGGGCCCAGCTCCTCAGCAAAGGCCAATGTACTTGAGATTGTTCTGTATGATGACGTCTGTCACCGCGTCGAAGACAAACTGGATGTTACTGGTGTCGGTGGCGCAGGTGAAGTGGGAGTAGATCTCCTTGGTCTCCTTGTTGCGGTTCAGGTCTTCAAACTGCCGCTGGATGTAGACAGCGGCCTCCTCGTACGTGTTCTGGCCCTTGTACTCGGGAAAGCAGATGGTGAGCGGGATGCGGCGGATCTTCTCTGCCAGCAGGTCCTTCTTGTTCAGGAAGAGGATGAGTGAGGTGTTGATGAACCAGTTGTTGTTGCAGATGGAGTCAAAGAGGCGCAAGCTCTCTGCCATCCGACTCTGGGGAAAGGAAAGTACTGGCGTTAATCAGGCCCGCAGCAGGCAGAGACAGACCCTAGACCTGCAGCCCTGCCAGAGGAAGCCTTTGCTAGGGTCTCAGCCCAAGACTGGTCCCTGCAATGGCACCTCCTTCTGCTGGGGAAGCCCAGGTTAAATGTCTTCACCCACCTCCCACGGAAATAGCCGGCAGCACCCTCCTTGCCAGTGGCAAGTGCTTGGAAGATGTTCTCTTGCCCCTTTTGGGTCTCTCCTCTGGGTGCCAGTGATCTCAACATATAGCTTTGGGGCTACAGATGTGCCAAGCACAGCCTCCTAAACCGCTGGGCACCTCCAGCTCCGAGGACCCCCCATCTTCCCACTGCCCATCCACAGGCTGCCCCACACCTGTACAAGGAAGGCCATCTTCTGCAGGAGCCCCCGTCACATCATAGCTCCCTCAATGCAGGCGCTGGCAGCCTTGTGCCCTATCTGGGTTCTGGCCCAGTCCTTCAAAACTCTGATCCTTCCATGTGGTACCATCGGACACTAGGAAGTCTGTGAGGGAGCAGCCTTCACTTCTGTAACCAAAGTCTCCAGTTCTTGAGAGCTGGGAAGGAAACACCAGCCAGAGGCCAGGCTCCTCCCCTGCCCTCCAGCTGTGGGCACTCCCACCAGCTGCTGTGGGGCATCTGGCACCGCCTCTCTGCCGAGGCAGGACCCTGGCATCCTGGACAGAGCTCTCAGTACATGCAGAGGACAGGAGTGTGGTGGGCCAGGAAGAGGCAGTGACCACAACGGAGTGTGGCGCCTGTCCGCTCCTCAATTCTCTTCTGAGAATCTTCGATGTGTTATAGCCAGGGGTCTGGGCTTTTAAGAAGCATGATGCTCTTGTCTGACTCCCCAGTTCACCACTTCCCTGCAAAATGAATAAATTCTAACTTCTAAAAGGAGTAACTACCTGGAATTTGCTGCTGGCAAAAGCTACCCCTGCTTCTAAGATAAACTCAATGAGCAAAATATCAAAAATCTGGAACCAATCTGGCTTAGATCTGATGCTTTGGATTTAAGAACTTTTCTGGCCAGGCGCCGTGGCTCACACCTGTAATCCCAGCACTTTAGGAGGCTGAGGCAGGTGGATCACAAGGTCAGGAGTTCAAGACCAGCCTGGCCAACACAGTGAAACTTCATCTCTACTAAAAATAAAACAACAACAACAAAATTAGCTGGGCATGGTGGCAGACACCTGTAATCCCAGCTCCTTGGGAGGCTGGGGCAGGAGAATCACTTGAACCCGGGAGGTGGAGGTTGCAGTGAGCCGAGATCATGCCACTGCACTCCAGTCTGGGCGACGCAGCGAGACTCTGTCTCAAAAAAAAAAAAAAAAAAAGGAACTTTTCTGACTAGACTACATCACCAGTGACCGTGGTAATGCAAGTGGTAACTGCAGCTGGTAGTGATGACTCAGGCACGAAGCAACAGCATCACCAATGACTGCAGTGACAATGACGCTGGTAACCACAGCTGGACACGAGCTGCCAGTCTGTTCTCACATCTGCCCACTCCTGTTTTACAGATGAAGAAACTGAGGCACAGAGAGGCAGGATATGTGCTCCAAGCCCCACAACCAGGTGCTCTGGCTTGCTGCTCCTACAGGGTGGGCCCAAAGGAGGCTGCCTGAGGGCAGGGGTGCCCAGGAGGATGCTGCATAGAAACCCTGCTCTCCAGAGCCCCTGAGTTCTCTGAGGAACAGCTCTGGCAGCATCTGTGCAGAGAAAGGAAGGATACCCAGAGGTACCCGTCATTACCCTGGAACCCTGCACTCCACCTGGAAGACTGTTTTTCCAAACCAATCTTGCTCTTTCTTTAGAATGAGCTTCGGAATAACAGGAGTCCTGAGGAGTGAGCAGCCTCAGGTCTGGGGATGGGGGTGCTGGCCTTTCTGCAGAGACAAGCAACACACAAGATCTCATCCCCAGCAGAGCAGAGAGGAGCCAGCGCCTCCGCAGTGAACCTGGCTGCACATTCCCAAATGTGAGATAAGTGGTGGTCTAGGAATGTCACATTCTGCTGAGGGAGTAATTAGCTCTAATGGATTCCTGGAAGCCACATCATAGAGGACTGTGGTAACAGAGCTGTCATTTCTCATAGAAATGATGCTGTAATTGGGGGCTATGCTTCTGACCCCAAATTTTGCATCAGTTAAATAACAGATATGACCATTAGCACGTATTATTAATTTACTGAGCAAACACTTGCTGAGCGCGCCCTGAGTCCACATCAGCTCTCATGCCAGGTGATGGAGCTTGAGGTGGGAGTCCTGGGGCTGCAGGAATAGAGCCAGGCAGGGATGGCAGGGTCCTTTTGGGGTAGGGGGCTTCCTCCGGGGTTGGGAAGGGCGTGATCTGGCCACCAGCAGGGTATGGACCTGGGGGTTCAAGGGTGAGGGGACAAGCACAGAGTGGGTGCTAGGCCTGGGTCTGCCTCTCTGAGCCCTGATGGGTCACTTGGGGATGACAGTTGAGATGGTTTTAATACCCAGCTTAGCCCATCACCTCCTGGGCAGGCAGTGGAATTTAGGTAAGAGGAGGAGCAGGAGGGCCACCTCACTGATGCGGAAACAGTTCACGTGTACTGGTCATCTGAAGCCTCAGATCTAAACCAGACTGGTCCTCTGCAGGGCACCTGTGTGTAGGGAGAGCTCAGCTGGCAGCAGTGGGAGGGGCCGATAGACCACGTGGACCCCCTCTCTCCAAGGCCAAGGCAGCCACTCTTCTTGTCCAACGCCATGAAACACTCCTGACTGTGGCCCCCGTGAGTCCTGGGGTGAGTCAAGCTGTCCCAATGCACTAGGAGCCCCTTCCATGGTGTCTAAACTGCTTCCCTGCTGATGCCTCTCAGTGGACCTTGGGGACCCTGGACACCTCTTTGAGCCTCCTGTTCCTGACTTAGAGGTCATGGAAACTCAGGTACTTATCTCACAAGGCAGCTGGAGGTGGGCACGGTGCCTCACAGTACACTCTTATCAGGATTCCGCCACTGCGGCAGCCTCATCAGGACAGACAAACATCTCCCGAGTGTGGGCCCTTCCCTCAGCTCAGGCCCCTGCTTGTGCCCAGGACTCCCCTTGCTTTGCAGGCATTTCAGGCTCAGGCTTCCTGGTTTCCTCTATTCCTTGAGACAAACCATGGGAACCACACTGACTAATATTTAGTGGGCACCGAGGAGATGATGGGCCTCAAATAATAACAAAATCTCTGTGTAGACGCCTGGTTTCCTGGTCTTGTTTCTTGGCTGGGCCCTGTCTGGCAGGAGTCAGGAAAGCCTGCAGGAGGCACCAACCACATACCTCACTTCCGGGCTCAGACAGGAAGCTTCAGAGCGTGGGAAGCACCTGAGCTTGCCGCCTCACTCCATCCCAGCGTCCCTGACGCAGGCTGAGCCTTCACTGCACATGGGCTCCACCCTAGTAGGAGGTGAAGCTTAGGAGATGGTGGGTGCCCATCCTGTAATCTTTATAGAACAGGAAGGCTATAAAGAAGGTCAGAGGGCCCAGCATGGGACAGTGTGGTGCTGGCAGTGTGGTGCTGATGGACCAGCAAGTGAGGCAGGAGCTGCATCGTGGGTTTGTTCCTAGACCAGAGGCCTGCAGCTCTCAGAGATGGGGGACAAGACAGAGCGGGAGGCTGAAGAACCACAGACGGTTACAAAGTCAGGACCCTGACCAGCTGAAGTTGATGAGAGGAGGCCAAACCTAGAGAAGAGCCTCATATTTGGGTCTGAAAGATCAACTGCAGAGGAGGCAGTGGGGAAAGGTGTTGCCAGGCCAGAAGCCCAGTCTTGTCCTCTGACCTAGTGCCCAGCCTGGGCCCTGGTGCTTGCCTGGTGACCTCGGGAGCCTGTGTCACAGCGGTGCCTGCACTCTTGCAGCCTGGAGTGCAGACAGGTGGGCAAAGCGGCATCCTGACACTCAAATCACCACCACTGAAAACAGAGCCGTCTATTTGAAGCTGTAGCTCTGGAAACTGTGACTCAAGCATGCATATGGGAAGCAAGAAGCCCCAGCATGCCTTCTGCTGGCCTCCAGGGCCTGGCCTCATAGCCCTCTGACCTGTCCATGCTCTGCTCACCCTGCAAAACATGACTGGCTGTGCCTCCTGCACCCATCTGGCCTTTGTGGGCTCCCCTGGGTCCTCCTGCCCTTGGTGGATGTGGCTCTGTTCTCCTTCCTGGCCTGGCCTGGCCTGCATGGGGTTTTGCCCTCCCTGGCCTGGCAGGGTTAAACATTGTCCTGCTGCAGCCCACCTGTGGGCCACTGGGGTAGAGCTGGATGCAGCTTTGGAGTCATGTGGCCCTGCCCCATGGTAGTGCATCACCCCCTTGTCCTGCAGTGACTTCCTCCATCAGCCTGACAGACCCTGGATTCAGAGGAGCTGCCTCTGCCAACCATGACCCCATGGCAAGGGGGAGGGCTCCTCACTTCACATATGGGGCCCAAGGCCTCAAGAGGGGCTGACTCCCCAGGGTGCAGTTGAGAGCCTGGTATTTTCCAACTGCCACAGTGTCCTGTTCTGGCAAGAAGCCCTCCTTGCCTTCACCTCTATGGCTGCCAAGGCAGCCGCGGGGGGTGGGGCGGGGCGGGGAAGAGGGAGGCAGAAACACACCACCATTCACTGCTGTGATGCCAGCCCAGGGCTCCAGTGCCCATCCTGCTCTCTCCAGGGCCTGCTTACCAGCAAGATGGCGCCTTCTAGGAGGCTGGGGTTTGTCTGCACATTTATTTATATAAATAACACGGAGCAGACAGTTCCTGTGAGAAGCTTGTGCAATGGTGGGAATCTCACTGCTTGGCGTCGGGGAATGGTGAGGTGATTTGTAACCAGGCCTTCAGCCACCAGGCAGCTGGATGCAGTCCCTGGGGTGGTGTGGAAGTCATTTCCTGGCCATTTGTGAGAAGAGAGCTCCTGCTCAGACAGGTCCAAATAGACTTGCCATTGTGGAAGGGACTCTGCCCCAGGCCGTGGCTTTCTCACTACAGCAGGGGAGCTGACAGCCCATCCCTAAGGGGCTTCCAGCTTGCTGGCCTGCGGGTCTGGGGTATTTCCCCTGAACGTGGCTGCCAGACTGCTGGCCAGACCAGGTCCGGCACCTGGAAGGACATTCCCAGGTCAGCGGCCGGGGCAAGGTAGGGAGTGGAGAGGAGCCTGCGCCTGGTTAGTTGTGGGGGTGGTGAGGCCTCTCACTCCTGATTCTCCACCAAGGTTCTCCTGGTGACACAAAGGGGCAGATGTCCCTGGCCATGAACACAGGGTCTGGGGTTTACTCACTGCCGGTGCATGCTGCACCTTGGACAAGTCATTTCCTTTCTCTGGGCCTCAGTTTCCTCATCTGTACAATGCTGGGACTGTTGTGAGAAGGCACAAAGGTGCTGACACGGGAAGAACCCCAAGCTGCTGGGCCTTGCCCTGTGGCTACCACTGGCACCCCAGTGGGCCCTCTCCACGCCACACCCACTGTGATTCGCCTTGGCACTGGGACGTCCTCTCACCTGCGAGGTCTCATCGGAAGACCTGCTTCCCTCTGTCCCAGCATGAGGCAGCTGAGGGAAGGCTACCCAAATGCAGGGCCAGCTCAGCCGGACGGAGTGGGAGAGGTCTCGATGCTGCAGATGGGGATTCAGCCAGCAACACTTCTTTGCTGGCCACAGGGCCCAGGTCAGCCTGGCTCTTTGGGAGGCTCCTGTGGCCCCTTAGCCTGGAGATGCAATGGCCGATGTGATGAATGGTGGATGTGTTTCCATCCCGCCTGCAGCCACCTGGACCTTACTTAAAACATACCGTGTCGGCACCTCTGGCTCAGCCCCTCTCATTCCCCATCAGGCCAGTCTCCTTACAGCCGGTCCCTCTGTTTGTGGGGCACAGAACAGCCCCAAGTACCAGGCTCTTCCAGTTACCAACGTTCCTGGTAACAGGTCTGGCCCTCAGTGCTGGGTCATGGGAGGGCTGCCTTTGGTTTCCTGCATCCCAGCTGGATGGGACCTGACATGGACACTGGAGTCTAGCTCCTGTACTTTGGAGCTGAGGCGCACAGATCCCCCAGCAGGTGCGCGCATATTCCAGCATCAGCCTCCTGCTGGTCTGAGAGCTCATGGGCCTGCGGTGGGAGAGGGAACAGAGGCATCCTCCAGGCTTCCTCATCTCAGCCAGGGGCCTGTCCCCCTCCCAGGTGCGGCATATTTGCATTTTAAGAGGCCTCTGGACTGGGGGCCTGTTTTTGGAGTTAGCATCCCTTTGTCACAGCCTAAACACCTCCCCACACCCCACTCCTTCCCCATCAGGCACTCACGGCTTTCCAGCTAATGACATCCAAGGCAGCTGTGTGGGACAAGCGCCTGGGCTGGGGGTGGGGAGGTGAGAGGCTCATCCAGGGCCTCACACGTTCTGACCTCCAGTCCATTACACCCTGCCTTGACAGACATCCACAGTGCTGAGTATCACAGCCCATCCTGCACTGTAGTTGCAGCTCCCTGAGGAGCCCAGAGTGGGGCATCCTTCCTGTCCCTGCCTCACAGGCCACCACAGGTGTCCTGCTAAGACCATGGTCCTGCATGAGGTAGCTCAGTGACTACCCAGGGACCAGGGACTGGGCCGGGTGGGAGGGACACTGGCCTGCTCTGAAGCGCTCTCCCTCCTGCACTGCAAATGTCCTCAGGTGCCCTGTCACAGGCGCGTAGCCACGTCATCCCCTCACTGCACTTCTGGGCCCCTCAGGCGGACAGGCCAGCCCTTCATGACCCAGGTGTCTTTTTCCCTCTGCACCCGCAGCTCCACCTCCAAGTTACTCCTCGTTCCCACAACTCACTGTGCCTCGAGTAGGCCAGTGGCCCCCAGAAGGCCCCTCAGCCCCTCACCTGGCAGCCTGTTGCCCTGTGCCCCTCAGTGAGGAGACGGAGGTCATGGCAGCTTCACGAAGCAAGGCTTACCCAGGCAAACGCACACACAGACGTGGTCCTGGGCACGTGGTGAGCACATGACAGAGGCTGGCACCTGTTTGACTGTTTTGTTGTTTGCTGTGGGACCCCAGCGGCCTCAGGGCCCATCTGGCACATGCGCGGCACCTTCCTGGTGTGCTTGGCCTGGCCCAGGCCCTCAGCCAACCGCACTGCCTTGTCATCTTCACACAGGGCCCAGGGGGTAGGGGGATCAGGGTGGTGATTATGACCACCACCCTCCCCTTGCACAGATGAAGGAATGAGTAACTCTGCTAGGAAAACTTGAACAGAATTTCCTGAAGTGAGCAATCATGTACTGTGCTTCAAATAAACTGAGGTTTAGAAAATAAACTGAAAAAGACCCAGTCAAAATGGCTCAAACATGAGCCCCGGCCCCCAACTTCAGGTGGGGCCCCTCCATTTGCAGGGGTGGCCAGCAGTGCTCAGGGCCTCATGCCTGCTTCACGCATCTTCTGCCTTAGGGGTCACCGAGGCATCACTGAGGTGTGGGAGGCCACCCTGCAGGGTCACCCCACCTTCCTGTTCTAGGAAGGGGTATGTTCTGGGCCTCCTCCTCGCTCCCCTCTGGGCAACCCGAGACCCCCTCCAGGAGGCCAGACGCACTCCCAGATTCCCATGTCAGCTCCCAGCAGGTAGGCAGTCCTCAGGGACACTGGTCTTGTCCAACCCCTTCCCAAACCCTGACCCTTGCACACACCCCAGAGATGGTGGGACCGTCACCTCCCTACTCTGGATCCATGCAGCCCCAAATCACACTGGTTTGGGGGCAACCACATGCAAACACCTACTCAGGCTGAACGTACACCATCAGCTCAGAGCCTTGTCACATACCTCAGCCAGGTGAGGGGCCCCCGGACTGTGTTGTATTGGGGAATAGGTGGGTGATGCCAGTGTGATATGGCCACATGGCTGGGGAAGGCTCTGTACTGACCCATCTGGTCTCCCTGTCCACTCACTCTCCACTAGGTCCCTTACTCCACAGGACCCCATGCAGTTTGCTGTGGCCACAGCACAGAGCAAGGCCAGCTGGCCCAACTAGGGGCCTCAAACCTCACATAAAATGCACGTGACATTAAGGTTTCAGCTCTTCCTGGAACCAGCATCATCCCTGGGACACAGATGACCTGGAACCCCCAGCCCTGCCAGCTTCTGAGATGCCTTCATGGCAGTCCCCACTGCCCTCTCCCTTTCCTCACCTCCCTGGGCAGAGGCTCTCCAGGTGCTCTTGTGTGAGGGATGGAGGCAAGCAGACAGCCTTGCTCTCAACAAGGTGGGTGAGGACAGGCAGGAGGGAATGCTGGAGCCGGTGTGGCAGCTGCGGAGTGGCCAATGCAGGCCCAACCTCCTGCTCTGCCAGCTGTTCTGAACCTGTCCCCCCTCCAAAAAAATAACCACACACACACAGAATATGTAAGCATACTTCCCTCGTGAGGGGGCTGAGGGCTGATGTGGGATACACATGGACAGCTTAGTCCCCACACCCAGGCACAAGTGACTGTGAGCAGCTGGCACTGCTGCAGATAGTGCTGGCCAGCTACAACTCTGACAGGTGACACACCACAGGAATGCAGGGGGCGAGGGGTAATACAAGAGCAGGACGTTTTGACTGGACCTCTGGGGGCTGAGGGGAAGGGAAGGCATTGCAGGAGGGGCTGGCAGAGGCACAGAGGCATGGGGATGCAGCCGCATTGCTGGGAAGGGTGGGGCCGGGGCCGGTCTGTCCCACCCTGGGCCTCAGTTTCCTCATCTGTAGAGCAAGTCCTCAGTTCTGTTACAGACTGAGAAGCTCAAGTCAGCCCACTGTAGAAAAGCTGGGAGTGTTCATCCGAACCGTGAATTCAGCTTTTTCACGCCGAGAGCAGAGCTGTGGGGCGGGGTTGTAGACATGAATGCGCTCCATTCACCATGGACAGGCCAGCCCTGCGGCCACCCAGCCTGCAGCTGAGCCACCAGGCCTGACCAGGGCCACCGAGTACCAGGCTCTGAGGGCAGCACCCTGACTGAGGGGCCGAGGCAGAGGTTTCATACAGAGATGAGCTTCATGCTGTCACCTTTCACAAAGTACCGGCCAAGCCTCTCACCCCTCTGGGCCTCCCTTTGTGGTGGAAGCTTGGGGACACCTTGGTGGGGCTGCCTGTCTGCTGGGCAGGGTGTGGCTGGAGGGACATGGGGCACTGCTGACACAGTGACCAACATGCCTCCATCGGTAGCGGGTGCCTGCCCTTGGCTGGCACTGACTGCCCATCTCCATTTCCCAGAGCTCTGTGTGACAGGCCTGGTGGGCAGGAGCCTCTGCAACCTGCCTGGGCCATCCTGAGTGCTGCCGAGGGGGTCTGGGACACAGGCATTCCCAGACTTCTCTAGTGGGGAGAGGGCGAGTGGGCCCCACCATCTGATGATGCGCCGAGGTCCTGGCAGGTGTACCGAGTGGAGGGGCCTGTGGTGTTGGCCCCCTGTGCTAGATGCCTCTGCAGCTGTGGAACAGGGAAGGCACCAGAGGAAATCCACTCCAAGGATGGTATCAGTCGCAAAGGAAATAGCTTATTCGCTTGCAACCCCGTGCTTCCCCAGCCAGTCCTGGAATCCTCATCAGGAATTCCTGAGTTCACTTCCCTTTTGGGGAAGCTTGTAGGTGCAAGCTCTTGGCCTACATCTACCCTCAGGCCAAAGGGGTATGGGCAGGAGGCTATCCGAGACAGCTCAAGGTGGTGGCAGCAGCTGGGAGCCAGTGTGTGAGGGGTTGATGGGACTATGAAACAGGGAGGCGGTGCTGGCCAGAGTGCTGGGGTGGGAGCCGGGGTAAGATCTGTGGGAGAGAAGGATGCTGGGACCAGCAGGGCCTTGCCTGGGCACAGGGCCAGGTGGCGCTGGGGCCCCAGCTGTTGTAAAGATGCAGTTTAGCCAACGTCAGAACACTCAGCTGTCTTCCCAGGGGAGTTGCAGCCACAGCAGGCACCAAGTCCAGCCAGCTGTCTAACATGTGTCTTCCTGGCCAGGGTCAGCCGCAGGGGCAGGGTGCTAGCCTGGAGGTGAGCCCTGTGAGGTTCCAGGCAGAGGGGGCTGCTATGCTCAGAGCAGGTCCCCTTCTTCTGGTAAAATGGGCCACGTCAGACCTGAAAGCTGGATGTTCCTATCAGAACGCTCCCTGCTCCTGGTCTCTTGGCTGGTATTCCATGGCACAGCACAGCATGGGGTAGCTCTGCCCAGCTGGAGCTGTGGGGTCCCCAGACCAGGCCCCTGCCTTCCTGATGGGTCCACACTGGCCACCTTGCTCCCTGCAGCCAGGTCCCTATCCCCACTGAGGGTCTTCTGTGCTTCAGGATCTGACCTTGGTGTCCGTCTCTGGCTTCTCCTGGCCAGGCTCCCCATTGCAGCCAGTCTACAGGTCGCAGCTGCATCGTGCTTACCTTGAGCACTTGCCATTCCCACCCCGCTGGTGTTTGTCCGATGCTCCATTTCTCAGGAAGTGGCCCTGTCCTTGCTGGAGAAGGGGGTCTCCCTGCCACAGTCCCACCCTGACTCCACCAGGAGCTCAGCCCAGCCTCCTGCTAAGTGTCCATCTCGCCCTCCTGCCGTGGCCACAGACCTGCTGTGTCCAGGGCTGTCATACCCCTGGTTGTGGTCATCTGGCCTCCTGGCTGCACCCTGGCATGCTCCCCGCACCTCTTCAACCATGTACCTGGTGGAAGGCATTGCCACTGACCAGGTCCCTGGACCTCCCACGGTCTTGGGAGGCAAAGAGCAAACGGCCTGGTGAGCACTGGGCCCTAGAGCCTGGTGTGCTTGGGGCGGGGCCGAAGGATGCCTCTTCTGCTTCCTCCAGAGACCCCCAGGCAGGGCCTGGGGCTGTGGCAGCTGGGGAAGCAGAAGGGCCCCTCAGAAACCAGAAATGCAGCTGGGAACCTCTTTCTTGGTGCTGGGAGAGAAGTGAGGCCCGGAGGTCAGGCAGCCCTCCTTTGGGCTGCGGGGTGAAGACAGGAGGCTGAGGGTGCCTGTGTTCTGGCCCTCCTGGTCCCTGCATGAATGCCAGGGGCAGTGCCTGTCCTTTCCTGGTTACCCCCAAGGCTCCAGTCTTGCTGTGGATGAGACTAAGGCTGCAAGGGACAGAGGACTGGTCTAAGGATGGGAACCTGGGCACCAGGCTCCCTGGCTTCTCAGAACATGCTCCTAGTGACACACTCTGTGATCAGACACCTCTGGTTTGGAAATAAGGAGCACCTTGGTTTCAGACAGCCCACTGCCCACTGCCACCGGGATCTGAGGACTGTCAGGGACCAGGGCTGTCACAAACAGGGTTAAGTCCAAAGGGGCTTGCCCTGTGGAGCCTGGCCGCTTGCCCACGACCCTGCTGGCTCCCTGAGGAAGGGGCCTGGGAGGTACTGGCTGTCTTGTGTTCTGAAACCTAATTCTCCCACCAAACTGCAGTGAGACCCTGGGCATGTCACTTCTGCTCTGGGCCGCAGCTCCTGCCTCAGTAAAATAAGCTGTTTGTCCAAGATGGTCACTGGGTTCTACTAAAGTGACCTTGGGGGACCCTGGAGTGCTTTGGTGTCTCTGGTGCAGCTGGCAATGGCCTGAGCCTCACCTCTCTGGCATCACCACTGACCTCAGAGAAGACTGCCTTGGCATCTCCGTTTCCAGAGGCCCCAACACATCACATGCAGATGGGGCCCTGTCCCAAGCACTTGAGACTTTTCTGGGCCTCTTTGCCACTAGGCGGAACCGAGTCCAGTGCGCTTGCCTCTCTCCCCTGGCCTGGGCTTGGAGATTTGTGGCCGCACCCCCTGCTCGGTACAGAGCCAGCCACGTCACAGGAGAGCCTCTCTGGCTCTGCTACTCTCCACCTTCTCTGTCCTCAGGAGCTTAGGATGCATGACAGGTAATGGGACTGGGAGACAAAGGGGCAGACAGACAAAAACCAGGCAGACAGTGAGGCCACTCCCCGGCAGAGGCTCAGTGTGAGAGCAGGTGGAGGAGGCATGAGTCATTCCTGCTCACGCTCACAGGGAAGGCGCGCAGGCCCCCCAGCAAATGATGATCGCCTGCTGGAATCCCAGTGCTATCCTACCCCCTCATTCGAAGTGGCTCTGAGGCAGCACCCCTGTGCTTGGTTCACCCAGCACCTAGATGGAATCGTCGCTGACCCCAAGTGGACAAGAGGACAGACAACATGGTGCAGCTGCCCAAAGAAAGATGGTGGGCAGGGAGGCCTGAGTTGCCCCGTGTGCTCGCCAGCCTCAGAGTGTGGTGGGCCCTTGGGTCCTTCCCAACACTGAGCTCTCAGGAGTCAATGACAACAGCTGCCTCCCAGGCCAGCTGCTTCCTCCCTCTGCTGAGCTTGGCATGAACTCTCTGCAGACGCACTGCTGTTTCTATGACAACCAGGGTGGACACCCTCACCCTCAGAGTCTCACACCACAGCAGACCAGTGGCAGGTGAAGCTGCTGACCCTTGAGCTGGGGCAGGTGCCCACAGGGGCACACAGCCTGGTTGGCCAAACACTGTCTACTGCCCATCTGCTCAGGTGGTGGGAGAGGGTCTCTGGTAGCGAGGGTACCCTGCTCTCCCTCTGTCTCTTTAAGGACCTGCCTTGCTGTGCCCTGAGAGACAGGGCAGTGGGCAGGGGAGAGGGGAGGACCTCTGGTGACCTGTTCCTGGCTGGAGCACCATGGGTGGGGTGGGCCTCCTGGTGGGAGGGCCCCAGAACGTGGCTCGCTCTTGTCACCCTGTGGCCTCGTCAGTCTGGACTTCCTCTTGTGTGGGGGCTGCCGTGATGCCCTCCAGTTCTGTTCACCTCCGAGAAGTGACTGTGAGAGGCTCCTGGGCTCACGAGGCTCAAAACATTTCCATTCTAGATGTGGAAAGTGGTGCTCAGAGGGGTTACCTGGCTTGCCTAGGCCCCTTTGCCTGGCCCACTACCCTTGCCCCAAGGAAAGCACCAGACAGCCCGAACCACCCCTCAGGCCTGGTCATCCTCCCACTGCTACTAGCCTCAGGAAATGGGGAGGTGTCTGGGGACAGAGCTGGATGACCAGGGTCACTTACAGTCCAATCTGGTTAGTGCTTCCCTCTTCCTCCCGCAAACCTCAATGCTACCTTGACAGATTGGAGAATTGGATTGAGGGTTAATGACTCAGTGAGCTCCTGTCTGTCCCTGGAGCCAGTCTGCGGGGACAGCACAGGGCACATGGTGCTGACGGCCAGCCTCAGGAACTGAGAGGTGGGGGGCTGGTACCTGCTCAACTGCTGGGTCCTGCCTCCCAGCAGAAGGCCTGCCTATGCTCTGAGCCTTCTCTTGCAGGGCAACCACCACTCCCACAGCTTCCAGGGCTGGGGCAGCTGTTTCCATTCCTCTAGCCTGGCCTTTAACACTGAACCCTGCTGCCCCCGTGGTTCTGTGAGCATCTGAGATGCTGAGGGAGACAGGCTCGGCCCTGCCTGCACGGAGGGCTCTGTTCCAGCTTGAACACCTCAGCTCCTGGCACCCATTCTCTGCCACTCCATGGCTCTCAACTCCACACTGGTTCATCCTCCTGGCCCAGCCACAGGCCTCCCAAGTGTAGGCCCTGGGTACCCATGCTCTGGGGTCCCCTTGGTCTTGAGACCCTCACTTGGCTCAGCACCCACCCCTCTCCTGTCTGACTCCCTTTCTCCCAGGCTCACTTCAGATTCAGGACTCCCAAAAAGACCTGAGAGGAGCAGCAGCTGATCCCTTAACAAGGCAGGGTGCAATCCTAAAGGGTGGGGGCAGAGCTCGGGGCCATGGGAGGGCAGGCCCACCCTGGCCTCTGGATGCCAGCAGGGCTGGCTCCGTGGCTTTGGTGGGGCTGCCCTCGGCTCTGCTGCCAGGCTCACTTGGGCTGCCTTGGTTCTCCTTGAACTCTACCTTACCCCAGAGGCTCGGGTCCTGGTAGCTGTGAGACAGCAGTTATTCTGGGTGACAGTGAAGTGCGTCACAAGAGAAACGTGGTCAATAGGTCTTCCAAGGAGGCTGGAGCTATCTCCCACCCAGGCACTGTCCAGGCCTCATGAAGACACTGCTCTTCCCACGATGACACATCGGATATGGAGCTGAGCTTCAGGCCCAGCCTCCCCTGGAAGCCTCCATGTCTTCCTAGCACCTTTCCTCTGGACCCCCACTGGTCACCCTCAGACAATTCCTAAGCTCCTGTAGCATGCACAGCATGTCTCCTGCCTCGAAGGACAGAGAAGAGCATGGCAAAACCCTGACTTCAGAGTACTGAGTCCCCAAATAGGGACACCACCTCTCCAGCAGGCAGAGGATGCTAACACTTGGGGTGGCCAGCACCAGGCTGTGCCAGCCAGAGAGCAGGTGGAGCTGACTCCTGCCTGGGAAGAAAGGTCCTAGGCCATGACACAGCTTATGAGGCAGGAAGCTGGGGCCCTGGGACATTGCATGCAGGGTCCAGTTTTGGGCTATGGCTCTGAGTTCTGCCCCATGAGGGCACCTCCTGGACAATCTCCTTCCCATTCTACCATGGTCATGTCTCCTCAGGATCCATCTACCTGCTTCTGCTCTGGGGTTGCCCCCTGTGCAAACCCTCCAGTGCCTTCCATGGCAGGCTGTGTAATCCAGGCCTCTCCCGGCTGTCTCCTGACTCCTGCTTCCGTCTCTGTCACCTCGAGGCCTTTGCTGTGCTACCCTGCATGGGCTGCTCTTTTGGGTTTGTGTAGCTGGTCAGCTATCAGACTCCTTCACTTGAAGTAAGCCCTAGTCACAACCCCAACCCTTTTAATTTGCTGCACAGCTTTTAGCACCATTGGCCCCTGTTCTCATTGCCCATGGCCTGCCTATGAGCAGTGCTGTCTGCTTGGGGACCGCTCTCCCCTGCTCTGCCCAGCACGGGGTGGATGGCAGGCAAGGCCAGATGGCACATGCTGCAGGCGTTTGGTGTGGCAGCTGTGTACAGGGGCAGGGGTTGGGATTGCCTGGCTGCTCCCCACCTGTGTGCCCCTGGCCCCACCCTTCTGCACAGATGCACCTGCTCCTGGCCCACAGATGGGCTGGATCAGGGCGGGGGGCACAGGCCTCACACCCAGACCCGCCACTTCTGTGGATGCCTAGGGTGTGGCTGGGGTGGGTGATGGGCACCTATAGGAGGCTTTGAAGGGACTCGGGCTGGGCCTTCCTCCCCCGCAGCAGGCCTTGCCCTGGGCTGGCCCTCCAGTGACAGCTGGTCTGTGTCCTTCCTCACTGTGGCTTCGTCGGTCAATGGGTCAATCTGGCAGAACAGACTGAAGAGGCATTTGATAAGCAGGTGCTCTTCCGGCTTTAAAACGATCAGGAACTATCTGATCCCGTATTCTGGTGAATGAAAATGTGGGTTTGATTTTCACACCCTGCGGCCAACCCCCTGGGGTTCTGTGTGCAGAGGCCCAGGACCCGACTCCACTGCTGCGCTCCCTTGGTGGGTTCCGGTGCTTCTTGCTGGAACACTGTGCTTGGGACCCCTGCTCCCGCCCCAGCTTCTGCTCCCTACACCCCAGCTGCTGCCACCTGCAGACAGAGGCCCCCAGTTCACAGGACTTGCCTGGCTGAAGTGGAGACTCTCGAGTGGCACAGGAGGATTGACAACCTGGGGTGGCCACAACTCCTGTCCTCAGACACTCTCAGGCCCTGGGTTTTCATGAGGCCCTCGACTTTTCCCTGGGGATAAGAAAGGCCACCGCTCCTGCCCACCCGCACAGGGCTGCTCAGCTGCCCATGTAGGCAGCTCAGGAGGGCACAGGCAGCTTGGGAGGGGCCCATTTTACAGAGTACTCAGGCCTGTAGGTCCCAGGCCAGCGACAGATGGGGCTCCTCTGGGATGGGGGCCAGGGCAGGGGTGTGTTCCAGCCGAGTCCAGAAGTCAGAGCCTCTGCTTGCCGGTGGCCCCCTCCCCCCTGCAACTATGCCTGGTGACAACTGTAGTGCTCATAGTAACAGCACCAGCTAAGCCTGGCACCTCAAACAGCAAGGGCTGTTTAAACAAGATAACAGGCTGCCGCTAAAGCCCTAGCTCAGGCCCTAATGGCCTGAAAAGCCCTTGCTCTGAACCTGCCAGAAACAGCTGAGCGTGCTGCTCCCTGCCTTCCGCAGCAGTTCGGCTTTGCCACCTTGCCTGGGCAGTCCTGTCTGCCCTCCCTGGTTTCCCTGTGTGTGCAGTGTGGAGGGGGTGGGGTGACCCGTAGTAATGGCAAGGGTGGCTGCTTCCCAGCCCTGCCCATTCCCCTGGGCAGCAGCGGGATGTCCAGGTCAGAAGGCCCCCACTTTGCCACAGGGACAACTTTTCCTGAAACCCGAGTTTCCTCATCTGTGTGGTGGGGAGCCCCTTCGGGCTGGGAGGCTTAGAGGTTGTGCATGCAGTGCACCAGCATGCCCTGCGCCAGGCTCTGCCAACCGCTCACGTCTCTGGGCCTTCCATTTCCACTATTCTGTTGTCAGCCAGCACACACATGTTATCCTACAGCCTGAGCCTTCAGAGTACTTCCAGAACTGCCCTACCTCCTCACTAGCCAGGGGAGGGGCAGGAGCTCAGGAACTGTGCTGCTGGGCCAGTCTTCACCTGGGCAGTCCAGATGGACACAAGTCCACATGACTACCCTGGGCCACAGCCAGGCCAGGGCCCCACCCACAGTGCCAGGGCCCAGTGTGAGATGGAGACGGTGCTGTACACAGAGCACTTTCTCATGCCTCAGCTGGGCTTCACCCACTGGGCAGAGCTCTCCCAGAAGTCTGTGTGCAGCCTCCAGGATGTTGGCACCCCTGTCCAGCCCTGCAGGTGGGTGGCTGCTGTTCTCCAGCACAGGCCCAAGGCGCCACCCCCCTTACCCTCATGTCACTCTGTTTTGCTTTTTTGCTCTCACCAGATCTCAACCATCACTGACTTGCAGGGTCTTAGGTCCAAATGGGAGCCTCTGTATTCCCAAGGGTGTTGGTCAAAGTTGCTGAGGAGGCAGAGCCCCAGGGTAAGTGTGATATGTGGCGGGAGTCACGTGACTGGAGGTGGTGCCTTAACAATGCTCAAAGACTCCCAGTCCTGGGACAGAAAATTCCAAGATGGTGGGAGCATTTGCTCCGAAAGGGCCTGGAGCTCCTGTGTCCTGCTCCCTGGCTTCACACCCAGACCCAGAAAGGGAGGCCGTGGGCACCCTCAGCACCTGGGTCCCACCTGCTCTCACCTTGACCCCATAAGCTCTCCTGCCCAACTGGGAGGACTGGCCTCTTCCAAAGCCCCAGTCCACTTCTGTTTCAGCTGAGAACTGTCTCCTATTTGTTTTTGTGTTAAATCTTGCTGCTTTTAAGTAACCTGCACCCCTGCTCCCCACCAGCCAGTGTCAGTCGCTGAAGGGAAATTAACAAACAGCATGATACAGGTGTGTTGTAGATTGGAAGCTGTCAACACAGACACAGGCCTGGCCAGGAGCTTGCACGCCATCACCATGCGAAGAAAGCACAGTGTGAGAAACCCCTCCTAGTTTCAGCTCCAGAGGATCCCCAGGAACCCAAGGCCGACACCCTTGCCTGGTTTGCCTTTGCTTTGTTCAGCAAGGTGGGTGCACTCTGCACTCCTAGCCGCTGGCACTGCAGCCTCGGACCCACACCTGTAGGCTCAAGGGCTTGTGAACCCCTCTGCAGCAGGCTCAGGCTCTTTCCTGGGAGGGACATGAGAAACTGGGGGTAGTGGGGAGAGATCCCAGTGGGGAACCTCTGCCTATGGCCAAAAAGATGGTTTTCAAAAATATTCATCCTTTAAAAAAACATATTTGGGTTGTTACTGCTTGAGCTGGGTGGCCCTGTGGGGCAGGACCTTGCCCATAGTCACTCCTCCAGCTGAGCCAAGTTGCCTTCGAGGCTCTGGGCCCCCTTGGTCAGGATGCTGCTGTGCTTCTCCCCTGGTCACCACAGGCCAGGAAAAGGTGTGTGGGGCTGTGGCCGTGGCCGGCCTGGGCTGGGAACCTTAGGATACAAGGCCCAGGGCCCCCAGTCGACTCTGGTTTCATTATTAATGAAATTAGAGAAAGTACCTGAGCTGAGGACATGTCCACCACGAGGTGTGATGAAGCAGGGATTAGGGTGAGCTGCAGCCAGGCTCCTGGGCTGGCCTAAGCTTGTCCACTATCCAGACGGGAGCCACATGCAGAGAGAAGAAACACCTTTCACTCTGCCCTGGCCAACACTGGGTGTCCCCCCTGAGATGCCCAGGGCCATGCACCCTAGCTGACTGTCATTCCAATCCCTCCAGAAACTAGACTGAGCCAGTGGGGCCTCAGGTGAAGAGGGCTATGCATCCGGTCAGCACAGAGCCTTGCTGCTGCATCCTGTCCTCACTGCTTGTCTTGTTCATGGCCAGTCACAGGACTCCCCTGAGTGGCAGATCCCCCCATCTACACTGGTTACTAGGGATCCCCAAGTCAGCAAGGCCCCCAGCACTCTTAGCCTCCACCTTGGAGTCTGTTCTAGATAGTGGAAAATTGTTTTTCAGTTACTGGATTATACAAATCCCTTAAAACAATAGTAATCTGTGTCTTAAAACCCAGAGCTGTTCTCATGTGTGTGTACTGAGCAGAGCTAATGCGCTCAGGAAATTAATTACCCACTGGCCTGGGCAAGCCTAGCCGATGCAGGTTGAGGGGATGTGGGGTGGGAAGCAGCTCTGCCCTGAAGCTCTTGGAACAGTTCAGACAGGGTATCATTGTGAGCATCCAGCCTGATCACGAGGCAGAGCAGGAGGTGTATAAACTGGGAGGGACACAGTCCTGGGGCTGAACCCTGGCTCCGTCATCACAGGGCGCTCAGGCAGCGACACCCACCCTGGGCCACACTGGGGACTGGACACTGTGCCTGCGACCTTGCCCTGCCTGCTTAGACCTTACACCGCCTGGTCCTCCGTCATCCCGCTGCAGGGCACTGTGCATAGCTCTGTGCTCTCCATGGCCCCCGACAGCCCCCTCAGTCCTGCCTTTGTTGACTGTCCCCACTGCTCCCCCACAGCCTTGACTGGATTCTGCAAGGTCCAGATCAGATCACCACCCCCACGTTCATCCCAATCTGTGCAGGCCTGCTCCCAACGTCTAGGCCCCCGTCTCTCCTGCAAATGTTGGTCTTTGGGACAGAGGAGGCACCTGTTCCTGGCTTCTCTGCACCTAGAAAACTGTTTCCTAGGGCAGGCTCAGGGCCAGTCACAGAGAGCATGCGGCCAGCATTTGTAGGCACTGGGGAAGCCAGCCTGAGGCCAGCCCTGGCTACACAGGTCCTCCAGGGCCTGCTTGATGCCATCCCCAGCTGACCTGAGGGAGGAAGGGATAGGACTGCCTCTGTCCCTAGACTGAGTTTGTCAGGCCCAGGGCCCACACATACTGGGTGAACAAGGACTGCTTCCTGCAAGGATGCCACAGGGCTTGTTCTCAGATGGAGAACATCAGATGGCCCCCAGCTTGTGGTCTCGTGTTAGCCAATGCAAGGTTGCTCTCTGTGGAGTAGGATTCTCTTAAATCTGCCGAGGAAGAGCGGGAGGGAGGCAGGCAAGTGAAGAGCCGCTCTGGCAAATTCCCTTTCTCCAGCGGGGTAAACACGAACAGATGCAACCCACGCGGCCACAGGGTCAGAGCTGGGAGTCACTGGGGAAGCACAGTGGGAGACTGACAGGCAAGGACACTGTCGGGTTCTTCAGTAAGATGGCAGTAGCGGATCAATCCTGCCATACACCAGTGACTGAGCCTGGCTGGCAGACTCTCCCCGCCATGCTTGGGAGTCACTGGCTGTGGTGCACTGGTAAAGGTCTAACAACTGGCATGGAGGCGGGGGCTGGGGAGGAGTAGAACTGTTTTGTAGTATTTGCCAGTTCCTGGGGTGTGATTACTCCTACCTGGCTGCTTTGAAGCCACAAATATAATGTCAAACAGCTCACAAACATCCTGAAAATTGAAAAATTAGCTCTTGTGAGCCAGTATGAGCCAGCTCTAGCCCCTCACTGCCCTGGCATGCAGAGAGGGAGGCTCTGCCACCACTAGCCCTGGGTCTCAGCACTCTCCTCTGCAGGAAGCAGCCCTGCCTGGCATGGTGCCGAAGAGAACTCTCTTGTTCTCTCCTCCCTCCTCCCTCAAGGCTTACCAGCACTAGGGCAAGAGACTGACTCCTGCCTTCCCATAAAGGAGGCCCCAGCAGAGCCCACGCTGGCTGACCTCCTGTTGTGGCAGGAACACTTGTCTGAGAGATCTGAGGAACACCATGGGCATCCCCATGGAGGTTCTGCCAAGGCACCTGACAACGTCATCATGGTGGAAGAGACAGAGTGATGGGGTTGGCCTCCTGGCTGCTGCACTGCTGTGTTCAGTGACAGCTTGTGCCCTGGGAATGGCCTCTAGTGACACAGCAGGAGGTGACCATCATGGAGGGGTGGCTGATGCACTGAACGACAGAGCCACCAGGTTCATGATGATGAGGAGTTGGGGGCCAAAGGAAAAGGCCCTGCAGGCAGAGCAGGTGTGGGGGCAGCCCAAGCAGCAGGGCTTGAGCCCAGGGCCCTGCCGCCTCTTGCCTTGTGGCTGACCTCTGACCAAGGACCTACCCAGGGCAAGGAGCCACTGCACAAGGCGGGCTAAGAAATGGCCCCACCCTTGGAAGCTCCCAGTGTGACAGGAAAGGAGCAGCTGCTTTTGACAGGGGCCTTGTGGCTGCATCCTCCCTGGGAGCAGAGGAAGGAAGGAGCTAACCCAAGGACTGAAGTGCTAGCAAGGGCCTCAAATAGGTGCCAGGACATGCTGCCTTCTCCACCCCTCCCTGCTCATCCCCCTCCCATCTTGGGCTTGAGCCAGCATCCCATGGGGTCACGCATAAAGCCTGGGACCCTAGGCGAGCAGATACCCATCATTCACTGAGCACTGGCCACAGGCTCAGAGCGGCTGAAGGCCCACTGAGGTGGCCGCAGCCCCAGTTAAGGCTGAGTCCTGGGCAATGAGGCAAGGGAACTTGGATGCGGGGAGCCGGTGCTGAAGGGATGGCAGGGGCTGTTCACAAGTGTTGGTGGGGCCTCTAGGCCACGGGTGGCCCAGCTATAGGTGTGTGCCCAGCCCTCTTGAGGCTGGCCCCATCGCTCCAGTGCTCGGGTAGGATAACAGGCCATAGAGAGGAAGCCAGGCCAAGCTTAGAGAGGGATGCGGGCTGGGGATATCATGTGGCCAGCTGAGCCCTGCTCCCAATTCCATGCCTGCCATGCGAGGTGCCATCAGGGTGCTGCTGTGGGCTTGGTCCTCTGTGTCTCCCACCCCTGTGGAGCCTCTCAAGCTGCACTGCCATGGGGGCTGTCCAGTCCTTGGGAGCCCAGTGTGCCAGCCTGGCCCTGCCTCTGGATCTGGTCAGGAGGCTCTGCTGTTCCAGGGTCATGATAACTTGAGGATGCTGCAGACAAACTGCATGTGGCCCTGGCACATTGCAAGATCAGAAGGAACTGCTTGGGAGACCTGTGTGTGTCGGGAAAAGGGCGGCAGGCCTTCTGGCTTGGAGCTATGCCCTTGACCAGGTCAGGAACAGGAGGCAGAGTGAGGCCATGTTCTGCTAGGGCTCCCTGTGGTCCTGCCACTGACTAGGCCAGGAGACAAGGGGACGAGGGGAGTGTCAACCTTCACAGCCACTCACCTCTCCCAAGCCCAGGTGTCACTGTCCTCCACTCTCCTGAGGGAAGGCTGGCTACACAGCAGCTCCAAGGGTGGAACCCAGTCTATACCCCCAAGGCCCTTGCTGGAGAACCCCAGCACCCACAGGATGTGGGACCAGTATGGTGAAGAGGGGGGCCACTGGAATTCCCAGGGGCCAGTGCCAGGACCCTCCCTGAGAGCCAGAGTCTCAGCCCTGCGGTATGTGAAGGAACCTCTCTGAGGCTCAGTTTCCTCATCTGCAAAGCCGGCTGGTTAGGAACACTAAAGGATATATAAGGTCCCTTCTCAATCTAAGCCCTGGTATGCTGGGGAGAGGGTATCATCTGTGTCTGGCTATTGCCCATTTGTAATTCCCTCCTTGGGCAAATATAACCAGCTCTGTCATCAATAGGTATAAGCCTGTCTTACTGGAAACACCTTGTTTCACCCACAACACGCCATTTTATGGCACAAATGTTTAAACTCCATTTTAAAAGCACTAAAACAAGCACCCTTTTTGGGCTAAATGATAAACCACAGCGCTAGGGTGGCAGGAACACGCTGTGTTCACAGGACGGCCTTGGGCAGCCCCTCCTCAGGGTACTGCATACACTCCTGTTATGGACGAGCACCCATAGGGTCTCCTTGGGAAGGGCTGAGTGTCCCAGCTGCTCTGCACCCAGAAGCCAGGGCTCTGGAGCTCCAGCTCTTCCCAAGCCTACCGCCTCCCGCCCGCTCCACAAAGTCTGCAGAGCACCCACTGTGTGCCAGGCCCTCTGCTCAGAGCACAGGCTGTGCCGGGTGGGTGTGGACCTGCCCTCGTGGTGTGCTGAGGCTGCTGACCTGCCCTGGAGTGGGGAGGGGTTCCTCAGGAAGCCAATGGCCCCAGGACAAGGGACCACTATCCAGGGCCAGGCATAGACCACCTGCCTGGAGGCTGGCTGCTCAAGCACTTGCCACCTGCAGAACTTGCCCCACAAAAGGCATGTTCTTATGTCCCCCGTCCCCTGGATACCCTCACTGATAACATGTTGACCAGCTGTCTCTCAGATAAGTGGCAGAGACACCAGGCCTCCCACGGTGAACCCTGCTGTGACCCAGCCTGCCTGTGGGGCCCAAGTGACTACTGTGGGTCCTAGATGAAAGCACAATGGGGACACTGCTGGGAACTGCTGCCTGCCAGCTCTAGAAAGACAGGGCAGGTATCCCTGGTAGCAGAGGCTTTGTGGAAATGAAGCTGTAGCTGGGCTGGTGTGACTGCCTCCTCCTTGTCCCCCAGTTCCCTGTGCTGCTGGGAGAGTTGTGCTCACCCTCATACTTGGCCCCAGCCTGAGCCTTGAGCCTGCACAGCAGGTCCATCACAGGTGCAAAACAGACCCGCCACAGGGCTGGGAATGCTGACAGCTCCGTCGGGAAATGGGCAGTGAGCTCCCTGTGGGTTTCCACATGAGAACATTTGATGCTTTACAACTAGACCTTTTAATCTTGCCTTCTGAAGGATCCCACACCATTTGGTGGCCAGCAGAGTCCATTAGCTGATCCGCAAGGGCAGAGGTTGGGCAACAAGTGCCCACCTACCCCCTCAGGTGCCTCCAGTGGGGCCGAGTGAAGACCCAGGCTCTGCTGGTCACAGCCACCTGTGTCTGTCCCTCAGTGTGGGCTGGTAGGTGCCAGCTTCTCCACTTTGCCTTTCCCTCCTAGGGCAGCAGAGTGACTGTCTTTGCTGACTGACCCTTGTGTGAATGTACTAAAGACGAGGGGCAGAGCCTCTGCCATGGCTCTGGCTAAGTGGGAGGCCCGTGGTGGGTCCTGTGACACATGGCCTCTCAGGAGCTGTCCTTGTGGACTTGAGGGCTGGGGGCCCGCCAGCGCCAGCTGTGTGCCTGAGCCTCAGTGCCTCGATCTGTGACAAAAATAACAGGCGCTGCTGCCCCACAGGATCATTCAGGGGACAGGTGCGCCAGAAAAACCCCCTTGTGTTGCTGGGCTGTGTTCAGGCCTCCTGTGCTGCCTGAGGAAGCCCCAGCTGGGTGTTGGGCTTGGGGGCACTGGGGTGCCTGACACACCTGCAGGACTTGGCCCTAGTCAGGGCAAGGGACTGCCAATTCCTTCGGACGAGGGTGGGAACCGTGGCCATGGAGGGGCGTGGCTCCCCATGTGGCTCGCTGCCATGCTCCACAGACACCCGGAAATCTGCCTTCCCTGCTCTGAGGTGCTGCCCTGCACTCACTGCAGCCCTCACACCCGGGAGCCCAGAGACACTGACGTTCTCCTTGGCAACGTGCTGACGCAGAAGCCAGCGGGTGGGCCGGGGGGCTGTGGCTCCTTCGCCAGGCGTGGGGGTGGGGAGGCACTGCCAGCATCAGGGAAGATGAGGCCTTGGAAGCTGAGCACGGAAGGAGGGCTATGGAGGAGCCGTGTCCAGAGCCCTGGCACTGGGCCCCAAGGTTCATTCGGCTTTTGTGAAAACGAGCATGGCCTGTTCTTGGCTGCCTTGCCTTTGACAGGGCCCAGGGAGGACAGTTCAGCACGTTCCAAAAGGAGAGAGCAGAGTGGCAGCCCTGTGCCAGCCCGTGCCAGCACTGGCTCTGGCCCTGGCCCGGCTGGAGACGGGCTGTCCTCACTGCCGGCACCACTCTGGGGGCCAGCTCACCTCCGGGGCCAGCCCAGCCTGCGGGAGGAATCGCGGGAGGGGATTGTCTTTCCTCTGCAGCCTGTTTGTTTTCCATCTCCAGATATTACTGGTAGAGCATGAAAGGTCAGAATCATTTGGAATCCAGTGAATTTCCAGCCTCGCTTGGGTTTCTCATCAAGAATTTCCTTTTCTGGTGAACAACCACTTCCCCAGGCCTGCAGAAACCAGGGTGATGGTGGTGGGTGTGCCAGCCTGGCTGCCAGCCCCTCCCTTTAGAAAGTGCCTTGAATGCCTGGAACCTCACAGGGATCCCTGAGACCAGGCCAGTGGCTGCTGTCCCTGCCCATGGCTGCCCACCATGGCTCTCCCCAGGGACAGGCCTGGGAGAGGGAAAGCTAGAGATGTGAGGCCCCACAGGGGCCACCCAGCCCATCTAGGGCCTGCCCCGAGGAGCTCACTCACACATCACTAGATGGAGGAGTAAGCAGGTGCCGGGCTAGGTCAGAAAAGGCCTCCCAGGAGGCGCCACTTGGGATGAGACCTGGAGGATAAGGGCAGGGGTACGAGAGGCAGGGATCAGGATCATTACAAGCTTAAGGCTGGACAGAGCAGTACTGCTGGAGCAAAACAAGCTGACCACGGCTAGAGCAGAAGGAGAGGAGAGAGAGGCAGCAAGGTGGCAGGCACAGGCCAGTAAGAGCCAAGAGGGCTGCAGGCAGGCAAAGGCCTAGCCTTGGGCCCATCTGTGAAGACACCTGGGTCATCTCCTCACTGACAAGTTCAGAAAGCAAACATGACAGCCAAAGCCCTCCATGAAAAACTGGACTGACTCAGGACCCAGGTATCCTGCCTCCTGTGTCCAGCACACCTGTGGGCACGGCCTGTCAAAGGATGCAACTGGGAGCCAGGCCTGGTGCCCGGGGAATTTGCCACGCCTGCCACTGTGGTGATGGGTGAGGCCAGTGGCGCAAGCCCGTGTGACTGGCAGACCCACCATGGCACTGTCCCAAGGGTCTGGCCTGAGCACCTCACTTTGCCTTGCAGCTTCTCAGCCCCAAGCGCTCTGCCCACGGCCATGCCTCATCAAGGGAGCCTGACCTCACTCATCTGCTGAGATGTCCCCTCTGCCCAGAACCACACATGGGGCTGAACTTGTGGCAACCACAGGGTAAGGGGCCAGAACCCTGGAGAGCACACAGATACACACTGGGAACAGGGTGGACGCAGCCGCCTGCGTACACACCTGCCTGCCCGTCCGTCATTCGTTTCCCCCAGGCACACCATCAACACCTAGGCACAGTTCCAGGGAGACCCCTGATGCGAGGAGGGGAGGGAGGCAAGCCCGCCTCCCCAGCTGCCTGAGGAAAGCCAAAGATCCTCTCTCTCAGAACACTCAGGCTCCTAGCACCATGGCCACTGCCTAGAGCTGTCCAGGTTCCCTGGCTGGGGCACAGGTCCAAAGCTAGAACCATTGTTGCTCTCCGCTGAACCTAAAGAATAAAGCTTGCCTTAGGACTGGGTGAAGCAAGGAGTGACCTCGGAGGCCAGTGCTCCCAAGTGGAGAGGCTGAGCCCTTGTCTCCCAGCATCACCCTCCCCTAGCCCCAGGGTACCCACAACTTCGTGACTCCTTGTTTGCCCCCACTCCCCCATCCCCAGGGTCAAAGGCCTCTCTCTTAAGGGCAGACTTGAAATCTGTGCTCAGGGAATCCTGCTGGGCAAGACAGCCCCTCCCTTGCCTGCCACGGCCTCCACCGCTGCCACTCCTGGCTGTGGCCCCCTTCGTGTGCTAGACCTTCTGTCCTGGCTGGGCCTCAGCACACTGCCCTGCTGCTTCACCCGGCTCCCCACCCTCTCCAGCAACTCCACTCTCAAGCCCCCACCGCTTCACACTGGGTCCAGGTCTCCCTCGGGCTGCGCCCATGCCACTGTGAAAGAATCCCAACACCTGCTTTTACGTCGTCCCCTTTCCACCAGGACCTGGGATTATCCCTTCTAAACAGCTCTTAACCCCATCTCTGCCAGATTTGCAGACTCAAGATGGGGTTGCAGGGGTGGCTGCTGTTCCTGGACCTATATGCTGGTAGGAGACTGGTGCTGGCAGGAGCTTCATGGATTTGCCAAACTATCACATGGATTGATCATGGATGCCCGGCGGAGCCTCACACTCTCTTGCCCTGTGGCCTCCACACCCTGAGTACTTCAGGCATGGGACATGACACCTGCACTCCACACCCTGTTCCCTCTGCCCCCACCTTGCTGGAGCTGCCTCAGTTATCGTGCAGCAGGGCCAGGCCTGCGCCTGGTTCCCTTTCTGGCTGCAGACTGTCCTGGACCTCACGAGTCCTCTTGCTTCCAGGAACCCACGACAGCAGGAACAAGCAGAGGAAAACCCCCGGCCCCACTTACTGTCTGGTTATCCTCGTAGAGTTTCAGGTCGTAGCCGCTGAGCTCCACACAGAAGATGATGGCTGTGACGCCCTCGAAGCAGTGGATCCACTTTTTGCGCTCTGACCTCTGCCCCCCCACGTCCACCATCTTGAAGGTGAGCTCCTTGAAGGTGAACTTGTTCTCCACAATGCCCGTGGTCATGTCCCGGGAGCGCAGGATGTCCTCGACAGTGGGGATATAGTCAGCTGCGGCGATGCGCTCCAGGTCGTTCAGGTAGTAGGCCGCGTTGTCCTCCAGGTGGTACTCGCTGGAGCGGCTGAAGCAGGCCTGTGCCCCTGGGTCGGCCCAGAGCCGTCGCATGACACCCAGCAGCTCGGGTGTGATCTCGCCCTTGCTCTCAGCGGGGCCCGTCAGCGCAAAGAGCTGCACAGCGTCGTAGGCGCGGTCGGGGTTGTGGAAGTCGATCCTGAGGGCGGCCAGGGCCCGGATGATGCGGGTCAGCGAGTCGATGGCATTGTAGATGATGAGGGGCTTGTACTCCTTGCAGGCCTCCAGGTTGAAGCCGCCGCTGTGGATGATCTTCATCTGTTTGACGATGGTGCTCTTGCCTGAGTTGCTGGTGCCCAGCAGGAGCAGCTTGATTTCGCGGCGTTGCCGCTGGCTCTCTGAGCGCAGGTGGCGGTCAATTCTCCGGGACCGCCGGGCTGCTTCTTTTTCCTCTGAGCTTTGCCGACATCCCATGGTCTGGCAGCAGCGGGCCCAGACAAGGAGCACGGGATGGGGCACCTCTCCCTCTTGCCACAGGGGACACTGAGACCAGGCAGACAAGAGCCCAGCTGCCCTGGAGGCACTCAGTGCCAGCAGGGGGGTGAGGCCGAGCCACACTGCAGCCCCTGCCCCAGCGCCTCTTCTCCAGCCGGCATGGCGCTCTGTGCAGCGGGCGGTGGCCGCCCCTCCCCACTAGTGACACTCCACCTCCCTAGTTGGCAAAGTGGCCTGATTTGCCGTAGTCATTCCCTGTCCTCGGCGACGGTGGGAAGCCGTCCGCTTGTGTTTGCCTCGGCTGCTGCCGTCTGGTTGCTGGTTGCTGTGGCGATGTTGCTGAGTGGCTGGAGGGTTGGAGGGCCGGTCGCTGGTGTGCTCCCTGCAGCCCCCCGCCTCCGGCTCCCACTGTGCATCCAGCCCTTCACCTGCCAAACACAGAGAAAAGCGTGAGCCTCCTCCCCGCAGCCCCACCTCAGGCTGGACAGTGAAAGGGAGCTCTTCTGAAAGCAAAGCAGCAGAGACTGGCCTTGGAAAATGAGCCGGCAACAATCCATCCAACCCCCTCTCCTCCATGGGGCGCTGTAGGGCCCACACCATGGTGTAACACATATGTCTGCTGTTGCCTGGACAGTCCACCTGAAGCCAGGTGCATGAGGGAGAGGAGGGTGTGTGCGAGGCCTCTGCCCACCCAGCCCCCATGCTGGACTCACTTCTACCGCATCCAGTTAGGATTCAATAAGGTCACCCTGTTGTGATGCCCCCTGGGGCCCTTCTCCCAGACAGCACTGATAGAGCTCAGCCTTGCCCTGTTTTACACGGGTGGCCAGGCCTCGGCCCAGCCCTGGGATAACTGAGCGCCTCCCTGACTCTCATTACCCCCGCAGGAGCTGGGTCACTTCTGATCACAGGGAGGAAAAGCACCAGGAGGGAGACCTGGCCCCTGCTTTCCCTTGAGGGCACTCTGATGGGCCAGCCCAGGAGCCAGCAGATAGGCAGGGACCAGAGCAAGGTGGAGGCTTCAGGCTGTGGGAGCACCGTGAGGTGCCTAAGCACAGTGGGCAGGGGCTGCCTCACTCCTGCAGAAGGAGGTAGAGGGGGGCTTGGGCTGAGACCAAGGAGCTGGGGGCTGCACGTGGTGCTGCGGGGAAATCCACCTGGGAGACCAGATGTCACAGTGGCTCCCAAGGGTAGTAGTAATCACCGAGGCCAGGGCAAGGCAGGGTGGCCTAGAGGCCTCAGGCAGAATCTTTCACCAACCCCGCGAGTCAGGGCCTCCCCATCCACCTTTCCTGCCAGCAGGGAGGGGCACACCCTAGGATGCCCCTGTGACTTTGCCGGGTGCTTAGGCCAGGCCTCCCCACACGAGGGGCAGCTCAAAGCTCAGGCTTCTTCCCCGGCTGTGAGCCCAGGGTGGCACCAGGCCCCACCCAACTCACACGCACCCCTCTTGCTCCTTCCCTGACCTATGTCCCTGTCCGGAGACCCACGCAGCCTCCCCATCCTGCCACAGGCAGCATTCGCCCCTTTAATACCACCCATCAACTCTGTGACAGGCCCTGGGGTGGGAAGGCCCGAGGCAGAGAGACCCCAACAGCCAAGGCCCCACCCTCAACTCCTGGGTGTGACCAGCATCTGAAACTCAACCTGCTAAACCCTCAGCAAATGGCACTTCATCCTCCCAGCAGCCATCCGTGCCCCTCACTGTCCCTTGCCCCTCACAGACCTTGACCACTAGTCCTGGCGATCCTGCTTTGAAGCAGGCCCCTGGTGGGCTGTCCTCTCCCTGGGCAGAGGTTCTGGTCTCTCCTGGCAGTGGTGGTGGCCTCTCACACCTGCTCCCTAGCCCTGCCAGCCTCTGACAGCCAGAGGCTCTAATGCCGCCTCTTTCCCTTGGTCAGACCCTGATATTACCCCCACCACTCTCAGGGTGGTCTCATCCTTCATGCCTTGCTTGCCTCTCCCAGGTTGTGTGGCCTCTGGCGACTTACTCCCATCTCAGAGCCTGTCCCTCACTGGCCACAGGTATCTGTGAAGAGTAAAGCGTCCAGCACAAGCCTGGTCCTCAGAGAGTGACAGCCAGTAGCAGTCACTGCCCTGCTGTGCTTGTCGCTGTGAGCGTCACCTTGCCCTCTGTCCTCCTCCTCCATAGCAGCCCTCAGCTAATGTGTGACCTACATGACCTTGTGTGCTGCCGTCGCCCCTACCCCCAGCCAGAGTGCGGGTGAGGAGGGCCCGTCCTGGCCTCGTTCCCCACTGGGAACAGAGCAGTGCCCAGTGCACAGTGGGTGTTCAGTAAGCACTGGTTGGTGGAAGGAGGGAGGGAGGGAAGGAATCAATGGAGAGGCTGAGGAACTTTCCCGCTTCACCAGGCAGCCACCGATGAGAAGTGCACCAGGGAACGCCCTAGAAACATCTCTGCCAAGAGGGCAGTGATTAAACAGTCACTCAGCCCAATCCCAGTGAGGCTGAAAATTACATCTGAGAATGGAAGCCTTGAGATGACCCTCCCACTCCAGCACACAGTGGGCAGAACATCTGCTTAAAGATGACATGTACATGATATGTGTAATATGCACACGAACCATGAGCGCATGGAGGATGGAGACCCTGTGGCTGCTCCCTTGTCCCTGCTGACGACCTGACAGCCCCTTAGGTGTGGAAAGGTGTCCAAAGCCCTCAGCCCACTGCCTGGGGACCCAGGGTTCTCCCTACCAGCACCATCATTCCAGCAGGAAGCCAACATGCTCCTTTCAGAAGGCAGTGTCCAACCCAGTGGGAGGTGTCCTCTGTTGTCATGACTGTTCTTCTCAATTCCACGTTTGAAAATCTGAGGTACAGCCAGGCGCCCCTTCTGTCCCCAGTGGTGGGCAGAGAAGCTGCTCTGTCCAAGGATGTGTGATTTGTGCTTTGGGATGTATGTGCTCCCTGGCTCCAAGGCTGGGGAATCAGGAGAGCAGGTTGGGGACACTGGGCTGGCAGCCTGGGCCCTGAACTGCTGTTGTCTGGAAGCCTGGAGCTAAGGGCTGCTCATGCAGTCTTCGATCAGTGTGCGCCGGCAACGACAGGGCAATGTGCAAGGAAAGGGGAAACTGAGGCCAGGTAGCAATCACATGCATCAGGGCCAAGTCTGTCACCTGCATGGGGCAGTGACGAACAGTCACAACCAAGGGGAGGTCCCCTGCTTGAGGACCCTCGTCTTTCAGATCACCTGAACCAAACAAGCAGAAGGCCCCACCCAGAATTCTCCCTGCGGCTCTGTGGGGCTGTGTTGTGTTTGGGGGTATGAGCGCCCTGTGCAGGGGCACCACGCATGGGACAGGGCTGTGCACGGATGTAAGGAAGCCTTGCGTTGGGAGCCTGGCTGTGGTTCAAATGGGACCTTATGACAGTCCCACCTATTCTGAGGCTTGACTTCTTGGCTCTTACACAAGGCTCTAGCCAGCCCTCTCTCTGAGTCTAACCCGGGCTTTACTGGACATGCTAGGACTCCCCAAGTCCCAGGATGGAACCTGATGATGGTTGGCCAAGAGACAAAGGCCAAGAGTTGATGACCACATTGTTCCCTGGCCCAGAAACCACTGATGGATCACTAGAGCTCAACACCCAGGACCCCCCACCACAGTGCCTCTGGGCATGGCTAGAAATACCAGAGGAATGGGCCAGGAAAAGAGTGTGCCAGGCAGAGGAGGAACATGCTGTAAGGCCCTGCGGTGTGTGGGGATGTGTGTTAGGGATGAAAGGGACAAACCATCCCTAACACAAAGGGGAACTGAAGGAAGGTCAGAGTGGCTGGACTGAGGGAGAGGAGGAGAGAGGTACCAGGCAAGAGGAAGGGGCAGGGCTCACCAGAAGTCCAACTGAGCCCTTGGTCTTCACTGAAGAGAAACAGGACGCCACTGAAAGGTTTTAAGCCATGTGTGTACCTGCATGTTTGTGGCAGTATGTGGTGCCTGTGTGCAGGTCCATTGCGGTGCGTGTGTGTGTATGCAGGTCCACTGTGGTGTGTGTGCATGTATGCATAGGTGCCAGTGTGTATGCAGGTCCATTGCGGTGCATATGCGTGTATGCATAGGTGCCTGTGTGTGTGCAAATCCACTGCGGTGCGTGTGCATGTATGCATAGCTCCCTGTGTGTGTGTAGGTCTATTGCGGTGTGTGTGCATGTATGCATAGGTCCCTGTGTGTGTGCAGGTCCATTGCGGTGTGTGTGTGTATGCATAGGACCCTGTGTGTGTGCAAATCCATTGTGGTGCGTGTGCATGTATGCATAGGTGCCTGTGTGTATGCAGGTCCATTGTGGTATGTGTGCGTGTATGCATAGGTGCCTATGTGTATGCAGGTCCATTGCGGTATGTGTGCGTGTATGCATAGGTCCCTGTTTGTGTCTGTGAGAGTGCAGGTGCATGGATGTGTCTGTGTCTGGTTGCTTGTATGCCAGTGTGTGCATGTGTCTGTTCATGTGCACGCGCAGATCCATGTACATGTCTGTGAGCAGGTCCATGTACACATCTTTGGGTGTGCATGCACAGGTCCATGCCTCTGTCTGCATGTGGTTGTGCGTGTGTGCAGCTGCATGTGTACTGGTGCATGTGGGCATCTGCATGTGGTTGCATGTGGCATCCTGGGAGCAGAGATGCCCTGGAGAGGAGGAACCAGCTGTGGTGTGGAGCTAGGCTGAGGCGACTGGGGCAGAAGGGAGATGGGTCAGGGGCTCTCCAGCATCCCACACTTACTTGCTAAACCATGGCTTTGATTCTGGCACTTGGGCTGGGGCTGCTGAATGAGGCAGATGAAGATCTATTCCCTATTTTTGCTCAGGTGGGAGGGCAGGAGTCAGACTACAGGCAGTAAATAAGCAGCAAGTGGCAGAAGGTGCCCAGTGCTACAGTGGAAATGGAGCTCCAGGTGGGCAGGGTTGGGGGTGGCACATGCGGGCTGCAAGTCAGCAAAGGTGGGTGGGGCTGGCCTCCTGGTAAGAGATGAGTATGAACAGGTGGTGAAGGAGGGAGGCAAGCAGGCATCAGGGATGAGGGAACCACCGGCACAAAGGCCCTGAAGTGGGAGCATGCCTGACCAGTCTGAGGGGCAGGAAGGAGGCCATGTGGCTGGTGCCAAGAGGGTAGGAGGTCACTTAAGGGCGAGTCAGGAGCCAGCCAGGGTTTGGGTGAGAAGTGCCATGACCTGCCCTGTGTGACCAGCATCCCTCTGGCTGCTGCGCTGAAGCCAGACCAGAGGAGGCTCCTGGATGCAAACATCCAGGTGATAAAAGGGGAGCAACACAGGTGAGGGCTGGGGGAAGTGGATGCAGTGAGGCTCTGCAAGATGTGTGAGCTGTACGGTGCACAGTGCCTGGTGATGGAGTGGCGGCTGGGTGGGAACAGGGAGACGATCAGGGAACTCCAGGGACCAGCCAGTAGGCTGAAGCAGGGGCTGCTCTTGGAGAGGGGACATATTAGGAGAAAGTGGCAGGTACTGGGAAAGGGGGACTGTCAGCTGTCCCTGTGGTACAGGACCCTGCTGTGCTTATGGCCAGGGCTCAGTACAGATGAGTGGACTGTATCAGTGAACACCAGCTAGTATCCAGTCCCTGGCCCCCGCCCCCAGCAGATGTGTAGTGTTTGCAGCGTGAAGGGTGTGGCAAATTCACCAGGAGGTCGCTTAGGACTTAGTGCGACATAGGGCCAGGCACCAGGTTCGACATGCTGGCAGCCAGAGGCCAAGAAGCCCTAGTGGGCTGTGCTCAGGCCAGAGTCTGCACCTGCCTGCCTCCTCCCCAGCAGCCTCAGGAAACTAGCATCTCTTGGCTGTAGGCTCTTAAGGAGCTCCATCCTGGTCCTTGACTCACCTACCCAAAGATTCCTAAGGCACGATCTCCAAGCCCTGAGCCCACTCAGGAACCCTCTGCTGAGGGCCGCTTGCTTCCTGTGGTTTCGGGACAGATCCTTCAGCCCACACATGGACATCCCCCTCAAGACCCTCCCTTCTCACCCACCGTCCAGCAGGCCCGGCCTGCCCTCATCACCCTCCTTCCAGACGTGGCCCTCTCAAGTCTGTTCCTGTAACAGATGTTGAGTGATAGCCCTGAGTCAGGATGGGTACATGGTCATGGAGGGAAAGTGCTGCCACCTCTCTTGGGACCTTTGCATCCTGGATGCCCTCCACTCTAGGAACCACTTCCCTCCCCAGGCACAATCCCTGGAGGCTCAGCCTGCTGCTAGGCATAGAGCTGGGGCAACATAATACCCATGGTCACACCCACCATAGCCTGAGCTCGCCAGGACCACACCAGGCCATGGGAGCCAGCCTGCCCTGCCCGTAACCTCCAGGCTGTCCCCAAAGCTTTGCTCAAGGCCTCCTCCACAACAGCCAGCACAGCACAGAGTCAGTGCCCCCGGCTGAGGCAGAAGAAGACAGCCCACAGCCAAGGTCACCGAAGGTCTCACTGCCCAAGCCGGCTAAGCCAGGGGCGGGAAGACTTATCAGCTTATAGACCAGCTCCCTCATCACTGTGCCTGACTTCCTCAGAGACGGCAGTCCAGCCCCTCACTCTCCAGGTCCCTAGCTACCTGCCTCCCTCCCTCCTCACCTCCCAGGAAAGCCTGCCCCATGCTGAGCTTGGGCGACGGAAAGAGTGAGCCAAGACGAAGTGATGGTTCAACACACAGACCCTGCCCCCAGGGAGATAGTTTAGGCTTGTTGAGGAGACGGAACTGTACCCAGACTGTGACTGGGGGAGAGGCACAGGCAGTCATGCCTGAGGCCCAATAGAAGCCACTCAGATGGCCACCTTTGCTGGTAACAGAAGCTAGGACCCCAAGAGGTGGCAGGCAGCCCAGGCCACAGGGCCAGCAAGGGAGAGCAAGGCCACACCCCTAATGCCCGATGGGCTCCCAGCCCTCCCCAGATACCTACCACACACCCTGAACCTGCAGGACTCTCTAGCCTCAATGTGGGGACCAGTGGTGTCCACTGTCCCAGGCTTGGGGTGGCAACAGGAGTCATGGAACCCATTTCAGACCAACAAGTCCTTTCCACCCTACCGGAGCTGACCCCAGGGCTGCCTGCGCCTACCTGCCACTCACCCTGTCCTGGAGTCCCCTGTGGAGGCTGAGCTGCCTGGCATGCCCCAAGCGGGGCTATGACTCAGCACTGCCCCACCCCCATCCTGACCCCAGTTTGCTGAGACGCCTTTTATCCAGGCAGCCGCGGCTCCTGTACCTGCCAGCTCCACCTTGGCACCCAGCAGCTGGTCTGGGGAGGGAGGAGGCCCGCGCAGTGACAGATCTCCAGGCTCACTGATGCCTGTGACCACAGGCCCTTCCTCACACAAGGATGTGGGGCAGAGTGGGTAAGGCTCCAACCCCAAGCCAGCCCACAGCTCAGAGCATGCAGGGACCAGCAGGAGGAAACGCACTGGGGTACCCTGAACCCACATTTTGGGCGTGTAGATGGTTCATATAACTCAGATCACTTGACTTGCTGCGTGAGTATGGGAACCTGCAGGCCAAGCTTGAAACCGCCTTTACAAAATTATGACTGAGACAGTGAAAGAGATTTAACTGACTCCATCTTGCTTCTAACTTCCAAGTTGTCCTTGTTCATTCCTGGGTGTAGGCTGAACTAACTTGGAGAGAAACTTAGTTTATAGTTTAAACAAAGACGGTAACAGCCCTCTCCCAAAGCAGACCTCCTTCTTGCCTGGGCACTAGACTGCCTTTGTAGGACTCACATTAGCCACAAGATTAGAAATTATGGTTTAGGAGTCATGCAGCTGAAGGCTAAAGATTCTGACCCTCCCTAAACTGCTCTTGAGATCAGTGCTTGAGAAATATTGCAGACCCTGCACTTGATGGATCAACTGGCCCCACCCAGATCAATAAACTGGCTCATCTGATCTTGTGGCCCCCACCCAGGAACTGACTGAGCAGGAACAGACTGAACAAGAAGACAGTTTCAATTCCCTATGATTTCATCTCTGACCAATCAGCACTCCTGGCTCACTGGCTACCCCCCATCCACCAAGTTATCCTTAAAAACTTTGCTTCCTGAATGCTCCAGGAGACTGATTTGAGTAATAATAACACTCCGGTCTCCTGCACAGCCAGCTCTTCATGAATTACTCTTTCTCTATTGCAATTCTCGTCTTGAAGAATCGGCTCTGTCTAGGCAGCGGGCAAGGTGAACCCCTTGGGCGGTTATAAGCTCAATTGAGGCATTTTTATCTTATTTTAACTGTCACCCAGCTGCAGTGCACCATCACAGTTCACTGCAGCCTCAACCCCCCGGGCTCAAGCGATCCTCCCACCTGAGCCTCGAGTAGCTGGGACTGCAGGCACGCGCCACCACGCCCAGCTAATCTTTTTAATTTTGGAGAAATGGGGGTCTCACTATGTTGCTCAGACTGGTCTCGAACTCCTGGGCTCAAGCAATCCTCCTGCCTCAGCCTCCCAAAGTGCTGGGGTTATAGGTGTGAGCCACCATGCTCATTCTATCATCTCTTAAAGAGTGGGTGCTGCCCCCAACTCTGGAGCCGCCGTCCCTACATCAGCTCCCACCATGATACTATTTTAGAAACCGAAGGTCTGGAAAAGCCTGTGCCTGTGGCCATTGCAGATTACCAGGTTTCCTCCTCGCCGAATGAGGAAGCACTTTCCACTGCCCTTTTACGCCCGACTTATCGGAGCCGCATGTGCTTCCAGCTGACAAGCTGCACACTCCCTGTCCTGCCCCAGCCATGTGTCCCATCATGGGTTTCCCAGGGCCTGGCCTGGACCTGTAGGGGCCTCCTCGGTGGCAGCTCTCTGTTGCTGAGGAGCCAGGTGTCCTTTGTGTTGCCCAGTTCTTCTGTCCCACTGCCTTCAATCCTGTCATGCTGGCCCCACCCAGTGGGAAGTGGGCTCCACAGATGCTGCAGCCCCATGACTGCATTTCCCCTCTCTCCAGTGGTCTGGTCATGGTCCAGTGTCCTCACAGGCTCTTCATGGAGCCATTTCCACACATCTTCATGGGAGGTCAGGGGCAACTGTGGGCTGGGCCCCGGGGAGGGTCTTTCTCAGGGAAGCTGGGCATGGTGGGGTCAGGGAGGGGACTCTGGGTCCCAGCTGTGGCTCTGCTGTGCTTTCCTCAACTATAGTGTGCCTGCTCGGGTGGCTGAGGCCACTGGGAGGAGAGGAAGGTGCCCAGGGAACCTAGGTCCAGAGGCCCGTGGCTGGAGACACGCAGGGGACAGCTGCACCTCCGTGCCACCCCGTCTGCTGCCACTGCTGGGCCGAGTGCTTTGCTCACACACGTCATCTCATGCTAAAAGCAGGCCTGGGAGGTGGCCTCGGCTTTACGGCTGTAGAAATCAAAGCGCAAAGATGGAGGTGATTTCCCGGGGTGGCCTGGCTGGGAGTCTGCAGGCCTCTGCTCCCACCAAGCCCTCCAACTGGGCCCCACGGGACTGCAGCCTGCCTAACCTGGCCACACCTGGGTATCACTTGCTGTTTTTACTCAGCATTTTTCTTTAAATTGACTGCCTTTTTTACTTAAAAAATGTACTTCATAATGACTTCATAGTCCTACTTTCAGTGGAAAGCCAGGGTCACCCGCCGTAGACAGAAGTAATCTAAATACAAAACAGTGTAGAGGAACCGCTTCTGCCACTAGCCAGGGGCGGGACCCTGCCGAGGGGCCAGGCAAGGCCACTGGCTGTTGCTTAAACAGCGGGGATTAGCGCCTGCTGGAGGGTGTGAGAGCCACGTTGGCACCAAACTGGGATTTTCTCCTTGAAGGAGAAGGATTGAGAGAGAAACAAAAAGGATTACCTTCCTCTGGGGAAGGGTTAGTGCCACTCATAGCTGTGGCCTTAGGCCACCTCCTAGGGTTCGATGGTGTTGCAGCCCCCTGCTCTGTCCCCACTGCCCGTGCCTCCTGGGGACACAAGTGGGGTACATGGGGAACCAGGGCCAGAGGCCCTCTCTGCTGGGACAAGCTGGGACAACCAGGGCGGAGGCACTGGTACTGGTGTTGAAGGGATGGAGGCTGTTGGGCTGTGGTATAAACACTGCACCCCTTGTCCTCAGGCTGGAGCCCATCTCTTATCTCAGCAAAGTGGGTCACCCTCTCCCTGGCTCAGTTCCATTTGTCTGCTCAGCAGAGCATCCTCCACTGCTTCTCCCGTTGCTCCTAAATCACCCAGCACGTGCGCCCAGGCCTGAGGCCTTCCACCCTCAGATCTGTATGGGCAACTGATCAGTCACTCAACCTGCTATGATCAATACTTTGCTCTCCCAGAATCCAGCCCCACTGTGTGTGGCCCTGCTTGGGGACAGGGGGACATGGTGGGGAACAAGCTGAGTCTGTGTGTCAAGGAGCTTGTATTCTCGCTGGGGAGATGGTGAGCACATAAGGCAGCCAGGCCATTTCAAATAAAGCTCAGCACCATGGAGAAGAGGACACAGAGAAAAATGTAGAATGGCAGCAGTGAGGAATCGCTGAGGACATCAAGGGGTGGGGTGATTCCCAGAGCTGACCCCGCAGATGCAGCAGACGGGCTTAGCCTGGGGAGAAGCTGCCTGGAAACCATGTCCACCTATCTGAGGTGGGGGTTCCAGCCTGAGAGCTGCCTCCAGAAAACTCAGGGGCTCCAGATGAGGCTCCCCACCTAGTGGCAGGTGGCCCCAAGGGACCCAGGACAGGATGGGGGTTGGTATGGCCTCCTGGAGCAGCACTTCTGCATCATAACCTCCAGTGTGCAATGGCACCTGGACGTGCGATGTCACCTGGACATGCGATGGTAGGGTGACCACAAAACCGCAGACAGTGCGTCCTCTGGCAAGTGAGCCAGGGTTGGTGTCCACGCCCACACTCATCTGGGAGAGCAGGGACCTGACTTCCCTGCCTTCCCAGCACGACACTGTCTGTGGCATCCCCACTGAATGGCTCTCTGTCCAGCTCCCCACTGGGCCTTGGGGTAGTGAAGGGCGGGGCTGCAGCTCTCAAGGCTGCATTGCATCATGGGCCACGAAGCGCAGGTGCTCAGGACCAGGTGGGGATGAAGGCAAAAATGAGCAAGGATATGTTCACATCCAGTGCTCAAGGCTTCCCCATGCTGCTTCATCCTGGCCAGTGTGGCTGTCTGCAAGAAGGCCTGATGGTTTAAGGCTTTTGATACAACACCTACAGATGCTCCTTGACTTAGGATGGGGTTATGTCCTGATAAACCCATCCTAAGTTGAAAATGTGTTGACTTCCCCCAACCTGCTGAACCTCACAGCTTAGCCTAGCCTACCTTAAATGTGCTCAGAACACTTACATTAGCCTGCAGGTAGACAAAAGAATCTAACCCGTATCTTGTGGAATTTACTGAATACCGTACTGACAGGGAGAATCAGAATGAATGGTTGTATGAGTACTCAAAGTAAGGCTTCTACTCAATGTTTATTGCTTTTGCACCATAACCTGAAAAACTGCAAGTCAAACCATCCTAAGTTGGGGACTGCTTGTATTTTTGGACTAAAAAGCCACATCTTCCGGGGAAGATAAAAACCCCACTTGCCTTAATGCCAGTGACACTGGACATGGGTAGGGACAAGCTACCCTCCCAGGAACTGCCCTCTGGGGAAAGATCGCCTGCATAGCTCACCCCTCCCTCCTTGTTAACTCCACAAGAAGCAAGGTTCCTGCCTCTCTGGCTGCATCTCCCACCCACCACACTCACAGTGCCCTGTTCCACCCCACCTGGCTGAAAACACAGCCCTGTGAAGCCCAGGGAGAACCTCCTTCTCTGATGAGGACCCCTGACTACTGCAGCATCAGGATCCCTGGAACCCCAGTGGACTCAGTCTGGGCCTGCCACCTGGCCCGCGCGACCTTGAACAGGTGTGGTGTGCCGCTGGTTCGGCAGTGGGACTGGACTTCCCCTGGGGAAGAAATGGAAGGGATGCCCCACAAACTGGTCCTTTTTCAGCCTCAGGGCTGCCGGCTCCTCCTGCAGGCACCTTCCCTGACCACATCTGGCCCATATCCCCTCCTCCCACCTTCGCCTCCAATGGCTTGTGTGTGGTTTCCCCAGGGTACCCACCGCAGGTTGGTCTGGGCTCCTGCTCTACCCTCCCTCCCCCAAGCACCAGCTCTGCTTCCCTCGAAGCAGGTGCTCTGTGAAAGATTCGCAGAACAGATGGATGGATAGATGGAGGAACACCAAAAAATATTTGTACAGAGCTCGGAAGCTTCCCCAGCACTCCCTTTTGAGAGCATTACCTAAAATGACCTTTCCCAGCAGCCTGCAAAGGGGTCACCCTGCAGTCCACAGGCCTCAGGACCTGAGGTCGCTGCTGACCCATGGCCTCCTCCTGGAGCCCGTGATATCCCTGGGACTCTGTGGGCCAGCTCTACTGGATTCCCCTGGGACCCCTCTGCCTGGGTCTACCCTCCCCTACTACCCCCAATACCCCAGGCCTCCCACAGCCCTCTTGCTTCTGCTTTCCACAAATATTTCTCAAATGTGCATCACACCTGCCCCTCTCCGAGCTGCAGGCTAGCCCCTAAGGACCCCTCCTTTGGTATGGTTTCCAGTTCCTTCTGTCTGTGTGGAGAGTCCTCTTCCTGAAACTTCTCCTGCCCACCCTCCTCCTTCACTCTCCCAACTTCCCTGGAGCCTCCTGCCTGGTCTCCCAGTCTCCCACGTGCCCTTTCCCATCCCAGCCAGCTCACGCCCCACCTTAATATGATCTTGACCACTTCACACCTTATTGAATTAAAATGGGAGTTTCTGGGGGCAAGGTTTGGGGGGAAGACACTGTGGACTCTGCACACCCCAGGCTGAGAGCCCAGCTAGCCTCAGCTCTGTGAAACCAGCATCTCCTGGTCCTCAGGCCCATCCCCCATGTCCTCTTATGCTAGAAAACCTCACACTTCCCTGCAGGTTGTCCCTGGACTCTTCCGCTTGGGTGGGCTGGGGCTCCAAGGGCCTTGTGAATCCTAGTCCTGGGGAAAGAGGGGCTTCCAGGCTGGCCTGCCGTGGGAGTTCTGCAGTGTCATCAAGCAGCCTCCTCCTCATACTTGGCCCCTGTGGCCTTGGCTCTGTTGTAGACTCCTGGTTTACAACCTTTCCAAGTATTATGGAATGATCCTTCACATGCAAAACAAAAATAAACAAAAAAACACAACGAGGCCGGGCGCGGTGGCTCATGCCTGTAATCCCAGCACTTTGGGAGGCTGAGGCAGGTGGATCACGAAGTCAGTTCAAGACCAGCCTGGCCAACATGGTGAAACCCTGTCTCTACTAAAGATACAAAAAAAAAAAAAAAAAATAGCCAGGTGTGGTGGTGTGCGCCTGTAATCCCAGCTACTTTCGAGGCTGAGACAGGAGCTTGAACCTGGGAGGCGGAGGTTGCAGTGAGCCGAGATCGCGCCATTACACTCCAGCCTGGTCAACAGGGCGAGACTCAAAACAAATAAACAAACAAACAAAAACAAAAAAACACAACGAAAAAGACCAACCTGCAGATTCCGACATTATTACACATATATTTCTGGGGTGTTTTTTTTTTTTGTTTTTTTTTTGAGGCGGAGTCTTGCTCTGTCGCCCAGGCTGGAGTGCAGCGGCACGATCTCGGCTCACTGCAAGCTCCGCGTCCTGGGTTCATGCCATTCTCCTGCCTCAGCCTCCCAAGTAGCTAGGACTACAGGTGCCCGCCACCACACCCAGCTAATTTTTTGTATTTTTAGTAGAGATGAGGTTTCACTGTGTTAGCCAGGATGGTCTCGATCTCCTGACCTCGTGATCCGCCCGCCTCGGCCCCCCAAAGTGCTGGGATTACAGGCGTGAGCCACTGCGCCTGGCCTTTTTTTTTTTTTTTTTTTTTTGAGATGGAATCTCACTCTGTTGCCCAGGCTGGAATGCAGTGGCACGATCTCGGCTCACTGCAACTTCCATCTGCTGGGTTCAAGTGATTCTCCTGCCTCAGCCTCCCAAGTAGCTGGGATTACAGGTGTCCACCACCATGGCTGGCTAATTTTTGTATTTTTAGTAGAGACAGGGTTTTGCCATGTTGGCCACATTGGTCTCAAACTCCTGACCTCAAATGATCCACCTGCGTCTCCTTCCCAAAGTGCTGGGATTACAGGCATGAACCTGATTGGCCTATAACATATTGGCCTATAACCTGATTGGCCTATAACATATATTTCTAATAACTGTTGATGGCTAAAAGTTGCAATCAAACCTGAGACTGCTGGCTGGCTGATCTACTGAAAAGTGAATTAAAGCAGGAAGACCTAAGAAATGACACACGTGTACTTTATTTTCACTTAACTCAGATAAACATACATTCATATATCTGTCAATTTTCAGAGACACAAACTCTTCCTAAATCAGAGTTTCCGGTTCTGGGGTTATGCCACTTCTTGCTTAAACCACAGCACACCTTGCGTGACATCTCGTTTACTTTTTCCAACACAAGTGAGGTGGCAAAGGACCCGGAATCTGAACTTTAGGCTGTTATACTCCTTGTCCCCAAACTCGTGGTTGGCTTGCCCACACCAAACCTAACCACGGCTTTTACTGAGGCTTTTCCAAAGCAACCACTTTCATTTCCACAGAAGCCCTCTATACAGTCACAGCCCACCAGTTTACACAGTATTCCAGGCTGTGATTACAATGAGTACAACTGGCACAAATAGGTTTGGGACAATCACAACGGACTCAAAGGGATACATGTGGAAGGGCAAGGGGGTTCTAGAGAGTGCCCGCTGCCCTGGAGGGCCAACCCTGTACTGACACAAGCCAGCATGCTTTACAGTGAGAAGGGAGAGCACCCATTAATCCAGTGAGTGCTGATGACAGAGGTAAAAAGGGTTTTTGCGCGCCAAGATTTCCTCAAGGCTTGTAAATGACTCTGCATTTCATTTATCACAATAGCTTTTGCAGTGTTTGAAAAATGAGAGCATACGCACATGAAAGACATCACTGATTCATGGCTTGAGGACATGTGACTCCGTGTTTGTGGGCTCTTTGCAGCCACTCCACAGTAACCAGGGCCCAGGCCACTGGGTTGGCTTCTCTACACTCTCCCCACAACCTGCCTGATGGGCCTTGCACCTGCAGATCCGCAACGGGTCTCACCTTAGAAACAGGTCCTCCTTTCTTTGCCTCCTCAAAGCTCTCTGCCTATCCTGAAGCCATAGTCCGAGCAGATGGGAGGAAGGACTACGGTTAGTGAACACAGTGTCCCCATCCTACAGACAACCCCAGGCTATGCCCCGGCTGGGCCTCCCAGTGTCCTTCTGCTAAAGGAAGGGGAGATGAGATGACCGGGGAGATGAGATGAACAGGGAGGCCCTTCCCTGTAACCCTGTGCTGTCCTGGCTCTGGACACCCTCAGCCACCTGTCCTGTCTTTTGGCCCACAGCCACCACGGCTGACCAGACAAAGGGTGATAGTGTCGCCTGAGGAACACTGACTCAGGAGGAAATCAAGCCAGATATTTCTCTGGGCCAGGAGTAAATAAATAAATCAATATGCAAAGGTTCCACCTATGGAGGAGAGGGTGGCCATGACAGCAGAGAAGAAGTGGGGCCTTCATTAAGAGCCAAATCAAAGAGGTTGCTGCCTTGGAGAGAGCCGTAGCCCCAGGCTCCTGGCTCCCCAGTTTCCCCAGGGAAGGAAACTGCTGACTCCATCAAACCCTCACTTGAGTGGGGAATCTGATTTCACCTTCTGGGTCTTTGAGGCCCTGCAACCTCCTGCCCTCTGCCTCCATGTGTGGCATCCCACAATCCCATCCCCTACCTTGGGGACCTAGGGGCATGAGTGGTGTCCACTACATGCCCAGCACGCCTTCCCTGCGTCCCTTTCCTTGAGAACTGAGGCTGGCACCACAGGTTGTGGCTGGACCCAGCCAGCCTCAGGGGAACCCTTAATTGCCCTGACTGTCCAGAATTCTACCACTCACTCCCGCTAGCCAGCCCCAGCCTCTCATCTGTTTTGCAGCAGTATGACTTCTCTGGTCTTGCTGTCTCCAGCCCCCTGTGCCCTGTGCTCCACCAGCAGCCAGGGGCATCCTTGTAAAAATGAGGCAGAGTATGTCTCACTTGTGCTTGAAACCTTCTCATGTTTGCTCCCGACGCTTGCTTGACATGGGCAGACCCCGAGTCAAAGTCCAGCCAGGGCACCAGGGCTGTGCAATGCCTGGCCTCTCTGACTCCCACGCCCATGCTCCCCCTCCCCCACTCCTGCCATGCTGCCTCTAGCTGCCTCTCTAGCACCATCCCTCACTCTTAACTCAGGGCCTGTGCACTGGCTGTTCCTTCCTCCTGGAAAACTCTTTGTCCAGAAAGCCAAGTGGACTTCGCTTCCGCGCCCTCTCCCCATCCAATGGCTCAGATGTCCCTTCCTTAGGAGGCCTCCCTGCCCATCCTATTTACGATGGAAAATGACCCCCATATTCGCACACAGCCACACCACGTGTGCTGCCTTGCCCCAAGCATGGTCCCTTTCTAGCACACTGTATAATTTACTTAGAGTGTTTATCGCCCACCTCTTTCCCACTGTGCCATAGGGCAGGGACTGTTGGTCTGTTTGTTCATTGATGTATCCCATGTGCCCACATGGACCTAGCACCAAGCAGGTGCCAATAAATCAATCCCAGGCCCTCGTAGTGACTGAGTGAGGAATCGGTCAACGTGGCTCACGGAGGGGATAGTTGGGGACTTCTGGGAGGTCTTCTGGAAAGGCCCGTGGCCTTCCCTGGGTGGACACGGGTAGACGCACAGCCCCCGCCCACCTGGACTTGGCCGATCCTGATGCTGCCCCACGACTAAGCCCTCAGGCCCGGGAGCCAGGATGTCCCCTCATCTTGTAAGCCCTTTGGGGCTGGGCTTCTGTTGCTACCCCTGCAAGTGTGCTCCCACCCCACATACATTGCATGGCCCCTCAGCCCCCTTAGAAGCCCTGGCCCTCACCCTTGGCCTTCTTCCTGTGCCAGTGATGGGGATAATCCCCCAAACCCTGGCCCACCCAGAGCCTGGGGCTGCAGCCCATTCCCTGTGGTCCCTGGGGACCGCAGTGGCCACACCCTCCACACCTCCTCTATCCATTCCACACCATCCTGGGAGGAGGGAGAGCCCCAGAACAGCCAGCGTGGCAAGACAAACACACTGGAGACTGAGGCCAAGCACTCCAGGAGCCACGACAGAGATGGGGGTGTCAGTGTGGCCAGGAGACTCCTTGGAGGAGGTGGGCAGTGTTGGGGGGACAAGGGCAGCCCCACCAGTGCCTCTGTGTCCCAGCCACGGGGTGGGGCAAGGCTGGGCATGGCTGTGCTTGCGTGCGTGGTGTTATCATAGAGGAAATCAATGCCTGGCACTGGCCCAGTGTTTAAGGGAAATGAATAGATTTTGGCCGAGGACAAAGAGAGTTTGATTAATCCGAAATTGGATAATGGAGGCAACACTCTAATTATTTTTCTTCCCAGCATTTCATCGAGAAATATGTTTGCACAGCATATCAGAGGTAACTGAGCGGGTGAGGGGGTGACCATGCTGGAGGAAAGCCCAGCTCGGAGACAGGCCACCCGCACCCGCCCTCACCAGCAGGGGTCCTGGTAGCCACTCTACAGGGCCACAGGAAGCAAGAGGGCTGGGTGGGGCTGGCCTGAGGCCACATGCAGCTGGGGCAGCTAAGGCCAGAGGGACATGCCATGCAGAGCTGGGCAGGAGGAGGCATGAGGGCCAAGCCCTCATGGTGGAGTTGCTCCTCCCCTGGCCTGGCCACAGTTAGGGGTAGGGCCACTAGTGTGGGGGTGCAAGAGGAGTAGGGGTGAGGTACCACCAGTTCACAGGGGGTCAGGGCCTGCTGGGGTCAGGGTGAAGGCTGTAGGTGCCAAGTTCTCCCACCCATAGTCAGAAGGGTCTTCAGAAGGCCCCTCTTGGCAGCTTGGAAGGTTTTCCCAGCTTTGCCTCTGGGGAAGCCTGATTAGCTGCTCCATAGCCAAGGTCAGACAGGACCACCGGGCCCCACAAACACAGAGCCTGGTACTTTACATGCCTCAGCCCTCCTTAGTCACCTTGCCCCCTCCTCCCTTGCTGACCCCACTCCTGCAACACCTGGAGCTGAAACCACACGGTTTAGCACCTTGTTTCCGTGGCCATCCAGCCTCCCAATTCCAAGAAGGCTTCTAGGGGCTCCTTGCTGGAACAGAGATCAACATCAGGTGTACATCCAAGAGGAGGCTCCCGGCCTTGTAGAGTGGTTGAGTCTCTACCACTCATTCACTTATTCATTCTTCAGTGTACAGAAAGAGGCTGCCATGAACGAAGCATGGGGTTGGACCCTGAGGTCACTACAGGGAGTGAGGCATCAAATGAGAGAAGAGACAGTCAGCAAGCAATGACCTGAGCTGCTCATGGGACTCAGGAAGACGGAGGCCAGTCCTTCCCAATAAGGGGTTAGCATCAGTGTCACTAAGGAAGGGGCATGTAAGGAGAGATAGGGTGGGTTAAAGCTGCTAGATAGGAGGGGGTACAGTGGTGAGGTTCACCAGTCACTGGCAAGCTCATCTAAATCCTGCCTCCCGTGCCCGCTGCAGACATCACTAATCGACCATGACTCTTTCCCTCTGGGCTGCAGCACAGCCTTAGAATCCTCTTCAGCACAGCATGCTTTGGACGGTCACTCCAGAGTTGAGATAAGGAAGGAAACTATCTGTACACTTGACCCAGCCCAGAGCTTCCAACTCAAAGGCAAGGAAGGCCCAGAGAGTGGAAAGCATTCGCAGGGTCACCATCACAGGCAGAGCTGGACTTCTACCCAGGCCTGGTGCCTTCCCCTGCCCTGAGCTCCTCTACTGGCCTGAGAGGCCACTCCTTGATCTTGGGGCACAGGGGCCACCTGGAAAGGCCACTCTACCATCATCATGTTCCTTTACTACCTTCAGGGTCTTGGCTCATCCCCTTAGGACAGTTTTCCATAGACATGCCTCTGAAGGTCATCACTCTGTGAATCCCCGTGTCTGACAAAGGCCCCACTGAGTCACATTGCATCACTGAGTGGCCCGGCGTCAGCCCGAGGCATCTGTCCACCTGCCTCTGGCTTGAGAGTAACCCACAGTTGGGCCTGACGGGGCCCAGCTGGTAGCATCCACCTGAGGGTGGTTTGTGTTTGGTGGCCAAACCTGAGGCCCAGAGACACATCTCTGGGGACCCAAAGGTACAACCTCTTAGGAGCAGAGGGTTGAGCTGGAGCAGGGGTTCTGCAGCGCACGAGCACACAGCTCAGCCCTAGGGCAAAAGGGGCTGGACAGGGCCACTGAGGCATGACTGTCTGCGAATATTCAGTCCCTCCACAGCGACTCCCTGGGTGGCGATTCTCAATGGTGACTCCGCAACGTCCCTGCCCTCATGGAGCTTACACAAACACATACGATGAATGAATCAAATAGGGAGCAGGTCACGCTGTGGCGAGTGCTAAGGGGAAAAAAATAGCAGCAGGAAAGGGCATAGGAAACATGGTCAGGAACATGGCGCTGTTCTACATAGAGGCCCCACCAGCCCTGTCTGGAGCAGGGCCACAGCCTAAGAGCCAGCCCTCACTGCCATGCCAGCCTCCAGCACAGCCTCCTCCTCAGCCACCCTTCCTATGACCAACCAGGGTGAGAGGGACCATGCTGCCCAGATGCGGGGCTGCCCAGACCTACTAAGGCACTGGGCACATGAGGTCCACTCTCCACACCTCAGAGGACCTTGGCCTCCATGACTCACAGGGGCAGACCTCACAAAGGAGCAGACCTCACAGGGGCAGACCTCACAAAGGACCTTGGCCTCCGTGACTCACAGGGGCAGACCTCACAAAGGGACCTCTGTCCTGGCAGCTCTCCATCCCAGGGGCCAAGGGTCTCCTGAAAGGTTTGCTCTAACCACAACCACGGTCCCCCATGGCCATGAGAGGCCTGGCTGAGCCCTCGGGGACGGGGTGTGTTTCTGGTTGGAGGCTGCTAGAAGGAACACCCCCGGGCTTGACACTATGTGTAAGGCCCCTCCCTGCACTGTGGCTTTTAACAGTCTCGCTTCTTAGCACTTTTTGATGGATTCTCCAGGGACGTCTCTAAAAGAGAGTTATACCTTAATTTAGAAGCAAATAACTCAAAACTCTGTGATGTGGCAGCTTCCTTTGGAAAAGAGATGAACGCAAAGAAGCCATTGCTGTGTGAAGCTGTGGCCATGTAGGTCCAGGGCCTGCTGATGGGACCATCTAAACCTCAACCTCAAGATGTGCCTCCTGCTGCCTCTTGCCCAAGGGTCCACAGACCAAGGGGCAAGAAGCAAGACATTTAGTGAAGAATTGCAGCAGGCAATTGCCTGCTGCAGTTTTCACTTTGGGTTCCCTGGGCCATGGTGCCAAGGTGAAGCTCACAGGCTGGGTGTGACTGACTCCAGCGGCCCTGAAAGTCCAACGCAACCCACCCGCCCACTCAGGGAAGGGAGGAGAAATGCTGTGGGGACTGGGCAGCAGGCAGGTTGCGGGCCCACCCTCCAGGCCTTCCTTCTCCACAGGGGCCACTACATCCCCAATATTATCCTTGAGGTCCCTGTGACCAGCCAGCTTCCTGGGCACTCACTTGGGCATCCATACAGTTTTAATGCTCTGCTGTTGCTGTTCTGGAATGCATAATTTTAGTTTTACTTTTGTAGAGACAGGCTCTTACATGTTGCTCAGGCTGGTCTCAAACTCCTGACTTCAAGTGATCCTCCTACCTCAGTCTCCCATAGTATAGGATTACAGGTGTGCGCCATCATGTCAGGCCCTTAATAATTTTCAAATGGGGGCCCCCAAAATCATGTGGCCAGCTGTGCCTGCATTGCTCAGTCCCTGGGCATGCCCTGCCTGCTTGACACAGGGGACCTGCTCTCTGGGACCCGCTCTTCTCCAGCCTCCCGAGGCGCCACTGTGACTGTGCTTCCACCTCACTTGCCCGTCAATCCTCAATCTCTCTTTCTCGATGCTTCTCAACTCATCCTCCCCACAGTGGAGGCCCAGGAGCCCAGCTCAGCCTCTTCTGATCCTACCTACCCTTGATCCCTAAGTGACCTCACGTGGTCCCCGGCCTGCCACACACCTCAGTGCCAGGGGCTCCAGGTTGCCACCTCCAGCCTTGCTCTCCCTCTGGCCACATGTGCCCATCAATGGCTCTCCAGGTCTCAGACCCACCTCCTAATTCCCCACCTCTCCAGAATGGGTTTTTCTGTATCTTGCTTCTCAGCCAATACCAGCTCCATCTTTCTACTGGTTCAGACCAAAACTGCAGCTGTCCTTTAAAAGCTGCAGCTTTAAAAAAACAAATCTCCCACCTGCATTTCTCAGGGCCTCCAGAGCTCCCACCCCTGGGTCAGCAGCCTCTCTGCCTGGGATGTTGCAGTAGCCCCTCATGGCCCCCAGCCTTACCCCACCCTAGCCTATTTTCCCACCTCAGCAGAGAGATCTTTTCAAAGTGTAGATTAGCTCCTCCTGGGAGGGCAGCTCCAGTCTCTTCTCTGCTCCAACCCTGCCAAGGTCTTCCTGCCTCATTGGGGCCCACTGAGTCCTGCAGGACCTGGCCCTGACACCCCACCCACACTCCTGCACCAGGTTCCAGCCACTCTGGTGGGGCCTCCAGGGGCCAGGGAGTGTCTGCTCAGCGCCTTTGCACCTGCTGTCTCTCCCCTGCTCAGCCACACCACTCACCCAGCACTTCTGCATGGCACTGTGTCAGTCCCCCACCCCCATCTCGTGTCCCCCACCTTCTGCTTTAGTGTTCTCCACAGTGCAGCACTTAGTAACATGTGTTACTGTCAACCCCTGCCCGTCTGGTGTGAGCACTGTGAGTGGATGCTACGTCCCTGCTGTACCCCTGCACCTGGCACAGTGCCTGGCATGCAGCAGGCGCTGGTAAATGTTAGCTGAACAAATGAATGGATGAATCGCGTGAGGTTCTGCTCCTCCGGCTCAGTCCAGAGGGCTGATGTCTCCTCCTATGTGCTCTAGGATCTGTCAAGCGGTCCCTGTTGGTTCAATCCTGTGAAGCGCCTCCCCTGGCGGTGTTCGCACGAAAGGGCCAAAATGTGTGGCAGGGGCTGGTGTGGGGACAGGGCAGGGCACTCTTGGCTTTGGGTATGGATGAGGATAATGAGGTTCAGAGAAAAAGGGGCTGGACCTAGGATGGTGGGACCAGGACCTGACTCCAGGTCTTCTGCCACCTAGACTGGAATGCTCACCTCACCACCCCGGAGCCACAACAGTCTGGGTGCTCCCACGTCCCTCTTCATTCTGCCCAGGCCGCAGCATAGCCTCTGCTCTGGGATTCTGCCTGGGGCTGACCCTTGGCATCTGCACTGACGCCTCTGTTCATTTCGCTTTGTGCTCCTTCCAGCCAAGCACAGTGCTCACAGGTGCTCAGAGGCTTGGCTACCCCAGGTTTCCTTGCTGGAGGGTTCGGGAGAGCAGCATGCTGACCTGCCTCCTCCAGTGTGCCCGTGCACCTGCCATGGTCAGCAGCAGTGAGAGTGCCTTTGCCACCACACACCGTCTTAAGTATTCTGAGGCTAGCGTGGGACAGACAGCACAGGGCTGCCTTCCTTGCCTCCAGGGGAGGAAGCCGCACACATGTGTTCACACACAAGATGACTAAATTCAGCATTCCTGAATTGCTATATTCAGCATTCCTGTCCCACTGGCCTCTCTGCGGGGGCCCTGGGCAGCCCTTGTGAAGTCAATCCAGTTACCTGCAAATTCCTGGAATTGTTCTAGAAGCTCCTGAGGGCCAGACTGAGACCCCACCCATACTCCTGCACCAGGTTCTGGCCACTCTGGTGGGGCCTCCAGGTCTCTGAGGTTCCTCCTGAGATTCTAGAAAACAAAAGGACTGAGAGGCTGGGGACAGAGGGAAGAATCCATTCCCTGTGTCCCAAACCCACAGTCACATGCCAGGTCCCTGCAACAGTCCAGGCGACAGGCACAGAGCACAGCAGCTCACCCTGCTCAGCACAGACTGCACACCCCACGAGGGCAGGCCCTGTTCTCGCTGCATCAACCTGGGCCTTGGCCAAAGCCAAGTGTGTGTTGGGTGGGGAGGGTAGGCACACTACAAAGATGAGTAACAAACAGCCCCTTCAGAGGGAGAGCAAAAACATCCCCAGAAATGAGGGAGCTGACTTAGGGGGGAAAGTGACACCAATTTCCGAGGGGGAGAAATTATGTCTTATTCACCTCCTGTCTCAGAAAATCAACGTCAGTTAGAGGAACACACAGGAAGACTTTTAAACCAGATGCCAGCATCTCCTCATTCCTAGAGAATGAGGCTTGCTCAAGGCGCATATTTTATCCAAGCACCGCCAGGCCATCCACACCCCCACTGCACCCCGTAGATGGATGCTCCCAGGCTGCCACGATTACTGCTCTCAAACATCCACATCCCAGAGGCACAGAGTCACTAGCTAAGCATCATCCCCGAAACAGGCAACTCAATCCTAACAAGGGGGTTGCCTGGGTGGTTACCCAGTGCCCTGGCTGTGCCCGAGGGAGAAGTGCCTGGAAGCACAGTCTCAGACTGCAAGGAGCCTTCCCCAGTCTTTAAAGCTAGCTCTTCTCCAGGCCCACCCCAGCTCATGGGGTCATGGAACTGCTTCGCTTTTACAGATGAGGAAGCCGTGGTCTCCACCATAGCCACAGTTAACCAGCAGTGGGGTCATTCCACTTCCCAGCTCCCTCAGCCCCGTGCAGCCCCCACCGGCCTTTCCCGCCATACCTCCTCCTACTCCCCAGGCATGCTAAGTGCTCCCATCAGACCTAACTGCCCAAGTGCCTCGGTCTATTCTCTCCTCTCTGCCCACAATGCCCAGCTTAGCTGTGCCCATGTCCTTCAAGCTCCAGTTCAAATGTCATGTTGCCCACGAGCTCACCTGACCCCCCAGCCCAGGACACCACTCTGAGGTCCCTCCCGAGGCCCCTGCACCTGCACTCAAGCGGGGTTGGTCGAGTAGAGACGTTTTCCCCTATGCGGTGGTCAATCAGTCCTGGGAGGGCAGGCCCAGTCCACTCCCACCCGGTGCACCCCAGCGTCAAGCTCTGGGGGAGTGACCACTCAATAAATATTTGCTTAATTGAATTTGGCCAAGGAGCCTTCTCCAGAGAGCTCAATCCCCAGGGCAGGGAAATCACTTGGGCAGAAAGGAGCCGGTCAGGGGCTCAGCTGTCTCCCCAAGCAAGACAGACCTCTCTACCAGGCGGGTCCCTCCACCCCAACACGGACTACGCGGAACGCTGGTCTCGCTTGGCATCATCCTCTTGTCTCAGTTAACAGGAGCCCCCATTCTCGGCCTAGGCCGAATCCTGCCATCATCACCCAGGAAGGCTCAGCACCGCCCTAAAGGCAGAGCCCCCTCGGATCGCCCGCAGGATACGGAGCGCCAGCCCTGAGGCCCTCACTCCCCTCCCCCAAACACCCCCACCGCCTTTTAAGGGAAAAAATATTGAGCCGGGAACGTATTACAATCGCAGCAGGTCGATACTCATCTCTTCCTCTAAATGCCTGTGAGGAACCTGCTCGCTGCAAGAGCAGTGACCGAGAACTGCTAGCTGTCCGTCTGCGGGCCCAGGTCCTCGGGCCCAGGCCTCTGGGGCCCTCTCCTCGGTTTCAGGCAAGGCCCTGCATCGGCTCCGGCCGCCCCTCCCTGATCCTCCCCCTAGGGAGACCCGCCTCAGCGCCGCTCCCGCAGCTCGCCTGGCCCGCCCGGGCTCCGCATCAGCCGCTGCTTGGGGGCGCCCGGCGGCCCCGCGCGGCATCCCCGGCGCCCTCTGTCCACCCTCCCGGGTCCTCAACCGCCCCCTCCCGCGGGGTCATCGGCTTGGCGGCGCATCCCTCCCCCAGCACCTGCCCGACCAGAGGCCGCCCCCTGCCCACCTCGCAGGCGTCCCCGCCCTTGGTGTCCCCCACCCCTGAGGGGCATCCCTGACGCTGCGTCCTGGCGGATCCGGGGCACAAAGGCCTGGGAAGAGTCCCAAGTGGGGGCAAGGTGGATGCCCCGGCCGTGCCCCCGACCCCTGAGGCTCAGCGGCGCGCGGCCGGCCGCGGGTCGGCTCACTCACCTCCGGGCCGCAGCACAGAGCATCTGCCGAGCTGCTCCGGGCAGGGCGGGGCGGGGCGGGGCGGCGAGCACGGGGCCGCGGCGCCCTCGTTCCGTACGACGCGGGCAGCGGCGCCCACGCGGGGACGTGACCGGACCGCGGGCGGCGCACACGCTCCGGCCGGCCTGGTTCCCTCCGCCCGCCCTCCCGCGCCGCCCGCCGCCCGCCGCCCGCCGCCAGTCCGCGGGTCCGCCCGCCCCGCGCCGCGCCGCCGCCGGCAGGGGGCGGAGCCGCGAGCGCAGCCCGTTGCCAGGCCAACCGCGGGCGGGGGGGTGCCGCGCGCCCGCCGGGCACCACGCGCCGGGCACCTCCGCCCCGCCACGAGCGCCGGCCCTCTGTCCATTGGGCACAGGCAGCTGACGGACGGGCCAGTAGCCCAATGGGGACGGACAGGGGCGGGGTCGCAGCTCCGCGCGCGCCGCAGTCCCGCAAGAGCTCCCCGCGCCGGCGTTCCACCGACTCCGCTGCGCTGAGGCCTGGTAGCCGAGCCCCAGGGGCCACCTCTGGCAGCCCGGGAAACCAAGCCTGAGCCCAGCCATGGTCCTGGCCCTCTTTACTGCAGCCAGTCCCGGCTCGCCTTCTCTCCACTCGGGTTCAAACCCAGTTCGGCCTCTTGTGAGCTCTACGTCCTTGGGCAACCGACTGACCTCTCTCAGCCTTTCTGTTTGCAAAGTGGGGCTAGTGGCACCTGCTTTCCTGGATTGTCTCACCAATCCTTCAGAACGTGTGAAAGGCCTATGCAAACCCTAACGATTTACACCGGTGAGGTTTGTGCAGCGATGGGAGGGAGCATTAGTCATCTCTGCCGCCGCCCCCCGCCGCCACCGCCCAGTGTCTAGGGGCTCTTTGGCGTCCCTGGCAATCCTGGCACACGGAAGGGTGGCCTTGGGAGGGAAGGAAGGGAGAAGGACCGAGGAGCTGGCCCCCAGCCCAGACAAGCGTGAGAGAGCCAGTTCAGTTAAGGCCACTGATTGGCGCTTTTGGGAAGCTGGTGGAAAGCATCAGACCCTCAGCAAAACGCAGCTGAACCCAGGCTGCAAAATTCTGTTTTCAATTTCAAAGCCTATCTGTGGACCTCAGGGCCAGGAGTCCCTCAGTTCCATGCTTAAAAGACTCTCAAGCCAGAGGGCCAAGACATGAATGCTCCTGTCTCTCTTCTCCATCTTTGTAAATCTGAAGCTTTGTGTATCCTAGAGCATCCCTGACAAAGTGCAAATGCCTTCCCAGCTAACGCGTTCCTTATCACCTCACACCTTTGTAAGGTGTGGATCATGCCATTCTTTGAGCAGCAGCCCTGGACCTGACCATGGCAGAGGTCCATGGAGCGGTCTCTCCATCATAGCTCTGTGGTGGAGGGGCAGGGGCATGTGCCTGGCTTTGCCAGCTGGACACTGTGGCATCTCAGCATCATCCCATAACCTCCCTAGGAATGTTTCCTCTTCTGTGAGATGGAGACCATTGCGTTACGTACCTGCAGGGTCATGGGCCACCTGTGAGGGTGCTGCCTCAACTGTCAGGAACAGGACGTATATTTGTTATGGGCATCATGGAGGCGAACTTAGTGCTCACTGGAGGTGTCCAGTGAGGACCAAGGGAATTCAGCCAATGGCTGAGGGGCTAGCTACCCTTTGTGCTTGCCTTCCACACCACCAGGCTGTGTCAGGCTGGACCTCTTGCCAGGAGGACCACACAGAGACCGGCAGCTGTGCTACCTGGCTGAGCCTCTGTTTCCTCTTCTGTCAAAAGGGAATGTAACAGACTGTGGTCAGAGGGTGGCTCTGAGGGTTAATGTTTATAGGAAATGCATATTAGCATGTCTTGGGATAGCCAGAGGCTGTTTCCACTGCAGAGTCTGGGGGTCAGAGTTGAATTGTTTGCAGAGGTAAGCCCACATGCAACAGTGAGATGGCCCTTTCCAGTGGTCCAGAGCAGAGGCTAGCCTGCGGAGGGGTCCACTGGGGCTGGCTGACACCTCCCTGACTTGACCTCAAAGTAAGAGAGGGACATCTCACCTGGCATCAAACCAATATTGTATTCATGCAGCAGTCACTTACAGATAGCCTCCTCCACCAGGGTATAGTTGTAGGCACAGTTCTAGGATTCAGACCGGCCCTTTTCTGGCAGACCCTCTGCCTGTAGGGCAGGGGCAGAAAGCAAACAACGATTGGGCCTTACAGTCATGTGAGGCTATCTGAGGAGACCCACTGGGGCTCTGGGGGCATGTGGAGTGGGGGAGCATTGGGCATTGGGCCAGCTTCCCAAAGGAAGAGATGCTTGGAATGAGGCCATAGCAGGCGTGGAGGTGGCCAGTGACATAGGGTGGGAGGGAAGTGAGTTCCAAGGCGGGGACGGTGCAGGACATGAAGGAGCACGAGGCCAGGAAGAACCCAGAGAAGACCAGTGTGGCTGGGGCCAGGGTCGTTGCCCATGCACAGATGCCAGCTTGGGGCAGTAGGATCAGGGACGTTGGCCTAAGAACTGCTCGAGAGTTTTAACATTAGTCTTTTAAATTTGAGAAGGAGGAGGAGAAGTTTTTAATTGCCTGTTTACAGTAGGCGTGGTCCCACAGACAATGTGAGTTGTCCTACTGGACATAATAAAATAACAAAAACATCAGTTAGTCAGTCCAGAGGAAGTGGGAGTGAGCACAGAAGTCAGTCTGTGAGGCTGAGTTCAGTGTACGGTCTGCTGTGGCTGTGAGATGGCAGGGAGACCAAGAGCATGTTAGGAGACAGTGGCGGGGCATTATCAGGACCCAGGGAGATGAGAGAAGGGGAGAGGGTGGGGACCACTGGAGGAAGAGATGGTGCTTACCAAAAAGATGGAGGAGCAGTTGGGGAGGTGGTCAGGAACCAGAGAATGGAGGGTACCAGAGGCACGGGAAGAGAGCATGTGGTAAAGGAAGAAGCTGTTAACCATGCTCCCAGCTACCTGGAAGCCGAGAAAGCTGAGGACAGAGAAGCACCCCTTGGAGCAAAGGCAGGCCCAGTGGGCCAGGAGTTCAGGGCACAGGGCCATGCAAGGCTAAAGCTGGACAGGTGGGTCACCTGCGGCAAGGTGGGCCCCAGATGCCATGTGTGGATGTGCAGTCCCCTAACAGGAAAGGGTGTGGCTGCGACCAGAACCTGGGTGCTGGTGCTCTGTCCTGAGCCCTCATTGGCTGGGAGACAACAGCTGGGGCTTTGCTGTAGCCAGAGGAAGGGGGCCATGGTGGTGACTGAGCCCACTCAGCACCTCCCCAACCCAGCAGGCACAGCTGGCTGAGGAGTGGCCCCTCAACATGGTGTCAGCACCCGCCCTGCCCCACCACAAAGAAAATGACCCAGACTCCACCACTGGGGCTCCACACCATGGACATCCGTGACCCCTCAATCCCATTGGATCTCTTTGGCTCATCAACCACTGAACCCATCCTAGCCCCTACATATCAGCCAGGCCAGATCGGGGACTCCCCACAAACACATACATTTGAGCCCTGCTGTTCTGGGCTCTCCTCCACATCCATGAGAACCAGCTTCCCCGGGGCCTCCCTTTGTGCACCTCCAGAGCCCCTAGGACCCTGGAATTCCTGGTCTACACACATGTCAACCTGTTCTGTAGTGACCTGTCCCCAGCTGACTATTCCACTAGTTTTCCCACTTCCCGGGGGTGGGGTGGGCATATGTTGCTTGTCTCTAAACCATGGATGGCCCAGAGCCTGGCCTGCTCTGGTGCCACCCCATCTGGCTGATTCTCTGTGCCCCACCTGTCCTACCTCTTCTGCAACCACCCCCCACCCCCAGCGGACGCTCAGGCTGCCGCCCAGTTGGGTGGATTTCCCCGATTGTTTCCCTGGGGTCTGTGTGCCCCACCCCCACTTGAGCAAGCCATCGCAGATCTGGGTTAGTTATAAATAGCCAGGCCCGAGACTCTTCTTTTAGCTGAAAAGAAGCAAAGTGAACGAGCAGAAAGGCACACCCGGCACGCGTTTTATTTTTAATCTTCTCCCTCTGTCTCAAAATGAACCCCGGTCCCTGTGCTAAGCATTTCTAGGAGCAGAAGTACAAGACAAATGCCTGAGAAACAAAACCCAAGGGGCTGAGGGTCCCGCCTGGCTTTGCCACCATCTGCTGTGTGACCTTAGGTATTCAAGTTGCCTCTCTGGGCCTCAGTTTCCTCACCAAGGAGAGGTGGGTAATGGAGGTGATCACCTTGAATGTTGACTTTTCTGACCTCAACTCCTTCTATATTCCTCCCCTAACTTGTGCCCATCCTGACTCAGCAATGACACCTGTCCCAGGGATTTCCTGGGAAGCTCAGATAGGTGAGACGAGGCTACAATCTAGCCCTGATTTGAAAATTAACAACTTCCTTACCCCCAGGTCTTTGCTCAAGTGTCCCCATCCCAGAACTTTGTCCTTCCATCTGCCAGCAAAATTAACAGAAGGTCAAATTGTCGCCTCCCTGCTGTGAGCTGGAAGAGGGCCGTCCAGGTCACCACTGAGTTGAATCTATAGCCAGGAGTGGGTAGGGAGACCGTGGGCAGAACCTGAGGGGAAGCAGAGCGGGAGCAGGAGGCCAGGTGTGTGGTATGGGCAAAGCAGGGAGCTGCGAGAGAGAGAGGATCAGGCCTCGGGAGGGGTGGTAGGGTTGGGGGGTTTCTGCACTGATGGGATCTGCAGGGCTTGGGCTGTGCAGCGTTTGTCTTGTATCCTACTCCTCAGCCTCCAGCAGGCCCTTGCTTGTAGCTGGGACTCAGTGTTGGTGGAATTCAGGAGACTCTTGCCACCCTAGGCCCAGATGTTCTGGGCACACAGGGACAGACCCTTACATGGATGAAGAAATCCACAGCACGTGGAACACGTTTTCATCCACAACCCCCTGCCAGGTAGGCCCGTTTCAGTGATAAGGAAACTAGACTCAGAGAGGTTAAGTAACTTGTCCAAGGTCACACAGATTGGAAAGGATATGTTTTAAATGAGACCTAGGCTTTTTTTTTTTTTTTTTTTTTTTTTTTTGCAATCTGTGCATATTAAATAAAAAAGGCCAACACAGTAGAAGCAACAGGAACCCACTTTTCCTGGGTGGTCAGAGCCCTGAGAACAAACAGGGCAGATCTAGCTGCTCCATCTGATACCACAGTGAGAAGCTGGCCAGGGGCACTGGAAGCCACCTGACACCAGAGGACCTGGGGGATGGGGCATGGAGAGCTGCTGGACATTATGAGACATGGTGGGGGGCGGTAAGAGCCACTCAGCACCCTGCTCCGCCTTTCTACCCCATCACCCTGGGCACCTGCTGTTTGATGTCCTCAGGGAGTGGGGGAAGAAGGTTGGGGTGATGTCTTCAAAGAGGAAATCCCTGGTACTAATTGGCACTTGGAGACCTTTAGGCTAATCAACCTGTTTATTTCTCTCTCTAGAGTAAATTAGAGGGTTTAGCTGGGGAGGGCGGAAGAAAGAGGTGTCTTCTGGTGGCCACCTCCCTGGGGGCTGTAGATGGCTTTGCAGTAGGCAGTGGGCTGCAGGGCAGTGGCGAGGGCAGCTGCGTGCCGTAGGGAAGGGCACTGTGCACATTCCCTGTGCTTCTCATCTCAGTGACTCAGGAGGGCTGTTCTGCCCACCGTCCTGGGCTCAGGATGCCACTCGTGCTGGGTTCTCTAGGCAATCACATGCTGACATTCCTCAGGAGGGAAGGGAGCTGGGAGGAGCCAGGTGGGGCCTGTTTATGGGGGAGCCTTGCCTCATTGTGCTTCTCCCAGTACCTGCACCCCAGCTGTGCCATGTGGAGCCCCCTTCCCACAGAGCCCCAGGTCCCTTGAAGACGAGAGCCTATGGCTTCCCGTCACCTTTAGTTGGGGCACAGCTCTTTTTGGTGAGTGTGACACTGGCCTACACTCTAGGTCTTCTGTCTCAGAGTCAAAACCAAGCTCTTCTCCAGGGCTGGTCAGACCAGTGTGGGGTCTCCAGCAGCTTTGAAATATTTTGGTGGATGGGAAGCGGGGGCTTGGCTGGCTCCCCAACTCTGGGGCAGGGGGAGGGAAGAGTGGAGGTCTCCTGGTGTGCCTGGGCCCTGCAGGAGTGAGCTGTCAGCTCTCCGAGGGGTGGCTTATTGCCTCTCCAGCTGCTGTGCGCTTGCTATGGTAGATGCCCCCTGAGACACAGGCGACAAAAGACTGGTCCTTCCTGGGTTCTCTGAGCCTCCGCCCTTAGCCCCTGACATGGCTGTCACTGCAGCTGCCTGCTGGTCGCTCAGGCCCCTGGCCAGGCGGGACGTGTGTGTGGGGGTGGCACTTGCAAGTCCTTTTGTCAAACCCACCCACTGGTTCTGCAAGACCCTCCTTGAGCCCTGCAGGCCAACTGGCATGGGTGGGTGGGTGTGTGGCCAGCCCGCCCTCAGTGCCCTTTCCTGCCTTGTAGGGGCCCAAGAGATCATCAGCAAAGGTCTGATTTCCTCACTGGTATGGAAGCTGCAGGTGGAGGTGGAGGAGGAGGAGTTCCAGGAGTTCATCCTGGACACACTGGTCCTCTGCCTGCAGGAGGATGCCACCGAGGCCCTGGGCAGCAATGTGGTGCTTGTCCTGAAGCAGAAGCTCCTCAGCGCCAACCAGAACATCCGCAGCAAGGCCGCCCGTGCGCTCCTTAATGTCAGGTGAGGCCTGGCCTAGGCTGGGTTTCTACCAAGGCTGGGAGAAGGCACCTGAGCTGGACTGGTCCAGAGCTCAAGGGCGGCCACCCTGGGCCTGCTTCCCCTTGCCTGCTTGTGCCCAGGGGTAGGAGGGAGCTGGGACAGAGGATGACCTTCTCCCCTAGGGTGACCACCATCCCGTTGGCCTGGGAGTGTACTGTATCCCAGGAAACCCCTCAGCCTGGACAAAGCCAGATGATTGTGCACCCCCTCCCCATGAGGAAGGCCAGCACAGGAGATGCACTGGTGATGATCATGACACCCAGCGGTCACTGAGTGCCTCCTGTGTGCCAGGCGTTGTCTACAAACCTCACATTTAGGCGACCCTCCAGGGAGGTGATGTCTGCCTTCACAGGTGAGAAAAGGAGGCAGTGTCTTGTGTCTCACACCAGGTCACACAGGATCACAGTCTACATCCTGGCCTGGAAACTGAGGGAGCCCAAAGCCTCAAAGCTGCAGGGGGCAGGGTGCGGTGTGTGTTCTCACACTGGGCCCCTTTTCACGAGGACAGGCTGGTCACCGAACCCCAGAGTCTCTGCCTTAGCTGTGGCTATGTCTCTTTAGTGGAGACCCTCTTGCCTTCCCTAAGTCCTGGCTTCTCTTCTGAGAGTCTCACTAGAGGCTCAGGCCAGTATTTCTGCAAGTGGGGCCCCGGACCCAAGCCACCGGGAGGTTTGTGAAAATGCAGATTCCTGGGCCCTGTCCCAGCCCCATCATTCTTAGGTCTGCTCAGAGGTCCCCTTTCTGTGGGACCATGAGAGTGGCTTTCCAGGAGAGAGCTCTCTCTCTCTGAAACTGTAACCTCCCTGCTGTCCCCTGTCCTCCCATGTCCACTGTGACCACCATCCCTGCCGTTACTTTGTGTGTCATCCCCGAGGGGAGCTCCTGAGGACAGGGCTTTCCTCTGTTTGCTGCCCTAAACCCAGGGTTTGCAGCGGGGGAGCTTTGGCTCCCAGTTGAGAATTATCTGGCCCTAAAGAACACTGAGCTGGAGAAACCCTGCTCTTGTCCCCACTCTTGTGAACAAATCGGGGAATCCCTGCATCGCTCTTGTCTCAGTGTCTTGCTGTGTGAACGAATCAGGGAATCCCTGCATGTGGGGCCCAGGACTCTGCAACTTTGATCATGGGCTTCGGGGTTGAGGCCCACTGCCCTGAAAGGCTCCCAGTGTCACAGCTAGTGGCTGGCCAACCTCATTTCCCAATCTGTGTTCCCAGGGAACACCTGTGTCTTTGAGGTCATTAAGAGCTCTACAAAAATGAGGGTTCTTTGGTGGCTACATTTGGGAAAGGTTGATTAAACTAAGTGACACAGGGGTCTTTGCACTGTGGCATTCCTGTGGGGCTTGTGAACAGTGTTTCCTGGCCCAGGGAGCCCTTTCTTTTTAGGGGACAGAATTGACCCTCTCTCAGGAAACTTTTGGGGAGTTCATCATCCTCATTTCCACAACTTCATTCAGTGCCAGAGTAAGTGGCCTAAAAGTTACCTGGTCTGAGTCCTTAGCTGCAGTTGCCCAGTGCCCGGCAGCTGCTGCTGTTGGGGGCAGCTTGGCCCATCACTGTCAGCTCTGGCTCTTAGGCAAAGTCAAAACAGGTCTCCCTGTGGTTGACACCCCTGGGTCCTGCTGTTCCCCATTTTGGGGCCACGGAGAACATGCCCTATTTCTTTTCTGTGTGCTGGCTCAGAGTGAGGCCCTGTCACCCCGTGGTCTTCACTGGCAGTGGGCCGCGTTCACACCAATGCTCCTCTGCAGCCCAGCATCCCTGCCATGACCAGTCCTGGATCATGGGGACCAGTCCTGGGACTACCTGGGGTAGCCCCCACACAATTATTTCTTTTGTGTCTCCCTGGGGCACTCCTGGGCCTTGCGCCTCTTCTCCCTTCCAAGCAGAGCCCCTCTCTGTTCCCTCTCTGCCCCAGCATATCTCGAGAGGGCAAGAAACAGGTGTGTCATTTTGACGTCATCCCCATCCTGGTCCATCTGCTGAAAGACCCAGTGGAGCATGTGAAGTCTAACGCTGCCGGTGCCCTGATGTTCGCCACAGTGATCACTGAAGGTGAGGCGGTGGGGGGTGCCGCAGGGAGGGAGACCCTAGCAGGCTAGCAGCCGTGATGAGCTTTCTGTACTCAGGGGCTGGGTATCGTCCCCCAAACTCCACACTTTGCAAAAAAAAAAAAAACCTCCCCTTGGCCTATCACTGATGTCCTTTCAAGGTTGGGTCCAAGGCCCAGCCCTCCCTCTTCTCCCCAGCACAGTGGCCCCTCACCAGTCACTCACATTAGGACCTCTGTGCCTTCGCACCAGTCTGTTCCCTGGGCCTGGAATTCCCGCCTCCCACCCAGGCCCCTTGTGAGCTGTGACTCAAGGGTTGATTAGTTTGCCATCCATGATTCTGTTACCCTGAGGTCTAAGCAAACCCTGGAGCCCTTGACTCTATGGTGTTTATTCATCCTAATTATTTTTCTTAAACTGGAGGAGGGGGCAAATTCAGAATTATCTCCCCCGAGCCCCCTACCTTGGGACTCCCAGCCAGTCAGGCTTCCCCTCTAAGTCACCCAACCCTGGGCTCATGGAAGAACCCTGGGCTGTTTCCACACCTGGCAGACTGGGGCGTGGCACTCCCAGGACCCCTGAAAGCATTTGACTTTCCCTCTGGCCCCTACACACCCACCAGCCTGGGGCCCTGTGCTTCCTTTGAGTTCCATGGAGGACCATCTGGGCTTGGATTTGCAATCAGCCTCCCAAAGACAGGTCCTCCCAGGCCCTGCACACCTGACCCTAATGCTGCTTGAGGTATGCAGATGGGAGAGGTTGGGGCTTTCTTGGAGTCCACAGCCCCTCCTTTTACTGGTGTAGTCAGGATGCTGACTGCACGGTGGCAGGGGCTCCCCCTGCGTGTTTATCTTGGGGCAGCCTCAGCCCAGTGTCCTTCTCGGTCCAGGCTTTCTGTAGGAGTGCTTGGAGGGCCACGGGGCTCGAGACACAAGAGGCTGAGACCCAGGGAGATGAGGCCACTTATTCCCAAGCTGGCACTCCAGCTGAGGGTCCTGAAGCCCCTGCCACGTGCCAGGCCCTGGGAGGCAGTGATGAGGGATGTGGAGGAGAAGCCCAGCATGGGTGGGGCAAACACAGGGGACAAGTCGCCTCTGGGAAGGGCTTGGGATCAATCCCAAGGACAATGGGAGTTGGCAGGGCCCAGGCTGAGAGGTTCCACCAGCAAAGGGGAGAGTCCACTGGGCACTGCAGGAGCATAGGGCCGGCAAGGACAGCAGAAAGGGGCAGCGAATGGTTGAGGAGGGCATCTCTCAGGAACCATGTGTGTTTTGTGCAGAGTAGGTGCTCAAGAAATATTGGCAACATATATGAACTATTGGGTTTACTTTTTTTTTTTTTTTGAGATGGAGTCTCGCTCTGTCGCCCAGGCTGGAGTGCAGTGGCACCATCTTGGCTCACTGCAAGCTCCGCCTCCCAGGTTCACGCATTCTCCTGCCTCAGCCTCCTGAGTAGCTGGGACTACAGGCGCCCGCCACCATGCCCGGCTAATTTTTTGTATTTTTAATAGAGACGGGGTTTCACTGTGTTAGCCAGGATGGTCACAATCTCCTGACCTCGTGATCCACCAGCCTCGGCCTCCCAAAGTGCTGGGATTACAGGCGTGAGCCACCGCGCCCAGCTGGGCTTACTTTTTTTAAAGAGCCAGTGTCTCAGTGTGTCACCCAGGCTAGAGTACGATGTCACGATCACTGCAGCCTCAAACTCCCAGGCTCTAGTGATCCTCCCCGCTCAGTCTCCTGAGTAGCTGGGACTGTAGGCACCTGTCACTACATCTGGATAATTTTTAAATTTTTGTAGAGATGGAATCTCATTATGTTGCCCAGGCTGGTCTTGAACTCCTGGGCAGGATACGAGGGTGGATGGAGAGGAGCCAGTTGAGGCCGGAAAGGCAGGAGATGAAGAGGCCAGGCCCAGGCCGGACTCAGCGAAGGTGCAAGAGCCCTGAGGGTGAGGGCATGTTGGTGGGGCATAAACCAGGCATAAACCCCTTGAGACTGCACAAGGAGGAGGGTCAGGAGAGGGCTAGGGTGAGAGGGGGTGAGAAGAGGGCCCCTTGGGCTGTTTGGAACGCCTTGTGTTGGTGGCCTGCAGGGAAGTATGCGGCCCTGGAGGCACAAGCCATCGGCCTGCTCCTGGAGCTGCTGCACTCCCCCATGACCATAGCGCGCCTGAATGCCACCAAGGCCCTTACCATGCTGGCAGAGGCCCCCGAGGGCCGCAAGGCCCTGCAGACGCACGTGCCCACTTTCCGTGCCATGGAGGTGGAGACTTACGAAAAGCCTCAAGTGGCCGAAGCCTTACAGCGGGCAGCCCGGATCGCCATCAGTGTCATCGAGTTCAAACCCTGAGCCCTTCATTCACCTCTGTGAGTGAATAAATGTGCTAAGTCTCTTTATCTCGGGTCCGAATGGCACTTTCTGTTCCTGGAGCACAGTCACATCTTTTCTTGCTCTCCTGCCAGAGGGGAAATGCGAGGCCCAGAAGCACCGGGTCTGGGTGGCACAGGCTGAACCCAGTGCGGGGAATGGGTGGGAGGTGGCCTTGGAGTTGTGCTCTCTCTCCTGGGGCCAAGAGTTCCCCTCAGAAGGTAGAGAGTAGGGCTGAGCCCTCCAGAGACAAGGCTGGGGGCAGGGACTTGGGCTGGGGAAGGAAGGAACCCAGATGCGCCAGGCACCACCCAGGTTTCAGAAGATCCAGTGATTGACCCCTGGGGTGTGGCTGGGTGTGGCTCTGCTCAGCCAGGTCTGTCCCTTCCCCACCCTGGGTGATGGGAAGGAAGGTGATAGGTGAAACCCCATGCAGGTTCTTCGTGGAGAAGGTGACTCAGTCATAGAGGCTCCCCCAGGGATGAGTGCTCAGGACAGGGGTAGATTCTGGTTTCCTCGTTAACGTCTTACCCCAAACAGCCGCATTCTTCTCCAAAGCAAGGAAGTCACTCAAGCACGCCCCCAGGTTGGCCTGAAGCCCATCCCACCCTCCATTCTCTCCCTTTGGGTGTATGTGGCCCCCAGGGCAGCCCTCTTCTGCCTGTGCCTTCATCTGGGCTCCTTCCCTGCAGTGAAGGTGACAAGCAGGCTGGGAGCTTAGGCAAGGAGAGAGAGGTGGGCTGAGAGGTGGAGGAGGGGAGAAGCCCAGCTTCAGGGGGCTATGGGGCATGGGGCTGAGGTTGGGGAGTGACTGGGAGAGCTCCTTAATCTCCTCCTACTCATCTCTGCATGGTCTAGTGAGGCAATGGATCTCCTCGTTTCGGGGGAGAAGCAGCCTGTCCTGGCCTCTGTTGGAGGAGATGCTAGAGCAGAACTCAGCTTCCGGGCTGGGCCCTTTCATCTGGGTCTGAGCTGGAGCCTTACTCTTTCTCCAGGAGCTTTCTGAGGCTCTCTCTCTCTCGAAGGTTTCCCTCATTCACATCACCCCTTGGCAGTCATATTTCCTGTGAGGTGCCCACTCCTCCCAGAATAAACCTTTCAGCAAAGCCAGAATCTCAAAGGGAGCCCCTTCTTGCAGTCCTTTCAGTGAGCCCCAGGGGCCCTCACTTTCCCAGAAGAAACACAGGGAAGTTATTGTCCTTGGAATCACAGGATGAATCCAAGTAGGGCCTCTTGTTGTGGAAGGGACAGGCAGCTGGGCCCAGCTGGGGTTTCAGGTTCATCCCCATTCTCAAAAAAGCTGCCCCTAAGAGGGCCGGGTGCAGTGGCTCATTCCTGTAATTCCAGCACTTTGGGAGGCTGAGGTGGGCAGATCACTCAAGGCCAGGAGTTCAAGACCAGCCTGGCCAACATGACAAAACCCCCTCTCTACTAAAAATACAAAAATTAGCTGGACATGATGGTGCACGCCTGTATTCCCAGCTACTTGGGAGACTGAAGCACGATAATCACTTAAGCCTAGGAGGTGGAGGTTGCAGTGAGCTGAGATCATGCCACTGCACTCCAGCCTGGGTGACAGAGTGAGACTCTGTCTCAAAATAAAACTTTAAAAAAGGCCCCCTAAGAGGAAACCTTTTCTCCTTCAGGAAACATTTCCTCATGTCCATTTCCTCATGTTCCAGTCCTGCCTTAACACAGCAGGCTGGCTCTACCCCTTCCACAGGCTCTGGCCAAGATCATCAAACTCCCTGCTGCAAGACCCTGTGCTCTTGGTCTCCTCTGTAGAACCCTCTTTCTTTACATGGCTAGTGGTGCTGATGCTTCTCATGCCTCTGTTCTAGGCTCTCTCTTCTCCCACTTTCCCTGTGCAATCTCATCCGCCTGGCTTTGGGCTTTCTCTACCAGGTTCCCTTCTGAGCTGGGCCTGATCTCTCTCCCCTGTCTCCCCCAGATCTGGGACTCCAGCCCCAGCCTCTCTCCTGAGTTCTGGATTCTTATGTTCAACTTAACATCTACCCTTAAATGTCTCCAGGCAAGAATTAATACCAATCTTTCACAAACTGTTCCAAAAAATAGAAGAGGAAGAAATATCTCCCAACTCATTCTATGAGTGTAATACTACCCTGATACCAAAACCAAAGATATCAGCTGGGCACGATGGCTCATGCCTGTCATTCCAATGTCTCTACAAAAAACACAAAATTAGCCTGGTGTGGTGGTGCGTGCCTGTAGTCCCAGTTACTTGGGAGGCTGAAGCAGGAGAATCACCTGAGCATGGGAGGTCAAGGCTGCAGTGACCTGAGATCACACCACTGCACACCAGCCAAACAAACAAAAACCACTCAAAGATATCAAAAGAAAACTGCAGACCAATATTTGTTATGATTATAGAAACAAAGACACAACCAAATATTAGCAAACCAAATTCAGCAGCATATAAAAAGCATTATACAGCATGACCAGCTGGGATTTACCCCAGGAATGCAAGGTTGGTTTAGCATATGAAAATCAATTAATGTAATATAAGATATAGGTAGAATAAAGGACAAAAGTCACATAATCATCTTAATAGATGCAGAAAAAGCATTCCACAAAGTTCAACACCCATTCATGATGAAAAACAAACTCTCAGAAAACTAGGAAAAGAGGGTAGTTTCCTCAACATAATAAAGAACATCTGCAAAAACTCAGCTGACATTATATTTAATAGCAAAACCTGATTGCTTTCCCCTGATATCAGAAACAAGACCTCTCTATACAGCATTGTACTGGAGGTTCTAGTTAGGCAGTTAGGCAAGAAAAAGAAAGAGCATACAGATTGCAAATAAATAAAGGTAAATTCTGTATTCACAGATTACATGATTTTGTATAAGAAAACTCCCAAGGAAGTACACTTAAAAATGATTAGAACTAATGAATAAGTTCAACATGGTTGCAGGATACAAAATCAATATACAAAAATTAATTGTATTCCCAAATACTAGCAATGAACCATCCAAAAACAAAATTGAGAAAACAGTTTCATTTACAATAACATCAAAAAGAATAAAATACTCAGAAATAAATTTAGCAAAAGGAGTGTGAGATTTGTACACTGAAAACAAAATAGTGTTGAAAGATGTTGAAGACTTAAATATATGGAAAGACATCCCATGTTCATGGATTAGAAGACTTAATATTATCAACATGGCAATAAACATCTTCATGCAGCTCAAATTCTACATATCAGAAATGAGTTCATCTTTTCCCCATACCTGCACTTACTCTTCATTCACCTTCATTGAATGAAGCAGGTGCCCCCTTCATTCACCTGCTCCAGCCAGAGAGTCATCCCTGGCCCCTCCCTCCAAAGGTCTCCACCTCTTTACCTCTCTGCCACCAACTTGCCTGCTTTGCTCTAGCAGTGTCCTGGTGGGTGTTCCTGTCTCACTTTTATCTTCCCAGCAGCAGGAAGCAAATCTGATCCTATCACTTCCTTGCCTACACTTCCAGGGACGTAGGCCCCCAAAGCATACAAGGCCTGCTGGTCAGGCTTCCGACTCCCTCCCTCCCACTGTTCTCCATGCACATGCCGTATCTCAGCATCCTCAAACATACCTTGTACTCTTGCTGCATGTCTTCTCACACATGTCCCTTCTGTTATCCATCCAACTGATTCCCTCTTTCCCTGACTCTGAGGCTAGATGGAGGTTTCTGCTGGATTCTCTTGCAGTGCACACACTGCATCCTGTGAAACGTGGCTAATTCTTGTCCCTCCACAAGGGTGGTTCTGTGGCTTGAATATGATAATGCACTTACCCTGGGCTTGCCTGAAGACAGCAGGACACATGAAATGCTGGCTATTGCTGTGATTGCTTATTTTCCACCATACACCATATACTCCAGAGAGAAGTTCCCCTGTGCTTTGTTCACGGTTATTTTCTTCGAGCTCGACATGGTGGCTGGCACATATTAGACACTCAAAAGTGTCAGCTGAAGGATTAGAGAAAGGATGAGGGCTGGTCATGTGAATATACCTTCAGAGCGTGATTCTCATGATGAAATAACTTCAAGGCACCTGGAACTTTTCCTAAAGACACAAATCATTTATTTTGGACTGGGAAGAAGAAAAGTGAAGGAGAGGTTTAGGGAACCCCTATGGAAACACGGCTGAGGAGTGTCCTCTATCTGATAGCTCAAGTGGATCTAACCTAGGGGGCCAACTCCCAAGAATGTCACGATGCCAGGCAGGCTGTGAGTGTGACTGGGGAGAGCTGGCCTGGAGGGAGTTTCTTCTTAATCTGCCCTCAAGGGATGCAGCACAGCAGAAGCTAAACAGAGTTGAGTGGTGGGGAGGCCTGTTCTATTAAAGCAGAGCCTGCCTCAGTCCCACTGAGGTTCAGGCAGGGGCCAAAGCTTCCATCCCTGGCACCTGTTTCCCCATGGCCTGTGTGGTCATCAGTGCTGGAGAGCACCTACAGGTGAGATTCCCTTGCAGGGGTGGGGTGGGGCTTCCACAACTCGGCATCTTGGCCAGCAGGGACATACCTTGGAAAATAAGGAGAGAACCAAGCAATGGAAGTTGGGTACATGAAAGAATTGGTGACAGTGAAGTAAACACAAGCAAAAATTCCAAATATATATAGAGATGAAAAGCCAAAATTAAATTTAAAGTGAAAGTGTTTATGCAGTGCAGCCATTTGGAGAAAATGACTCATTTTGTAAAGGAACAGATGTTCTCATTTGCATACTTTCTGTAATGGCGAATGGACTTTGCTCTGTCCTGCCACACGGCATGTGTGTGCTGCTGCTGGTAGCCCTTGATGCATGACACCAAGGGAACATTTTTATTAATGTAATCCTTGGTCCCAGGCCCATGGGTCTCCCAGTAGGAAACGCTTTGTCCCTGTTCATGATGATCCTGGAGAAGCAGCAGCTCTGCCTCCTCCTGGACGGCCCCAGCCCAGCTGCTTCAGGCAAAGTAGATGACGCCAAGGACCTTGAGCATGATCAGGATGATCCCACTGATGCCCACAACTCTCCTCCAGTAGGGATTGTCTGACATGTTGCCCCACTCTGTACCTTCCGTCTTCTCAGCAACCTCTACTTTCTCAGTTGCCTCTCCCAGGGCCAGCGCCTTTGCACTTTGCAACGTGTCACCATGCTCTACCTCCTCTGTTGCCTTTGCTGGGGCCACTTTGGGGCCCTCCTGACTCCAGTCCACAGAACATGTCCCAGATCATCCAGGTGCAGCTCTTGGTCTCCTTGCCTACATCTAGAACAGAGGGAATAGGCAAAGGTCAGGAGGCAGGCAGGCCATGGCACAGGAGGGAAGCCTGTGTAGGGACTCACAACATCTCAGCCTCCACGAGTCCAGTGTGAAGACCCATGGGCTTACTCTTAATAAGAAAGAACTGACCTTAGCATGCCCAGATCCCTGTAACTGGCCGGCGGAGGTGGTGTTACAAGAACTTGACCCTCCCTGGGGTGCTGCAGTAATTGCTCACCCTTCTCTGTCCCTATGGGTCTAGGGCAGATGGTCCCTGATCCTCTGAACATTTCACCTCTACGCTCCAAACACCGCTCTTTGGAGGACAGAGGAAGCCCTTTGAGTCATGGAAATAGGCACCATTCTCTTTGGCAATCTCTTGGGGAGTGTCTTCTCGAGGCAACTCCCAGTTTCACTGCACTTGGCCCACAGTAAGGCTGTCCTGGGGCCCTTGAAGGCACATTTTTGGTGCTGTCCAGGAGGAGAGCCTAGAAATCACAGGGAGGTTGCCATTCACTTCTCTAGGCCAAACTAGGGGAAACACCTAACTGAGGGGCTTGAACATCACCCAGATGTCCATGCAGCGCTGGCCTGTCCCCTGAGGCCTGCTTACCTGGCTTAGTACCATGGTCAGCTCCTGGGAATCATTCCCTCCTGGAAGATGAGACGACCCTGTGTTCATTCAGATCAGGCTCCCAGCAGTGTGCATTGTGACGTCTTCTGGGTGTCATCCTGCTGGGCAGCCTCCATGCCAGTGTCTCCTGTGTTCCCACCCCTGCAGCAGAGGCTGAGGAGGAAGCAGAAATGAAGGAACTCATCAGACAGGGACAGAGGAGCCTCTGTTACAAGGGGAGGGGCAGGAACACAGATAGCCTATGCTGGGACTGAGAAGTCCTGAGGACCACATCCTTGCCTCTATTCTCAAATGCCCATTAATTATACCATTATCAGCCTCTGGGACCGAAGAGGTGTGGGAGCCAGTCTGGAAAAAGCAGCTGGTCATTCAACCCCACAGCCCAAAGGCACAAATGCCATCCCACACAGCAGTTAAATGAAGTTTAACCTAAAGTTGCCTCCTTACATATTTTAACGTTGTCTTAAAAGTTTCTCTACATAATGAACTATAACCTAAATGGAGGTGTAAACAGACTGTAACCTACTCTTGTGCCAACCACTGAGTTTTGTCCAGTTAAAGGGGGCCAATTGTTCAAACCATGTTCAAATAAGGCAAATGCTAGGCTGTACCCAACCTGGCCATTTCTTTACCTCACTTTTGTTTTCTGTATGCCACTTTCTTTTTTCTGTCCATAAATCTTCTTCCACCATGTGGTTGTACTGGAGTCTCCCTGAGCCTATTCTGGCTCAGGAGGCTGCCTGATTCATGAATTGTTCTTTGCTCAATTAAACTCTGTTAAATTTAATTTGTTTTTAATTTATTTTTAATTTTTTTATTTCCATAGGTTATTGGGGAACAGGTGGTGTTTGGTTATATGAGTAAGTTCTTTAGCGATGATTTGTGAGATTTTAGTGCACCCATCACCTGAGCAGTATACACTGCACTCAATTTGTAGTCTTTTTTCCCTCATCCCCTTCCCACCCTTTCCCGCAGAATCCCCAAAGTCCATTGTGTCATTCTTATGCCTTTGCATCCTCATAGTTTAGCTCCACTTATGAGTGAGAACATACAATTTTGGTTTTCCATTCCTGAGTTACTTCACTTAGAATAGCAGTCTCCATTCTCATCCATGTTGCTGCGAATGCCATTAATTCATTCCTTTTTTATGGCTGAGTAGTATTGCATTGTATGTATAAACCACAGTTTCTTTATCCACTCATTGATGGGCATTTGGGTTGGTTCCACATTTTTGCAGTTGCGAATTGTGCTGCTATAAACATGCATGTGCAAATATCTTTTTTGTATAATGGCTGATTTTTCTCTGGGTACATACCCAGTAGTGGGATTGCTGGATCAAATGGTAGTTCTACTTTTAGTTCTTTAAGGAATCTCCACACTGTTTTCCATAGTGGCTGTACTAGTTTACATTCCCACCAGCAGTGTAGAAGTGTTCCCTGTTCACTGCATCCACACCAACATATATTATTTTTTGATTTTTTTTATTACAGCCATTCTTGCAGGAGTAAGGTGGTATCACATTGTGGTTTTGATTTTCATTTCCCTGATCATAGTGATGTTGAGCATTTTTTCATGTGTTTGTTGGCCATTTGTGTATCTTCTTTTGAGAATTTTCTATTCATGTCCTTAGCCCACTTTTTGATGGGATTGTGTTTTCTTGTTAATTTGTTTGAGTTTGCTGTAGATTCTGGATACTTGTTCTTTGTCAGATGTATAGATTGTGAAGATTTTCTCCCACTCTGTGAGTTGTCTCTTTACTCTGCTGACTGTTGCTTTTGCTGTGCAAAAGCTCTTTAGTTTAATTAAGTCCCAGCTATTTATCTTTGTTTTTATTGAATTTGCTTTTGGGTTCTTGGTCATGAAATCCTTGCCTAAGCCAAGGTGTAGAAGGGGTTTTCTGATTTTATCTTCTAGAATTTTTACAGTTTCAGGTCTTAGATTTAAGTCCTTGATCCATCTTGAGTTGATTTTTGTGTAAGGTGAGAGATGAGAATCCAGTTTCATCTTCCTACATGTGGCTTGCCAATTATCCCAGCACCATTAGTTGAATAGGGTGTCCTTTTCCCACTTTATGTATTTGTTTGCTTTGTCAAAGATAAGTATTTGGGTTTATTTCTGGGTTTTCTATTCTGTTCCATTGTTCTGTGTGCCTATTTTTATACCAGTGCCATGCTGTTTTGGTGACTGTGACCTTATAGTATAGTTTGAAATCAGGTAATGTGATGCCTCCAGACTTGTCCTTTTTGCTTAGTCTTGCTTTGGCTATGTGGGCTCTTTTTTTGTTTCATATGAGTCTTAGGATTGTTTTTTCTAGTTCTGTGAAGAATGATGCTAGTATTTTGATGGGAATTTCATTGAATTTGTAGATTGCTTTTGGCAGTACGGTCATTTTCACAATATTGATTCTACCCATCCATGAGCATGGAATGTGTTTCCATTTGTGTCATCTATGATTTCTTTCAGCACTGTTTTGTAGTTTTCCTTGTAGAGGTCTTTTACATTCTTGGTTAGGTATATTCCTAAGTATTTCATTTGTTTGCAGCTATTGTAAAATGGGTTGAGTTCTTGATCTGATTTTCAGCTTGGTTGCTGTTGGTATATAGGAGAGCTACTGATTTGTGTGCATTAATTTTGTATCCAGAAACTTTGTTGAATTCTTTTTTCAGTTCTAGGAGCTTTTTGGAGGAGTCTTTAGGGTTTTCTAGGTATACAGTCATATCATCAGCAAACAGTGACAGTTTGACTTCCTCTTTACTGATGTGGATGCCCTTTATTTCTTTCTCTCATCTGATTGCTGTGGCTAGGACTCCCAGTACTATGTTAAAGGGAAGTGGTGAGAGTGGCATCCTTGTCTTGTTCCAGTTCTCAGAGGGAATGTTTTAAACTTTTCCCCATTCAGTATTATGCTGGCTGTGGGTTTGTCAGAGATGGCTTTTATTACATTGAGGCATGTCCCTTGCATGCCGATTTTGCTGAGAGTTTTAATCATAAAGGGATACTAGATTTTGTTGAATGCTTTTTCTGCATCTATTGAGATAATCATGTGATTTTTGTTTTTAACTCTGTTTATGTGGTGTATCACATTTATTCACTTGCGTATGTTAAATCATCCCTGCATCCCTGGTATGGAGCCCACTTGATCATGGTGAATTATCCTTTTGAAATGTCATTGGATTCAGTTAGCTAGTATTTTGTTAAGGATTTTTGCATCTATGTACATCAGGGATGTTGGTCTGTAGTTTTCTTTTTTGGTTACATTCTTTCTTGGTTTTGGTATTAGGGTGATACTGGATTCATAGAATGATTTAGGGAGGATTCTCTCTTTATCTTGTGGAATAGTGTCAATAGGATGGTACCAACTCTTCTTTGAATGTCTGATAGAATTCAGCTGTGAATCCATCTGGCCCTGGACTTTTTTTGGTTGGTAATTTTTAAATTACCATTTCAATCTCGCTGTTGTTATTGGTCTGCTCATGCTATCTAATTCTTCCTGATTTAAGCTAGGAGGGTTGTATCATTCCAGGAATTTATCCATCTCCTCTAGGTTTTCTAGTTTATGCATGTAAAGGTGTTCATAGTAGCCTTGAATGATCTTTTGTATTTCTGTGGTGTCAGTTGTAATTTCTCCCATTTCGTTTCTAATTGAGCTTATTTGGATTTTCTCTCTTCTTTTCTTGGTTAATCTTGCTAATGGTCTATCAATTTTATTTATCTTTTCAAAGAACCAGCTTTTTTATTTATCTTTTGAATATTTTTGTTTCAATTTTATTTAGTTCTGCTCTGATCTTGGTTATTTCCTTTCTTCTGCTGGGTTTGGGTTTGGTTTTTTCTTGTTTCTGTAGTTCCTGTGGTGTGACCTTAGATTGTCTGTGCTCTTTCAGATTTTTCAATATAGACATTTAGGGCTATGAATTTTCCTCTTAGCAGTGCCTTTGCTGTATCCCGGAGGTTTTGATAGGTTGTTCACTGTTGTCATTCAGTTCAAAGAATTTTTAAATTTCCACCTTGATTTCATTGTTGACCCAATGATCATTCAAGGGCAGGTTATTTAATTTCCATGTATTTGCATGGTTTTGAAGGTTCCGTTGGGAGTTGATTTCCAGTTTTATTCCACTGTGGTCCGAGAGAGTGCTTGATATAATTTCAGTTTTCTTAAAGTTATTGAGGCTTGTTTGGTGGCCTATCATATGGTCTATCTTGAAGAAAATTTCATGTGCTGATGAATAGAATGTATATTCTGTGGTTGTTGGGTAGAATGTTCTGTAAATATCTGTTAAGTCCATTTGTTCCAGGGTATAGTTTAAATCTATTGTTTCTTTATTGGCTTTCTGTCTTGATGACCTGTCTAGTGCTGTTAGTGGAATATTGAAGCCCCCCACTATTATTATGTTGCTGTCTGTCTCATTTCTTAGGTCTGGTAGTAATTGTTTTATAAATTTGGGACCTCCAGTATTAGGTGCACATGTATTTAGGATTGTAATATTTTCCTGTTGAATAAGGCCTTTTATCATTATATAATGTGTCTCTTTGTGTTTTTAAACTGCTGTTGCTTTAAAGTTTGTTTTGTCTGATATGAGAATAGCTGCTCCTGCTTGCTTTTGGTGTCCATTTGCATGGAATGTCTTTTTCCACCCCTTTATCTTAAGTTTATGTGAATCCTTATGTGTTAGGTGAGTCTCTTGAAAGCCACAGATAGTTTGTTGGTGAATTCTTACCCATTCTGTGATTCTGTATCTTTTAAATGGAACATTTAGGCCATTTAAATTCAACATTAGTTTTGAGATGTGAGGTACTATTCCATTCATTGTGCTATTTGTTGCCTGCATACCTTGGTTTTTTTGCTTTTTATTTGTATTTTTGTTTTATAGGTCCTATGAGATTTATGCTTTAAAGAGGTTTTATTTTGATGTGTTTCCAGGATTTGTTTCAAGATATAGAGCTCCTTTTAGCAGTTCTTGTAGGGCTGGCTTGGTAGTGGCAAATTCTCTCAGCATTTGTTTGTCTGAAAAAGACGGTCTTTCCTTCATTTATGAAGCTTAGTTTCGCTGACACCTTTTTCAGGCAGATTGGGGATTTCTTGGTTTGGATCCACTGCTGATGAGCTAGTGTGATTTTTTGGGGGGTGTTAAAGAACTTGTTTTGTCATATTACCAGAGTTGCTTTTCTGGTTCCTTCTCATTTGGGTAGGCTCTGTCAGAGGGAAGGTCTAGTGGTCAAGGCTGTTGTTCAGATTCTTTTATCCCACAAAGTGTTACCTTGACGTAGTACTCTCCCCCTTTTCCTAGGGATGTGATTTCCTGAGAGCCATACTGTAGTGATTCTTGTCTCCCTTCAGGATCTAGCCACCCAGCAGGTCTACCAGGTTCCTGTCTAGTACTGGAGGTTGTCTGCACAGAGTTCTGTGATGTGAACCATCTGTGGGTCTCTTTTTGTGGATACCAGCACCTGCTCTGGTGGAGGTGCCAGTGGGGCGATATGGACTCTGTGAGGGTCCTTAGTTTTGGTTGTTTAATGCACTATTTTTGTGCTGATTGGCCTCCTGCTGGGAGGTGACACTTTCAAGACAGCATCAGCTGTGGTAGTATGGGGAGGATCAGGTGGTGGGTGGGGCCGTGGGGCCTTCGAACTCCAAAGCGTATATGCCCTTTGTCTTCAGCTACCAGGGTGGGTAGGGAAGGACCATCAGGCGAGGGCAGGGCTAGGCATGTCTGAGCTCAGACTCTCTTTGGGCAGATCTTGCTACGGCTGCTGTGGGGGATGGGAGTGAGGTTCCCAGGTCAATGGAGTTATGCTCCTAGGAGAATTGTAGCTGCCTTTGCTGTATCATGCAGGTTGTCAGAGAAGTGGGGGAAAGCTGGAAGTCACAGGCCTCACCCAGCTCCCATGAAACCCAGAAGGCTGGTCTCACTCTCACCGTGCCCCACCCCACAACAGCACTGAGTCTGTTTCCACGCAGTCTGCGAGCAGGGCCAAGAACTTTCCCCAGGCTACCAGCCCCCAGCTGCGAAAGCAAGTAGGGCTTTTAGGCTTCCCTGTCTGTGGAGTCTGCACACTGGATTGGCGCCCTCCCCTGAGTTCTGGCCAGGAGACTTCCTGTTTGGTTGGAATTGTTGCAAAGTTCAGCTGGAGGTTTCCTTCTCTCTGTGGCCTTTTCCCAGTTCCTCTGGCAGCCCTCTCCAGGTAACCCTGTGAGACAACTCAGAAATGGCTTCGCTGGGAACCCAGAGAGCCCACAGAGCTTTTCCCACTGCTTCCCCTACCCCCGTATTTCCCTCGGCTCTCTAAATTGACTCAGCTCCAGGTATTGTCAGAATCTTCTCCTGTGATCTAGACTTCAGGTTCCCCAGTGAGGGTGTGTATTCAGGGCCAGATAATCTCCCTTTCTCACTCCCACAGTTTGGGCACTCACGGTAATTGGGGTGTCTCCCAGGTCCTGCAGGAGCAATCCACTTCCTTAAGAGGGTCTGTGGGTTCTCTTGGCTTTCCTGAATTATTCTTGCAATAGTTCTAGAGACTCCACATGCTGCTCTGGTCCGTTTGAGTGAAAGCTGCTATCTAGTTCTTCCTCCTGTCTGCCTTGATCCTCAGGAAAAAAAACCCATAAACTCTGTTAAATTTAATTTGGCTAAGGTTTTTCTTTTAACAGATGGTGTCAGAAGTGGGATCTGAGCTAGAACTTCTAGTAACCCCCAAAGTGCCAAGTGAGCAAGCAAGTTACCCACTGTGCCTGTTGTTTCCATTGCTCTCTCACAGCAACTGGGGATCTTGGTAAGTTCTCCCTCAGATTGTGAGGCTCCACAGATTTGCTCAGAGATTTGAGTTCTCTGAGTTTGTTTGAGCAAATTTTTGATCAACACTGGGTTTGGAAGTTCTGACAGAAACTGAACTGAGTCTACAATTGGATTGTATCTGATAATTAACTGGCTTGGATACAGTTAGGGGCCTCTTTTGTCTGACTGGGTCAGAAAGAAACCAGTAGCAGATGGCAATATTGCAGGGGGTGTAAACTTTGGCTTTTGGAAGTCCACAGGGATTTTTGTGTTTTCTACTTCCTTTGTTTCTTTTTTCCTGTACACTTAGGTATGGAAAAAAATCACTGACATAGTTGCTTGAGGGGACCTGAGAGCCAAAGTCAATATTTGAGGTAAAAATGGGATCCTTTATTTCTAAAGAGCTGAGTACCTTCTGGCTAATCTGTGTATCAGTATTAGGCCCTAGAGGGTGCTAGTAGTAGCAAAGGCTTACAGAAATGGCATTTTTTTTTTTTTTTTTTTTTTTTTGCTAGACAGAGTCTTGCTTTGTCGCCCAGGCTGGAGTGCAGTAGTGCAATCTTGGCTCACTGCAAGCTCCGCCTCCCAGGTTCACGTCATTCTTCTGCCTCAGCCTCCCGAGTAGCTGGGACTACAGAAATGGCAAAATCTTACTAAAGATAATTTAAAGTTACAGTGAAATGTTCCAAATGAACAACCCTGCACTTGAAGAAGTGCATTTGAAAATGAGGTCTCCCAATATAGTCTCATCTAGGGATGTCTATTGATATGCAGAAGCTTCTAAAAAGATTGCAATATTTTTATTTAAAGACTTTTAAAAAGGCAAATAAAAAGCTTAAGTTACTAATAGATACGAAAAATTAAATCTGCTAACCTTTTGGCTTAGTTGCTATGCTGCCCCAAAGGTGAAATGAAAGATATCCTAGATAAAGTATTTATAAAAGGTAGACCCTCAGTTAAAATAGCCTTGCTTCTTTTTCAGATCTATTCATGCTAAGTCCAGGCATACAGAATGCTCTCTTTGCCCTATTCCTTAAGAGGCTCCACCCTGAATTTAGTAATTTTAGCTAAGAAACAGTAGATAAGTTAAAAAGAACACCAACTGAACTAAAATACACCTTTCTGGAATTGAAGTGGCAATCTTAAAAGCCTTTTGTAAAAGAAATTTACATCTATAAAGGAAACCTCCATTTGTAAGGGAGTCTGCCTATGTACAATAGAAACTCTTGCCGTTGTTTTAAATTTACATAATAAGTCATGCCTTTGCTTAAGGTGCTTTTCTGGCCACTTTATCTTGATCAACTTTCACTTATGTACCATTTTTTCCCTCGATTTGAGCAAATGATGATACAATATTTATGCCTAAAATCTTAGCTCTGTGCTTATGAAATATAATTTTTTTTTGTTTCATGTAAGAGCTGTCCCTTTAGAAATGCAAATTTGTTGCCTAGTTAACAATTGCTTAGGGCAGTGAAACAGATAACTGGAAGATTTATAGTCTGTATGGGGGAAAGAAAAACTATTTGAAATCTGTCAAATAAAAATCCTTTATGGAAGCTATAAGATCTGCCTTTGTGTGTTTGTATGTCTATATGTGTTATGTGTATGTGATAATATTTGATAAATAAAGCTGGTTTATTTTTGGCGAAACAGGAATGAGTTCACAATTATCAGTTAAATATAATTAGATACCTGCTTGACTTGACTGTGAACTTATGTTTTTTTTTGGTTTAGAGCCTCTGGATTTAGGGATGTGAATAAGTGTCCATGATGAGGTCTGGAGACATGTTCTCAGTTCCCAGACCAGCAGCTACAAGTCAGAATCAAGCCAAATGTGACCCTTCTTCCCTGCTTTCCCTACTTGCCTACTGGCTATTTTGGAAAGGGGTTGGATCCTCTAGGCACAGTCTTTACAGCTGTCTTCTGTCCTGGCCTCTACACCTGGTATGTAAATTCAGGACTCAGACAGGCCCTGACCTTCATAGTCCTCCTTGGTACTACATGGTTACTTGAGACCCCAGATGACCTGGGGGAGATGTTATGAGAGCCACAGAAGTTCGTGCCATTTGCAGTGGGGAGGAGCCTGGCCCCTCCTCTTCCTGGGTGGTACCTGGGATTCAGTTTGTGAGGTGGGAAGCACACTAGCAGAACTCTGGCTTTGTGGAGAATCCCTGTTTATCTTTTTTCCTTTTCACTCAATAAACCCTGCCATCCTCATCCTTCAAATTGTCTATGAGCCTAATTTTTTTGTGGCCGTGTGACAAGGACCCCCATCTTTAGCTGAACTAAGAGTTCTACAACAATTAGGGATGGTACTTGGGTTATAGTTTCAAAATTCTTTTTAGTAATTAAAAATCTTAAAGTCATGTTATGCCAAAGTAACAGATAATCACAAAATGTCTGAGTCATTTATTACTTAAAATACTGAAATATTAATTATTATTATTATTTTTTGAGAGAGTCTCACTCTGTCACCCAGGCTGGAGTGCAATGGTGTGGTCTTGGCTCACTGCAACCTCTGCCTACTGGGTTCAAGCAATTCTCCCTCCTCAGCCTCCTGAGTAGCTGGGATTACAGGCACTCACCACCATGCCTGGCTAATTTTTGTATTTTTAGTAGAGACAGGATTTCACTATGTTGGCCAGGCTGGTCTTAAACTCCTGACCTTGTAATCTGCCTGCCTCGGCCTCCCAAAGTGTTGGGATTACAGGCGTGAGCCACCTTGCCCGACCTGAAATATTAATTATTAAACAAGAGTTTAAGCCTATATACCTTGACATTTTTATTAACATGGTATAGAAAAGCCAAACATATTTAGATCTGTTAATAAACAGTAATTTGAAGAAACATCTTTCTAAAAAATTGTAATTTTTTCTACAAATACTAATATAAAACAGTTCAAAATTACTTTTTGGTTGGAGTGGTTTTCACTAGAAATTAGGGTTATTAAGAGTTAAAATTATAGTTAATATATGTAATTAAAAATACTAGATATGAGAGAAACAATTCTGTATAAAGACTATCTAAACAAAAGTAAGTTATGCCTTGATTAGGAAGTTTTAAAGGCATAAAAATGTGTTTGTTAAAAATTTTTAGTTTGAAGTTACTAAAGATTTCAAATTGAGGAGTAAAAAATAGATAAAACCAGATAAACATAGAAAGTTGGGGAGAAAACGTAAAGCAAAAGGCTTATGAAAATCTTGTGTAGTTAAAAATGACAGATTTGATAAATTTTTATAAGATTTTATAAAAATTAGCTTTAGTGTTGATAATACACTAATACAAAAGTAAAATTTGGTTTTCTCTTTTGAACAAAAATATTGTGTAGTATCAATAAGGCATAGTAAAATATTTATGTTCATCTTTTAAGTAAACAGCAAAAAGGAAAAAAAGAGAGAAGAGAAGAGACAGATTCTATCTCATGGGGTCTTTCTCAGGTCTCTTGACTGTTTGGAAAACTGAGTATCCTCTATCAAAGAGTGTAGGTTTTGGGTTTAAAAAAATCTTTTAATTATCACTTTGGCTAAATAAATGACTATTATTTTATGGTAGCCTGTGATCTTATTTGGTTACATGTTTTAAACCTTTGACATATTTTACAGGCTTCCCAAAATCAAATTTCACCTTCAAAATTAAGTATTTTTTATCTTTAACTTTTGGATGATAAAAAAGGCTCCTGAAGCATCCAAAAGAAAGATAAATAGAATTATTTGACATGTTAAACTACATGGGAGGCATTGTCAAATAAGAAATAATGTTTAACCTTCTTCAAGTTATATTTTAGTGACTATGTTATTAATATATATTCCAAAATTATATGGCGTTTATAGAATTCTAATGTTTGGGTATATGCTATCAGTCATAATTATGGTTATTACGTTAAATTATTATAAGCCACAGAAATAACCAAATTTCCTTGTAAATTGTCTCTTTAACTATGACCATTTAAAGTTATTTCCACAGTTAATTGCTTAATTCTGATGCAGTTTCTGAAAACTTCACAAGCACACAAAGTCTTAGAATATGGTGTCTTTAAGGAGTTTCATGAAGGGATGAAAAGGACCCTGACAAACACTCTCGAATACAGGTTTCTGATAACTTTCAGATCAAATCATTTGGACTGGGTAAGAATTCCTGAACTCTAATAAAGAGACTGACTGGTTTATAAAACTGCTACCCAAGCAGGAAAAAAATTGAATACCAAGAAGGTACTTTGCCAGATTTTTATGCTAAATCAATTAATTGTTTAGATACGCAGTTCAAATGAATTCCATGGTCCAGGTCAAATTACCTATGATAACCTATCAGTTATCAGTGCTATGCACCTACACTGGAGAAACAGCTGGTATGTAAGAGGACGTAAGTTCAGTGTTAAGTGTGGACTCATGGAGAACCTGGATGCCCACCTCATCCTTCCTGAGTCCTTAAAGCTTTTGTTATTAAAAGCTTTGCATTCCATGACTAATCGTGAAAGAGATAAAATGATTCAAATTAAATATATATATGTGTATGTGATGACTGTTCTAAATTGCTAAAATAGTTTATGACCAATATTTAGTTTGTCAAACCCACATTCCTGGAAAGATAATAAAAACTTCAGGTACATTTTTGCTACATGGAGAGTCATTTAAATTTTTATAGAGGGATTTCATTCCATTGTCATTTCCAGTGCATGTTTTCTGGTCGTATAAAAACTTTTCGTGCATGCAAGAGGGCTGATATAACAGTAGGTCATTATGCCAAAGTGTATTTTCAGGTAAAGAAAGCTTTTCATGGTCCACTGACAGGACAATCAACATCTTCACAATCTAGAACCTGAAGATTGAATTTTCTGAGAAAATTGGAGAAAGACTGCACTTGCCATCCACACTACAGCAAAACTTCCAGATCTTGAATCTTGGGTTTTTAATCTCACAACTCATAAGGGCCCCTCCAGACTCTTGGAACTGTACATCCATTGGAAACCTTAGGTAAAGCTAACCAGGGAAGTTTCTCCCCAGAAGTAGACAGCATCCTTGATGAGGACAGCTTTTTTCCAAGATCATGAATCAAGACTTCTCTGCTAACATGAGACTCTTATCTTTCAATTTTTTCCTTGCTTATGCCTCTGCAAACAATAGGAGTGAAAAGGGGGTCTTTTGTGTGCACGCATGGGGTATACTTTTAAATGAAGAATTTTACAGCTAGCCTTATACATGGACAAACTTATGTCTTGATAGATGGAAGATAAAAGGCCAATGTAGGTAAGAAATTTTAGTGGCACATGTGTTGCTTCATAAGCAGTCAGAAGCAGAATATTCATTCACTCCTCTTAACCTATTGATGCATCACATGCTAAAGAGAACATTTCCACGATCCTTCATTCTTCTAGATGGGCATCATTTCTTAGGTCTCTTTTTCCATGGTTTGGAGTAAATGAGGCAATGATTAGAAATGTATCCCTGATGATAGGCTCTACAGCAGATTCTATTGTAAAGGCCATGGTTACACAGCAGGCTTGAAATTATCTTTTGAAGGCCAGGTGCAGTGGCTCATGCCTGTAATCCCAACACTTTGGGAGGCCAAGGCAGGCAGATCACCTGAGGTCAGGTTGAGACCAGCCTGGCCAACGTGGTGAAACCCTGCCTCAACTAAAAGTACAAAAAATTAGCTGGGCATGGTGGCGGGCGCCTATAATCCCAGCTACTCAGGAGGCTGAGGCAGGAGAATCGCTTGAAACCAGGAGGTGGAGGTTGCAGTGAGCTGAGATCACACCACTGCACTCCAGCCTGGGTGACAGAGCAAGACTCCATCTCAGTCAATCAGTCAATCAATCAATCAATCAGTAAATACATTCTCTTGTGAAAGTTATGCTAAATAACAGAATTTCTCTAGATTATTTACTGGCTAAACAGAGAAGTATCTCTGCAGTTGGTGGCACTTCTTGTTTCCTGTGGAGAAATAAATCAGGTATTATAGAGATTTGGTTGTAAGAAATGAATGAACGGGCTGCTTGGTTAAAGCGAGTAGACTCTTCATCTAGCTCATTCTTTGATCTATTTGGTTTTAGGTGGTTTGGTTTATGGGGACCCTGGCTAAGGAGCATACTCCAAACTCTGTGTATTATCCTGTTGATAGTCATAATAGTAGCCCCACTGGTGCACTGTATTCTCTCAAAAGTTTTAAATATTTGCTTGCAGCCATCTCTAGAATTTCAGATGGTGTCTCTTCAACTGGAATGACAAGAGCTCAAATAAATGTATGACCATGAGGGCACTGTAACCTATGAATGATGGGTTGAGACTGGAAACCCAAAATGATGGTAACTGAGAGTGGTGCTAAGGCTGTAAGTTTTGGTCAGACTCTCACCTATGTGAGAATGTGACCAAAAGGGAGGAATTCTTAAACGAGATTATGAAAGACCATTGTTTTAGACTGAGCTCCTGTACTAACCCCAACAGATCAGATCAAACCAAAATGGAGTCACTTATGGTAAACTTGATATAATCGAACTAAGACTTTAAAGATACAAATATATCAGAACAGACCAGGTTTTGTTTTTCTCCTGTAAACTGGACATTCCAGCATGAGGAGGTACTCTCTACTCTAACCCTTACAAAAAAATAATCTGATGTCCTTGTTCTCGCCTTACAAAATCCACTCTTCTGCTATTTCCGTAGGTTTTGAGACCAAATAAGTATGTTTACAATGGCGATAGTGACATCAATGACTACAGTTTTGGTCAATCTATCAAAATTGAGAGCATGACCGAAAGAGGGGAATCATTACATCAAATTTAGTCTAAAGCTTCCTCCTAACATATTTTTAAGTTTGCCCTCATAGTTTCCCTGTACATAGTGAACTATAACTTAAATGGAGGTATAAACAGACTGTAACCTACTCTGGTGCGGATCAGTGAGTTTTGGCCAATCAAAGAGGGCCAACTGTTCAAACCATGTTCAAATAAGGCAAATGCTGGGCTGTAACCAATCCGGCTATTTCTGTGCCTCACTTTTGTTTTCTGTGTCACTTTCCTTTCTCTGTCCATAAATCTTCTTCCATCAAGTGGCTGCACTGGAGTTTCTCTAAACCTACTCTGGCTCAGAAGGCTGCCTGATTCACAAATCATTCTTTGCTCAATTAAAGTCTGTTAAATTTAATTTGGCTGAGGGTTTGTTTTTTTTTTTAACAGAGTCTTGCTCTGTTGTCCAGGCTGGAGTGTGGTGGCACGATCTCAGCTCACTGCAACCTCTGCCTCCTGGGTTCAAGTGATTCTCCTGCCTCAGCCTCCCAAATAGCTGGGACTGCAGGCGCATGCCACCACGCCCGGCTAATATTTTGTGTTTTTAGTAGAGACGGGGTTTCACTGTGTTAGCCAGGATGGTCTCCATCTTCTGACCTCGTGATCCACCCACCTCAGCCTCCCAAAGTGCTGGGATTACAGGCATGAGCCACCGCGCCTGACATTGTTTTTCTTTTTAAACATAGCCAAGGCTGGATGATGGCAGCAGGACAGCCAGTGTGGCTTGGAGCCCACACTGTGGAGGGAGCCTGCTGTGTTGAGACCCCAGCTCTACACTGATTGTTTATCTATTGGGCCTGGGGCAAATTGATTAACTGCTCAGTGCCTCAGTTTCCCTAGCTCTAAAATCGGGGTAGTAATCATGCCTGTCACATATAGGTATACTTCTGACAGTTCCTGGTGCATCCTACTGAGAACAAGTGCCTTGTACATTGTGGGTACCCAGGAAGCCAGTTTACCCCCTCTCAGAGGAGAGCCATCAGCAGGCACTGAGGGAGCCTGGAGCCCTGCATCCTGCAGGTGCCTTGAGTCCTATGCCCAGGAGAAGCTGCTCCCTCACCCCACAGCAGTCTACAGAGCACCCACCCTGGCCAGGTGTACACTTCCCTGTGCAGGTGTCAGGAGGGAGCCATTGACTCTCTGGGCTCTGACTTTCTCTGGCAGGACTATAGGGAACCTAGAACCCAGCCTTCTCCCAGCCAGGCCCTCCCCTCCCTCCCGCAAACTCACAGTCTCCTCATCACTCTCTGCCTCAGATTCAGGACTAATCTCATTATGTCCTTTATCCCTGTTTGCGTCAGGGACTGCAAGAAGCTCAGGTCACCCTCCCCCTATGGCCCTGAACACTCCTTTTCTGACCCCATCTGCTGAAACCTTTCTTTCAAGCCTTCTGGAGGCCCCAGGGTCTCAGCCTGTTCCTGGAACATCCTCTCCCTTCTCGCTCGGACTGAAACCTAGCTCTCCCCAAGACCTGCTTCCCCACTCTGGGCGTCCTCCTATGTGGGACTGCTTTCCTCCCTCACTGTCCCTCATACCCTCACTGGAGTCGAACAGGTCCTTACAGACCATCTCCTTCTCCCGTTCTGAGGAGCCCTCTGGTTCCAAATCCCTGCACAGGCTCTGTAACCCAATTCCTCCACCCTCCCCGACACCACACCACCAGATTGCTCCTGTGGGGCACAACGTGGTCTCCATGTGTAGGAACCCAACTACCAGTCATCAGGCCTCATCTTTCTTCAGCCATCAGCATTTCCCTCAATGGATCCTCACCACCTCCCCCTCCCTAAAACATTTCCAGGAAACAAAGTACTTCTGCTTTTCTGCCCCTGCACTGTCTCTTCCACTTCCCATGGGGTGGCCCTCGTACCCCTTGTGTTTCCCTTATATGCACCTCTGGGAGCCTACCAGTGCATTTTCTGTCCTCTCCCATGCCCGTCCCACCAGCCCAGATGGTTCCACCTGGCTGTCTCATAGGTGCCTCCACTTGCCCTGAACACCCCCATGAGGTGTCTCAGGACAAGTGAATGCCTGGGCCCCTGCCTGGAGGGACATTTCTGAGGGTGCAGAGTGTGGGGCCAAGGGGTGCTGAGTACTGCACACAGGACTTTGGAACCTCCTCTCATCTGGCTGTGCTGCGGGGATGGGGATTCTGCTCCCCTGTGTCTCTGCATCCTGATCTACCGTTTCCTCTTGGCTGATGCATAAACTCCAACAGAGCTGGTGGAGCCATGGAGGGAGGAGAGGGGTGCGTCACCACCTGGGACCCTGCCATGAAGACCACACAGTACCTTGGCCCACAGCTGGACACCAGGATCTCAAAGGACTGAAAAGAGATCTGGTTGTTAGACTCCAACACAAGATGGAATGTGGATGGGAAAGTGTAGGAATCAGGACCCTGGAGTTTGTTCTGGCTCTGGCACCCTGTGGTGTGTGACCTTGGCAAAGGGTGACACACTGCTGTGGGGCTCAGTGTCCCTCAGCTGTGAGGCAGGAGTTGGAGGCAATAAGCTCAGAGCTCTTTCCCCGTCTGAGGGTGCAGGAATGTGAACCTCTTCATATGGGGAGCAGCTGCCCATCACGCTGGGGTCTACTTCTGATGGTGGTGCTGGGAGAAGCTCTGTCATGTGGATGCACAGGACAGGGCAGCCCCAGAGCTGCTTTCATTCCAGAGCCCTCTATGGGCATCAGAGACGGTGCTAGCTCAGTCCAGAAGAGCCAGCACCTGGGCCTAGGGCCTAGTTCAGCTGCACCTTTGCGGACCCTAAGGGGGGCACTCCCTTTCCCTTCTGGTCTGTCATTTTTTCCTCTTCCTAAAAACATATCTGCGAACTTGGGGAAGTAACAAAACCCAGCTGATTGTTGTGGTTTTGTTTTGTTTTAAGGGCTGGGATCAGGAGAGTAGATACATTGGAACCTGTTACCCCAGCCTCAGTGGAGGGTATTTGAAGCTCTGGCCCACACTCTCTCCTGCTAAACCATGGCAGGGATGTTTAGGAGCCCTGCTGGGCTGTGCTGCCTCCCCAGCCTGAGCCCCACCTCTCAGACTAGAATTCTGGGACTCAGATTCTGCTGTGTTGATGACAGAGACTCAGCTTAGCCTTTAATTGCTTCCTGGTGATGCCATATGTGCACATTTTGCCTTCTCAAGGACACAATCAGCTTCCTGTGGATGAGGTCACTGGAAGAGCCAGGGCCAAGGGTTGCACAGTGCCTGTGGGCTTCTGAGCTTGCGTTGAGTCGGGGACAGAGTCATCCTTCCCTGACAGTGGTGAGCAGAGGTGCCATGCACAGTGGACCAGGGCCTGGCACGTTGTCACTGACCCATAAACACTCATTTTTATCTTCCTCTCCCCTTCCTCTTTCAGCAGCTACTTTCTTTTTTCTTTTCTTTTCTTTTTTTTTTTTTTGAGACAGAATCTCAGTCTGTCACCCAGTCTGGAGTGCCGTGGCACAATCTCGGCTCACTGCAACCTCCGCCTCCCGGGTTCAAGCGATTCTCCTGCCTCAGCCTCCTGAGTAGCTGGGACTACAGGCACGTGCCACCATGCACAGCTAATTTTTTTTGTATTTTTAGCAGACACAGGGTTTCACCATGTTAGCTAGGATGGTCTCGATCTCCTGACCTCGTGATCTGCCCACCTTGGCCTCCCAAAGTGCTGGGATTACAGGCGTGAGCCACCGTGCCTGGCTTCAGCAGCTACTTTCTTTGTGTTCTCTAGAGCCAGGCAGGTAGGAAACACTCAAAAAAATGTGTGGCTGACTAAACAAGAAGTGAGCAACATCAAGAAGTTGAGAGTAAGAGAACAGCAGAAAAGAATACAGAAAACGGATGAGACCCTGAGCAACAGGAAATAGAAAGTCACCCACCCCCAGCTTCTCAAAGTGCCAGGAGCAGGGAAGTCTCCCATGTGTGTCACTGATGCAGGTGGCAATCACGTGGGGTGTGAGCAGCCAGCTCCTTTCCCCATGTGCTTTGCCCCTCTTCCAGCAGGGCTATGTGTGCAAGAGAGGAATGAACCAAATGGAAAATGCTGAGCAGAAAAATGGGGTGGCCAGAGGGAAAATCCCCACGATGGAGCTGGGGGACCCTGGGGCTTGCAGTCTTCCAAGTGCCAGTTTTTATCCAGACCCTGGGTGAAGCTGGTAGAAAGGTACAGGTCTTCTGTCCCCAGTCCCTTCTGCGGTCCTCCCTGAACCTCAGACCCTGTTGCTTGCTGGCTGAACCCTCAGGACCCTCTCTCCTGCTGCTTTCTGTTGGGGCCAAGTCCCTGTCCTGCTAAGTTGGCAAAGTGGGTGACTTTGTTACCGATGGAAGGGATCCGAGTTACCCCAAGTTACTGGTGGCCTATCCATATGGGTCTGTAGCAACTTCAGTCTTTGCCTTCTCAGAAGAAAGGATTTGACTGAGAGACATAAAGCAGAAAGAGAGACTGAGGCAAGTTCCAGAACAGGAGTGGAAGTTTATTTTAAAAGGCCTTAGAACAGGAAAGAAAGGAAGGGGTGCTTGGAAGAGACCCAGGAGGACATGTGAAGGTTAAAGAGAGAAGGTCAAGTGCCCCATTTAACCATGATCCTAGGACTTTTATGAGCTTGCCTCTTTCCCATGATTCTGCCCTTCGGGCGGGCTTTCCGCATGCGCAGTGCTTTCCTTAGCCTTTGGAATTGAGCATGCGCACTGTGTTTAGGGAGTTATATGCACGCCCGTCTGAGGCTTTCTTTCTTTTTCCAGTGGCGTGTGCCCCCGGAAGATCATACTTCACCATTTTTGTCTCCTAACTTGCATGCCCAGGAAGTTGCTTCTCCCTGGGGCCTGCATTCAATTAACATTTTGCTGTTAACAGGTGTGGAACATCAGGAAATGGCCTCTCTCTGGTGCTGTTGCGTTATCATTTTTAGAGAGGCAATGTGATAACTGCTGAACCATCACCTGACATTTCTAGTGGGTAGGGGAGAGCCCTCTCCTGCCCTGTTCACACTTATCTAAACTTATAACAACCTGGTGGAGCCAGCATGAGTTCTGGAGCCAGGTTGGGGCCCAGGCCTGACACTTAGTAGTTTTGTTACCTTGGAGAAATTACTTAATTTCTCTGAACCCAGACTTTGTAATAAATATTCAAAACAGGGGTGACTGACACCTGCCTCCTGGGAGGTAAGAAATGGCTCATGAGGAGAAGGCTGTAGGCAGCTGCCCACAACACCACCCCTCCCCCTTGCCATTGGCTTAATTCCCCCTGGGTGGGTAGCAGCTGGGATTGCCCTGATTGCATTAATGCATACTGAGGTTGGTGAACTTAATACTTCCAAAGAAAATTTGCATTTTAAAAGCCAAACTTCTCTATCTAAATGAACACCTAATTGACAGATCACTGCAGAGCATTAGGTGAGTTCAGCTTTGTTTCATTAAGCCGGGCCCTTCCAGGGTTACCCTCCTATTTCTAATTCACTCCAGTGCCACCCCCAGCCCTCCTCTTTCCAAAGAGAATGCAGGAATTCCCCTATTTTTTTTTTTTTTAGATGGAGTTTCGCTCCTGTTGCCCAGGCTGGAGTGCAATGGCGTGATCTCGGCCCACCGCAATCTCTGCCTCCCAGGTTCAAGTGATTCTCCTGCCTCAGCCTCCCGAGTAGCTGGGATCACAGGCAGGCACCACCACACCTGGCTACTTTTGTATTTTTAGTAGAGATGGGGTTTCTCCATGTTAGCCAGGCTGATCTCGAACTCCTGACCTCAGGTGATCCGCCTGCCTCGGCCTTCCAAAGTGCTATTAGGGTCCACCCCAGAGCACCCTACCTAGTAGCAATTACTTGGTTATCAGGAGTTGGGTCTGTGAGTAAGGAGATCCCTAGCATGCTGAGACTGACCAGGAGCAGCATCAAGATGAAGTGGAGACAGTGCTGTAAGCTGCAGATGAGCAAAGGGCCGTTGCTGTTCTCCATGCAGCTCGAGGGGCTATAGGCCCGATGGACCCCCAATTGAAAGAAGCCAATCACCATCCCACAAGTCAGCCTCCAGAAGGCACCCTACCAAAGAGGAGCCCACCGGAGTCACCTGGCAGGAAGGTGGGTGATGAGACAAACCATTTTCATCCTTGCTCCCCTGACTAGCTGAGTTCCAAATGTGTCCTAAATAACAGTTTTCCATCTGTCTATGTGGCACCTTCATCTCTCTGGTTGCTTAAGGTAAAACATCCTCTGGGAGCCATCCCTGGTTCCTTTCTATTCTGCCCTGCCACTGATCCATTGGTAAATCCTGTTGCTAGGCAGAGGATCCACAGGAACCATTGCTGGAGATGGGCAGAAGCCAAATTGGCATGCTCTCTGAAGCAGGGCAGGAGGGAGGGCTTGGAGAGTTCTCTAATCCAGGAAAGTATGTGCAATGTGCCCGCAACTTCAGACCATGGGTAGCAGGAGAGCCACTGACTGGATCCTCCAGTTTTCTGTGGTGATAGGTTCCAATACCCTGAGGCTGGCATCCCAGGTGGGAGGCAGAGTCCCATTACTGCCTGCCCTCTTGCTCATGCCCTTCCCAGGGAGAGCAAAGAGAGGCAGCTCTGGCATCCCTGAAGCCTAGTGCTCTCCTTCCACATGCATGGTGCTAAGCTGAGTCCTGTTAAGTTGGGTGGTGCAGGGAGCACTGGCAGGTTGGTTTAGAGGACTGAACTCAAGGGAGGAAGCGCTGGCCAGGTGGAGGAGTAAAAAAATATTTCTGGCAAAGAAAACAGTCTCTGCCAATGAAGAAAGGCCAGAGAAGGTACACGACAATTCAGTAATCAGCACTGTGAGCGTTTGGAGTGGCTGGGACCTAGGGCTGTGCATGCAGAGAGTGAGGCCAGAGAGGCAGGCAGGACCAGATCACAGAGCCTCCGGTGCTGTGCTTTTGCGATGCCCAGCTATGCAGTGCTGTTAGGGGAAACAAGATTTAATACAAGACTCAAAAATAAAAAGAAAGAAAATATCTGACAAGCTACACTTTCAGTCTTATTGATAAAATATCGAGCCATTAGTTGGGATCTTTGGTGTTAAGTGTGGCTGAAAGAGATGGTCAAATAATTACCTCCTCATTGCAGGGAAGGTGGAAGGAGCCCACTGCTATGCATCCCCTGTGGGCATGAAATCTCTAAGCATGACGCGTCCGTGTACAGAGGCCACAGAATAATATTTTCCTACAGCCAAATTGTGTGAGAGAGAACCATTTACAATTTTGCATAATCTATGGCATGGCTAAAAGCAGATTACACTACAAAGGGAGGAAAACAAATAAGAGCTCTCTGCCTCCATGAGCAAGAAGGAGCTTGGATCAACCCTGGCCTGGAGACAATCATGTCTCAGAAAGCAAATGATGCCAGGGTGTAAACCCATGAGGTGAAATAGAACCTTCTAGGGCAACACTTGCAAAGACAACTACAATGTGAAGGCAACCCATCACCCTGGTCCATGCGGTGGCCATGCCAACACCCACCTGCTCAATGACTCTCTTGCAAAACATGGTGTTGATGAAAAGGGTCAAACTCTGCAAAATATTTGAAAAGATTTATTCTGAACCAAATATGCGTGACCAATGGCTCATGACACAGCCCCAGGAGATCCTGAGAACATGTGCCCAAGGTGGTGGGGCTACAGCTTGGTCTTATATATTTTAGGGGGACATAAGATATCAATCCATATATGTAAGATGTACATTGGTTCAGTTCAAAAAGGCGGGACAACTCAAAGCAGGGAAGGTGGAGGGGCTCCAGGTCATAGGTGGATTTAAAGATTTCCTGATTGGCAATTGGTTAAAGAGTTATTACCTAAAGACCTAGAATCAATAGAAAGGAATGTCTGGGTTAAAATAAGGTATTGTGGTGACCAAGGTTTTGTCATGTAGATGAAGACTTCAGAGCTCTTATCAGACCTAAAAGGTGCCAGACTCTTAGTTAATTCTCTTGGGTCACAGAAAAGACCTGGCAAGGGAAGGGGACTTTCTACAGAATGTAGATTTCCTTCAGAAGAGACAGCTTTGCAGGGCCATTTCAAAATATGTCAAAGAAGCATGTTTGGGGCTAAAATACTTTATTTCAGGGCCTGCCATCTGTCATGTGATGCTATACTAGAGTCAGCCAGGAATTTGATGTCTTATTGCTACAAGAAGTCTGTATTGTCAGTCTTAAGATCTCTGTTTTAATGTTAATGCTGGTTAGTTATGCTCGAATTCCAAAAAGAGGAGGGAATAATGAAGCATGTCTGACCTCTACTTCCCACCATGGCCTCAACTAGCTTTTCAGGTTTACTTTGGAATGCCCTTGGTAAAGAGGGGTGTCCATCAGTAAGTTGTAGGGCTTAGAATTTTATTTTTGGTTTACATTCTCCTCCTTCTGGCCAAGATTTCCCAGAGAAAACAGCAAGCCACCAAACTTTTATTTCGTCCCACAGCATTGCTGGGGTGGTGTGGCTGCCTGCCATGGGTCCCTTCTGTCTCTAAGTGGGACTCCTACAGCCAAGAGACTTAGAGCTAAAAGACATAATTTAAATGTTCTGAGCCAGACAGGAATAAAGGTGGACAGGCATTCATCAACCCTTAACGTTCTTTTTCTTTTTCTTTTTCTTTTTTTGTTTTTTTGAGACAGAGTCTTGCTGTGTCGCGCAGGCTGGAGTGCAGTGGCACAATCTCGGCTCACTGCAAGCTCCGCCTCCCGGGTTCATGCCATTCTCCTGCCTCAGCCTCCTGAGTAGCTGGGACTACAGGCGCCCGCCACCACGCCCGGCTAATTTTTTGTATTTTTAGTAGAGGCGGGGTTTCACCGTGCTAGCCAGGATGATCTCGATCTCCTGACCTCGTGATCTGCCCACCTCGGCCTCCCAAAGTGGTGGGATTACAGGCATGAGCCACCGTGCCCGGCATAGGCTGTTGATCTATTTTAAATGACTTTTTGTGCATAGTGTGAAGTAGGGTTTCAGAGTCTTTCTTTTGCATGTGGAAATCGGTGCACCATTCTCCTGCCTCAGCTTCCCAAGTACCTGGGACTACAGGCACCCACCACCACGCCCTGCTAATTTTTTTTGTATTTTTAGTAGAGACAGGGTTTCACGGTGTTAGCCAGGCTGGTCTTGATCTCCTGACCTTGTGATCCGCCTGCCTCGGCCTCCCAAAGTGCTGGGATTACAGGCGTGAGCCACCGTGCCCAGCCAGGTGCTTGTATAGTTTTAGCAGCAGGGCATTGGCAGTGAAAAACACATCGGGCCCAGCAGGATCTCAAATGAGGGAGATTCACGGGCTTTGTCAAATTGTCTCTAGCCTTCAGAATACCATAATTCTGGTTTCCTCAGAAGAAGTAAAGCTATGTGACCTAAATAACAATAATTTGACCATCAAAAAAGAATTTGTGTGTCAGAACAGAAAAATAACCCTCTTCCATTAGAATGCCAACTAAAAACATAAAGAAAATCATAACCTTGTTTGTCTTTAGAGGACTGTTATAGCCAAGAAATAATTCATGATTTAATCTGTGCTCAGAAACAAAGGTCAGGGCTGCAATCTAGTAACAGGTGTGTGAATAGTTTTCCTTTTGAAACATAATTTTTCTCTCTCTAGCCCTGTTTTTCCACTAAAGAGAAATCATGGTAAGGCCAATTTGTGTGTAAGTTAAGTTTTAGGCTTATACTTGGCCTAATTATGTGCATAAAGTTCAACAAGAATTGATTGGCCACATAGGCTCTTTTCAAGTTGGCTTTGCTGGGACTCCTAAAAATATATTATTTAGTCAAAGCCTTGGTAAAATAACCAGTGTCTCCAATTATGTCCTCTTAACCGAACTTATGCAAACAAGTATATTGCCATAAAATAAGGATACTCATGAATAGTTACCGAATTTAGGGGAACTCAGGTAGCAAGAAAGGTAAATTCTGTTCATAAAAGTATACTTCACAATCAGAGTAGCAGCCTTCCAAATAGGATGTCAGTTGTTCACCTAGGAACGGCCATCCGCAAACTAAGCAGCTCTTTGTCAGTCAGGGAAGAGCTATTTATCAAGCACTGTAGAATCTAGCAGCTCCTCATGCAGTGTTAATCCTAAGGGGGAAAAGAAGCTCCCTGCTTGCAAGTATCTTCTCCTTGCATTTTCCAGGAAGCAAGATCTTACATAAACCATTTGTTTTCTCATGGAACTCTTTTGGGCATCATTATTTCCATTACTGCAGGGATAGCTTCAGGTCCCTTATATTTTTACGTTCTTGTTCTAGGAACATTTCTTCTCTATCCCAGACCGTTTTATCTTCCCTGGTGAGAGTGAATCTGGGTTTCCAGCAGGGGGGCTGGGTGAAGGGCCTCAGGCCCTTTTGTCAATCATTATCGTAATTTGCCTCAACATTGCCCCAGGCAATGTCAGCTCTCTCATTTTAACTCCGTGTCTTTTGATTTTTCTTAAATTTCTCCAATCTGGAGCAAATGCAGAAAGCAGAAAACTAAAAACTGGTGTCGGGCTTTATAATGTTGGGGACCAGCAGGGGCTCCCTTTAGCCAATAATTTGACAATCAGAAGAGAACTTGTGTGTCAGAACAGAAAAAGAAACCTATTCCATTAGGGCATCAACTAAAAACATCAGGAAGGGAATTGTAACCTGGTTTGTCTTTAGAGGACTATTATAGCCAAGCTATATATAATAGCCACTATCAAAGCTATTATAACCTTTGATAGTGTTGTAAAGACCTTTGTTTTAACCCCATCAATTTTCATTTTATTTCATTTCTTAATAACCACTCATCTTAGAAGAGTCTTTTGACTCCCATTTGCCTTTCCTATTTTTCTTTTAAGCCGAATGTTTTATTAGCATATGCAAGACCCATGAAGAACAGCAAATTTGTTCTGCAGAAGTAATGTCACTTAGTCAGAGGCATTTGAAGTGGAGTGACTCCATCTTGTAGAGGGGCTGGGTAAAATAAGGCTGAGACCAGCCAGGTGCGGTGGCTCACGCCTGTAATCCCAGCACTTTGGGAGGTCGAGGTGGGCAGATTACCTGAGGTCAGGAGTTCAAGACCAGCCTGGCCAACATGGTGAAACCCTGTCTCTACTAAAAACTACAAAAATTAGCCGGGCTTGGTGGTGGGTGCCTGTAATCCCTGCTACTCAGGAGGCTGAGGCAGAGAAAATCGCTTGAACCCGGGAGGTGGAGCTTGCAGACAGCCGAGATTGTGCCACTGCCCTGCAGCCTGGGCAACAGAGGAAGATTCCATCTCAAAAAAAAGAAAAGAAAAGAAAAGAAAAAGGACTGAGACCTACTGGGCTGCATTCCCAGGAGGTTAAGGAATTCTAAGTCACAGGATGAGATGGGAGGTTGGCATAAAATACAGGTCACAAAGACCTTGCTAATAAAAAACAGGTTGTGGCTGGGTGTGGTGGCTCACACCTGTAATCCTAGCACTTTGGGAGGCCGAGGTGGGCAGATCACGAGGTCAGGAGATCAAGACCATCCTGGCTAACACGGTGAAACCCCGTCTCTACTGAAAAATAGAAAAAATTAGCCGGGTATGGTGGCAGGCACCTGTAGTCCCAGCTACTCGGGAGGCTGAGGCAGCAGAATGGCGTGAACCAAGGAGGCAGAGCTTGCAGTGAGCCGAGATGGTGCCACTGCACTCTAACCTGGGTGACAGAGCAAGACTCCATCTAAAAAAAAATAAAAAATATAAATAAATAAATAAATAAATAAAAAACAGGTTGTGGTTAAAAAAAAAAAAAAGCCAACCAAACCCCACTGAAACCAATATGGCAACAGAAGTGACCTCTGGTCATCCTCACTGCTCATTATATGCTAATTATAATGCATTAGAATGCTAAAAGACACTCCCATCAGTGCCATGACAGTTTACAAATGCCATGGCAATATCAGGAAGATACCCTATATGGTCTAAAAGTGGGAGGAACCCTCAGTTCCAGGAATTGCCCACCCCTTTCCCAGAAAACTCATGAATAATCCATCTCTTATTAATCATATAAGTGAGAAATAACTTTGCTTATGGAGTAGCCATTTTTTTGTTTCTTTACTTTCTTAATAAACTTGCTTTCACTTTATGTACTTGCCCCAAGTTCTTTCTTGCATGAGGTCTAAGAACCCTCTCTTGGAGTCTAGATTGGGAACCCTTTCTGGTTATAACCTGGGGTGTCCATGTGGAAGGGACCCCCTTAACTACAGCATTTACCATAACTTGGGTAATAGCCATATTCAGTGGGTGAATATCCTGGTCATGATAAAGCCAGTCCTAGATGGCTTGTATAGAAAGCATATCAGCTATTTCATCTGGGGTGCTCCACTTGGCATTTTATAGGGAGAGTTAGGAAATGCCCTTCTCAGGGTAAACAGATCTTACATGGGCATTTATCCAATTCACTAGGCTGGCCATTTGCTCAGGAATAACCTCCTGGGCATTTGGATCACATAAACTCAGCCGCAATTGTTTAATAGTGAGCTATGGGTCCTGCATCAACCCAGAGATGCTCTTTCATTCTGTAGCATTTAAAATTAAAGATACTGTCCTTAAAGTAGTTATTCTTACAGTCCATTTTAGCAAAGGTTTCTCAGGAAGCTGATGATATCAATCTACCAAATGGTACAATTTCTTTATATTATACCCTCTTATTTTAATAGTTACTTGGTTTTGCCCTTCCCCTACATTGACTACCTTCTTGGTAATTACATACCTCAGAGGTACCTTTTGTCACCCTGGCTTAATGTTTCCATTTGTGGGTAGCTTTTGATATGGGAGTGCTGGGAAGGGAAGAGCGTGGTCCCTTTAAATGAAAAGGGAAAGGGAAGTGCTGGGTAGAGGAGGGTGTGGTCCCTGGCTGGGGCTCAACACACATGGACCTAGGTGAGGACAGGCACTCCTGCCTTTGCACCCAAATGTTGCATTTCCCAAGACCACCCTGGCCTGCCATGTCCCCATCGTGGGCCTATAAAAACCCAAGACCCTAGCAGGCAAACACACAGGCAGCCAGACATTGAGAGGAGCACATCACCGGAAGAAGACACAAGCAGCTGGATGGCAAGAGGACGTCGAGGGAGCACGCTGGTGGAAGAGCATGCTGGTGGAAGAGCACGCTGGTGGAAGAGCACGCTGGCAGATGCCAGCTTGCTGGCAGGCCATGACAAGCAGAACAATGCGGAGTTTGGCTGGAGCAGTCGGAGGAGAGCCGGGGCTGCTGAGTGGCCCAACTACAGGGGAAAACCATCTCCCTTCTGGATCCTCCATCAGTGGAGAGCTACCTCCACTCGGTAAAACCTTGCACCCATTATCCAAGCCCACGTGTGATCTGATTCTTCCGGTATACTAAGGCAAGAACCCAGGATACAGAAAGCCCTCTGTCCTTGTGACAAGGTAGAGGGCCTAATTGAGAGGGTTTACACAAGCCGCCTATAGGCCGCAAACTTGTAACAGAGCACCCTGTAACACACGCCCACTGGGGCTTCAGCTGTAAACATTCACCCCTAGACACTGCTGTGGGGTGGGAGCCCCACAGGCTGCCCGTCTGTATGCTCCCCTAGAGGTTTGAGCAGTGGGGCACTGAAGAAATGAGCCACGCCCCCATTGCATGCCCTGAGAGGGGGACAAGGGAACCTTTCCCGTTTCACTTTGAGGCTAGTGGCCTGAGCTGAGAGAGACCCACATCTGAGCTTGGGCCAGTCTTAAGGCCCAACCCAGCACTCTCTTTTGTTTTCATCTCAGCTATTACAGATAACAATAACCAAGGGATTAAATATTTTCCTTCTTCCTTATTAATTTGCATTTTCTTTATTTTTAAAAATTCTATCACTTATTTTGTGGTTATAGCTTGTATTTCCTTATGCATCCAGTGAACCAACTTCCTGGGAGCATGATCCATCTTTAAATTCTACTGCTAACTTTTAGTAACTGAATGCAGCACAGCTGCAGCTCCTTAAGATGGGTGACCACATCCATTCTCCACCCTTTCTTTTATTTTTCTCTTTATCCATTTAGTCTGTATAATTTTTTCTTTATTTTAGGCCATGCATAGTGGCTCATGCCTGTAATCCCAGCACTTTGGGAGGCCGAGGCGGGTGGATCACTTGAGGTCAGGAGTTTGAGACCAGTTTGGCAAACATGGTGAAACCACACCTCTACTAAGAATACAAAAATTAGTCAGATGTGGTGATGTGTACCTGTAGTCCCAGATACTTGGGAGGTTGAGGCAGGGGAATCGCTTGAACCCGGGAGGTGGAGGTTGCAGTGAGCCGAGATGGCACCACTGCACTCCAGCCTGGGCAACAGAGTGAAACAATTTTTTTTAAATTTTATTTTAAAGTGACCCTTAAATGGTCTCTAAACTAGAAAAAAATACATTTTCTTTAGCAAAACCATATCCTCATGTTTTTACATCCTCACCAAAAACATATCTTATTCTCCAACTATTCTAATTTTTAGTAATCCAAATTCCCAGTGGAAAATCCAGGATTACTTAATTTAACATAACATGACTTTAAATTTCTTAAGAACTGGAGACAATTTTGAGCTTCAATTTGCCAAGTTAATCTTACCAAAGATTACTAAAATCATGTGAAGTAAAAGGCATCTGAGCTACCGTCTGTTAGTCGACAAGCACTTACTTTTCTTTAAGCCAATTTTTTCTTTTTATTTCTTTTTTTTTTTTTTTTTTTTGAGATGGAGTCTCACTCTGTTGCTCAGGCTGGAGTGCAGTGGCCTGACCTTGGCTCACTGCAACCTTTGCTTCTCAGATTCAAGTGATTCTCCTGCCTCAGCCTCCTGAATAGCTGGGTCTACAGGCATGCGCCCCACACCAGACTGATTTTTGTATTTTTAGTAGAGATGGGGTTTCACCATGTTGGCCAGACTGGTCTTGAATTCCTGACCTCAAGTGATCCACCCGCCTCGGCCTCCCAAAGTGCTGGGATTACAAACCTGAGCCACTGTGCCTGGCCTCTTTAAGCCAACTGATTAGAGCTCTTTTATATAGTTTGGTAGTAAAACATCACTTCCACATGGCACATATAAACATGTAGACATAACAGACACACAGACAGTGGCAGATCCTGTAAGATTTGCCTGTTTTCAAAAATCCTCTCCCTTACTTTAGACTATTAATAAAAAAAGTTATAGGAGCACACACACAGGAGCTGACAAAAGTTACCATCCCAGGCCTTCTCAAAGAAAGAAAGAGCTGAAGCAGCAGGGGTACAGCAGAAGTTGAACTTTTGAGATACCAACTTGAAAAATTTCAAAAAGAAAGAGATTATGGAATTTAAAAATTAAAACCTTTTTGCAATTTCATTAAGTCAATATTTCAGTGGGTTCCTGCTGGTCCCTTAGCTTCAGATTTGGGCAACTCTTTTGGGGGCTCTGAGGCCCGATGTTGGGTGCCAATTATTGTTGATAAAAAGAGTCAGACTCTGTAAAATATTTGAAGATATTTATTCTGAGCCAAGTATGGGTGACCAATGGCCTGTGACACTGCCCCAGGATATCTTGAGAACATGTGCCCAAGGTGGTCAAGCCACAGCTTGGTCTTACACATTTTAGGGAGACATAAGACATTAATTAATATGTGTAAGATGTACATTGGTTTAGTCCAGAAAGGTGGGACAACTCAAAGCAGGAAAGGTGGAGGGGCTTCCAGGTCATAGGCAGATTCAAAGATTTCCTGATTGGCAATTGGTTAAAAGAGTTATTATCTAAAGACCTGGAATCAATAGAAAAGAATGTCTGGGTTCAGATAAAGGGTTGTGGAGACCAAGGTTTTATCACGCAGGTGAAGCCTCCAGGTAGCAGGCTTCAGAGCTCTTATCAGACCAAAAAACATGCCAGGCTCTTAGATAATTTTCTCCTGGATCAAGGGAAAGACCTGTGAAGAACAGGGAATTCTCTACAGAATTCAGATTTCCCCCATGAGAGACAGCTTTGCAGGGTCATTTCAAAATATGTCAAATAAATATATTTTGGGGATAAAATACTTTGGTTTGTCTCAGGGCCTGCTATCCATCATGTGATGCTATACTAGTGTCAGGCTGGAATCTGGTGTCTTATTGCTACAAAAAAATCTATACTGTTAATCTTTTTTTTTTTTTTTTTTGAGATGGAGTCTCACTCTGTTGCCCAGGCTGGAGTGCAGTGGCGTGATCTCGGCTCACTGCAACCTCTGCCTCCCAGGTTCAAGCGATTCTCCTGCTTCAGCCTCCCAAGTAGCTGGGATTACAGGCACACACCACCATGCCTGGCTAATTTTTGTATTTTTAGTAGAGACGGGGTTTCACCATGTTGGCCAGGCTGATCTTGAACTCCTGACCTCAGGTGATCCACCCACTTCGGCCTCCCAAAGTGCTGGGATTACAGGCATGAGCCACCATGCCCTGCCAATCTTAAAAATCTCTTTTAATGATAATGCTGGTCAGTTGTGCATGAATTCCAAAGACAGGATGATATAATGAGGTATGTCCCACCTTTCCCCGACCCCCACCACTTTCCATAATAGCCTGAACTGGTTTTTCAGCTTTACTTTGGAATGCCCTTGGCTGGCTGGGGGGTCCATCAGTCAGTTGGAGGGCTTAACATTTTAGTTTGGTTTGTAACAGCAAGCAGGGAGACTACCATAGTGGGTGGCATCAGGTAACTCCTAAATGCCTGCACGTGTGCAAACAATTGTTCTCTTTAACTCATCTCCATAATAGGGATGCAACAGGGAAACAAGTAAGACTGTAAGAAAAAAACAGTGAATTGAACCAACAGTCAATGACAATTTGGTGAGTTTTTTCTTCTTGCCAATAAAATATCTACAAACCATAAGCTATTAATTTAGTTATTCCCTAGTTTAAATTCAGATGCCCATTTTAAGTGTGGGAGCAGAGAAGACAGCCATATGCTTAAACACAAACGAGTGTTACTGAGCTACATAGAAAAACACTTCAACTTCTGAACAAATAAAACCAAGTGTCTGTTTGCCTGTTACTGGATAATGGATGAATTTTCAGCAAATTTGGAGGGTACGTTTGGGGCAGTCAGGCTTAAAACACATAATACATGGCAAATATTAATTTCTTGAGGGGTAATATATTTAAAAATTTCAGAGAGATAAGTATAGCACATGATATAAAAGATTTCAACAAATTAAGTTCATATATGTATTTTATTAAATTTTGCTGAAAATTTTAAAGAACTGACTAGAGGCTACAAATGCTCAGTACTTTTTAAAATTTTTTAAAATTTTTATTTAATTTTATTTTTTTAGAGACGGAGTCTTGCTCTGTCGCCCAGGCTGGAATGTGGTGGTGCGATCTTGGCTCACTGCAAGCTCCGCCTCTGGGGTTCACGCCATTCTCCTGCCTCAGCCTCCCGAGTAGCTGGGACCATAGGCGCCCGCCACCATGCCCAGCTAATTTTTTGTATTTTTAGTAGAGACGGGGTTTCACCGTGTTAGCCAGGATGGTCTTGATCTCCTGACCTTGTGATCCACCTGCCTCGGCCTCCTGAAGTGCTGGGATTACAGGTGTAAGCCACTGCACCCGGCCCTGCCAGGGAGCTATTTCTTAACCCGTGAGGAAGCACCACCTAGATACCTAACAAAGGGCTGCCTGACAGCTGAAGACCAAACCCGGGAACATGGAAACAGAGCGCTCCTCTCTGTTAAAACTGGAAAGGAATTTGTATTTAAAAATAGGCATGTCTCAGGGGCAGATTAAAAGATGAGCTAGGGTTAGAGATGTCTCCTGCACATTACTTAGCAATAGAAAGTGTTCTACACTTTGACCTTGTCGGAAGCACGGCAGCAAATTCCTCCCATGGAAGTTGCCTGCTCTGCCCCTGTGGCTTCACCCATCAGAGTATGTAAAAAAATAACAGATGCTTGTAAGGCTGTGGAGAAAAAGGAATGGTTATACACTGTTGGTGAGAGTGTAAATTAGTTCAACCATTGTGGAAAGCAGTGTGGCAACTTTCTCAAAGACCTAAAACCCAAACTACCATTTGACCCAACAATCCCATTACTGGGTATATACCCAAAGGAATATGAATCATTCTGCCATAAAGACACATGCATTTGTATGTTCACTGCAGCAGTATTCACAATAGCAAAGACTTGGAATCAACCTAAATGCCCATCAATGGTAGACTGAATAAAGAAAATGCAACATATATACATCATGGAATACTATGCAGCCATAAAAAAGAATGAGATCATGTCCTTTGCAGGAACAGGGATGGAGCTGGAGGCCATTATCCTCAGCAAACTAATACAGTAACAGAAAACCAAATACCCATGTTCTCACTAATAAGTGGGAGATAAATGATGAGAACACATGGACGCATAGAAGAAACAACAGGCACTGGGGCCTACTTGAGGGTGGACAGTGGGAGGAGAGAGAGGATTGGGAAAAATAACTAATGGGTACTAGGCTTAATGTCTGGGTGTTAATAATCTGTACCACAAACCCATGTGACATGAGTTTACCTGTATAACAAACCCGCACATGTACCCCTAAATTTAAAATAAAAGTTAATAAATAAATAAAATTATTTATGCTTCAGATTCACTGTGATTTCTTTTCAAAAATTAAAAAAGTTTTCTATTTTTAATTTTTGTGGGTACATAATAGGTATATATATTTATGGGGTACAAGAGATGTTTTGATACAGGCATGCAGTGTGAGATGAACACATCATGGAGAAAGGGGTATTCATCCCTTCAGACATATATCCTTTGTGTTACAAACAATCCAAATACAAGCTTGTAGTTATTTTAAAATGTACTATCAAGCTGCTCTGTGATTTCTGATGATTTTTGCTCTTTCAAAAATTATGAACATTTTCAGCCACTTTCTCTTCAAATATTGCTTCTCTTTCCTTTTCTTCTGGAACTCCACTGACATGTATTTTGATACTCATTTAGTCTTCCATGTCACTTTGTTTCTCTTTTACACTTACACTTTTTGTGTGTGTTCTGGGGAGTTTGTTCAGTTATATCTTCCAGGTTGCTAATTTTTTTCCTTCAGCTGTGTGTAATCTGCTATTTAATCAGTTACTGAATTTGACATTTCAATAAATCTATTTTCCACTTTTAGAGGTTTGAGTTTTCAAGTCTGACTGATCTTGTCTGACAAAATTTTGTTAATATTTTCAGTTCCACTTTTATTTCTTGTGTTTAGTATCTAACACTTCAATTTTCTGACATTTGAGGGTAACTGATTGTACTGATTCTTCCTCATGGTAGTTTCATTCTTCCATGTCTTCTAATTTTGGGTTGAGGGCTTAACTTGAGCAGCAATTTATTTATGGGAATCATGCAAGATTTTGGTTGAGGGCTGTCTTCATCTGTTCCTGCTACTATAACAAAATACCTTAGAATAAGTAACTTATAAACAATAGAAATTATTTCTCACAGTTCTGGAGGCTGGAAGGTCCAAGATTAAAATGTCAGTAGATTCAGTGTCTGGTGAGGGCCCAATCTCTGCTTCCATGATGGTGCCTTGAAGACAGTTTCCTCACATGGTGGAAGGGACAGGAGGGAAAAAAGGGCCTTGCTAGTTCCATCCAGCATTTTTATAAGACAGTAGTACCATCCATGAGGATAGAGCCCTCACGGCCTAAATACCTCCTAAAGGCCCTGCCTCCTACTCCTGATGCATTGAAGATTAAGTTTCAATGTAAATTTTGGAAGGGATGTAAGCATTCCAATTACAGCAAGCTTGCATCCCCGCAGACAGAATTTGCCATTATCCCTGCCAGGCCAGAGTATAACAAATTTTAGATTATTATTATTATTACTATTATTTTGAAATGGAGTCTTGCTCTGTTGCCTAGGCTGAAGTGCAATGGCGTGATCTCGGATCACTGCAACCTTCGCCTCCCGGGTTCAAGTGATTCTCCTGCCTCAGCCTCCCGAGTAGCTGGGACTACAGGCGTGTGCCGCCACACCCAGATAATTTTTCTATTTTTAGTAGAGACGGGCTTTCACCATGTTGGCCAGGATGGTCTCGATCTCTTGACCTTGTGATCCGCCCGCATCGGTCTCCCAAAGTACTTGGATTACAGGCGTGAGCCATCACACCCGGCCAAATTTTAGATGATTTTATGTTTACTTGTTCACATGGGGTTTACCATAAAGTTAAATTTTAAAAAACCCAAATATATAGGACAGCAGGCTCACCATTATGAATTCTCAGAGAAGACTTTTTTCCATCTCCTGGAGCCCAGGTTAAGGCACTTTTTTTTTCTATTGTTATTTCTCTTTGCTAGTGGCCAGATTTTCTCCTAGCCCACTGAGACCTTTCAAAAATTCAAGTTCTTCACGCTTGTAATCCCAGAAATTTGGGAGATGGAAGTGGCAGGATCACTTGAGCCCAGGAGTTTGAGACCAGCCTGAGCAACATATGAGACCCCCATGTCTGCAAAAATAAAAAAAAATAAAGTTTACCCAGGTGTAATGGTGTGCAGTTGTAGTTCCAGCTACTTGGGAGGCTGAGGTGGGAGGATTGCTTGAACCTGGGAGTTCGAGGCTGCAGTGAGCCCTTTAGGCCAAGGCACTCCAGCCCTGGGTGACAGAGTGAGACTCTCCCAAAAAAACAAAACAAAAAAGGCCAGCCGTGGTGGCTCTCGCCAGTAGTCCCAGCACTTTGGGAGGCTGAGGTGGGCGGATCACGAGCTCAGGAGATCGAGACCATCCTGGCTAACACGGTGAAACCCCATCTCTACTAAAGCTACAAAAAATTAGCCGGGTGTAGTGGCGGGCGCCTGTAGTCCCAGCTACTCGGGAGGCTGAGGCAGGAGAATGGCATGAACCTGGGAGGTGGAGCTTGCAGTGAGCAGAGATCGAGCCACTGCACTCCAGCCTGGGCAACAGAGCGAGACTCCGTCTCAAAAAATAAAATAAAAAAATAAATATAAAAAAAAGAATCCAAGTTCTACTGGAGGGCTTACTCTTCACCACTCACTCATGAATGTTTGGCCCTTCTCCTTTCTCACTTGGCCACTCAAATCTAAGACTTTGGAAACCAAGCTTGGTAAATGCCACCAGTGCACCCTTAGCATCACTGTCAGCCTAGCTCTCTTGATTTCAGTTATTTCTTTGTTTTCAGCCTTTGGAGATTTTCTTCCTTTCTGATGAGCTCCTCTGTGACTATTAAAAAATGTTTCTCTATTTCGCCCGGCATTCCTAGGTGTTTAATTGGGAGGTAGTTCAGGAAGTTCACTTATTGTCAGACATGAAGTCTCAGAGGCAACTTTTCCAGTTATGGTTATAGAAGAAATGAAAAAGAAAAACATAGAAAGTTTTAAAAATTTTCTAGGTAAAGTAGCACAATAAAAACACAACAAATAGATGGGAAAGAATACAAACAAATAAAAAAGATAACGACATTATAGAGAATACCCACGTATTGTGCTCCAGATCTCATCTTGTTTCTCGCTCTTCTACTCAGTACATTTTCACAATCCATAGGGTGCATCTAGCCTATTGTTTGTAACCGCTGCATAACACTCCAAAATGTTTCCGCCTCATGTCATCTACCCACTTTACAGTAATGGACACAATCAACATTTGATGAATGTCTCACACATATTCTCTTATGAACTCCTGTGAGGATGTTTTAGGTAGATTCTGGGGAACATCATTGCTAGGTAATGGAGTACAATATATTTAATTTTATTAAATCCTCCCAGATTGCCCCCTAGAACAGACAGCTGCAGTCTAGACCTTCTCCAGAACTGCACGAGGGTCCCTAAACATCCGCATCCTCAATGCTTGGTGTTACAGACCTTTCTCATTTTTGCCAGGTGCATTGTGGCTTCAAATCGCATTTCCCTGATACCTCTGAGTTATGTGCTTGTTAGAAGTTACGCTTGTTTGAAATTCCTTTTTCTTTTTTTTGAAATGGAGTCTCGCTCTGTTGGCCAGGCTGCAGTGCAATGGCGCGATCTTGGCTCACTGCATCCTCCGCCTCCCAGGTTCAAGTGATTCTCCTACCTCAGCCTCCGGAGTAGTTGGGATTACAGACACCCGCCACCACACCCGGCTAATTTTTTGTGTTTTTAGTAGAGATAGGGTTTCACCATGCTGGTCAGGCTGGTCTCGAACTCCTGACCTTGTGCTCCACACGCCTCGTCCTTTTTCTGTAAATTGTCATCATCTGTTGTTCACATTTCTATTGGAGCTCATTTTTCTTGTTGATTTTACTATTAGTGTCTTGTCCATTATAAACATTTCTGAGAATCTTCCCTAATCTGTCATCTGACAACTTTGTTTATAGTGTTCTTTGTTAAAAAGTTCTTACTGACTGAGCATGGTGGCTCCTGCCAGTAATTCCAGCACTTTGGGAGGCTGAGATTTGCTGCACGCCAGGAGTTTGAGACTAGCCTGGGCAACATAGCAAGATGCCATCTCTACAAAAAAAAAAAGTTTAAAATAGCCGGGCCTGGTTGTGAGCACCTGCGGTTTCAGTGAGAGGTGACAGTGTGCTGGCAGCCCTCCCACCCCTTGGTCGCTCTGGGCGCCTCCTCGGCCTTGGCGCCCACTCTGGCCCCGCTTGAGGAGCCCTTCAGCCCGCCTCTGCACTGTGGGAGCCCCTTTCTGGGCTGGCCAAGGCCGAAGCCGGCTCCCTCAGCTTGCGGGGAGGTGTGGAGGGAGAAGCGCGGGCGGGAACCGGGGCTGCGCGCGTGCTTGCGGGCCAGTGCGGCTTCCGGGTGGGCGTGGGCTGGGCGGGCCCCGCACTCCCAGCGGCCCGCCGGCAGGCCCCCCGGGCCCTGGGCAGTGAGGGGCTTAGCACCTGGGCCAGCAGCGGCTGTGCTCGATTTCTCGCTCGGCCTTAGCTGCCTCCCCGCGGGGCAGGGCTCGGGACCTGCAGCCCGCCATGCCTGAGCCTCCCCCGCTCCCCGCCGCCGTGGGCTCCTGCTCTGCCCAAGCCTCCCGGACGAGCACCGCCCCCTGCTCCACCGCGCCCAGTCCCATGGACCGCCCAAGGGCTGAGGAGTGCGGTCCCACGGCGCAGGACTGGCAGGCAGCTCCACCTGCAGCCCCGGCGCGGGATCCACTGGGTGAAGCCAGCTGGGCTCCTGAGCCTGGTGGGGACTTGGGGAATCTTCATGTCTAGCTAAGGGATTGCGAATACCCCAATCAGCACCCTGTGTCTAGCTCAGGGTTTGTGAATGCACCAATCGGCACTCTGTATCGAGTTAATTTGGTGGGGACTTGGAGAACCTTTATGTCTAGCTAAGGGATTGTGAATGCACCAATTGGCACTCTGTATCTAGCTCAAGGTTTGTAAATGCACCAATCAGCACTCTGTGTCTAGCTCGGGGTTTGTAAATACACCAATGGACACTCTGTATCTAGCTAGTCTAGTGGGGATGTGGAGAACTTTTTGTGTCTAGCTCAGGGGTTGTAAACGCACCAGTCAGCAACCTGTCAAAACGGACCAATCAGCGCTCTGTAAAACAGACCAATCGGCTCTCTGTAAAATGGACTAATCAGCAGGAAGTGGGTGGGGCCAGATAAGTGAATAAAAGCAGGCTGCCCCAGCCAGCAGTGGCAACCTGCTGCAGTCCCCTTCCACGCTGTGGGAGCTTTGCTCTTTAGCTCTTTGCAATAAATCTCGTTACTGCTCACTCTTTGGGTCCACACTGCCTTTATGAGCTATGACACTCACCGCGAAGGTCTGCAGCCAGCGAGACCACGAACCCAGCCGGAGGAACAACAACTGCAGACGTGCCACCTTAAGAGCTGTAACGCTCACCGCCAAGGTCTGCAGCTTCACTCCTGAGCCAGCGAGACCACGAACCCACCAGAAGGAAGAAACTCCAAACACATCTGAACATCAGAAGGAACAACCTGCGGACACGCCACTTTTAAGAACTGTAACACTCGCTGCGAGGGTCCACGGCTTCATTCTTGAAGTCAGTGAGACCAAGAACCCACCAATTCCAGACACATCAGGTACTTGGGAGGCTGAGGTGGGAGGATTGCTAGCCGGGGAGTTTGAGGCTGCAGTGAGCTGTGATTACACCACTGTACTCCAGCCTGGGTGACAGAGTGAGAGCTTGTCTCAGGAAAAAAAGGCCTTATATGTAACGTGATAAACTGATATGATTACTTCCCTCGCTGTCTCAAAAATATTCTCTAACATTCCTTTCTTTTGTAGTTTTCCTTGTCACACTAAGTCGTTAATTCATCTGAAGGCCACCTTTGTTTAAGTGTTAGGGAGACATGAAATTTTGTTACTCCAAAAGTAAGCTGGTTTTTCCAGCATCATCAAAGAGTTAGCCTCTCCCTCATTGACTTGTTGAGCCCGCTTGAATATATATTAAATTTCGGTTTGGTGAACATGGTGAAACCCCATCTGTACTAAAAATACAAAATTAGCCTGGTGTGTAGTGGTGCACGCCTGTAGTCCCAGCTACTTGGGAAGCTGAGGCAGGAGAATCGCTTCAACCCAGGAGGCACAGGTTGCAGTGAGCTGAGATTGCGCTATTGCACTTCAGCCTGGGCAACAAGAGCAAAACTCCGTCTTGGAAAAAAAAAAATTCAGTAAACACAGGAGTCTCTCTCTCAGCTCTTTATTCTGGTCCATGAGTCTACGTGTAAGTTCATGGTAATTTTTTTTTTTTTTTTTTTTTTGAGAGTCTTGCTTTGTCTCCCAGGCCGGAGTGCAGTGGCGCGATCTTGGCTCACTGCAACCTCCACCTCCCGGGTTCATGCCATTCTCCTGCCTCAGCCTCCTGAGTAGCTGGGACTACAGGCGCCTGCCACCACGCCCGGTTAATTTTTTATATTTTTAGTAGAGACGGGGTTTCACCGTGTTAGCCAGGATGGTCTCGATCTCCTGACCCCATGATCTGCCCGCCTCGGCCTCCCAAAGTGCTGGGATTACAGGGGTGAGCCACTGTGCCCAGCCCACATTTTATCTTTTATATCATATTTTTACTGTACCTTTTTTAGGTTTAGCTACACAAATACTATTGTGTTAGAATTGCCTGTAATATTCAGTATAATAACATGTACAGGTTTGCAGCCTAGGAGGAATAGGCTACACCCTCTAGGTTTATGTAAGCATACTCTATGATGGTGGCACATCAAAGAAATTGCCTAATGACACATTTCTCAGAATGTGTCCTGGCCGTTTAGTGATGCATGAATCTACTTAATGCATCAGACAGTGCTTTGCATAGGGAGTACCATGGTTCTGGTTCTTCAGAAGTTTTGGATGTAGGGAGTATGATTATTTATGTGAAACACTCAATAAACAATTACGTTATGTGTTTAAATATGTTGACTTGTGTGGTAGTGATGTGAGCTCCAGAGAAGAGGGCTGTGTTGATGGATTAATGGTGGAATTATATCTTTAGGGGTGGATCTTCTGTTGACCTTGGTGGATAGATTTAATTGAGTGGTGAAAAAGAAGGTGGCCTTCTAACTAGGGAAGAACACTGATGACGGCCCAGAAGTGAGGAGGAGTGTAGTGTACCAAAGCACTAGAGTTTGTCATTTCCACTCCCATGCTTTGACTCGTCTTTCTCTTGAAGTGAGCAGAAACATCCTCCCCAACTTTCAGCATGACTTTCAACAATGCTGTTGGGTTGTGTTTGGGCTTCAGTCTCCTTGATACAGAAGGGCTGGGCTCCCAGCTAAACCCCCCGCTGAATCCTGGAACTGTGGCCCTAAGTGAAACAGCTTACCCCGTTTTTCCACCCAAATGTTGCCTTTTTGGCCTGCCCCGCCCCTATCTTGTGCCCCAAAAAGACTTCAGCCGGCAGAGCAACAGAAGCAGCTGAGCGGCAATCAGAGAAGCAACTGAGCATCAGAGACTGTGGACAGACGCAGCTAACTTCAGATGGTGCAGCTTTGTGGAGAGGGGCCTGGCTGGAGATGGCTGGGCTTCAGGGAAAGATCCCCTTCCCATCATCCCCTTCCGTTTCCAGCCTCCGTTTCTGCTGAGAGCCACCCACCACCCAATAAATTCCTCCACATGCATCCCCTTTCAAATGGTTCATGTGACCTGATTCTTCCTGGACATTGGACAAGAACCCAGGTGCTGAGAGGGCAGGGGCTGCCACCCTGACCCTCCACCAAGCCGGTTGGCACTTGGCTGTTTCCAGACATAAGAGCTGAAACAGCATTGGTTGTAACATGCTTGGACGACGCTACTCGGCCCGCACAGAACCTGCTCCTAGCAGAGAGGAGTGATTGGCGGTTCCAGCATTTGTTCATTCTGGTTCCTGCACACTCTCGCTTGCATGCTGTCTCCTGTGAGGAGTGGCCAACGCCGGGCTGAGTGAAATGAGCCACTCCAGTTTCTGCCCATGAAGGGGATCAAGGGAACTATCCCATCTCATCTGAAGGCTTGTCCTGGATACGTCAGACAAGTGAGTACATGACGAAATGTCTCTTTTGGGTGAAAAGAATGTTGGCTCTGTGGCTGTTTTCCTTCACGGTGGTCAAACTGTCTTATGGGATGGGAATAAGGTCCTGGGGAACCAAAGGCATCTGACTGAGGCCACTCCTCAGTGTTGCTGGAAGGCCCCAAGACTAAACTCCATCCATGACTGCCCTAACAGGCGTCGGCCCAAATCTGCAGACTTTGCTGTGATATCTTTGTATCTTTTCTTCTTTAATGCCTGCAAATGGTTTCTATCTCTTTCTTTCTTTCTTTTTTTTTTTTTTTTTTTGAGACGGAGTCTTGCTCTTGTCCCCCAGGCTGGAGTGCGTGGTGCAATCTTGGCTCACTGCAACCTCCGCCTCCCAGGTTCAAGTGATTCTCCTGCCTCAGCCTTCTGAGTAGCTGGGACTACAGGCACCCACCACCATACCTGGCTAATATTTGTATTTTTACTAGAGATTGGGTTTCACCATGTTGGCCAGGCTGGTCTCGAACTCCTGACCTCAGGTGATCTGCCCACCTCGGCCTCCCAAAGTGCTGGGATTGCAGGCGTGAGCCACCGTGCCTGACTGGCTTCTATCTCTCTCATAAAGAGTTTTGCTACAAACTGCAGAGATGTTAGGTAGAATGAGTGTTTGGCCTAGCCATTAGATATGGAATTCAGAACAATGTGATTCCCGTTTTTTCTTAGAGGTGCCATCCCCACACTCACCCCAACAGCCACGGGCAGGCATGGTGTGTGGTGGTTCCTCTGCTCACCCCCTCCCCTCCCTGCTTAGGAGCCTGGGCGTGTCTGCTGCATGCGTGTGCCATGTTCAAGGGCTAAGCGAGGCAGCAATGAGCTGCGCACACCTCCCAGTCCCCAGGGAAGCCTCGGGTTAGGGGTCCCATGTAGCCAGATGGCTGGCACCTCCCACTTGGCTGGAAAAAGGATGGGAAAGTGATCTTTTCCTAAAGCCTAACCGTTTCTGGTCAGACCCTTCTCCAAAACTGCACTGTCTGAAATTAGCTGTGTTTTTTTATAGTCTCTGACGCTCAGTTGCTTGTCTGTCACTCAGCCGCTTATACCTTGACACTCAGCTGTTTGTGTTGCTCTGCCTCTGAAGTTTTTTATGGGCACAGGATAGGGGTGGAGCAGGCCAAAAAGGCAATATTTGGGTGGAAAAACAGGGTCAGCTGTTTTCACTTAGAGCTGTGGTTCCAGGGTTAAGGTTGGGGTTTAGCCGAGAGCCCAGTCCTTCTGTATCATCCTCATCTGTGAGACAAAGATGCTGATGGCCCAGGCAGCTCTAGAGCCAAAGGTTCCACCATGGTACCCAGTCATCTTGTTTTACTTCCCAAAGCCTATTAACATGACTGATCCCCAAAGCATAATGTCAGCATTCAAGATGCTGGTATAAACCACAGCTATCAAACCACCTGAACAGGCAAAGAGAGAGAAAGAAAGCCACATTTGACTCACTCTTCTGAAAGTTACTCCCACATCAAGTACTCTGTATACTCCCCACCACACCCCCAGTTCTCCACATTCAGGCGCTTGATCTCTTTAATTCAGTGAGTGACTTATGCTTAGTTTTAGTCCATCCTGTTTTCTCTCTTTAATGTCCTTCATGATCTCTTGTTGGATTCTTATCTTGCCCTTCTGTGTCACAATTTCCTAATTTCCCTTTAATTCCCTTTCTTAAAAATTTTTATCATTATTTTTTAAGACAGGGTGGAGTGCAATGGCATGATCATAGCTCACTGCAGCCTGGATCTCCCAGGCTCAAGCAGTCTTCCCACAGCCTCCTGAGTAGCTGGGACTACAGGTGTGTGTCATCACACCTGGCTAATTTTAAAAATGTTTGTAGAGACAGAGTTTGCCATGGTGCCCACACTGGTCTCAAACTCCTGAGCTCAAAGGATCCTCCTGCCTCAGCCTCCTGAAGTGCTGGGATTATAGGCATGAGCCACTGCACCTGACCTGGAAGCAACAGTTAACAGCCAGCAGAGCTCCCCCTGGCCCAGCTGTGACAACCCAGAATGCCTCCAAACATTACCAAGTGCCCTCTGGGAAGAAAAATCCAATTCCCACTCCTCTGCACTGTGAACCACTGATTGAGGGCATTCTGTGCCTCACTTTGATTCTTTCCCCTTGGTCTCTGGTGAACTGCCAGGGAAACACCCAGCATCTGAGATTTGCACTGTTGCTGGAAAGAAGGAGTGGTGAGAGCTTCCACTCTCAGAACCTAGGCAGTAGCTGCCTAGGACAGAACTGCCCCTACAAAAGATTCCATCTGATCAGGCCTGACCAGGTGGCCCATGGCTGCTGCCTCCCCATCATTTGTCTTCTGTGCTCCCAGTCTTTTACCTGGTGGCCTGCAGTGTCCCTCCCCACCGCAGACATAATCGCTGTTGTCCCTGTCAGACCCCTGGGAGGGACCCAGCCAGCCCAAGCTGATTTCTAGTGGGAGGACACTACTTAGGCCCCCCGTCTCTGTTCTTTTCATTGTTCAGTCTCCTCAGGTCTTAGCAATGTCATTTACAGACTTAGGGTAAGTGCAAAAGCTGGAGACTGCTGCTTCAATGTCTACAAACTCTATAAAGAGTTTTTCTACAAACTGCAGAGATGTTAGGTAGAATGACATCTCTGTCATTCACAGAGATAGACTTCTCTATCTTTAGGTAGAATGACTTCTCTGTCATCCACTAAGTAGAGTGTGCCAATGTAAGTACTTGTGTGGTTAGAGTAACCTCACCTGAGATGGTATGAATGCCAGCAATTTTCAGCGAGATTGTGATCAGTTAAACACCCATTTCCTAAACTATCTTCATGAACACGGCAGAAGAGCAAACCTCCAACTGAAATGAATACGGAGTCAGCAGGCTGCACTTTCACTTCCAACTGAATCCACAGTGATTCCACAAAGACACTGACCTTAGAAGCCATCTACCAGAGGTGGTATCTGAATAGCACTACATCACCAGTGGACACTGGGTAAGGTTCATCCGTTTTGTTGAGCATAGGCTTGTGCCCCATGAGTTCAGCCAAGGTTAGTACTTTTAGGGCTTGAGTTAACCCCATTCTTCCAGTGGCACAACTTAGCCTCTTCCACTCTGGAGCTTCAGAGAGGGAATTAGTTCAGAGAGTTAGTTGTTTTTACAGTTCCACCACTGGAAAAAGGGAACGGGAATGACTTCTCAGGGATCAGCAAACTTTTCCTGTAAAGGCAAGTTTGCTGGTCACATACCATCTCTCTTTTTTTTTTTTTTTTTTTTTTTACAACCTTTTAAAACTATAAAAATCATTCTTAGCTTCAGAGCTGCACAAAGCCCATCATTATCCAGATTGGCCTGCTGACCAGATTTGTTGACCCCTGGCTCAGTTGACACTGATTTTGAAACATCTGCACATCATTTAACTGGATAACCCCTTGCTTTGTTATTCTGATCTCCAAAGCCAGGGATAAAATGGACAGATTCATCTATCCATTTATTCACTAACTACTTACTGAGTGCCAACCATGTCATAGACACTCAGCAGTGTTCAGAAGACACAAGTTACCAAAACTCAGTTGCCATCCTCAAGAGCTTATGTTTAATGGAGACAAACCACAAAATAGGCATTTTCTATGCAGTGTGATAAGTGCCACTATTCCAGTTATTCAGAAAACATTTATGAAGTACCTTATGTGCTAAACATGTTCTCAGTACAGGGGGAAGGTAACGCAGTGAACAAGGCAGGAGGCCCTTGGTCTCAGGAAGCTTGCACTGAAGTGGAGAAGCCAGATAAGCAAGCAGATAAATTGCTTTCACATGGTGGCAGGCATTTCACAGAAAATAAAAACAGCAGTGAAGCTGGGTGCAGTGGTGCACACCTATAATCACAGCTTCTTGGGAGGCTCAGGAGGGGGATTGCTTGAGCCCAGGAGTTCAAGTTCAAGTGTTCCTAGACCAAAACGAGGATCAGGCTGCTTACTCTCGTGGCCCAATAATGAGATGCAGATGAACTGGGAAAGAAGAGTTTTTTATTTATGTAACTGGTTACAGGGAGAAGGCCTGGAAATTATCAAAATTTGGACTAACTCAAAATTACAGTTTTCTAGAACTTATGTGCCTTCTAAGCTATATGTCTACGTGTAAGTGTGCATTTATCTAAAGACATAAGTGCTAACTTTTATTCTGTAACTGAGATCTGAGTCCTGAAGACCTTCCTCTGGAGCCTTAGTAAATTTTCTTAATCTAAATGGGCCCAGGTGCTGGGGCAATTACCCTTATCTTGTCTCCTGCTAAATCATGGAGGTTTGATGAGTTCTTGCAGACCTCCAATAAACTTGTTTGTGGAGACCTGGGGGGTTTCTTCAGACCCCCAATGAAACTTGCTTAATTCTAAATGGGTCCTTTTAAGAATTCCTTTTTTATCTCATCATGCTTCAAGGCCCAGGAAAGGCCTGGACAAAACTCTTGGTGAGCCTTTGTTACATTCCAGCATTTGTATTAGAGCACTGGCTCTATCAGCTTTTAATATTTAACTTAACCACTCAGTCAGTGCTGAAACAGTTGTTACAGAGGCCTGCGTTAGTGAGACCTGGCCTGCCGCAGCAGTGAATGATGATCACATTTATGAATAGCCACTGCACTCCAGCCTGGGCAACATAGCAAGACCCTGTCTCTAATTAAAGACAAAAACCAAGACCTGAGTAATGGAGTAGAGATGAATTGGGTGCATCCTTGGAAGGCCCCTTCAAGGAAGTGCTATTTTTCTTTCAAGGAATAATACAAGGAGTTAGCCATGCAAGATCTGAGGGAAGAACATTCCAGACACAGTACAGAGCAAGTCTAGAGGGTTTTGATTTGGAATAAGCTTGCTGGACTTGAGAATCAATGAGGCAAGCAGTGTGACTAGAGCACAGTGTGTAACCATTAGGAAATAAGGAGATCCATTTAGAAAGGTAGACTGGGGCTTCCGCAGGACAGCCTTTAAAAGCCAGAACAAGTTTAAGTTTTGTACAGGTGGTGAAAATTCCTGGATTCTTTTAAGCACATGACCTACTGATATGAGATGGGTAAGCCCAAGGTTCCTGGGAATACAGAGGAGGGACCTGTAACCTAGGCTTGGGAGGTAAAGAAGATGCTTCTTTTATTTTTTGTGAATGTGAAGTCATTTTTTTCTACTCTGGCTTCACAACAAAGGCCAACAAGTAATTTAGAGGACCCAGAGTAAATCGCTGGGACAAATCCAGCATAATCTTGAGTCCTGCCTCTTGCTTTTTTTTCTTGGTTCTGTTTCTTGGGCTGGATTTTACACAACTCACTGGTATCTTATTGAAGATACAGAGGAATAAATACAGAATGGAGAGAAGGATCTCACTCTGATAGCTACCAAACCTATTCTTGAAATATTCTGGCACTGTCACCACCTGTACAAGCAATGAGACAAGTCACCATCAACAGTGAGTGCTGAAGAGGCAGACCCAGGGGGATGAGTCTTGCTCACAAGTTCTGGTTGTTAGAGACATGGCTGATTCTGGGAGTAGCCCAAGAATTCAAGATGGGGAGTCACTGCCCCTGGCATCTGTTAAGATGGGAGAAATAAGAAAGGAGAATAAACACCACTGTCTCCCAGGAGTTTGGAATCCAGCTTCTTGTGCAATATTTGATGCAGAAGAAAATCCAGCTGAGAATGGTAATGATGACAAATCCCTTTTATGGAATAATCATAGAGCAAAATCAAGTGCTTAATCACATAGTACAAAGATAGCCAGTGTTCAAGAGAGACAGGTCCTGACTACACAGCTCTGTGACTTGTCCTGTGCCAACACTGCCGGTGTGCATGCTGGTGTCCCATACAATCCTGCTGTATCTCAGGCTGTGCACACCAAGACGACAAGAACCATGCCCTTTTTGTTCACTATATTCCTGGACCATAGCTCAGTGCCTGGCTCATGGTAGGTGAATAGATACTAATGAATATTGTTCCACTTTCTATCCTGACTATTCTCATATGTTCTTGTCCACTGACCTCAAACATGTCTATTTTAAGTTCTATCTCAAATTCTACCTGCTTTATCAAGACTTACCTGGGGACTTCACAAGAACCATATGCCCTCTTCTTCTAAATACCTGTAGCTTTTATTATTTTCACCTTTGATTTGGCTCTAAATCGTAGATGGCTTACTTTTTTAGCAAGGTCCCAAGCTTCCCAAGCTGTTTCACACTTACTACTTATATCTTTGCTAGGGCTGCCATAACAAAGTAAACTGTTCATTCTGCACTGCCTTGCCTTTTCTGCAGAAGCCTCAATAAAGGCAGTATCCCAACCCTTCCCTTTGTCTTTTTCCTCCTGACCACCTGATGTCTTTCCCATGTGGTCCTGCATGGCATGCCATGCCTCCTGTCTCTAGGACCTGTGAGTATAATAAACTTTTTTTTTCTGAGCTTCTATGTCTCCTCCTGTGGCTGCACCCAACCCATCTGACTGGCTCATAAAGAATACAAAATAGAGTGTGTAGTGGTATCTTATTTATTTACTTAGTTTAGAAATGGTGTCTTGTTCTGTTGCTCCAACTGGCCTTGAGCTCTTGGGCTCAATCAGTCCTCCCACCTTGGCCTCCCAAGTAGCTGGGACTATAGGCGTGTGACACCATGCCCAGCTTGGTATCTTATTTGAATTAGCATTTCCCTAATGATTAATAACCTTTTAATTATTTGCCATTTGTATATATCTTTTGGTTAAACATCTGTTCAAACCTTCTTCTTAACTGAGTTACAAGTTTTAAATATGTACAGATTCTGGATATAAGTGTTTTATTGTAAATATGTTTTACAAATATTTTATTTTTTATTTTTTTTATTATACTTTAAGTTCTAGGGTGCATGTGCACAACGTGCAGGTTTGTTACATATGTATACATGTGCCATGTTGGTGTGCTGCACCCATTAATTCATCATTTATATTAGGTATATCTCCTAATGCTATCCCTCCCCCCTCCCCCCACCCCATGACAGGCTGCGGTGTGTGATGATCCCCTTTCTGTGTCCAAGTGTTCTCATCGTTCAATTCCCACCTATGAGTGAGAACATGCAGTGTTTGGTTTTCTGTCCTTGAGATAGTTTGCTCAGAATGATGGTTTCCAGCTTCATCCATGTCCCTGCAAAGGACATGAACTCATCTTTTTTATGACTGCATAGTATTCCATGGTGTATATGTGCCACATTTTCTTAATCCAGTCTACCCTTGATGGGCATTTGGGTTCGTTCCAAGTCTTTGCTATTGTGAATACTGCCACAATAAACATACATGTGCATGTGTCTTCATAGCAGCATGATTTATAATCCTTTGGGTATATACCCAGTAATGGGATGGCTGAGTCAAATGGTATTTCTAGTTCTAGATCCTTGAGGGATAGCCACACTGTCTTCCACAATGGTTGAACTAGTTTACAGTCCCACCAACAGTGTAAAAGTGTTCCTATTTCTCCACATCCTCTCCAGCACCTGTTGTTTCCTGACTTTTTTTTTTTATACTTTAAGTTTTAGGGTACATGTGCACAATGTGCAGGTTAGTTACATATATATACATGTGACATGCTCGTGCGCTGTACCCACTAACTCGTCATCTAGCATTAGGTATATCTCCCAATGCTATCTCTCCCCTCTCCCCCCACCCCACAACAGTCCCCAGAGGTTTAATGATTGCCATTCTAACTGGTGTGAGATGGTATCTCATCGTGGTTTTGATTTTCATTTCTCCGATGGCCAGTGATGATGAGCATTTTTTCATGTGTCTTTTGGCTGCATAAATGTCTTCTTTTGAGAAGTGTCTGTTCATATCCTTCGCCCACTTTTTGATGGGGTTGTTTGATTTTTTCTTGTAAATTTGCTTAAGTTCTTTGTAGATTCTGGACATTAGCCCTTTGTCAGATGGGTAGATTGCAAAAATCTTCTCCCATTCTGTAGGTTGTCTATTCACTCTGAGGATAGTTTCTTTTGCTGTGCAGAAGCTCTTTAGTTTAATTAGATCCCATTTGTCAATTTTGGCTTTTGTTGCCATTGCTTTTGGTGTTTTAAACATGAAGTCTTTGCCCATGCCTATGTCCTGAATGGTATTGCCTAGGTTTTCTTCTAGGGTTTTTATGGTTTTAGGGCTGACATTTAAGTCTTTAATCCATCTTGAATTAATTTTTGTTTTACAAATATTTTCTCCCAGTCTCTAGCTAGACTAGTTTTACTTTTTTCTTTTATTTTTAATTGACACGTAATAATTGTATATGTTTATGGGATACAGAATAATATTTTAATACATGTATACAATATGGAATGATAAAATAAAGGCAATTAGCATAATGATCACCTTGAACATGTAATACTTCTTTGTGTTGTGGACATTCAAAATTCTCTTCTCTAGCTTCTCAAACATATACACTAATTGTTTTTAACTATCTTTACCTTATAGTGCTACAGAACACTAGAACTTATTCCTCCCATCAGCTGTGTAACTTCAGATTGTTAACCAACCTCTATCTTCTCCAGACCGCCCACTCTTCCCATTTATATCAGCTCAATTTTTTAAATTCCCGTATAGAAATGAGAACATGTGATATGTATTTTTCTGTTTCTGACTTATTTCTCTTAGTATAATTTCCTCCAGGATCATCCATGTTGCTGGGAATGACAAGACTTTATTCTTTTTTTTTTTTGGCTGGATAGTATTCCAGTGTGTAAATATACCACATTTAAAAAATCCATTCATTTTTTGATAGACATTTAGGCTGATTCATTATCTTGGCTATTGTGAACAGCACTGCAGTAAAATGGGTGTGCAGATGTACGTATGTCTTCAACATACTGCTTTCCTTCTGTTTGGATAAATACCCAGTAGCAAAACTGCTGGATTATGTGATATTTCTATTTTTAGTTTTTTGAGAAACTTCCATACTGTTTTCTGTGATGGCTGTACTGATTTACATTCCTACCAATAGTGTATAAGAGTTCCATTTTCTCCATTTCTTCACTAGCATTTGCTAGTGTCTTTTTGATAATTGCCATTCTAACTGGGGTGAGATGTGGTTTCGATTTGCATTTCCCTGAGTGTTAGTGATGTTGAAGATTTTTAGTATACTTTTGACCATTTAAATGGCCTCTTTTGAGAAATGTGTACTCAGATACTTTGCTAATCTTAAAATTGGATTATTTGGGGTTTTTGCTGTTGAGTTGTTTGAGTTCCTTGTGTATTCTGGATATTAGTCCTTTGTTGGATGAATAGTTTGCAAATATTTTCACCCATTTAACTGGCTGTCTCTTTACTCTGCTGATTGTTTCCTTTTCTGTGCAGAAGCTTTTAGGTTTGACATAGTCCCATTTGTCCATTTTTGTTTTTGTTGCCTGTGCTTTACCCATAAAATAAAGTTTTACCTATTAAATCTTACCTATAAAATTGTTTATTTGTATAAATTTATGAGGTACAAGTGTAACTTTGTTACATGTATAGATTGCATAGTGGTGAAGTTACTCATAAAATCTTGGTCTAGACCAATGTCCTGAAGCAGTTCTCCTATATTTTCTTCTAGTTTTATAGTTTCAGGTCTTACATTTAAATCTTTAATACATTTTGAGTTGCTTTTCATATATGGTGAGAGATAAGGATCTAGTTTTATTCTTCTGCATATGGATATCCAGTTTTTCCAGCACCACTAATTGAAGAGGGTGTTGTCTCTCTAATGTATGTTGTTGATGCCTTTGTTAAAGATCAGTAGGCTGTAAATATGTGAATGTATTTCTGGGTTCTCTATTCTGTTCCATTGGTGTGTGTGTCTATTTTTATACTAATATGATGCTGTTTGGGTTACTATAGCTTTTTAGTATATTTTAAAGTCAGGTAGAGTGATGCCTCCAATTTTGTCCTTTGTTCTCAGTATTTCTTTAGTTACACAAAGTCTTTGGTTCGATGCAAATTTTATCATTTTTTTTCTATTTCTGTAAAGAATGTTGGTATTCTGATAGGACTTACTTTTAATCTGTAGATTGCTTTGAGTAGTATGGTTATTTTAACAATATTCATTAAAATCCATGATCATGGGATATCTTTACATTTTTTGGTGTCCTCTTCAATTTCTTTCATTAGCATTTTGTAGTTTTCATTGTAGATATAGTTTATCTCCTTGATTAAATGTCATCTTTGGTATTTTATGTTTTTGGTAGCTATTCTATGTGGAATTAATTTCTTGATTTCTTTTTCAGCTAGTTCATTGTTGGTGTATAGAAATGCTACTGATTTTTGTATGTTAATTTTATATCCTGAACATCACTGAATTTATCAGTTCCAATGTTACCAGTGGCAGAGGTCCGAGTTACCCTGAGTTACCAGCAGCCTATCCATAAGGGTCCATAGCAACTTCAATTCTTGCCACCTCAGAAGAAAGAATTCCACTGAGGGGCATAAAGCAGAAAAAGAGACCAAGGCAAATTCCAGTGTGTAAATGGAGGTTTATTCAAAAAGGCCTTAGAACAGGAAATAAAGGAAAGTGCGCTTGGAAGAGGGCCCTTAAAGGTTAAAGGGAGAAGGTCAAGTGCTCTGTTTAACTGTGATCCTAGGACTTTTATAAGTTCACCTCTTTCCCATGATTCTTCCCTTAAAGTGGGCTTTCTGTGTACCCAGTGCTTTCCTTACCCTTTGGGATTGAGCTTGCACAGTATGTTTAGGGGGTTATACACATGCCCATCTGAGGCTTTCTTCCCTCTTCTGTTGTAGTGTGCCCCTGGAAGATCATACTTCACCATTTTTACTCTTAACATGCATGCCCAGAAAGTTGCTTACCCTGGGGTCTGCATTCAGTTAACATTTTGATATTAACAGGTGTGGATCATCAGGAAATGGCCTCTCCCTGGCGCTGCTGAATTATCATTTTTAGAGAAGCAATGTGACAATTGCTGAACCATCACCCAGCATTCCCAGCATTTCTAGTGGGTGTGGGGGGAGAGCCCTCTCCTCTCCCACTCATGCCTAACTACCTGTACCCTAAGAGATTTTTGGTGGAATCTTTAGGTATATATATATGTGTATATATGTACATATACATATGAACATGATCATGTTGTCTGCAAAAAGGGACAATTTGCCTTCCTCTTTTCCGAATTGGATGTCCTATATTCCTTTCTCTTGCCTAATTACTCTGGCTAGGACTTCTAGTACTATGTTGAATAAGATCAGTGAAAGTAGGCTTCCTTTTCTTCCAGATCTTAGAGGAAAGGCTTTTAGCTTTTCCTCATACAGTATAAAGTTTTTGTGGGTTTGTCATGTAAGTTTTTATTATGGAGGGATGTTGAAATTTATCAAATACTTTTTCTGCATCTATTGAGATGATCATATAGATTTTGTCCTTCATTCTGTTGATGGGATGTATCACATTTATTGATTTGTGCATGTTGAACAACCCTTGCATTCCTGAGATAAATCCTGCTCTATTATGGTGTATTTTTTGATGTGTTGTTGGATTCAGCTTGCTATTATTTTATTGTGGATTCTTGTATCTCATGAGGGATATTGGCCTGCAGTTGTTTTTGTTTTTTTTTTTTAAATTGTGTCTCTGTCTGGTTTTGGTACCAGACAGAGTACTGACACTCTGGCCAGAGTATGCTGGCCTCACATAATGAGTTGGGAAGAATTCCTTCCTCTTCAATGTTTTGGAATAGTTTGAGGAGAACTGGTGTTAGTCCTTCTTGGGAATTTTGGTAGAATTCAGCAGTGCAGACACCCAGTCCTCAGATTTGATGGTAGAATTTTTATTACTGATTGATATGGTTTGGGTTTGTGTCCCTGCTCAAATCTCATATCAAATTGTAATCCCCAGTGTTGGAGGAGGGACCTGGTGAGAGGTGATTGGATCATGGGGGTGGATTTCCCCCTTGTTGTTCTCATGATAGTGAGTGAATTTTCACAAGATCTGGTTGTTTAAAAGTGTGTAGTGCCTCCCCCTTCAGTCTCTCTTCCTCCTTCTCTGGCCATGTAAGACATACTTGCTTCCTCTTCACCTTCTGCCTAAGTTTCCAGTGGCCTTCCCAGTCATGCTTTTTGTACAGTCTGTGGAACTGTGAGTCAAGTAAACCTCTTTTATTTATAAATCACCCATTATTGGGTAGTTTTCTTTATAGCAGTGCAAGGATGGACTAATAGAGAAAACTGGTACCAGAGAAGTGGGGGATTCCTATAAAAATACCTGAAAATGTGGAAGTGACTTTGGAATTGGGTAATGGGCAGAGTGTGGGGGGCTCAAAGGAAGACAGAAAGGTGAGGGCAAGTTTGGAACTTCCTAGAGACTTGTTAAATTGTTGTGACCGAAATGCTGATGGTGATATGGATAATAAAGTCTGGGTTGAGGAGGTCTCAGGTGGAGATGAGGAACTTATTGAGAAATGGAGCCAAGGCCACTTTTGTTATGTGTGAGTAAAGAGATGATCTGAAACTGGAACTTATATTCAAAAGGGAAGCAGAGTGTAATAGTTTGGAAAATTTGCATCCTGGCCATGTGGTAGAAAAGAAAAACCCATTTTCTGGGAGGAATTCAAACTGGCTGCAGAAATTTGCATATGTAAAGAGGAACCAAATGTTGATAACCAAGATAATTGGGAAAATACCTGGAAGGCATTTTAGAGACCTTTGTGGCAGCTGTCCCATCACATGCCTGGAGGCCTAGAAGGGAAGAATGGTTTTGTGGGCCAGGCCCAGGGACCTGTTGTTTTGTGCAGCCTTGAGGCACTGCTCCCTGCATCCCAGATGCTCCAGCTCCAGCCATGGCTAAAAGAGCACCAGACACATCTTGGGTCACTACTCCTGAGGGTGCAAACCATCATCCTTGGTGGCTTCCACATGGTGTTAAACCTGTAAGTGTGCAGAGGGCAAGAGTTGAGGCTTGGGAGCCTCCACCTAGATCTTAGAGGATGTATGGAAATGCCTGGATGTCCAGGCAGAAGTCTGCTGCAGGAGTAGAACCCTCATGGAGAAACTCTATTAGGACAACGCTGAAGGGAAATCTGGGGTTGGACCCCCCCACACAGAGTCCCCACTGGGGCACTGCCTAGTGGAGCTGTGAAAATTGGGTCATAGTCCATCAGACCCCAGAATGGTAGATCTACCAACAGCTTGTACTGTGCACCTGGAAAAGCCACAGGCACTTAATGCCAGCCTGGAAAGCAGCTGTGGGGCTGTACCCCACAGAGACACAGGGGTGGAGCTGCTCAAGGCCTTGGGATCCCACCCCTTGTGTGAGCATGGCCTGTATGTTAGAGTCATAAGAGATTATTTTGGAGCTTTAGGATTTAATGACTGCCCTGCTGGGTTTTGGACTGGCATGGGGCTTGTAGCCTTTGTTTTGCCTAATTTCTCTCTTTTGGAATGGGAGTATTTAGCCACTGCCTGTACCCTCATTGTATCTTGGAAGTAACGAACTAATTTTGATTTTACAAGCTCATAGGAAGAAGGGAATTGCCTTGTCTCAGATGAGACTTAGGACTGTGGACTTTTGAGTTAATGCTGGAATGACTTAAGACTTTGGGAGACTGTTGCAAAGGCATGATTGTATTTTGCAATGTGAGAAGGACATGAGGTTTGGGAGGGGAGGGGGCAAAATGATATGGTTTGGCTTTGTGTCCTCAATCAAATGTCATGTTGAATTGTAATCCCCAATGTTGGAGGAGGGACCAGTGGGAGTTGATTGGATCATGGAGGTGGACTTCCTCTTGTTGTTCTTGTAATAGTGAGTTTTTGTGAGATCTGGTTGTTTAAAAGTATGTAGCACGTCCTCCTTTACTCTCTCTTCCTTCTCTGGCCATGTAAGACATGCCTGCTTCCCGTTGCCTTCTTCCATAATTTTAAGTTTCCTGAAGCCTCCCCAGCTATGCTTCCTGTACATCCTTGAAACTGTGAGTCAAATAAATTTCTTTATAAAGTACCCAGTCTCCAGTAGTTTTTTATAGCAATGTGAGAACAGACTAATGCACTGATGCAATCTCATTACTCACTGTTGCTCTGTTCAGGTTTTCTTTCTTCCTGGTTCAATCTTGGTAGGTTATATGTGTCCAGGAATTTATCCATTTCCTCTAGGTTTTCTAATTTGTTGGCATATAGTTGTTCATAATAACCTCTAAAGACCCTTTGTATTTTTGTGGTATCAGAAAATTACCATAGAATGGTAATATCTCCTTTTTGTTTCTGATTTTATCTGTTTGAGTCTTCTGTATTTTCAGTCTAGCTAATGGTTTGTAAATTTTGTCTTTTCAGAAAACCAACTTTTCCTTTTGTTGATCTTTTTTTTTTTTTTTTTTGAGACTAGGTCTCACTCCAATGCCCAGGCTGGTGTGCAGTGGTGTAATGTCTTCTCACTGCAAACTCCACCTGCTGGGTTCAAGTGATTCTCCTGCCTCAGCCTCCTGAGTAGTTGGGATTACAGGTGCCCACCACCACATCCAGCTAATTTTTATATTTTTAGTAGAGACAGCGTTCACCATTTTGGACAGGCTGGTCTTGAACTCCTGACCTCAAGTGATCTGCCTGCCTCGGCTTCCCAAAGTGCTGAGATTACAGGCAGGAGCCACCGTGCCTGGCCCTTTTGTATTTTTTTGTCTTGATTTCAGTTAGTTCTACTGTGATCTTTATTCTTTCTTTCCTTCTTCTAATTCTGGGTTTGGTTTGGTCTTGCTTTCTAGTTCCTTGAGGTGGATCTTTAGGTTGTTTATTTAAAATATTTCTATGTTTTTGATATAGGTGCAGAAAGATTGCTATAAGCTTCCCTTGTAACACTGCTTTTGCTCTGTCTCATAGATTTTGGTATGTTGTGTTTTATTTTCACTTGTTTCAAGAATTTTTTTGATTTGCTTCTAATTTCTTCCGTGACCTAATGGTTGTTCTGGAGCATGTTATTTAATTTTCATGTATTTGTACAGTCTCCACAGTTCCTCTCATTATTGATTGCTAGTTTAATTCCATTTTGGTCTGAGAAGATAGGTAATATAATTTCAATTTTAAAATCCTTGGTGAGATTTGTTTTGTGGCTTAACATATGATACATCCTGGAGAATGTTCCATGTCCTGATGAGACAAATGATATTCTTTAGCTGTTGGATAAAATTTTCTGTAAATGTCTGTGAGGCCCATTTGGTCTGTAGACCAGATTAAGTGCAATTTTTCTGTTGATTTTCTTTCTAGATGATCTGTCCAGCACCAAAATTGGGGTGTGAAAGTCCACAGCAATTATTGTATGGGCTCTATCTCTCCTCTTCAGCTCTAGTAATATTTGCTTTTTATATCTGGGTTCACTAGTATTGGGTACATGTGTATTTATAATCATTATATCCTTTTGCTGAGTTAATCTCTTTGTCATTATATAGTGACTTTTTTTGTATCTATGCTCTTTTACTTGAAGTCTACTTTGTCTTACATCAGCATAGCTATTCAACCAGTCTATATCTTTTAATGGGGGTATTTAAACTATTTACATTCAAGTTTATTACTGTTAGGTGAGAACTTACTCCTGTCATTTTATTAATTAATTTCTGATTGTTTTGTATATCCTTTGTTTCTTTCTTCCTCTCTTATTGTTTATCTTTGAGATCTAGTGGTTTTATATAGTGGTAAAATTTGATTCCTTTTTCTCATTTGTCTATCTGCTCTGAGTCAGTTTTTTAGTTTTGAGTGTTTTCATGATGGTAAATATTGTCCTTTTGCTTCCAGAGGTAGAAACTTCTTACTTCTTGTAGAACTAGTCTACTGGTGATGAATTTCCTTAGTTTTTGCTTGTCTGGGGAAGACTTTATTTCTCCTTCATTTCTGAAGGATAGCTTTGCTGGGTGTTGTATTCTTGGCTAGCAATTTTGTTCCTTTCCACAGTTTGAATATATCATTCCATTCTTTCCTGGCCTGGAAGATTTCTTCTGAGAAATCTGCTTTTAGTCTGATGAGTAGTCCCTTATATGTGACTTGACACTTTTGTTGTTTTTAGAATTCTCTTTGTCTTTGACTTTTGACAGTTTGATTATAATGTACCTTGGAGAGTACCTTTCTGAGTTGAATCTATTTGGGAATTTTTTGAGCTGTCTCTATCTGGCTGTTTATATCTCTTCTAAAACTTAGGAAGTTTTCAGGCATTATTTTATTAAATAGGTTTTCTATGACTTTCCCACTTCTTCTCTTTCTGGAACTCCCAAAATTTGAGTATTCTTTCACTTAATGGTGTTCCATGTGTCATGTAGGCTTTTATAAATCTTTTTTCTTTGGGTTATTTCAAATGACTTCTCCTCAAGTTTAGAAATTCTTCTGCTTGGTCTAGTTTATTGTTAAAGGTCTCAGTTATATTTTTTATTTCATTCATTGAATTCTTCAGTTTCAGAATTTCTGCTTAGTTCTTTTAAAAATATCTATCTGTTTATTGAATTTATCATTCAGATTATAAATTGTTTTCCTGATTTCTTCATATTGCTTGTGTTCTCTTATATCTCACTCAGTTTCCTTAAGAACATTAGCTTGAATCCATTTTCAGGCACTTCATAGATTTCTTTTTCTTGGGGTATGTTACCGAAGAGTTACTGTGTTCCTTTGGAGGTGTCATGATTCCTTGGTTTTTTGTTTCTTGGGTCCTATGTTGAAATGTGTGCATCTGGTGCAATGGTTGCTTCTTCCAGTTTTGTGAAGTAGCTTTCATAGGGAAAGACTTTTCTTATACCTGTATCTATAGTGTTGGTTGGGTAGGATCCTTTGGCTTTGGTTTTGGGTGGGTGCCATAGTGTAAACTCCTTATGATTTATTCAGCTATAAGCAACATTAGTGGTGTCTTCAAGTCCCTCAAGTGGCTTATGTTGTTTTTGAAGACTGTGGTGAGGCTTTGCTGAAAATGAGGATGCTTGTCCTCAGGCTCCTAAGTGACAGGCTTCCTGATGGCTCACCTGGGTGGTGGCAGTGATGGACTGGCACTTGGGCCCCTGTGCAGTCTGTGTTGGTGGTGATGATGGTGGCAGGGGAGCCCTGGGCAAGTTGGTCCTTAGTTCTCAGGTCCCACAGTGGAGTGGAGTGTGCAGGCACTGGTGGTAGTGGTGGCAGGCCCCAGGTGACTTTTTATTTTCTTAATAATATCACGTAGTAAAAGTTTAAGTTTTGATGAAGTCCAAAATATCAATTTCTTTTTCTATGGTTTGTGCCTATCTAAAAAACCATTACTTATTCAATCGCCTTGATTTTAAAAAACATTTTTACTGAATGTAGAATTATTGATTTACAGTGTTTTCTTTCCTTTTGCATTTGCATATGTCATTCTAATGTTTTTTGACCTCCAGTTTCTGATGAGGTGTCAACGATTAAGTGTGTCATTATTCCCTTGTATGTACATTATTTTTCTCTTACTGCTTTCAAAACTTTTTTTTTTTTTTTTTTTGCTTTCAGCAGCTTCACTATGATGTACCTAGGTGTGGTTTTCTTTGTGTTTATTCTACTTGGTGTTTTGTAAGCTTCTCAGATCTGTAAAGTAACATATTCTGCCACACTTGGTAAGTTTTCAGTCATTTTCTCAAAAAAATTTTTTCTTATCCTTCTATTCTTTTTCTGTGACTCCAATGACATGTATGTTGGACTGCTTGATATTCTATCGCATATCTCTGAGGCTTTGCTTCTTTTTCTTTGATTTTTTCCTTGTTCTTGGGTAATTCTTATGATATTTAAATTCACTAGTTTTCTCTTCTGTCACCTTAAATCTGCTGTTGAAATTCTGTAAATTTTCCATTTTAGTTACTAGCTTTTCAACTCTAAATTTTCCATTTGGTTCTTGTCTATAGTTTTAAGTTATCTGTTAACAGGACCTATTTGTTCATTCATTAATATCACATTTTCCTTTACTTTTGGGACATATTTATAATAGCAGTTTTGAAGTCTTTGTTCATTAAATTAACATCTGAGCCTAGAGTCAGTTTCTGTTTATTGACTTTTCTCTCCTGGAGTGTGGGTTACATTTATTTCCCCATTTCTTTGTATGTCTAGTACTTCTTGGCAGAAAACTGGCTATCATATGTAATACAATGTAGCAGTCTGTTTTGTTTTTCTGGGGCTTGCTGTTTCTTGTTTTAGTAGGCAGTTAACTTTACTGGACTCAAAACTGCAAAATGTTTTATGCCATCCCCCATACCCACTCTGTAATGTGCAGCAGCTGATGTTTTTGCTTGTTTTTTTTTTTTTTTCTTAATCAGCTTCCAGCTGCTGCTAATTCAGTCTGGCTTTCTGGAGGTTTCCCCTGTACCTGTGTAATTTGGCAGTCAGCCAAAAATCTGAACAAAATTTATACTCCGATTTGGGGGCTCACTCTCTCTTTGGTTCCTTTGTTTTTGGAGCTCCCACATACATTTCCAGTTGCTTTACTAGTCCTTAGTTTTGTCCTTTGACCCCTGAAACCAGTAAAACTTCCGATTTCTACTGCCTACATTGTGTGAGTTGAAGAATGTACTCAGTTGAAAGCACGATTAACTCACAAATCTTACCAGGTGCAGTTATGTCTTTCCAGAATAGATCTCATTCTAGTTTCTGCTTTTTTCTAACTGGTATCCCTGGGGTCTCATGCATGCATATGTGCTTAGTTGTCAGCCAGGGGTTTGAGATTTTTATGTCTTATTTTAAATCCTTCTCTATCTCGAGGACATAAAGATACTCTATACTTATAAAAGTTAAAAATGTTTGCCTTTTATGTTCAGGTTTTAAATCAATCTAAAAGTATTTTTGTATACAGTAGGAATCTAATTTTTTTTATCCATATGATAGTCAGTTGGCCCTCCTTTCTTCAGTTACCTGCAGTGCATCAATGTCATCAGTCAAGTGTCCATATATGTGGTGTTTCTGGGCTTTTCCCCTCTTCCAATTATCAGTGTTTATCCCTGTGTCAAAATCACACAGTATAATTATTACAACTTTATAGTAAGTCTTAATATTTAGTAGGGCAAGTCTTTTTATTTGATAAGAGTATCTTTGCTATTCTTTTACTTTTACTCTTCTGCATATATTTTAGAATCAGCCTGTCAAATTCCTCAAAAGACTGTTTGGATAAATTTGGAATTACATTCAATATAGATCAATTTGGGAATAACCAAGAGTTTTGGGATATTGAGTCTTCATTCATTAACATAGCTTTTCTCTTCATTTATTTAGGTCTTATTTTTTCATAGAGCTTTAAAAGGTTTACTATAAAATCTTTAAGAGGTAAACTCTTGAATAAGGTCCAGAGTTAAATAGTGGAGAGTTACAGGTGTCTGTTTGCCCCAAACAGACTGATGGTATTTCAGCCATCTCAGGATTTGGGGAAGTCAGCACAAGGATCAAAAGACTGAGAAAGTTTAACTTCTCCTCTAGGATGTTTTTAGTACACACATTATATTTATAAGGAAACATATTGTAAATAATAGAGTGATAATGGCCACTTACCTGAGCCTTATTATAAACAGAAACAAATATCCAACCAATGCCATAGAGCAGAAGTACAGCCTGAAACCAAGAAGAAAAAGAGCAATTAAATCAGGATCTCATCTAGGCCAAGCTTGAAAAGGAAGCTTATTTCCTATTTGTCTTCTGCCTAATGAATGTGTCATTACTGGGGACCTTACCAATAAAGGTGCTTGGATACATTTTCCAGCACAGAAACTTAATTTGCAGGAACATGATCTTTACTTGTAAAAGGATACATTCTTAATTCGGGATGGTTATTTGAGCTGATTTTCAAGGCATTTATTTTTAATTTATTTGTCAGATGGGAATAAAGGTGGTTTATAATTAAATTTAAAAGATAGTTTAAAAAAAGAAAGAAAAATAACCATTCAGGGAAGAGGGAAATAAACTATACTAACATTCCATACCATTGAAATTAAATAAGTTTGGCTCTGATTTTCTTTACAAAGAAGGAATAAGATGAGTTAAATATGTGAAGAAAGAAGATACTTGAAAATTCTGAGAGACCAGGCAGCTGGTTCTCACAGAACCCTGTGATGATCACCGAAGCCCCAGGTTCCTCCAGCCCCTGGAGTTCAGAGATTTTCTCTGTAAAGCTTGCCTCCCACTGGGTCAAGAGGAACCAGAGTACCTTTGGACTCATCAGAACACTTGTGCTTAAGTGGTTATTTCCTGATGTACCCAATGAGGTCTTGTGCCCTCCATCTATTAACTTCCTTCTTACCTTCTCCTGGGAATCCTCACTCCTAGCTTAGCTTCTAGCTGTGGGAAGATCTCGAAGTGCCCAGAGTGCTCTTCGCAGAGACACCTCTTCAAGCTCCAGGCCTACCATGTAGGTGATCTGACTCCCTGTGCTGGAGTTTGTCACCTGGAGATTTATAGCCAGCAAGGTGCCCCTCCCAACGTTGGAGTGTGGCGTCCAAGTCTAAGGTTGCTTCCTAGTCACATGAGGACGTGACCCAGGAAATCCAATTTAGAGGCTTGATGTGGGGTTTTACCTGGCCCCAGGCTTGGGGCTGTTCTTCCTTGCTGCCCACATGTAGACTTTTAGCAGATCTTCAGCCCACAGGCTTTCTTGGAAGGAGCGGCATCCTGCAGCTGTTCCACCCACCTTCAGAGCCTGCCACCCAGGCCCTCAGAACTGAGCCACATTTGTCATTCTGGTGCCATCAGAGCAGACTGGTCTGGTTATGAGAGAAAATGGCCCTGTTGCTCTGTATTGAGGGAGGTACATTCTTACATCTTGTCACCCCCTCACCAGGAACTGAGGATTTGGGATGAGATATGGTAAAATGTGTAGATAACTCCAAAGATGTAAAGATGGCTTGTGAAACCATTTTGAATGAACCGAATGGTTTTCTGTGGCTCCCACCAAACCTGGCCAAGCTCAGCTTCTAAAGCAGGAACCAGTACTGTCTCTGTGCCTGATCCACAGCATACAAGTTAGGAAAGAATGACGATGGCATTCTTGGACCTCACTGGGACTGCTGAATTGGGTGGGAACCTTTCTAGAAGAGGCAGATGGGGTTCAAAACACTGCCCAATTCCAGGAAGGGGCCACAGGTAGATCTCAACGACTGCAGCAAGACCACTAAATGACTTGGGAAACTTAAAACCAAGTGGCTCATGGAGAAAACAAATTTGACTTACAAAAGGGATTACATAGGAATAATGTTTGGACTTGATTTCCCCACCTCATAATCAAGAAGGAAAATTTGCACCTGCTTCTGGTCAGGCCTGCATCTCTAAAGCTTGGGAGGCTGTCTTCCAGCAGCCTCCACAGCCTTGGGCTTCCACCAGCTTCTCTGCATTTGGTCTGTTGATTATGTTGAAACAATGTGTATGGAAACTATGGAAAGTATAACACAATCTTACTAAGATGACTACCAGGTACCAAAACAAACAAACAAACCCCAGAAAATTCTGACGGGTAAATGGCGGTGAAGGCCAGGGCTTCTTACTAGGTTTTGACTGCAGAAGTATTCTTTATTTTTTTATAGTCTGAGAAAAAAGGTGAGACTCAGAAAGGATGGAGCTTTCTGATTTATTTCTAAAATGTCAAATGGTTTATACAGAGATAGGTTAATTACCAAAGAATTATAAAATCATTTATAATTTAGGAGAATAAATTCTATTTCCTATAACAAAGATATGCCACAATTTTTTTTAAATTACATTTTAAGTTCGAGGGTACATGTGCACAACGTGCAGGTTTGTTACGTATGTATACATGTGCCGTGTTGGTTTGCTGCACCTATTAACTCATCATTTACATTAGGCATTTCTCCTAATGCTATCCATCCCCCAGCCTCCCACCCCATGACAGGCCCCGGTGTGTGATGTTCCCCAACCTGTGTCCAAGTGTTCTCATTCTTCAGTTCCCACCTATGAGTGAGAACATGCGGTGTTTTTCTGTCCTTATGATAGTTTGCTCAGAATGATGGTTTCCAGCTTCATCCATGTCCCTGCAAAGGACATGAACTCATCCTTTTTTATGAAGATATGCCACAAATTAAATAAATAATCAAATATTTATAAGGTTAAAACCTGGTACTCCTGGGAGATTAATCAGAAGATTTGTAGTTCCTAGTTGAATATCTCAAGGACATTGGCTGAGCCCATTCTCAGTATGTACTGCAAAGGGCAGAATATATACATACAGATATATATGTGTATATATATGTGTGTGTGTGTGTCTCTGTATACACACACACACACATATACACACATATACATATATATCTGCATATGTGTTTAATGTTAATATGGTTCCTTCCTTCCTTCCCCTCTCCCTCTCTCCCTCTCTCCCTCTCTCCCTCTCTCCCTCTCTCCCTCTCTCCCTCTCTCCCTCTCTCCCTCTCTCCCTCTCTCCCTCTCTCCCTCTCTTTCTTTCTTTCTTTGTTTCTCTTTCTCTCTCTCTCCTTCTCCTTTTTTCTCTTTCTCCTCCTTCTCCTTCTCCTCTCTTTCTCCTTCTCTTTCTCTTTCTCTTCTTACAGAGTTTCGCTCTTGTTGCCCAGGCTGGAGTGCAGTGGTGCATTCTCGGCTCACTGCAACCTCTGCCTCCCGGGTTCAAGCGATTCTCCTTCCTCAGCCTCCCAAGTAGCTGGGATTACAGGCAGGCGCCACCATGCCCGGCTAAATATGATCTTTTCTTAACCTATCTACTAACAGTTCTTTCTTCACTGCATTCCTATTTCCTTGGAATGTAAACATTCTCTCTCCATTAATTTACTAAGTAGAATGAAAATCAGCAGAATCCCTTTGACAAGTCAAAGACTTGGCTTCTTTCCTCTATGACTTCACAAGAATTCTTTTATATTTACTCAAAGTTGAAAGCAAATTTTTATGTTTATATAGTTTTATTTGGATAATGATAAAGATGGAGGTTTGTTGCTGCAAATAATATTACTTACATTCCACTTACCAGCCCCAATAGCAATTCCTGAAGATGCGTCTATCCCAGCCAGGTCCATAATATGGCTACTGCCAATATTGAAGGCCAAAAGAGATATACCTATCTGAAAATCAAAAGAGGACTACATATCAGAACTTTTAGTCTAACTCCAAGAATTAATGCTCACAAATGCACATTCTCACTGAATTTCACATTTTCTCAAAAGGAATTATTCCCTGGGCAGAATTCCCATTAATGTTTCTTCCATATAATCTCTGATGATGAATTAGAAGCCAGGCAACAAGGAAGGAAGTGAAAAGAGTAGAATAACTGTCCTGCTGCTGCTGCTCTTCACGTGCTCCACTGATATACAGGTTGGGCGTCCTATATCTGAAAATCTGAAATCTGAAATGCTCCAAAATCTGAAACTTTTTGAGCACTAACATGAGGAAATACTCATTAGAACGTTTTTGGATTTTGGGTTTTTTAATTTGGGATGCTCAACTGAGGTAGGAGGTGGGACTGGACTCCAGAGGCTGGGCTCAGACACTGGACCAGATTGAGGACTAGCTAAAACAGGGCCAGGGTGGAAGCAGCTTTCCAATCAGACACACCCACCAGTGTGCCATGTCAATTTACCACCGCCATGGCAACACCGGGGAGTTACCGCCCCTTTCTATGGCAATGACCTGAAAACCCAAGAGTTACTAACCCTTCCCTAGAACTTTCTACATAAACTGTCCTTTAATCTGCATGTTATTAAAAGTGGGTATAAATGTGACTGCAAAACTGCCCTCAACTGCTCCTCTCTGCCTATGGGGTATCCCTGCTTTGCAAGAGCAGTATGGAGCTGTAACACTGCCTCTTCAATAAAACTGTTTTCTTCTACCTCTGGCTTGCCCTTGGATTCTTTCCTGGGCAAAGCCAAGAGCCTTCATGGGCCAGGCCCCTGTTTGGGGCTTGCCTGTCCTATATCACAACTAGTATTATAATACAAATATCCCAAAATCTGAGAAAATCTAAAATGTGAAGCACTTCTGGTCTCAAGCACTTTGGAGAATGGATACTAAACTTCTACTTGCAATTCCCTAATGCAGAAATATTTGTAGGAGTGTAATTTGTTTGAAATACTGTAATTTAAAAATTTAACAATCTAACAGACATCTAGGATTAAGAGACTGGTTAGAATACTGTTGTACATGAATATGATGAAATATAACATAGCATACAAAAATAATAGGGTAGCTTTATTAAGTCATAAAAATAAGGTAAACAATAAATATAATCTCATTAAAATTTTATCTATGTCTATTGCACTTGTGCACGTATGTTTATATTTGCCTGGGAGTAATTCTACCAGTGGATATAACAATATTTCTGGGGGCTGGAATTATTGGTTATAGAGATGGAGTAGGGAGGAAATTTCAAATTCTATGCTTGGGCTGTAACTTTTTTTTTTTTTTTTAACTAATCAACACCTGTTACTTTCAAAATAAAAACTCCTAGAAGCATTTACAATGAATAAAATACCTCCTAAACCAATAATAACTTTTGAATGGAGTGGAGGTAACCACTGCAATAGAAACCAAAACCTCACTATTATGCTGCTGACATGAGACACATTTAAACCCAAATTATCAAGAGAGGCTGAAAACAACAAAGTCTTTTAGGTAAATGAAAACAAAAATAAAACAGCATCGATGATACTAATATGAAATAAAGTAGCATTCACAATCAAAGCAGGCAAGGTGTGGTGGCTCACGCCTATAGTCCTGGCAGTTTGGGAGGCTGAGGTGTGTGGGTTGCTTGAGCCCAGAAGTTTGTGACCGGCCAGGGCAACATAGTGAGACCCTGTCTCTTCAAAAAAATACAAAAATTAGCTGAGCATGGTGGCATGCACCTGTAGTCTCAGCTACTTGGGAGGCTGAGGTGGGAGGATCAATTGAAGCAGTTGTCAAGGCTGTGGTGAGCCATGGTTGTGCCACTGCATGCTAGCCTGGGCAGCAGAGAGATCTTGGAAAAAAAAAAACCCAAAAGCATTAAAGAAAACAGTTTTTCAAAATAAATATAAAAGGTAAAATGTACTAATAAGACAGTTGGGAACATACATGCTTTAAACATCTTTTTTTTTTTGACCGTTATGAAATGTATGTTTATTCTGAAACTTCTAACTAGTTGTACAATTGACCCATGATAAATTACCAGATTAATTTCACTTTATTTCTTCAGACCTGGGGTTTTTCGATGACTTCAGATTTGGGATCTTCAAATTTGAAGTTGGGAAATGTATTCATGTCTGTTTTACCAAACATTTGCTTGAACTTAAAAAGCTCCCTCTCAAGCTCTTGCTGATACTCTGGACCAGTATCAACAGGTCCTCCAGATGTCTGTCACTTCGATTTGTATTCTCTAATCTTGTCCACAAGAGTTTCTGTATAGGATCAAGTTCCTTATTAAATGCCACTGCTGTAACACTGATGTTCCTCCACAAATGGACTGAGACTGCTGACAGAATGACAGAGGAGAACCTGAAGAGCCTCTGAAGAGTCATGCTGATTCTATGTTACTTGCACTCGGTCCTGAGCTGCCAAAGCCACCACCGCCACCAATCTACTTCCTAAACATCTTAGCAGTGACAAATATAAAGCAAAAAAATCTAGAAGAGGCACATAAGTGCTTGAGTAATGGTTATTTTTACTGTTAATGTTGACTGTATCAGAATAGTGAAAACTTATTTATAGTCTAAATTGCCCAGTAATGCAGTGAATAAATAATGAAATATCTATATGATATAGTACCACGCAACTGCATATAAAGTATCTCTATCTGTGTTTATATAGACTTAGAAATATATTCTTATTACATTATTAAATGAAAAGGTAGAGTAAAAAGTCATTCATGGTTGGGTGCGGTGGCTCATGCCTGTAATCCCAGTACTTTGGGAGGCTGAGGCGAGTGGATCATTTGAGGTCAGGAGTTTGAGACCAGCCTGGCCAACATGGTAAAACCCCATCTCTACTAAAAATACAAAAATTAGCTGGGCATGGTAGAGGGCACGTGTAATCCCGGGAGATGGGGGTTATAGTGAGCTGTGATTGCACCATTGCACTCCAGCCTGTGTGACACAGCAAGACTCCATCTTAAAAAAAAAGTCATTATTAATTTCATATGCATTAGGGTCCATTGCCAACTATAGGTGAGGTACCGTTGTAGGTGTTTTTTGTTTTTTGTTTCTTTTTGAGATGGAGTTTTGCTCTTGTTGCACAGGCTGGAGTGCAATGGTGCGATCTCGGCTCACTGCAACCTCCGCCTCCTGGGTTCAAGTGATTCTCCTGCCTCAGCCTCCTGAGTAGCTGGGATTACAGGCATGCACCACCACGCCCAGCTAATTTTGTATTTTTAGTAGAGACGGGGTTTCTCCATGTTGATCAGGCTCGTCTCAAACTCCCGACCTCCGGTGATCCACCTGCCTCGGCCTTCCAAAGTGCTGGGATTACAGGCGTGAGCCACTGCCCCTGGCCCATTGTAGGTGTTAAGGACACATTAGTGAGTGAAATAGACAAAAATCCCATCCCTGCCCTCATGAGGCCAACATGCTTTTGGAAAGAAGAGAAACAACACAATAAATTAGAGGATGATTTTATAGCATAACAGACAGCAATAAGCACTATATAGCAAAGAAAGGTGGGGAAGTGGCCAGGAACCCTGAGTAACAGGGCGGCCGGGGCTGACTGCATAAGAGAGAGCCAAGGGAGACCAGAAGAGGTGAGGGGAGGGACCCGTGGGGATATCCAGAGAGAGCATCCAGGCACAGGCCCTGAAGTGGAAGCATGGCAGAAACATTGAAGGATGCTGACTAGAGCTGGGGACAGGCATCCTAAGAGGCAAGGCCTGAGAGGGAAGGAGGTGCAGATCCCCTGCAGCCTGATGTAGGCCATTGTAAGCAACTGGGCTTTCACTCTTGGTGATGGAGAGGCGCTGGAGGGCTCTGAGCTGGAAAGTGCCATTGTGTGCCTTGAGTTAGAATAGGCTCCTTTAGCTGCTTTGTGGAGTCTTCATGCAGAGAAGCTAGGGTGGGAGCAGGGAACCCAAAGAGGCTGTTTTAACTGAGATGAGAGATGACGGCAGCATGGCCCTGGGGGTAGAGTTGGTGAGAATTGGTCAGGTTCCAAGTATCTTCTAGATCGAGCACAGGATTTTCTGATGGATTGCATGTTGGGTATGAGAGAAAAAGAAGAGCCTATGCTGATGCAAAGTTTGCCAACCTGAGCAAGCAGGAGGAGGCTGCTGTGAATGAGATGGGGAGACTACGGGAGAAGAGGATTTACAGAGGAAAACCCAGAGTTCCCTTTGTAGCATGTTCAGGGGGAGAGCCCTGAGAGGCCTTTCCAGGGCAGGTGTCAAACAAGCAGCCAGACAACATAAGTCTGGAGTTCAAGGAGAGATCTGGCCTATGGATGTAAATTTGGGGGTTGTTACCCTCCAATTAGCATTTAAAGCTAGGAGGTGGGATGAGATTGCCAAGTGAGGAGTGCAATTGGAGAAGAGAGGTCAGGGTCAAAGCCCTGGGGACCTCCAGTATGAAGAAGCTGGGGAGATGGGAAAGAACAAGGCAGGGAGTTGAGCAGGGGCTGGTGAAGCAGGGGAAGGAGAGGGCGATGGCCTGGGAGCCAGGTGACCATGTAGGGAGGGTGGAGTCTGAGGGTTTCAGACATCACAGCTAAGCCAGGCAAGATGGGGGCTCAGAATTGAATGCAAAAATAAGCAGTGTGCTGGTCGCTGGGGTCCCTGACCAGAGCTATTGACACTCATCAGATGTGTGCTGATTGAAGAAATATACAAGTGCAGAAAGAGTAGTAAAATTATTCTTTGGTTTTAATTTCCTTTAATAACACCATAATATGTTTTGTTCGTAAAGCAATTAATGTAATAATGAAAAAAAGTCATAGTACAGAAATTAATAAATCATAATGTATATAAACATTGGGAGGTTAAAGCATGTTCAGGACTTCTGAAAATCCTTACAGCTGTCGCAGTTATACAAGGTCACACAGGTAGCAGATTTCCTCTTTTCTGGATACAGAAAATACAACTTTAAGGCCAAAGAGTGGCTCAGACAAAAGACTGGGGAGCCTCACAGCCTAGGAATAGAAATGCATCGCTAGACTCCTCTGCCAAAAAAGAAATGAAGGTAGGAGGCCCATTACAAACATCTTTTTGCCGTGTCAATCTCTCTAAGTTGAGGTTACAAAGGAAGAAAACCAAAACATCATTCAGAGAGTTAACACCAGGAAAAAAGATTTCCCCCAGTCTCCAAGATAACCAAGGCAAGGCTATTTCTTTTAGGTTGTTTGATTCAGCAGAGTTAATGATTGCACTTATTTCTTGCCTTGGAATAAGGTACTTTTCTCCTCCTGAGGCAAGACTTCTCTCTATCAAGTGTTACCCCAATGTGAGAAACTGAGGACATTCAATAAATTATTCAACAAAGGCCTGGTTCTCACACAATTCTCTAAATATTCCTTACACTCCTATGTGGGAAATGCATACATATTTTTACATAGTAAGTTATAAAGCAGTCCTGGCTCAAACTTGGCATGGGTCCTCACATCCTCCTCCTCCCTAGGGCACCCCCACCACCACCCACATCATAGATACAGTGCGGGCAGCTGCCTCCACTGCCATGGGGTTTTTGAGTCATTCTTGGACAGAATAACTTTGCATAATCAATAAGTTAAACACACAACAAAAAATGTTTCTAGCCCTCTCAGCCTGCCTCATGCTGTTCCACACCTCCGTTCTTTGGCATATGCTGTTCTCTCTGCCCTGAATGCCCTCTCACTTAATCTACCTGGCAAACACTGATTTCATCTCCACATCCTGCTCAAATAACCCCACTTCAGTAAGATCCTGCCTATCTTGCAATACGTACTCCCTCCACCCAGCAAGCCCTTGGTTCCTTTTCACCCATCCCTGGCCCACGCACCTCCTATTAGACATATTGTCCAGCGATGTAATTACTGTAATTAGTTAAATATGTGTCTAATTCTCATTCTGGGTTGTGTGCTTACAGAAGACAGGGCTATTTCCTATCTATGTTGTGGAACCTACAACACAGCCTTGTCCACACTGGGCACCTATTATATAATTACTGAACTAAACTGGAGTTGAATGCACACATTTAGGTAAACTACTTGAAAGTTAAGGAAACTACTAATTAAATAACATTCTTGATTTAGCAACTTCACATTATTTTGGGGATTAGACGTCTAAATCAAAGTAACAGACAAGCTTACACATACCTTCCAAAGTGGATGCAAGGCCTGCTCACTGGCAACCATGATAGATTTTGGCCAGCCAGGAAGAAGTTTCCTATGGTTCCATGATTGCTCATCATTACAGCCTAAAAACAAAACCAAAAAGTCACAGTGGAATACAAGATACCAGACTGCTCCAAAGACACAGATCTCTCAAATCGACGACCTTCAGTTGTTCCCAAGTCCATTCCTCCCTTCTTTTTAGGAATGGAACCTGCTACCCCCTAAGTTAGAGGAGGGCCCGTGGAGACTACAGTCCCTTCCAGCTATGAAACTGCAAGACTAAATCATTTCTCCTCATGTGAAAATAAGATTGCCTCTCCCCCCCGTACCCAAATAGTTAAGCAGTACCATGGTTTCCAGCAGGGTCAGGGAGAGAAGTGGTTTAGTGAATGTATGCATCAATCAGGACTGGCAAAGCTTAATAGATGCCTTGCTGCTTCCAAAAGGACAGTCACATTGCTGTTGCTATAGTGTCCTTCTAATTAACCCAAGTGCTCTCTACTCAGGGTCCCCAGCCCTGATCCCCAGACCAGGTAGGCCAAAAGGCAATATTAGAGATTTCCCTAATTACCTGGGCCTAGCATGACCTAAGGATGACAACTTGTTGGTAGAAATACTTTCCATGCAACAAGTGAACTTATTACTGCCACCAGCAGTATCTGCATTTTACAGGCAGTTTCTTCACATCAGAGAGGCTTAAACCAGAACACCTGAATCACATTAAGTTAATCTTACTTCATTCATTCAGTAAGTATTTGAGGGCCTACTATGTGTATAGTTGACCTTTCTTATAGAAGGTATCAATGGTAGGTAGGTAGAAGGGTATTAGAACTTTGAAAGAAATTTATAAAATGTTCTCAGATGAAGAAAGTCACCCTCTTTTCACTAAAAAACAAAACAACAAAAAACAAGCCAGACGAAGAGATTCCAGAAAGAAGATGACTTTAACCACATGTCTCTGATTCTTTCTTCCTCCCTGTTCCCTTTCTGGAATAATACAACAGTCACAATAGCCAGACTTGGGTTGGGGAGCGGAAGATATATTTAATACTTTCTCAAAGATCTCTGGGCCAAAATTGATAAAGAGAAACAAACAAAAAGTGTATGTTTCCCCTACCTTAATCTCCTGTAAGAGCCAGGGCACCAGCAACAAAGATCAAGGCTTCTCGGTTTCCTGTGGGGGGCCCAGCAGGCAGAAGCTTACACATGCTTTCAGAAAGGAGTTTTCATCTGTGCAAATGTGGACATTTCAATTCAGTGGGAAAAGACTGATTTGCTCAATAACTGGAATAAAATAAAGCTAGACTTTTCCTATCTCATCATACAAAAAGGTGAATTCTAGATATTCTAGAAATGCAAACATTAAAAAACATAAAAATGTTAGAACATTTAGAATAATATTTGTATAGTCTTGAAGAGAGAAAAACATTCCTAAGCAAGCTAGGAAATCTAGAAGGTAGACAGGAAAAGAGAATGCTGACATTTAAAAGTGAACAAAAATTCAAATAAGAAAAAGCCACCAACAGCAGAGTCTAGACCAATGGTGATTTTCCACCATCCCCTGAGGGGACATATGGCAATCTCCGGAACATGTTTGGTTGTCACAACTGAGTAGGGGCCAGGGATACTTCTAAGCATGCTTGTGAGGACAGATGCCTCACAACAAGGAATTATTTGGCCCCAAATGTCAGTAGTGCTGAGATTGAGGAACACTGGTCTAGACAACTGGTACTTTGGAAAAATCATTAGTGAAATGACAGGTTGACAAAAGTAAAGTCAAACAACCCAATTCAAAAATGGCCAAATAAACTGGCTATTCACAGAAGACGAGAAACAACAGAGAAACTCATGAGAAGATGCTCAACCTCATAGTGAAATGGCTACATTGTTTGGGTTATATACCCTGGGGTTTGTTGTCTCTCACTGAGAAAGAATTCAGGATATGAACATGTCTGAGTGGGTTAAGGAGCGGAAAGTTTAATAAAAGAGAGAGGAGAGCAGCTCCTTGCAAGAGAGAGACATCCAAAAAGGGGGAGGTGGCCAACCACAGCAGGTTTTATAGGCAGGCTGGAGAAGGTGGTGTCTGATTTACATAGGGCTCACAGAATGGTTCAGTCAGGTATGACATTCACATAGCATGCAGGGAAGCCTGGTTGTCTCACCCTGATCTTATTATGCAAATAGGTTTTCTGGTTGATCAGTGTCATACTGTCTGCTCTATCTGCCTTAGTGATTTCTTCTTACCTCCTGTATCACTCCCCGCTCTGGAGTGTTAACCCTAATTGCTGTTGGGGAAATTGGATGATGACTCTTTCTGGCTACTTCCTGCTGAAAGGGGCCATCATGTGGGTAACAGCAGCTAGGACTCCTCCTGGGTTGATCTAAGGGTCCTTGGAAGAAAGATGTGTCCATGTGTGGCTTGATCTGCAGCACCATTTGGAGTTTGATTGCTGTCAGTCATTCCAATGGGTTGTGATACTGGTTTCCTTCCACCAGATGCTGCTGAAACATTAATATAAAAGTAACGTTCTTTTTTAGAATAAGTGGCATTGAATTTGGGTGGCTACAGTAACTTCAGTGTTAACTTTGGCTAAATCTTTCCTGCAATTATTAATCCCCTCATGACTTCCACAGACCATCTAAGACATGCTTAAACTTTCTGACTTGTCCTAAAGACCCTTCTTTTTAAACAACCAACTCTTCATTTAAGGACAAGTATTTATCATCCTTTTAATCCTTTCATTACTTCCATGATCCATCTACAACATGCTTGAAGCTAGTGACTTGTCCTTAACATCCATGTTTTAAACAACCAAGCATTCTCTTTGAGACAAGTATTTACCATACAAGATCATTTCTTGTTTTTTTTTTTTTTTTTTTTTTTTTTTTTTTTTTTTTTTTTTGAGACAGGGTCTCACTCTGTCACCCAGGCTGGAGTGCAGTGGCGCGATCTTGTCTCACTGCAAGCTCTGCCTCCTGGGTTCACGCTATTCTCCTGCCTCAGCTTCCTGAGTACCTGGGACTACAGGCGCCCGCCACCATGCCCGGCTGTAAGACTAGGATTTAATGACAAATGTTGGTAAGCTTTGGAGCGTAATCTTTTTCTCTCCAGTTCTCACTTCACAAATGGTTATAGGACTGTGTTGTTTGTAGAATAAACTTCAGTCTTATATTTGGCCTGATCATTTGCATAAAGTGCAGCAACAATGCTTATCTCTACATGGGCCTTTTGGATTGACTTTGATGGAACTCTATTCCACAAGGAATCTTAAATAGGATCCCTTAGAGCTGAGCCCAGCCATGGGTTCATCTCCTCAAATACCTGTGAGCTCCTGGACCTGTTAGAAAGTGACATTCTTTACTGACCACAGGTCAGAAACCCTGTACATGGACTGTGTAGACAAGGTATGAGGCCAGTCTTCCCCAAGGGGCTTTTATTGGCTCTGCAGGTCAAGATTGACTCCTTAAAGGGAAGCATACCTGTCCAGTCAAAGCCTTGATAAAATAGCCAGTTTTTCCAATTGTGTCCTGTTGCAAAAAAAAAATGGATTTGTATTGCATTGATCTAAACAACTATATTGCCATATGTTAAGAATACTCACAGATAGTTTCCACATTCTAGAGGAACTAGACAGAAACAAACATCTTCCAAATTTTGTTCACAGCAGCATACCTTACTCAATTAATAAAGGCCACAAATAGTTCAAAACAAGCTTCCTTGACTCTGAAAAACAAAACAAGGATCAGGAATATTCCAAGCAAAAGTCAAAAACATTGCTTTAACTTTCTGAGGGCAGGCCATTTAGTTAACTCTTGTTTTGCTTGACATTTGTAAACATTTCAGTTTTTCATGAGCCTTGTATGTTCTTTCTCTATTCCAATGTTACAATCTTCAAAGCTATTAAAAACCTGCATTCGAGAACATGTGTTAAAGTCCTTAATATAGCTTGATTATAAACCATCTTTTGAGAAGGAACAAAGCAAGACAACAATTGTCCGTGAATGACAAAATTTCCAGGGTAGTTACAGTTAAAAACATGACTGATGAAGTTCAGTTATCTCCATGGTTTACAATAACTTTACCATTAATTATGATTGATAGCATATACTCAGAAGGTAGAATTTTAGAAATCCCATACAATTTTGGAACATATATTAGTATTCACCAAAATATAACTTAAAGAGAATTGGACATCATTTGGCAATTTCATGTGACTAAACAGGTCAAACAATCCTGTACACCTCTTTTCTGAATGTTTCAGGGGCCCTCTGAACCATCCAGAATGCCAGGCATCAGGAAAGACAATTTTGAAACTTGAAGTTTGATTTTGGAATGCCTGTTAAGTGTTAGAGGTTTAAAACACTTGATGTTACAAAATAGAATTCCACATTACCGTAAATTACTTATTTTGCCAAAATGATGACTCAAAAAGCAAAAACCTTTCATTAGCCTTTACTACTGCATGGAAATCCTGTTCAAAGCCAAAATCTTCCCTTGCATTAGTTTATTAATGTTAAACCCCAATTTCTAATGAAACCTCATAGACAATTCCATCTAATCTTAACCAATGTAACCATGAGGTGAAATCTATAGAAACCTTTTATAACCCCTTTTGCTAAAGGGAAGATGATTGTCTTAAGACAGCTTTGCTGTGCTTTTATTTCAATGTTCAATCTGTGAAAAGACTATAAGATACCATTTTGAATTTAGTTAATGTTTACACATTTTTTGCAAGATTAATTTTTACAATCTTCCACAACTTACTTAAACCTTTACCTTTATCATATCAAATTTAAGATAATCCCTTATCCCTAGGCAAAATTTACATTTCTATGCTTTCTTGTAATCTTTTACTAAAAGACATACTTTACTGTTTTTATACACTTTGCAGATAAAACTGTTTAGTCATCTCAAATACATGTTGCGCTGTTAACTCTTAGCAATTTTTACATTGGTGAAAAACCTGGTTAGTAAGTGATTGTAATTATTTACCAGGTGTGGAACCTAGGACCCAGATAGAAGTACAGATAAGGTTTGACTCTTTCTAGTATCTAACTCTACGTGTCCAAGGCCTTACCTATCTGTAAAGCAACCAGTAATACAACCTTGGAACATTTAGCAAACCTAGTATCTAAGTTGTATGATTTAGACCACCTATTTGAATTTTGATGACACTTGCATTTTACCAATAACCCTTAAGACTATTTTTGTTTCTTAAAGATTAAAGTCATATGAACTAAAAAATATTTGACTTAAGTGCCTATTTTTCTTTAAGCCAATCAATTAGAGCTCTTTTTATAGACATTACACACAACACATTTATAGCGACCACAAACAGAAGATTCAACACTTGTACGATTTTTGTATTTGCCAATTTCTTAATTGGATTACTTGCTTCAGGGTGGAGCCCTTGGAGGAACAGTGCCAGGAAGGCATGCATTTCTAGGGCAAAATAAGCAAGCACAGCTGAAGGCAAAGGCAGATCCTCAAAATTAAGGGTGCCATTTTATTCTGGATCTTGGATCCCCAAAAGGAGGGAGATTCTATGGGAGAAGACAGTGTGCAGTGCCTCTACTATGCATTTCATTGCAAGGCAACCCAAAGACAATTGGCTTATTTTGTAATCAGCCCATTTCCCACAGGAGCCTCATCTCTCAGTGGGGGGTGGGGATATTTCCATATCTTTCAGGTGGCCAATAACATGCTTCTCTGATTTATAACTACTATTAGCCATCCCTTAAAGTGTTTTCCTTACCTGGTTATTAGACACCAAAGGTCTCTGTAATGTGCAGTAATTTGATGCCCCTCAAACTTAAAACTGTCAGATAACACAATGCAAAATAGTACAGAGCCTTTGATTTTGAGAGGGAACTATCTGCTTTTAATTCCTGGGGTTTTATGAGGAAAACAGAGGGTTTTCCCCCCCAAAATGGAGTCTGTGGTCTCTGTTTTTCCCAAGGAATCCCATGTTACCAGAAGTTATCTTAGGGCCTCTTGTGCATGTGTTAAAAGTGTCAAGACAAAGAATGGAGAAAAATAATTCAGTTGATGGAGAAAAAAACCCTTTTCCCAGAAAAATTTAAGAAGAGAAAAATATAAAGGTCTTTTAAATATACCTATAACTTGAATATCCACTTTTAATTAAACTGAGTGTTCTTTAAGAAAATTCTTTTAATTCTTTTGTTACTCAACTTTAGCCATGCCAAGGAGTTAAAATTTTTGGTTTTTGAACTTTACAAAAATTAACCTCACAGTTGAAGCCAACAAGCCTTAATTAGGTTATGACTTAACCGCGAGTGTACAAAGTATTTTTAAGGGGGTGATAAGCGCTTTTGAAACTGTGTTTAAAAAATTGTTACTGAGACAGTAGAAGAGATCTGACCCAACCAACTTCATTTTGTTTCCAGCCCCCAAGCTGTCCTTGCCCATCCCTGGGTGTAGGCTGAACCAACTTTGGGAGGGGCCTGGTTCACTGTTTGTAGTCCAAAACAAAGATGATAACAGTCCTTTCCTAAGATATACTTCCCTCTTGTTTGGGGACCAGACCAAAAAACTAGCCACAAGACTGGAAACCATGGCTCAGGAGTCATACAGCTGGAAGCTACAAGATTTTTGACCCTTCCTTAACTGCTCTCAAGATCAGTGCTTAAGATATTTTATAAACATTACCCTAGATGGATCAGCTGGCACTACCCAGATTGACAAACTGGCTTATCTGATTTTGTGGCCCTCACCCAGGAATTGACTTAGCACAAGAAGACAGCCACCATTGTAAAATGGCAGAGACTAAAACAAAGTACTGCCATGTGGTTACAGGTCATGTTCCCAAGGACATGAAACAAGATGGTGGCCTGTAACCAAGTTTGTTACTGATTATTTTGTTTGGCTTGCTTGAACAGCAGGCTTTTGGTTTCCTGTGTCTGTAACCTAACCTAAAGTACCCTTTCTTTTGACAGAACCATACAGAAAAACACACAAAGCACACCAGATTGGCTACAGCTTAAGACCAAACTCACAAATCCTTTTTCATTAGTTAAAACTTTACAGAGAATATAAACAATGATCCTTATTATCCCTTTTACTGGTTTGCACAGGGAGAGAGGAGCCAAAAGTCTGACTGGTAAGAAATTTTTACTCTGCTAGCATGTCAGGCTTCTGGGTTCTCTTCCCCTTAGCTCAACTCTAAGCCAATCATTTTAAGGTTTGGAAAATTGACTTTTCCCAGGTTGGAAGAACATTATAAAAGAAGATAGAAGCCATTTTAAACTGTGAAAGAAGGTCAAATACCACAGAAAATTCTGGGGTTCCAATTAGACTTGTCAAGAAGTATTGCTTTCCTTCCTATTGACAATGGTGTTTTCCCTATTTCTTCACTTTCCCTATTTTCTCTTTTTCATTTTTGCCTGTTATAGGAGACATATTGCTCATCTCCAAAATTCTCTGCCACCTGCAGAGTTACCTGTTTTTCAGCCACAGTTAGGGTTTGCCTTAGCAGCAGCATAACATCCCTCCGTGAGAAGTCAAGTACCTGAGTTAAATTTTGGAAAGCTTCTATATACCTATCAGGGTCATTAGAAAATTGGCCTAAGTCTCCCTTTACCTGTCTAAGGTCCTGCAATGAGAAGGGAACTTGAACCCTAGTGGCATCACCTCCATTGGGCATTTCCTGTAGGGGTAAGAGTGAAGGTGGGGGAGTGGGAAATTTTGGAGATGGTGGAGGTGGAAGAGCTGGTGGCATGGTTGGAGGTGGCCGCAGATAAGTGAGACTGGAAGCCATACTAATTGGAGATAGAATAGGTGCCTTAAGAGAACATAAGGACCAAATGGCCATTTTTGCTGCTGATGGGACAGTACCGAGACTAAAATTCGGTTTTGGAGGATATTTTACTCCTAATTGTTGACAGCAGATTTTTCCCATTTACAGAAGTAGCATGAAGCCTGGTTTCTAGTAGAGAGGCATAAAAAGGGGAGAGAATTGGAAAGTGAGGCTGTTTCGGTGAAGGACGGACAAAGTGCCTCGTGGAGAGGATCCCTATTCCACTAGGTGGCACAGTGGACCTTGAAAGGCCATATACTGTCCAGACCAAGGGCAGAGTGACTTTGACATGCCATGTGCTCTCCAGACCAAGGGCAGAGAGAGACCTGGAAATGCCATGTGCTCTCCAGACCAAGGGCAGAGAGAGATGCTCACTGTGTGTGGGGGGACCCTCTGTTCATAGAAAATCACAGAGTTGCCTTCCCTTGAGCTATATCCCTGGTTAGTACGACATTCCCTGATCTTGTCAAACATGATTACTTCCCTGAACTGTAAAACTTTCCACACACTGAGCACACAGAGAGGATAGAGACATAGCGACTATAGATAGGAAAAGGAGGAAAATTCTGCAACAAGATAGCTGCGGATCCTTTACTAACACCCAGATGGGCTGTCAGAAGCTGGGTTAGTCCAGAAACCTTTGAATAACACCAGGGTGTGCCCTGGTTGGAAACTTTTAGTTGCTCCAGGACTTCTGGCCTCACATGATAGTTAGGTTCTCCATGAAAGGAAGCTTGTTCAAAGCATGGCCAATGAACCCAATGACCTGTGAGTATTGGGGGATTTTCCATATTCTCCCCAGTAAGCCTGACATCCGAGTCTTTAAGAAGGGTAGCCATGATAATCATATTTTTAAATGGCTGATGTATACATGTTATTGATTTAATTTGATTTTAAAATGCAGGCTGAGAGCCTCAGAATGAAAGGACAGATTTTGAGGTTCACTCCATACTTACCACTCCAATGATTCTACCTTCTGTTCTGATCCCAATCCCAGATGAGAACCCCCAACTGAAATGGCTACATTTTCTGGGGTGTATACCCTGGGTTTTGTTGTCTCACACCAAGAAAGAATCGAGGACATGGACACATGTGGGTAGGTTAAGGAGTGGAGAGTTTAATAGGAGAAAGGAGAGAGAAGAGAAGCTCCTTGTGAGAGAGAGATGTCTGAAAAGCGGGAGATAGTGGACCGCAGCAGATTTTATAAGTACGCTGGAGAAGGTGGTGTCTGATTTACATAAGGCTCACAGATTGGTTCAATCAGGTATGATGTTTACATAGCATTGCATAATAAGTAATCTTATGCAACTGAGCTTACCAGTTGCCCGGTGCCATCTTGTCTGCTCTTTACTGTTCACGTGGCTGACAAAGTGAAGGGAATATGGAGCTGTCGTCTTGAACATGTCTAGTCCCTAGTTCCTGCCAGTATTCACCTGTGCAAGCTCCCATCTTGCTTATCTGTGGCTGCAGCTTGAATTTACAGGCTGTTCTTTGTAAGAAAATAATTTGGGGCTGCTTTTTATTAATGAGAAAAGCCTTACCAAGGAGTTCCATACCCTTACTATCTGGGTAAGTGATTTCTTCTTAACTCCTGTATCAATAGCATTTGGGAAGAGCAAATGAAAGCTACGAGACATCACTGCTTTCCCATCAGATTGGCACATGCACAAATTAAACAAGCAGCTGTCAAGGCTGGGGAGAGCTTGGGGAAAAGGGCATGCTCATATGCTGCCAGTGTGAAATGCAGATGTCAACAACCTTTGGGGATTGCCATTTAGCGATAGCTATTAAAATGTAAACATGTCCTTCTGACTCTGCAAGTTCAATTTTGGGAATCCACACCACACAAATGAAAAGCACCAACACAGTAAACAAACAAACCTGGCAACAATCTAAGTGTCAATTAATAGGGAAGAGCTGAATAGTACACGTTTGTATGACAACTATGTAGCTGATTAAAACATGAGCTAGGTCTGTATCTATTGTATTGTATCTATTGTACCTTAGGACTCTAATATATTAAGTTAAAAATCAAGCTGCAGAGTAATGTGTTTGATATAATCCTACTTTTTGTGAAGACAATGCAAAAATTCTACATATGCGTTCGTATGTTTGCATAAGCACTGAGAAAGGGGAGGAAGCTCATGCCTGTAATCCAGAATTTTAGGGGAGCTAAGGCAGGAAAATCACTTGAGTCCAGGAGTTTGAGACTAAACTGGGTAACGTGGTAATACCTGTTTCTACAAAAAATTAAACAAGTATTAGCCAGACGTTATGACATGCACCAGTAGTCCCAACTACTTGGGGGAGCTGACATGGGAGGATCACCTGAGCCCAGGAATTCAAGGCTGCAGTGAGCCGAAATCATGTTATTGCACACTACACTCCAGCCTGGGCAAGAGAGAAAAGACTCTGTAAAAAAAAAAAGAAGAGAGAGAAAGACAAGACAAAAGGAAGGGGAGGAAAGATACACAGCTTCTGGTTACTTCAGAAAGATAGGAATGGATGGGGGAAGAATAGTAACTTATTCTTTAAGGTTTTATGCATTTTTCAGTTCTTACAATGAGCATGCAAAACTTTTGTAGTTAACAATATATGATTCTTTTTTTTTTTAAACAATGTATGATTCTTAAAAAGAACCAGGGGAAAGATAATCTAAAAAAGGAAAGGAATCAGAGCTTTCTGGATCTGCATGCATGTTTTATGACTTCCAGAAAGGAAGGAGCAGCAAGTGTCCTCTGGAAGTGACCAGATGGCTCATTCATCCTTTGCCTTTGGCCAGACATAGACCCAAAGTGTGACCAAGACAAAGTTTTGTGTGGGCTTCCTAATTCAATAACAGCACTAAGGGAAAGATCCCCAAACAGGTGCTCAATCTTCAGAGCCCCTGCCCAGGCCACCCAGAATGATGCTTCTAATAACTGAGGACAATTTTTAAAAATTATGTGAATGATCTGGATAAAAATCTCAGATATAAAGGAGTCCCTTTACATTTGGAATAAAGGGCCTGTATTTTCTCTTCTGATACAAAAGTCTCTTAAAAGAAAGGAGTCCACAGCTCCATTGCTGCAGCTGCCCACTAGAAGCGCAGTGATGCATAAGCCCTCGAGATTGCCCAAAGATTGTACTTCAAAGGGCCACATGTCCCACTGTAAGAAGCCGTGACCCAATAAACACCCCAAAGTAAGGTCACATGGGCATGCAGTCTTCAGCTGAGTAGGGGCCACCCAAAATAAAAACTCCACCATTGGTTAGCAATTAGTGGCATTGTTTTGGTGGCATTGTCACCAGCCACTCCTGCTTGGTGATGCAGGCCAGGCAGAGGCCTCTAATGGTTAATAGCTCAGCTTAGGGGACATAAGTGACAGCAACCTAAACTTTCATACTCACTTGACCTTCCAGTGGAACATAGGCTGTATCTGGCCCTGGATAGTGTGGTTAAGGGACATCTTTTTTTTTTTTTTTTTCCAGATTTCAATAGCTTTAGGGGTATAAGTGGTTTTTGGTTATATGGATGATTTTTAAAATGTTTTTATTATACTTTAAGTTCTAGGGTACATGTGCACAGCGTGCAGGTTTGTTACATAGGTATACATGTGTCATGTTGTTTTGCTGCACCCATTAACTCGTCATTTACCTTAGGTATTTCTCCTAATGCTATCCCTCCCCCAGCACCCCATCCCCAACAGGCCCTGGTGTGTGATGTTTCCCACCCTGTGTCCATGTGTTCTCATTGTTCAACTCCCACCTATGAGTGAGAATATGTGGTGTTTGGTTTTGGTTTTCTGTCATTGTGATAGTTTTCTTGGAATGATGGTTTCCAGCTTCATCCATGTCCCTGCAAAAGACATGAACTTATCCTTTTTTATGGCTGCATAGTATTCCATGATGTATATGTGCCACATTTTCTTAATCCGGTCTATCATTGGTGGGTTGGTTCCAAGTCTTTGCTATTGTCAATAGTGCCGCAATAAACATACGTGTGCATGTGTCTTTATTGTAGCATGATTTATAATCCTTTGGGTGTATACCCAGTAATGGGATCACTGGGTCAAATGGTATTTCTAGTTCTAGATCCTTGAGAAATAGCCACACTTTCTTAAGACCCACAATGGTTGAACTAATTTACACTCCCACCAACAGTGTAAAAGTGTTCCTATTTCTCCACATCTTCTCCAGCATCTGTTGTTTTCTGACTTTTTAATGATTGCCATTCTAACTGGTGTGAGATGGTATCTCATTTTGGTTTTGATTTGCACTTCTCTGATGACCAGTGATGATGAGCATTTTTGCATGTCTATTGGCTGCATAAATGTCTTCTTTTGAAAAGTGTCTGTTCATATCCTTTGCCCACTGTTTGATGGGTTGTTTGTTTTTTTCTTGTAAATTTGTTTAAGTTCTTTGTAGATTCTGGATATTAGCCCTTTGTCAGATGGATAGATTGCAAAAATTTTCTCCCATTCTGTAGGTTGCCTGTTCACTCTGATGATAGTTTCATCTGCTGTGCAGAAGCTCTTTAGTTTAATTAGATCCCATTTGTCTATTTTGGCTTTTGTTGCAATTGCTTTTGGTGTTTTAGTCATGAAGTCCTTGCCCGTGCCTATGTCCTGAATGGCATTGCCTAGGTTTCCTTCTAGGGTTTTTATGGTGTTAGGTCTTACATTTAAGTCTTTAATCCATCTTGAGTTAATATTTGTATATGGTAGAAGGAAGGGATCCAGTTTCAGCTTTCTACGTATGGCTAGCCAGTTTTCCCAGCACCATTTTAAAAAATAGGGAATCCTTTCCCCCTTTCTTGTTTTTGTCAGGTTTATCAAAATCAGATGGTTGTAGATGTGTGGTATTATTTCTGAGGCCTCTGTTCTGTTCTATAGGTCTATGTATCTGTTTTGGTACCAGTACCATGCTGTTTTGGTTACCGTAGCCTTATATAGTTTGAAGTCAGGTAGTGTGATGCCTCCAGCTTTGTTCTTTTTGCTTAGGATTGTCTTGGATATGCAGGCTCTGTTTTGGTTCCATATGAACTTTAAAATAGTTTTTTCTAATTCTGTGAAGAAAGTCAGTGGTAGCTTGATGGGGATAGCACTGAATCTATAAATTACCTTGGGCAGTATGGCCATTTTCACGATATTGATTCTTCCTATCCATGAGCATGGAATGTTTTTCTATTTTTTTGTGTCCTCTTTTATTTCATTGAGCAGTGGTTTGTAGTTCTCCTTGAAGAGGTCCTGCATATCCCTTGTGGGTTGGATTCCTAGGTATTTTATTCTCTTTGTAGTAATTGTGAATGGGCGTTCACTCATGATTTGGCTCTCTATTATTGGTGTATAGGAATGCTTGTGATTTTTGCACATTGATTTTGTATCCTGAAACTTTGCTGAAGTTGCTTATCAGCTTAAGGAGATTTTAGGCTGAGATGATGGGGTTTTCTAAATATACAATCATGTCATCTGCAGAGACAATTTGACTTCCTCTTTTCCTAATTGAATACCCTTTATTTCTTTCTCTTGCCTGATTGCCCTAGCCAGAACTTCCAACACTAAGTTGAATATGAGGGTGAGAGAGGGCATCCTTGTTTTGTGCCAGTTTTCAAAGGGAATGCTTCCAGTTTTTGGCCATTCAGTATGGTATTGGCTGTGGGTTTGTCATAAATAGCTCTTATTATTTTGAGATACGTCCCATCAGTACCTAGTTTGTTGAGAGTTTTTAGCATGAAGCGCTGTTGAGTTTTGTCGAAGGCCTTTTCTGCATCTATTGAGATAATCATGTGATTTTTGTCGTTGGCTCTGTTTATGTGATGGATTATGTTTATTGATTTGCATACGTTGAACCAGGCTTGCATCCCAGTGAGGAAGCCAATTTGATCGTGGTGGAGAAGATTTTGATGTGCTGCTGGATTCAGTTTGCCAGTATTTTATTGAGGATTTTTGCATCAATGTTCATCAGGGATATTAGCCTAAAATTCTGTTTTTTTGTTGTGTCTCTGCCAGGCTTTGGTATCAGGATGATGCTGGCCTCATAAAATGAGTTAGGGAGGATTCCCTCTTTTTCTATTGATTGAAATAGTTTCAGAAGGAATGGTACCAGCTCTTCTTTGTACCTTTGGTAGAAGTTGGCTGTGAATCCATCTGGTCCTGGACTTTTTTTGGTTGGTAGGCTATTAATTACTGCCTCAATTTCAGAGCCTGTTATTGGTCTATTCAGAGATTCAACTTCTTCCTGGTTTACTCTTGGGAGGGTGTATATGTCTAGGAATTTATCCACTTCATCTAGATTTTCTAGTTTATTTGCCTACAGGTGTTTATGTATTCTCTGATGTTAGTTTGTATTACTGTGGGATCGGTGGTCATATCCCCTTTATCTTTTTTATTACATCTATCTGATCCTTCTCTCTTTTCTTCTTTATCAGTCTTGCTAGTGGTCTATTTTGTTGATCTTTTCAAAAAACCAGCTCCTGGACTCATTGATTTTTTGAAGGGTTTTTGTGTCTCTATCTCCTTCAGTTCTGCTCTTAGTTATTTCTTGCCTTCTGCTAGCTTTTGAATTTGTTTGCTCTTGCTTCTCTAGTTCTTTTAATTGTGATGTTAGGGTGTTGATTTTAGATCTTTCCTGCTTTCTCTTGTGGGCATTTAGTGCTATAAATTTCCCTCTACACACTGCTTTAAATGTGTCCCAGAGATTCTGGTACATTGTGTCTTTGTTCTCATTGGTTTCCAAGAACATCTTTATTTCTGCCTTCATTTTGTTATTTACCCAGCAGTCATTCAGGAGCAGATTGTTCAGTTTCCATGTATTTGTGCAGTTTTGGGTGAGTTTATTAATCTTGAGTTCTAATTTGATTGCACTGTGGTCTGAGACAGTTTTTTTGTGATTTCTGTTCTTTTACATTTGCTGAGGAGTGTTTTACTTCCAATTATGTGGTCAATTTTAGAATAAGTGAGATGTGGTGCTGAGAAGAATGTATGTTCTATTGATTTGGGGTGTAGAGTTCTGTAGATGTCTATTAGGTCTGCTTGGTCCAGAGCTGAGTTCAAGTCCTGGATATCCTTGTTAACCTTCTGTCTCATTGATCTGTCTAATACCAAGAGTTGGGTGTTAAAGTCTCCCATTATTATTGTGTGGGAGTCTAAATCTCTTTGTAGGTCTCTAAGGACTTGCTTTATGAATCTGGGTGATCGTGTATTGGGTGCATATATATTTAGGGTAGTTAGCTCTTCTGTTGAATTGATCCCTTTACCATTATGTAGTGGCTTTCTTTGTCTCTTTTGATCTTTGTTGGTTTAAAGTCTGTTTTATCAGAGACTAGTATTGCAACCCTTGCTCTTTTCATTTTTAAAATTTTTCCTTTGCTTGGTAGATCTTCCTCTATCCCTTTATTTTGAACCTATGTGCATCTTTGCACATGAGTTGGGTCTCCTGAATACAGCACACCAATGGGTCTTGACTCTTTATCCAGTTTGCCAGTCTGTGTCTTTTAATTGGGGCATTTGGCCCATTTACATTTAAGGTTAATATTGTTATGTTTGAATTTGATCTTGTCATTATGTTGCTAGCTGGTTATTTTGCCTGTTAATTGATGCAGTTTCTTCATACCGTTGATGGTCTTTACCAGTTGGCATGTTTTTGCAGTGGCTGGTACTGGTTGTTCCTTTCCATGTTTAATGCTTCTTCCAGGAACTCTTGTAAGGCAGGCCTGGTGGTGACAAAATCTCTCAGCATTTGCTTGTCTGTAAAGGATTTTATTTCTTCTTCACTTATGAAGCTTAGTTTGGCTGGATATGAGAGTCTGGGTTGAAAATTCTTTTCTTTAAGAATGTTGAATATTGGCCCCCACTCTCTTCTGGCTCATAGGGTTTCTTCTGAGAGATCCACTATTAGTCTGATGAGCTTCCCTGTGGGTAACCCGACCTTTCTCTCTGGCTTCCCTTACCATTTTTCCTTCATTTTAACCTTGGTGAATCTGACAATTATGTGTCTTGGGGTTGCTCTTCCCGAGGATATCTTTGTGGCATTCTCTGCCAACAGCTTGCACCATGCACCTGGAGAAGCCACAGACACTCAATGCCAGCCCAGGAAAGCAGCCAGGAGGGAGGAGCAAAGCCACAGGGTTGGAGCCTCCCATGACTGTGGGAACCCACCTCTTGCATCAGCATGACCTGGATGTGAGACATGCAGTCAAAGATCATTTTGGAGCTTTAAGATTTGACTGGCCCACTGGATTTTGGACTTGCTTGGGGCCTGCAGCTCCTTTGTGTTGGTCAATTTCTCCCATTTGGAGTGGCTGTATTTTCCCAATACCTATACTCCCATTGTATCTAAGAATTAACTAAGTTAATTTTGATTTTACATGCTCATAGGCAGAAGGGTTTGCCTTGTCTCAGATGAGGCTTTGGACTGTGGACTTTTGAGTTAATGCTGAAATGAGTTAAGACTTTGGGAGGCCGTTGGGAAGGCATGATTGGTTTTGAAATGTGAGGACATGAGATTTGGGAGGTGCTAGGGGCAGAATGATATGATTTGGCTGTGTCCCCATCCAAATCTCATCTTGAATTGTAGTTCCCACAATTCCTATGCATCATGTGAGGGACCTGGTGGGAGGTAATTGAATCATGGGGACGGATATTTCCCATGCTGTTCTCATTATAGTGAATAAGTCTCATAAGATCTGATGGTTTTTAAAGAAGTTTCCCCTTTCACTTGACTCTCATTCTCTCTTGGCCTGCCACCATGTGAGAAAGATGTGGCTTTGCTCTTCTTTGCCTTCTGCCATGATTGTGAGGCCTCCCCAGCCATGTGGAACAGTGAGTCAATTAAACCTCTTTTCTTTATAAATTACTCCATCTTGGGTATGTCTTTATTAGCAGTGCAAGAACAGTCTAATACACCAGAACTGTTCTATAATAAATGCTAAAGGGAGTACTTTAATCAGAAAGAAAATGACATCAATGAACAATAAGAAATCATCTGAAGGTACAAAACTCACTATTACAGAAAGTACACAGAAAATTAAGCATATTACAACACTCTAACTGTGGTGTACAACTCTTATCTTAAGTAGAAAGACTAAACAATGAACAAACAAAAAATAACTGCAACTTTTCAAGGCATAGACAGTACAATAAGATATACATAGAAACAACAAAAGTAAAAAAGCAGGGGGACAAAGTTAAGGTGTACAGTCTTCATTAGTTTTCTTTTTGTTTGTTTGTTTATGCAGTGTTAACTTGTTATCAGCCTAAAAAAATGGGTAAGAAGATAGTATTTTCAAGCCTCATAGTAACCTTAAACCAAAGAACCACAATGGATACACAAAAAATAGAAAGCAAGAACCTAAATTGTGTCACCAGAGAAAATCACCTTCACTAAAACGAAAACAAGAAGGTAAGAAGGAAGAGATCATGAAACAACCAGAAAACAAATAACAAAATGGCAGGAGTAAGTTCTTATCAATAATAACATCAAATGTAAATGGACTAAACTCTCCAAACAAAATAGAGTGGCTGAATGGATTAAAAAGGATGCAATAATCTGTTGCCTACAAGAAACATACTCAACCTATAAGTAGACTGAAAATAAAGGGATGGAAAAAATATTCCATGCCAATGGAAACAAACAAACCAAAAATCAGGAATAGCTACACTTATATCAGACAAAACGGATTTTAAAACAATAACTCTAAGAGACACAAAGGTCACTATATAATGATAAAGGGTCAATTCAGCAAGAGGATATAATATACATATATACCCAACACTGGAGCACCTAGATATATATAGCAAATATTATTAGAGCTAAAGAGAGAAATAGGTTCCAATAAAATAATAGCTGGAGACTTCAACACCCCACTTTCAGCACTGGACAGATATTCCAGACAAAAAGCAACAAACATTGGACTTAATCTGCACTATAGTCCAAATGGACCTAATAGACATTTACTGAACATTTCATCCAACAGCTGCAGAATATACATTCTTTTCCTAAGCACATGGATCATTATCAAAATAGACCATATGTTAGGTCAGAAAACAAGTCTTAAATCATTAAAAAAATTGGAATAATATTAAGATATAATATTTTCTCTTATCACAATGGAATGAAACTAGAAATCAATAATAGCAATTTTGGAAACAATATAAATATGTGTAAATTACCAATATGCTCCTGAATGACCAATGGGTCAATAAAGAAATTAAGAAGGGAATTAAAAAATTTCTTGAGACAAATGATAAACACAACATACCAAATTCTATGAGATATGGCAAAAGTACTACTAAGAGGGCAGTTTATAGCTGTAAGTGCCTATGTCAAAAAAAGAAAAAATATTCAAATAAATATTCAAATAAATCTTTAAGATGCAGCTTAAAGAATTGGAAAAGCAAGAGAAAATGAAACCCCATATTAGTAGAGGGAAAGAAATAATAAAGATTAAAGGAGAGATAAATGTAATTGAAATGAAGAAAACAATACAAAAGATCAATGAAACAAAAAGTTGTTTTTAAAAAAAATTAAGCAAAATTGACAAAACTTTAGTCACATTAAGAAAAAATAAAATTAGAGATAAAAAAGGAGACATTACTACTGATACGGCAGAAATTAAAAGGATCACTAGTGGCTACTATGAACAATCATATGCCAATAAATTGGAAAAATCTAGAAGAAATGGACAAATTCCTAGACACATGCAACCTACCAAGATTGAACCATGAAGAAATTTAAAACTTGAACAGACCAATAACAAGTAATGAGATTGAAGCCATAATAAAAATTCTCCCAGTAAAGAAAAGCCCAAGACCCGATGACTTCACTGATGAATTCTACCAGATGTTTAAAGAAGAACTAATATCAATTCTACTCAAACTACTCTAAAATATAGAGGAGGGAATACTTTCAAATTCATTCTGCGAGGCTGGCATTACCCTGATGAAGTCAGACAAAGATACATTGAAAAAAACAAAACAAAACTACAGACCAATATCTTTGATGAAATTGATGCAAAAATTCTCAACAAAATAGTAGCAACCAAAATTCAACAAAAGATCATTCATCACGACCAAGAGGAATTTATTCCTGGCATGCAAAGATAGTTCAGCATGTGCAAATTAATCAGTGTGATAGATCTTGTCAACAGAATGAAGGAAAAAAAATACAATCATTTTAACTGATACTGAGAAAGCATTTGATAAAGTTCAGCATGCCTTCATGATAAAAACCCTTGAAAAACTAGGTATAGAAGAAACACATTTCAACATAATGAAAGCCATATGTGACAGACCCATGGTCAGCGTCAAACTGAATAGGGAAAAACTGAAAACCTTTCCTCTAAGATTTGGAATATGACAAAGATGCCTACTTTCACCACTGTTATTTGATACATTACTGGAAGTCCTAGCTAGAGTAATTAGGCAAGAGAAAGAAATAACAGGCATTCAAATAGGAAAGGAAGGAGTCCAATTATCCTTGTTTATAGATGATCTTATATTCAGAAGAACCTAAAGACTCCACAAAAAACTATTAGAACTGATAAATTCAGTAAAGTTGCAGAATGCAAAATCAATGTACAAAAATCAGTAGCATTTCTGTATGTCAACAGTGAGCAATCTGAAAAGAAATAAAAAAGTAATCCTATTTACAATAGCCACAAATACAATACCTAGGAATTAATCAAAGAAGTCAACGATCTCTACAGTGAAAACTATAAAACACTGATGAAAGGAATTGAAGAGAACACCAAAAAATGGAAAAATATTCAATTTTCATAGGTTGGAAGAATCAATATTGTTAAGATATTCATATTACCTAAAGCAATCTACAGAGTCAATGCAATTCCTATCAAAATACCAATGACATTCTTCATAGAAGTAGAAAAAACAATTTAAAAATGTATATGGAACCACAAAAGGCTCTAAATCGTCAAAACTATCCTAAGCAAAAAGAACAAAATTTAGGAATCTCATTACCTGGCTTTAAGTTATACTATAGAGCTATATAAAACAAAACAGCATGGTTCTGGCATAAAAACAGACAGATAGACCAATGAAGCAGAATGGGTAACCCAGAAGCAAATCCACACACCTACAGTGAAATTATTTTCAGCAAAGGTGCTGAGAACATACACTGGGGAAAAGATAATCTCTTCAATAAATGGTGTTGGGAAAATTGGATATCCATATGCAGAAGAATAAAACTAGACCCATATCTATCACTATATACAAAAACAAAATCAAAATGGATTAAAGACTTAAATCTAAGATCTCAAACTATGAAACTACTATAAGAAAACATTGAAGAAACTCTCCAGAACACTGGTCTGGGCAAAAATTTATTGAGTAATACCCTGCAAGTACAGACAACCAAAGCAAAAATGGACAAATGGAACCAGAGTAAGTTAAAAATCTATACAACAAAGGAAACAATGAGCAAAGTGAAGGATAACCCACAGAATGGGAGAAAATGTTTGCAAACTACCCATCTGACAAGAGATTCATAACCAGAATGTACAAGGAGCTCAAACGACTATAGGAAAATATCTAATAATGCAATCCAAAAATGGGCAAAATATTTGAATTGACATTTCTCAAAAGAAGACATACAAATAGCAAACAGGCATATGAAAAGGTGCTCAACATCATTGATCATCAGAGAAATGCAGATCAAAACTCCAATGAGATATCATCTCATCCCAGTTAAAATGGCTTATATCCAAAAGACAGGCAATAACAAATGCTGGAGAGGATACGGAGAAAAGGGAACCCTTGTACACTGTTGGTGGGAATGTAAATTAGTACAACCACCATGGAGAACAGTTTGGAGTTTCCTCAAAAAACTAAAAATAGAGCTACCATATGATCCCGCAATCCCACTGCTGGATATATACCCAAAAGTAAGGAAATCAGTATATTGAAGAGATATCTGCACTCCCATGTTTGCTGCAGCACTGCTCACAATAGCCAAAATCTGGAAGCAACCTAAGTGTTCATCAGCAGATGAACGGATAAAGAAAATGTGGTACATATACACAATGGAGTACTATTCAGCCATAAGAATTAATGAGATCCTGTCATTTGCAACAACATGGATGGAACTGGAGGTCATTGTGCTAAGTGAAATAAGCCAGGCACAGAAAGGCAAACACATGTTCTCACTTATTTATGGGATCTAAAAATCGAAGCAATTGAACACATGAAGATAGAGAGTAGAAGGATGGTTACCAGAGGATGAGATGGGGGTGGGAAGGGGAGAGGGAGGTGGGGATGGTTAATGGGTACAAAAAAGTAGTTAAAAAGAATGGATATGAATAAATTTGACAGCACAACAGAGTGACTATAGTCAGTAATAATTTAATTATACATTTAAAAATAACTAAAAGAGTGTAATTGAATTGTTTGTGACACAAAGAATAAATTCTTCAGGGGGATGGATACCCAATTTTACAAGATGTGATTATTACACATTGCAAGCCTGTGTGAAAACATCTCATGTATCCCATAAATACATATACCTGCCTAGGTACCCACCCAAATTAAAATTAAAAATTAAAAAATATTTTATTGCTAAAAATAATACAATAATAAAAGCAATGCAGTATAACAACTATTTACAGATAATTTACATGTATTAGGTATTATAAGTAATCTAGAGATGATTTAAAGTATATGGGAGAATGTGCTTAAGTTATATGCAAATACTACATTATTTTATATAAGGCACTAGAGCATCCTTAGATTTTGGTATCCTTGGGTGGTCTTGGAACTGATCTCCCAGTATCTGTACTTCATTTCTCCTCTCTAGCCTCTGTGATATTGTTGTATGTTTTACTTTACATTTGTTATAAATGTTAAATTTTAATTTATGAATGTCATTATTTCTCCTTTAAATAGTTTAATATTCTTTAAAGAGATTTAAATAATTAGGAACAAGTCTGTATATTTATCCATATAGTTTCCATTTTTGGCACCCTTCGTTACTCCTTTGTGTAGACCCAGATTTCCATGCGATGTCATTTTCTTTTTGCTTGAAGACTTTCTTTAAAAATTCTTATAGTGAAAATTCAATGATACATTCAGCTTTTGTACGTCTAAAAAATCTCAGCCTTCTTTTTCGAAAGATATTTGTGCTAGGTAAATAATTCTAGGATGAACTTTTTTCCTTTAAATTCTTTAAAGATATTGTTCCACTCTCTTCTAACTTGCATTGTGTCTTTTATTTTTTATTTTGTTGAGACAGGGTCTCACTCTGTTGCTAAGGCTGGAGTGCAGTGATGTGATTATAGCTCAGTGCAGCCTCTAACTCCTGGGCTCAAGTGATCCTCCTGCCTTAGCTTCCTGAGTAGCTAGGACTACAGTGATGCACCATCACACCAGCTAATTAAAAAAATTTTTTTTTTGTAGAGACAGGGTCTCGCTATGTTGCCCAGGTTGGTCTTGAACTCCTGGCCTCAAGTTATCCTCTCATCTCGGCCTCCCAAAGTGGTGGGATTACTGGCATGAGCCACTGTACCTGGCCACTTGCATTGTTTTTCTGAGAAATCTGCTGTCATCCTTTTCTTTGTTCTTCTGCATATAATGTATTTTTTTTCTTCTGGCCACTTAAAATTTTCTCTTAGATGAGTTGGTTTAAGAAATTTGATGATCATAGTGTGACTTGGTATGGTTTTCTTCATGTTTTTGTGATTACGGTTGGTTGAACTTTTTTAATCCGTAGGTATACAGTTTTCATCACATTAAGAAAATTTTCTGTCATTATTTTTTCAAATCCCCTCTTCTTTTTCAGAGACTTTAACCACATATATATTTTACCACTGGCATTTATCTCACAGGTCACTGATGTTCTCTTTATTTTTTTAGTCCTTTAACCCTCTGATAATTTTGTATAATTTCTACTGCTCTGCCTTCAAGTTCACTAATCTTTTCTTCTGCAGTTTCTAATCTGTCATTAATTCCATCTAGTGTATTTTTCATCACATTGTTTTCTATAAGTTTAATTTGGTTTTAGAAAAAACCTTCTGTGCATTCGCCAAAAATGTTTAATCCTTCCTCTAGTTCCTTATACATATGGAATAGTATTATAATAACTGCTTTAATGACCTTATCTATTTATTACCTATGTCAATTTTGGATCAGCTTTGACTGGCTGATATTTTCCTAACTATGGATCATATTCTTCCACTTCTTTGCCTGCATGTTAATTTGTAGTTGAATGCTAGACATTGTGCATTTTATCTTTGCAGGTGCTAGATATTTTTGTATTCTTAAGTTGTGTTCTGGTACACAGTTAAATTATTTTGAAACAGTTTAATCTATCCCCAGCTTTCTTTTAACATTTTTACATGAGACCACAACAGCATTAAGTCTATGGTTAATTTTGTCCACAGATCAGGAAGACTCCTCTGAGTACTCTACCTGATGCTTAATGAATTATGAGATTTTCTGTACTTGTTGATGAGGTCAGGCATTATTTTCAGCCCTGAATTTTCTCTGGGGATTGTTCTGTTCAATGCTTTTGGGTAGTCTTTTTCTTGGCCTCAGGTACATTCCTCATATGCATACACTGATCACTACTCAGTATAATACTTACACTCTCGTATTTGCAGAGTTCTCTTTCTGTTAAGCTCCCTCCTCTTTGGTACTCTGCCCTATGAACTCCAGCGGCCTGGGATCCCAAGCAGCTCTGTTTCTTCAACTCGGGGAGGCCAGTGGGCTGTGGTTACGTTCTCTCCTCCTTGAGCCTCAGACTGGAAACTCTCCATGCAGTAATCTGGGGCAATCGTGGGGCTCATCTTATTCATTTCTCATCTCTTATAAACCACTATCTTTCATTGCCTGATGTCCAGTGACTTAAATATTTTGTGTTGTTTTTAAAATTATTCCAGGCCTAAAAATAAATCCAGCTCCTGTTACTCCATGTTGACCAGAATGTATAATTGTTATTGCTGTTTTTTTTCTTTAAAAAACACCTTTATTGAGATGACTTATCCAATTAAACTGAGGCTCATTTGCAGGGATAGTTTTTGAGGTCAGTGTTTGAGGTTTGCTTTGACCCCAAGAGGTCTGTTTTTAGCCATGTCTTTTCCTGGTTCTCTCTGATAAACTAGCTGGCCTATGGTCTAGTTTATGTCACTAATGAACTTACCAGTTTCCTCTCAATTGCTTTTTGCCCAAGCTTCATTGTTTTGAAAGTCCCCTTAATGTTGAACTTTGTACTCATTTGCAAATAAAGTCAGTTCATTCGGGAAGGGCTTTAGAGCTCTCTATGTCCTGCCTTTCCTCTTGGGGAAATGTTTCAGGAGCTTTTGGCTATGGCTCTGGGGCTGGGTGGGGACAGTGGTAGGTAGCTACTTTCTGAGTGACACCCCTGCTTTAGGAGGTGGGTGCTTATTGGAGAGTCTATTGTATTCCCAGCTTGCTTCTCATAGCATGGAACCTCTACTTTACAAATGAGCTGGTTGATGGTGCCAGTATTCTCAGTGTGTTGCACCCAAGGCAGGGCTTTTGTCCCACAAGTAGGGGCTGAGCAAAAGAAGAGAGCCTCAACCGATTACTACAATCACCTGGAATTTAGTCTCTGCAACAGGTAGCTGGGGTGGGAAGAAAAATGCTGATGGATTTTCCTTCTTGGGAAAATACCATAGCCCTTGACTGGGAGCTGGGTGGAGACAGTGCTGTGTCCTTGGCTGTACCCACCTGGAGTGGAGTTTCTGTCACATTTTGCTGGCAGTGGGAGGAATGGAGCAGGTCGTGGTTGAAATGCCACAGACCCTCCCATTTCTTGCCAGGTTTTAATAGATGTTCTTGAATTAAATGTTTTTTTATTTGCTGTATGCCCTAAGGCCATTTCTAGAGACTTTAAATAAATACATATATCTTAAATATTTTATACACACACACAATTGCCCATTCTGGAAGTGGAAGTCCCCCGTCTCCACCCCCAGGAGGTTTTCAACACTCTAGATGTGGATGCCCAGCTGACCGCTCACTCTGCCTCCCACTGCAGGAAGACTCAAGGATAGATGCCCCAGTGAGTCAACCTCCTAGCTTCTTTTCAAATTCAAACAATCTTTTCTCTAGCCACACCTTGGTTCATAGGCTAAAACCCTTGTTACTTGGATTTGACCTTTTTGAGAATTTTTGGAGCGTGCACAGTCTTGTTGAACCCTAATGCAACCAAGTAGTTGTGTAGTTCTCTTCTAGGGTCAGATTCACTCTCATCAGATAATGTGTGGACCCGGGAAACAAATTATCTGTACATGCTGGCCGTCTCCCTGCATTTCCGCCACCTGGTGGGCAATTTTCACATGGACTGCCTTGAATCTGGATTATATTTGGTGGTCTCTGGCACCCTCCGGTGATGAGATATTTTAGCCCTGTGTTTTGTGGTAGTTTGACCGTATTTCATTTGTGATGAAGTGATTTTTGACCTGTATAACTGCTTTACAAGGAAACACACTTGGAGCTTGTTCACTGAGGGGCTGGAATAGTCAATCTGCATCCATGTCCACAGGCTGTTGGCTGGCATTTCTTCGGTGATGAGTCTGGTTTAGCCTCATTGTGAGAACATGCAAGGTGTGTGCATCCCTGGGTCTCTAGTTTAGTGTTCCTTCCAGGTCTTGGGCACCTATCCCAGCAGATCTTGGTGGCAATCATGAAGGATATCCTGGGGACATCACAACATAGTCCTCTCCCAGTTTTGCTGGCCAGCAGTGAAAAGACCGAGAGGCTGCTTTCGGGTCTTGTTTTTACAACTAGACCTTCGAAAGACATAAAGCATCTGTGTCCCTGCTTTGTAAGGTTCCAATCACCCCAGATCTTTTTCTTCATCCCCATGAGCAGTGGGGGGTCACGTTAACAATTTGGATCCAGTTATTCTCAGCAGCTAATGTCCTTCCAGCAGAGAGGGCGGACGCTGGGACTGTCCCATCATCGATGTTCCTCCAGCTCAGCCATCTTCTGGCTGCTGGACCAGATTGTCTGACTTTATTACCCAAGGGCTGAAAGGCTTATTGTCCCTGTGGCCACTTGGAAGCTTATGATCTTTGACTCCTGAGCTGTATTCTGTCATCCATTTAGCATAATATAGCGATCAGTCCAAGGACTCCAGTTCCTTATTTTACTTGTGAAGGATCATTTAGAAAAAAAATTCAACCTCCTTAGCAGTAGTTTGTCCTGGAATGTTGGTTTTATTAATAATTACTGTGGGTTACACCTCCCCTGCCTTCTCACCTTCTTTGAGGTTTCCCACATGAAAACCCCTGACACTGACTGAGGGATGGTCAGATTTTTAAAAATGTGACATTGGGGTTTTGAGGACCAGCATTCACGTCCATCCTGTATGAGGCCATCCTTGAAGTCAGAAGTTTTCCACTCTGAACCATCATTAGAGGAGTCATCGCTATGGTGACATGATGGTTTTCTCTCTTTCCATGAACTTGGAGATGGGGAATTATTTGAAAAGATAGAGAGCTGAGTGTCCAACCTCACTCTGGTCATATGACGTCTCTAGGGGAGCAAAGGCTAAAGGAAATTGGTTTCCTCCTTGCTGTGCAATGCACTAGCTTTTGGACACATGGCTGTCCTGTCACTTTTTACTGGAGCTAGGCCCGAGGCATTTGCAGGAGTGTAATTTATTTGGCCCCAAGCTGTGACACGTTCTGGGTCCACCGGAAATTCTTGATTTCTTTTATACTCTGCTGGGCGGGCTTCTCTAGGGTACTTATTCTAGGAATAAATCTCACGAATCTTTGTGGGCTTTGAAGTCCACATTGCTCCTTGGAGAGGAGAGAGCATCTGCATCCATTCTTTGCTCACCCACCACCCCCGAAGTGGCCATTCCAAAGAAAGCTGCCTGTGTTCTCACTGGCTGATATCTATCCCCATTTTAACCTGATTTAGATGGGGCTGACCAGCATTTATGGTTTGGTCACAACGCTTGCCTTCTGCAGTTCCCTGTGGCAGCTGACTGTTTGCATTCTGCAAGATGAATGCCTGAAGGCTTCATTTGACTTCATTTGATTGAAGGTCTATCATAGTAGCAGTTCGGAGATGACCTTCATTTCCATGCCATCTTTTGATGCTGAGATATTGTGTCAACCAGGGTAGACTCAGGAGGCAAACCACACCAGTAATTTGAACAGGGATTTTTTCAGAGTTGTTAAACTATAAAGAGTGGTGAGCTCATGAAAAGGATAAAGCAGGACTGTACAACGTTCATGAGTAGCAGATTCAGAAAGCAGCTACCGACTCACGCGGAGTGAGTGAAGGAACTAAGAGCTTGAGAATGGGACCCCAGGCAAGGCTGAGATTCAGACTTTTCCAGGAGAGCATGGTTTTGCTGTGAGCTGTAGCCTGCCAGAGGCCAAGACGCTTGCCAGAGAGTGTGAGCAGAAGCTGGTCCATGGAAGGGCCTATCATTGCCCAGGGGTATGTGGGTGGGCTGGTGCAGGTCTGGAGGATCAGCCCCAGGGTGGAAAGGTGATTGCCTGAGGATGCAGTAGGAGCTTGTCTGTAGAAGCAGCAGCCAGGGACTTTATATTTGCACAGATAATCTTTTCACACATTGCCCTTTTAGGGATATGGAAAGTAGAGTCCTGGGCTAAACAGATGCCTTCTTTAACAGTTCACTATGGAAGCTGGATGTGGTGGCTCATGCCTGTAATCCCAGCACTTTGGGAGGCCAAGGTGGGAGGATTCCTTGAGGCCAGGAGTTCGAGACCAGCTTAGGCAAATAATGAGATTCCCCATCTCTACAAAAAATACAAAAATTAGCTAAGTGTGGTGGTGTGTGCATGTAGTCCCGGCTACTCAGGAGGCTGAGGCAGGAGGATCACTTGAGCCCAGGAGTCTGAGATTGCAGGGAGCTATGGATGCACTGCTGCTCTCTAGCCTGGGTGATACAGGGAGACCCTGTCTCAAGAAAAGGAATACACTATGGAAAAGGAGGTGAACGTTCGGTGGTCAGCAGCCTGTTGCTGCCATAGGGGGTTTTAGTGGCCAAAGGCTAAGTGTAATGGCTTTGCTATTGCAGGGGCCACCCTCACTTCCCCGCCTATCCTACCATAGGCTGAGATATTTAGGCCACTGAGATTCTGCACACAAGTCTTACACACAGAATCAGAAGGAAATTGACCAAAGAAAGGCCCTGAGATGGTTGTCCAAATTCCAGGAGGAAGCGCTCATGGTGAACCAGTGCTCTGGTCACACTAGCTGAGTAACTCTTGTTCTAGGAGTGCTGTGGTGACTGCTTTGGGTTGAGGGACGCTTCTGATAATTCTCAACCAGGGGTAAGGCAAGGGGTCTGCAGGCAGGCAGTGGGAATGACTGCTGTACGAGGTCACTGCTTATTCCAACACCAGGAGCCATGCCACTCTACCCCAGCTGCCACAGGAAGGGAGACCTGCAGGCTGCCCATGTAGGAACTCCCCAGGCATTGAGTTTTTGCTGGAGTTGATGGGTCCCAGGGTTGGTTGAGGAAGAGGACAGGAACCTTTCGTGGGGGTGCTGGTGGGAGAAGAGGGGTGTTTCTTGTTTTCCCATACTCTAGGCCCTTCTCTACATGGTCTGGGATTTGCTTGACTTTGCCACCAGATGTCGCTGTCTACTTGTACAGAAGCACGGGGAGGCGACTACAGCCTGCCCAGAACTGAGAATTAAGAAACAGGGTTGCAAAAAGCCCAGTGGTGTCCCGCAACTGGCTTGCACCAGCTCAGGAGAGCTGATGATTTAAGAGCATCTCTTCCCAACTCTGTGTTCAGTGGGGCACCTTGGTAGCTTGAAATCAGCCATGGTGGGATTATTTATACCATGGAAATGGGCAAATGCTACAAATTAGGACTCCCACCGCCCTTGCTACTCTGTTAGTTGTTAAACTTTTCCCAGCACACCAGTGGGCACAGTGACCATTTAATGACAAGGATTGGGAAACTAAGGCTCAGGCAGTTTATTGAATTAGTCACATAACTGGAAAAGAACTCTGTGTGTGAAGCGCTGTGTTAGAGAAAACAAGAGTGAACAAGTCCTTTTCGTCTGCCCAGTCACAGGAGGGAGACTCAATATCTAACTGCAGTGGAGGACTGCCCTGGTGTCTGGCCCACGCATGCTGCCTGCCTGGGTTAGTTGAGAGCTGTAAAGGAGGGTTGTAGTAAGAGCTGCGTGGTGCAAATGGAAAAGTCTGCTGATATCAAGTGTGGTAAAGAGTTAGAGAAACAGAACCCACACATTGCTAGTAGGGTGTAAATTCATCAGCCACATTAGAGGGCAGTAAAACTGAAAATGTGCATTCCTCCTGATCCAGCAGTCCTGCCTCTGGGTATTATCTGGAAGATCTTATTTGCTAATTCCTGCATTACTTGTGGTAGCAAAAAGCTGGAAACAGCCTAAATGCTGTTTAGTCGATATATATATATATATATAAATGTATCACTATATATGTGGTGGTACATATCTATAAAGAGCCTAAATGTGTAATATATAGATGTGCCACACTATCTATTTATAGTGTGTAGAAAGTATATATAGTATATATGTATATATAGTATATATATGTAGCGATACATATACATATATACACACACATATATATATGGCCTAAAAGCCTAATATATAAATGTACACTATATATATATATATATATATATATATATATATATATATATATATATATATGGCTTCTGTGCGGAATAAAAAGAAAGGACAGCAGGGAAACAGGAAAGCACCTTCTCGCCGCGGTGGCCTCGCAGCTTCCCCCAGGTGCTCTCTTTTGGCAAAGCCTAACATTGCAGCGGCGGGCAAAGGAGGGCGCTGTTTACCAGCCGGCTTCCTAGAGCTTGCGAGAAAGGGGCAATTTGCAGCTAGAACATTCCGCTGATAACTGGCAGAGTTCACCCGCTTTCCTACTTAGCTTCCGTATTTATCTTTCTACACACATTTGAACTTCTGAGGAACCAAAAAACAACTCTGTTTCCGTCTAATAAGAAGCAGTTATCCTTTATATGAACGAAATTCTCACCCTCTCCTCCAAGCGAGATGCAGGCTCCCAAGAGCCACTGCATCCACAGCTAACTATATTAGTTTATCTTCATCTTTAGTCACAATTTCACTGAATACTCTGCTAACAACTCATAATAAGAAAAGATAAATGGTTAATAACTCCAAATACATACATATACCACACATGACAAGCAAAGTAAAAAAATGTGCTTTTTTACTTGGTCATGAATAGAATTACCAGATAAAATATAGGATGTCCAAACAGTGAATGCATTTTTAAGCATAAATATGTCCCCAATATTGCATAGGACATACAAATAGTACTTTTAGTAATACTATTTGTTGTTTATCTGAAGTTACTATCTCACTGGACGTCTGTATTTTCGTTTACTAAACCTGGTAAACCCTAGTTATGAGCCACAGATGCTATCTGTGACTTCTTTTGTCCACTACCCATTTGATATTTCCCTGTTCCACAGCTAGAACCTCAGCTGGTTACAGATCTTTATCTGGTGGGAAGATCTAAACCTTCATTCTTGAAGGGTCTGAGTAGGCAGAAGTACTAAGATGATGAGTACTCGGGGTTCTAGGTGAAGTCCTTCTTGCCCCCACTATGTGACACAGCAGCCCAATTTCCCCTCGTTAGCACCAATCAGTCCTTCCAGTAAAGTTGCCCCCGTTTCTGACTGTTAGTTCCAACTCAATGGAGCCATTGTGGTGTCCCCTGGGAGAGGCATTATATTCTTGGGAACTAAGATCTTCAAAGCAGCAGAGCTCAAATGTTCGGATAGCAAGCAAACCTTATTTGAGCGTATTAGGAGGATTATTTGTGGAAGAAGCCACTCTCACTTCTATCCATCTATTCTCAGACCCATGTACTGTGGCTCCTGGGGAGACTGTGTGTATTAACCATGCTCTTTTATTTTCTGTTTTCTGATGATCTGACATCTGGGGCCTTGCTGACCCTGGGGCACTGCCCCTTGCAGGGTTAGCTAATTCTTAGAGATGGCAAACAGTGAGCCTTTCTTGTGCAAACCAACCAATCCAGAACCCATACCCTGAAGCACTTTTTTTTTTTTTTTTTTGAGACAGAGTCTCGCTCTGTCACCCAGGCTAGAGTGCAGTGGCACGACCTTGGCTCACTGCAAGCTCTGCCTCCTGGGTTCATGCCATTCTCCTGTCTCAGCCTCCTGAGTAGCTGGGACTACAGGCACCCGCCATCATGCCCAGCTAATTTTTTGTATTTTTAGTAGAGACAGGGTTTCACCATGTTAGTCAGGGTGGTCTCGATCTCCTGACCTTGTGATCCACCCGCCTTGGCCTCCCAAAGTGCTGGGATTACAGGTGTGAGCCACCGCGCCCGGCCCTGAAGCACTTTCTTTCCTGGGCTCTCACAGGCTGGGCTGCTATCCACCTGCCCTCATCACTCCAAGACCAGGTACCAGACAAGTAGGTATCTAGTTGTTCCTGTGCTCCAGAGCCCACCAAAATTATTCAAACTAGCCAATCCTAAACCTGCTTACCTTGCCTCCCCTGTTCCTTCCCAGTGGAAACCACAATAGAGGTTCTTGCCTGTTTTCTCCCCCTCCCCTCTGCCTCCTGACCAATGCTGCTGCTTCTCTGTGTGGCCCTGTGTGGCGTGGTTTGTTCCCTTTTCTTGAGATCTGTGAGTATAACAAATCTTTTCTTTATACCAGTCATTTCCTTGTCTGCATGTCTTACCATACCTGATTTAAAAATATCCCAGGCACCGTTAAAACACTGTCACTTGATGGTCTTGAGTCAAAGCATAGACTGTACCCTTAAGATAGGACCTCCATATTTCAGGGTGCCATCTCTCAAGTCGTGCCACAACTGAGTCTTCAGTAAGTCACTCCACTTTTAGTCTGGCCGTGCCTGGGCATGGGTATGTAGTAAGAGCAGTTAATTCCATGCTGCATTTCCTTTGCAGTGGAATCAGTTCCCTGATTAGACACAGCACTGTGGGGAATGACACGATGGTGGCCAGGGATCTCAGGAGTCCAGGGTTGGTGATGCTGGAAGAAGCATTACAAGCAGGGATGGCAAATCCATATCCAGAATTTGTGCCCCTTCCATGGTAGAAGAGATCAATGGAATTAATCTGCCAGCAGGAGGCTGGCTGGCCCCCGACATTAATGATATATAAGGGTCTTGGTGTTGGTCTCTGCCCTTGACAGATTGGCCACTTTTGTCAGTGGTAGCCAGGTCAACCTTAGGAAGAGGGAGATTTTCTGCCTTAGGCCATTTAGTGTTATTATAACAAAATAACCAAGGCTGGGTAATTTATAAATAAAAGCCATTTATTTGGCTTATGATTCTGGTGGCTGGAAGGTCCAAGGTTGGGCAGCTACATCTGGTCAGGACCTCAGGCTTTTTCAGCTGATGGCAGAAGATGGAAGGGGAGCAGGCAAAGTGACCATATGGAGGGAGAGGAAGCAAGAGAGAGAAACTAAGGAAGCCAGACTCTCTTATTTAACAACTTGCTCTCGAGGGAAGTAAGCCATTCCTGTGAGACCAATAACTCACTCCCAGGAAAGGCATTAATCTATTCACAATGGATCTGCTCCCATGACCCAAATATCTCCCATGAAGTCCCACCTCCCAACGTTGCCACAACGGGGACTAAATTTCAACATGCATTTTGGAGGGGAAAAACCACATCCAAGCCATAGCAGCCATGCTCATGAGGTAATGCACAGCCTCTACGTGTGCCACCATGACTGTCCCCTCTGTCCACAAGCCCACTGGGCAAATACTGGGATGGCTGGGGAATGAGGTTGACTGACATCTATGGAATGTGTCATTTTGTCCACCTGATTATCGAGGCCTCTTCTGCAGAGAGTGTTCATGTGCCATGTGGTCAGCATTCATATGCAATGCTGGTGTCTGCTCATAGTGTCCATAATGAGGGGCCCATCCCTATGCCTCTTCCCACCCTTCCTTGTCATTAATTTTCAAATCTGATCATTGATCCTTCTGAGTCCCTGACCAACCAGCCAAACCTCTAGCAACTCCTCATGAGTCACCATCATCTGTGTTATTTGCCATCTCTCAATCCAGACCAAGTTGCCAGCGAAATACCCCCATCAGTCTCCAGCCCCTGGGCAAGCCAACCTTCCCTGTGTCATTCAGGGCAGCTCGAGTGGTGCAGTAGTGCTGCAGCTGGTCACCTTCAGGGATCAGCAGCACATTGTGCATACCCAGCTGTAATCAAGCTCATGTGTTTTCTTCCTCAGTCAGTTGGTCCTGAGGAACAGCCCAGGAAGCCTTAGGCTGGATGGAGTCTGAGGAGCAGGTGTTGAGGGATCTGAGCCACCTGCTCATGACACTTGCTTGTCCCTTCTGGGCCTGACTGAGCCTGGGCTCTTATAGGCAGTTTCCTCTGGTGATTGATTGCTGCTTTGGCTGCATGGGTCAGGGCACCCAGGTCATGGTGGGAAGCTCAGGCTGGGTGCTTGCCTGGTGTCCTATGGGTAGGCATTTAGTTTCCACCAAGGCCCAGTGGTGAGCGGAAGCTGTTTCTCAGAGGAAGCAGAGTCACCTGCAGAAGAGGGTGCAGACTTGCTCCCACGTCCTAGAGGTCTGCACGGTGATTCTTCTGCTGCTTGCCAGATGCTCCGTGTGGCACCCCCAGTCTCTCCACAGATACTGGATTTCACTGAATGTGCCAGATTATAAGGTCCAAGTGGAAGAGACACCTGCACTGGAGCTTAGGCTTGCTGCAGAGACTTCTCATTGTCTGTTCCCATTCAGCACTGGCCACCTTGTGTGTGACTTGGGAGATGCGTCCACGTGGCCCACTCCACTGAGGCACATCTTGCCTCCAGCCATAAAGGCCCACCAGGCTTTGTGTTCATGGCTGGTGGTGTGACTTGCAGCCACTCATCTTTCACAGGCTGCACATCTGTGGCCATAGTGATTGTCCCGTGAGTTCTGGTTGTTAAAAAGGCTCAATCATGTGACTTTGGTGGAGGAACTCTGATTGGGTCCTGTAATGGGTATCCTGCCTTCTTCAGGCCCCAAAGCCAACTCTCTCTCTCTCTCAATCTATCTGGCTCTCTCTCTCTCTTTCTCTCTCTCTATCTTTCTCTCTATCTTTACCTTCCTCCCTCCCTCCCTCCTTTCCTCTCTCGCTCTCTTTCTTGTTTTCTTTTTTCTCTCTTTTCTCTTGCCCAGGCTGGAGTGCATTGGGTGTGATCATAGCTCACTGCAGCTTTGAACTCTTGGGTTCAGCTGATCCTCCTGCCTTAGCCTCCCAAGCAGCTGAGACTACAAGTGCATGGCTGATTTTTTTAAAAAAAAATTGTTTTAATAGAGAAGTGGGTCTCACTTTGTTGCCAGGGCTGGTCTGAAACTCCTGGCCTCAAGTAATTCTCGCTCCTCATCCTCCCAAAGTGGTGGGATTACAGGTGTGAGCCACCCCACCCACATCTGGCCCAACCCTCCCTTTTCTTCAGCCTTTTCCCCTGTGTGATTGTGACTCCATCCCTCTGGGCTCAGCCTAATGTGGATGCTGGCCTGTGTATCTCTGGGTGATCTGCAGTGTATGTGAGGTCAGCCCCCAGTGCTTAAGGACTAGGGGACAGGCTCTGTCTCTGAACCAAAAGGAAGGGAAGGGGTGACCAGTGCTGAGCCCATATCCTGTACCCAGTAACATGACAGGCCATTCACCTACATGTTCATTTAATCCTCAAATCAACAAAACATGGTACATATGAACTTGAAGTAGCCATTACCCCGAAAGGTGTTACATATCTTTCCAAATATCCCTGGTGGAAATGATTGGACCTGAAATTGGACCAAGGTATGACCCAAATCCCATGGTCTCCTCCCTCTGTAACAGCTGCAGCAGGGCCAGGGCAGGGGCAGAGGGGATGCCCATGCTTGGCAAGGAGGTGGGAAAATCAGGCTGAGAGTGGACACAAGGGAAGTCCTCAGGACTCCAGGCAGGAGACAGAGCAGGGACCTGGCTGTCAGGCCAGGGGCCTTATGAATGGGATTAGTGCCCTTATAAAAGAAGCCTCAGAGAGCTGCCTGGTCCCTTCCATCTTATAAGGACACAGCAAGAAGGCACCCTCTGTGAACCAAGAAACAGACAGAGCCAGGACAGGTCTGCCCACAGCCCCAACTTCCTGATGCTGTGCTGTCCCCAGCATGGACTCCTCACCCCATGCTCAGGTGGGGAGACCCTTACACCAGAGGCCTTGGACCTGGTTCCTGCTGCATCTCCCCAGAGTTCTGCCAAGTGTGTTCTTCTTGCTGGAATTTTTGGTTGGTTCTTGAGCTGTGCTTGCTCAGGAATCTCCATTGTCCCTGGCCTGGCAGGATGGGGGTGGGGGTGATCATCTGCCTGTCCTAGGCCCGAGGCCTGCACCACCCTGCCCCTGGTTGCCCTGAGGAAGGCCAGTAGGCCTCAGCCCTGGTCTTGGTCATCAGGAATAGGCCTCTCTGCATCTCCTGGGATTCTGGTCTCGACCTCCTCCTCCTTTGGATGGCTTCATGTATGGGGTGAGGCCCTGCTCTGCCGGAGCTGTTTGCCTCCATGAGGGAAGCCAGCCAATGCGGAGATGAAGACAGGGTGGAGAGAATCCCAGAGAAACAGGGCTGGGCATCCGGGTTCAGGCGGCTCTGAGTGCCCCACGTCTGGATTTCCAGTTATGCAAGGCAATAACTCCCTCTTTGTCTGAGGCCATTTGAGTCATGTTTCTGGGACCTGCAGGATGGCTCTCTGACATGGTCTATAACAGATGTTACATGTGTGCTCTGGAAGCATGGGGGAGGGGCGCCCGGCTGTGCTGCCCCTGCCTCAGATACTGTGCAGAAAAGGCCAAGAAATCCCATCACAGAGATGTGACTAAACTGTTGGAAATGCAAGGAGAACAGACACAACTCTTGCATAATATAAGGGCACGTTTCAGAAATGATGCATGAAGAAAGCCTTTTAGAGAAGAGCTCCTATTTCCAGAATGGTGGGCTAAGATAGAGAATGGCTAAAAAGATACCATGAAATTTCCACTCCAAGGAAGATTGGTATAGTTATGTTGACATCAAATTTTAAAACTTTATGGCCAAGAAGCATTACCTGAAATAACTTGAAGAAGATATCAGAAGATTAGAAGACTTAATCGACTTGAGCTAATGGACTTATCTATGGAACATCGCATCCAGAGTTATGGGATGTATATTCTCTTCAAGCAGAAAAGGACTGGCCAGGCGCGGTGACTCATGCCTGCAATCTCAGCACTTTTGGAGGCCGAGGCAGATGGATCACCTGAGGTTGGGAGTTCGAGACCAGCCTGACCAACATGGAGAAACCCTATCTCTACTAAAAATACAAAAAAAATCAGCCAGGCATGGTGGCACATGCCTGTAATCTTAGCTACTCAGGAGGCTGAGGCAGGAGAATCGCTTGAACCTGGGAGGCGGAGCTTGCAGTGAGCTGAGATAGTGCCACTGCATTCTAGCCTGGGCAACAGAGTGAGACTCCGTCTCAAAAAAACAAGAAAAGAAAAAAAAAGAAAAGGACCACGGGCAGAAATTGACTACTGTGGTCTGAATTCTTGTGTTCCCAGAATTCATATGTTGAAACCTAATGTGATGGTGTTAGGGAAGTGGGGCCATTGGGAGGCAACTAGGTCATGAGGCCAGGGGCCTTATGAATGGGATTAGTGCCCTTATAAAAGAAGCCTCAGAGAGCTGCCTGGTCCCTTCCATCTTATAAGGACACAGCAAGAAGGCACCCTCTGTGAACTAAGAAACAGGTCCTCACCAGACACTGAACCTGCTGGTGCCTTGATCTGAGACTTCTCAGCCTCCAGAACTATGAAAAATAAATTTCTGTTGTTTATGAGCCACCCATTTTATGGGATTTTGTTATAACAGCCCAAATGGACTAAGACATGGACCATACGTGGGCCTGTAAAACAAGCCTAAACAAATTTCAAAGGACCAAAACATTCCACATATGTTCTGTAAGCAAAATACTAGAAATCAGTCACAAAAATATAACTAGAACATCCTCATATGCTTGGAAATGAGGAAATATGTTCCCAGTGATTTAGAGAGATTCTCAAATTGGAAATTAGGTCACATTTTGAACTAAGCAATAATGAAATCATTACATGAAAACCTTGTGAGATACAGCTAATGTAGTACATAGAGGGAAATTGATTACCTTAAAATATGTATAGAAATTTTATAGAAAATAAGCTGAAAAAGAATGAGCTATGCATAGATCTCAGAAAAATGCAGTAAAATAATCTTGAAAAGTTGAAGGAAATAAGAAAGGGAAGAACAAGTATTAAAGAAGTAGATCATATATTCAGTGGGATGATGCAGCAAGAAAGTGGCAGTTAGTTCCTTTACAATATTACAGAAATTGAAACTGATTCGGTGAATTTATCAAGAACAGAAGAAAGGACTGGGTGGGTGCGGCGGCTCATGTCTGTAATTCCAGCACTTTGGGAGGCTGAGGTGGGCGGATCACTTGAGGTCAGGAGTTCAAGACCAGCGTGACCAACATGGCGAAACCCTGTCTCTACTAAAAATACAAAAAATAAGCCAGGTGTGGTGGCACTCGCCTGTAATCCCAGCTACTCGGGAGGCTGAGGCAGGAGAATCACTTGAACCAGGGAGGCAGAGGTTGCAGTGAGCCAAGATTGCACCACTGCACCACTGCACTTCAGCCTACGTGACAGAGCGAGACTCTATATCAAAACAAAACAAAACAAAATAAAAACAGAAGAAAGAAGGCACAAATCACCCATATCGAGTGTAAACAGGGCTGGGGGCGGGGGGTTGTTTTATAGATGTGGAATACCTAAAATGGGTAATAGAGTCAATTTTAACAACATTATGCCAGTACTTTGAGATGAAATGAGAGTATTCTTAGAAAAATCTAATCAAACACATATATTTGACTCAAGAAGAAGTAGAAAATCTCAGTTCTTCTAAGGGTATTGAATACATAGTGACAAATATTCCCACAAACAAAACTGGGTTAGGCAGGGTGCGGTGGCTCATGCCTGTAATTCCAGCACTTTGGGAGGCTGAGGTGGGTGGATTACTTGAGGTCAGGGGTTTGTGACCAGCCTGGCCAATACAATGAAACCTCTTCTCTACTAAAAATACAAAAATTGGCTGAGTGTGGTTGCACGAGCCTGTAATCCCAGCTACTCCAGAGGCTGAGGCAGGAGAATCACTTGAGCCCAGGAGGTGGAGGTTGCAGTGAGCTGAGATGGCGCTACTGCACTCCAGCCTGGGCCAAAGAGCGAGACTCTGTCTCAAAACAAACAAAAACAACCCCAAAACTGGCTCAGAGAGATTCACTGGTAGGAAATTCCAACCTTACACAAGATCCTCCAGAGAATAAAACAATTCTGAAGAATAAACGATGCCTTAATCACAGTAGTGCCACATATAGTGCTGGCTAGTACATAATGGACAAGTCTGGTCCATGCATTCCAAGGATGCAAAATCGGTTTGACATTAGAAGAATGACAAATTGCAATATTAAAGGAGAAAAAAATCACAATAAAAGATGCAGAAAAAACATTGAATAAAATCTGAAGAATGATTTTCAGAAACTACTTACCATACGAGAAATGTAAAATAACTTCCTTAATCTGGTGAGAGACTCCTGCAAGGAACCTACAGCAGGCATCGTGTTTAATAGTGAACTGTATATAAACATCCTTTGTGACAAGACAAGGATGCCGCATTGTACTGAATACCAGCAGGGAGAGTAAGGTGAAAGAAAAAAATGAAAGGTGTAGGAATTGAGAAGATGGCAACAAAATTGTCACCATTCACAGATGACATGTTTAAATGTGCAGCAAATCCTACAGACTGCACAGATACACTTTTAGAACTATGAGAAAGTGTAGCAAATTTACCAGATCTGATTTCAAATATATAAGCCTATTATTTAATATATTTTTGTACATCAGCAGATGAATGGAAAATAATATTAAAGAGGGATACAATTTACAATCACATTAAAAATATCAGTTGGACTGGGCACAGTGGCTCACACCTGTAATCCCAGCACTTTGGCAGGCTGAGGCGGGTGGATTGTTTGAGCCCAGGAGTTTGAGACCAGCCTGGAAAACATAGCAAGATTCTGTCTCTACCAAAACAATTTCAAATTAAAAATTAGCCAGGCATGGTGGTGCATGCCTGTAGTCCCAGCTACTCAGGAGGCTGAGGTGGGAGGATCACTTGATCTCAGGAATTTGAGGCAGCAGTGAGCCAAAACTGTGCCGCTGCACTCCAGCCTGGGTGACAGAGCCAGACCCTGTCTCTAAACAAAACCGAAACAAACACCTCCCCCGACCCGCTCCCTGCAAAAACTCACAACAAATGTATATCAGTAAACTAGGGGTTCATCTACAGAGATGTCCAAGCTGTTTATGGGGAAAATTGTACAACTTTCTTGAGAATTATTAAAGTATACTAATGGGAAAGACAGAGGATATTCATGGATTGAAAGGTGTCAATTCTTCCCAAACTGGTTAGTAAACTATCCATTCATTCAACGTGCAAAATTCCTGTACATTTTTAGGGGGATAGAAGAGTAGCTGATTCTAGGGAAGAGAAGCTCAGATCTTCTTGACAGAGAGGAGCACCCTCCTCCTTCCTGGTCACCTGGGCAACTTCAAGGTCATGACCAGAGGGAACCTGGGCCCCTCTATCGCCCGCCCAGAATTCTCCCTCTCCTTCCCCAAGCCCAGAAGCCGGCCACGCTGTTCCCAATGGAGGGAGCATTTCCTCTACCATGGACACAGCCCAGGCTCAGCTTCTGCTCTGGGGCACAGAGGGGAGGGGCTCTGAGGGCGGGAATCCTGTGGAGGGGCACAGCTCCCTGTGCTTTCCGGGGGTCGCACTACCCAACCCGGTGGCCCCCTCTTGTCCTGCAATCCCATCCCGGCTCCGGTGGCCCACTTCACCCTCCTCGGCCACCAAGGGTCTCTGCCCCCATGCTAGCAGTGCTGGGAAGGGCCCCAGTCTGTGCAGACTCAAAAGAGTAGGGACCAGGACTGCAACCTCTGAATAAAACCATGGGGAAACTGAGGCTCAGGGAGGCCAAGGTCAACGAGGCAGGAGCAGAATGGGCATCAGGGTGGCAGGGTCTGGTGACCTTCGAGTGACGCCCGGCGGGCTGGGCCTCGCCCTTGGGCTTTACCTGGTTCTCATTTGGTGCCAGATGTCTGTGCTCTCTGGGGATAGGAACATCCCAATCGTCCACAGTTCCAAGGCAGGGTGTGGTTGTGGGGCATGAGATGGTGGCCCTGCTGGGCTGTGCATTAGTCTGGCTGCTCTGGGGAGAACTCAGTTCATAGTAAACCCAAATATAGACGTGTGTCCCTCTAGTTACAGGGTGAGTGTGTGTCCTTGGGAGGCATGATGTATGCACGGGGACATGCAGGGGCTCACTGGCCTGTGTTTGTGAATGAATAACCCAGACAGCCCAGATGTCCATCCACTGGGGATGGGCCGGGACCAGCGTCTATTTGTATGTTGAACCATGGAGCTCTGTCTTATTTATCTAGTTGCATCTCCTAGTACTAGAGATATACATGTAGCAAGTTAGAAGGAGCGTGACAGGTTCCACATGATGTTGTTCAGGTGCATTTGAAAACTGAGAACAAATGCAAACTGCTCAGCATGGTCTGTAAGGCCCCAAGGAACCCCCACCCCCGCCTGCAACCCAGCTCCCTCTACCCCTTCCCTCCCTCACCCCTCCTCTCTTCTTGGATCTGGCCACATGGCCTCCTTGCTGTTTCTGCAATTCGTCAGCAGAGTCTCACCCCAAGGCCTTCGCACTTGCTGTTTCTGCCGCCAGGAGCGCTCCTCCCCAGGCACCTCCACAACTGGCCGGTCCCCTCATTGACTCAGGGGTGTCCCTTCCTGACCATCCAGCTAAACCAGCAGTTGTCACAGTCTCCCGTTTGACCCTGTCTTTTTCGTAAAGAACTCATCACATCACAAATGACAGCATCACGTGGTGTTTGTTCCAGGCCTATGTCACCCAATGGCACTTGGTTCCAGGGCTTGGCCCCCGAGGCCACCACTGGGTCCCCTGGGCATAAAGCCACATCCAGAGCTGTTGAATGGCTGCATGTGGAGTGAGCAGCACTGGGTTTCTCTCAGGGAAAAGGGGGAGGGAAACGGAGGGGAATCTAACCTGATCAGTTGTATTTTCCTCTCAGTAAAAGCCTGTGATAGTTGACAGCAGGCTAGCATTTGTTACTGCTGTGTGTCAATGTTCTTGGCATTTCTGTGTTTTCCTAAAGCCCAGGCAGGCCCTCCCCTCCTATACCCCGTCCCACCTGGCACAGAGGAGAGCCGTTTCTGGGACTCTCTGGCCTGGAAATTCCTCTCCCCCAAGGTGTCTTCTTCCCTCCCGGGGGACCGTGCACCCTGTGTATGTGACAGGTGGGTGTACAAGGGCCCCCAGATCCTCTGCTCCAGCCCCTCCCTTGGGAGAGGGCCCAGCCTCTGGGCTCTGACAGGGCCTCAGGAGCTGGAGTTATTCGGAATCTGAGTACCCGGACCATTGGTGGTGGGTGGAGGGGAGGGCTGTACCACTTTCCTGATGAGGGACCTTGGCCAGGTCACATCCCTCTCTGTGAAAGGAGATAATGATCTTGCCAGACTTGTGCATCCTGGGATTTCCGGATGAAGACTCCTGGGGGTTGTGACTGATAAGACAGAGACCTTCTAGAGAAGGGACAACAGTGGCCACTAGAGGGCGCTATCGACTCTGGCTCTGGCCAGTGCATGTGAGTGGGTGTGAGTGTGTGAATGCGTGTGTGTGTGTGAATGAGTATGAATGTGTGTGGATAAATGTGTGAGCATGAATGGGTATGTAAGTGTGACTGTGTGTGTGTGTGTGTGTGGATGTGTGTGTGTGTGGAGCCCCTTGTACAGGCACAGTTAGGATATGTCAGCCAAGGATGCAGCTGGGATGCCTTCACGTGGTGACATCCCTGTTCAGGTGACACTGCAGTGCACGGTTACCACATGGCTGGACTCCTGAACACTCAGCCATCCTGCTCTGGGGCAATCTTCCTATAGCCTCGAGCTCCCTGCCCCAAGAGTGGTCCTGAGGCTCCTTGGTCTGGGGGTGGGCACAGGACAGTGGAGTCACTCTGGCTCTAGCGCTGGAAGGAGGGGAGGCAGGAGGGGATGGCTGCTCTGCTCAGACCCTGCGTATCCCTCACATTCAATAAACTGGGCTGGGATGTTTAGTGTTGAGCAAGCTTCAGCCACGCATGCCCTGAGGAAGGAACACGTGCAGGGCCTGTGTGAACTGCACTGGGGCCCCCTATCCAGAGAGGAACCCCGGGGCCGGGTAGACTGGGGTGGGGGTGCCAGCTCTCTAACCTCCCCAAAGACCCAAGGGCTCCTCTGCTCAGAGTGGTCAATGTGGAGTCTTGGGGTGCTGGAGCCCAGCACCCTTTGCAGCCTCGGGGTGCTGGTCATGGGGCTGGATCCCAGCTAAGAGGGGACCTCATCAGGGCCAAGTGTGTGTGACAGCATCCTGTGGGGGAGCACTGGGCCTTAAGACTGGCAGCCAGGCTCACAGCTGGACCCATGACAAGTCCTTTGTCCCCTCTGGGCCTCAGTTTTTCTGTGTGGCTGAGTGGTGAGGTCCATTCTCTAAGACTCTTTTGGTGTCCCCCAGACCCCCCTGCCTCCTGGGGCAGCTGGGCTGGGCACCTGGGACCCATGAGGGGCTGACAGCCCAGGATCTGAGACCTGGGCCAGTGCAGAGCTGGGGGCACCAGGCCCTGCTGCTGGAGGTGCTGGGCTGAAGATCCCCCCAGCCTCCCACAGCAAGGGCAGCCACCCCAGGAGAGCCAGGCTGGGGACTGAAGACTTGGGAACTAAGGAGCTAGGGATTATCTGATGCAGGAGGGGCCAAATCTCCTTCCTGGGCTCTGAAGGTGGAGACAGTGGCCACCAACAGGGCCTCTCCAGCCATCCCTCAGCCCCACATGTGCACACCTCACAGACTCCAGCCCACAGACCCCTGACCTGGAATAGCTCTCCCAGCCCCCACTTGCAGCCCTCCTGCCTCCCTAGATCTCCAGAGCAGCCAGAGGCTGAACTCATAGCCCTGAGCCTTCTCCAATGGTGGTGTCAGTAGCAGTGGGGGTGGTTGGTGCTGCCAGAGAGAGACACAGAGCAGCCACGGTGGAGGCTGCGGAGGTGGAGGAGTCTGAGGCCTCCCTGAGGAGGGAGCTTGGGGCCTGGTTCAGGTCACCTCACAGTGGATGCTCTGGGGAGTTTGGAGGAGGCCCTGGGGGCCCCTCTATCTTTCCTATTCTCAGTGTAGAGCTGGGGTCAGGTGGGGCAGGTGGGAGCCCAGTTCCTGTGGATGCCTCTCCTTCCACACCCTCATGGGTACCTTTCGTGGATGCAGGGGGGCCTCTTTGGGCACTCAGCAGGGCAGTTCAGGCTCTCTTCTCTGGAAGTCAGTCTGGGACATGCGTCCAAGGCCTTAGACAGGCATGACCTTTGATCTTTGCAGAGAGGGTCAACCCCAAGTCAGTCACTGGATCCTTGCACAGAGGTGGGGGCGAGGGGCTTTGGCTGTGTCCTGCTCAGAACAGTGAATGACCTGAGCAAAGCAGCCTAATTGTCCAGCTGACTTGGGAAGAGGCTGCCTCAGTGTTGTTGGAGCTGCTTGTTCCCAGTGTGATGCGCACCCAGGTTTATCCACACCTGCATGGATATGTTGTTAAGTGACAACCGTAGAGAATCTTTGTCAGTCTGTCTATTCCTCCTCCTCCTCCTCCTTCTTCTTCTTCCCTTCGTCTTCTTCTTCCTCCTCCTCTTCTTCTTCTTCTTCCTTCTTTCCTCCTCCTCCTCCTTCTTCTTCTCCTTCTCCATCATCATCATCTATCTGCTATGTGAAATGCAAGGCTGAGTCTGGAATTCCAGATACAACCAGTACAGATCTCCAGGCTGCACTGGAAACTTTCTCTTTATACTCTTTTCTTCTTTAATTAGGAAAGAATTCACTATGTTTGAAAAACAAAGTGAAATGATGTGTTGTACAATGACAGGCCCTGGACAAACTGTCACACTGGACTCCAATTGGGTGTTTCTGATGCCCTGCTCCTGGGCAAAACTGCCCATGTGTCAGTGGCAGCAGAGTGGACAGCTGAGTGATGGGACCTCCACACAGTGGGCTTCTAGTCAGCAGTGAAATGAGTAATTCATCAACATCAATATCAAAGAGACAGTGTTGAGAAAGAAGCAAACCATGAAAAATACACATGGTCTTCTTCAATCCGTATGAAGTTCAAAAGCAGGACAAGCTGAAAAACCGTTTGTTGAAGGGCACACACAGGAGGTCAAACTTTAAGGAAAAGGAAAGAGATGATGAATTCCGTGGTTCCTGAGGTCTAGGCAGTATTCCTAGCCCAGGAGGCTAATAGATGTGAAACTCACATCATGTGGAATTCACCATTTTAAAGTGTACAATTGAGTGGCATTTAGTACATTCACGATGTTGTGCAATCATCACTCCTATTATTACTCTGTAAACTTTACAAATTCATCGTATTTATTTATTTAATGGTTGTTACAGTTTGCAACTAAAATAGAAGGAAATACATCAAAATATTAGCAGTGGCTCTTCTGGGTGAAGTACAAGGGGCAAATTGTTTTCTCCTGTTTGTTTTTCTGTACACGTTGTTTACTGTGTCACATTGTTTACTGTGAATAGTTACTATTTGAAACTAAAGATCAAGGGCGATAAACTGTATTTTAAGAGGAAGTCAGAAAACAAACAAGGTGGCCCTCTCGTATGCTGTGCTGACACCTGTGTCCCTGTAGCCTCAACTACGCCTGTTGCCCCCACCTGCGCCTGAAGTTTGAGGTCGCTGGTGGCACCTCTGTGCCAGGGGGCCCTGGAACCTCTCCTAGGATGGTCCCAGAGAAAGGAGAGAGATCTGCTTCCTGGAATCTCAGCTCTAGATGCTTTGGTCAACTCCATGTCATCTGTGTTTGATAAGCTTGATTTCCATTTGTTTTGGCCCCTCTTTTAGTGTGCTTTTTGTTAGCAGAAACTCACGAACTAGAGAACTGCAGGTCCCCCAGGGGAGTGGGTTGAGATGTTTTTGACATCAGCCACCTCTTTCTCCCACAGTTTTGTTATTAAAACCCCATTTTAACAACCTTGAAAGACAGGTTTTAAAAGAAAGTTGCAATTTTCTTACAATTCTACTGCTTAATTAAAAGAGTAGGCCCTGTGGTTCCCTTTCCCCATCCTGGTGGTGTTCTCCCTGCCCCTGTGGTGGTGTTCTCCCTGCCCCTGCCTCTCACCAGTGTATGCTGTTCCCAGGTGGCAGTAATCCTATCTCAGGTCTGGCATTCCAAGGCAGGCTCCTGCTCCTGGGTGGGGAGGGGCCTCCATGCTGGGTTGAATGTCTGTGCTTTGCTGTCCCCTGACCCACAGAGTGCCCTTGGACAGGACATAGGTCTCAGTTTCCTAAGTGAGAGTCCCGGATTAGATGGACTGTGGTTAACCCTTTATGTGTCATGGCCTCTTTCTGTATAAAGCCACAGATCTTTCCCTGCAATGAGCATTTATACAGACACTTTTCAGGGTTTTGTGAACCCGTGAGCTGGACATCCTAGAGCTCTCCTTCAATCCCATGGCCTCTAGGGTACCCTGCTCTGGAAAGGCAAGACTGGGCCTCTTTTTTGGGACCCCGGAGGGCAGACCTTGGGTTTCGTCGTGGCACCCCTGCTGGGTGATGTGCCCAGGGCTTTCCACGATGATCCCACTGAATCCTCACATAGCCCTGAGGGGAAGCTGCCACCATCATCACCTCCACATCACAGAGGAGTACACAGGCAGGACAGTCACACTCGGACAAGTGGTGGAGCCAGGACACAAACCCAGGTCTGTCTGGACTCTAAGCTTAGGCTCTTACCATGAACTGTGATCCAACCATCGGGAGAGTCAGCCCAATGACCTTCAAGTTCCCTCCAATGCTAAGGTCACACCTGAGAAGCTTGCTAGGGTTTCTAAAGCATCTTCGTGCACATATGTCCTTCCAGGGTTCTTCCCAGCAGTTTGTGAGATGGGCAGGGCAGATGAAGGGAAAAGGCTTCAAGACATTAAGGAAAGGGCCCAAGATCACACCCGAGTCAGGATCAGAGCAGGAATTGGAATCTAATCTCTACACAGAGTTGCCAGATACCAATCTGTGCTTCTCATGGTTAGAATTTACCTACTTATCCAACTATTCACCCATCCAACTACCCACCCACACATGTACCCACCAGTCCACGCATTCATCTATCCAGCCATCCACTCACCCACCCAACTATCCACTCATCCATTCACCTACCAATCCACCCACTCATCCACCCATCAATCACTCACCCATCTATACATCCATCCACCTACCCCTTTCTCCCTCCCTCCTTCTTTCCCTCCCTCCCTTTCTTTCCTCATTCAGACTGTTTATTGAGAGCCTTGAAGGTCAGGCACTTGGATGGCTGCTGGGGAGATGAAGCTTGAAGATGTGTGAACGGGCTGCTCCTCTTGGAGACATCATCTTTTCCCTCATCAGTGAGGGTTCTGGAAGGGGAATGTGGGTTGGGAGGCAGGCAGGATGGAGAGGTGGCTGTTGAGTTCCTGCCCTTTGGGTTTTGGGTCACAGTACTAGACTCATAGAATTGGGTTAAAAACTTGTATTTTTTTTTCTAAGGAGAAGCTGGAAAGTGAACAAGTAAGATAGGGCGTCTGGCTCCTTGCTGTGTATAGAACAGATACCCAGCAATGACCATAGGTGCAGAGTTTATTTATGTAGAGACTTTTTGAATATAAGAAAAGAAATGACAAATATATATGAGTTACTATATAATGAATATAAGTATAATTAAAATAAACCAACTATAGGTAGTGCAGGGTGAGTTTCCAATAATAAATTCTAAACCAACTTCCATCATTCATGGAACCAGATATTCTATTCAGGAATTAATATGCATTCTCCCATACATTTCCTATTATACACATGGGAGGTAGCTACTCATATTAAATCAATATCAAATAGATGGGAACATGAGGAGAGAGATTAGCTACCAAGGTAAATTGTCATCTCTCAGTGGCAGAGAAATTTGTCAACCGAGGTCTTCCTAGAAATATGCTCTGACCTACCATACAATTCTTCCTGCCTGAGGAACTGGTAAAAACTCTCCAAGTCCATCCTGGCTTCCTTCTTTCCTTCCCAACTTCTGCTCATCCTGACCTGACCTTGTCCCAAGCTGCTCTATGGCTTTTATTGCTCTTTGCAGAAATCGCTTAAACTTTTTGTTTGCAGTTGCTCCCTCCTCTGTGTTTAACTGTATTTTAAGGGGGGGTTCATTTTCCAATCCTCTTTGCTAAATGTCGGCTGCTAGGTACTCATCCCCCCTGGAATGCCCTCTCTTTCCATTTTTATGACTCAGCAACTTTCCCTGGGCTTCCTGCCTCTGAGCTGGCTGGAGCTGTGAGACAATTTCGGGCTTTGGGCAGCACCTAAGACATACAGGATGCGAATCCATGTTAGGATCGTAGTGACCTCTTCCATATAATCCCCCATTGTACTACTCCTCAAGAGAGAACACTCTGTCTTCTCATCAGTGTAATCTCAAACCCTGCACCCTGACTGTTGTGGGTGTAGCAGACACACAAGAAATATTTGCTGAATGTTAAGTGAATTGGAATAAACATGTTGATTTAAGTGACAAAACCTTCTATTTTTCATAATAATAAATGTATAATGATTGTCAAAAAATGAAAAAAGTTAGATGTACAAAATGAAAACCAATATTACCTACAGTTTACCCCCGCAACCGGTAGCCCCGGGGAATAGATGTGGATACGGATGTGCATCTAGGTATGGATAAAAATGCAGGGATTCATGCACACACAGGTCACGTCTTATCTGGTGGCCTCTTTGGGATAATATGTTCAAGGCTTTTCAGATGCCATTCGCATCATCGAATACAGCATTTTTATAGGATCTTACATCTTAAATTGGCTTAATGTTTTGTTCTCCGATTATAAAATCTGAAAACAGGAAAAATTAAATAAGAATACAAAGCAAGTCTCTGATCCTGCACTGCCCAAGAGGCCCTGTTAGCGCGTTGGTATGGCGCCTTCCAGATCTTTTTCTGCATGAAATCATGGGCTTATCACAAAGATGGGAACTTCTTTCCTCACTTCTTCTTGCCCTGTTGTGAACATCTGTCTATGGCCCTTCTCCAAGGCCATCTGGGGATGTGGATGTGAGGCTGGCATCTGCTCTCGGGCTCTTTTCTGTCACGTTTTGCTGTTAGCTCCCTGGCTAACATCCACATGCACTGGCTCTCTGGCATCTCCATGATAAATTCTTATGAGCAGGATTTCTGGGTCAAAAGAGAGTGCATTCCCAGGCTGTGGAGACAGGGGACACGTTCAGGAGGGCCTAAAAGGCTGAACCGTGTCTCAGCCTTGAGGCCTCTCAGAATCGCCAGCTTGGGAAGTTAGGAGGCCTGTGGTTGCTCATCACTCCCTCACCAACTCGTTCTGCCCAGGGAAGGTCCTGGGGTGGGGGCTTCAGAGCCCTGTCCTGGCCACCCCCCTCCCTGGGGTCCTGCTGACAATCAGGGCCACTGCTGGCTGGTTCTGAGATGCCTTCTGGTGGACCCTGGGACCCAGGATGGAGCTCAGGGTGTGGGGAGGCAGCCAGGGGGCAGCATCAGGCCCAGGGGCTGGACTAGGAGGGGGTGGGGTGGGGCGCAGGCTCTACTGCCCCCACCTGTGAGCTGCACAAACATCCAGCAGCAGCCCTGAAACTGCCCCATGCTCCTCCTGGGCCACACCTGGGCCTGTTTGTCACTCATCCCATGCCCGGGTGGCCATGAGCTCAGTTTCTCTTCCTCTTATTTTTCTCCTTTTGTCACTCTGAGTTCTGGTTTCAGCCAACTTGGGGTTAAATTTAGCCTGGGGATTTCCAGGGGTGGCCAGCTGCAGGCAGGGCCACCAGAGCTGGGAAAGCGCATCCCCCAACCCCATCCCTTGGCCTGGCCCCCACCCTACTCCCATCTCAGGCCTCCCTGGCCAACCCCTTCACCCAGGAATCTGCTGGTTTCCTGAATGGCTGGCACTCGGGGTCCCTGACCCAGTTCCTCCTTGACCAGAGGGAAGGCTGGGCCCAGGAAGGCAAAGGCATTTGCCCAGGTTCACACAGTGTCACCCGCAGGCCCAGGCAAGAGCAATGACTGAGGGTAGGTGAGGGTCCCCATAGGCCAGGCACAGCTTAGGCATCATCTCAATCCGCAAACCTACCTTGTGGGGAGGGACTCTTATCACCCCCTTGGGCAGATGAGGAAACTGAGGGCTACAGAAGAGAAGCAGATTGCTCAAGGTCAAGGGTTGATGAGGGCTGAGCATGGTGGGGGGACCCCTTCTCTGTCTGACACTGAGGTCTGGGCTCCCAGGGCAGATGCCCCTTTGGGAAGAACAGTGCTCTGGGCTCCCACAGGCCTTTGCAGCCACCCTCCTTCCTTGCATCTCCCAAGGCACAGGGAAGGAATGGCCATCAGGGCCTGTAGCCCTAACTCTCATCCATGCTGCTTTCAGGCCTCTTTTCTGCACCCCTGAAATGGGGCTGGAGCTGTGGAATGGTGGAGGAAGTGAACAATCTGGTCTCTGGCAGAGGGCAGTGGTCCACACAGCCACCCTCCATACAGGTCTTCTCCATGCAGGCTCCTCCACACGGGTCCCACCACACAGCGCCCTCCACACGGGCCCCTCCACACAGGTCCCCTCCACACAGGCCCCCTCCACACAGGCACCCTCCAACAGATCCCCTCCACATGGGCCCCTCTACCTGGCACCCTACCGACAGGCCCCTCCATGCGGGCCCCTTCACACATGATCCCTCCACGCGGGCCCCTCCACGCAGGCCCCTCCACATGGGCCCCTCCACACATGATTTCTCCACACAGGCCCCTCCACATGGGCCCCTCCACACATGATCCCTCCACACGGGCCCCTCCACACATGATCCCTCCACACGGGCCCCTCCACACATGGGCCCCTCCACACGTGGGCCCCTCCACATGCCACCCTCCATACAGGTCCCCTCCACATGGGCCCCTCTACATGGGCCCCTCCACACAGGGGCGCCTATGTGAGCTCGGGCAGATCCCTTTCTCTCCTGGTCTGTTTCTCCATTTGTCAGATGGGAGGCCCTGGGCTGGAAGTCAGGACACCACAGAGCTGGCTCTGGCTTTTTGGGATCTAACTGCTCTGGGCCTCAGTTTTCCTACCTGTGAAATGGGACCATGATTCTGGCTGTGGCCTCACAGAATCCCTGAGTGGCTCAGGTGGATAACATGTGTCCACGTGTTTTATAAATGGTACGGGACGATAAGGCCACTCAATAGCGTCTCAACACAGGATGCAGCTACCTGTAGAGTTGCAGATGTGGTCAGACCTGAGGTTTAGGGCCTCTACTCTCGGCCTTGCTCTCTCTGGGCCCTGCCCCTGCCCCTCTGCAGAGCTCTGGGGCTTGGGGCACTCTGGTCCACTGGCCTGGACCAGCATGAATGTTCATGGCCTTGGTCCACCGTCCAACCCAGAGAACTGTGCACCCTGCAGGGCCCTGCCTTGGGCCTGGCTCCCAGCATCCTCTGCTCATTCCCTCTCCTCCACCGGGTGGTCACTACCTGTGTCCTATGCAGGGCCCAGACCTCTTTTCTCCCTTGTTCCCTGCCCCCCTGGAAGCCTGGTCCATCTTGGAGCCCATCCATGTGGCACAGACTCCAAGGACTTCCTGGGTATTAAGTAGGGTGGCAGGCCAGGTGACGTGGGGGACAGAGTATGGGGCCTTTGAGGTGAGCTTTCAGGGTGCTTCCATGAGGGCCCTTGTGCACTACTGTGGCCCTGTGGGAAGAAGGGATGCTGTGGTCACTCCTATACCTTTGCTCACACTCACCCCTAACACACCCGTCCTCTCTCTGCCCTTCAGTCCTTGATCCAGCTCCTAGGCCTGTTTGAGGTTGCTGCTGCCACCAGGCTACCTTTGATGACCACATGGAATCCCCAGTATCTCCTGCCCCTTGTCTTCTTCAAGCAAGGGGGTCTCATCTGCAATCTGAGCTCTGGGCTGGGCGGGGACAAGTACCCCCCCTTGCTTGCTTTACTTCAGGAACTGGCCTGGGTGGCTGGCATCCTGTGCATGTTGAGGGGACGGTGGTGGGGGATGCCAGTGGATGAGCTGATTGAAGATGGTGCTGGGTCTAGGGCCACCCTGTTCAGCCTCGTGGGTGGGCCTGTGGGGAGGAAGGCAGAGGTGGGGGCACTCATCCCTGGCCTGCCCACCCTACAGTTCGCATCTTATGTGTCAGGTGACATGTGCAATGGCTACGTGTGGCGGGCCTGGCTCCTGGCTTTCCTGGGCCAAGGGAGCTCCAGGCTGGTGTCCTCTAAGAATGAGCTGGTGAAGTCCCACAGGTGGATGGGATTTGCCGTCTGCAGGGGTGAACCCAGGCCCTGAGGCTGGGTACTTGGTCTCCTCCCATACTCTCATCAGAACCTGGAGCCCTGGAATATCCTGGGAACGTTTCCTCCACATGGAGAAAGACAGGGAGGTCTGTAACGGGGGCAGTGGGTAGGATCTGGTCATCGGACAGGGGGCATTAAGCCTCACCACAGTGGCCTGTTCCTCACACCTGTCAACCTCTCTTTGACCTCAGCATCTAGACCCAGCATGGGGAAGACTGGACAGGGAATGGGGCACCCCAAGGCCACAGCCCCCTCCTCCCATGAGAAGGCACACTCCAGGTCTCACCTGGGGGTGGGCTGGGGCAGTCCTGCCTTGCCTGGGACACCATGTGTCAAGAGCCCTGCACAGGCCAGGCCTCGGGGCTTGTGGAAGGATGAGTGTGTGTGTGTGTGTGTGTGTGCGCGCGTGTGTGTGTGTGTGCATGTTCAGATATATGGATGGACAGACACACAAATAAGTGACTGACCAGTCTGAGGTCCTGCCCACTGGGTAGGGACCCCGGAAGTCCTCTTGGCAGCTGTGCTTCCAGGAGCTTCGTTACTGCCTCAGGCTCTGGGCTCCCAGGGAAGCTCTTGGAAGGGTTCTTGTTTCCCTTCCCATCCCCTTACTTGGCCCAGCTCCCTTGAAGGGTCCAAGACCTGGGGGCAGCAGGTGGAGTGTGATCAGCAGGGTCCCATGTCCAGCTCTGGCCAGCCCTGCCCACCCCAGGCCCCTCTGAGCTCCAAGTGTCTGGCTGTGCCCCCCAATTGGGCACAGCTCTGAACCTGGCATTTAGAACGGTTCCTGGGGAGCTGTGAGGAGGGGGTAGGGCCTGCATGAATAGAAGCTTCTGGAGCAGAAGGTGCTACTTCTGATCATTGATTGACCATGATCTCCAGACCCTGTCTAACTCAAGCCTGGGCACGGGGCTTGGGTGTCTTGGTGCGGGGACACAGGACCATTCTCCAGCTGGGCTGGTGGAAGCTTTGGAAACTGAATCGCCCCCCTGCCTCCCACCCTGGGGAGAAGGAGGCACCTGCTGCCAGGGCTGAGGCTTGGTGGGGTTTCCCAGCTATTTCGGGCCTCAGGCACTCTTGGTTTCACCAGGCCAGCTGCACTGGGGTGAGGGTTCCAGGGCCGGTGGGGAGCCCAGCATGGGCAGGGGGCTGGCCTGAGGCTGTCTGGGGCTGGAACAGCCCAAGGATGAAAACAACCAACGGCAGAGACAAACAAAACATCTATTTTCCATCTGATTGTCCCTCCCCCCACCCAGAGAGTCAGTTTCCATTATTATCAACCCAGCTGCACAGAGGGGAAACTGAGGCTGAGCTCGAGCCACTAACTCCAGCCACAGGGGCCTGGCGCTAGTCAGGGCTCCTCAGTCGCTGGCTGCCTCCAGCCCCTGGGACGTCGCCCCCCGTGAGACCCCAGCCAGGTGCTCCCTACCCCCCATCCTCTGCCCTATTTCTCCCCAGCACAAATCCCGCCTCCTACATGACATTGTTCCTTGTCTGTTGACTTGATTTCCCTCTCCCGCAAACATGAGCTGTCTGAACCTGGCTGTGCCTGCCTTAACCCTGCTGGGTTTCCAGGAGCAGCAGGTCCTCAGAAGAGAGCTGAACATGTGACTTCGCTCTGGGCAGCCCCTGAGAAGGGGGCTTACTTACCTGGCCGGTCTGGGGTCTCACCTTCTTCAGCTACTCTGCCCAGCAGCCCCTGGGGACCAGCACCCCTTCCTTCTGGGAGCTGCTCTCTGCTGCCCAGACCTTTGCAAACTTTCTGTCCCCTGTGGGAGCCCAGGCCAAGTCTGACCACCACTTCCCATCCTCCTCCCCAGACAGGTCAGGAGAGGATGTGTCTAGGGGTCTGAGTGGGAGGCTCCCCTTTGGCCTGAAACTGTGAAGATGAGGCCCCTTTCTCCTCTATCATTTCCATAGTCAGAAAGTCCCAACATGTCCCTGCACAGGCTGGGAACTGGGTGGGCAGGGAGGGCCCATCCTAGTGACACCTGTGAGGGGTCCAGGCTTTGGTGCCTGGCACGGCAACTGGCACATTGGATGCTCAGTGAACATCAGACCTGATGTGAGAAGCAGGAGGGACCCGTGGCCAGATCAAGGGTGTTGGTGTTGCTATAGGAAGAGAGAGTCACCATGAAGGATGGCCTGTATGGAAAGAGGCACACTGCGGGTGCCCTGGTGGGTCGTCCTGGCTGTGGGCTACTCTTTCCTGGAGCTGACACGGGGGCTCTGTGTTGCCAGCCACAGAAGTCACCCAGCCCCTCCCTGGCTCCTGTCCCAAAGCCAGGAGGCATTCTCCCTGCTGCCTGTGGTCTCCCCAGGAACTAGGGCTGCCCAGAGGAGCTGTCCCTTGCCGGTCTCTGGACGTGGTGTGCTGTTGCTGAGTGGGAGATGGTATTAGGGCCACCCCTGGTTGTGTTGTGAGCTGGGCCTGAGTGAGCTCATTTCTAGGGGCTCCAGGCAGGGGACCAGGAATGTCATGGTGACTGCCTGGATGTGGCCCCTAGTGAGGCTCTCCTGGCCCCTGGCCCCCATTGTAATGTCCAGCACTGCTTACCATAGTGCTAGGTGGCTGGGCTTGGCTTCCTCCCCCTCATTATTAGCCATTATGAAGAACGTCATTCAGTCATTTAGCAAACAGTTACTCTGAGCTTGGGCAACCAAAATTTGTTGTTTAAACTGGGATGTTCCTGGGAGTGGAAGGGGCACTATTAATAACTTCACGAGTCTCTCTGATAGATGTGGGTGGGGGTCCTGGAGGCAGCCCAGGCCTGGGTCTCTGGGCAGAGCCCACCATTACTGCTACAATGGGCCAGGCACGGCCAGGCCTGGGTCCCGAGCTGAGGCTGGGTACACATAGGCACCTGGGAAACTGCAGCTGATTGGTGGCCAGTGGTCTGGGGACCTGGATGGGGCTAAGGGTCACCAGGGGCTGGACACTGCTCTAGCATCCACCTCAGCTTCCAGAGTCAGTGGCACAAACTGGGAATGTCCTGGAAAATGCAGGATGCAGGTCATCCCCCTCCCCTCAGACCTTGCCCAGCCCACGTGTTTCCTGGGGAGACCACCCTTGTGAAATTACTGGCCAAACAGGGTCAGGTTTGATGTGGTCCCAAGTGACCAAGTGACAAAGACTGACCCTGATCCTGACCCTACTGCCCCTGCTGATGTCACTGTGTTGACATTTCCGTGGCCCATCTGCAATCCTCAAGATGACCATGTAGGAGAGCAGTTTCCCCAGATCACCCCAGAAAGAGGGAGTCCTCACGCTTGGGTTGTTACAAGAGGTACGGGTGCCTTTTGAGGTGTTTGCATAACTAAGCATTTTGGGAAAAGACCTAGTCTTCCCGGCCTCCGTTGATGCCAGCTAGGGATGCTTCTGAATCCCCGAGGGAACTGGAGCATCTCACGTGTGGCGCAGGGGATCCTGGGCAGATTTGGGGTCATTTTTCCTTCACGTCTCATTCAGCACAGGGAAGAGGACCAGTGTCAAGTCATGACACACGACTCTTTCAGGGCCGTAGAAGCTGGTCCTTAGGTCAGGGATGGAGCCCAGGGTGTGGGGTCAACATCAAGGACTCGTGTCCTGCAGGCGGGGTGGGTGGGGAATCCAGAACCTGGCCCTGGTGTGACAGAGACTCTGGAGAAGAGGATGACATGTCGGGAGGGAGGAGCAACATCCTCAGCATTGTGCTGTGTCATTAGCAGTGGGCATTGCGAGTGGATGGTGATTATTTCCTCTATGTCCCCAAAATTCGCATGTTCTAGTTGGCTGGAAACTTGATTTTGGACCTTTGTGTTGAGGAATGGGGGCTTGCCTGGGATCTGGTGGCCTCGTTATGGGGCATCTGAGCTGGTTTGCTTGTTCCCAGGTGAGTGTCGATGTCCCCCTTCTTGCCCCTGGATTCAGTGAATATGGGGGTTGAAGGGTAATGGTGCCTTTGTCCAGGCCTGGCTGGGGACACTCTCTTGGTGGCTTTGCAGGCCCCACAGGAGGCTGGGCCTGATGGGAGAGTCACCCACTCAGTTCATAGTAGCTCCCAGTCCTTTCCTCCCGCAGGGCCCTGAGCAGCCACCCCCCTCTCCTCCAGCAGGGCCCCTGCACCCCCTCCCAGGCTATTCTGGGCTCTGGCTTTGCTGTAGAGGAAGCCACAGGGCCCCTCCCTGATCTGACTCAGAACACCTCCCTCAGCCCAGGCTGCAGCTAAGCAGGGCCAGGGCCAGGACGAGTTCCTCTCACCCCATCCCCCACTGTGACACTCTTCCCTATACCTTGAGGGGTTCCCCCAGCACAGACCAACCCTCCTTCGGTGTCATGAGGCCATCACTCGTGAGGGGCTGGCCCCGGTCTGAGCTAGACACAGTGGCATGTGAAGACAGGCGTGGGCTAAGGCCCAACTCGGCTACTCCTGAACTGGGTGGAGCCTGGGCAGCGCTGGTGCATCCATCATGGTTCACGTCCCCTCTGTGAGGTGGGCAATGGCAGCTTTAGGCCTCAGGGTCACTGTGAGGGTCAGTGAGGGACTGTGATGTTCCCACTGTGGCCCAAGGATCACAGCTGGGGCTCTCTCAGATGGTTCTTTCAGTTAAATCTTTTCCTGAGTGTGGGGAGATGCTCCTGCTGCCCCAGACACTCCCTGGGCAGAGTGCCAACCTTGGAGACTTGACAGGGTGGGGGCAGTGGTGTCTCCATGTCGTTCTCCAAGCTTGTGAGCTCCTCTAGGGCAGGTGGTCCTGGGCTGCATACACCAGCCCCTGGCCCACAGCTGAGAGTTTGTTGAATGAATGAATGAGTGAGTCTGAACAAATGAATGGATGAATGAATGAATGAAAAGCCCTTAGGGCCGAGGAGTCATGAAAAGAGGCGGGCATGGGTCAGCCGGTAACCTACTGTGTGACCCTAGGTGGGTCATCACCCCTCCCATCGGAGCCTCAGTCCTCTCATCTGTGAAATGGGCACATGAACACCTGTCCTGGCTCTGCTTTGTAGACTCAGAGGGCACCCCCATGGCTGCCCTCCTGCCTGCCTCTTTCACCCACTGAGTCAACAGAGAATGAGGAGCCCAGGTCTGCCCATCCCACAGAGCCACAAGGGGGTTCATGCACTCAGCACCATCTCTTGGCCTTGCCCAGGCACGGCCTCAGGATGGAAGGGTGGCCTAGGTCAGGGGCCTGGGCAACCACTGTGCTGCCCTGAACACCTGCAGGACCTGGGCAGGCTCAGCCTCCTCTGCACGCCTTAGGGAAGGGGCTGGCTCTGGGTTGACCTTGGATCAGAGTCCCAGTGCCCACCATCTGTGCAGCCCTGGGCAGCTGTGGGACTCGGGCAGGCTGCTGGTCTCCGAATCTCCGTCTCCTCATCTGTAAGGTGTGCGGGACATGGACACGTGCCTCCTGGGGTGGTTTGGGATCCCATGACATAGAGAGGACAGACGCCAGTGCAGGGTTTCCCTGGAAGTGGCCCTGGGCCAGGTGGCAGGTGAGGTAGCATCTTCAGCAGAGCCGGGAGCAGTTCCACTGTCGAGCAGTGGCCATCGAGGGGCTCAGTGATACCCAGCCCAGCACCTGGCTGAACATCGGAGGACGTGAGGGGTGCAGCCCCTGCTTCCAGGCTCCCGTGGTGTCCCAGATCGGTGCTGGGCAGGGCGGCACCAGGAGAGCGTGGTCAGCAGCCCTGGGCAGCCATCAAGCCTGAGGCACCACTGGGCTGAGGGCTGGGGCCGGGGAAGGAGCAAGGAACCCTTTTACATTCCGGTAGTTCATGAATCACACAGTGAAAGAAAGAGTCACCAAGGGTGCTAGCTGCCGGTGGCCCTGATGGGGCAGCAGCAGAACAAAGTGGGAGGGGACCATAGAAGAGAGGACCTTGGCGGGGGGTGGGGGTGGGGGTGGGTGGGTGAGGGGCTTCAAGATGACGAGAATGATGTGAGTTGCCAAGCCCATCCTGAGGTCAACAGAAGGAGGACAGTGAGGGGACCATTGGATTGAGCCACGTGCAGGCCACTGGGGCTGTGATGGGGTGGTGGTGAGACTGCTGGGCTTGAGGCAGGAAGGGAGGGGACCGTGGAGGCCAGGAGCCCTTGATTACCACTTGTAAAAGGCAGGAGAGAGGGAGGGGCAGCCAGAGGAAGGCAGCATTCACATTTTATTACTTCTTCCTGGCAGGACCACATTTGTGCTCCTAAGGTGACCATCAGGAGGGTCTCTGGCCCTTCATACTGAGATGTTGAGGCAGAGAGACTGTGGTCCAGGTTCTCTCCAGGAAGAGCCCACCATTACTGCTGCAGTGGGCCAGGCAGGACTAGGTCTGGGTCCCAAGCCCAGGCTGGGCACATATGGGTGCTTGGGAAACCATAGTTGATTGGTGGCCAGTGGCCTAGTACCTGGATGGGGCCGGGGTCACCATGGGCTGGTCACTGCTCCAGCCCCAGCATCAACCCCAGCTCCCAGAGTCAGTGGGGAAGGGGACTGGAGTGGGGTCCGATTACAGTGACCACAGGGAAATGGGGGCCACAGGGAAATGGGTGCGGGGAGCAGGGGAGATTCGGGAGGTGGGTGGAAGAGGACCACGTGCTCCCATCCTGACAGCCCAGAGCCTGCGTGTGCCTGGGGCGGCTGCTCTCTCAAAGGGCATGCGTCTGTCTTGGGGACTGAGGGTCTCTGAAGTCAGGTCGCCTCTTGCTCGAAAGCCCCCTGCCACCTTGCTCTTGACTTTAGCACCTCCTCACAGGGCAGCACGTGTTATGTTATCCGGGAGGAAATGGAAACCCTGGGAGGTTCTCTGGTGGGGGAAGGGAGGAGCGGAGGTAGACTAAGAGGGGGTCAGCAGGGGGAGAAGGGGGAACCAGCCCAGAGTTCTCCAGGGACGGGTGCGTGTTGTCCTAGCCTGTGCCCTGGGAGTGACACCAGGTGAGTTGAGATTTCAGTACCCAGCATTTTTGTGACTGAAGTAAAGAAAATTCTGATTTGGCCCTTGCCTGCTTGTACAAGTTAACTGCTTGCTTTTTGCCCAGCATCCCTTGTTCACACAATGTGATCATAAGCTGCAGATGTCCTGTTTCTTTGTCAAGAAGGAGGAGATAACTTCAGAGTCACAAAAGTATTTTGCAGGAGTGAATGCCTTTAGGGACGTAGAGACCAGCCGCTGTCGCCCGCAAGTCTAGTTGCTTAAGATGTTACCTGAGACTGAATAAACACAGACTTTTCCCCTGAAATGCCACCTCCCTCACTCCTTAGCCACATAAAAACTCCCTGCTTCATCCTTTTGTTAACATGGAGTGGAGGAATTTGCTTTCTTGTCTTCTTACTTTAGCCAAATGAAATAAATCTTTTTCTATCTCCAAGCACTTGTGTCAGTTTTTGACCTCCGCTGCATATCAGGTACACGAACCTGAATCTGGGGTTCTACAAAGAGTCTCACATGTCACCACTCAGCCCCCCTCGAACACCTACTGCGCTCGGTGCTGGGCCCCGAGAGGACCGGGGTTCCTCTTTCCCACAGCCCCAGACCCAGAGCCCCATGTGCTCTTCCCTTGGGAGAGCAGTCCCTGACTGAAGATGTCAGGAATTTTTGGATGTTGAGGGAGCAACTGGGACCAGGAATGGAGGGGATTGGGCTTGGGGAGCCACCTGCCAGGGACTGACTCTCCTGGAGGTGGGGGACACCGTAAGCCCTGGATCCAGAACCAGGACTGAGATGGGGTCTCTAGGAAAAGGGGACTCTCATGGTCCCTCCCTCCGAGTGCCCTGACCCTGATATTTGACCCGGAGGAAGGAGAAGGGGCATGAGGAATCTGGCTACTCCAACCTGAGGCCCCGTCCCCTTCCATCCCTTGTTGGTCCAATAATTCTGTCACTTGAATCCCGGGTCCCGGGATGGGGGCCTGGGTCCAGTGGGCTTTGAGCTCTCCAGGGAGGAAGCTGGATGAAGTGGGTGGGCGTGGCCAGGTGGGCTGAGGGCAGCCAGGCACCTGGGGTCCAGAGCTGAGATCTGCAGTTGGGTGGACCAGGTTTGAGTCCCTACTGTGACCTGTGGCAGGTCACTCAGGCTCTCTGGGCTGTGATGTCACCATCCTAGAGTGAGGATCACAATAGGATCTTCCTCCAAGGGTGATTTGGCCTGGAGGGCATTTAGTCTCAGGGGGCCTGCTGGAAGACAGTGCCCTAGAGCTGTGGCTAAACTCCCAGTGCCTTCCTGGAACCCCAGGAGGAGAAGGGGCCACAAGAGACCAGGGATAGGGAGGGCTTGGGCTGGGCTGGGACGGCCCCCCAGGAGTGGCTCAGCCTGGACTGGGCAGGGCATGGAGAAAGGGAGAGGAACTCGGGAAAGGGGCTGTGGTCGGCTAAATTAGGCCCCGCGGGGACAGTCGTGTCCCAATCCTGGACCTGTCTATGTGTCATGTGTGGCCACAGGGACTTTGCAGATGTCATGTCAATTAGGAGCCTGAGGTGGGAAATGCTCCTGGGTTATCCAGGTGGGTCCAAGCTGGGGTCTTTGTAGAAGAAAGAGGGAGGCAGGAGGGTCAGAGTGAGAGGACAAGATGTGGGGATGGAGGGAGACGGAGAGAGAGAGAAGGAAGAGAGGGAGAGAAGAAGGTAGGGAGGGAGAGAAGAGCAAGAGAGAGATTTGAAGATGCTGAGCTCAGGCTCTGAAGTTGGAGGAAGGGGCCAGGAGCTGAGGTTGTCCTCTAGAAGCTGGAAAAGTCCTGGAAACGAATTCTCCCCAGAGTCCCCAGAAGGAGCCGGCCCTGCTGGGACCCTGATTTTAGCCCCCAAGGACTCATTTTGGACTTCTGACCTCCAGACCTGGGAGAGAGTCAGTGTGTGATGTTTTAAGGCACTAAATTAGGGGTCATTTGTGATAACAGCCAGCAGCCACAGGAAAGTCAAACAGGAGCCGTGGGAGAGACTCCCCAGGATGCCACAAGGGCCCCTCCCAGGCCCCACCCACAGTAACCCAGGCCTGACCCCTGCAGGTGCCCCCACTCTACAGAGGAGGGGCCATGCAGGAGGGGCTGGGTGGGGCTGGGTCGTGTTCTCTTCCCCCACCCCTTCCTCTCAGAGAGCAGTTGGAGCCCCAGACTCAGGGAACCTCACAGAGAAAGTCCTGATGAGGGACCTGGTTTTCCAGTGAAGGCCCGGGATCCAATGGAGAAGTGTTCCCAAAAATGATGTTCCCAAAGACGGCCAGTGACTTTCTGTTCACGCACTTGAGAGAATCACCATGTCTAAGGGCTGCCAGATAGTTACCTGTGCGTGTGTCAAGGTTCACATCCCATTACTACTGAGGCCTTGGATAGAACATGTTCCCACTTTTAGTTGTGACGAGATGACTGGCCCCAGCATTGAGAACACCACCTTCCCTTCAGCAAAGGGTTTGTTTAAATTTACAGAAGTGGTGAAGTGCTTATTACCCTCCTTGCACTGGTTCCTAGGGAGCTCAGAGCCTATCTTTTCCAAGTGTCCCGAGCCTCCTGTAGGCCTTTCGTGTGAGTCTCCTTCCTGGCTTCCTCCCATTCCTCTTAAGTGTCTGAACCTGCTGTCAGGTGAGGAATCGAGGTGGGTCCCTCATTGAACAGCTTGAGAAGTCAGTGGTGCTGGAGTGTCCTGGACAGTCTGGCTCTCAGGGATGACAGGGAGGGGGTGAGGGTGGGTGGGAGCTGAGCTGGGCACAGAGGGAGGAGGGCATTCCGGGGGCAAGGGCCAGGGGCAAAGAGGCTCCAGGCTTGGAGCAGGGTTTTCAGGCTGGGAAAAGAGATGGTGGGTGAAGGGTGTCTCTGTTAGGGCAGAGATAGAGGGTGTAACTGGAGTCCCAGCCAGAGACAACTCCATCCAGGCAGGAGGCAGGGAGGTGGGGGGCTATGCTTTGAGGAGAAGGGGGAGGAATGAAAGGGCAGAGGGACTGGTGTTCAGTGATCAGACTTCTCCTATCCGGGCCTCTTTCACCAGGAGACACCCCGGGAGGCTATGAGCCTCTCCCTCAGGGCCACTTTCTCACTGGGTGCCAGGATTCCCCCACCCAACACTGAGAACCCAGGGGAGGCCTCAAATTATGTGTGAGATAAGAAAAGAAGAGAGGGAGCAGGATTTCTCGTTGACGATGAGGATATTTATTGAGAAGGGCTGGATGACTTGGGATGGGGGCAGAGACCCCTCCCCTGGGAACCTGCAGCTCCAGGCCCCTGTGGGTGGGGTGAGGGTCGGGGGCCTAAGAGCATTCTGCAGGGGCCACTGTCTTCTCCACGGTGCTCCCTTCATGCGTGACCCGGCAGCTGTAGCTTCTGTGGGACTTCCACTGCTCGGGCGTCAGGCTCAGGTAGCTGCTGGCCGCATACTTGTTGTTGCTTTGTTTGGAGGGTTTGGTGGTCTCCACTCCCACCTTGACGGGGCTGCCATCTGCCTTCCAGGCCACTGTCACGGCTCCCGGGTTGAAGTCACTTACGAGACACACCAGTGTGGCCTTGTTGGCTTGAAGCTCCTCAGAGGAGGGTGGGAACAGAGTGACCGAGGGGGCAGCCTTGGGCTGACCTGCGGGGTGGATGAGGGGCAGGGGGTCAGAGTCCTGGTGTCCACCTGGGGAGCCCCTGACCTCAGTCTTGAAGTGGGTATGGGACTAAGGCCCAGGGCAGGGACCTCAGGCCGGACCCTTGCTGGACTGAGGTCAGGTCAGCGGTGAGTGGAGACACTTGCTGTCAGATGGGAGTTGCCCCCACTCTTGGGGGTCACAGACCCCCTCTTGGATCTGTCTCTTTTTCATATTTTCCATCACCTATAGACCCCCACCGGTGCTGGCTCCACACTGGATGGGATGGAGTCCAGGACCACATCTCACCCTGGGTATTTGTCTATCTTGGGGGTGTCTGTCTGAACACCTCCTACCAGTTCCCCTTGTTCTCATCTCTTCATGCAGGGCAGCTGTTGGTCCTGGGTTCAGGCTCTTCTCTCTCACAGGGAGTGGGTTTCTTACCCACACATCTCCCTGGTGCCATCATTGCAGCCCCCACCCCACCTCCCTGCAGAGACCCCTCTGGGCTGCCTGGTGAGACAGGGTGTCAGTCCTGGGGGCTGGATTCCAGTAGATCAAAGGCCTCCATTTGAGGCATTTTTTTTTTACTCCCTGAGCTGAACGTGGAGCTTTGTCTGTTCGAAAGAGTCTCCATGTCGTGAGAAGTTATCTGGGGGATCTGACTCTCCAGTGGGTTTTCCCTGACAAACAGGCACCCGTCCCAGTCACCGTCCCTACCAGAAGTCCCTGTCCTGGGCATCTGCTCTGAGGTCTTCCTCCAGTGGAGGAATTGGTAAGCATCCACGTTTAGGGCCTGAGTTTTCTGAGACCCACCACCCTGTCTGTGGTGTCCTGCCTGTCTTGGGGGATGGCGTGTGACCCAGCGCTGTGGGGCCACCTTCTCACGGAATATTCTTCCTCTATCTTTGTCCTCCTGCCATTTCCTCCCCCATCTCTCCAAGTCCTCAGTCAAAGGCCTCCTGTCACTGTGTTTAATGCAGCCCCGTAACTGGGACCCACAGAGGACAGAATCACAGAAGAGGGCAGGAGCCCAGGCAAGGAGGGGCAAAGATTCCAGACCTCCAGACAGGCTTAGACCTTAGCCTTCGACAGACAGGAAAGGGAAAAACTCCCCGTGTTTAACTTGGGATCTCAAAGAGGAGAGAAGCGGGGAGACTTACCGAGGACGGTCAGCTGGGTGCCTCCTCCGAACACAGCACACAGTGACACAGCCCCACACACAAACCCCTCCTGACACACCCGACCCGTTCCCCGCTGCAGCAGCTTGGGCGCCCAGGTCCAGTGGCCCTGTCATGAAGCAGGTCTGGCCGATAGGAGGGTGAGGGGGATGGCCCCTCCATGCATGGATGCACACTTTACTGGAAGTCAGGGATCCCTTCACCCCCAGAGGGAGAGGGGAGAGGGAGGAGGCATGTCTGCACATCACATCTGGGTCCCCTGCTACTCTCTGTCCTGGAGGAAGCCATGTGTCCCGGCTCAGCTCCTTTGGAGACTGTCACCATGGAAGAAGTGAGAATCCTGTTTATGCCACAGGGAAGGTGGAGCTGGTCCCCTATGGAGATCCGAGTTCCCTGGGAGGGTCCTGGATGCCCAGCACAGCCCCTAGTGGGATGCCCATGTGGTAATGATTCTAAATAGCACAGGAGAGTGTGTGTGTATGTATTTGCATGCAGGCATGTTTGTTTGTGAATACCTGTGTGCCTATGAGGTGTTCATGTGTGTTTATGTTTGTGAACATGTATGTATGTGTGTTTGTCTCATAGCCCAGGCCCCCCATCCTGTGCTACCTCCTGGGACAATCATCAACCCGGTTCTTAGATCCCACATACAGCTCTTAAAAAGACCAATTGGTTTACAGGCACGTCTATGGCACCACTCTGGAATCTCATGATTGACTTTGACCTCCCCAGCCCCACTGACCATCCGTGGATAACTGGACATTAGGTACTTGAGGTGTGGTCAGTTTTGGGCTGGTTACTTAGGGGTGAGAGAGAGTAGAGTTGACCCTTATCCCCCAGGGGACTTGAGTATAACTGGGACACTGGTGACACATGTGGGACCAGGGGTACCCAGCTGGCCTGTGGGGTGAGTGACCTGGGTCCAGAGGGTCAGGGTCCAGTCTGTGCCTGCTTCAGAGATAGATGTGGGGGTAGAGGGCAGGGTCCTGGGAGTCAGGAACAGGGTGGGCCCCTAAGGAGTAGGGGAGACCAAGGGCCCATGGACTGGAGAGGCTCCTTCCGCCTCAGAAGGAGGGACCCCTTGAGAGAGGGAGGCTGTCCAGGGGTGAGGCCTGATGATCCGTGGAGGGTACTCGTTCTTCTGGGCCATGGGGAACCAAGGAGCGGTCGCCCCAGGCCGCTGGAGGTGGACATGTCCACACAAACACAGCACGTATGGGAAAGGGGCAGTCCTGGGGCCTGCTGCCCAAGGCTCTGTTCTGGAATATTCTCTGGGCCTTTCTAGGTGATGGTGGAACTACCCCTCAAAAACAATCCAGACTTCATTCCCACAAGGCTAAAAGAATTTTGTTCATCTTGCAGGTTGGACCAATTTAGGGTAGAAAATGTATAAACAGAAGCAAAACACAAAACCCAGGGTTTCTGGTTGACTGAGGATATTTATTGAGGGTTTATTGAGTGTAGGAAGAAGGGCTGGATGACTTGGGATGGGGAGAGAGACCCCCTCCCCTGGGAACCTGCAGCTCCAGGCCCCTGTGGGTGGGGTGAGGGTCGGGGGCCTAAGAGCATTCTGCAGGGGCCACTGTCTTCTCCACGGTGCTCCCTTCATGCGTGACCTGGCAACTGTAGCTTCTGTGGGACTTCCACTGCTCAGGCGTCAGGCTCAGGTAGCTAGCTGCTGGCCGCGTACTTGTTGTTGCTCTGTTTGGAGGGTGTGGTGGTCTCCACTCCCGTGTTGACGGGGCTGCCATCTGCCTTCCAGGCCACTTTCACAGCTCCCGGGTAGAAGTCACTGATCAGGCACACCAGTGTGGCCTTGTTGGCTTGAAGCTCCTCAGAGGAGGGCGGGAACAGAGTGACCGATGGGGCAGCCTTGGGCTGACCTGCGGGGTGGATGAGGGGCAGGGGGTCAGAGTCCTGGTGTCCACCTGGGGAGCCCCTGGCCTCAGTTTTCAGGTGGGTGAAGGACTAAGGCCCAGGATAGGGACCTCAGGCTGGGCCCTTGCTGTACTGAGGTCAACTTGGCGGTGGCGGGGATGCTTACCTCCTGATGGGAAACTCCTCAGCATCTGAGGACTGAGGAGAATCAGGCCTCTTCTGCTCCAGCCTCCTCTCCAGATTCTCCCCTCCTTATCAGCCAGCTCTCACCTCACCTATGCTCCCCGACGCTGGCTGGGTTCAGCCCTGGGCCCTCGTCTTTCCTTGGGGGACGTCTCTGTCTGAACATCCCCTGCCAGGTCCCTCCTCTGGGTCTGTTCACGAGGGCATCTGTGTCCTGTTTTTAGGTTCTCCTCCCTTTTGACAAGTGAATTTCTTCCTCACATATCCCCCAGCACCATCATTGCAGTCTCTGCCCCACTTTCCCACAGAGGCCCCTTGGTGGGGAGGGGATGTCAGTCCTGGGAGCCGGGTCCTGGGAGTCCAGGAGATGGAGGGCTTGCATGTGAGGTATATTTTCTGTTCTGAGCCTGGCGCTGTGTCTGCTCTATGGGGTCTCCCTGTCGTTGGGAGATCTGGCTGTCCTAGGACAAATGTCTGTCCTGACAGGTCCCTGTCACCTGCGCCCACCAGGAGTGCCTCCCTCAGCATCTGCTTTGGGGGTCTCTCTTTTTGGGTGGGATGGGGAGGCTCTAACCTTGGACTGAGTGTCCTGAGAACCACCCTGTCCATGGCAGCCTGCCTGTCCCGGGGGAGGAGGAGGGACCCAGCACCCTGGCGCCACCTCACAGGACATTCTTCCTCCATCCTTGTCCCCCTTCATTTCCCCAAGTCCCCAGTCAAAGGCCTCCCTTCTTGGTGTTTAAAGCAGCCCCATAGTTGGGACCCAGAACCCTGGGAAGCTGAACTTTTTCCAGCATCCTTCCCCTGTCCCATGGCCCTGGTGCCCCAGCCTGAGCCCCTGCTCTGCTGGTCTTTGGGGACTGGAGACTCTGTGCGAGGGAGCAGAACATCCCAGAGCCCAGGGGAGAATGCCCCCTGAGTGACAGCGGCAGGTTCAGGCCTGAGCAGGGAGCATTAAGAGGTCACTGGGATCTTCCCATCATGCCCCACCAGGTGCCTAAGAAGGGACAGGCTGGAGGAATTTGGGGCCAGGAAAAAAGGCAATGGTGGCAGACCCCAGAGAGATTGAGACCTCTACCCTAGAGAGAACAGAAAGGACAGAAAAGTCTCCCCAGATCTCACCCTAGACCCAAAAGAATAGAAAAGGGGACTCACCGAGGACGGTCACCTTGGTGCCACTGCCGAACACATTACACTGTGATATAACCCTGCACACAAACCCTCCTGATACACCCGACCCAGGCCACCCCCCCCCAACCCCCTGCAGCTGCTCACAAGGCCCAGGGTCCAGCCCCCTTTTCTCATGGGTGGGTGAGCCATAGGTGGGGTGAAGGGGGTCACCTTCTACTGACCTGAATATCACTTCCTTGGGGGCTTAGGGGTTCATCCACCTCAGTCATGGGAAGGGTTGACAGGTCTGTGTGTGGAATTGTCTCCCAGGTAATTGCATTTCTGAGGAGTTGGGTGGCCTGGATCAGCTGGTGTCAGGAATGCCAGGGAGGAAGGGGAGGTGAGCGGCTGGGTGACGCCACTGACATGGTGCAGCTGGGACCTCTTTGAGAAGTTGGGAATGGTGGGGAGGGTCCTTGATGCCCCCCACATCCTCAGCACTGGAGGTTATGATGGGATGGGCTTGGAATGGGAATTGGGGGTTGTGGGAAGAATGACGTTGACCACAGGGACACAGACCCCACTGCAAGGTCTGAGCTCCAGCATCCTTGGCCCAGCTGTCCTGAAGGAGCAGCTCACAGATCACTGCCCAAGTCCGCCTCCTGAACCCATGGGGACAGCTTCCTACCTATAGGCCATGTGTGCTGGATTAGAGCTGCAATGGCCCAGAGGAGAGCTTCTCAAGGGAGGTCATAGGCCTCACTGGCAGTGTGGTTTCCTCCAGGAGCTCTACGTGTGGGGGATCTCTGCTGTCCACTTCAGCTCCCCCGGCTTACACACACACCCACATGTGTGTGCTCTGCAGTCCCCTACATGCACGGGTGACCCACACAGCCTGTGCTCTGGAGTGTCACCGGCACGGGGGGCACCCACAGTGGATGGGCATGTGCAGTGTGGGGCCTGGACACACACAGCCTGGACCTGCATCCTGGTCTGGGCCCATCACCTGAAGAGCTCACACCTGGGACACACTCCTGGCACCATGCAGTCCCCAACAGTATTCCCCACAGCAAGCGCCTCCCCTGACTGCTGAGATGTGGCCTGCTGCTCCCTGATCAGAATCCCGTCCACATCTTCTCCTGTCTCCCTCTTGGCCTGGACAGAAAACCCTGCCCCACCCTCCCATATCCAGGGGCGACCCCCTAGTCCCAAAGCCTGGAGACAGCAGGTCTCAGCTTTGCTTTGCTCATGTCCTGACCTGGGCCTGACTGCAGCCCCTTCTACCTTCCTGATCCTCCCAGAAGGATGCCCAGCATGGACATGTGTGTTTATGTGCATTGTGTGTGTGTACACGTGTGTGTGTATTATAGCTCAGATCCCATGCTGAGTTCTTCAGAAGAAGAATCAGCGTCACCCAAGCTCCTGGCATAACCCCAGAATCTGACTTTGAACTCACCAGTCAATTGACAACTTGTGCACAGCAGGACATTAGGCATTCATAATGGTGTCAGTGAGGAGCAGAGCCGACCCTTGTCCCCTAGGAATGTTGAATACAGCTGGGGCATCCGGTGACACATGTGGGATGAGAGGCACCCAGAGGGGGATGTGGGGTGAGTGACCAGGGTCCAGGGGGTAAGCATCCCATCAGTGATTATTATAGGGAGGGCCTGTGGGGGCTGAGGGCAGGGTCCCTGGGATGACGGGAACAGAGTGTGCCCATGGAGAAGGGGAGATGCTCTAGGCTTTGATGAGGGGAAATACAGGTGGGGTGACCACATGGCCTTGGAGGGGGATGGACAAACACCTTGAGAGAGGGATGGCATCTGGACAGTGAGGGCCGAGGACAACAAAGAAGGGAGCTGAGATGTTCTCCCGGGGCCATAGGGATGTAAGGAGGGTGTGTCCCCGGGCAGCCAGAGGTGGACGTGCTCACAGGGCAGCAGGAAGCACAACAGAGACGTGGGTAAGAATGAAGATGTCTGGTTCCTTCTGAAGACTATTTCCTTGTTCTGGAACATTCTATGGGGATAAGGTGATGGAAAAAGTATGGCTCAGAGAAACACGAAGATGGTCCCAGGCTGCATTGTCACAAGTCCAAAGGATTCTGTTGATCTTTGGAGATAAAAAAATTTAGGATGGAAAGTGGATAAACAAAAATGAGCAGACAGCATGTTTTCTGATTGACAAGGAGGACATTTATTGAGGGTTTATTGGGTGTCGGCAGAAGGACTGGATGACTTGGGGTGGGAGGGAACACCTCTGCCCTGGGATCCTGCAGCTCCAGGCCCCTGTGGGTGGGGTGAGGGTCGGGGGCCTAAGAACATTCTGCATGGGCCATTGTCTTCTCCATGGTACTTTCTTTGTGCGTGACCTGGCAGCTGTAGCTTCTGTGGGACTTCCACTGCTCGGGCGTCAGGCTCAGGTAGCTGCTGGCCGCATAGTTGTTGTTGCTCTGTGTGGAGGGTGTGGTTGTCTCTATGCCCTTGGTGACTAGGGTGCCATTTTCCTTCTATGGCTCCTGGGTAGAAGTCATTTATGAGACACACCAGCATGGCCTTGTTGGCTTGGAGCTCCTCAGAGGAGGGCGGGAACAGAGTGACCAAGGGGGTGGCCTTGAGCGGACCTGCAGAATGGATGAGGGGCAGGAGGTCAGAGTCCTGGTGTCCACCTGGGGAGCCCCTGACCTCAGTGCATGAGGAGTGTTCAGGCCCCCCAGTACCAGTGCAGGACCTCTCAGATGTGGTCCACACTGTCTCAGAAGGGTGTGACATCATGTTCCTAAAAGAACTCTGTCAGTCAGAAAACCTCTGAGCTTGGCCCCTGCCCATCGCCTGTTTGGAAATCTTCCAAGGACTTGGGCTTTTGTATAGACAGTGGACCTTCAATTGCCTGGCGCTGCCTCACCCTGTCATCCTGACGTGATCCGGCTCTGGCTGTGTTCTCTGAGCTCTGTGAGCCTCTTGTTAGATTCACTCTGGAAACTTTTCTCACCTGACACAGCTGCTCTGGGTTGGGGGAGAGTGGGTCTCTCACGTAAGAGCTCTTGTTTGTACCCACATCCGTCTCTCCTGGATCTTCTGCAGTGGAGTCAGGGCCTTTGCTCACCCAAGTCCCACTGTCTGTCTGTCCTGGGCTCTTTGTCTGTGGAGTCTGTGTTAGAGTCTCTCTGTGTTTAGGGCCAATCTACAGTTTTTCTGCCTTGGGATATGCCTGTCGGTGAACTCAGGGGTTCCTGCTTCTAGGGGTGCCTCCCACAGAGACCCATCAGCCACCTCCCTGAATGCCATGGCCTTTCGTGACACTTCACCTGGCTCCTTCATGTCCAGAGCCTTCCCGTCCCTCCTGACAGGGCTTCATGGGTCCCAGGCCAGCTCAGGGCTCTCTCCCTGGGAGCCCACAGAAACCTGGAGAGGCCCCTGCACCTCCTACCTTGTTCCCAGCCTGGATCCAGAGTCCCACAGTCCAGGGGACTGGGCCCTGAGACTCTGAGTTTTCATTCCCCTATCTTGGCTCTGAGGGTTTCAGGTCCTTCTAAAGTCCACCAGGTGGTCACTCCTTCGAGCCCCTTGTTCCCTCTCCCTCATGAGATGGGGCCTCAGTTTCCCTTGCACAAAGTTCGTTAGACAGAAGCCCAGGTGGGGGAGGACAGAACTGAGCAAGTTTTAGGGAAGCAGCCTGGCTCTGGCAGACAGACAGACAGATGAGTCTCAGTAGGTCATCCAGTCTAGTGCCCTACATCTGAGGTCAGAGGTGAAGGGGTCTTGGTGACCCACTGAGGTAAGGGTCTAAACAGGGAGGGGAGAGGTCCTTGACCAGGGCCTAGGCTCCAGAGAGAAAGCATCACCACAGGTCAACACAAGATACAGAAAAGAACAAAAGCAGCAGAAAATTTCCCAGTACCTTGGGGAGACCAGGGAAGGAGGGGGAAAAGACTCATCTAGGACGGTCAGCTCGGTCCCCTCACCAAACACCCAGTGCTGTGACACAGGCTCATACAAAAACCCTCTCTGGACGCCTCTACCCCCAACCCCCGCTGCAGCTGTGATGGAGGAAGCTGAGGCCACAGCCCCTGGTGGCATCTGCTCATGAGGGAGTTCACACGGCTGCCACACTCACCCCCACAGAGAGAAGGGGACAGCTGACATCCTGTGACCAGCAGGATCCCTAGAAATCCTGGTTCCTGGAGGACAGTGGATTTGGTTTTCCCACCAACCATCATGCAGCCATGGGGATGAGTTTATTGGAGGGCACTGTGTCACTAGGAGTGAACTCCCATGGTCAGGGATAAATGGTCTCCCTGGTGGAGCTGACTCGACACTGACTGCTTGGTGACGCCCTGGGGTGATGCAGAGAGTGCCCTCTCCCTCCAGGAAGAAGCTGGTTACCCTAGAGTGCGGTGTCTTGGGAAGCTTCCCATGAACCTATCTGTGACTCCAGGAGCCTCAGCCCAGCCTTCCCTGGGCTTGTCCTAGTTGGGATGGGCCTGGCCAGTGAGGCCTGGCTGGTCCCCACTGGAAATGCCAGCCCCATCCTCCAGGGTAAAATGGAAGGATCTCCTGCACCCCTCAACCTGGTCTCATTTTGGTGGGTGAGGTGGGGTAGTGGCTGCCACTGCCTTATTCAAATGTGAGGGACATAAAGGAGCTCCCGAGTGTGGTCTCCAAATATCACCTTCTGCTAAGGGAGGTGAGGTCAGTGCGGGATCCCAGGCCTGGGGCAGGAAAGGGACATGATGAGACAGAACCTCTCATCCTCCGAGAAATCAGGAGCCATGGAAGCTCCTGGGGCAATGGGAGAAAATCAGATGCCACCTGAGGAGGCGCCCAGTGGGTAAATGTTTATGTTTTGTAGCCGCATTGTCATTGCAATTCAGTATATCTGCAGTGGAGCCCACATGTCAGATGTCCTCACACGCTAGAGCTCACTCCGGTACTACATTGTGCTGTGCGCCCTGGAGGATGGCTGGGCACCAGATCATCAGTTATCAAAGTGGTGAACAAAAGGGAAGAATGTACATTTTTTCTTCTTCCCAAAGCATGAAGCACACTCCTGAGCGCACGGTGCAGCTGCTGTGCCCTCCCTTCTGGAAGCCCTCATGAGAAGGAGGTGGACCGAAGTCTTGACCATCTGCCTTCCTTCTCATCTGAGGCGCGAAGTTATTGATCATCAAATGCAGCTAATGTCACTGAAAGAATGACAACACAACATGGGTGGCTTTGCTGGAAGTAGCCACGTGTCCTGGGAAGCGAGTTTGCCAATGTCCAGCCTGAACCCCCTTGAGCCTCTTGATGCTAGAACCATTTTTCAGGAAAAGAGAGGTTGAGGGAAGCACTGGGTTCCTGCTCAGGGAGGTGGCGCCTGCATCCCGACTGTGGGAGGTCCCGGGACCAGCTCTCTGCTCCTGCAGCTCCTGCCTTGCCAGGGAAAGCTAGAGCAATTTGGGAGACACCTGCAGATGGAATGGGTCTAAAAACACATTCACCAATGATAACGTCAAGTATTAATCCACATAGAAATGAAATTAAATCACAAATATGCAACAGCACCACAAAGTCGACAAAAATAGACACAATGATATTCACAAGACATTTGATAAGACTCTCATTAACTATTTTTGATGTCAAGAAATCCTTGATATTCTCTCCAGTTGTGTGTGTGATGACTAGCATTTGCTTCACACCCTTGCTTGAAGGAGTAGTTTAGTTATTCTGCTGTGGGTGGGTCCGCATTATCTGAAAATGGATGATGCTGCGGACTGGCTGATGGGAACCTTGGAGTCATTACTATTCTTCTGTCTCCCTATTTTTGTGTTCAGAGATCTTCATCATAAAAATGTACAACTTATAGAGAGGGTGAAGCTTGGGACAGTGTCTCCCATGGGCTTGAATTTTCATAGCTGTGAAATGGGTCAAACAGAGGCTGAGGGACTCTGGGCACCTGAAATTCAATTCAGCTCACGGCTGTGATTTGGGGCAGGGGTGGCTGGGACTGAGCTCCAAAGGGGCCCCTCTCTTTGTGTATCATTGTGGAAAAAGCCCCCAGGCCTTGCAGCTCTGTTCCTGTCCTGGCTGGCCATCCAGCAGCTGCTGCCATGTCCCTGATGAACCAGAAACAGTGGGGGTCCCAGCCCGGGCACTATGGATTAACCGAGCCTGTCAAGGCCTTCAAGGGACCAAATTGCCCACTGTCAGGGACCCCGGGATGAGGGTGTCTCTGAGTGAGGCTGCCGGTGCACCATGGTGCAGGGGGTGAGGGGACGGAACAACGTGAGTGACAGAGGGAGTGGGGCCTGGTGGGATGGGGGTGTTTGGGGCAGTTGAGATCCCGTGAAAGCCTGACTTTGCCTATAGATAGCCCCTAGGTCATGTTCACCCTGTGCTGACCTTGCGTGACCCAGCCTTGACTCTAGTCCAGAATGAGACTCTGACACAGACTCTCCCCGACAACCATGGGATGCCCGTTCTGTGCCTGGGATGGTGTCTTTGCTCATTTGTCTCAGTCCACAGGAGTCCTCCCCTCACACGAGCTGACCATCACAGGCTCAGCCACACACCAAGCACATACTCACTCCACCCCAGAGCCTGACTTTAGAATTGGGAACTTCATGGTTGAGATCTCAGCCACGTGCTGGTTAACTTTGAACCTCACCCTAAGCCCATCTGATCATAACTGATCACCCGTGTGCCCCAGCCTCACCCCACTTTCCAGAGCTAGCGACGTGAACACCAGTATCTTGCAGAGCATCCTAGGGCTCACTAAGTTGGCTGGGATGGTGAGCAGGATTCTGGACTTCCTGTTTCCCTATTGCAGGACTTGTAAGTGTCTTTACTTAGCCACCCTGTATTGTGAAAATCTGTGAAATTCACCTGTGAGTTTCCATTCCCAGACCTTTCCACAAGTTCCTGGTGATGGCACCACCATGGACTTCTCACCCGATAAACTGGGCACCTGGATTTTCCTCATCCTTGCTTAGAATTTAAGGAGGTTGCAAACTAAATATGAGATAAGAAATGAAGACAGACAGCAGGATTTCTGGTTGACAATGAGGATATTTATTGAGGGTTACTGGGTGCAGGGAGAAGGGCTGGATGACTTGGAGTGGGAGGGGAGACACATGCCCTGATCCTGCAGCTCTAGGCCCCCGTGGGTAGGTGAGGGTCGGGGACCTAAGAACATTCTGCAGGGGCCACTGTCTTCTCCACAGTGTTCCTTTCATGCGTGACCTGGCAGCTGTAGAGGTTGTGGGACTTCCACTGTCGGGTGCCAGTCTTAGGTAGCTGCTGGCCGCATACTTGTTGCTCTGTTTGGAGGGTGTGGTGGTCTCCACACCCTGGGTGATGGTGATGCCATCTATCTTCCAGGCCACTGTCATGGCTCTCGGGTAGAAGTCACTCATGAGACACACCAGTGTGGCCTTGTCTTGGAGCTCCCTGCCTCTGGGGTCAGAGGAGATGAAGGTGTCTCAGTGACCAGCTGAGGCATACAGGGGTCTGAATAGGGAGGAGAGAGATCAGCCTCCCAGGACCGAGGTCCCAAAGGAAACCCTGACCACAGGCTGTGGCAAGTCACAGACAAAGATCGAAATCAGAATAAAATTGTCACCAACTTGGCAGGGAAAGAAAGGGAAGAAGAGACTCATCTAAAATGATCAGCTGGGTTCCTCCACCAAATACAAAATGCGGTGACACAGGTTCATACAAAAACTCTTCCCTGGGGCCCCTAACTCCCCCTCCCCATCCCCCACCTGAAGCTATGGTGCAGGAAGCCAGACCACTGCCCCTGGAAGGCATTTGCTCAGCAGAGTCCACACACCTGCCTGCCCTTCTCAAGCTGAGATGGGACAGTCGACCAAGCGTATGCAGTAACGGGACGTCTGGAAATGGCGAGGCCTGAGGAGGTTGGTGTCTGGATCAGGTTTTCCAGGTGACTGTGACCCAGGAATGGGAATGAGCTCCTTGAGGGCATTTGCTTCACGAAGGAGTGAAGTGACATGGAAGGGGACAGGGATTCTCTATAGGGTTGTTGTAACCCTGATCTCTTGGTGTGACTACAGGGTAAGAGCAGGAGGCGTCCTCAGGTGTCCCCAGTGAGTGCCTTAGAGGAGGGGCAGCTTGCCCCAGAGTCAGCAGTCATGGGAAGCTCCAACGTGACCACAACCACAACTCCAGGGCGTCTCACTTCCGTCCTCCTTGTGTTGTCTTAGTTTGGGATGGGTCTCACTAGGTTTTAGTATGAAATGCCAGCCTCAACCTCCAGGGAGAAGTTGGAAGCAAGCCCCTGTTACCCTTTCAGGGTCTTGTCTCATTTCTGGGTATGTCTGGAGTGTCTGACTCAAAAGGGCTGTGTGAGAAGCACCCCAAGTGTGGTCACTAAATCCCACCTCCCAGTTATGGGGACTAGTCCACTTGGGGTTAATGGGCAATTCCAGGCACAAGGCAGGAGAAAGATGTGCCCAGGATAGATTGTGAACAGAGAGCGGAAAGCCATCGAGGTCTCCTGGGTTCCTTCAGGAGGATCCTGGGGCCACCAGAAGAGGCACTGAGTGGGCCACGGTGGGTCATTGTCATCATCAATGAAATAGAACCATGGTGGACTCAAGTGAGTCACATACAGTAACATAACTTTGAGCTCACCATGAAATAATTGTTCATCTTCACGAGATGGCAGGCAACATGGTCATCATTATTAAGATGCTAAATGAAAGGAAAGACTCAACATGTCTATGCTATTTCTTACTGAAATAAGAATCACACTCCCAGAGGAGCAAAGAACATATGAGGGCACACCTTTTACAGACAGTCAGTAGAAGGAAAAGGTGGTCGAACTGAAATGCAGTCACCTTGCATCCATATACCATCTAATGGCACTGGATACAAAGTGTGAAGCCCAGCTAACGTCACAAATAGATGACCCCACATGGGAGCCCAGTAGCCAAGCGGTCTTGCTGAAAAGTCACACTGAGCCTTGTTAAACCTTTCTGGCCAAGAACCAATTTTCAGGAAACGCAGAAGCAGAGAGGAGCGCTTGTTTCCAGCTTGGGGAGGCCACAGGCTGTATCCTGACCATGGGAAGGTCCTGGGACCAACCCCCAGCTCCTGTAGCTCCTGCCTTGCAAGGAAATTAAAAATCAATGAGGAAGATACCTGCAGACAGAACAGGTCTAAAAACACAGTCACCAGTCACAATTTCAAACCATATTGAATCCTCATAGAAATGAAATGGAAAACCACAGAATAACAACAACACAAACACAGGTCTAGTGAAAGAAGCATAGGATATTTGTGAAGTATTTGATGGGAAACATTCTTTTTTTGATATGAAAGAATTAGATATTTATATTTAGGTTTGTAAGAATGTAGTTTTTTGGGGGGGGTCCATATTTTTAGAGACACAAATGGAATATTTAGACTAATGGACATGATGTCTACAATTTGCTTCAAACAACTGTGTAAAAGAGGTTACTTGATTGTGGGTGGGTCAACATGAGCTGTATTATCCTGTTTTTTTATTTTCTTGCTGTCAGTTTCCGTAATATCTTACAAGGCAGTAATTAGAGAGATTAGTCTTGGGACAGCACCAGGGGACATCCAGAGGGGATCCTACCCAGCAGGGCCATTGAGAAGGTGGAGATCAAAGCGGTCCTCTTTGCTATAGGGGTCTCAGCGTTCACATCTATGAAATGGGGCCAGACAGGGTGGTGGGAATCAGGACCCTTAAGTTTCCTTCTAACTTGTAGGTTGTGACTTGAGGCAGGGGTTCTATGATTAGGCTCCAAGAGGAACCCCTTCTCTGCCCCACTATGGCCCTAGAGTTCTCTGCCCTTGCAGGCTCTGTCTCAGGCCTGGCCTGGCCACCCAGCAGCTCTGGTGAAGGCACCTGCCACACCGCTGATGTGCTGGAGGCACCAAGAAGGGGCCTGACAGTGCCCAAGACTGATGAGGAGGGCTGGGAAGTGCATCTCCCAAGGCCACCTCACTCGCTGTCAGGGACCCTGGGATGATTGTGTCTCTGACATCAGGGTGTAGGTGCACATGGAGGGGCTGAACCACATGATTGAGGGAGGGAGTAGGCCCTGGTGGGGAGGGGTCTAAGGTAGCTGAGTCCCATGAAAACTTGACCTGCCTGTAGCCCTTAAGTCACACTTACCCTGCCCTGACCTAGTGTGACCTGGCCCTGATTCTTGGGCGAGTATGATTTTGACACAGCCTCCATCAGACAACCAATGGATGCCGATTCTATGCTTGGGATGGTGCCTTTCTCATTTGACCCAGTCCACCTGAGTCCTACCCTCACACAGGCTGGCCATCATGGCTCCAGCCATAACCATAATCTAACTCTACTGCGTCCCCTGACTTTAGAATTCGAGACTCTTCATGGTTGAGATCTCAGCCCTATGCTCTCTTTCTGACCTGGCCAGTGTTAACCCTGAGCCTGACCCATTTGATCACAACGAATCATCTGTGTGCCTCAGCCTCAGCCCATGTCCCAGCACTAGTGACATGAACACCAGTGTCTTGAAGAGCGCTCTAGGGCTAAGTGGGTTGGGACACTGAATAGAATTCTTGACTTGCAAGGTTATGTAACATGAACTGTTTTCCAACTGCAGGACTTGTCAGCATCTTTCATAGCTAACGTACATTGTGAAAGTGTAAACTACACTGAAGGGTTCCATTTTCCAGCCTTTTTCATGTCTCCCGGGTGATGGCACAATCACGTAATGTTGTAATGTAACGTAAGGTGATGGCACCTAGTAAATGGTCTCCTAACTGGGTATCATGGATGGGACAGGGAAGTTCAACCCTGTTTCTGCTCTGATCTTGGCCTGGGCTCAAGGGTTTTCTGTCTCTAGCCCAAAGCAGGGGGTCCTGGAACACTCCTCGTTTCTCCCCGATGCCCTGCTCAGGGCCACCACTCTGTCCTCACTAGGCTCCACATCCTTCCCAGGTGGGCAAGAACTGCATTTCAGGGACCACTCTGCAGGGACAACTTTCTGCTCTGGAACATGGTTCCCCCTGGCACAGGGAGCCCACCCGGTTTCCTGGCAGGTTGGGTGGGGTGTGGGATGACGGGGACATGGGATCTCACCTGAAACTGCCTCCTGTCCCAGAGCAGTGACCCTTCAGCACAGGCACATGACCAGACACAGACGACACATTGGAAACTGGGTTTTACATGATCAGGTCTTTATTGAGAAGTAAAATTGAGGAGGGTGTGGGACTGGTCTGAGCTGAGGCCAGGCTGGAGGCTCAGGGGTATGGTGGAGAGTTGGGGAAGGGGTGACTGGAAGAGGAAGGACCTTCCAGAGAGATGACTCGGGGAGGCTGTAAGCCTCCTCCCTTGGGTGACTTTCCCACTGGGTGCAGAATTCCCTCCACCGTAAATTGAGAACCCAGGGAAGGCTAGGAATTATATGTGAGAAAAGAAAAAATGAGATAAAACAAGATTTCTGATTGACAATGAGAATATTTATTGAGGGTTTATTGAGTGCAGGGAGAAGGGCTTGATGCCTTGGGGTGGGAGGAGAGACCCCTCCCCTGGGATCCTGCAGCTCTAGTCTCCCGTGGTGGGGGGTGAGGGATGAGAACCTATGAACATTCTGTAGGGGCCACTGTCTTCTCCACGGTGCTCCCTTCATGCGTGACCTGGCAGCTGTAGCTTTTGTGGGACTTCCACTGCTCAGGCGTCAGGCTCAGGTAGCTGCTGGCCGCGTACTTGTTGTTGCTTTGTTTGGAGGGTGTGGTGGTCTCCACTCCCGCCTTGACGGGGCTGCTATCTGCCTTCCAGGCCACTGTCACGGCTCCCGGGTAGAAGTCACTTATGAGACACACCAGTGTGGCCTTGTTGGCTTGAAGCTCCTCAGAGGAGGGTGGGAACAGAGTGACCGAGGGGGCAGCCTTGGGCTGACCTGCGGGGTGGATGAGGGGCAGGGGGTCAGAGTCCTGGTGTCCACCTGGGGAGCCCCTGACCTCAGTATATGATGAGGTGTTGGGGTGCCCTTGTTCAGGGGCTCTGTGTCTGAAGGTCTATGCCAGGCAGAGGGGTCAGGGTGTTTTCCACTATGTCCTGATCTGCACGGGGAGCTGTTTTACCTTAGACACCTGACCACCTGTCCTGAGATCTCTCGGGGCCTTGGCCCCCCACACCGACATCTGACCCTCAGTGCCCTGACCCTGTCCCCTCCTGCCATCCTGACAGATAAAGAGAGCTCTGTGTCTCTCCTGCACAGCGAACTCTGGGGTTACTTTTCTGGCCTGGCTCCTCAGCTCTGTGGGATACTGGGGCCTTTTGGTCCCTCAGGCTGTTCCAGCCAAATGTGTGTTCTGGAGCCCGTGTATGGGGCAAGGGCCTGGGGGGATCGGAGAGCCTGCCTGCTGTCCTGGGCTCTCTCTTATTCCGTGGAGTCTTTTCTGGCATCCACCCCACGTCCCGGCTACCTGGTCATAGCAGTGGGGCTTTCACGCAGTGGACTCTGCCCCTCTGATCCCCCTGGGCACAGGGGATATGTTCTGAAGAGACCCAGGAGCCCGCCCTTCCGTCACATCCACTCCTTTTGTGACCCTTCCCCTGGCTTTCTGGTGTCCAGAGTCTGCTTCTCCCTTCTCCCTCCTGACGGGGTTTCCTGAGTCTCAGGCTGGCTCAGGGCTCAGTCCCTGGCAGCCCCCAGACGCCCAGGGCAGCCCCTCCACCTCCTACCTCATTCTGGGTCTGGATCCTGGCTCTGGGTCCCAGCTCTGTGATTCCCGAGCATCAGCCCCGAGGGCACTGGGTCCTTCTAAAGTCTCCCAGGAGGTGCCTCCCTCAGACCCCTTGTTCCCAATTCCCCAGGAGATGGAACCCAGGTAACCCAAGGGCAAAGCTGTTCCGACAAGAACCCAGACTGAGGAGGCCAGAACAGAACAAGGCTTAGAGACCCAGCCTGCGCCTGTCAGACAGACAGAGAGACAAACAGAGAGACAGACAGACAGACAGAGAGACAGACAGACAGACAGACGAGGCTCAGTAGGTCATTCTATCTAGTCCCCTGCCCCTGCGGTCAGAGGTGAAGTGGTTGTAATGACCTGCTGAGGCAAGCAAGGGTCTGAACAGGGAGGGCAGAGGTCCTTGCTCAGGCCTGGGATGCAGGGAGAAAGGCTGACCACAAGTTGAGACAAGATACAGAAACAAACAAAAACAGCAGAAATTGTCCCAAGAGCGGGGAAGGAGAGGGGAGAAGAGACTCACCTAGGACGGTCAGCTTGGTCCCTCCGCCGAACACCCAACACTGTGACACAGGCTCATACAAAAACCCTCCCTGGGATGCCCCTAGCCCCAGCCCCCACTGCAGCTGTGAAGGAGGAAGCTGGGACCAGTGGTCCTGGTGGCATCTGCTCATGAGGGAGTCCACATGGCCCCCACACTCAACCCACAGAGAGAGGGGACCGGTGACATCCTGTGACCCACAGCAGGATCCCTGGAAATCCAGGCTTCTGGAGGACACTGGGATCTTGAATTTGTTTTTTGCACCAACCATCACTCAGGCCCAGGATTGAATTTATTAGAGGGCATTAGTGTCGCTAAGGAGTGAATTTCCACAGATGGGATAGGTGGTCTCTTCTCTGCAAAGTTGAACCAACCCATGGTTCAACTTTTGGTAACACCATGGGGTGGTGCAGAGGGTGCTCCTTTCCTCCCATGCAGAGGCTGATTGCCCTAGAGTGCAGTGTTCTGGGAACCTTGGTGGGTTTCAGCCCCACCTTCTGGAGTAGTTCTAGTTGGATAGGCCTGGTCAGTGAGGCCTGGCTGGTCCCAATATGAAATGCCAGTCACATCTGTTAGGGTAACCTTGGGAGCATCCCTGCACCCCTGAATCTGGCCTCATGTTTGGTGGGACAGCTAGGGTGGTAGCTGCCGTTGTCTTTTTCAAATGGGGGACATGAGGGAGCCTCCAGAATGTGGTCTCCAAATATCACCTCTCACTAAGGGAAGGGAGATCAGTGGGGGATCCCAGGCCTGGGGCAGGAAAGACACATAAGACAAATAAGAAAGGAACATGATAAGACAGAACCTCTTATCCTCTGAGTAATCAGGAGCCATTTAATCCCCTGGGGCCATGTGAGGAAGTCTGAAGCCACTTGGGGAGACTCCCCCTGGGAAAATATTCATCATTGGTGGCCACCTGTCATCATCAATTAAATATAATGACAGTGGCTTCAAAAGCATTAGATGGCTTGAATCCTAGAGTTCACCATGAGAGAAGACATGAATTGTTCACCCTGGAAGGATGGCTGGGCCCCGGATCTTCTGTGTGCAAAGTGGCTCCTTCCTAGAGCATGAAGCACACTCCTGGGTGAACAGAGCCCAGCTGCAGACCTCTGACATCACAGACACTCTGCAGCACTCATGAGAAGGAGGTGAACTGAAGCCTCAACCCTCTGCCTTCCTTCCCTTCTGAGGGATGTAGCTATTGACCATCCTATGCAGCTAACATTACTACAAGAGTGGCAGTCTGACATGGGTGACTCTGCTGGTAGCAGCTCCCTGTCCTTGCAAGCTATTTTGCAATGTCCAATCTGAATCAAGTTAATCCCCTTCATGCTAGAATCATTTTCCAGGAAAATAAAAGCTGAGGGAAGCCCTAGGTTCCTGCTCCAGGAGGCGTGGCTGTATAGCAGCCAGGGGAAGTTCTCCAGACAGCTCTCAGCTCCTGCAGCTCCTGCCTTGCCGGGAGGCTCTAGAGCAATTGAGGAAATATTCACCAGTGACAACCAGCCTGATGGCACATGCACCCATCACCATTTGATGTCATATTGCTCCTCATATAAACTTAAACCCCCAAATACCAACAGCACCAACATGTAACTAAGCCAAAGCACTTCTGGTGTTTCTGATGCATTTGAGGAGACCCTGCTTATTTCTCGATATTAGGGAATTAGTGATAATTTCTATTTAGGTTTGGTAGTGATATTATAGTTATTTTAAGGTCCATGTCATTCCAGGACAGTAATGGAGTACTTACAGCTGAACAGATCTGATGTCTTGTATTTCTTTCTAAATGTTGTGTAAGGGAGAATTTATTTTGCTGTGGGTGGGTCGGCATCATCTGTGAATTGCTTATTTTGAGTGCTGGGTGATGAGAACATGGGACACTGTTATTTTTCTGTCTCCTTATTTATATGTTCAGAGTTCTTCATAATATAAACTTATGACACAGCTCAGTCTTTGGACAGCTGCTGGGTGTGAAGTAGACCTTGGCCTTGTACCCAGCAGGCCTACGTAACTGGCCCTCCTTGGGTGGTCTTAGTTTTCTCATTTGTGAAATGGGCTTAGACAGGGACTGTGGCCACTAGAACCTTTTAGCCTTCTTCTAATTCAGAGGCTGGGATTTGGATCAGGGGTGGCTGTGATCAAGCACCAAGGGGCCATTTCTCTGCCTCATTGTGACTGCAGAGCTTCCTGTCTTTGCGGGCTCTGTCCCTGGCCTGTCGGGACCACCCAGCAGCTCTGGTGAACTCAGCTGCCACATTCCTGATGTGCTGGAGGCAGAGACAGGGAGTCTAAGTTTGCGTGGGCACTAAGAACGCACAGTCATCCAGGGCCTCCATAGAGGTTTGGGTAGGAAGGCTCCACCACTGTGACCAAGGGAGGGCGAAGGTCCCAGTGGGCAGGAGGGTCTGGGGGAGCTGAGTGTTCATGGATGCCTGACCTTGCCTGTAGCCCTCTGTCTGCATTCACACAGCCCTGACCCAGCCTGGCCCAGCTCCAACTCTTGTCATGAATTTGACACGGCCTCCTTCACTCCTCGAGCCTGACCCTGAGCCTGTAGCCATCTTATCATACACCCGTAACATCTTTGTTCTTAAATCTCACTTTATGTTTCATAAACTACTTCCATGACATACTAGTATCTTGCAGAATATTATGGGGCTTTTAGAGGTGCCAGATGGATAAATGTGACTTTACATAAGCTAAGCTTTACCACAGGAAATTATTTCCCTAGTAGAGAACTTTTCATTGCCTTTACTTGGCTAACGTGCATTGTCAAGTCTAGGAAATGCACCTGTATGTTTCATTCTCCAAGGCTTCTCAGGACATCCTGGTGGCAGCACAAGTATGGACTCCTTTCCTGCTAAACGGTCTTGTGTGGAATGGGGATTTTCAACTGTGTTCCTGCTGAGACCATGACATTGACTCATAGGTGCTCTTCACCCTTACTTCTGCCTCTAGCCCACATCTGGGCTCCCCAGAGACCCCTTCACTTCTCCTGATTTCCCTCTCCGGACTGTCCTGCATCCTGATGCTGGGCCATGGTATTTCCCAGTTTGGCAAGAGCTACAGCCCACCAGATGCTTGCAGGACAATATGAAACTCTGGATCATGGATTCTCCTGACACAGAGAGCTCACCAGAGTCACTGGCTTGTTGCATAGGGTCAGGGATGCCATGGCAGGGACCTGGCATCTGACCAAGAGCGGACCTATCCCCTGTCCCGGACCAGCAACTCTTTAGCCCAGAGACTGGAGCAGACACAGAAGGCATGCGAGAAGTGCCGTGTGATGCGTGGTTAGGTTTCTGTTGAAAGGCAGAATCTAGGAGAGTGTGACACCCCCCTGGTCCCAGCCAGGCGAGGCTGGTGGCTCAGGGGTACAGTGGAGAGCTGAGGAAGGGGTGTCTGGGTGAGGAAGGCCTTACCTGCAGAGATGCCCAGGGAACTGAGAACCCCTTCACATAGGCAACTTTCCCACTGGGTTCAGGGTTCTTTCCACCACAAATTGAGAACCCAGGAAAGGCTAGGAATTATATGTGAGAAAAGAAAAAATGAGATAAAACAAGATTTCTGATTGACAATGAGAATATTTATTGAGGGTTTATTGAGTGCAGGGAGAAGGGCTTGATGCCTTGGGGTGGGAGGAGAGACCCCTCCCCTGGGATCCTGCAGCTCTAGTCTCCCGTGGTGGGGGGTGAGGGTTGAGAACCTATGAACATTCTGTAGGGGCCACTGTCTTCTCCACGGTGCTCCCTTCATGCGTGACCTGGCAGCTGTAGCTTCTGTGGGACTTCCACTGCTCAGGCGTCAGGCTCAGATAGCTGCTGGCCGCGTACTTGTTGTTGCTTTGTTTGGAGGGTGTGGTGGTCTCCACTCCCGCCTTGACGGGGCTGCTATCTGCCTTCCAGGCCACTGTCACGGCTCCCGGGTAGAAGTCACTTATGAGACACACCAGTGTGGCCTTGTTGGCTTGAAGCTCCTCAGAGGAGGGCGGGAACAGAGTGACCGAGGGGGCAGCCTTGGGCTGACCTGCGGGGTGGATGAGGGGCAGGGGGTCAGAGTCCTGGTGTCCACCTGGGGAGCCCCTGACCTCAGTATATGATGAGGTGTTGGGGTGCCCTTGTTCAGGGGCTCTGTGTCTGAAGGTCTATGCCAGGCAGAGGGGTCAGGGTGTTTTCCACTATGCCCTGATCTGCACGGGGAGCTGTTTTACCTTAGACACCTGACCACCTGTCCTGAGATCTCTCGGGGCCTTGGCCCCCAACACCGACATCTGACCCTCAGCGCCCTGACCCTGTCCCCTCCTGCCATCCTGACAGATAAAGAGAGCTCTGTGTCTCCCCTGCACAGCGAACTCTGGGGTTACTTTTCTGGCCTGGCTCCTCAGCTCTGTGGGATACTGGGGCCTTTTGGTCCCTCAGGCTGTTCCAGCCAAATGTGTGTTCTGGAGCCCGTGTATGGGGCAAGGGCCTGGGGGGATCGGAGAGCCTGCCTGCTGTCCTGGGCTCTCTCTTATTCCGTGGAGTCTTTTCTGGCATCCACCCCACGTCCCGGCTACCTGGTCATAGCAGTGGGGCTTTCACGCAGTGGACTCTGCCCCTCTGATCCCCCTGGGCACAGGGGATATGTTCTGAAGAGACCCAGGAGCCCGCCCTTCCGTCACATCCACTCCTTTTGTGACCCTTCCCCTGGCTTTCTGGTGTCCAGAGTCTGCTTCTCCCTTCTCCCTCCTGACGGGGTTTCCTGAGTCTCAGGCTGGCTCAGGGCTCAGTCCCTGGCAGCCCCCAGACGCCCAGGGCAGCCCCTCCACCTCCTACCTCATTCTGGGTCTGGATCCTGGCTCTGGGTCCCAGCTCTGTGATTCCCGAGCATCAGCCCCGAGGGCACTGGGTCCTTCTAAAGTCTCCCAGGAGGTGCCTCCCTCAGACCCCTTGTTCCCAATTCCCCAGGAGATGGAACCCAGGTAACCCAAGGACAAAGCTGTTCCGACAAGAACCCAGACTGAGGAGGCCAGAACAGAACAAGGCTTAGAGACCCAGCCTGCGCCTGTCAGACAGTCAGAGAGACAAACAGAGAGACAGAGAGACAAACAGAGAGACAGACAGACAGACAGACAGACGAGGCTCAGTAGGTCATTCTATCTAGTCCCCTGCCCCTGTGGTCAGAGGTGAAGTGGTTGTAGTGACCTGCTGAGGCAAGCAAGGGTCTGAACAGGGAGGGCAGAGGTCCTTGCTCAGGCCTGGGATGCAGGGAGAAAGGCTGACCACAAGTTGAGACAAGATACAGAAACAAACAAAAACAGCAGAAATTGTCCCAAGAGCGGGGAAGGAGAGGGGAGAAGAGACTCACCTAGGACGGTCAGCTTGGTCCCTCCGCCGAATACCACACACTGTGACACAGGCTCATACAAAAACCCTCCCTGGGATGCCCCAGCCCCAGCCCCCACTGCAGCTGTGAAGGAGGAAGCTGGGGCCAGTGGCCCTGGTGGCATCTGCTCATGAGGGAGTCCACATGGCCCCCACACTCAACCCACAAAGAGAAGGGGACCGGTGACGTCCTGTGACTCACAGCAGGATCCCTGGAAATCCAGGCTTCTGGAGGACACTGGGATCTTGAATTTGTTTTTTGCACCAACCATCACTCAGGCCCAGGATTGAATTTCTTAGGGAGCATCAGTATCGCTAAGGAGTGAATTTCCACAGATGGGTTAGGTGGTCTCTTCTCTGCAAAGTTGAACCAACCCATGGTTCAACTTTTGGTAACACCATGGGGTGGTGCAGAGGGTGCCCCTCTCCTCCCATGCAGAGGCTGATTGCCCTAGAGTGCAGTGTTCTGGGAACCTTGGTGGGTTTCAGCCCCACCTTCTGGAGTAGTTCTAGTTGGATAGGCCTGGTCAGTGAGGCCTGGCTGGTCCCAATATGAAGTGCCAGTCACATCTGTTAGGGTAACCTTGGGAGCATCCCTGCACCCCGAATCTGGCCTCATGTTGGGTGGGACAGCTGGGGTGGTGGCTGCCGTTGTCTTTTTCAAATGGGGGACATAAGGGAGCCTCCAGAATGTGGTCTCCAAATACCACCTCTCACTAAGGGAAGGGAGATCAGTGGGGGATCCCAGGCCTGGGGCAGGAAAGACACATAAGACAAATAAGAAAGGAACATGATAAGACAGAACCTCTTATCCTCTGAGTAATCAGGAGCCATTTAATCCCCTGGGGCCATGTGAGGAAGTCTAAAGCCACTTAGGGAGACTCCCCCTGGGAAAATATTCATCATTGGTGGCCACCTGTCATCATCAATTAAATATAATGACAGTGGCTTCAAAAACATTAGATGGCTTGAATCCTAGAGTTCACCATGAGAGAAGACATTAATTATTCACCCTGGAAGGATGGCTGGGCCCCGGATCATCTGTGTGCAAAGTGGCTCCTTCCTAGAGCATGAAGCACACTCCTGGGTGAACAGAGCCCAGCTGCAGACCTCTGAATTCACAGATGCTCTGCAGCACTCATGAGAAGGAGGTGAACTGAAGCCTCATCCCTCTGCCTTCCTTCCCTTCTGAGGGATGTAGCTATTGACCATCCTATGCAGCTAACATTACTACAAGAGTGAGAATCTGACATGGGTGATCTCGCTGTTAGCAGCTCCCTGTCCTTGGAAGCTATTTTGCAATGTCTAGTCTGAATCCAGTTAAGTCCCTCCATGCTAGAACCATTTTGCAGGGGAAAAAAAAAAGAAGTAGATGATAGCCCTGGGTTCTTGTTTTGGGAGGTGTGGCTGTATTCCAACCGTGGGAAGGTCCCCGGACAGCTCTCAACTCCTGCAGCTCCTGCCTTGCCAGGCAGCACTAGAGCAATTGAGGAAATATTCACCAGTGACAACTGGCCTGACAGCACATGCGCCCATCACCATTTGATGCCATATTGAATTCTGAAATAAACCACCCAAAACCCCAAAATAACCACAGCACCAACACTTAACTAAGTCAATACGCTTCTGGCATTTGTGAGGGATTTGAGGAGCCCGTGATTATTTCTTGATATTAGGGAATTAGTGATAATTTCTATTTAGGTTTGGTAATAATATTGCAGTTACTTTTAAGCCCATATCTTTCCAGCATAGAAATGGGATATTTACAGCTGAAAAGATGTGATGTCTGGTATTGTGTAATGGAGGGGTTATTCTGCTATGGGTGGGTCAGTAATGTCTGTGAATTGCTTATTGGGGGGGCTGGGTGATGGGAACTTGGGGGCATTATTATTTCTCTGTCTCCTTATGTATGTGTTCAAAGTTTTCCATAATGGAAACTTATAACACAGTCAAAGATTAGGCAGCTGCTGGGGATGGCCTTGTGCCCAGCAGGACTATGGATCTGGCCCTTGGTCATCTCAGTTTTCCCCTCCATGAAATGGGCTCAGACAGGTGCTGTGGCAACAGAACCCTCAAGCCTCCTTCTAATGAGAGGCTGGGATTTGGATCAGGGGTGGCTGTGATCAAGCTCTAAGGGGCTCTTTCTTTGCCTCATTGTGACTGCAGAGATTCCTGTCTTTGCAGGCTCTGTCCCTGGCCTGTTGGGATCACCCAGCAGCTCTGGTGGAGGCAGCTGCTATGTCTCTGATGTGCTGGAGGCAGAGACAGGGGGTCTGAGAGTACCCAGGCACTGAGGACTCTCCAAGACAGCTGGGGTCTCCACACCCAGGAGGCTGACATCATCTGCTGTCAGAGACACTGGAATGAGTGTCTCTGAGATGAGGCAGCAGGTGTACATGGGATGGGGTGGGGAGGCTGCGCCACCATGAGCTACGGAGGGAGAGGGTGCTCTGCGGGCAGGAGGGTTTGTGGGATCTGACTCCTAGTGGAGGCCAGGACTTGCCTGGAGCCATCAGCCCACATTCACTCAGCTCTTATTCAGTCTGACCCAGCCCTGAAGCTCATCCTGAATTCAACTCTGATTAGCCTCCCCCAGGCAATCAATAGATGCAGAGTTTGAGCTTGGATTTGTGACTTTTCTCATTTTCCCAATTTCCCCACATCCTCCTGCTCCTGCAGACTGACCATCATCAAGCTCCAGCCACAAACCAATCAGAAATTAACTCTACCTGGGCCTGACTTAGTGGTCCACACCCTTCATGCTTGACATCCAGCCCCACGCTAGTGTTAACTTTGAGCCTGATCCCCAACCCACAGCCATGTGATCATATACCCGTAACATCATGTGCATCAACCTCACCCCATATTCCACAAACTAGTTCCAGGAAACGCTGGTATCTTTCAGAGTGTTTTGGGTCTTCTAAAGGTGAAGAAGGAGATCAACATGCTTTTGGATATGCTGTGGCTCATCATATTAAACTGGTTCCCTAGTGCAGGACTTGTCAGTATGTTTACTTAGCCAATGTCCATTGTACAAGTCTTAGAAAGACACTTGCATGTTTCCTTTCCCAATGTTTTTACAAGTTCCCAGTGGCAGCACAGTTATTTATCCCTCACCCAGTAAACACTCTCCTGACTGGTTCCTCGTATGCAATGGGGAATTTCACCTTCTGTTCCTGCTGAGACCGTGGCCTTGAGTCAAGGGTGTCCTTTTTCCATTATTTCTGCCTCTAGCCCTCATCTGGTCTCCGGGGACCCCCTTCATTTCTCCTGAATCTCCCCACAGGGCGCCAGCAAACCTCTCACTGGGCCCCTGTCCCTTCCCAGGTGGGCAAGGACTGCAGGACAATTTTGTGCCTTGGATTGCAGTTCCCACTGGCACAGGGAGCTCACCCGGTTCCCTGGCAGGTTGGGTGGGGTGTGGGATGACGGAGACATGGGATCTCACCTGGAACTGCCCCCTGTCCCTGAGCAGTGACCCTTCAGCCCAGACACATGACCAGACAGAGACTGCACATTAGAAATGCTGCGTTTTACATGATCAGGTATTTATTGAGAAGTAAAATTTAGGAGGGTGTGGGACTGGTCTGAACTGATGCCAGACTGGTAGCTCAGGGGTACAGTGGAGAGTTGGAGAAGGGGTGACTGGGAGAGGAAGGACCCTCTGGGGAGATGACTCAGGGAGGCTGTGAGCCTCCTCCCTTGGGTGATTTTCACACTGGGTGCAGAATTCCCTGTACCCCACACTGAGAACCCCGGGGAGGCTAGCAATTTATGTGAGAAAAAAAATGAGATAAAACAAGATTTCTGGTTGTCAATGAGGATATTTATTGGGGTTTCATGAGTGCAGGGAGAAGGGCTGGATGACTTGGGATGGGGAGAGAGACCCCTCCCCTGGGATCCTGCAGCTCCAGGCTCCCGTGGGTGGGGTTAGAGTTGGGAACCTATGAACATTCTGTAGGGGCCACTGTCTTCTCCACGGTGCTCCCTTCATGCGTGACCTGGCAGCTGTAGCTTCTGTGGGACTTCCACTGCTCGGGCGTCAGGCTCAGGTAGCTGCTGGCCGCGTACTTGTTGTTGCTCTGTTTGGAGGGTTTGGTGGTCTCCACTCCCGCCTTGACGGGGCTGCCATCTGCCTTCCAGGCCACTGTCACAGCTCCCGGGTAGAAGTCACTGATCAGACACACTAGTGTGGCCTTGTTGGCTTGGAGCTCCTCAGAGGAGGGCGGGAACAGAGTGACAGTGGGGTTGGCCTTGGGCTGACCTGTGTGGACAGGGAAGGGGGTGAGAGAGGGCAGACAGAATACCGGGGTGTTGTGGAGCCCCTCTCTCTGTCTAAAGTCTCTGGGAGGGTTCACAGTGTGGCCATCCGGTCCACCCGGGGTTCTCTCCTCTTCTTTCCCCATCCTTTCCACTCATGCCCTGTGGAGAGCAGACAGCTCTGTGCCTTCCTAGGAGCCCTCCCAAGTCACCTTTCACAGGTGTCCTGGCCCAGCCCCTCTCCTCTACAGCCTCAATTTCTCCATATACCCAGGGCAGGCTGTGTTCCTTCTTCTCTGATCTCTGGAGTCTGAGTTTAGAATCTGGCCTTGACCCCTGGATCCCTCATTTCCATCCCTATACCCCCCTCCATCACCCACTTTATTCTTCCAGGACCTAGAGCCTCCTCCGTGAACTGTGGGTCCCCTGCTCATCCTGTAGGACTGTCCTGGCAGGCAGTGTGTGGGGAGACCCAAGCCTGCTTTGAACTGGAGCTTCCTATCCCTCACAGGCACCGGGCTCTGCCCCAGCCCAGCCCACTTGGCTCTCCTGGCAAGGAGTGGGCTCCACCTAGACAAGCCTCAGGGCTCCTCTGAGGCTCTGAGATGTTTCCTGTCTCCACAAGCCCGACCACAGAACCCTTCACCTCAGCTGTTCCTGGGGCTGCTCCCACAGACTATGAGACTCAGCAGCCCCCAGGCCCACCCCAGCAGCCTGTGATGACCCCAAACTTCACCTGGTAGCCATGGAGTTCTCTGCACCCCTCATTCACTCCCCTCTGGTCATTTCCTGAGTCTAACATGCCCTTTGAGGAAGGCAGGAGGCCGATCCGTGAACAGAGAGACACTGGGCCCCAGAGGTGACGGGGCTCCAGGGACAGACACATCTCTGCCCTAAGAGACTGTCTCCTTTCTGGTGACTGTCCTGGGAGGGTTGGATTCTGGCACCTCACCCAGTCTCACCCGTCCCTCTGTGTCCCCATGTCCTCATGACCCAGCACAGGCCACAGAGCTGCAGCCTAGACCCAGAGCCCTCTCTGTGCCCTCCATTGGTCTCCCCTTGGGGTGACCTCTGTGTCACCAGGCCGTGTGGCCCTCCCAGGCTGGATTGGCATCCAGTCCTCAGCCTAGACCCTCAGCTGTTCTTGGGGCTGCTCCCCTAGACTATGAGACTCAGCAGCTCCCAGGCCCACCCCAGCAGCCTCTGTCCTTGACCCCAGGAGTCACTGGGCAATGTCCCTAAGGACACTGCAGGGCCCCTCATCAGAACCAGCCTCTGTCCCTCACTCAGACATCTGCCCTGGAAGAGAGGAGGAGCCCTGACCCTGCCCAATCCCAGCTCAGGCCCCGGGACCAGGCTGCATCCGGCTGCTCCCACTGTGGAGGCCCTTCCTGCCGGTTACCCGGAGACTAATGCACCTCCTCCAGGCCCCATGGAGAAAGGTAAGGGTCAGTGCTTAAGGCTGGGAGGACAGAGGGGAGGAAGCCCCAGAGAGAGAAAACAGATTTTCCAGGGACAGCAGAGGGTGAGACAGGCTGGGAAAGGTTGAGAGCCACTTACCTAGGACGGTGACCTTGGTCCCAGTTCCGAAGACATAACACAGTGACTGAGGCTCAGACCAAAACCCCCGGGGCCAGCACCTGGGGTCTGCTCTCTGGGGGCTGGGCTGGAGCAGGAGCCTGCTGGGCATGACGGGCACAGGGTTGCAGTGGGCGGGGCTGGGACCTAGACATGAGGCAGGGGGGTGGCCAGCCCCCTAGAGGTGTCCCTGTGCCTGTCTGCTGTCCAAGGCAAGTGCCACACACAGCCTTGGAGTTACCCCAGTGTGTGTCTTTCCTCTCTGAGGCTGTCGGTGCTGATGACAACACTGGGACCCATAGGTCCCAGCAACTCCCTGAGTGACACATCCCCTCCTGTGCAGTGTGGCAGAGGAGTGCTGAGTTGGCTTGGACCTGTCCAACCTCGTCTGGCCTCATTTAAAGGGCCTCTGAGTCCCCCACACAAGTGTCCCCAGTGAAGCCAGGCTGGCTTTCTCCCTGGATTGAGAGCACTGGGTCATTCCTGACTCAAGTGGAGATTCCTCTGCTTTCTACCCATGGAGACGCGGTTCAGTCCCACTTAGTGCATGAAGCTTTTTCTGATCTCTGAGATCATTCTGTCTACCCATCCATCCAGTTGTCCATCCAGCTATTCATCTGTTCATCTGTTTGTCCATCAATCTATCATCCTTCCATCCATCCGTCCATCCATGCATCTGTCCACTCATTCATCCGACAACAGCTCCCAAGCACCCATCTGTGTCAGGTACTGTTTTTATGCTGGGACATGGCAGGATCCCCTGGCTCTCAGCCTCATCTCTCCCTCAAATCTCTCTGGTTAAGGCCAACAGTCCTTTGCCCCAGTTCAGTCTGCAGTTCTTCCCCATCCCCTATGTCTCTGCAAGAAGGTTTTCTTTCTAGTCACTCTCCCCTCCTTGGTGTCTGAGACTGCCCCCTCTCCTCCTCCTTGGCTTCCCTTTCTACCAGGCCCATGCCCAACTGCTGACTCCCAGATCCCCACCCTGGGTTCTGCTCTCTGTAGTCTCCTAATTTTCTCTGCATCTGACCCTCATTGTGCACACTCACAACTGTCCAGGGGTCTTAGATCCCTATTTCCAGCCCTTACCTCTCTTCTTGGCTCCAGATTCACATATATTCTGCCTCCTCAACCTATGTCTGCTTGGATGCCCTGTAGACACCTCCAACTCAACAGATCACAACTAAACTTCTTTCTGTATAACTTGCTCCTCCACAGAGTCCTCACTTCAGCAAGTTACTCTTCAAGCCAGAGGCCTGGGGACATCGCAGAATGCCTTCCCCTCATTGTATTGCCCTCTGTCCTAGACATCCTAGCATGACACAAGATACTATTAACATCCTACAGAGAAAAAGAAAAACACCCAGGTCACACTCTAAGAGTTTATGATGGCAACCATCCTCAGGTTTTTCCAAATCTGATTTTATTCCCCAAGGCAATTTATTCACATTGGAAGATACCCATTGTGATGGGGCCAGCAACTTTCATCTTAGCAGCAGCTTGTATTTAATACATTTGTATTTAAGACATGTGCAGAAGATTTTTGAAACAGAATTTAATATAATAGTAATATAAATTCAACACTTGTTTCTCATATAAAGAAAGCAAACATTTAGCCTTTTATTAAGTTACTGAAGAAAATTTTCTTAACTCAGTGAAGAATATCTCCCCAAATTTACAGCAACCTTCATATTTAAAGGCAAAACATTTAAAGAATCAGAAACAAGGCAAGGTTGTCTAGTCTCACTTTTATTATTCAGCATATTGTATAGATTCCAGCCAATGAAATGACATAAAAGGGGGAGAGAAGGAGGTATAAATATTACAGAAAAAGAGAGAAAATTGTTCTTGGCAAATGGTGTGATAGTTAACTAAACACACAAACACACACACACACACGGAGAATCAGCTGAAGAACTGCTGGAATTAATACAAGAGTTAAAGTGTCTGGATACAAGAGCAACATAGAAAAGTTAATAGGGTTCCTTGCTATAGAAACAGTAATCATTTACGATATAAAATTGTGAAAAAATTTATAACTTCAATAAAATTATATTTACAAACCCTTTATGAATAAAAAACAAAGTGTGCAAGATTTGCATGAATAAAATATTAAACCACTTATCTGAGTGAATGGAGAGTACATCATGTCTCTGAACAAAAACACTGAGCATTATAAAGATAGCAGTTCTCAAATTAATCCCATATTCTGTGATATTACCACATAACACAAGAATGATTTTTGAAAATTAGAGAACCAATTCTGCAGTCCAACTCTAAGAATGACAGATAATAGACATGACTATTTTGAGAAAAAGTAACAATGACGGGTTCTTTCCCTACCAGTTACCGAACATACCATAAAGCTAAAATAATCAAAACAGGGTGGGCGCAGGAATAGCTCAATAAACCAAGAGAACCACAGAAAGAATGTAATAAATCAGTAATGTAGTAATTGAGAAAAGTTGCATTTATATTCAACAAATGTGTGATGATTGGCTTTCCTATTTGGAAAATAAGGTCTTATTCCTACATCCACAAAAATAAACTCCAGGGGAAGTAAAGAAAAAAAAATAAAACACCAATACACCAAAAGTACCAGAATAAAACAGAAAAATGAGTTTATAATATTGAAATAAAGACAACTTCCTACACATGGTGGAGGTCACAGAAACCATAAAGAAAAGATTAAACCAGTTCGACACATAAAAATTTACCACAGTTTTATGGTGGGAGACCCCATAAACAAAAGACCCGTAAAACAGACCAGGGAAAAATATTTACAATACATACACTAAACAAGTGGTTAAAATCCCAAATATATCCCAATATGTTATTGATATATAAAAAGATGAAAGCAACTGAATGGAAAGGCGGGCAACATGATGACCAGTTAATTCACAGACGAAATAAAACCAATAAATAAAAATATAAAAAATAATTTCACCAGTAATAAAATACACAATAAAACCATAAACACATTCAATTTTTTGCTCATCAGATGGGCAGAATATAAAAAGATCAACAATTTTGCATTATTGGTAAGAATGTAGGAGCGAAGGCACTACCATTCACCGGAGTGAGTGGACACAGACTTTTGGAAACACTACCTATAAGATTTCAAAAGTACATTCTCTCTGATCCAGCAATTCCACTTTTAGGCATCTATCCTGGGGAGATATATAAGTGCACTTTGTACACATACACACACACACACACACACACACACACACACACACACACACACACAAATTTCCACTGCAGCATCATTTGTCATTTAGATTTTTTAGTGGAAATAAATTCTGGCTCATCTAAACTTTGCTTATAAAACAAAGTTTATAAGCAATGAATGTGGTTAATCCATATGGACTGATACAGAAAGTGTCAATAATAGATTAAAAGTTGGTAATATGCAGAATATGGCTCTTACTTTTGCAAAATAAAATCCCAGCACCAACTGTGTGTGTGTGTGTGTGTGTGTGTGTGTGTGTTTTCAGGGACACACACACACACAGGAAAAGTTCTGGAAGTATATTGACCAACCTGACAGTGGCTATCTCTGGGAAGAGGTGAGAGATGGTAAGCAGAAGCACTTGCTTTTACTTTATATACTTCTCTGCTTAATCTTTTTTTTTTTTGGCAAGAAAAAAGAGTAATGTACAAAAGTCATTACATTTTGTAATATACTCATTACAAAAAGAGTAATGCACATGAGTACATTACTGTTGTATTAAAAATTATATTAGAAGAAATGTCTCTTTTTGTGAACAACTTCACAAAACCAGAAAATTATAAAGCCACATTAAAATTAGGTGAAATCCCATCAGCCAGCCAGACACACCATTGACATTTTTCTATATTTTCTGACAGGTTTTTGAAAATGCATATATACTTTAAAAACACAGTTGGGTCAGGTGCAGTGGCTCACGCCTGTAATTCCAGCACGTGGGAAACTGAGGCAGAAAGATTGCTTGAGCTTAGGAATTTGAGACAGGCCTGAGCAATATAGCGAGGCTCTGTCTCTAAACTAATAATAATCCTAATCAAAATTAGCCAGGTGTAGTGGCCTGCATCTGTAGTCCTAGCTACTCAGGAGGCTGAGGCTGGAGGATCTTTTGAGCCCTGGAGGTTGAGGCTGCAGTGAGCTGTGGCCACGCCACTGTACTCCAGCCTGAGCAACAGATCAAGACTGTTTCAAAACAAAAACAACAACAGTCCCCCAAATACAATTGTGTTTTTTCACACCCTTTCTGGTAGATATTTGGATTTTTTCCAGTTTTCTCCCATCACTAATAATGCTGAGCTAACCACCCTTGTTATAAAGATTTGGTTACAGCTTTGATTATTCCCCCAACCAACCCTTAGGATAAATTCCTAGAAGTGGAATTGCCCAGTTTAGATAAACACACTTTGTTTTTTGACTCGCCGCCTGTTGCTAAAATGGTTATACATTTTTAATGCCCATAGACAGTCCCCGAGCGTGTCTGCTCCCCTCTGCTCAGCCCTCACTTCAACTTCATGCTCCCATTTCATAGGAAACTGGGCCCCTGGGTGCTCTGAATCTGAGTGTCCTCCCCATCCCCAAGGCACGGCTTCCTCCAGGATCCCCACCTACCCTGGACTTGGCCATCACCCCCTCTCCTCCCTCCTCTAATCGGGCGTCGCATCAGCCTCCAATCCGGTGCTGATTTTTCCAAAAACACAAATCTGACTCTGATAATCAATCTACCTAAATCCATCCAAGGACTCGTCCTGGACTGGGAATGGTGCACGGACCCTATGGTCTTCTTGCCTCCCCTTCCCAGTCACCCAGGAGCTCCCAGCCTCATCCTGTGCTCTCCTCTCCTCTGACGCTGCTCTGTCTTTTGGGGGCACCCATCACCAGCCAGTGCCCCTCGATCTGTGAGACCAGCCTGGGCATCATCCCAGAGGGAGATCCCCTCTCCCTTTATTGCTCCAAACATGGGCCGTGGGCCTGTTCCAATGACTGGACAGCTCCCCTCGGTTCATCCCACCCTCCCTGTGTCCTTGAGCCTGGCCCCAGTAAGCATTTATGTGCAAGTTGGTGAACAGACAGCCTTGGGGGAGACCAAACCAAGCCCTTGCTGCCTTCTCCAGGGAGTGGCCCCTGCCCTCACTGGGCAGGAGGCACATGGGCAGAGAGGAGGAGGGGGAGGAACAGGCCTGGGCACCCTGTGGGGACAGTGGCCACCACCCCCTGTGGATGTCCTGTCCCTGCCTCTGTTCCTTCCCTACCCAGAGGACTAGGACTAGGTGATTGAGGCACTGACCCTGGTGAAAATTTAAGTGGCGCCAGAAAACTCAGAAATCAAGAAAAATAATATCGTAATATGATATTAAAAACAGTAATTCAAACAAATCTGTGATGGACAAAATATCAACCCATTACTAAAGCCAGTGTCAGCCCAGGCCCCTCTTAGGGGTTAACCTTCCTCCTCACTCCTCTGGCTTGTCTCCCCTTGGTCACCCTTTCCCAGCTCTGCTGCAGGACCCCCACATCCCCTGGAATCTCTTGCCCCTTACCTGCCCCACAGGCTCCGCAGGCTGGATCGGCTGCTTCCAACTGAGGCTCCAGGGTCTGGGTCCCCGCTTTGCGGTGCAACCATTGGGCGCAGCAGGCCATGGGCGACCATGGCCAGACCCAGCAGCAGCAGGGGCCAGCGCTGCCTGGGACCAGGGCCCAGCTCCTCAGGGGTCTCACAACCCACTTGGCCTGTCTTGGGTCTCATTGGCCTTCAGGTTCAGGGGCACCTCTGGCCCGACTTGCAGCATGGGCTCCCTGGAGGACGGTGCCCTGGTCCCTCTCGCCAGCAGGGCTGTTACAGTACACCCCAGTCCATTGGCTCTGTCCTCTCCCTGGACTGGCTCTGGTCCCTGTCCCTAGCCCAGGCCCTTCCAGGGTCCATGGCTGTCACCCCTGGGGATCTCTCCCAGAGGGGCATCTACCAACTGCCCTGAAGCGGTCACAATCCAGGGCTCAACTGCCTCCCACCACAGCCGGCTGCCTGGCCCCGCCCCTGGGTGGTGCACACCTGACCCACTTGTCTTCCCCACTTCCCAAAGGGCAGCCTGGGTCTGTGGAGCATCTCCCTAGGGCCTAGAGAGCTGCCCAGCAGGAGTCCCCAAGGGCTTGAGCTCAGGGGGTTGGGGCTGGGGCTGGAGCTGTGGCTTCTTTTCTGATCAGTCTTCCAGGCTGGGTGCCTGTACACTGCACTCCAGCCAGTTGGGACCAGCCCTTTCTTGGCTGGGTTGGTTAAGCCTGGCTGGCTATCCTGTGGCCCTTTCCTGAGTCAGGCAAGAGCCCTGCAGGGAGTGATTCTATATCCTTCAGGCAAGGAAGAGTGGTGAAGTCATAAATGTGGAGTCTATCTAGACCTAGGTTACCTCTGGGCCTCAGTTTCCTTATCTGTAAAATGGGGAGAGTTCCTCTGCAGCATGAAGCTTATGAGAGTTAAAGAAACCATGTGTTTGCTAAGCACTCAGTGGGTGTTGAATAAATTCTGGTTCTTTTTTTGTTCTTCTCTTACTTTGGGATTCACAACTACTTGTGGGGTGTCCTTGGGGCCAGTGTCTCTGTTTTACAGGTGAGAAAATTACCATCCAGAGAAGATGAATGCAGGGTCCAATATCATTCCTTAAGTAGGGAGCAAGCTGCGCTAGGATCTAGGAAGGGGCTCGTCCCCTGTATTTCTATTCGTCTGTCCACCTGGAATACTCGTGCCTGGCTCCATTCGGCAGTGGTGGAGGAGGAGAGGGCTGGCAGGTGCTTTAAGTTGGGGTCCTTTTTGACTATAATATGGGAATATGATGCATAATACAATAATAATGCATTACATTATTATTGCTTTACAAGCACTAATCCTGGGAGCTAAGATCATCTACTGTCCTCCACATTTGAAGATGAGGAAATGCTGCTCAGGCTGATTCCCTACTCTTTTAATGTCACAGGGCCAAGAGGCAGTAGGTCTGGAGTCGGAATCTGAGGCCTGGTCCTTGCATGACACTAGGGCGTGCTTTGCTGATGATGACATGGCTCTCTGGGTCTAGGTGGTAACACACTGCTTGGTGCATGGGAAAACCCAGAGCTTGGCACAAAGGAGTGGCTCAATTAAACATGGACTAAATCTGGTTGAATAAACCTCTTTTGCTTCATGTGACCCCTTGTGTCATTTGCACTCCTTTACGCCCCATTCATCGCTCCCATCTTTTCTGTTGCCCTGAGAGCCTAGTATAAAAATGTTTGAGGAGATCTTCAGGACCCCATACTCTGGTGAGAAAGGCCCCTGCTCTGCCCCCTTACATTACAGAACTGCAATGAGGGTCTGCCCTCTTGCTTTCCAGTTTCTTTTTCTGCCACAAAATCTTTAAAAATATCTGCTCAAGTTCAGATCTGCAGCCCTCTAGGACTCTCAATGTTTTGTTTTAGCAACTCTCAGAGGAGCCTCCTAGGACTTCCTAAAGTGAATTTCCTGGGAGGCTCCTTTGAGAATTGCTTGGTTCACATTTTGTGTCAGATACTCCTTAACTTCCTTGATACATTTGGTGACAATCAAGCCAGACATTTTTGTGGGCTATGGTAACAGACAAATAGCCTGAGACTTCATTTCATTGATAAAGTTGATGGTTGTTGGGAGACAGTGGTCTACTATGGATCTCTGCATTTCTGCATGTCTCTCGGGCAAAGGCACTGATTGTGGATTATCTTTTCAAGAGTGTTTGTGGAGTGAACAACCTCGGAAGGTACAGAGAATGCCTCTCTTTGGAGCAAAACACAGATATATGCTTACTGTCAAGTATGAAATATTTGGGATCCCTGAGCTCTGGCATGCAGATGTCACCTGGCCCTCTTTGCATCACCTTGTGGAACTGGTGCAAGACAATGCTGATACCTTGGCAACTGCTATTGCTGTGAAAAACAGATTATTCGTTGTCTCTGACCCAGGAGTCTTGTATCTTCTGCCAGCATCCATGGCACTGTGGCAGGCTTACTTTTTAGTCTGCAAATAGGATGAAGTCTCAGACTCTTAACAGTTCTTGAAGGTGATGATAATGAGGAGGAGGAGGAAGAAAGAGATGAAGTTGAGGATGGTGATCATGACTTAATGGTTCGACTCATCGAATCGGTTTTCAAAGATCTCCAGGCTGGATCTTTATACACATTGCTTGGGTAACTTTTGAGGACCAGGTGCTGGGGGCTGGATTATACAAATAATCACCACACATCCCTGTCCTTCAAAATAGGCAAGGCACTGAGCAGTAACAGGGTGTAGGTGCCCTAACAGACATCATTCAGGGCACAAGGGAGGGCCCTGGGAAACCCCTGGTCCAGCACAGCTTCTCCACTGGGGAGCTTGGCCTATTCCTGCCTCTGATCTTGGGCTCCTTGGATATTCGGGGCTGGGGCAGGGTCTGCCCTGGGAGTCTAGGCTGAAGCTGCTCCCTTCCAGCCCCTCTGTGGGTATGACACTCACCCACTGCTCAGGACCCAGAAGCTGTGGTTCCTTTCAGGGACAGTCCCAGGTCTTGGGGATAAAAAGGGGCTGTCCCTAAATGTAGCATCCCCAGCTGCTGCCCCTACCCCCACCCTTGCACCTGCCATGGCCTCTGGATAGACATCGTCACCGCAGACCACATCCTTCCATGGTGGCTGCAGTCGGAAATCCGAGTCTGTCTGGGGACCCTGGAGGACTGGACTAGGCCTCCCCAGCAGGTGCAGCTGCAGCTCTGGCCACCCAGGCCTATCCCCTGCCCTGAGATGTGCAAGGGCTGGATCCAGGCCTGGGCAGAAGCAGCCAAGTCCAGCTGTCCTGTTTGGCAGACCCCCTGCTGAGGGTCTGTGGTGCCTCTGCAGAGCTCTCTGGGTCCCGCCCTGGCCCTTCTCTCCCAAAGCAGAGGGATGTACCCCATCCAGTTGCTTCTGCCCTGCTCCATGTCTGAGGGTATCCCCCACCTTGGCCTTCTGCTGGTCAGTCCCCTGCCCAGTCTCCATCCCCCAGGTCCCAGAAACTCCACCTGCAGGCACTGCAGACTCCTCTCCCCCAGGTCCAGGGGTCCCCAGCTCCCCACTCCCCACCATCCCTAAATTCAAGCTGGCTGGTCTTTCTTGTCTCATCTTGAGCTTCTCACTCTTGGGATCTGGGGGAGTCTGAGGCACAGGATGACAAAGTATTGGCTGGGGATATGACAAAGGTTCTGGATCTCTGAGTCCCCAGAGTTAGAAGCTGGCTCTGCAGCTCCTGATCCCCCTCTGAGGAGTCCTCAGGAACCCCAAAGACCCCAGCTCCTCTGGTGATCCTGGGTTGCAGCCTCCACCCCAGCTCTCCTCCAGGAAATGGAAGAGATCCCTGCTCCCTTTGTAGATGTCACAGAGTGGACTTGCCAACCTGGCAGGGAGGTCTTCTAGCTACTTCTACCAGTGTGGAAACACAGTCTCAGAGAGGGAGAGTTTCTTGCCCAAGGCACACAGCGACTTGGTGTAAAGACTGTGTCTTGGGACTTACTAATAGCAATCAAAGACCTGGAGGACCAGCCTTTTTGGACATGAGGTGGAGCCAGCCTGGAACTGGAGGGTGGAGTTTTGGGAGGTTTCTGTTCTTTAACCTCCACCAGCTGCCTGGAGTGCAGCTGTAAGGGGAGAATCCAGTAGGGGGCAGAAGAGACCAGCAGTAGAGGAAGCCTGAGGAGGAACTGGCTGGAGCTCTTCAGAAGAGAAAGGCCAAGACCCAGGGGAGGGCTCTGGTGGCCGGGCAGAAGGCGGTGCAGGGGCCTGACTCTGGTTTTGCATCCCTGTGGGTACTCACTCACCTGTGGGACTGTGGGTAGGACCAAGAACAAAACCACTGAGGTGAGTGAGTCAGATCCTGAAATTTTGTTCATTGTGGGTTTGTTGGGCATTAATTTTGATTTTTGAAAATATTGCATTAAGTATTATTTATCTGGGTCACTAGGTTTTTGGATGCTCCTTTAATTTTTGCATTCGAGGTGAGTGATGGCTGTCACTTGGAACTCCAGGAAACCAGTCTCTGGAGACATGCACATAGAGGCTATATATCTGACATACAATCGTAGAGCCGAGTCTCGGCTTGAGAATATAATACCTCTAGCAGTGAAGGAGCCAACTGTCCCACTCAACACTGTGTCCCCAGTCACCTGGCTTGGCACCTGGCACATATTGGGTCCTCCATGAATATTTCTTGACCAAATGAATAAATGGACCAGGATTCAACACCAGGCCTCTTTGACCAGAACCTCTTCCGTCTACACCCAGGGACCTCCAGCTTGGGAAGACCCTCAGGGTTGGACTCACTCACACCTCAGAGGACCACCAGCTCTTCCCTCTGCCACCTCCTAGGGAAGGGGCTACAGAGCATCAACTCACTGTGACATCACCTACCCAATACAGGCCCCGAGGCCTGAAATCTAGGTGACACTTAGAACCTCCTCTGTCTAGGACTCTCTCCCCTGCCTGGTACGAGGAGTACTCCAGGCACACCAACCACTGGTGTCTGGAGAGGCGAATCTCTGTTTTTGTTGTCCCTGAAGTCGTTTTTCACAACTGGAAACATCTTCTGTCTGGACCGAGCAATAAGACCGCTGAAGCCACTCTGACCCCCGCTTAAGGGGTCCCTAGGAACCTTGAAGACCCCAGCTCCTCTGATGATCCTGGGTTGCAGCCTCCACCCCAGCTCTCCTCCAGGAAATAGGAGAGGTTCCTGCTCCCTCTGTAGATGTCATGGACTGGCCCACCTGACAGGGGGTCTTCCCACTACTGAGGAGGAAACAGAGGCAGAGAGAGAGAGGGAGAGGGAGGGGGAGGGGGAGGGGGGGAGAGAGAGAGAGAGAGAGAGAGAGAGAAAGGGAGAGAGAGGGTGAGAGAGGGTGTTCCAGGGCCCTTACCGCAGCCCTGGAAAATGCCTGTCGCTGCTTCCAGTGGGCAGACTAGGAAGCTGAGGCCCAGGGAGTTTAGAAGCAACCCTAGTGGGAGTGAATGGGCCAGGGGAACTAGGATTCCAGACTCCCAGCCTGGATGTTGGAGTTGGCCAAGGAGATGCAGCCAAGTGGGCTTGAAGGCCAGCTTGAAGGCCATATGCCCAACAGCCTAGGTCACTGTGGGCTGGTTTCCCACCCGTCATCTCTGAGGGTGATTGGGATCTCTACAAATATGAGACACAGGGACTGGCCTGGTTCTGTAGGGAAGGTTCTGCAGCTGGTGGGACGGAAGCTTCTGCCCAAGTCTCTGGGCCTGGGCTGCTCTGCAGAGGCTGGGCATGGAGCAGGGGGAGGAGCCAGGGTGAGCACAGGGAGGGCCTTGGGGCAGGGAGGAGACAGGAGATGAGGAAGCAATGATGGTTCTGGGGAGTGGAGGGGAAGCCCCAGTAGAGGGAGGAGGAGCCTGGAGATGCTGCTGGGAAGGACTGGACCAGACTTCCATCCCTCTAACCTCTGCCCAGCCCAAGCAGCAGGTAGCCCTGGGAGGCCAGTTCCCCATGACTGCCCCCCAACACCGCTTGGGGGACCCTCATGTGGTCATTTCCATCACAAGAGGAATGACCCCTGTGGGACTGGGCCAGCTGAGCCCGCATCTCTCATCTCTGCTTATGGATTTGTTTGTGTCTAGGGATTTAATAAACTCCTTTCTCTTCCGTTGTCACTTTTCAGCCTGCAATGAATGTTTGTGCTGAGGACCGAGACCAGCTGTGTCAATGTTAACTGCTGGTTCCAGGATACTCTTTCCCAGGTGGATGAGGGTGAAAACAATAAAGAATGTCACTCATTGCTTCAGGGAATTCCTGAAAACCAATTATCCAGGTAAGTGTTCTGCTCAAGAGAGCACACAGTTCTCACCTATGTAAATTGCTCACTTATCCAATAAATATTTACTGATCAAGACTTGATTCAGGACCTTCCCTTCTCTGTGTCCACCAGGCTGTGCTATGATGTCACAGATGGGCCCCAATTCTAGTAGGTTCCTTCCTTGTAAGACCTGCCTTTAACTGCTCACGTGCATATCCTGAAACCTCATAAACACTTTCCATTGCCCTGTGCCTTCTGAGACACTAAAATGATTCCACCCTAGGGCTAGTCTCCCTTGATACTAATAGAGTCGGTGCTACTTAGATATCAGGGTTTCTGGGGTCTTTTGGGAGCTGGCATTTGATCATCAAAATGACTAGCTCAGTTTATTCTGGGATAAGCTGAGCCTAGAGGTGGGCAGGAACTTGCTCCCGTCTCTCAGGAACATAAGGGCAGGGATAGGACTGGAAACTTCCATTCCACATGGAAGGCTCCCTCCTGCTCAGTGTGACAGGGCAGGAGAGAGGGAAGGGTCTTGTGAGCCAGGCCGAGGTGGCTGGTTTCTGTCTCACTTCCGCATCTGCCTGTGTCACTGTGTGCAGTGCTGCTGTCCCACGCCTGACAGTAATAGTCAGCCTCATCCATAGCCTGGGTCCCGCTGATGGTCAGAGTGGCTGTGTTCCCAGAGTTGGAGCCAGAGAATCGCTCAGGGATCCCTGAGGGCCGCTTGCTATCTTGATAGATGACCAGCACAGGGGACTGGCCTGGCTTCTGCTGATACCAGCAAGCATATTTATCCCCCAATTTATCTCCAGAGCAGGTGATGCTGGCTGTCTGTCCTGGGGACACGGACACTGAGGGTGGCTGAGTCAGCTCATAGGAGGCCACGGATCCTACAGGAGAGAAAACGGGAGAGAAAAGGCTTGAAACTGAGGAGCTGAACTCCAAGTAAATCTTCCCACGTGCCTGGCCTGGACACAGATCCAGGGATGAAAGAGCCCTAAGGCAGTGTGAGCACATGAGCACTGTGTGGGGGGATTTCAGCCCCGCCGAGCCCATCCACCTGCAGCAGGGTCATGAGCATCCTGCCCACCACAGGCGGGGGCCCTGCTGAGCTCAGAGTCAGGGCCAGGCTGGACCCAGAGCCCTGGGACTGGACCAGTGGCTAGGACCCTAGGGGCAGCACCTGTGCAGTAAGCAAGGACGCCGAGGAAGAGAGGGATCCATGCCATGGCTGAGGCACCTCCGATGCTGCTTCCTGAGGCCCAGGCTGGGCAGGTTCTTCCAGGCCTCTCTTATCCCCTTGCTGGAAAGAGCGGCCCGTGATGCAAATCAGCAGTCAGGGGCTGCTGCAGGAGGAGCTGTGTGGTTTCCAGAGAAGGGCTCAGCCCCAAGGGACAGAGAGAGAGGGGGCCCCTAAAGACCCACCCTCAGCACACAGAATTCTCATTCTCCTTCTGGTCCCATCATCTGGGTTGACATCGTCACTGTAGGTTGTGTTATGGCCTCACTCCTGAGCTGATCTGGCCATGCAGAACTCTGAGAGGAATTCTTTGTGCGTTTTCCAGGTAGTATGATGTCCTGCCCATGTGGCCATTCCTTGTCCTGCGTGGAGATGGCCAGGGACTGACTTACAATGGCGACTGAGGGATTATTCTGAGATCTAAGGTACTTCCTCTGTTGAATACTGGCTCAGAATAACTTGGGTAATTGAGGACTCCAGGGGTGTCCTGTCCCTAAATATTTTGTGGCAAAATCCAGAAGTTAGGTGTGGTTCTAGCTCCCCCTCTGGAGGGCACTTTTCAACCCAGTGCAGTGACCCTCATGACCCCACTCTACAGGTGACACCGTAAGGCTGGCACACATGCAGGGACCTGCCATTGCTTCTGAGTGGTGCTTTCCACAATCAAACTTCACCCTTGTCATGTGCACACGGAGTGTTGAAAGACTCAGGAGATGCTGTAAGTTCCTGGCCTTGGCTGTGAGCTCCTAGGGTAGGGCACAGGTGCTGTGCCTATGTACCCCCAGTATGTGGTCATGGTCAGGTACAGCTTAGATGCTGAAAGAAAACTTTGCTGTGTAGCAGAATGAGGGGGCTCTCAGAGCAAACAGGAGGGTGATGAAACACATGTGCCCACAGGGGAGGATGGCGTTTGTGGCAATGACAGCGTTTTAGCACAGAAGAGTGGGCCAGTGTGTAGGGGGAAGCAAAGTGTCTGCACCTGTGTCAAATATGCAACATTGGCCAGAGACAAAGCTGAGAAACACAAAGCCTGGAGAATTTGTACTCGATGTTAAGGATGATGCTGTAGAAAAACGACACCTTTCTAGATCTCAGGTTGTGGTCACTGACCCTCCCTGCATGTCAGCATCTCCTTGTCACCCAGGTCTACCCTACCTCCAAGTGACTTTGCCAGGTGACTCTGTTCTGTCCCCTGGTGGCTGCTCCATACTGGCTGCTGGAGGCTCAAGGGCCTCCTGGATCCGGGTGTATAATTAAAATCTTCTGTTCAGGTCCCTGATTCCCTGGTCTGCAGACTGCTGGTGCCAATGGAGGAAATTTTTCTCTTCTCTTTGTGACTCATGCCTGCCTCAATACCAGGTGCGAGGGGTGCAGATTACTCATGACAATATGAACATGAATATTTGGAAGAGGAGGAGGAAGGTCCATCTGAGGCTGCCTGCACATGTGTCTGGGCGGTGGGTGGTCATGGGGGTAATACCAGGGCTTGGCATGCAGGGCGGGGATCACAGGACTCAGGGACTGGCTCTTACTGGTCCCCGCTGTGGATGCAGGACCAGCGTACAGTGGTGACTCCTGCACCAAAGTCAGAGACAGAAGAACATCCACCCATCAAATGTTAATCCAGACCCACTGTGGTCTGGGACACGTTCCATGCGGTGAATTCAGCAGGAACAAGACACAGCCTTCTTGAAGTGAGTTGTTCATCGTGCTGGTTTGGCTGTGCAGGAAAACTGGGTTTGCAGACCCAGCAGACAGTCCCTGTCACCTTCCACCTGAGCACTGTCTTCTATATTCACCGAAAAGACTGGTGCCTGTGATTCCCAGGTCCTGCTCAGCTGGGATTGACCATGTGACTCAGGCCTGATCAGTGGGGTGTGAGATCAGTGGGTGAAATTCTTCTTAGGAAAGCTTTGCTCTTGTGAAAGAGCACTAGATTCATGAGGCCCTTTTCTCCTTGAATATGGGAGTGATAGCTGGAGCTGCAGCAGCCACCCTGAGGTCACACATCAGCAGGGATGAAAATAAAGCCAATATCATAGGGATGGTGGGACAAAAAGTGAGAAAGACCCTGGTGTCTTCGTGAAAGTGGTGGGTATTATTGCAGCGAGAAATACACCCTTAGCTGTTTGTGTCTGTTTTTTATGTGTGATTCTGTGGTAAAAAAGCATCCATGACCAATTAAGTAAATATTTAACACCAATCAATTAATAAAATTAACAATAGGCAAAGATTCCTACAGTTGTAAATGCTATGGGGATAATTAAAAAGATTTAGGCAGAAAATAACAGACAGGTTGTATTATAAGAGCCTGGGGACATCTTAATGGGGAAGTGTCTCTGGAACTGCTGTCAGGACTGACAGAGAAAAATGAGTCCTGGGATTTGTGTTGGAAACAGTGGAGTCAGGCCCCTGTGGAAAGAGTCTGGCATGTGTGAGGACCTGAGAGGTCAGCGGCAAACCTGAAAGGGGTCCTGGATTCAGGCCATTTCGGCTAATTGTGCCATTTTAATAAATTAGTAATTTGGGGGCAGGAGTCATGTGTGGTCAGGTGTGGTGAAGGGAAATTTACAGGTAATTAATCAAGTTCTTTGGCAGCTGCTTAGCACATATAGGGGCTTCCAGGATGGTGCTGCTGGGGCAGTGACAGGAGAGTCCCCGGTGGGTTGAGCCCAGCCCACTGACCCCTCCCTAGTTCACCTGGGGCTGAAGACACTCAGGGGAGTGGTTCCTGGTTTCTTACCTCCACCTGGTGCCCACCATGCTGCTCTGTGGGGACCCCCACTGCTGTCTGTGTTTCTGGTCCTGGGCTCGCTGTCTTGAATTCCATGTGGGTGACCAGCACTGCTTTCCCTAAAATTCTACAGATACAGGACCTAGGAACACAAAATCTGCAAACTGCACTTAACACAAAAGGGAAGGGGCTGAGATGGGGAGGAACAATTCCAAGGTCACTTGGCAAGGAGAGAGAAAAGGAAGACGAGAAATGCTCTGGACCTGTAACAGTAAGTCTTCTGAGTGTCCTGGGACCAGCCTGCCAGGGAGGGCATGGGAAAATCCTCAGCCCAAATTCTCAGCCCAAATCCCTCCCTATGGAGACGGCATCTCAGTCAGCTCTTTTAGCTGCCTGTAGGGGGCGCGCCTGCCACACTCTGGGTTGAAAGGGAGAGAAAAGACGGTTGATTCCCAGCTCAGGAACCAAGCTGTCTAGAGACATTTTCTTTTCTTTTTTTTTTTTAATTTATTATTATTATACTTTAAGTTTTAGGGTACATGTGCACAATGTGCAGGTTAGTTACATATGTATACATGTGCCATGCTGGTGCGCTGCACCCACTAACTCGTCATCTAGCATTAGATATATCTCCCAATGCTATCCCTCGCCCCTCCCCCCACCCCACAACAGTCCCCAGAGTGTGATGTTCCCCTTCCTGTGTCCATGTGTTCTCATTGTTCAATTCCCACCTATGAGTGAGAATATGCGGTGTTTGGTTTTTTGTTCTTGCGATAGTTTACTGAGAATGATGATTTCCAATTTCATCCATGTCCCTACAAAGGACATGAACTCATCATTTTTTATGGCTGCATAGTATTCCATGGTGTATATGTGCCACATTTTCTTAATCCAGTCTATCATTGTTGGACATTTGGGTTGGTTCCAAGTCTTTGCTATTGTGAATAATGCCACAATAAACATACATGTGCATGTGTCTTTACAGCAGCATGATTTATAGTCGTTTGGGTATATACCCAGTAATGGGATGGCTGGGTCAAATGGTATTTTTAGTTCTAGATCCCTGAGGAATCGCCACACTGACTTCCACAATGGTTGAACTAGTTTACAGTCCCACCAACAGTGTAAAAGTGTTCCTATTTCTCCACATCCTGTCCAGCACCTGTTGTTTCCTGACTTTTTAATGATCGCCATTCTAACTGGTGTGAGATGGTATCTCATTGTGGCTTTGATTTGCATTTCTCTGTTGGCCAGTGATGGTGAGCATTTTTTCATGTGTTTTTTGGCTGCATAAATGTCTTCTTTTGAGAAGTGGCCAGCATATAAACAGAACCAAAGACAAAAACCACATGATTATCGCAATAGATGCAGAAAAGGCCTTTGACAAAATTCAACAACACTTCATGCTAAAAACTCTCAATAAATTAGGTATTGATGGGACGTATCTCAAAATAATAAGAGCTATCTACGACAAACCCACAGCCAATATCATACTGAATGGGCAAAAACTGGAAGCATTCCCTTTGAAAACTGACACAAGACAGGGATGCCCTCTCTCACCACTCCTATTCAATATAGTGTTGGAAGTTCTGGCCAGGGCAATCAGGCAGGAGAAAGAAATAAAGGGTATTCAGTTAGAAAAAGAGGAAGTCAAATTGTCCCTGTTTGCAGACAACATGATTGTATATCTAGAAAACCCCATTGTCTCAGCCCAAAATCTCCTTAAGCTGATAAGCAACTTCAGCAAAATCTCAGGATACAACATCAATGTACAAAAATCACAAGCATTCTTATACACCAACAACAGACAGACAAAGAGCCAAATCATGAGTGAACTCTCATTCACAACTGCTTCAAAGAGAATAAAATACCTAGGAATCTAACTTACAAGGGATGTGAAGGACCTCTTCAAGGAGAACTACAAACCTTCCTGTAGTCCCAGAAACTCAGTAGGCTGAGCTGGAAGGATCTTCTTGCTCTTTATTTTATATTTGTCCCATATGTTCGTTAGTTTTCTTTCCCTTTTGCTGTCTCCTTTTTTGATTGATTTTTTAAATTATCTTTTTATTTCCTTGCTGGGTTAAGTGATAGTTAATTTTAAGTGTTAGATTGGGTAGGCTATGCACCAGATTGATTTTATCAAATACCAGTATAGGAGTTGACATGAAGATAACTTTCAGATGTGATGAACATTTTAATTAGTAAACTTTGTATAAGCAGATTTCTCTTCACAATGTGGGTGGGACTCTTTAGTGAGCTGAATGTTTTTAGAACAAATGTGGAGGTTTCCTGAAGTGCTGCCTTGCTAAATTTGGATGCAGGACTGCAACATCAACTCTTACTTGAATTTCCAGCCTTCAGCCTGACCAACATATTTCATCCTTGTCAGCTACCACAAATATATGATCCAATTCCTCAAAATTAGTTTCTCTCTTGTTCTTTTTCTCTCACCATATACACACATATATATACTATACACATATGTATATATACACACATATATATACTATACACATATGTATATATACACACATATATATACTATACACATATGTATATATACACACATATATATACTATACACATATGTATATATACACACATATGTATACTATACACATGTATATATACACACATATGTATACTATACACATGTATATATATACACACATATATATACTATACACATATGTATATATATACACACACGTATAACATACATGCATATCTGATTTATGTTGTTTCTGTGGAGAATCCTAATACAGCTTACTAGTCATAATTCTTTTATAAAAAAGTTTAATGTTTACTTTAGGCTTTGTGATACATATATCACTTATTAAAATCTGTCTTCAAATGTGATTATATATTCAAATGGAGTTGCATTATCTGATATTTGTGTGAATTCATATTTCAATTTGGTATGATTTTCCCCCTGTCTAGGGGTGTCTTTTGTCATTTCTAATGACAAGAGTGATAGTAATCAATTCTGTAAGTTTTTATATGTCTGAAAACATTATATTTATCCTCCACTTTTGAAAGTTATTATTGTTGGATAAAGAATTTAAGGTTGACAGCTGTTTTCTTTCAGTATTTTAAAATTATTGCTCCACTGTCTTCTTGCTTACATTGCTTCTAATGAGAAATGTACTCTTAGAATCATACTTTTAAGTGGCTCTTCATCACCAGATTTTACTAATTTGACTATTATGTCATTTGGAGTCATTTGCTTCATGATTCCTGTGCTTCAGTTTTGTTGAACTTCTTGGATATACCAGTTTTTGGTTTTTACCAAATGTGGAGCACATTTGACTATTATTTATTCAAATATTCTTTTCTACCCACCCATACCTTTTACATTCCATGGATGTCAATTATACATACTTAGGTTGTTGTATTAAAAAAAATTTTTTTTTAGGCCAGGTGCAGCGGCTCACCCCTGTAATCTCAACACTTTGGGAGGCTGAGGCTGGAGGATTGCTTGAGTCCAGGAGTTCGAGACAAGCCTAGGTAACATAAGGAGACCCAGTCTCTCCAGAAAAAACAAAAATTAGCTGGGCATGGTGGTGCACGCCAGTATTCGCAGCTACTTGGGAGGCTGAGCTGGGAGGATCACTTGGGCCTGGGAAGTCAGTGCTGCAGTGATCCATGATTGCACCACTGCACTCCAGCCTGAATGACAGATTGAGACCCTATATTAGAGACAGGAACTTGCTCTGTTGCCCAGGCTGCAGTCCAGTGGCATGATCATAGCTCACTCACTGCAGTCTTGAATTTCTGGGCTCTACCAATCTTACTGCCTCAGGTTTATAAGTAGGTACGACTACAGGTGCAAGCCACGAAGCCCAGTTAATTTTTAAGTTTTTTTTTTTTTTTTAAATTATAGAGCTATGTTGCCTAGTCTGGTCTTGAATTCCTAGTCTTAAAAGATCCTCCCTCCTAGACCTCCCAAAGTGCTGGGATTATAGGCGTGAACCATTACTCCTAGTCAACCTCAGGCTGTTTGAAGTTGTCCTATAACTCACCTTCATTTTCTTTATGAATATCCGATAATGCTTTTTCATTTTTGTCATTGTTTTTTCTTTATGTGCTGCATTTTGAATATTTTCTAGTGCTACATGATCAAGTTTGCTAATCTTTTGTTTTACATAATCTAATCTGTTGTTAATCACATCCAGTATGTTTTTAAAGTGACAGACATTGCAATTATTAGCTGTACACAAGCTCAATTAGTCCTTTTTTGGTTATTCTGTGCTTCTACTTAACATGTTCAATCATTCCTCTACTTCATGAAAAATTGGAACATGATGATATTTAATAGTTGTGTATCCACCCCTGATTTACCATCTAATGAACCTGCCTGGAGGACTGGAGGGAAGGGCAGCCTGGGGGTCTCAAATCTGAATGAACTGGGCCAGACCTGCTGATGGCTGTGACCACAGTCCTCTTGGGGTTGAAGGGAGAGAATGACATAGATGGGAAGGGGTTTGCATCTCACTTCACTGTATGCTGTGTCACTGTGAGATGAGAAGCAGTGCTGTTCCGAGCGACAGTAATAGCCTTGTTTCCATCCTGTGCCCCATTAATAATCAAGGTGGCCATGTCCTCTGATATGCAGTCAGAAAATTGCTCAGGAATCACTGAGGGCTGGTTGCTGTCACCATAAATTACCAGCACAGGGACCTGACCTGGCTTCTGCTGGTACGAGTTTGTATCAGAGTCACCTATGCTATCTCCCTGGCAGATGATCCTGGCCGTACGTCCCAAAGCCACAGACACTGCAGGCAGCTGAGTCAGCTCAGAGGAGGCCACACAGCCTGCAAGAGGAGACAGGAGACGTGAGACTGAGAATTAGGGTCTCATTCCCATAGCCCCACACCCTGCATCACTCCCTGCACTGAGCTCAAGGTCAGGGCCAGGCTGACCCCTGGTTCCATGGGGCTTATTCCCTGGGAGGAAGCACCTATGCAGAGAGTCGGGAGGGTGAGCAGGGGAGGGTCCAGGCCATGGTGGAGATGCCCCAGAGCTCTGCCTCTGATTCCACAACTAGACAGTGGGTTTCCAGGACTCTTAGAAAGGGAAGGCTCTTCATGGAAATCAACTTCTCTTCCTGCTGTGGCCTTGTTGGGTGGCTCCTTGGTGAGCAGAGAAGGACGAGGGCTTAATTGAGTGTATAAAAATATGCCCTGTCTCCATGTCTGTACCCAGTGTCCTCAGACACTCTCTGGTGTTGAGTGAGGAAGTGCTGCCCACACCATATGCACACACACACTTCATGTCTTAGGTATTCATAGGTGTAGGCAAGAACTCAGATATCTTCTCTGTTGATGTGAATATCCATGGGGAAGGAAGTTCCAACATAAATCCTTCTTGACGTGTTCTCATCGTGGACCTTAAAGATTCTTAGGCTCTCACAGCCCTGTCTTGATCATCCAGCAGCTGGTCTGGGTAATGGAGTTGAGTTGGTCTTGAACAGGAGATTGTAGGAACAGGGGACATGCTGGGGGAGGTCAGAATTCCATGATGAGACTCAGTGAAATTGCTCCTAGCATCTTGGAGATTGTAGTTTTTATATTTTAAAAAATGTAAAAATTGAACTCTCATAAATGATGGCTGACAGGTCAAGATCCATGTCCTTTCCTGGGGCAGAGCCTGGTAATAGAGCACAGGGCACAATGAGACACTGGGACACGGTCATCTCATCCTAGCCACTCTCTCAAGGTCCTTTTCCTGCCTGGGCTGCTCTGGTCTCTCCCAGCATGGTCCCCACAGGCTGTTGTGGAGGAAACAGAAAGATGAGTTTTCAAAATGGCCTCAGTCATGGCCTGCATCTGCTTCTGCCTAGGGGTGTCTTGGAGGGAGGAGAGTCAGAGGTCTCAGGGTACTGGAGAGGAACCCAGGGCTGTTGACTCTGAGTCCCTGAGGAGAAAGGGGAGGTGGGAGGTTTTGGCCTCACTTCCCCTTCATCTGTGTCACTGTGGCTCAACCGACTTGGCCATCAATCGTGTGGCTCTCTCCACAGTGATACTCAGCCTCATCGTCAGACTGGAGGTTGGAGAAGGTGAGGTAGCGGTCAGCCCCAGAACTGGAGCCCATGAAGCGATCGGGGATCCCGTCCCCCTTGCTGTGGCTGCCATCACTCTTAACCTTCATTATATACTGGGGGGACCTCCCTGGTCTCTGTTGATACCATTCGATGGTGTAGGTGCTGTGCTCACTGCTTAGGGTGCAGGTGAGCTTGATCGAGGCTCCCAGCAAGGCAGATGCAGACGGGGGCTGAGTCAGCACAGGCAGAGCACAGAGACCTGTAAACAGAATGTCATGAATGATGCTGAATGCACAGAAGAACTGGAAAGAATGCCCCTGAGGACTGGTGCTCATGGGAAAATAGCAGTGAAAACATTTCCCTGAATTCCCTGGGATGTTCTGACCTGTGGAGAAAATGAAGGGCAGTAGGTAGAAGGAGACCCAGGCCATGGTTGGAGGGACTTCCAAGAGCTCTATTCGAGACTGCCCAGTGGAACCTGGACACTATGAGCTCCTGTCTTATCCTCTTCTTGAAGCTCAAGAAGGGAGGAGCTTTGAATGCAAATCTGCTCTCCACTTTACAGCATGTCTGTCTGAGGTACTGTCTGAGCTCTGAGTCTGAGGGCTTCATATTGGCAATTTCTCAAGGTCAGAAGAAGGGCCAGGTGGGTGTCATGAGTGGAGCATGAATTTTACCCAATAGAAGGGGCCTCAGAGGAAGCATCAGTCATGCCCTTTGTGCTTGAGCCCTACCAGGGAAGTCACTGGGGTCCTCAAAACAAGGCCCTCTAGTGCACACAGGAGGAAAGTCATCCTCCACGAGCTTAAGCAGAATGACTCCTTTGAGACATTAATACGTGCCAGGCCCTTTGGAGAGTGTTTTGCAGGCACCACCTCAACCACACATTCACAGTAGCCCCACAGCAAGCATACGCTTAAGACACGACCTCTCCTTTAGTTTATTGATGGGAGAACCAACATCAGGAGGTTACAAGATTTATCAAATCCTCCCAGAGAGTAGTGAGTGGAGTCAGGATTTCACCCATACTCAGAGCCTGACCTTACAGCTCCTCCCTGCCCTGCCTCCTACCCCATGCCTCCTCATCTTCTCTTCCCTCATCCAGGACCCGGAACCCACTTATCACAGCCCTGCATTTTTTAATCAGGTGCACTGTCCTCCAAGTCCTTTGGACAAAGGTGTGGATGCTCCCTCTGCTCCCTTCACGGCAAGTAACAAAAGAGCGTGTGTTAGCAGTGACACTGGGGACATCCAGATGTGTGGTCATGCTCCTCATGCCAGCCTCCTCTCCAGACAAGTTAGGATCAGGATTCCATTTCTAACAAGGTGAAGGGTATTGAATTTGGACAACTGTCACATTAGATACTGAAGCATTTTAACTTTAATAAATACGAGTGGCGGGAGAATATTTCCTACCTAATATCTTAGAGACATGTATTGCTTTTCCAACCTAGAAGTACTAAGGATGTGATGAAATGAATTCATTAACAAAACACTGGTTCATTAGAAATAGAAATAATGTGTGAAGCCCAAGGTGTCCATGGGTACAGACAGATGCCTCCACACATTGCACCTTGGAGTTTGGTGAAAAGAGATAACTGAGATAAGATGAGGTCACATGACACCAATATGCCTGCTCCTGTACTTGGCTGAGCATGTCACTGCAGCTCCTCCAAGCCCTTCCCAACCAATGCTTCCACTCCTCCTGTCACTTGACTGGAGGTTGGACATGGTTGGTGGTGTGGAGACCTCAGAGTCTCCACATTGGTTCCTGCTGACCGCTCAGGCAGGTCAGTTCTGACACCCTTGCTTGTGGGTCCTGATACAGCGTTGGATGTAACTTGCTAAGACCACTCTGGGAAAATACACCTTCATAAAAATGATTGATGCTTGTGAGTTAGGCAAAAATAGCCCTTTGTGAAGAATAGCAACACACTCACCTTCAATACTATATTCCTCATGATCAGCCCCCTTTCATCTAGATCTACATATAAACAATAACTTCCTACTTTTAGTTGGTTTTATTGTAAGAATCTTCCCACAGAAAGGGATCCTTGGAGCACAATCCACAGGGACCATTGCCATTCATTCCACTGACCAATAGAAAAAAATGCCTTTGATGGCTCAGATTTATCTTCGAACTGGAAGTTATAGTCAATGTCTTTGAGAAGGGAAGAAGTGTGAAACACATTGTAAAAATTCCCTGGTTTCTGAGAGCCCGCCATATTTCTACTTTGGTTGGAAAATGGAACAGCCATTCTTCCCTAAGGAGGCCCTCTGGGTCATAGGACTCTCCATTGCCCCAAGATGGTTCTAAGTAAGTACTGCAGGGGCTGTGATCCAAATGGATCATCATTCATGTGGATCTGCTCTGTCCAGTATAGCAACCATGAGTCCCAGGGAGCTTCTGAGTCCTTAAAATGTGGGTAGTTCAAGTTAAGATGTGATGTGGGGGTAAAACACACCGGATTTCAAAAAGGTTGTAGGAAAATAACATAAAATATCTCAATATTTTTATGTTGATTACATATTGAAATAATATTTGGGTAAGCTCAGTTAAAGAAAATATAGTACGAAAGTTGCTTCCACCCGTTCTTTATTACTTTTAAAATGTGGCTACTGAAAAATTTTAAAGGCATTGAAATTATATTCCTAGTAGACTCCTCAGCACCAGAGAATTCCTACTGCATTGGAAATCACTGCAAGTATGAGTTACTTGATTCAAAAAGTACAGAGAACTTTCTGGAGTCTTAGGGAGATGTCAGTGCTTTACCTTAAAGCACAGTGACAGGCCCACAGGCTGTTGTTAAAGAACAGGGTCTCTGGGACTGGAAGACTCAGGTTCTGCTCCTGGGTCAGGCACTTTCTAGTTCTGACATCGGGCAAAGTCCTTTTCCTTTCTTTGCCTTAGCTTTCCCATGTGTCAAAATCTGTATCACAGATTCTCCAACTGGAAATGGAGAGATAATGACAATATTTGGCTCATGGAGTAGTTCGTATTGAGTGATTTAATAAATATGAATTGTTTTGAAGAGTGCTTGATATGTATTAAACACATAAGAATGAATAATTAAACATTATTCCTTCTCCTATTTCAACCCTAATCATTATCCTTATTCTTATGATAGTACAAAGGTAGTAAAGATAGAAGCAGATAACTTAGGAAAACAGAAAAGTTTTGAGTTGGGACATTTGACACAACCCTTCCTTGCAACACTAAATGCACATGTACACATATGTACACACATACACACATGCACAATCTACATGGCTCACACACGGCACAAATTGTGCCCAACCTTGCAGCCTACTGTCCTGTTTAGTAGGCTTTCTGTTGCAGGGACCAAGACTGGTTCTCAGAGACATCACTAGGATGTGTCCTAGTAGGACTACAGCAAAATCCCTTTGTTGTGTCCAGGCGCTGTGATGCATGTTACTCCCCCAGTTGCTTCTCTAGAGCTGGCCTGGCTTGTGACTTCCTGGTTCTATGAGAAGGCACCCAGTTCCACAGAAACTGTCAAGATGATCTGCACAAATTTGGCAATCAGTTTGTGATCTGTGACTGTTCACGGTAGGCAGTGTAGAGGCCTGAATGGGCAGGTGAGGATTGCTGGTCAATAGGGCAGTGCTGGTGCCACCGAGGAGAAGAGGCCCTGGGAGCAGAAAGCAGGGGCACCTCACACTATTTACTCCAGGTTATTCCATTGAGGCACAAGGGGGTGTTTAATGGGCTCTTAGGATGCAAAGTTCATAGCAGAGCTGAGCTAGGCTTAGGACAACCAAAAACTGTCCCTGGGGGAGAGAAACTGATAAGCTTAGTGTCCCAGGAAGACTTGGTCAGGGAGGCAGCTGCACTGAGCCCCGTGCACTGAAGAAGGGGTCTTGCCTCACTTACAGCCCGGCTGGGAGCCCATGGGAGAAACTCTTACCCACATATCAGAGATTTGCTCACTCTGGTGATGGTCAGAGAGCATGGGTGGATCCTGGACATTCAGGGAATATTGTCAGCTGGTGGCTAATATAACTCGTAACCCACCGTGGTTTGATTCTGTGGAACCAGCATGGGCATCTACTTGGGGTGATTGGGAAGGTGAAGGAGTCCTTCTTTAAAAAGCAGAGGATGATGTCTCCCATGTCAGCATGCAAAGGATGAGAAGGACAGCCAGAAAACATGTCCCTCAAGGTGGATGAAAGAGACGTCATTTTTCAGAGGGCCTGGGGTCCTTCTGGGCTGTCAGGTAATGCCCCACCTGAGAGGTTGGTGGTGCACATCCCACCTGCAGAGCCCCAAGGAGAGGCCTGAGTCATGGCAGACACACTGTTAGGAATTTGAATTTCAGTCCCCTCAAATTTGTATAATGAAGTCCTCACTGCAAGGACCTCAGAGTGGGATTTTATATTTAAATAGGGTGATTACAGTTGAAATTAGTTAAGAAAAGGTCATACTGCAGCAGAGTACGTACCCAATCCAACACGACTCATGTCCTTATAAAAAGGGGAAACTGTGACACAGACACGCACATGAGGAATACTCCATTTGAATGTGAGGCAGAGATTGGGGTGATTTCCCTCCATGGCAGGGAACAGCAAACACCTCCGCAGCCAGCAGAAGCTGGGAGAGGCATGGAACAGATTCTCCAGTGCTCAGAAGGAGCCAACCCTGTAGATACCTTCATCTTAGATTCTAACATCATCTGCAGAATAGTGAGAAAATACATTTGTGTTCTTTGAGCCATAGGGCTGTGCTACTTTGCTATGGCAGCCCTGGCAAAATAATACAGACACCCCTAGGATCTCTGTGTTCAGGGCACCTCCAGTAGGGCTGGGCTCCTTGTAGATGCTTTGGTCTCTGTTATCCACAATCCCCTGGTGAGGAGCCTTCCCATCCTGTGTTTTCTTCCCCTAAAGTGTCTGAATTTTGTTTTCAAGGAGCCTGTCGCAGCCCTCTAGGCAGCAAACAGTGTCTCCAGTGACCTTAGACCCGTCTCTCCAATGTCTTCCCCCTCTGGGTGCTGCTGGGATCTCTAACCAGACTCAGAAGCCACTCTCCAGCTCCTGCCGGTCAGTGGAAGAATGAGGCCCTGGGCAGGGAGAGATGGCCAAAGATCCCTGGGCCAGAAAACCTTAAACACCCTTCAGATGAGCTCAGCTGCCCCTTCCCACCCGCTTACTACATCACTCTCCCGTGGATGAAGTTGTAGCCCCTGGTTCTGCAAACCCCTCTGCTTTCCTCTCTGGTTGACGTCACATTGAAACAGTTTCTGAGACATTGGAAAAGATGGCAGTAAAATGCCCAGGGATGCTCTCCTCAGTTCCTAGAACTCGATTTTAAGTCACTAAGTCTTTCTTGTCCCTAAACTTCTCAAACTCTCTGCACTGCAGTTTCTCCATCTGAGGTCCAATTTTCATGAATGACATCAGCAATAATTGCTGCCAACTCATGAGCAGCTAGGGTGTGTCAGGCTCTGTGTTAAACACTTTGTAAATATGATCATTAAACTCCTGCAGTATTTTTAGGAAAGAACTTGCTTTCTGTTTCCAATTGATTTCTGCACACACCGGCTCATCTTCACCTTCTGTCAGGAGTGGAAGCAGTTTGAGGTCTTCACTGGATGCAGATGCCCACTGTTGAACTTTACAGACATCAGAAGCATGACCCAAATAAACCTTTGCTTCTTTACAAATTACCCAACTTCAGATATTCCTTTTTAGTAAAAGGGACTGAGACACATTAGTGGAGGAGAAATAGGTCACTTATGCTTCTCAGAAGGTGCGTTATGTAGGTGAGTTTCAGCTGTGCATGAGTGAGGAGGGTGCATAGGAGCTAAGCCACCCAAAGTGTGTTCCTTGGAGGACCAGCATCAATCAACCTCAACTGGAGGCTATTTGCCATGGAGAATCTGGGGCCCCATTCAAACCTGCAAAGACTGCATCTGCAGCTTAACCAAACCCTATATGGTTTTTGTGTACCCATTGAAATTTCATATGCTCTGGGCTTAGCCACAATGGAAAATCTCACTTCCTCTGCTTTTGACAGCAAGGTCTTGTCTCCCTGATGTGCTTCCTGGGCCACCTGGGTTTTGTGGTTGACTGTCCTGCCCTCATTTAACTGAGCTGGATTCAGGTGCTACATGCTGTCATGATGCACAAGAAAGTTTTAAGAACAGATGTTTTTACAATCCACGTGGGTGGTATAGGGAGGAGACAATGCCCCAGTGAGTTGTCGAGAGAGAAACAGATGGTTCATGTCATTTGCCTTGTTTCCATTCAGCTCCAGTTATTCTGGACTTTGTTTATTTCTCAGACCTATTGAGCCATCTTCTGTGTTCAAGCGTCTATGAGTTTTTAAGTGAAACTTTTTCTGTGTGTAACTCACCTCCTTATCCAATACCTACCTAAATCCTAGTTATCCTTTCAGATGTCTGTACTTACCACTTGCCAAGGAAGTGGTCACTGACCACCAAGTCTCTGACACCAAATTACAATCTTTTAGCATTTATGGCTAAGTATATTCATGGTTGGACATGACATATCCAGTTTGCATGAAGTAGCACCCCATCCAGTAGCACCACAAATCGTGCCTTTTATGATGCTTTAACAGGAATGGGAAAACAACAGGAAGTCCTGTCTGCGTACATGAAAACATTTGATGTGACTGTTGAAATAACCATGTGGTTTTATTCTTTAATAGGGAGCATTAAAATAATTAATTTCCATAGGTTAAGAATCCCTTGAATATTGGGGATGAATACTAGTTAGTTATGGTGTTTAATCCTTTTTATATTTTGCTAGTATTTTGTTGAAGTGTGGTTGTTTTGCATCTGTTTTCATAGAGGCTGTTGTGCTCCAGTTCACTTTTCATGTCTTTTGTTTTTGTATCAGCATACTTCTGGCCTCATAGAATGAGCTGCTCATGTTCCCCTTTCTTATATTTTTGGAAGGGTTTATGAATAATTATTATTAATTCCTTAAACAGTTCATAATATTCATCAATGAAACCCTTCATGCCTGGGCCGTTCTTTGTGGGAGGTTTCAATGACTAATTTAAACTCTTGTTATAGTGTTAATCAGACTTTCTATACCTCCTTGAGCCAGTTTAGTAGTTTTTATGTTTTTAGGGATTTTTTCTTTTCATCTAATTTTTGGTATGCAGCTTTTCACAGTGTTCTCATATAATACCTTTTATTTTTCAATATCAGTGTTCAGAGGATGATATCATTGTTTATTCCTTCCATATCTCATGCTGGAAGATGAACTCCACTGTAGGAGGTGGGCCTAGTAGGAGGTGTTTGGGTCATGAGGGCTGACCCTTCATGATTGGCTTGCTGCTGTCCTCATAATAACGAATGAATTCTAACCACTAGTTTAAACAAGATCTGGTTGTTTAAAAGAGTGTGGCACTTCCCCACTCTTCTCTCTCTTTCTCTTTCTTTCTTTTTTTCTTTCTCTCTTTCTTTCTTTCTCTCTTTCTTCTTTCACTCTCTCTCTCTCCCTCCTTCCTCCTCCCTCCCTCTCTCCTTCCCTGCCTCTCTCCCCCCCCGTCTCGTCTCATCTCTTCTCTCTCTCTCTCTTTCTTTCTTCCTCTCTCTCTCTCTTCCTTCCTTCCTCTTCCTTTTGTTTTGTTTCTTTCCTTTCCTTTTTTGCTTCTTTCCTTCTTTCTTTCTTCCCTCCTTCCCTCTCTTCCTTTCCTTTCCTTTCTCTCTTTCTTCTTTTTGTTTCTCTTGCCATGTGACATGCCTGGTTTCACTTTACCTTCCACCATTTTTGTAAGCTTCCTAAGGGCCTGACCAGAAGCAGATGCTGGCACCATACTTCCTATACAGCCTGCAGAACAGTGATCCAATTAAACCTCTTTTCCTTATACATTACCCAGCCTCAGGTACATCTTTATAGCGGTGCTATAAAGGTGCTATAAAAATGCAAGAATGAAAGAACACAGAAAATTGGTACCAAAAGTAGATTGTTGATGTAAGGATAATGCAAATGTGAAAGCAGCTTTGGAACTGGGTAAAAAGTACAGGTTTGAAGAGCTTAGAGGGCTCAGAAGAAGACAGACAGATGAGGGAAAGTTTGGAGCTTCCTGGGGACTGGTCAGCTGGTTGTGACCAAGATGCTGATAGAGATACGGACAGTGAAGTCCAGGCTGCTGAGGTCTCAGATGGAATGAGATAGTTATTGGGAACTGGAGCAAAGTTCACCCTTGTGATGCCTTAGTAAAAAGCTTGGCTGAATTCTTTTCATGCCCTAGAGATCTGTGGAAGTTTGAAATTTAATTACTGCACCATTGGGTTTAGGACTTGTGTGGGGCCTGTTCTTTTGGTTGTTTTCTCCCTTTTGGAATGGTAATGTTTACCCAAGGCCTGTACCACCATTGCATCTTAGGTGTAAATAACTTGTTTAGATTCTACAGGCTCATAGGTGACAGGAGGTTAGTCTCAGATGAGACTTAGGATGTTAAACTTGATGCTGGAACGACTTAGAACTTTGGGGGATTATTGAGAAGGGATTATTGCATTTTGCAATGTGAGAAAGGCATGAGATTTGGTGGGCCAGGGGTGGAATTATATACTTTTAATATTTGTCCCATCCAAATCTTATGTTGAAATGTAGCTGCCAGTGTTGAGGTGGGCCTAGTGGGAGGTGTTTGGGTCATGGGGCCACGTGGATCCTTCGTGAATAAATTGGTGCTGCCCTCATGACAATGAGTTGTTGCTCCCAGTTCATGTGAGACTGGTTGTTTAAAAGAGTGTGGCACTTTCCACCTCTCTCTCTCCTACTCTCACCATGTGACATGCCTGCTCCTCATTCACATTCCACCATAATTGTAAGCTTCTTGAGTCCCTCACCAGCAGCAGATACTGGCACCAGATTTCCTGTAGAGCCTGCATAACCATGAGCCAATTAAACCTCTTTTCTTTATGGATTACCCAAGCTCAGGTACTTCTTTATAGCAATACAAGAGTGAAGTAACACAAAGAATATACTTTATAGATTTTCTATTTTTTTAAGGTACTCATTTTTTTTTTGCAGGTTCTACCCTGGAGAGTGTTCCATATGCACTTGAGATTATTATGTATTCTGCTGTGTTGGATGGACTGTTCTATAGTTGTCTATTAAGTCTAGTTGTTTTGTAATGTAATTTAAGTCGTTTATATCTATGTTTATTTACCATTTCTATATGTTTTTATGTAGTTACTATATTTGATGTTTTTGTTTTCTTTATTCAGAGTCACATCTTTAGTATGATTTTCTATCTGAGAAGTGTTCTTTATTATTTTCTATAGTGTGTGTCTGCAGGTCATGAATAGTGCAAGTATATTTATGGTTAAAACCATTTTATTTTGCCTTCCCTTCTGAAAGATATTTTCACTGAGTAAAGAATTCAGAATTGACAGTTTTTTTTAATTTAAAGAACATGTTTTACTGATACATTATAATTGTATATGTTTATGGGGTATACGTGCTATTTTGATGCATGAATACAGTATGTAAGGATCGAATTAGTGTTTAGGATATCCATCACCTTGAGCATTTGTCATTTCTATATGTTGGGAATATTTCAAATCTTCTATGTATTTTGAAATGTACAATAAATTATGTTAACTATGTTCACTCTGCTGTGTGATATACAACAATAGACCTTATTGCTTTTATGTAACCGTATGTTTGTGCCCATTGACCAACTACCCCTCATCCCCACAACCCCTAACCCTTCCCAGCCTCTCTGGTAACTATTAATCTACACTATACCTCCATGAGATCAGCTTTTTTTAGCTCCCACATGAGAGAGAACATGTGACATTTGTTTTTCTGTGCTTGGCTAATTTCACTTAACATAATGACCTCCAGTTCCATCATGTTGCTGCAGAGGATAAGATTTCATTCTTTTGTTTATGACTGGAAAGTATTTCATCGTGTATGCATGCCACATTTTCCTTATGCATTCATCTGTTGATGAAAACAGGTTGATTCTATAGCTTTGCTATTATGAATAGTGCTGCAGTAAACGTGGGAGTGCAGGAATTCCTTAGATATACTGACGTTTTTTCCTGTGATTAAATACCCAGTAGTGGGATTATTGCATTGTATGATGATAGTCTATTTTTAGTGTTTCTGAAACACTATCATGTTTTTCATAATGGCCGTATTAATTTAAAATTTACCTTCTCACCAACAGTATATAACAGTGTATAAGAGTTCCTTTACACTGCGTTCTTGCCAGAATGTGTTATGTTTTGTCTTTTTGATATTAGTCACTCTAGCTGGGGTGAGATGATGTCTCACTGTGATTTTGATTCGCATTGCCCTGATGATTAGTGATGTTGAGCATTTTAAAAAATACACCCTTTGGCCATTTGTATGTTTCTTTTGAGGGATGTCTATTCAAATTCTTTGACCTCTTTTTAATGGTATTATTTGGCATTTTTTTTTTTTGCTGTTGAATTGTTTTGCTTTCTTGTCTTATTGTCTTATTCTGTATGTGAATCCATTGCCAGATGAACAGTTTGTAAATATTTTCTCCTGTTCTACAAGTTGTCTCTTTACTTTGCTTATTGTTTTCTTTGCTGAGCAGAAACTTTTAGTTTAATGTAGCTCCATTGGTCTATGTTTGTTTTTGTCGCCTGTGCTTTTGAAAGCTTAGGTATAAAATCTTTGTCTACACATAAGTCCGGAAGCATTTTCCCTATTTTCCCTGTGTTTTCTTCTAGTAGTTTAGTAGTGTCAAGTTTTACATTTAAGTCTTTAATCCAGTTTGAATTCACTTTTGTATGTGGTGAGAGATCGAGGTCTATTTTAATTCTTGTGCCTGTGAATGTCCAGTTTTCTCAGCAGCACCAAGAAGGCTGTCTTTTAACCAATGTATGTTATTGGTGCCTTTGACAAAAACCAGTTGTCTGTAAATATGTGGATTATTTCTGTGTTTCCTATTCTGTTACACTGGTCTGTGTCTGTTTTATACTATAAAACAGTATAGTATAATTTGGGTTACTATATCCTTGTAGCATATTTTGAAAACAAGTGGTGTGACACCTGCAGCTTTATTCTTTTTGCTCACTATTGCTTTGGCTATTCAGTGTCTTTTGTAATTCCATATAAATTTCAAGATTGATTTTTTTTTTCTATTTCTGTGAAGAATGACATCGGTGTTTTGATAGGGATTACACTGAATATGTACAATGCTGTGCGTAGTAAGTTTTAAAAAGTTTTATGAATGTACCTCCACTGCCTTCTTGCTTGTATTGTTTCTAATGGGAAAGCTACTCTCATCATTATGGTGTTCACCTGCATCAAACATGTCTTTTCTCTCTGGCTGCTTTTAAGAGCATTTCTCCATCACAGTTTTTTTTTGTTTTTGTTTTTGTTTTTTTTTTTTTTGCAATTTGATTATGGCGGGTGTTGATGTTTTCTTTATGTGTGTGTTTTTTTGTGTATATGATGTCTGTGTGTTTGTGTTTGTGTGTGGGTGTCTGGGTTGTGTTAAACTATGTGAAATCATAAGTTTATAGTTTTCACCAAATTTTGCACGTTTTTCCTTATTTCTTTAAGTGGTTTTTGTACCCTCCCTCTCCCTCCACCAATCTTGTCTCCTTTAGTTCATTTAATTATACAATTAAGGCTCCTTGAAGATGTCGTAAAACTCATTGATGCTCAGTGTAATTTTTTATCTTCTCTTTTTTGGTGTTTCATTTTGAAGAGCTTCATTGTTATATCTTCAGGTTCAGTAATCTATTATTTTGCGGGAGCTAATCTACAATTATTCTCAGACATTTTTTTTTTGAGACGGTGTCATTCTATCACCCAAGCCAAAGTTCAGCGGCATGATCACAGGTCACTGCCATCCTGACCTACAGAGCTCAAGCAATTCTTCCACCACTTCCTAAGTAGCTAGGACCATGGGTGTGCACCATGCATCTATCTGATTTTGTTATTTTTTTGTAGAGACAGGGTCTCCCTGTGTCACCCAGGCTGTTCTCAAACTCCTGGGCTCAAATAATCCTTCTACCATGATCTCCCAAAATGCTGAGATTACAGGCATTAGCCACCATGCCTGGCCCTTATTTATTTATGTATTTATTTTTATCGCGGACATTTTAGAGGTAATTTCTGTAAGTTCAACTTTGATCTTTTTATGTCTACCGTGTCTCCACTTAACATGTTCAATCAATCCCGTACCCTCTTGAGCAAGTGGAAGATAGTTATAAGTATCGCTTTTGTATTCTTCCTACAAAGTCTATCATCTGTGCAATTTCAGGGAGACTTTGGACTGATGAACTTTTCTGCTTTTTATAGCATGTATTTTCTTGGTTCTTGCAAGGAAATCTGATAGGTGCTAGACATTTTGAGTTTTTCCTTGTTGGATTTAGAATATACTTGCACTTCTCTGTCTATTTGGTCTTTTATTCTTGGATTTAGTATAATTACTCGGAAACTTGGTACTTTTTAAAACTTGCTTTTTAACTTACTTAGTTGAGACCAGACCAGCCTATTGTCTAGGCTGACATTTTCTCCAGGACTGAGGCAAAGCTGTTCCGAGGATTCGACCTCATGCTCCTTAACTCAGGCCTTTCCTCTGTGACTGTAGGAACAAGCAGGATTCATATTTTGTGTTTGTGTGTGTGTGTGTGTGTGTGTGTGTGTGTGAGAGAGAGAGAGAGAGAGAGAGAGAAAGAATGCTCTGTGGAGTGTTCCCGCGAGTGTCTTTGGACTGCTGTTTGTCTGAAAATGGAGTTTCCGTCCACACATGTGCTGCTTGATGCTTATTAATATTTGAAGACTCCAGAGTTCTCTCTTTGTACAACTTGCTTTTCTTTGATACTCTTCTCTCTATATTGTTTTCTTGTTGTTGTTTAGTTTTTAATTTTTGGGTTTCTTGGAAAGTTACTCTGAGAGGTTGAATTCCATGCAGTAGGGTTCGGGTATATAGTCCCAGAAAATAAGTGTGGGAGGCTCTTCTGGGAATGTGTTACAATTGAGCACTCAGCAGGAGGCACTTCAAGGTCATCCTGAATTAAAGCATGGCTTTGGAATCTAGGCATCAGGCAATCATTGCTCCCAAACCACATTATGGAGGGGGCACATCCTTGGAAGACACAGTACTCTGCACTCAATGGCATTTTCCAGTGAGAAAAAGCTGTGAGAAGCCAAGGATTCCCTGCGGCCTTGGGTAGATAGTGGGTAAATGACCCCTGATGTCACAGTTGCCATTACAATGGACTTCCCTGTTCACGACATCATGATGCCATGACAGCTGGGATCAAAGGTCTCAGTTAAAGAATGAGGAGTCCAGGGGACTAATCCAGGGCATTTTGGACCAGAGAGCTACCTTAGGTTTGGTCATTAAACAAAAGGAAATCCAGGCAACATGATTACTCAATGGTTATCTTGCTGTGACTGTCCTACCAGTCAGGTCATCTTAAGCCAATTCATACCTAGCTAAACAACACCAGGACAGCTTAGTTTTCAGCCCCAAATTTTCTCCTGACCCACCCTCTGTAGAGCCTTCCTGGATGACTAGAGTGAAAGGTGCCTCGGGGTCACACATCCAGCTGAGCTGGGCTAACCCTGCTCACGACTTTGTCCACAATACTCCTGGGGCTTAAGAAAGAGAGTGATACAGATGGTGATGGGGTTTGTGCCTCACTTCCCTATCTGTCTGTGTCACTATGAATGTGTTTTTATCTCCAGAAAAACAAAAATAGCCTCGTCTTCAACGTGAGCCCCAGTAATGGTCAGTGTGGCTGTTCCCCCTGAGCAGGAACCAGAGAATCGCTCAGTGATCTCTGAGCACAGCTTTCTATCATTGTATACAATGAGATTAGGGGTTTGGACTGACTTGTGTTGGTACCAGTGTGCATAATAGCTTTCTAAGTCCTCTCCATGGCAGGTGATCCTGGCCATCTGTCCCAAAGCCACAGACACTTCAGGCAGCTGAGTCAGCTTAGAGAAGGCCACAAAACCTGCAAGCGAGGACAGGAGAGGTGAGTCTGAAGATGAGGGTCTCATTCTCAGAGTGCCATACCCTGCATCACTGCCGTGATGAGCTGAAAGTCAGGGCCAGGCTGTTCCCTGGTGCTGTGGGGGTTGAGCCCTGGGAAGCAGCACCTGTGCAGAGAGTGAGCAGGGTGAGCAGGAAAGGGGTCCAGGCCATGGTGGAGATGCTTCAGAGTTCTGCCTCTGAGCGCACACCTGAGAAGGGGGTCTCTAGGTCTCTCTTATCATAAGAAGGGGAGACTCATCATGCAAACCTACTTCCTTATCTTATTATCTAGTTAGGTGTCTCTCCACTGAGGGGTGGATGCAGATCTCTTCTCCATTTCCCAGTGCGTCTTTCTGAGCTCCTATGTGGGCCCTGAGCCTGAGGGTTTGGTGTGGCAATTTCCCAAGTTCAGAAGATGGGACACATGGCTGTCATGAGTAGAGAGTGGACTTTACCCAAGAGGATGGGCACCAAAAAAGCATCTTCACCAGAGTGTGGTGGATACAGAGTTGAGTAAGATGTGGCTTCTGGAAACTCCCCCTAATAACATCTGTCCAGATTGGTCTGCACACAGTGGGAGATTCAGATGCATTTAGGATGAGGATGTTCCTGAAAACAGCAGGGACTGCACCAGTCAGGGAGCTCATTGTCACCCTCCCATAATTTAAAAAGCTAGGAAGAGTTGCACCCACTCAGGGACCACAACACACAAGCAAAAGGAAGCTGTCCCTGTCCTGGATGAGAAACCACAGAGCAGGTTTCCTTTGGATTTCATGGTGGGAAAAGAGAGTTGCTGAGGGAGAAGAATTCTCAAGGCTGTGCTTCAGGAAGCCCGTTGCACTGGGTGAGGAAACATCTTCAGAGCAAAAAGGGAGCCTGAGAGCCCAGGGCAGGTTTTCGTCTCAGTTCCCCAAGAACTTGGACCACTGTGGTTAAGTGGCACTGCTTGTATATGAGCAGCACTAATAATCAGCCTCGTCCTCAGCCTGGAGTCCAGAGATGGTCATGGAGGCCGTATTGCCAGACTTGGAGCCAGAGAAACGATCAGGGACCCCTGAGGGCTGAGTATTGACATTGTAGATCATGGGTTTGGGGACTGTGCCTGGGTGCTGTTGGTACCAGGAGACATAGTCATAACTCCCAACATCACTGCTGGTTCCAGTGCAGGAGATGGTGACTGACTGTCCAGGAGACCCGGACACGGAGGGAGGCTGAATCAGGGCAGACTGGGCCCAAGAGCCTGGAAAGAGGGAGAAACACACTCTAGTGAGTCAGTGCTGGGCCCAGGTGAGCCTGAGGAGCAGGAGACCAAGGATCAGCCCAAGGGTCCCCGAGGCCCCTTCCCTGGAGGCGTCACCTGTGCCCTGAGTGAGGAGGTGAGGAGGAGCAGAGCCCAGGCCATGGTGGAGACGTCCCCAGAGCGCTGCCTCCTGAGACCCCAGCACTGGGCCTGCCCCCAGCCTTGTCTTACCCTGATGCCTCAGAGGAGGGCGGGGCCTCCATGCAAATCTGCATCCTAAGCTCCTCTTCTTACCCCACCCTCACCTGGGCCTGGGCCCGTAGACTTCTGTTTCCTTGGACAGTGGGGCTCAGCCAGGGGGATTGAAACTCCTTGACTTGGATTTCCTGAGACTCAGCCCATGACAGTGCCTGGGAAATGGAGCCAGCCTTGGGGGTCCCTGTCCTTCCTGTCCTGTGGTTCACGGTTGGTCCTGGCTGTGGGGTCCCAGGATTTCCCTTCCCTTCTTTGTGGGAGAAGTGTCAGGACAGGGCCCAGAGTGGCTGGGAGACACCCCAGCTCTCCCCTCCCCAGGACCACAGGCCCCACAGGGACCCTTCAGTCCCCTTCAGCCCCCTTCAGCCCTTCTAGGGTGCCTCAGGTTGGCTAATTCCTCCCCGCTCTGTGTCTGCAGACGCCTGAAGCTGCTGCTTGGATAAACCTGGAGTTCATTTATTGGCCCTCGTAGAAATGCATTTATGGGGGCATGACAGATTTAGGACCCCAGAATGCCTCTGTCTCTTTAGGGGGACTTAGGAGGAAGGAGCTCCTAGGACCCACCCAGGGTGAAGCCCAGCAGGGACCTCCCAGGTCCAGGCATGTGCCACCCCCGCCCCCTGGTGGCCTCAGAGGGAGGATCCTGAGGCCCAGGAACCTCCCCTGAGTCATAGCTGACAGCCCCTGCCCTGTCCCTCCTGCCTTTTGGTTCCCTTCACAGCTCAATCCCAGGCCCCTGGTCCCTTCTCATCCCCTCCAGACTCCCCTGACCCAGGGTGGAGGACATCTCCCACACCAGAGCTTCAGATGCTCCTCTTGGCACTTGTTTGCTTTTCCCAGAGGAGTGTCCCACAGGGTTGGTGTCCTTGAGGCAGCTGTGGCTCAGGCTGAGGAAACCTCATACATGAAATAAATCCACCCCCAGCAGGCAGGTGGGACAGGAACATGGAATGAGGAGAAAACCAACTGGCTCCTCAAAATGTTGACAGAAAAAGTGTGACATGGAGGAGGCGGTGCTCACAAGAGCTGTGACCAGCCTCATGGGAAGCAGGGTAGGGAGGTGTCCCAGGGCCACAGGAGCTGAGGAAAGGTGCCTGGGGTTAGAATTGGGTCAGGCCTAGCACCAGGGACCCCTCCTCAGGGCGCGTGCGTCCCTCACACTGTGACCCGGGACTTGCCTTAGTCCTGCCTTTTAGTGCACGTTGAGTCCCCCTCAGCCCAGAGCCGGGCGCCTCCCTGAGGTGAAGCCTCCCCACACAGACAGTGGCTGACCCCATGTGTTCCTCAGAAACTCCTGGGTTTGGGGTAAAGACTCCATTCACGGCGACTTCTCTCTGTCAGAATAGAAACGTAAACGTTCCCTCAGGAGATGGACTAGGGGCTCTGCGGTGTGAGTGCTGGGCGGGAGGGGGGGCTGTTTTGTGTCACTGTCCCTGTTAGAAGACAGAGATTTCTAACAGCACAGGAGAGGGGGGGCCGAGGGAAGGGTGGGCTCAGGGGCTCGGGTGAGAAAGTGTGTGGTGTGGGGAGGTGACAGCTTTGCATTTGAGACTACTGTTTCTGTGTGTGTTATTTAGATATTTAAGTGCTATGTTGCTATATGAATAGTTACAAGAAAATAATGTTTCCATTTGAGATAGCACTAAAATGGAATTAGGTCAATGACCTGCTGAAATATCAGTGATGTTGATTGCGGAGCCGGTGGCCTGGATCAAAGCCCTGAGAACACTCCAGGAGCCCAGGCACTTCCTGCAAAAAGGAAATATGTGATCTTCAGGACACGCTACCTTGTCCTCTCTTCCATGTTCCGTTAGCACCAGAAGCAAACCAGAGCCCGGCCAATGCTGCCGAAGTCTCCTACCTCACTGAAACTCGCCTGGATATGTGCGTCCACACAGGGGAACAGACACAGACATCAGAAGCACTTGCTGCATCTGTCCTCACTGCAGCCCAAGCAGGAATGGAAAGTGGCAAGGTTCTCTTTTGAATCATGTTTTTTTCAAAGGTTTAGTTTTCCTTGAAATTCAAAAATCTTGTCTTTTAAAACATGAGGGCTTTCAGAGATGGGTTCACTGGTTCATGTTATGGGAAATGTCTCCAGAGGGACTGGTTGCTGTACCTATCTGCACTTTCAAAAGTCACTAATTTAGTGTCAGGTATGTTTGTAGAGCACAGGCTCTAATACAGTATATGTGGAAGGGTGCATTCTGTAACCAAGAGAGAAAATGGGAGAAAATGGGAAAGTCCTTCAATTCCCTTCACCTCTAATTCACATGGTCTGGATTGACAAGGTGCACACAGATGAGGCCATGGGCAGCTGAGACTGAGGGCTGGAGACCCCACCTTTAGAGCCACAGGTTCCTTCATCTTCCTGTTCTACCAGCAGACCTTGTCCCCTTATGTACATCAGGGGCCGGGCATCCTCAATACCATCTGTCCCTCTATGAGACTCAGTGCCCAGCAGCTAGGAACCACCTTCCCATTCAGGGTCGAGTCTGCAGTGGACTCAGCAGTGCACAAGGTCCTACCAAGCACAGGATCAGAGTCAGCAGTGCAGAGCCTGGCCTGTGGGCACAGTGTGCACAGCCCCACTGCACACCCAGCATGGCCCTACTGTGTGGAAATGGACCTGCTGTCAACAATGAGCATTGTTTTTTCTTGGGGAACTTTTTGCAAAACCTTCCACAAGTCTCTCATGACAAGTGATCTTGGCTCACTTGTCATGCTGGCTCCAGACAGCTGAGAACAGAATATGAGCAGAGGAATCTTGAGGACTCTGCCTGGAAATAAATTAACAGTTACAATAGGCATTCCTGCACAACTGGGGAAGTGTGAGCTTGGACTGGAGAGAAGAGCATTGCTTATTATTGAGAGAGAGAGAGCAGGGGAGAGAGTCCAAAAGAGCACAAGGGGATCAGTTGCTGCTATAGCGAGAGGGGAAATGGTGCTTGCTACACTATTCTTTGATTGGTATCCATTGAACAATTTCAAAATTAAACTAGGTTTACTTTCCTCCAGAGTGTGCAGTATTTTTATTATGGCAAAATGAACAATTTTTAAACCATTTCAATCATTTGTAAGTGTGCATTCAGCAACAGTAAGTACATTCAGAATGCTTTGCAACCACCACCACTTTCCATCCCCAGAGCTTTTCCACCACTCCACAAAAACACTGTGGGCCCTTTAGACAGTGACTTTAGAAACTTTGGAGCTTGGGAACAAATTGAGGAGTGTGTGGTCTGAAGGAAGTTTCCTGTAAGGATCCAAGGAGTGTCTGCACCAATCTCCCCAGTTTCTTCAAAATCTCAGGACAGTGAGGAGGAGACACCTCATCTAGGAAACCAGATGACACACAGCCCCTGTGCCTCCTCTGGGCTGGTTTGTCCCAAAGAGAAGAGAAATTCCAGTAGGAATGCACCCTCTGAGACAGCGTTCTCCTCTCCTGGAGGACTTGTAGTTATAGTTGAGGCTCTTGTGTTTGGTTTACTGAAATGATTCCTACAATTGTTGAATGGATCCTGGAAGATGGAAGTGGATTTCTACAGACGCAGTCAGCTGGTAGTTCCATCTGCCATTGCTGTGCCAGATGAAGACCCTGATAGAACACACCACCATGCATGGCTACAGGTGCACAGCAGGCACCATCAATGCAGAAACTCATTCTATTCCTCTCAGAACAGGATCAGAAACGGTGTGCATACAAGGAGTAGACAGCAGTATAGGTTTATACTTTTATTTTTTCAACTTCATTAACTCTCCCTTCTTTTTCATGATATTGTCATAGGGGCTTTGACCATCTGAACACCCAGGAGAACCTCCTAGGGCTCTATTCTGTATTTGGATCAGATGTGCATGAGGGGGCCCTGTCTATTGGAAGCTTTGGTGAGACCCACGCATTCCTGAGAGTGCGAAACAAGCCCTAAGACCATTCATCCTGTGTAGTAGCTGAAATGTTTAGGATTGAGTTCTCTGGAGCAGCTTAGTATCTCTCACAAAATAAAGAGCACGTTATTAGATCTTACAATTCCCACCAGAAAGAAACACAAAGCTTTAAGGTCATTCTGGTGTCTAGAGGCAGCATATTTAACCCTTGGGGATGTGGCTCCAACTCATATATCAGGAGCCATGAACATCGCCCACTGTTTTGGAGCCCAGAGCAGGGAGGTTCTGCACCAGGTTCAGGCAGGGGTATGAGTGTCCTGCTGTTGGGACCACAGAATCCAGCAGACTCTACCATAGTCACAGAATTGGTGATAGGAATGGAAGAATTTATGATAGGAACTGAAAACTCATGTTTACGCAATCTCTCATGGGAAAATCCCATGAGATTTTCCCAATGGGATTCCAATCCCATGGGATTTGGAACAATTCCATGTCATCCACAAGAGAGAATTATATTCATTTGGAAAACAACTCTCCCCATGTGCTCTTGTTCCCTGGTAGATACAGGACAGCATCGGACATTCAGTGACCAAGCAGCCAGAACTGCCAGATTCCCCCGTCGTGTGCTCAGGCAGACCCCAGCAGCGATCCCTGGTGAGACAGATGTGACACAGCTAGGATGGAGCAGGAGCAGGGCCCCAGAGCTGAGTAACCTGTGGGTGGTCCACAGCCAAGTTTGCATCTCTCTTGCTCTAGCACTGCTCCCTGGGTTTACACTTACGTTGTGTGGGTAGCAGTCCCTCTGCTCAGCTGATGGAGCAAAAATTTCCAGAGTAGCCCAGCAATGAACTGGATCACCATGAAGTAGAGCACAGCTGCACTATATGGGTGTACTAAGGGGTGGCATTAAGAGACAATGGAGAGGGGACATCTTTCCTGCATGAGGGCATGGCGCCTGGTCATTCATTTTGTGAGGAAAGGTGAGTGGCCGGATGCCAGGGCAGATAGGGGCTTAGGGCAGTGGGAAATGACCTGGGCAGGTGTTCCAGGGACTGCAAGAGAAAAACTTGGAAATGGGGGAAGTGGAGTATGGGCAGAAGCCTGTGGGTGGTCTTTGGGCACGGGCACCACACAGAAGAAACTTTGAATCATAGGTTAATAGCCCATAGAGTGTCCATGATGGACATAGTGCCAAACACCCAAGTGGTCAGAAAGAAGAGATCAGGGGTGGTCAGCCACTCTGTCAGGTGACATGTGCCCCACAGCATGGGTATCCACTCGTAGGCTCTGAGAGTGTGTGGGTCGACCTTAACGTGGAGTCTAGGTGGACCCCACAGCGTCCACTCCAGCTTACACCGTTTTGAATATAAGGCTGCCAGGAGATTCAGGAACTTAAGTGCTAGGGAAATGCTGAGGACTAACCTAGGACGTCTGGGCCAAGGGGTGACCCAGGCTTCACCATATGGAACTCACATCCTTTACCACTAGATGAAAGATACGCTTTGTGTGTCCTTTCATCCAGGCCCTCTTTCACCAGCTTTATCCTGGGTTAGAAAACCCCAAAACAGCCTGTCCACACAGCCTCAAATCTCCTCCTAACCCACTCTCTGCAGAGCCTGCCTGAAGGGCTGGCATGTGGAAACCCAGGTCTTTTGCCACTACGTGCATGGGCCACTCTGTCTGCCCGTCCATTCAGGCTCTCTTTCACCAGCTTTATCCTTGGCCAGAAAAACCCCAGGATAGCCTGTCACACAGCCTCAAATCTCTTCTTAACTCACCCTCTTCACAACCTGCCTGGAGGGCTGGAGGGAAGAGCAGCCTGGGGGTCACAGAACTGGGTGAACTGGACCAGCCCTGCTCATGGCTTTGTCCACAGCCATCCTGGGGCTGGAGAAAGAGGGTGACACAGATTGGGAAGGGGTTTGTGTCTCACTTCCTAATCTGCCTGTGTCACTGTGGGCTCATCACTGTTTCTATTGTACCTGTGACAGTAATAGTCAGCCTCGTCCTCAGTCTGAGCCCTGCTGATGGTCAGGGTGGCCATGTTCCCTGAGCTGGACTCAGAAAATCAGAAATTCCTGAGGGCCGCTTGCTGCCTTCATATATCACCAGTATGGGCCTGGTCTGGCTTCTGCCAGAACCAGTAAACATACTCATCTTTGAGGTTATCTCAAGAGCAGGTGATCATGGCTGCCTGTCCTGGTGACACTGACACTGAGGGTGGCTGTGTAAGCTCATAGGAGCTTGCAAGAGAGGACAGGAGAGGAGGCTTGTAAATGATGAATCTGTTCCCAGGGGGTCCCACCCTGAGGTTGTGCCTGGGATGAACTCATGTTTGGGCAGGCCCAGCTCAGGATCCTATGGGTTCTGAGCCTGAAGGAAGGGCTTGGGGGCAGCACCTGTGCAGAGAGTGAGGAGGGGGAGCAGGAGAGGGATCCAGGCCATGGTGAGACACCCAGAGCTCTGCCTCCTGAGCCCACAGCACAGCTGGGCTCACCAGCTCTCTCTTATTGCCTCTCAGGCCGTTTGAGGCAGTGAGTGTTTGATGCAAATCGGCATCCTCTGGGACTCCTCACTGAAGGATGTCACTCAAACCAGCTCTGTGGGAAGCACAGCAGACTGAGGAAGAAGAAGTGGGTCCCAGCTCACTTTATCTGCTTCTCTGGTCAGAAGATCAGACTCCATCCTTGAAGGCCTGTGATCACAGTCACCTCCTGGAGTTTGGCCACATGACCACTGTTTTATACCATCCTGGCCTGTGCTGTGTCCTAGGCCAGGCTCAGCAGGGCTGTGGACCTTCCAGGAGCCTGGCCATGGGGCTGAGCTGGGCCGTGCTGAGAGATCATCAATGACACCTGACTCAGCAGCAGGTGGGCCAGGAACCCATCATCTTCCTCCTCCTCCAAGTCAGCTCTGGGTTTCCCAGACTCACTTGGTCCTGTCCTGGTAGTTTAATTAGAATGTGGTTCTGTGTCTTTAGGATACTTATATCCTAAACTTGATTTCCATTACCATGGTTTGGTCCTTTGAGCAGCCACAACTCATGTGGATTCATTACACAGTCTAGTCTCGTTTCTCACCTGAGTTGCTCCTTGTATGACACCCCCCATCTCTCTAATAGACTAGAAATTGCCATCCTCTGCTCTTTGATTCTTTATTTTTTCTCATCAGTGTTTCATATAAATGTGTAAAAAGCACCAGAAACCCAGACCTGACTGAGAAACTAACTTTAGGTTATTTGGTCTCTGTGAGGGTTCCAGCGTCGTGGTCTCTGAACACCCATGAGCTCTGGAGGGTGGGGGATCCCTGGTCCCTCCAGCCAGACAGATCTTGTCACTGAGCCCAGGATAGTCCCATGGTCAGAGCTGTGGCCTGAGGCAGGTGAACATTCCCTTCCCTCTGGAGAGCATCTCCGCAAGGAGGCTGGGAATGCCCCATCCAGGGACCAGGATCCCAAATGTCCCACGCCACCCACCTGAGAATCCCCTGAGCATAGGAGCTGCCTCTGAGTCAGAGTCGGCCTGGAGCTGGAAGGAGAGGGAGAGGGAGGGGGTGGTAGGGTGTCTCTGGAAGTGCCAAGTGTAGAGGGCTCAGCTCCCCAGGATGCTGCTGGACACGGAGGAATGAGACCCTTAGAATGGCAGGAGGCTCAGGCAGCCATCCTGGGTGAAGGGCTTGAGCCCCGGGAGCCCTGTCCCCTCACACTGTTCCCCCTCCTAGAGCACCTTGACCTCGGAGCGTCTCTTAGGAAATCCTAGCCCTATGGGAGCTGCCCAGGCTGACACCAGGGCCCAGGTGCCTCCAGTTGTGTTTCCCAGCTGAGGCCGTCACTGTGCCTGGGCCCCTGTCAGTATCCTGGGTGATGCTGTGTGTCTGACCCTCAGAATATGAACACTGCAGCCCCAGGTGACAGGAGGGACTATACCAAACTTCCAAAGTGAGGACTGATCCCTTGAACACCTGTTGACCACCCCCCACAAAGGCTGGCCTCCTTCATAGGCTCCTCCTGGGCAGCCCCAGCCTCTCTTCTGGCTGCAGCTCTGCTGCCCTCTGCTGGTGGAAAAGACAGAGCCCAGGCACTTGCCTTCTCCAGGTGATCCCAGAGCACCCGTCACCTGGGAGGGTGCGGACCAGGGAGTCCAGCCTCCGTCTGTGCCACATGTGAACCCCTCTGGCCTTCATGGTTCAGCACAGAGAGGTGGCATATATAGTTGCGGGAAGGTGGGGCAGGTGCAGTTCTTGTGACTGAGTCTCAGGTTGAAGTGCTTTTCTCTGTTTCATGGTTTTTGATCACAGAATGGAGAGTGCAGGATAAACTGTAGCTCTTCTGTGAAAAACAGTTCCAGAGAAATGCAGTTGTACCCTACATGTACTCCTGCTTCCCATGTATACTGAAAACGAGATTGATTCCGTCACCCCAATAAGCACAGCTGCACTGTAATTGGAAGTACCGGATTTCTGCCACTAAACCTCAGTTGTGTACTTAAAAAACCATCACCATCATCACTGTCATTATAATTTTTCTATTACCATTATTTTAATTTCCTAACGCTGATCCATGCTTGTGGTGGGAGGTAGCACTAGCCTTTTTTGTTTTAATGAAATTTAAGACTTCTTGGACAATGTTGAATAGCAGCTGTGAAAGCAGGAGTCCTTGTTTTGCTTCTGATCTTTGTGGGGAGGCTTTCACTCTTTCACCATTTACTGTGAGATTCACTGTGGATTTTGATAAAGGCCCTTCTTTAATCAATTTGTGCAGGTTTCCTTCTGTTCCTAGTTTGCTAAGTGTTTTTGTCTTGAAAGTGGATGAACTTTGTCAAATGCTTTTTCTGCATCTTCTGAGATCATATGCTTTTTCTTGTCACTCTATTGATATTGTTTATTACGTTGATTCATTTGCTTATGTAGAACCATCCTTGCAATTCTGGGATAAATCTCGCTTTTTCATTCCATGTGTTCTCTTTAATGTGTAGTTAGACTTGGTTTTCTCTTATTTAATTTAGGAATTTTAGATGCTTATTCTTCAGGAGTATTAGCCAATAGTTTTCTGTATTATAGTATCCTTGTTTGTTTTTGCTACGAGGCTAATGCTGGCCTCTAGAATGTGCTAGGCAGTGTTCCCTCCTCATCTATTTTTGGAAGAGATTGAGTATGATTGGTATTACTTCCTCCTTAAATCTCTAGTAGAATTACCAGTGAGGACATCTGGCTCTGGGCTTTTCTTTTTAGAGAAATTGTCAATTGCCGACTTAATCTATTTCTTATGCTGATTTTTTATTTCTTCTTCAGTTAGATTGGTAATTTGTATTTTTCTATGAATTTGTCAATTTCTTCTAGATTTGACATACAGTTGCTTATGGTGTTCTCTTATAATCATTTTAATTCCCATAACGTTGGTTGTATTATCCCAAATTTCTTATTTTTGTTATTTGTGTCTTCTCTCTTATGGTTTTAGTTGGTTTGCCTAACAGCTTGTTAATTTTCTTCTTCTTATCCAAGTAGGAACTTTTTATGCCATTTATATTCTTTATAGTTTTTTTTCTCATCTATTTCTTTAATCTCTGGTCTAATGATTCTTATTTCTTTCCTTCTGTGGACTTTGGTTTAAGTTTGCTTTTCTCTTTCTTGTTCCATGAGCTGTAAAGTTGAGTTGTTGATTAGAAAGAAGAGGAAAAGAGAGCATTGTTTCCTCTAAAATGAAGGTGTGCTGAGAAGAATGAACACAGGCCTTGCTCTTTCCCCCATTTACTGCATTTACTTCATTCTTAGTCATATTTCTCCACACCTGTATTCTCCTCATCATACCTAAATGTAAAGTCCTCAGGTTCAGCCATTTCTCTGAGTTTTCATTTCCTTATTAAAGCTCCCATGCCAAGTAAAAATTATATTTAATAAATGTGCATGAGTTTATTTTTTAATCTGTCTTGTGTGATAGGGACTGCTGGCCAATAAATCTAAGTTGAGTAGAAGGAAATATTGTTCCTCCCCTACCCAAACTTCGTTTCCTGGTGGTTTTAGATGACTCCCTGTATGACTTCAAGTTTTAAAAAACTGTTGAGAATTGTTTTAAGGCCTAAAATAGCGTCCATTCTGGAGAATGTTCCATGTGCTCTTGAGTAGATGTGTATTCTGCTTTTGTTTTGTGCAGTATTTTGTATATATCTGTTAGGTCTAGCTGGATTATAGTGTTCAATAGCTGCATTTTCTATTAATCTTTTGTTCATATGTTCTATTCTTTTTTAAAGTGGGGTACTGAAGTCTCCAATTTATATTATAGATCTCTCTAGCTTTTATTTTAAATGTGTCTTCCTTCACATATTTTGAAGTGCTATTGCTTGGTGCATACGTGTGTATAACTATTATATCTTCTTGATTAATTGACCATTTTATCAATAAGGAATACCCTTTTTTCTCACTTACAACTATAATTCACTTAACGTCAATATTGCATCATGTCACGACAGCCACACCAGTTCTTTTGTTACTATTTACTCAACCTATTTGTGTCTTTGGGTCTAAATTGGTTCTCCATAAACACCATGTAGATAGATCATGGATTCTATTTTTTTTTTTTACTTTTAAAAATTTCATTTTGTTATTTTGCTTCAAGTGGTGAATCTAATCCATTTATATTTAAAGTAATCACTGATAACAAAGAAAGTCTGTCATTTTGCTGTTTGTTTTCTACATATCTTTTATCTTTTGTTGTTGTTGTTCCTAAATTACCCCAATAATTGTTTCCCATGTGTTCTATTAATTTTTTTCTGGGTCCATTTTGATTCCTTCTTCATTTTCTTTCCCTTATACACTCAATTTAGTTTTTACTAGTTATCATTGGAGTAACGATTAATGTTTTAAAATTGTTAGAATTGCTACGAACTTAGTCTCAATAATATCCATTAATTCTGTTCCTATCCAGTTCCATTTCCTCTCCTTTTAGACCTTGTTAATGTCACAAATAACATCTTTAAACATTTTGTGCCTATGTACATGGCTTTATAATTATTGATTTTTTTCCATATATCTCATAAATAACATGGAAAACACAGCAGCTCCATACCAACAATACAACAGCACTAGCTTTATATTTAAAAGAGATCTTTAATTCTTCACATGTATTCAAATTATGTAGTGTCTTTTCTCAGACTTAAGGACTTCCTGTAGTGTTTCTGGTAGGGCAGATCTACCAGGTCTACTAAACTTTGCTTATCTATGATTATCTTATTTTATTTTTTATTTTAGAAGATTTGTTTGACTAAATGCAGAATTGGTAGATAATATATTTTTATAAATCACTTTATAGATTATTGTGCTGCCTTTTGGACTGTTTTGTTTCTGATCAAAGACCAAATGTTAATTTCATGAGAATCTACTGTTTGTGATGAGTCTCTTTCTCTTGCTGCTTTCAATATTTTTCTTTTGTATTTGGTTTTCGATGGTTTGAGCATATTGTGCCTCACTGTGAGTCTGTGTCAGGTTAACCTGATGAAGGCCACTGAGCTCCTTGAAAGTATAGATTCATATCTTTCATCAATTTTGGAAGTTTCTAGCCATTATTTTTACATGTATTTTATACTTTCTTTTTTCTCTTCCTTCTGAGTCTCCCACAATGCGTATATTGATATGCTTGATGATGTCCCATGTATCTCTTAGGCTCTGCTCATTTTATTTATTCTTTTAAAATTTATGCTCATTCTGTGTAATTACAACAATGTATCTTTAAGTTTACTGATTATTTTTCTGCCTGCTCAAACTGCTGCTGAACTTATCTGATGAAATTTTGATTTTAGCTATTGAACTTCTCAGTTCTAGAAAATCTGCTTGGGTTCTTTTATTATAACTTCTTTTTCTTTATTGATAGTCCTCACTTGTTCTAACATTATTCTTCCAGTTTTGTTTGGTTGTTACTCGCATGGTTTTCTTGAATTTTTGAACATATGTAAATGGTTATTTGAAGTATTTGTGTCATTTGTCCAATGCCTTTGCTTCCTTGTGAGTACATTCAGTTCATTAAACTTTTTCCTGTAAATGGGTCATGCTTCCTTTTAACTTTGTCTGCTTTTTAAGTTTTTGTTGAAATCTGTGTATTTTGAATGTGTGATGTTGTAACTCTCAAAATCAGATTGTCTCCCTACTCCTTCTTGGCTGATGTTGCTGCTCAAGGGTGCAGTTATTCGTTTGTGTAGTTGACTCTTCCAAAATAATTTTGCAAGGACTTTGTTATCAGAGTGATCCATAAAGTTTCTGTTCAGTTACTTCTATGGGCAAAAATTAACCTGACAGAGATTTTCTTATGCCTGTTTCTTTCTTCATCAGTACTTGCCTCAATGCTGCGAATGTGGGACTAGATTTCCTCATTTTATTATGGTTAATTCTGATGGTTCTTACCCTTCAGTAGTTATTTCACAGAAAGGACCATTTCCTGGAATTTCCTACTCCATCATCTTTCATAATGCCACTGTGAGATCAGGTACTTTTGTCTCTTTTGTTCACCAATACATCTCAAGTACCTAAACAGTATCTGGGACAGTTCATTGAATTGGTTTCAATTCATGTTTGTTCAGTGTGTAAGTAAACATAATGAACTGCTAACAGTTTTTGTTTCTTTCCCATGAGGTTGGCCTTGTGGTAGCAATGTTATACATATGCAATCACCTTGCTTTACATTTTCATGCTTTATTCAACATACATTTTCTCAAAATTTCTGGACATATTAGCCCAGATTTGTTTTGTATTTTTTAATTTTTTAATTATTTTTTGAGACGGAGTCTCACTGTGTCGCCCAGGCTGGAGTGCAGTGGCACGATCTCGGCTCACTGCAAGCTCTGCCTCCTGGGTTCACGCCATTCTCCTGCCTCAGCCTCCCGAGTAGCTGGGACGACAGGTGCCTGCCACCATGCCCGGCTAATTTTTTTTTTTTGTATTTTTAGTAGAGACGGGGTTTCACTGTGTTAACCAGGATGGTCTTGATCTCCTGACCTCATGATCCACCTGCCTCAGCCTCCCAAAGTGCTAGGATTACAGGCATGAGCCACTGCACCCGGCCTCCCAATTAGTTTTTTAAAAAATCTTCATTTACATACACCTAACCAGTGGAGGCACCTCACATGATCATTCAGTGCTCCCATGGTATCACCAACTGTGGCTTGAACTCTGCCTTTTCTTCCTAGATTAGTCTTGGGAAATCATAAAAGGCCTTTTGTCAGAAGAATAAAGTACTTAGACCCATGAAAATTTCCTCTCTCAAAAAATCAATCAGAAATTCTAAAATTAGTGTTAAATCATTCCAGTAGCTCCCTGACATTGATCCACACAACAACTATACAGAAATTCAATCAAGATACAGACTTGAATGATCAGCCAATTTATCTTTTTTTTTTTTTTTTTTTTTTTTTTTGAGAGAAGTCCCTCTCTTATCCCCCAGGTTTGAGTGCAATGGCTTTATCTAGGCTCACTGCAACCTCTGCCTCCTGGGTTCAAACGATTCTCCTGCCTCTGCCTCCCAAGTAGCTGGGATTAAGGTGCCTGCCACCGCGCCTGGCTAAGTTTTGTATTATTTTTTAGTAGAGACGGGGTTTCACCATGTTGGCCAGGCTGGTCTTGAACTCCTGACCTCAGATGACCTGCTCGCCTCGGCCTCCCAAATAGCCAATTTATCCTAATTGAATTTGTAGAAAACTACACCCACAATGGCAGAATACCCATTACACTTTCAAACATGAGAGCAGAATACCCATTATGCTTTTAAATACATTTAGCACATTTTTAAATGATTTTGAAATAATCTGTGTTCTAGGTTACAAGTCAAATCTTAGTGGATTTCAGTGGATGAATATCATAGAAGGTATTATTTAATGCCAAAATAATTAATTAAATTGGATTAATACCTGATGAACTATGGGAAATCTTCAATTATTTGAGCAGGAAAGAACACAACTAAGTAATCCATGAGCTAAAGAAAAAACACAACATAAATTAGAAGATACTGAACCTTTAAAACACAAAAAGACAACATATCAAAACTTAAGAAATACAGCTTAAATCAGTGCTTTGAAGGAAATCTATTGCATTTAATGCTTAATGTTGGAAAGAAGAAAGATCTAAAATGAATTATCTAAGCTTGTACCTCATAAATTTAGGCTAAAGGTGAGCATTTAAATTCAAAGCAAAAAAAAGAAAAGTTAATAAGAAAGATCAGAGCCAAATATTAATGAAATAGCAAAAAAAAACAATAGACAGCCTCTAAAAAACAAAACTTGGCTCTTCAAAAAGATAAATACAACCTATTGATTTTACTTTTAGGTAGACTGACTAGGAAAACATGAAAGAGGACACAAAGTACTAAAACCATGATAAAAGAGTGCCATGACTACCAACCTTACAAAAGTTAAAATGGTTAGGGAAATTATTACAAGCAATTAATGCCAAAAGTATAAATGACTTAAGTGGAAAAATTCCTTAAAAGACATAAATGATCAAAACTGACTCAGGAAGAAATGGAAAATCCAAATAGATCTATGGTATTTGAAGGTATTGAATTGGCAATTAAAAGTCTTCCTGCTAAGAAAAGCTCACCCAGTTTTAAATAGTAAATTTCTATCAAATTTTTAATTAAGAAATGATACCAATCCTACAAGAACTTCTTCAGATTATACAGCAGGGGAAACATTTTTCTACTTACTCTTTGAGGCCTGCATTACTCCAATACCAAAGCCAAAGTCATGACAAGAAAAGAAAGTTATAGACCTATGTCCACCATGAACATGGACAAAAACTCATCAATAATGTATCAATCAACATTGTGATGCAGGAGCTGCCCCATGCAAGTGGGACCCTTGTGGCTTCAATTCCCTCATTCTCTTTTCACCTACCTCTTGAGGGTGACCCTTAGTAACCTTGATTTAACATTTGTGTGCCCTGTTTTCTTGCAACTCTGGTACTGGGATCTAGGCATTAGAGGCTGAAGAGAGGTAAGAGTGTTGGTGGAAGTGAGACATATTTTTTAACTATGTGTTAATCCCTGTGAATTCGGTTTGTAATGCTTTGTTGGGAAACCAGGGGTTGGGAAGATTGTCGTTGATTTGTATTTGGCTTTTTGTGGTTCTAAAATTTCAAGTAGGTTTATTCTAGGTAGCATATATAGTTGAGTCTTGCTGTTAATTTCAATTTGACAATATTTTAGTTGTGATATTTAGACCATTTACAATTAATGAGATTAGTAATATAATCCTACTGAAATATACCTTCTTGCTCCTCATTTTTTATTCATCCCATATGTTCGTTATTTTTCCCCTTCTATTGTTTCCTTTTCTGATTTATTTTTAGAAATATTTTTAAAATTTTCTTTCTGGCTTAAATGATGGTTAATTTTAAGTGTCAGATAGGCTAGGATATGGGCCAGGTTGATTTTGTCAAACACCAGTATAGGAGTTAACATGAAGATACTTTTCAGATGTGATGAACATTTTAATTAGTTGACCTTGTATAAGCAGATTGCTCTGCACAATGTAGGTGGGACTCATTAGTGAGTTGAAGGTATTTAGAACAAATATGGAGATTTCCTGATGTGCTGGCTTGCTAAATTTGCATGCATGACCGCAACATTAACTCTTATTTGAATTTCCAGACTTCAGCATGCCCAACAGATTTAATCCTTGTCAGCCACTACAATCATATGATCCACTTCCTCAAAATACATTTCTTTCACTCTTTTTTCTCTCAATACACACACACACACACACACACACACACACGCATATCTGATTGATATTGTTTCTGTGGAGAATCCTAATACAGGTTACTACTAGTCATAATTCTTTTTTGTTAAAAGGGTTTATTTTAATAATTACTTCAGGGTTAATGGTACATATATAACTTACCAAAATCTGTCTTCAAGTGTGATTAGATATTCATACAGGGTATAAGACCATTATAACATGTTCTTCACTCCTCTCTGCTTTTGTGCTGTTTGTCATATAATTTAATTTTGTTTTCACAATAAATCACAGTGATTTTTTTACTAATTTTCCTTTGAACAGTTATCTTTCATAGATGTTAACATAATACAGGGGTTTCTATAGGTATCCATGTCATTGCCCTATCTGAAGTTTTCATTTCTTCGTGTGAATTTGCTTTTCAACTGGGTATGATTTTCCTTCTGTCTATGGATGTCTGTTACCATTTCTAATGCCAAAAGTGATAGTGATCAATTCTGTAAGTTTTTATGTGTCTGAAAACATTTTATTTACCCTCCGCTCTTGAATGTTATTTCTGTTAGATAAATAACAGAAGGTTCACAAGTTTTTCCTTTCAGCATTTTCGAAATATTGTTCCACTGTGCCTTGCATTACTTCTAATGAGAGATGTGCTCTTGGAATTAAACTTTAAAGTGGGTATTCATTACTAGATTTTATAATTTGATTATGATGTGTTTTGGAGTTGTTTTCTTCATGTTTCCTGTGCTTGAGTTTTGTTGACCTTCTTGGATATACCAATTTTTGGTTTTCACCAAATGTGGAACATATTTGGCCATTATTTATTCAAATATATTTTCTACTGACCCTCCACCTCATCTTTTCTATTCCATGGATGTCAATTATACATACTTTAGGTTGTTGTATTTAAATATTTCTTCACATCAGGTGGCGTGGCTTATGCTTGTAATCCCAACACTTTGCGGGGCTGAGTCGGGAGGATTGCTCGAGCCCAGGAGTTTGTGACCAGCCTGGGCAACATAGGGAGAACCCCATCTCTACAAAAAATACAAAGAATTAACCAGGCATGTGATGCATGCCTGTAGTCCCAGAAACTTTGGGAGGCTTAGCTGGGAGGATCTCTTGGGCCTGGGAAGTCAAGGCTGCAGTGAGCTGTAATTGCACCATGGCACTCCAGCCTGAACCACAGAGTGAGACCCAGGAACTTGCTCTGTGTCCTAGGTTAGAGTGCAGTGGCATGATCGTACCTCACTCACTGCCATCTTGAATTTCTGGGCTCAAGCAATCTTCCTGTCTCAGGCTCCTAAGTAGGTAGGACTACAGCTGCAGGCTATGATGCCTAGTTAATTTTCTTAAAAAAAATTTGTAGAGATGAAGTCTCGTTATGTTGTCTAGTCTGGTGTTGAGCTTCTAGTCTCAAAAGGATTCTCCCTCCGAGACCTCCCAAAGTGCTGGGATTACAGGTGTGAGCCACCCCTCCCAGCCAACCTCAGGCTGTTTGAAGTTGTCCTATAACTCACTCTTCATTTTTTCTATAAATATACTGTAACACTCTCTTCATTTTCATCATTATTTTTTCTTTATGTGCTGCATTTTGAATATTTTCTAGTGCTACATTATTGAGTTTGCTAATCTTTTGTGTTGCATCATCTGTTGTTAATCACATCCAGTGTGTTTTTAATGTCTCAGATGCTGTAATTATTAGCAGTACAAGCTCAATTAGTCCTTTTTTGGTATTCTATACTTCCACTTAACATGTTCAATCATTCCTCTACTTCTTGAAAAACTGAAATACAATTCTAATAATTCATTGTGTATCCACTCTTAATTTACACTCTGCTGAGCCTGCCTGGAAGGCTGGAGGGAAGGGCAGCCTGGGGGTCTCAAATCTGAGTGAACTGGGCCAGACCTGCTTATAGCTCTGACCACTGTCCTCCTGAGGTTGGAGGGGGAGGGTGACATAGGTGGGAAGGGGTTTGTGTCTCACTTTCCTGTCTGCCTGTGTCACTGTGAGATGAGTATCAGTGCTGTCTCATGATTGACAGTAATAGCCTTGTTTCCAGCCTGGGGCCCATTGATTATCAGGGTGGCCATGTTCTCTGATATGGAGTCAGAGAGTTGTTCAGGAATCACTGAGTGCCAGTTGCTGTCACCATAGATTACCAGCACAGGGACCTGTCCTAGCTTCTGCTGGTACAAAAGTTTGCATAAAAGTATTCTATGCTGTCTCCCTGGTAGGTGATCCTGGCCCTCTGTCCCAAAGCCACAGACGCTGCAGGCAACTGAGTCCGCTCAGAGGAGGCCACTGAGCCTACAAGATAGGACAGGAGAGGTGAGTCTGAAGATGAGGGTCTCATTCTCAGAGCCCCACACACTGCGTCACTCCCTGTGCTGAGCTGAAGGTCAGGGCCAGGCTGATCCCTAGTCTTATGGGGCTGAGCCCTGGAAGGCAGAACCTGTGCCGACAGCAGGAAGGGTGAGTAGAGGAGAGGGATTCAGGTCATGGTGGAGATGCATCAGAGTTCTGCCTCTGAGTTCATAGCTAGACAGTGGACTTCCTGGGCCCTCATCACAAAAAGAGAAGTCTCTTCATAGAAACCTGCTTCTCTTCCTGTTGTGGCCTTGTTGGGTGACTCCTTGGTGAGCACAGAAGGACAGGGCTTAATAGAGAGTGTAAAAATGTGCCCTATCTCCAGGTCTGTATCCAGTTTCCTCACACTCTCCCTAGTATTGAGTGAGGAAGTGCTGCCCGCACCATATGCACACACACATCTCAGTTCATGTCTCAGGTATTCACAGAGGTAGGCAAGAACTCAGTCATCTTCTCTATTGATGTGAATATCCGTGGAAAAGGAAGCTCCAATGTAAATTCATCGTGGACCCTGAAGATTCTTTAGCTCTCACAGCCCTGTCTTGACCATCTAGCATCTGGTCTGGGTAGCAGGGTTGGGTTGATCTTGAAGCAGGAGATTGTAGGAACAGGGGCCATGCTGGTGTTTGGGAGGCCAGAATTCCATGATGAAACTCAGTGAAATTGCTCAGCCATCTCTCAGATTTATTTTTTATTTATCTGTTTTTTTTTTTTTTTTTTTTGAGACGGAGTCTCGCTCTGTCACCCAGGCTGGAGTGCAGTGACGCGATCTCGGCTCACTGCAATCGCTGCCTCCCGGGTTCACGCCATTCTCCTGCCTCAGCCTCCCAAGTAGCTGGGACTAAAGGCACCTGCCATCATGCCCGGCTAATTTTTTGTATTTTTAGTAGAGACGGGGTTTCACCGTGTCAGGATGGTCTCAATCTCCTGACCTTGTGATCTGCCCACCTTGGCCTCCCAACGTGTTGGGATTACAGGCGTGAGCCACCGTGCCCAGCGATACTATTATTTTTATATTAAAAATGGGAGAAAATCGGCTAGGTGCGGTGGCTCACGCCTGTAATACCAACACTTTGAGAGGTCGAAGGGGGCAGATCATGAGGTCAGGAGATCGAGACCATCCTGGCTAATACTGTGAAACCCTGTCTCTACTAAAAATACAAAAAAATTAGCCGAGTGTGGTAGCGGGTGCCTGTGGTCCCAGCTACCCAGGAGGCTGAGGCAGGAGAATGGTGTGAACTCGGGAGGTGGAGCTTGCAGTGAGCAGAGATCACGCCACTGCACTCCAGCCTGGGCGACAGCGAGACTCTGTCAAAAAAAAGAAAAAAAAAAGGAGAAAATCTTCAAGATCTATGTCTATGCAAAGAATTCTTAGACTTCACCAAGTACACAAGTCATGAAATGAAAGACTGATAAATTGAACCTTAACAAAACCATCAATTTTTGCTCTGCAAAAATCTCTCTTGAGAGGATGTGAACAGAAGCTACAGACTGGCATTAAGTATTTGCCAATCACATATCCAGTAAAGGACTAGTATAAAAAATACATAAAGAACAGTGAAAACCGGCCGAGTGCATTGGCTCATGCTTGTAATTCTAACACCTTGGGAGGTTGAGCAGGGAGGATTGCGTGAGCCTAAGGAGTTCGTGGCCAGCCTGGGCAAATAGGGAGATCTTGTCTCTACAAAGAAAATTCTGTAAACGATTAGTGAGGCAGTGTGTGTGCGTGTTGTCCCAGCTACTTGGGAGGCTGAGGCAAGAGGATTGCTTGAGTCAGGAAAGTCCAAGCTACAGTGAGCTGTGATTGCATCACTCCACTCCAGGCTGAATGACAAAGTAAAATCCTGTCTCAAAAAAACAAAACACCCAACACTGAATACCAGTTAAGAGCAAAACAAAAGACAATCTAATTAGAAAATGTGCAAAGGGCACAAACGTGATCAAAGAGGACATACAGATGGCAAATAAGCACAGGACAAGGTGATCATCATTAACGATCAGAGACACGAAATTTTAAAAAATGGAATATCACTACACACCTATCACAATAGTTACCTAAAAAAAGAGTAAAAACACACAATTCCCAAAGAAGCAGAGAAATTTGATCATTCCTTCATTACTGGCCAGAAAAAAATGTTACATTCACTTCAGGAAACAGTTTGTCAGCTTCTCAGAAAACTAAAGACCTAATTAGTGTATGACACAGCAATTATAATATTGGACCTTCATTTCAAAGAACTGAATACTTATGTTCACAAGAAACATACAAACTGATGTTCGTAGCACCCTCAGGTGTAGTAGCTCCAAACTGAAAACAATCCAGATACCCTTCGGTGGGTGAGTAATTCATCAGGTTTTGTTAAACTAATACCAAGAGATACTGCTCAGCAATTGAAAGGAACTGACTATTGATACACACACCTTTCCAATGACTTTATAGGGAATGATGCTAAGTAAAAAATTCCAACCCCAAAGTCTGTCTACTACAATAGGGTTGTATTTGTATCACGTTTTTGCAAGACAAAATTTTAGGAATAGGGAACCAAATCAGTGGTTGCCAGGGTTGGGCAAGGGAGGGAACTGGGTGGGAGGAGGTAGATATTATCAAAGGGAAACACCAGGAAATGTTGTGATGGACCTGGTTTGTGTCTTGATTGTAGTGGTGGATACCTGTGCTGATACATGTTGGGAAATCACACAGAATGGAATGCATAGACACACATGCATGCATATAAACTCATACAAATACATGAGGAAATGTGAACCTGAGAAACCTGAATTTTAAAAATGCAAAGATTTGATTAAATATTTCACCAAAGAAGACATACAAAGCACAGATAAGTACCTGAAAAGATACTTAGCATAATAAGTCATTAAAGAAATAAAAGTTAAAAACATAATTAGATATCGCTACAGCTCTATCTGAAAGACTTTAAGGAAAAACTGACAATATCAAGTGCTAACGAGGATGCACACACATTGAACTCTCATAAATGGGGGGTGACAGGTCAAGATCCATGTCCTTTCCTGGGGCAGAGCCCGGTAAGGGAGCACAGGGCACAGTGAGACACTGGGACACGGTCATCTCAGCCTGGCCACTCTCTCAGGGTCCTTCTGCCTGGGCTGCTCTGGTCTCTCCTAGTATGGTCCCCACAGACTGGTGTTGAGGAGACAGAATGATGAGTTGTCAAAATGGCCTAAATCATGGCCTGCATCTGCCTCTGCCTAGGGGTGTCTCTGCAGGAGGAGAGTCAGAAGTCTCAGGGACTTGGAAGGGGACATGTGACTGCTGACTCTGAGTCCCTGAGGAGAAAGGGGAGGTGGGGGGTTTTGGCCTCACTTTCCCTTTGTGTCACTGTGTGTGGCTCACCCATCCTGGCCATCAATCTTGTGGCTCTCTCCATAGTGATACTCAGCCTCGTCCTCAGACTGGAGGTTGGACATGGTGAGGGAGCAGTCAGCCCCAGAGCTGGAGCCCGAGAAGCAATTGGGGATCCTGTCCTCCTTTCTGTGTCTGCCATCGCTGTGAAACTTCATTATATACTAGGGGGACCTCTCTGGTCTCTGTTGATACCATTTGATGATGTAGGTACTGTGCTCACTGCTCAGGGTGCAGGTGAGCTTGACTGAGGCTCCCAGTGAGGCAGATGCAGACGGGGGCTGAGTTAGCACAGCCAGAGCACAGAGACCTGGAAACATAGAATTTCATGAATGATGCCGAATGCTCGGGAGAACTGGAAAGAATGCCCCTGAGGATTGGAGCTTGTGGAGAAATAGCAGTGAAAGGGTTTCCCTGAATTCCCTGGATGTTCTGACCTGTGGAGAAAATGAAGGGCAGGAGGTAGAAGGAGACCCAGACCGTGGTGGGAGGGACTTCCAAGAGCTCTGCTTGAGGCTGCCCCGTGGAACCTGGTTACAAGGACTTCTTGTGTTACCCTCTTCTTGAAGCTTGTTGGGAGGAGCTTTGAATGTCAATTTGCTCTCCACTTCCCAGCATGTTTATCTGAGCTCCTGTCTGAGCCGTTAGCCTGGAGACTTCATCTTGGCAATTTCCCATGTTCAGAAGAAGGACCAGGTGGGTGTCACAAGTACAGAATAAATTTTACACAATAGAAGGGGCCTCAAAAAAAGCGTCAGTCATTCCCTTTGCACTTGAGCACTACCAGGGGACTTAGAGTCATTAGAGTCCCCAAACCAAGGCCCACAGTCCCTTCTAGGGCTCAGAGGTAGAAAGCCATCCTCCATGTACCACTAGTTCTTTAGATATCTATGCCGTATATTGTTTTAGACATTAGTTGAGATGATACCATGTATAATTTGAGATAACGCTAAAGGCATGATAGGTTAATGACCTACTCAGAAATCCGTGAGGTTGATTGTGTGGATCCAGTACCCTGGATTCTTTCCCTTGAGATCCTGTTAAGAGGTCCCCTGAGAACACTCCAGGAGTCCAGGGACTTCCAGCAAGAAGCAAAACTCTCATCTTCAGGAGGGGCCACCTTGTCCTCTGTTCCATGTTCTGTTCACAACCGTAGCAAACTCAAAGTCCCACCAGTGCTGGGTGGGGGTTCCCCAATCTTCTTTAAAACTTTTCTAGATGTGTGTACCCACACTAGAAGACAAAACACAGCAACCAGCACTTAGTAAATCTGTCCTCACTGCAGCCCAAGCAGCAGAGACAAGGTTCCCTTTTGAAATGCAGTTTTCTGAAAGACTTAAGTTTTCTTTTAAACAGAAAAATCTTGTTTATTAGAATGCAGGACCTTGCAGAGATGTGTTCACTGGTTCATGTGATGCGAAATGTATCCAGAGGGACTGTTTCCTGCCCCCACCTCCCTCTCAGAAGTCACTAATGTACATGCCAGGCATGTTTGTGGGGCACAAGCTCTAATCAAGTATATGTGGAAGGACGTGTTATATAACCAAGGGAGAAGATGGGAGCAAATGAATGCTTCTTAAGGAAGATTTTCAGTCGATTATTTTCCTGGGAATGAGTCGTGCTCTCTTGTGACTTTGTATGCTGTGCAAATTTTTGTTGAGATCTGAGTATTTTGAATATTGTGATGTTGTTAACTCCCAGGATCAGATTATCAGATTATGCCCCTTGGCTGATATTGTGCAGTTGTTCATCTGAGGGGTGCAGTTGTTTATTTGTGTTGTGACTTTTCCTGAATATTTTCGCAAGGACTACCTTTCTTGTCAGAGTGATCCACGAAATTTCTGTTCAGTTATCTCTGTGGTCAGAGATCTACCTGACAGAGACTTCCTTAAGCCTGTCTCTTTCTTCTTCAGCTCTTCCCTGGATGCTGCAAATATGGGATGAGATACCATAGTTTTATTAGAGTGAATGCTGATGGTTCTTGCCACTTCAATAGTTATATCACAGGAGGGACCATTTCTTGGAGCTTCTTACTCCACCATCTTCCATGAGGCCACCCGGAGAACATGTATTTTTTTTTTTGTCTTGTTTGCCAGTACATCTCAAGGACCTATTCAGTATCTGGGACCATTCAGTGAATTTGTTTCAATACATATTCATTGAATGTGTAAGAAAATAGAATTGAATTAATAACACTTGTTGTTCATTTCCCATGCGGCAGGCACCGTGGTAACAATGTTGTACGTGTGCAATTAACTTTTTTGATTTTCATATTTTATTCAAGGTACATGCTTCAAATTTTTTCATGGATATTTTAGCCCAACTGTGTGATTTAAAAAAAAAAAAAAAACCAGCCGGGTGCGGTGGCTCACGCCTGTAATCCCAGCACTTTGGGAGGCCCAGGTGGGCGGATCACGAGATCAGGAGATCGAGACCATCCTGGCTAACAGTGAAACCCCGTCTCTACTAAAAAATACAAAAAATTAGCTGGGCGTGGTGGCGGGTGCCTGTAGTCCCAGCTACTCAGGAGGCTGAGGCAGGAGAATGGCATGAACCTGGGAGGCGGAGCTTGCAGTGAGCCGAGATAGCGCCACTGCACTCCAGCCTGGGTGACAGAGCGAGACTCTGTCTAAATAAATAAATAAATAAATAAATAAATAAATAAATAAATAAATATAAACCACTCTAACTACATTAGCCTAACCTCTGGAGGCACATCACATGATCACTCACTGTTCCCGTGGTATCTACAAGTGTGAGTTTAACTCTGCCTTCTTCCCTTGATTAGTATTTGGAAATCATAGAAGACATTTTGTGAGGAGAATAAATTATTTAGATCCATGATTTTAAAAATGATCTCTCTCAAAATAATCATTGGGAAATTCTACAGTTTGTGTTGTTCATTTCAATAGCTCTGTCTCAGAGATCTACAAAATAACTACACAGAAATCTAGTAAGAATATAGATTTGAACCATTTGCCAAGTTATCTTAATTATAATAAATTTGTAGAAAACTGCACCCACAACAGCAGAATACATGTTATCTTTTCAAATACATATGGAACATTTTTCATGATAGTTCATAGTTTAGGCTATAAATCAAATATTGATAAATTTGAAAGGATGAAAATCATAGAAGATATAATTTAATGCAGAATTAACTAATTAACTTGAATTAATACCGGAAGAACCATAGGAAATCTTCAATTATTTGAAAGTGAAAGAACAGACTGTTAAGTAATCCATGAATCAAAGAAAAATCACAACATAAATTAGAAGATACTGAACCTTTTTAAACATAAAAACACAACATATTAAAATTTAAGGAATGCAGCTAAGTCTGCTTTGAAGAAAAACTATGGCATTAAATGCTTAGTATTGGAAAGAAGAAAGAATTAAAGAAAATAATCTAAGCTTCTACCTCATAAACCTAAAAAAGGTGAACATTCAAATTCTAAGTGAATAGAGGGTAATAATAGGGATCACAGCCAAACATTCATGAAATAGAAAATAGGAAAACAATAGAAAACCTCAAAAAAAAAAAAAAAAACACTTGGCTCTTCAAAAAGATTAATAAAATCAATAGATTTTTATCTTTAGGTAAAGTGACCATGATAAAAAAAAGAAAAAGAAACACAAGTTGCCAAAACCATGACTAAAATAATGACATCACTATAGACACTAAAAGGGTGAGAATGGTTATAGGGAATATTATGAACAGTAAATGCCAAAATTATAGATAAATGAAGTAAAATTTCTGGAAAGACATAAATTATGAAAATTGACTCATGAATACATAGAAAATCTGAATAAGTCTATGACACTTAAAGATATTAAAGTAGCAATTTAAAATCTCCGTGCTAAGAAAAGCCCACCTATACCCAAATAGCTTCACTGGTATCACATTTTTATGGAAGAAAGCATACCAACCCTACCTGAACTCCTTTAGAATATAGATGATAATACCTGCCTTTTAATTGTGGTATTTAGACCATTTATAGTTAATGTGATTAGGAATATACTTTGTTAAAATATACCATCTTGCTCTTTTTTTCTATTTGTCTTATATGTTCATTGTTCCTCTTTCCTTTTTCTCTCTTTTGAAATTTATTTTTAAAAATTGGTTTTCTTTAGCTCCTGGCTTAAGTGGTGGTGAATTTTAAGTGTCAGATTGGCTAAGACATGGTACCAGGTTGATTTTGTTAAGCACCAGTGTAGACATTGTCATGAAGATATTTTTCAAATGTGATAAATATTCAAACCAGTAGACTTTGTATAAGCATATTGAAATAGCCTCATTGTCTGGGGTGAATACTCAAAGTTCATTGTCTCAGGGCCATGGAAAACTAGGACATGATCTGACAACAAATGAGGTTGACAGCAGAAGTTTAATAGGTGAAAGAAAGATAATAGCTCTCTGCTGCAGAGAGGGGACCCAGAAAAATGGGTTGCCGGATCTGCAGTGAAATGTAGGGAATTTTATAGATGAGCTGGTGAGGAGGCAGTATCTGATCTACATAAGGTGGGTGTCAAAGACTGGTTAGACCAGGTGTGCTACTTGCACAGGGCATGAAAAACTGATTAGGACTAGGTGTACCATTTGCATAGGGTGCACATTTCTGGCCAACCCTGCCCTAATCTGTTATTACGCAGGTGGGTTATCTGCCTGAGCTGCTCCATGTTGCCCATTTCTCTATTGCTATACACATGGTGACAAAAAAAGGGAAGATGGAGCCTCCATGTTGGACATGGCTGACCCCCAGGTAGTACTTTTCTATTGGCATAGCTGCTGGCATTGCCCCATGCAAGCTTCCAGCTTGCTTATCTATGTTTGCAGCACGGTTTTTTCAGGCTGCTCTTTGTTATAAAAGAAATGATTTTTAGGGCTGCTTTTTGTTAGATGAGAAGCTCTGCTGAGGACCCTGTCACCCTCACTATCTGCCTAAATAATTTCTGTCTCCTGTATCAATACTACTTTCCACAATGTGTGTGAGTCTCATTAATGAGTTCAAGGTTTTTAGAATAAATACTGAAGTTTCCCAGTGATTGATGTTAATGATCAGCCTTGTTCTTGGCATGAGCTCTGCTAATGGTCAGGGGGGACACTTTCCTCGATTTGGAGCCAGTGTGCATAATAACAGCTGATGCTGTCTTGGGGAAACATTAGCTTCTTGCAGAATTTGAACTCAGGACGGCAATATCAACTCTTACCTAAATTTCCAGCCTATAGCCTGCCCAACAGATTTTGTCCATCAGCCACCACTATTGTATGAACCAGCTTCTTAAAATAAGTTTCTGTCTGTCTCTCTCACCATATAGATACATTATACATATATATTCATATCCATACATATCCTATTAATTTTTGGTGGACAAGCCTAATATAGCGTACTAGCCATATTTCTTTTTTGTTGAGGGTTTTATTTTAATGGTTGTTTTAGGGTATACAGTAAATACATAACTTACCAAAATCTACCTTCAGGTGCTATTATATATTCACATATAGTACAAAACCATTATTACATGTTCTTCACCCACCTTCGCTTTTCTGCTTTGTCATATAGTTTGCTTTTATTTTTATTACAAATCATAATGTATTCTTATTAATTTTTCTCTGAACAGTTCTCTTTATAGACATTACTGTTCTTTTTATAGACATTACATAATACAGAGGTTTCTAATTGATCCAGGTAGCTACCATATCTGATTTTTCATTTCTTTGTGTCAAACCACATTTCAATGTAGGATTATTTTCTTTCTGTTTAGGGGTGTCCTTTATCATTTCTAATAGCGAGAGTCTAATGGTGATCAATTCTGTAGGATTTCACATGTCTGAAAAAGTCTTATTTTGCCTCCAGTTTTGAAAGATGTTTCTGGTGGATAAAGAATTCAAGGTTGTTGGATTTTGCATGTTATTATTTTCAAGACATTGCTTCACTATCTTCTTGCTTGCATTGCTCCTAATGAGAAATCTGCTCTTTGTAGTTTTGTCCTAAATGACTACTTTTCATCACTAGATTTTATTAATTTGATTATGATGTGTTTTGGAGTTGTTTTCTTTGTGTTTCCTATGCTTAAGTTTTATCGAGCTTCTGGGTTATATCAGTTTATGGTTTTCACCAAATGTGGAACATATTTTGTCATTATTCATTCAAATATTTTTTCTTTTCATTCTTACCCCATCTTCTATTCTGAGGACTTCAATTACACGTATATTAGCCTGTCTGAAGTTCTCCTACATCTCATTGATGCTGTTTATTTTTATCGTTATTTTTTGCTATGTGTTTCATTTTGAATAGTTTCTAGTGTTACACTATACAGTTTGCTAATCTCTTGTTTTGCGACATCTAACTTGTCTATCTCACCCAGTGTATTTTTAACCATACTTACAGTTAAATTTTTCTTTGTGTTGGTATTCCTTATTTTCACTTAATATATTCAATCATTCCTCTACTTCTTTTTTTTTTTTTTTTTTTTTTTTTTTTTTTTTTTTGAGACGGAGTCTCGCTCTGTCGCCCAGGCCGGACTGCGGACTGCAGTGGCGCAATCTCGGCTCACTGCAAGCTCCGCTTCCCGGGTTCACGCCATTCTCCTGCCTCAGCCTCCCGAGTAGCTGGGACTACAGGCGCCCGCCACCGCGCCCGGCTAATTTTTTGTATTTTTAGTAGAGACGGGGTTTCACCTTGTTAGCCAGGATGGTCTCGATCTCCTGACCTCATGATCCACCCGCCTCGGCCTCCCAAAGTGCTGGGATTACAGGCGTGAGCCACCGCGCCCGGCCCATTCCTCTACTTCTTAAACAAAAGGAACGTAATCATATTTGTTTGTGTATTTACTGGTGATTCACTCTCTGCAGAGCCTGCCTGTAGGGCTGGAGGGAAGGGCAGCATGGGAGTCTCAGATCCAGGTTAAACTCTGCTATTTTGCATTTTTTTTTTTGAAGGACCCTTGCTCTGTCACCTGGGCTGGGGTGCAGTGATGCAATCTCGGCTCACTGCAGCCTCCATCTCCCAGGTTCAAGTGATTCTCCTGGCTCAGCCTTCTGAGTAGCTGGGATTATAGGCATGCACCACCACACCTGGCTAATTTTTGCATTTTTAGTAGAGACAGGGTTTCACCATGTTGGTCAGGCTGGTCTAGAGCTCCTGACCTCAAGTGATTGGCCCACCTCGGCCTCCCAAAGTGCTGGGATTACAGGGGTGAGCCACCATGCCTGGCCTCTGTTTTGCCTTTTAGTTTGCCTGCTTGAGCCCACTCACCCAAGGCCTGAGATCTTATCAGAAAGCTGCTGATCACCAGCTTCAGGTATTTTCTATCTATTGGGAGACCGCCTTTCCTTGGTGCCGGCTGTGACTAATTATTAATTCACAGAGACAGTTTTAACAACTACCTGACCATCATCTGATGCTTGCGTGACATTCCTGGGGCAGGGGGTCTCCTGCCCTGTCACGTCTGCCTAGTTATCTACTGTAACATCTCCTTGGCTTGCAAATCACTCCCTTCTTCTGTGTCCTCACGTGATCTTTCCTCTGCATGCTCATCTATGGTGTCTCATTTCTGTGTGCTCAAATTTCTTCATCTTCAGAGGACACCTGTCAGATAGAAAAGAACCCATCCTACTGGCTTCATTTTCACTTAATCACCCCATTAAAGACCCTATGTTCCAATTCATTCATGCACTGTGATTAGAGCTTCATTGTATGAATTCTCGGGGCACACTTCAGCCAATAACCCTCCACACTATGGACTCTAAAACTCATGTCTTTCTCACCTGTGAAACACATTCACCTCAGCCCAACATCCCAAATCATTGACTAGATCAGCACCAACTCTAAGATCCATCTCATTTATTTATCATCCAAATGAAGTGCAGGTGACTCCTTGTGTGATTCATCCTGAGGGTGGAAACGATAACAGCTTTCGGGAGTTTCACCTACTTTCTCCTGTTATCTTCTGGTATCAAGAAAAGTAAACTCCCTCTTTATTTGCTAAGACTGAAAGAAAAGAGCAAGTCAGCATCAGCAACATTTGTGAGTTAGATGTGGGGGAAATCACATCCATGCATTCTTGAAATAATTTAAAGTAATAATTTAAATGCTAATAAAATTGAATTTTGTAATCATTAGCAGCGGGTTATGTCTGGGTGTCAAATGGTGTTTTGAAAAGAGCCATATGTTGACAAAGAGTCAAACTGTGTAAAATATTTTAAGATATTTATCCTGAGCCAAGTATCAGTGACCATGACTGGTGAACACAACCCTCAGGAGACCCTGAGAGCTTGTGCTCAAGGAGGTTGGGGCACAGCTTGGTTTTATATATTTTAGGGAGACAAGATATATCAATTATATACATTCAAGATATACATTGGTTCAGTCCAGAAAGGCAGGATAAGTCAAAACAAGAGGGTGATGGGAGGCAGGGTTGTGGGGCCTTCTGGATTATAGATAGATTTTAAATTTTTCTGATAGCAGTTGGTTGAAAGTATTAATAGAAAAGAATGTCTGGGTTATAATAAGTTGTGGAGACCAAAGTTTTATCATGCAGAGGAAGCCTCCAGGTAGCAGGCTTCAGAGAGAATAGATTGTAAATGTTTCTTATCAGACTTAAGATTTGTATTGATGTTAAGTGCAGGTTGGCTTTTCCTGAATTCCAAAAAGGAAAAGGGCTTAATGAGACATGTCTGACACCCCTTTTCTGCCATGGCCTGAACCAGTCTTTCAGATTAACTTTGGAGTGCCCCCACCAAGAGAAGAGAGTCCACTCAGATGGCGGGGTTGTTGGGGGAGCATTGGAATTTTATTTTTGGTTTACATGTAGTTGGCAAAGAAAATAAAACAAAAAATACCAAAAGCAGAATATGTCTGAGTTAACTAAGACAAATAATAGACAGAAATGGGATAATCCAAACAAAATTAATCTCTTGTGTGCATATTAAACTACTAATTCCAATTTTAGCATTGACAATCAACATTTTGATGTGCAAATAAAGAAATCTCTCAATAGTTATGAAAAAAAGCAGTTGTTTCCTACTTAATGTTACAGTTCCTTTCTGGGTAAGGGTGTTTGACAGTGGAAAAGAAGGGTGTTCAATGAGATGTTTCCTTATGTCTAAGAAAAAAGGGAAAAAAATTTCATTTAGAGAAAATGATAATTTCCAGCATAAGACATTATGACTATCAAGTTCCTGTTCTGTTCCTGGCAATTTGTTGTAGGGCCTTAACAGCTTAAAATCTCAAGCTTCCATATTTCATTGCTACATTCTGAGTTTTAAAATCTACATGCTTTATGTAAATTTGCAACACATTTAAACCTTAAACTTCATTTATTTATTTATAATCCCCAGAACTTCAAAGATCATGCATGTTTTTGGTTTCAGCTACAATGCTGATTTTATGATGTTTTTCTCTGAGCCTGTACTGGTTTATTCCAGAGTTGGTGCAAGCTTCCCTGACCATTTGCTGCTCCCGGTACCTCTGATTTTCCACCTAGGGTCAGTCTATTTCTGATATACTAAAGCTTTCTGAAAACTCAGAGCAAATGGATGAGATGAAAAACATGAGACTGTGACACAGGGCTGTCCTGGGAAGACCCAAGATCCAATTAAATAGATGATACAAGTATGTTCTTATCCAAAAGCCTCAGGCCACTATAGGAGGTAAAATACAGTATCCTTCAAATAGAGATCTCCACCTAGAACATATGCGGTGGAATTCTCAAACTTCAAATTACCCTACAAATCAGGGACCGTTAAACCACATCCTGTGGGCCATCCCTGTCCTGCCACCTGTTTTTCCATGGCCCCAGAGCTGAGAGTGGTTTTTATAGGTTTAAATGGTTACACTATAAATGGTGCTAAAAATACCTACAGAATATCCTCAAAGTTGACTCTTGGGAACCACAGACCAAAATCCTTCTTATCTGGACATTTAAGAAAATGTTTACCAAATTATAAAAATAAATAGCACTGAAGTATTAGAGAAAATGCTCAACTTCAAGCAGAACAGGAGAAATCAAAACTAAAAAAAGATAACATTTTTAAATCTGCTAGGTTGAAAAACATTTAAACTTTCCCCAGTGTACTCTGTTCGAATATTTATGGCTGACATTGCGAATTTGTAGATAACCCCTCTAGAGGAGAATCTGAGGACAGTGAGTGAAAATTACAAGCACACATCCTTTTGACTCAGCAATTTGACTTCTAGAAATTTATTCTATGGTCATGTCTACATATAAAATCAAAGGAGTCTACATAAGGATGTTCGCTGCAGTGTTATTTATAAGATCAAAATAGTGATAATAACCATTAAAAGTGAGTTGGCTAAAATTCTACCATAGAATACTCTACAACCTTTGAATGAATGGGGCAGTGCTCTATGCCTAGGATGTCTCAGCAAAGAATAAAAAATAGTGCATGCATGGGATGGTCTTTTACATGGAGGACAAGGACAGGGGCCTTCACTCCACTCTCTCCTTTATCCTTGAGATGATCTACATCTGCCAAAGAGGTTAGGAACTGCGGAAGTCTCCCAGCCAGAGGGAGGCTTCCACAGCCAGAGGGAGGCTTCCACAGCCAGAGGGAGGCTTCCACAGTTCCTAACCTCTTTGGCAGATGTAGCCTGAATGCAGCCTGGCCTGACAGCTTGGCTGCAACCTCGTGATTAACCAGGAGCGAGAATGACCAAACTAAGCTACTCCCAATTCTAGGTGCATCCAAGTCACAAGGTCACAGACATGTGTTCTCTTAGTGTGCTAAGTTTTGTGAGTGTTTTTTTATGCATCAATAGACAATACACTTTGGTTTTTGAAATAAATTTTAGTGTTTATATTTCAGGTACACAACATGATGTTATATAGTAGTTACTTTGTAAATATATATAGTAAACTAGTTACTTTGTTTTAAATATAATCTGTATAATCGAAGTTTAAGGAGCCTAAACTATATATGATAATAGCTGTATTTAACAACTGGCTCAGAAAATTTAAATATTGGACCCAGCTAATGTCCGAATGTGTTCTAAATCAATTCTCACCATTAGATTATTAGGGATTCCAGGTACAAAAGTATTGACAGCCATGAAAATTAGAAATGCTCGATGTCCATGAGGAAGGGAGGTGGACTCAGGTTAACTCTTTCCTGTGGAGCCATTTTGGAATCCCCCATCCTATGGGAAGACCGTCCACTTGTGAGGAGTTTCCAGGACAGGGCCTCAGCGATGTGAGGGGAGGAGAATTCTGCGAGAGCACTGAGCCTGTCACTCAAAATCTCCCCAGCTCAGCAACCTGAGGAATTTCGGCAAAGAGCAGGAGCAATAAAAAGAAAAACAGCAGCATCCTCTTTGTTCTTAATCCCTCAAAAACATCTTCAAGTCTTCTTAAAGTGGTCACTTTAAGCTAGGAGGGCCATCTTCATTAGAGCGTGGTGGACACAGAGTGGAACAAGATGCAATTCCTGGAAACTGGAAGCCATCCCCCTGATGGCTTCTGTCCAGATTGATCTGCATAGTGTGACAGATGGGGGATGCATTTAGAATGAGGATGTTCCTGAAAACAGGAGGGACTGCACCAAGCAGTAAACTCCTTGTCCCTACGTCCCTGCATTGAAGAGCTAGGAATAGTTGCACGTTAAGGGACCAGAGCACACAAGCAAAAGGAAGTTGCCACAGTCCTGAACGAGAAATCACGAGCAGGTTTCCTTTTAGACCTCATGGTGGGAAAGGAGAGGAGCTGAGAGAGGAGAATTGTCAAGGCCATCCTGCAGGAAACCCTTATACAGCGTGAGGAAGCATCTGCAGAGCAAGAAGGGGGCCTGAGAGCCCAGGGCAGGTTTTGATCTTACTTCCTCATTGACTTAAAACACTGTGGAAATTGTTGCTGCCTGCATATGAGCTGCAGTAATAATCAGCCTCATCCTCAGCCTGGAGCCCAGAGACGGTCAGGGAGGCCGTGTTGCCAGACTTGGAGCCAGAGAAGCGATCAGGGACCCCTGAGGGCCGCTTACTGACCTCATAAATCATGAGTTTGGGGGCTTTGCCTGGGTGCTGTTGGTACCAGGAGACATAGTTATAACCACCAACGTCACTGCTGGTTCCAGTGCAGGAGATGGTGACTGACTGTCCAGGAGACCCGGACGCGGAGGGAGGCTGAGTCAGGGCAGACTGGGCCCAGGACCCTGGAAAGGGAGAAACACAGTCTAGTGAGTCAGTGCTGGGCCCAGGTGAGCCTGAGGAGCAGGAGACCAAGGATCAGCCCAGAGGTCCCTGTGGCCCCTTCCCTGGAGGCATCACCTGTGCCCTGAGTGAGGAGGGTGAGGAGGAGCAGAGCCCAGGCCATGGTGGTGACGTCCTGAGAGCGCTGCCTCCTGAGACCCCAGCACTGGGCCTGCCCCCAGCCCTGTCTTATCCCCTCTGCCTCAGAGAAGGGCGGGACCTCCATGCAAATCTGCATCCTGAGCTCCTCTTCTCACCCCACCCTCACTTGGGCCTGGGCTTAGAGACTTCTGCTTCCCTTGACAGCGGGGCTCAGCCAAGGAGACTAAAGTCCCTGATTGTCTATTCTGATGACAGGAAGTTGATTTCTTTGCACGTGATTTGCTCAGGAGAGAAAAATCTGCTGAAGCCCCTCACCTGAGTGAGCTCTTGGCCCTCAGTGTCTCTGCTGTGTGGTGCCTGTGTCTCTGTGACCCTCCAGGCCTGGGCACACCTCGAAGTAACCTCTTTCTGGCACTCATTGCCAGGTTCTCTCTATTCTCAGGAAATGGGGCTGCCCAACCCCACTGGAAGCCTCTGCTGGGTGGCGTTGGTCCCTGGTCTGCCCAGCGGCAGCCTCGTCCCATCCCCACTCCCATGCTTTGTCCTGAAGCATCTGCACCATCAAATCCCTGGAGCACATCAGCCACCCCAGGCAGTGCACCCACATCCACACGGGCACATGTGGGTGGGACCCTGTGAAGGGAACAAGGAGCACCAACCAGGGCCACAGTCCTGAGCCTGAGTCCGCTGCTCCCAATCCTGCCCCTCCCACTCATGAGCAGGTGACTTGTCCTTCCCAGCCTCTGGTTCTCAGCCTGATAAATGGAGACCACAGAGTCCGTTCTGCATACAGGTGATCCATGGGGATATGAGCCAGCAGGGAAAAGGGAAAGTTTGCTAACAGGCCTTTCTATGTGCACCAGAGTGATGTTATCTTGAAAGGTTTATTGAAAGATTTACTTCCATTTTACTGTGATTTATGTGTCAGGTCACAGAGATGCACGTTTCCGGCTTTCTTACTTTCCCCCATCTGAGCACATCCTCAGGACAACCTAAAGCTGACCTCTCTCAACCCTTCGACACTGAAGACACACAGACATTCAATAAAGACATTTTTAGTTTTTCCTCCAAATGCGTTTAATCTTTCTTCATCTTTCCCCATTGCCTATGATGCAACTCTTTTAATGTTCCATATTAAAATAACTATTAAGGGATTCAGGTTCTATTTAAATATTGTAACATACACTATCCTGTCTTCCCATCTAGATTGAGCTATAAAACCATGACAAGTGCATGGAGCAGCTATTTGAGCACCAGGAAAGGAAATGGTACGCAGCAGTTTGGGATGGCCCCAGCAGATGAAATACAACAGAGTCAGTGTGAGACTGCTGGATTTCCTCACTGTCCCCTGGCTGGGACTCCAGACAGCCCCAAACCTGAAGGGGCACAAACCTGAAAACAAAAAGAAGTCCAGAAAGCCCTCTTGTTCAGGATCGAACTTGGGAAAGAAAACTTATTTGGCTCAAAGTGAAGGCTCAGTCCCCTGCACAAGCAGGTGGTTCACACCTGTGTTCTCATCTCTCTTATACCAGCGCCTCTCCCTGGGTTCACACTGATGTCCTATGGATGGAGACGGGGCTTCCTGCACCAGGTCACTCCACAGCCCCTGTAACCTGAAGCCCTGCAGACCAGCCTTGTTCAATCACAATGTGATGTGAGCCTCATGGGAATCCCACTGTCTAGTCATCATGTTATAAATACAAAGAGAAGAAGTCAATGAGTTTAAATAATGTATTTTATTTACCTAGCATATCAAAAAGAGTATCATTTTCATATATAATCTAAGTACAATTATTTATGATATATATCATATACTTTGCATGGCTATTGTTATTATTTTTTGAAGAATCTTTATGTGGAGATTGTGTGGCTGATGGAGATGTGAATGGGTTTCCTGTTGACAAGGGTGGGTTGTGGTGGCTTTTTAAGTGTCAACTTTGATAGGCTGGAGGAGGGGTGGAAAGAATGATTTTTTACACAGGATGTGGAGGGTGGAGGTAGGCAGTGTCCATACTTAAGCTCACCCTGTGGGTGCATCTGTGGTCCCTGCATGGGGTAAGGCTGCTCCTCCTGCCCCAGGTTTCCCTGCAGGGAGATCTGACTCCAACTCTCCCTTAGACCCCAGAGCACCTGGCGAGTCAGGCTCCCTTCTCATTCCATGCAAATGCAAGAAACACTCAGATCTCATTGGGCGTGTGGATACTCACAGTGCTAATTTAGGAATAAACAGGTGCTTTCCAGCATACAGTGGCCTCCTGAAGTCCCACATGGCCCATGTTGGGGATGGCTGGTGATCTTAATTGGGTTCCCTGGAAGCAGACTCTGAGATGAGGAATTGCATGCACAGAGGATGTGAAAGGAGGTGAGGGAGGCAACCCTGGGCAGGAGACCCTGACCCTCATTGAGGTCTCAAGTCTTTCCTACAGAGAGCTGTGGAGCTGGGAGGATTTTCAGGTCTTCCTATATTGAGGCAGAGTCGAGAACTCGGCCTCAGGCAGTCATGAAATCTAACCTCACTGAGAAAGGGCATAGACCTGGAGGAGTCTGTTTTCTGCACCGAACAGCACTTTACAGTGAGGACACAGCTCTGACCTGCCAGAAGCTCCCAGTAGTGCTTAGTGGGTAAGCTCAGAACAGGGGATCTGGGCAGATCCCACAGTGTCTACTCCATTGGTGTTTCTCTAAAGAATGACAGGCTACCACAGGAGCCTGAGCTGGGCAGTTCTGGGGACTGATCTAGGACATTTGGGGCAAGGACTGGCCTGTCACCACCTATGGAAATCCAGAGACAACTGTGGATGTCTACCTCAGTCTGATCTTCCATGCAGGCCCTATTTTCCCAAGTCACAGCTGAGTCACCAAAACACCAGTCCATCCTGATCACATCACCCTAAATGAACTACTGATGCACTTTCTGCAGACCCCGCCTGAAGGACTGGAGGGAGGGACAGGCTGGGGGCAGAGATTAAAGAGAATTTAACCAGATCTGCGTAAGGCTTTGTTCATAGTCCTCCTTGAATTAGAGAAAGAGGGTGACATAGATGGCGAAAGGGTTTGTGTCTCACTTCTTCATCTGCCTGTGTTACTGTGTGCAGTGCTGCTGTCCCACACCTGACAGTAATAGTCAGCCTCATCCCCGGCTTGGGCTCTGCTGATGGTCAGGGTGGCCGTGTTCCCCGAGTTGGAGCCAGAGAATCGCTCAGGGATCCCAGAGGGCCGGTTGCTATCCCTATAGATGACCAGCACAGGGGCCTGGCCTGGCTTCTGCTGGTACCAGTGCACATTTTTACTTCCAATGTTGTTTCCCCCACAGGTAATCCTGGCCGTCTGTCCCAGGGCCACTGACACTGAGAGTGGCTGAGTCAGCTCATAGGAGGCCACAGAACCTGCAAGAAAAGGGGAGAGAATAGAATAGACTTGAAACTGAGAGGCTCAACCCAACAATGCCTTCCCACCTGCCTGGCCTGAGTTTCAGGAATAGAAGTGTCCTCAGGGGACCATGAGCACAGAAGAACAGTGTGGGGGGATTTCACCTCCAGCAGCCCCTCCCCCTGCAGCAGGATCATGAGCATCCTGCACACCACAGGCAGGGCCCTGCTGAGATCACTGTCAGGCCAGGCTGGACCCAGAGCCTTGGAGCTGGGTAGGTGGCTGGGACACTGGGGGCAGCACCTGTAAAGTGAGCAAGGAGGCTCAGAAGGAGAGCGGTCCAGGCCATGGCTGCGGCACCCCCGATGCTGCTTCCTGAGGCCCAGGCTGGGCAGGTTCCTTCCAGCCCTCTCTTATCCCCTTGCTGAAGAGAGCAGCCTGTGATGCAAATCAGCAGAGTCAAGGGCTGCTACTGGAGGAGCTTTGTGGTTTCCAGAGAAGGGCTTAGCCCCAAAGGATGCAGAGAGGGGGAGGAGTGGCCTTGCACTCTCACCCTCAGCCTACAGGATCTCCTTTACAAACTGGTTCCACGGTCTCTGCAGATATCTCCACACCACGCTGTGCTCAACCCGACTCCTGGGCTCACTTGGTCATGGTAGAGCTCATAAGTGACTCTGGGTGTTTTTCCTAGGATACATGAAGCCCTTCCTATGTGATTATCCCTAACTGTTGCAGGAGGTGGCCATAGAGTCACAGTGGTGATGGGGAAATTATCTGGGGTCCCCAGTCCCCTCCTCCATTCCATTCTGGCTCAGGAGGGAGGTGGTGAATTTTGGTCTAGGCCTCTAGATGTATCCTGATCATGAATAATTTGTGCCAGAGAGGAGATTTTGGGTGTAGGCCTAAATCCGTTTTTGAAGACACTTTCCAGAACCTAATGCAAGGACCCTCTATCCACACTCTACAGGTGACAGCATGTGCCTTGGATAGGTACAGACCCCACCCCAGGGCACAGCTCCTCAGTGCTAGAGAAGAATAAAATTTCTTGGTTGCCAAGTGCACATGGAGTGTTGGAAGATCCATGGGATGCGGTAAGTTTCCTCGTTGGCTGTGAGCTCCAGGGCAGGTCGTACATGCTGTGCCTCAGTGTCCCCAGGGTGCTGTGAGGACCAATGACAGATAAGGAGGTCAAGAAAATGTTTGCTCCATGAGAGAATGAGAGGGGTCAGCAAACTGCAAGACCCCTGGAAATGAATGTTTATTATGACTAAGTTGTCTTCAGTTGCTGGGGAAAACAAATCAAGGAATTAAAAACTTAATTAAGTCAACAGAAGGTTAATGAGCAACTATTTTGTGCCTCACAAGGAAATTGAGACCTGTGATTTGGCAGCTTTCCCAGGAGACAGATGGGAAAGCCCAGGGACAGTGGAGATGGGGAGCAGCCAGGGAAGAAGAAGCTGCTGTGTCTACAGGACAGGGGCTCCCAGAGCAAAGGGCAGGGAGGGGGACACGTGTCACCTCAGGAAGGACACTGTGCGTGACAGGGACAGCATTTTAGCACAACTGGGTGTGTGAGGAGAGGATGTGTGGGGAAGTCAAGTGCCTGGACCTTTGTCAGGGAAATAGGAGCATCTACAAAAGCTGAAGATAAAATTTGATGCTAGAATTTTTACATCAGTGTCAAGGACAACACTCTAGAAAAAGAAGGACCTATTTTCCCTCCAGGTGTCAGGTCGTGGTCACTGACCCTCCCTGCATGTCAGCATCTCCCTGATGCCCAGGTCCACCCCATCCCGAGGTGGCTTTCCCAGGTGACTCTTTGCTGCCCCCCTGGTGGCTGCTCCATACTGACTGCTGGAGGCTCATGGGCCTCCTGGGTCCAGGCATAGGAACAGAACCTACTGCTCAGGTCCCTGATGCCTTGATCCGTGGACTGCTGGCCCCTGGGGAGGAATTCCTCTTCTCTGTGTGGCCCCTGCCTGACTCAAGACCAGGTAAAAGGGGCTCAGCTTACCCATAAAAATACAAAAAATACAGAAACAATGAAAGCAAACCCCCATCATATTGGAGAAGAGTAACCTGGAACAGGAGTGTGAGGGGAAGAGTCTGCTGTGTGTGGGGATCTGAGAGGACAGCGGCAACCTGAGGGGATCTGGGACCCAGACCAGTCCCTGTCTGATTTGATATTGTCTTGTAAGTGAGGAGCTGGGGGCAGGTGTGTGGTGCGTCAGGTGTGCGGAGGGAAATTTCTTGCTTATGCTCAGCAATCTGGGAGGGGCTGAGCGCATACACTCCCTGTTGGTCTCCAGGATGCAGTCGCTGAGGCTGGGACTGATTAGACACAAGTGGGCTCAGCCCCCTCACTTGTTCCTGCTTACCTAGGGCTGAAGCCACTTAGAGTGGTGGTTAATCCGCCTCCACACTTCTCTCCCGGTGTCCATCATGCAGCCATGGGGAAATTAAGCTACTGTTACTTCCACTGATCCTGGGTCACCATCAATGCACCAGCACAAGCAGGTTGACTGTTTTCTGGAAAGTTCTCTGGCAATTTTCCTTTTGTTTCAGTCGTGCAGAGCTGACTGATGGGGCACCTGCCTTTCAGAGGATACCTGTTTGCTACCAGGCTCTTACTCTAGAGGAAGACAGAGCCCTTGGCATAGCTGGGGTGTCTGCTGTGCCTGTGGGTAGGTAGGTGTTTGTAGAGAACAGGTTTTCTTGAATGTCACCATGCTTCACAGCACCTCCACACCATGGTATCACTAGGTCCTCAGTGATCCTGTGATTCCTCCTGCTCTGGGCAAAACCTTCTGCTACTAATTAACTTGCTTCCTCAGGCTGTTCCCGCAAAGTCACTTTGTGAACCTGAGTTTATTCCTCAGTTTGTTTTGAGGGTTAATAGCTATTAAGTCTCACTCACCTTCACCTGTGTAATGGCTGATTGGCAGTGAAGGGCTTCCTCTTACAGAGCACCTGCCGAGTGCTAGTGGCTGGGTGGTGGAGATGCGGCACTGGAAATTCCATCTGCAGAATGAACAGCTCCTTCAAGTTCCAAATCCATCTATAGACATTGGCCACATACACATCAGTGCATAAGGTCATCATCGACTGCTATCTTTCCTCCATCGACTCAGTCCCCAAAAGTCATAATGCCCTTCCCTTTGATGGTCAAAACATAAAATGGACTCAACACTGGAACGAGGTTCTACTGCACACAATGAACATGGTCCAACTGTGCACAAGGAACTTGAGTTTTCTTGTGGAACTTTTTGCAAAATGTTTCATAAGCTTCGGCTTCCAAGGAATACTGTTGGATCAGAGAGACATGGCAACCAAATGTGGGCATGGGAAACTTCAGGGTCCTGAAAGGCAAGGAAATTGAGCAACTATAAGAATCGTTCTTGTGCAACTGGAGAATATGATTATGGTCTGCATAGAAGAGTGCTATTAATAGTCTCACTTGTGGTAGAGAGAGAGAAACAAAAAGACGACTATGGCAGAGTGTCCACGGTTACCCCATCTAGGAAGAGGATGTGTATATATATGCGCTTGTGACAGTAGTCTGTTAACTTTGATGTATACACATGATTTCACCAAAAAGCAGTTGTACTCTTAAAGAAGGAAACAAAAAGACTAAGAGATTCTAAGTGAGAAAAGAAAGCCCAGTGAACCTGTCCCTAGGGCCTGGGATGAGAGATCCCTCCTGGAAGAGGGTGCCAGCCTCACCTAGCAGGACCTGTCCCCTGTGCCTGCAGACCCGGGATATGGAGCAGAGGGGCAAGTCCTGCACTTGGCACCAAGGACTTCTTAGTGAGCTCCTCAGAAAGCAGCCCAGAGCCCAGAGATAAAATCCAAGCTATCAGGGAGCTGGAGGCACACCTAGTCAGGTCAGACAGGTCCTGGGAATTTGGGGACTGGGAAAGGTCAGTGTTCCCTGAAGACAGTCCCCAGGTGGAACCAAAGGTTGGGCCTGCACTTCCTCTGCAGTTTCTGTGAAATGTCAGGACAGGAAGGCTCCTGGGGCCCACAGGGGTTGGGTCTCCTGTCCTCCTTAGGCCTCAGGTGCCCCATTACAATGTGGGGTCAACTCATCTAGGAAACCAGAGGAGACACGGCTTCCACTAAGCTGTTTCTACGCAAGGAAAAGACGAATTCCAGTAGGATTGCACCCTGTGAAACAGCTCTCTCCTTCCCTGTGTGACGTGTAATTACACATGGAGCCATGTGACACTATATGGATTCCTGAAGTTCTCATGTGTTCTACAAACCTGTAAAAGGTCCTTGCAGCTTCAACGAGCTTCCCCCGTACAGGTTTTATTGAACACATGTAGGCCCTGAGAGTATGGAAAAGCTGTTACGAATCTCCGGCCCTGCAGGGACCAGGTGAGGACCAGAGAGGACACCTGATTCTGAGGCCTGACCTACAGCTGCTCAGAGGGCAGGTAAGAATGAGAGGCAGGCTGAAGTGGGACAGTTTGTTGCAAGTCCCCATCTGTCTTTGTCACTGTGAGTCCCTGCCAGCTGCCCCCACTGTCACAATCTGAGGCACAGTAATAGTCAGCTTTGTCCCTGGCCTGGGCACTGCTGATGGTCAGGGTGGCCATGTTCGCTAGTTTGTGGCCTAAAAATTAAGCAGAGGTCTCTGAGGGCTGGTCGATGTTATACTAGAGGACCGACATTGAGGTCTGGCTTGGCTTCTGCTTGTTCCAAAATGCGTGTTTATTCCGAGGTTATCTCCAGAGCATATGATCATGGTCATCTGTCCCAGGGCTACCGACACTGAGGGGAGCTGTCCCTGCATGTAGGAGGCCCAGGGCTGTGCAGACAGGAGGGTAGAGAAGGGTTGATGACAGAGACCCATTCCCAGAAGGTCCCAACACCGAGGCTGTGCCTGGTCTGAACTCAGGGTTTGGGCTGGCCATTTATGGAGCAATTTATTGAGTGGTTTAATGGAAGGTCTTTCACTCTAAGTAAAATGTCTCTTAAAACATTTCCACACTATTGTCTTATAAAATTTCCACAATAGAAATAACTAATGTTTCCTGTTCTCAATATAAAAATAGATTTCTCTTAGTGGTGCTAAAACTGAATTGGATACCAAGATGTGGTTGACAGGACCCCAGGGTAGGCAGGGGCCAAGTAGTGGCATTTTAGTGCCTAAGACACTGTGGCTTGGTTACACTAATGCATAGCTAAGCCAACAAGGAATCAGAATAATCAGACAAGATCATGGATGTGGTCTAGGTGGTCCCAGTGACCCTAGACCTGAGGTAGGCGAGCAACCTCCCCATTGTTATTTTTCTAAATGAGCAGAAAGCTCCATTAGAGGAAGACTGGGGGGGCTCCTGGGCCTCAACAGGGGCTCTTTGTGACTGTGGCCACAGAGCTCACCATGGGACACAAGCTGCCAATGAGCTGGATGTTATCTGACCCCCAGTCCGAGGTGGCCATTTATAGTGGCCTCCCCATCACATGGCTGGGCTGTACCTGAGACCTGATGGATCAGGTCACAAGGACAAATAAGTTGCATGAAGAGGTGGCCAGATAGACACGGGCCAACTCCTGCCCCATGGCCATCCTCTCACCTTACAGCCTGGGCCTCCTGAGGGGCTCCCTGGGACCAGCTGCCTAGGAGGAGGCACTTAGACTGGGGTTACAGAGGTTTCTGCAGGACATGCAGCCATCCCTGCTGTGGACAGTGCTAGTATCCCACCTGGCCTCTGGGCTTCCCTGAACAGCAGTGGTGGAGGAACACTCTCCTTAAGGCAGAACTTAGAGCAGTGTACCTGGTTCATGTCATCTGCAAAGAGAGACGGGCAGAGGTTCCTAGTTCATGGGCTGTGACTCAGGGACTTGGAAGATGATCAAGGATGTTCAGGGACACAGGAAATACAATCAGAATATTGATCACAACTGTGTCTGAGGGAGAGATGTGTGAGCAAGCAGAAAGCATGAGAATATTTATCTCCTATGTGAATATTTTGTGAAGTCTGACATGAGAAGGAATTGATTTTGCTAAACAGGTTGGTAGGATGGGTGGCTCTCTGGACACCTGGCAGTCTGCCCCAACCACTGCCATCATTGCCCAATTGGCTCAATAACAAATGCCCTATGGTTGCAGAAAAGGAGGCTGTCCATGGACTCATCAAAGTGGACTACCACTCACTAGAGCTGACCTGGCTGTAGCTACTGCTGAGTGACCATCTGCCAACAGTGAAGACCAACAGGAAGATCCCTATAGGATGCCTGGTTGATATTAATTTCATTAAAGCTGTTCCTTCATGGCAGGGATAGCTCTTTGCTCTTGCCAGAATACACACTTAGTATAGACAGGGATTTGCTTTCTTTGACTGCAGTGCTTCTGCCAAACCTTTTATCTCTGGACTACAGAATGCTTCACCCACCATGATGGTATTCCACAGGGGGCTTTGACCAAGGAACTCATATCACAGCAAATAAACAGCAACCATGGGCCCATCCTCATGGCATTCAAGTGTCTTACCATCTTCACCAATGTGGCATCTGGCTTATATGAATGGCTCAGTGTCTGCTTGAAGACTCAGTTACTGTGGCAGCAGGATGGCAAAAACATGTAAGGTTGGGCAATGACTTTGAGGATGGGGCATGCGCTGTACAGCAGTGCCCAATATGCAGTACTATTTCTCCCACAGTCAGGATCCATGAGTCCAGGAATCAATGAATAAATTGTAGTGGCTCCACTCAAAAACGTCCTTAGTGATCCATGAGCAAAATTTAATGTCCTCCCCCACAACCTCGGGCTCTGTGAGTCTAGAGTCTTAGTTGCACTGGAGAAATGCTTCTTCCAAGAGATAAAACAATGACTGCATTGAACTGAGAGCTGAAAGTTTCCCCTGTCGCTCTGGGCTGTTCATGCCTGCATGGATGTCCCGCTGTGTCTGTCTTTCCACTCATACTCTCCATTCACAACTCAAACCGTGGGCAAGGAAACACAGGGCAGTCTGGCCCTGCCAGGCCCAAATCCACTCCTGACTCATTCCTGCAAAGTCTGCCTAGAGGAGTGGAGGGAAAAGCAGCTTAAGGATCTCCTAACCAGGTGAATTCTGCCAGACCTGCTTATGGGTTGGTCCACAGCGGTCCTGGGGCTGGAGGGAGAGGGTAAAATAGATGAAGAAGGGGTTTGTGTCTCACTTCCCCATCTGCCAGTGTCACTGTGCTATGATTACCACTGCTGTCTGTTGAGTAACAGTAGTAGTCAGCTTCATCCTCCACCTGGGCCCCACTGATAGTCAAGGTGGCCATTGTCCCTGAGCTGGAGCCAGAGAATCTCTCAGGGATCCCGGAGGGTCGTTTGCTGTCCTCATAGATGACCAGCACAGGGGCCTGGCCTGACTTCTGCTGGTACCAATAAGCATATTTTTTTGGCAATGCATCTCCAGAGCAGGTGATCCTGGCCGTTTGTCCTGGGGACACTGACACCGAGGGTGGCTGTGTCAGCTCATAGGAGGCCTCAGAGACTGCAAGGAAAACAGGAGAGGGGGCTTGAAGATCAAGAGCCCATTCCCAGGGGTCCTACCCTAAGACTGTGTCTGGGCTTTGCACAGGGTTCAGGGCAGGGCCAACTTGGGGTCTATGGGCACTGAGCCTGGGGCAGGGCCTGGGAGAAGCACCTGTGCAGAAAGTGAGGAGGGGGAGCAGGAGAGGGGTCCAGGCCATGGTGAGATTCCCAGAGCTCTGCCTCCTGAGCCCACAGCACAGCTGGGCTCCCCAGGCCTCTCTTATTCCTTCCCAGGCCCTATGGGGCAGTAAGTGCTTGGTGTTCATGCAAATTTCTATCCTCTGGGACTCCTCATTGAAAGATGTCACTCAAACTAGCTGTGGGGGCAGCACAGGTGACTGAAGAAGGAGTTGGGTCTTTGGTCAGAAAATTAGCCTCGACCTCTGAGGCCTGTGATCACAGTCACCTTCCTGGGGACTGGCCATATGACCACTGTCCCAAACCTCTCTGACCTGTGGTCTGTCCTGGGCCAGGCTCAGCAGGGCTGCGGGCCTTCTAGAAACCTGGCTTGGGGCTGAGTTTGGCCCTGCTGAGAGATCATTGATGAAACCTGACTCAGCAGCAGGTGGACCAAGAACCCACCATATTCCCCCTCCTCTCTGGGTCCCCCAGCATTACTTAGTCCCATCCTGGTCATTTCATCTAAATAACGTACTGTGTCGTCAGGATACTTGTTAATTATTTCAGTAGGAGTAGGTGGTTCATTTACGCAACCACACACCCTTGTGGCATCATCTGGACGTCTGCTCTCATTTCAGCCATGGTGCCGCTCCTTTTAGGCCATCCCCCATCCCCACATAGATCAGCCATTGCCATCCTCAGCTCTTCCATTATTTATTTATTTTTTCCTATGAGTATTTTGTGTAAACTTGTAAAAGGCCCCAGAAAAGCATCGGGGTTCTCAGTCCAGTGTGTTTTTCTGGTGCTTTTTACAAGTTTACATGAAATATTGATGGGAAATTCAACTTTAGGCCTGGTGGTCTCTGCAAATATCCCAGGGACACAGCCTTTGCACAGAGTGTGAGCTCTGGATGGTGGGTGGTCCCTGGTCTCTGCAATGCAGCAGACTCTTGTCACTGAGCCAAGGACAGCCTTGTGGTCAGAGCTCTGGCCTGAATCAGGTGAGAACCCCCTTCCCTCTGGAGAGCATCTCCTCTAGGAGGCCCGGGAAGCCCCACCCAGGAACCGGGGCCCTGAATGTGCCGCCCCACCCACCTGAGACTCCCCTGCGCACAGGAGCTGCCCCATGAGTCAGAGTCAGTCTCGAGCTGGAAGGAGAGGCAGAGGGAGGAGGGGTCAGGCGTCCCTGGAAGTGCCTGGGACAGGGTTCAGCTCCCCAGGACACTGCTGGAGAGGGAGGGGCGAGGCCCCGAGAGTGGCAGGATGCTCAGATGGCCATCCTGGGTGAAGGACTTGAGCCCTGGGAGCCCCATCCTCTCCCACTGGGCCCCCTCCTAGAGCACCTCAACCTTGGGGCATCTTCCAGGGAATTCCAGCACTGTGGGAGCTGCCCAGGCTGACATCTGGGCCCAGGTGCCTCCGGCTGCATTTCCCAGGTGAGGCTCTCATTGTGCCCCGGCTCCTGTCGGTGTCCTGGGTGATGCTGTTTGAGTCTGACCCTCAGAACATGGTCGCTGTAACCAGAAGCAATAGGATGGACTGTCCTGACTTCCAATCCTAGGACTGAACCTTGGACACCTGTAGACCTCCCAGGGCTGCCTACCCCTTAGGCTCCACCTGGGCAGCCCCAGCCTCTGGCTGCTCCTGGCTGCAGCTCTGCTGCCCCCTGCTGGTGGACAAGACTGAGCCTAGGAGAGCTTTTCTCCTCCGGGTGACCCCACAGCACCTGTCATCTGGGAGGTTGGGGACAAAGGAGTCCAGCCTCACTTTGAGCCAGTGTGATCCACTGTGGTTTTCTCATGTCAGCACAGAAAGGTGTATATGGTTTCGGGAGGGTGGGCAGATTCAATTCCCATAATGGAGTCTTGTGCTGAAATGTTGTTCTTTGGTCCATGATTTTTGATTGCGGGCTGGAGAGTGCAGGGTAAGCTGTAGCTCTTCTGTGATAAACATAAAAGCCCAGAGAAATGCAGCGACACCTCATGGGGACCCTCAATTCCTAAATATATGGGAACTAAGACTGGTGCCCCCATTTTATAAGAAAAGCTGCATTGAATTTGGGAACACCTGATGTTTCTATCACTAAACCTTAGTTGTGTACTTAAGTCATTATCATCATCATCGCCATCTTTTTCTATGACTGTTATTTTTATTTCATCACACACTGTTCACAATTTGTGGTGGGAGGATTTCTACACTATCCTTGTCTGTTGTTTTGAGAAAATTGCGAGTATCTTGCTAACACATCTGGGAACATGCTTTCCCACACTCCAGAAAAATGCCCCCAGAGATGGACAGGACCTCACCAACCTGTGTCCACCCTCTGAGATTCACTTATTCCATCTTTAACTAACAGGTTCTTTTTGTGTCTTTTTCTCAACTGCAGTATAAGCCTCCCAGTTTTAAAGATAAAATTGAGGCCAAGAGAACTAATGCCCAGGATAACAAAGAAAAGTTGTGGCAAGTCCAGTTGTTCCTGTACCTTGAAACTTGGTTCAATGTGTTTATTCACTTTGTTAGTTTTTCTGTGCGTGTATTCTTTGGGATATTGTACGTTTAGAATCGGGTTCTGTGCAAATAGGGATGATTTTACTCCTTCATTTCCATTCTAGATACCTATTATTTCTTTCTTTGCCTAAGAGCTTTGACTAAAACTTCTGTACAATGTCAAATAGTAGTTGTGGAGGCAGGAGTCCTTGTTTTGTCCCTGATCTTAGTAGGGAAGCTTTTACTCTTCCACCATTTAATGTGATGTACACTGTGGCTTTAGATAAAGGTCCTTTATTAGTTTGTAGAAGTTTCCTTCTATTCCGAGTTTGCTGAGTGTGTGTTTTTTTTTTAATCAGGAAAATGTGAATTTTGTGAAACACTTTTTCTGCATCTACTCAGATGATCATACACTTTTTCTGTCACTCTGTTAATATATATTACGTTGATTCATGTTCTTATGTAGAACCATCTTTGAAATCCTTTATTCCCCTTAACTTAACGTTGGATTTGGTTTGCTTTTATTTTGTTGAGGATTTTTGCATGCTCATTCTTAAGGAATATTAGCCTTTAGTTTAGTTTTTTTAAAATACTATCCTTGTTTGCCTTTGGTGTCAGGCTAATGCTAGGGTCTTCGAATGTGCTGGGAAGTACTTCCTCTTAATCTGTTTTGGGAAGAGATTGATTATGGTTGATATCAACTCCTTTTTACATTTAGCAGAATTACCAGTGAGGCCATCTGGTTTTGAGTTTTTCTTTTTTCGGAAGTTTCCATTGCTGATTTACATCCCTTATTTTCTATATTTCTGTTGATTTTTTTCTCTTTTTTCTTGAGTCAGATTGGCAATCTGTGTTTACTATGAATTTGTCCATATCTTCTAAGATTTGGCATACAATTGCTTGTGTGTTCTTCTATTATAATTTAAATTTCCATAAGCTTTGTACTATTGTCCCAAATTTCTGATTTTACTTATTTGTGTCTCTTCTCTTATTATCTTTTTTTTTTTTTTTTTTTTTTTTGGAGATGGAGTCTTGCTCTGTTGCCCAGGCTGGAGTGCAGTGGTGTGATCTCTGCTCACTGCAGGCTCCGCCTCCTGGGTCCATGCCATTCTCCTGCCTCAGCCTCCCGAGTAGCTGGGACTACAGGCACCCACCACCATGCCCAGCTAATTTTTTTTTTTTTGTATTTTTAGTAGAGACGGGGTTTCACTGTGTTAGCCAGGATGGTCTCGATCTCTTAACCTCATGATCCACCCGCCTCAGCCTCCCAAAGTGCTGGGATTACAGGCGTGAGCCACCATGCCCGGCCTAGGTGGTCAGTAAAAGTGGAGAAGTGAAGTCTCCAAGTTATATTATAGATCTACATATTTTTTTTTTCAAATTGGTCTTCCTTTATGTACTTTGAAGTGCTATCCCTTGGTGCATAATTATTCTGTCTTCTTGACTAGTTGGTTATTTCATCAATTATAACGCCTTTCTTTGTCTCTTGTAAGCATTTTTAACTTGAAGCCTATATTGTCTGAAATTGCTTTAGCTACCCCAACTCTCCTTTTGTTACTATTTACACTTTTCCTTTTGTATTTGGCTTTTGATGCTTTGATCAGAATGTGTCTCACTGCAGACTTCAGTTTAACTTGCTTGGAGTTTATTGAGCTCCTCGAAAGTATAGATTCTAATCTTTCATCAAACTTAGAAGTTTTGAGCTATTTTTCTTTATGTATTTTATTTTTCCTTTCCTGTTTTTCTTCTCTTTCTGAAACTCCCATAAAGCAATATTGATATGCTTGATGTTGTCTCATATGTCTCTTAGGCTTTGTTCATTTATTCTTTTCTAAAAAAATTTATGCTCATCCTGTGGAATTTCAATGATGTATCTTCAAGTTCACCGATTATTCTTCTGTCTGCTCACACCACTACTTAACTCCTCTGGTGAGATTTTGATTTCAGCTATTGAACTTTGCAGTTTCAGTATTTCTGCTTGGTTCCTTTATAAAACTTGTCATTATTGATATTTCATGCTTGTTCAAACATCATTTCCCTGCTTTCCTTTAGTTCTGTTTCCATGGAGTCCTTTTGCTTTTTGAGCATATACGGGCAGTTCATTTGAAGTGTTTGTGTAGCACGTGCAATGCCTGTGCTTCCTGAGGAATGCATTCAGTTGATTTATTTCTTTCCTTTTAGTGGGTCTTGCTTTCTTTTATGTTTGTCTGCTTTGTAAACTTTTCTTGAGATCTGGGTATTTTGGATGTTATGATATTGTCACTCTCGAAATCAGATTGTCTCTCTTCTCTGCCTTGGCTGATGTTGCTTGCTGAAAGGTGCTGTTATTCAATTGCGTGGTGACATTTCCAAAATATTTTGGTAAGGACCAGCTTCCTTGTCAGAGTGATCCATGCAGTTTCTGTTCAATTATTTCCATGGCCAGAAATTGACCTGACAGAGATTATTTTATGTCTCTCCCTTCATCGGCACATCCCTGAATACTGCAAATGTGGGACAAGATTCTGTTGTTTTATGAGAGTTAATGTCATGACTCTTGCCACTTCAAGTAATTTCACAGGAGGGACCATTTGCTGGAGCTTCGTACTCCACCATCTTCCATGATGCCACTCTGAGAGCAGGTATTCTTGTCTTTTTTGTGCACCAATAAATCTCCATCACCTAAACAGTATATGAGACAGTTTAGTGAACTGGTTTAAATTCATATTTGTTTAATGTGTAAGTAAATGTAATTGAATTTATAATACTTTTTATCCATTTCCCATGAGTCAGGTGCTGTGATAGCAATGTTTTACGTATGCAGTTACCTTTCTTTTAATTTTCATATTTTATTCAATGTGTATGTCTTCAAATTTGTTCATGGATGTCTTAGCCAGATTTATGATTTTTAAAAGCCAAAATATAATGTCTCGCTAAATCTACTGAACCAGTGGAGGGACATCATGTGGTCACCCACTGCTCCCGTGGCATCCATGAGTGTGGCTTTAACTCTGCCTTTTTTTTTTCCTTGATTAGTGTTGGAAAATCATAGGTGACCTTTTGTCAGGAGAATAAAGTATTAAGAACCATGACTGGAAATTTTCCTCTCTCAAAAGAAGCAATGGGAAATTCTACAATTAGTGTTGTTCATTTCAATAGCTCTCTCTCACAGACCTACAAAATAAATACACAAAAAAACAGTAAGAATATATATTTGAACTATTAGCCAACTTAGGCTAATTGAATTCGTAGAAAACTATACCCACAGCAGCAGAATAAACATTGCTATTTCAAATACACAGGGAACATTTTTCATGATACTTCCTATTCTAGGCCACAAAACAAATGTTAACAAATTTGAAAATATGAAGCTCATGCAAGGTATGATTTAATGCAGAATTAACTAATTAAATGGAATTGATACATGATGAACTGTGGTAAATCTTCAATTTTTTGGAAATGAAAGAAGATAAAACTACATATTTCATAAGTCAAAGAAAAAAATCACAACAAAATTAGAAAATACTGAACTTTTAAAACACAAAAACAAATGTATTAAAATTTAAAAAATAGATATAAGTAAGTAGTTTTAAATAAATCTATTGGATTGAATGTTTGGCAGTGGAAAGAAGCAAGATCTAAAATAAACTAAGGTTCTACCTCATAAATCTAAGGAAAAGGAGAGCATTGAAATTCAATTTAAATAGAGAAAAGGTATTAATATAGTTAAGAGCCAAATATCAATGAAATAGAAAACAGGAAAACAACAGAAAACCTCAAAAAGTGACTTAAAAAATACAATCTATGGATATGTTCCTTGTTTTTCTTTCCCTTTCTCTGTCTCTGTTTTTGATTGCTTTAAAAAATGGTTCCTTTCTATCTTCATGCCGGCTTAAGTGATGGTTAATTTTAAGTGGCACATTGACTAGGATGTGGTTCCAGGTTGATTTTGTCCAGTACAAACATAGAAGTTTATGTGAAGATATTTTCCAGATGTGACTCACATTTAACTCAGTAGACTTTGTATAAGCAGATTACTCATCACAATGCGGTGGGCCTCATTCATGAGTAGAAAGTGTATAGAGCAGGCCAGGCCTGGTGGCTCACACCTGTAATCCCAGCACTTTGGGAGGCCAAGGAGGCAGGAGGATCACTTGAGGCCAGGAGTTCGAGACCAGCCTGGTCATCATGGAGAAAGCCGGTCTCTACTAAAAATACAAAAATTAGGTGGATGTGATGGTGCACACCTGTAATCCCAGCTACCTGGGAGGATGAGGCACAAGAATCACTTGAAGCTGGGAGGTGGCGATTGCAGTGAGCTGAGATCACACCACTGTAACCCAGCCTGGGTGACAGAGTGAGACTCTGTCTCACAAAAAAAAAAAAAAAAAAAAAGAAAGTGTTTAGGTGTTTAGAGCAAAGAGTGAGGATTTCTTAAGTCCTGTATTGCTGAATTCAGGCTCAGGACGCAACATCAACTCTTACCTGCATTTCCAGCCTTCAGCCTGCCCAAGAGATTTTTATCCTTGTCAGACAGGACAATCCTATGAACCAATTTCTTCTTTTAAGTTTCTCTCTCTCTCTCGATATGCTCACATACATGCATGTGTATATACACATATGTATGTTATACACACATATATATCTTACCAATTTTGTTTCTGTGGATAACCCTAATGTAGCTTATTCGCTCTAATTCTTTTTTGATCAAAAGGTTTGATTTAATGACTACTTTAAGGTTTATGTATATAGAGATCTTATGAAAATCTACCTGCAGTTGTTACACATTCCCATATGAGACCTTGATAACATGTTCTTCACCCACCACAGATTTTGTGCTGTCTTTGTCATATAATTTGCCTTTATTTTCATTATAAATCACAATGTATTTTATTAATTTATCTTTGATCAGTGAACTGTATTTTATTGGCATTAACATAATACAGAGGTTTTCACAAGTATCTATGTAGTTACTGTACCTGATATTTAATTTTTTTATTTCCTTTTTTTTTTTTTAATAGAGACAGATTCTTAATATGTTGCCCAGGCTGGACTGCAGTGGTATGATCATACCTCACATCAGCCTCAAACTCCTGTGCTCAAGCAATACTCCTGCCTCAGTCTCCCAAAGTGCTGAAATTACAGACATGAGCCACTGGGCCCAGCCTGATGTTTTCACTTTTTTGTGTAAATTCACATTTCAATGTGACATCACTTTCCTTCTGTCTAGGGATATCCTTTACCCTTCTAATAGCAACAGTCTGGTGGTGAACAATTCTGTGAGTTTTTAAATGTCAGCAAAACTTTCATTTATTCACCATTTTTGAAAAATACTGCATGAAGGGGAATATGGGGAAAAGTGAATTTTAAAAATAGACCAAGATTTGATTAAGCTTTTCACCAAAGAAGATATACAGATAACAAGCACCTGAAAAGATGCTCAGCCTGATGTTGCTAAGAAAATACAAGTTAAAAAATTAATAAGAATCGCTACAGATCTATTAGAGTGGCTTTAAACAAAAACTGACAATAATATTGAGTGTTAATGAGGATGCACACAACTACAGTTCTCATAAATGGCTGGGGACATGTCAAGATCCATGTTGCCTCCTCAGGCAGAGCCCCATGACAGTCCCCTGAGGCAGGGGTGCAGGGTGCAATGGCACTCACTGGATGCAGTCATCTCAGCCCGACCCCTCTCTCAGGGCCGTTTTCCTGCCTGGGCTGTTCTGGTCTCTCCCAGTGTAGTCCCCACAGGCTGGTGTGGTGGAAACAGATTGATGACTTATCAAAATGGCCTCAATCATGGCCTGCATCTGCCTCTGCCTAAGGGTGTCTTGAGGGAGGACATCTGGGATGATGAAATTTGAAAGGGGGAGAGTCAACATTCTCAGGGTCAATGGAGATGACATAGGGCTTCTCACTCTCAGTCCTTGAAGAGGAAGGGGAGGGGGTATGTTTTGGCCTCACTTCTTGGTCTGTGTCACTGTGGCTCACCCATCCTCACCATCAAACATGTGGCTCTCTCCACAGTGATACTCGGCCTCATCCTCAGATTGGAGGTTGAAGATAATTAAGTAGCATTCAGCCCCAGGGCTGGAGCCCAATAAGTGACTGGGGATCCTGTTCCCCTTGCTGTTGCTGCCATTACTCTTAACCTCCATTATACACTAGGGGGACCTCCTTGGTCTCTGTTGATACTATTCACTGGTGTAGGTGACCTTGGCTGAGGCTCACAGCCAGGCAGATGCAGACGGGGGCTGGGTCAGCACAGACAGAGCACAGAGACCTGGAAACATATAATTTCATGAATGATGCTGAATGCACAGGAGAACTGGAAAGAATGCCACTGAGGACCAGTGCTGGGGGGAAATAGCAGTGAAAGGGTTTCCCTGAATTCTCTGGATGCTCCAACCTGTGGAGAATATGAAGGGCAGGAGGTAGAAGGAGACACAGGCCGTGGTGGGAGGCACTTCCGAGAGCTCTGATCGAGGCTGCCCAGTGGAGCCTGGACACAACCAGCTCCTATCTTATCCTCTTCTTGAAGCTCAAGAAGGAAGGAGCATTGAATCCAAATCTGTTCTCTATTCCCAAGCGTGTCTGTCTGAGCTCATAGCTGAGCCCTGGAGCTGATGGCCTCAGGGTAGTCATTTCTCAAAGGCAGGAGAAGGGCCAAGTGGGTGTCAGGAGTGGAGAGTGGATTGTACTCAAAAAGACTGGACCTGAAAGGAAACATCAGTCACACCCTTTGCACGTGAGCTCTACTGGGGGACTTGGAGCTATTAGCATCCCCAAACAATACACCCACAGTGCCTCCTGCTGTCCACAGGAGGAATGCCATCCTCCATGTATCACTAGATTATGCAAAACAACTACTTATGAGACCTTAATATATTCAGAGTCTTTGGTGAGTGTTTTATAGGCACAACCATGACTGGATATTTATAATAACCCTTCCTCAGCCCTATGCTTATGGCATAACCTCTCCTCAAGTTTACTGATGACAGAACCAACATTGAAAGATTACACAATGACAGAAGTGAGTGGAGTCAAGATTCCATGCAGGAGATGCACCTCAGAGCCTGAACTTCAGCTTCTTCCTGCCCTGCTTCCTTTCTTCCCATGAGTCTCCTCCTCCCACCTCATCCCAGGACCCCGGACCCCTCTGATCACAACCCTCTCTTCTTTAATCAGGTGCACTGTCTTTGATGGGTTCTGTGGACAGAGGTAGGGACACTTCCTCTGTTCACCCCATGACAGATAACAAAAAAGCACATGTCAGCAGTGACACTGGGACATCCAGATGTCTGCTTGGCTCCTTGTGCCAGTCATATCCCCAGAAAAATTTGGGATCAGGATTTTATTTCTAAGAAGGTCAAGGCTGTTGAATTAGGACAGCTGTAACACTAGATACTGAAGTCTTTTAATTTAATAAACATAATTGACAAGAAAGTATTCCTTAATTAATATTCTAAGTATATGTATTAGTTTTCAGACCTAGGACTGTTGAGGCTGTGATGAAAGTAATTCAATCACAACATGATGTTGTATTATAAATAGAAAAGACGTGTGAAGTCCTGCGATGATCTCGGAGACAGACAGAAGTCTCTATGTGCTGATTTCCTGGAGTTTGGTCTAAAGAGACAACTGAGATAAGATGAGGCCACAGGTCACCAATACGCCTGCTCCTGTACCTGGCTGAGCACATCACTCGCAGTTCCTCCACACGCTTACCAACCTAAGAATCCACTCCTCCTGTCACTGGGCATCTCAGGGTCTCCTCCCAGGACCCTGCCGGCCACTCATGCAGGCCAGTTCCTTTTCTTGTGGGTCCTGATGCAGCATTGGATGTAACTTGCTAAGACTATCCTGGGAGATGGACACATCACCAGAATGTGTTCCAGGAGAACTACAGCAAAACCACTTTGTCTTGTCCAGATTCGCTGTGATGCACATTACTCTCCCAGTTGCATCTCTAGAACTGGCCTTGTTTGTAAATTCCTGATTCTGGGAAGAAGCACCCAGTTCTGCAGAAACTGTCAAGGTGATCTGCCCAAAGTGAACAATCAGTTTGTGACCTGTGACCGTGCACAGTGGGCAGTGTGGAGGTTGAGATGGGCATGGGGGGACTGCCAGTCAATAGGGCAGGTCTTGTGCCACTGAGGGGAGGAGACCCTGGGGAGAGAGAGCAGGGGCATCTCCCACTGTTTTCCTGTAAGTCAGTCCACTGAGGCACAAAAGCGAGTTGAATAAGATCTTAAGATGCAAAGACCACAGCAGAGCTGGGGCTCAGGACAGTCAGGACCTGCAGCTTTAGGAGAAAAGCTGATAAGCCTAGTGTCCCAGGGAGACTGTCAGGGAGGCAGCTGCATTTAGCCCCACCCACTGGAGAAAGATTCTTGATTCCATGAATCAAGAATTTCCAGCCTGGCTGGGAGCCCATGGAAGCAACTCTTATCCATGTGTCAGGGATTTGCTCACTCTGGTGATGGCCAGAGAGCATGGGTGGATCCTGGATATTCAGGGAATATTGACAGCTGGCCCATGACAGAGACAATGTTACAAATTTACATTGTAGGCTCCCCCCCGCCGAATTGATATTGAAGTCCTCAGCCCCAGAACCTCAAAATGGGATCTTATATGGGAATGGGGTGGTTACAGATGTAATGGGTTAACATGACATCATACTGAAGTAGAGTGGGCTCCCAATCCAACAGGAGCGGTGTTGTTATAAAAGGGGGAAATGGCTGAATGCAGTGGCTCAGGCTTGTAATCCCAGCACTTTGGGAGGCTGAGGCAGGTGGATCACCTGAGGTCAGGAATTCGAGACCAACCTGGCCAACCTGATGAAACCCCATCTTTACTAAAAATATGAAAATTAGCTGAAGGTGGTGGCAGGCATCTGTAATCCCAGCTACTTGGGAGGCTGAGGCAGGAGAATCACTTGAACCTGGGAGGCAGAGGTTGCAGTGAGCCAAGGTCATGCCACTGCACTCCAGCCTGGGCGACAGAGCGAGATTCGATCTCAAAACAAAACAACAACAGCAAAAAACAAACAAACAAAAAACCGAGGAAACATGGTCAGAGACACACATAGGGAAAATGCCATATGAACATGGAGGCAGAGATTGGGGTGTTTGTCTGTAATTCAGGGAACAGCACATCCTTCCAGAAGCACCTGAAGCCAGGGAGATGCACAGAACAGGCCCTCGCTCAGCCTCAGAAGAAACCAACCCTGCCAACACCTTGATCTCAGATTCTAACATCACCTACAGATTAGTGGAGAAGACATTTCTTTTCTCTGAGCATCCAGTCTGTGCTACTTTATTATGGTAACCCTGGCAAAATAACACAGACGCCCCGAGGAATGCTGTGTTCAGAGAATCCCCTGTAGGGCTGGGCTCTTTGCAGATGCTTTGGTCTCTATCATCACAATCCTTTGGGGAGAGGCCTCCCTGTCCTGTGTTTTCCTCCCGTACAGTGCCCGAATTTCCTCTCAAGGAGCCTGTCCCAGCCCCACAGGCAGCAAATAGTGTCTCCTGTGACCTTAGACACCTCCCTTCCATGCCTGCCCCCTCGGGGCCCTGGCAGGATTTCTGATCAGACTCACAGGCCTCTCTCAAGGTTGTGGCTGTCAGCTGAGGAATGCGGCCCTGGGCAGGGAGGGATGGCCCAGGACCATGGGGCCAGAAAGCCTTCAACAGCCTTCAGATGAGCTTAGCAGCCTCTCCCCACCTGGCTGGCTACACCTCCTCCTCATGGATGAAGTTGCAATCCTTGGTTCTACAAACTCCCCCACTTTCCTCCCTGGCTGACTTGCCTGAAAACAGCTTCTGAGACATGGGGGGGAGTTGGCAGGAGAACACCTGGGGATGCTTGCCTCAGCTCCTGGGCCTCTATTTTAAATCATTTTAATCTCTCTTATTTCGAACAATCTAAAACCCTCGGCACTGCCTTTCCTCCATCTGAGGTCTAATTTTCATGAGCAAGGTCAGTAATAATTGCTGTCCACTAAGGAGCACTTGAATATGTTACGCCCTGTATTGAGCACTTTATGAATATGACTCAATTACATCCCTGCAGCTTTGTTAGGAAAAAAAGCTTGCTTTCTCTCTCCCAGTGATCTCTGCACAGACCGGCTTCCCTTCACCTTCTATCATGAGTGGAGACAGCCTGAGGCCCTCACTAGACGCAGATACCCAATCTTGATCTTTCCAGCCATCAGAAGCATGACCCCAATAAACCCTTTTTTTTCTTTACAAACTATCCAGCTTCAGGTATTCCTTTATAGCAACACAAAAGGTACTAAGACACCAGGAGGGGAGGGAGAGTTCACCTGTGCTTCTCAGGTTTCTTCATTAGGTGAGTCTTACCTGTGCCTGCGTGAGGAGGGTGAATAGGAGCTAAGCCACTCAAAATGTCCTTGGAGGACCAGCAGCATCAGCCTCACCTGGAAGCTGCTAGACATGGAGAATCTGGGGCCATACCCAGATGTGCTGAGGGCACAGCTGTATCTTAACCAGAATCCTCAGGGGATTTGTGTGCCCAATGAAATTCCAGAAGCTGTGGTTTAAACCACAATGGAAAGTCTCACTTTCTCTGCTTTTGACAACACACCTTTGTCTTCTACAAGCCCTTCTAAGAACACCTGGGTTTGGTGCTTAACTGCCCTGGTCTCATCAAACTGAGCTTGATTCCAGTGCTGGACTCTCTAATGATGTGCAAGAAATGTTTTAAGAGCAGACAATTTTAAAATCCACATGAGTGGTATGCTGGGAAAGGGACAAGATCCCAATGAGATATTCAGAGAGAAATAGATGGTTCATATCTTGTTCTCACTCAGCTCCCATTAGTATGGAATTTCCTTATTTCTCAGACATATGATCTCTGTGTTTCAGCCTCCGTCTGTTTTTCTCTTTGACTGGAACGTTTCCTGTGTGTGACCTCACTGCTCACACAATACCTGCCTAAATTCTAATCATCTGGAGTCAGATACCTGTACTCCAGACTTGTCAAGGAAGAGGTTTCTGGCCACCAGAATATTTGAAAATACAAAATTGTAACCTTTTAGCATTTATCAGTAAGTAACCGAAGAGTTGGGTATGGGATATTCAGATATTTTGCATGGAACAACATCCCCTCTAACTTCTGTACCACAAATCTTATCATGCGTGATGCTCTAACAAGACTAGAAAAAACAACCAACAAAAATGTTTCCTTGAAAGAAAACATTTGATCTGACTGTTGAGACAGTCATGTGATTTTTTCTTCTATTTTCTCTTCATCGTCACGGGTGTTTGTTAGGTTTTTTCTTGAGACGGAGTCTCGCTCTGTCGCCCAGGCTGGAGTGCAGTGGTGCGATCTTGGCTCACTGCAAGCTCCACCTCCCGGGTTCATGCCATTCTTCTGCCTCAGCCTCCCAAGTAGCTGGGACTACAGGTGCCCACCACCATGCCCAGCTAATTTTTTGTATTTTTAGTAGAGATGGGGTTTCACCATGTTAGCCAGGATGGTCTCGATCTCCTGACCACTTGATCCGCCCGCCTCGGCCTCCCAAACTGCTGGGATTACAGGCGTGAGCCACCGCGCCTAGCCTTGTTATGTTTTGATGATAGTCATTCCAGCAGCGGTGAGATGATATCTCATTTGGGTTTTAGTTAGCATTTCCCTGATTATTAGTCACCTTAAGCATTTTTTCACATACCTGTTTGCCATTTGTATGTCTTCTTTAGAGAAAAGTCTATTCAGGTCCTTTGCCCACTTTTTTTTTTTTTAATGCTAATCAGTTATTTTAGAGCCTTGTCCTCTATTCTTACACTGGATATTATGCCTTTTCAGATGAACAGGATATTAGGACCTATTCACATGAATACTTTCTCCCATTCTAAGGGTGTCTTCAATCTGTTGTTTGCTTTGCAGAAGCATTTTAGTTGAATAAACTCCCATTTGTCTATTTTTATTTTTGTTGTCTGTTCTTTTGAAGTCTTAGTCATAAAAATTTTTGTGTATCCCAAGGTCCTGAAGAATTTTATCTATGTTCCCTTCTAGTTGTTTTATAGCTTCAGGTCTTATCCTTAGGTTTGTAATCCTTGTTGGGCTGATTTTTTATTTGGAGAGAGATGGGTCCAGTTTCATTGTTCTGCATGTGGATGTCCACTTTTCTCAGCACTGCCTGGAAGGAGAAATGTCCAGATATGCAATTTTATACTGATTCATAGGCTGTAGCCAATGGTTTGGTTGGATGATCAGGGACTTGGAAGAAGCATGATTGGAAAATTGATGACAAAGAAATTTGGGGAAGAGCTATGTGGATGGATCCCTCTGAGTGATCAAAAACTGTGAAGATATTTGTATCCCATGCGAGTGCTCACCAATGGGTGACCTCAGCAGAGAAGGAGTTTAATAATCAAGTAAATAGGATAATCAAGTAAATCAGTGATAGAATCTGCCAGGCTGATATAAAAATTATTAACCCAGGCTAATAAAAATTTGCATTCGCAGAAGTGAGACACCAGAAATGAGTGTGCAGAGGAAAGACCATGTGAGGACACAGCAAGGAGGCAGCAACCTGCAAGCCAAGGAGAGAGGCCTCAGGGGAAACCAAACCTATAAACACCTTTATCTTGGCTCTCCAGCTTCAGAACTGTGAGAAAATAAGTGTCTACTCTTAGGCCAGCAGGTCTTTGGCATCTGCGGGATTCCTCAAAGATCTGTTTGGGGAAAACATGTAACCTCCCAATACTAGTTTTCTAGTAAAGATCGGGCCTTGAGCATAGGGCTTTGCATCATCCTATTCCGTATTATGAAAGTCTTCTTGAGGTCCCGCTTGTAAAACAATAACCAATGCATCTGGCGTATATTAAGGGCTTATGCGTAGTCATTCTGAGTGATTTGGTGATTTATGGGAAATGGCATTCCTTCCATGCAGGGATGCAGGGATGTTCGCTGCACTGTTATTTAAGATCAAAGTTGTGGCAATAACCTTTAGAATGTAGTTGGCTAAAATCCTTCCATGCAAAGTGCACACCCAGTGGCACGGCTCAAAGTTCTGTCCACGGAGAAGATTTCCCTTCCCCGCTGTTCTTCAGGGATGTTCTAGAAAGGGGCTTTAGTGCTACAGCTGTCCACTTTCAGGTGGTGCCTGCATATCTTGCAGAACCATCTGTGATCCAGGCCCTAGTCTTCTCTTCCTCTGTCAGCTGATCATAGGGAACTCCCCATGAGGCCATCGGTGCAGGCTGGGGGAGAGAAAGCAGGGGGGAAGAGTGGAGACCATGGGCATTTGAGCCACTTCTTCATGTAATTTTCTTGTGCCTTCAGGGCCTACTCGAGCCTGATGATGTATATACCACTTCCATTTGATGATGGAATGCTGCTGTGCATGACCCATTTTATGGCTACATTGATCAGAAAGAACCCAGTTCATGACAGGCAGTTCAGGTCCCATGGTGACTTTATGACTCATAGTCAATGTTCAGTTACCACCAAAGCCCAGTAACAGGCCAACAGCTGTCTCTCAAAAGCAGAGTAGTTATCTGTAGAGGATGGCAGGGCCTTGCTCCAAAATCCTGGAGGACCGCACTGTGATTCACCTATGGGAGCTTGCCAAAGGCTCCAAACAGCATTGCTATCTGCCACTGACACCTCAAGCACCATTGGATCTGCTGGGTTATATGGCCCAAGTGGCAGAGCAGCTTGCACAGCAGCCTGGACCTGTTGTAGAGCTTTCTCTTCTTCTGGAACCCACTCAAAACTGGCAGCCTTTAGGGTCATTCAATAAATGGGCCAGAGTAACACAACCAAATGAGGAATGTGTTGCTTCCAAAATCCAAATAGGCCCACTAGGCGTTGCGCCTCTTTCTTGGTTGTAGGAGGAGCCAAATGCAGGAACGTATCCTTTACCTTAGAAGGAATATCTCAACAGGCCCCACACCACTTGGCCCGTAGAAATTTTACTGAGGTAGAAGGTCCCTGAATTTTAGTCAGATTTATTTCAAATTCTCTGGCATGCAAATGTCTCACCGATAAGTCCATTGTGTTTGTGAATTCTTGCTCACTGAATCCAATCCAATAATGTCATCAATGTAATGGACGAGTGTGCTATCTTGCAGAAGTGAAAAGTGATCAAGATCTCTTTGAATAAGATTATGACACAAAGGGCTGGGCATGGTGGCTCAGGTCTGTAATCCCAGCACTTTGGGAGGCAGAAGCGTTCAGATCACGAGGTCAAGAGATTGGGACCATCCTGGCCAACATGGTGAAACCCCGTCTCTACTAAAATTACAAAAATTAGCTGGGCGTGGTGGTGCGCGCGTGTAGCCCCAGCTACTGAGGAGGTTGAGGCAGGAGAATTGCTTGAATCCAGGAGGCAGAGGTTGCAGTGAGCTGAGATTGCACCACTGCACTCCAGCCTGGTGACAGAGCGAGACTCTGTCTCAAAAGAAAAAAAAAACAAGATTATGACACAAAGCTGGAGAGTTGATAAATCTCTGAGGTAGGACAGTAAAGGTATATTGCTGGCTTTGCCAGTTGAAGGCAAATTGCTTCTGGTGGGCCTAATGGACCGGAATGGAGAAAAAGGCATTTGCCAAGTCAATGGCTGCATACCAGCTACCAGGAGATGTGTTAATTTGATTGAGCAATGAAACCACATCTGGTACAGCAGCTGCAATTGAAGTCACCATTTGGTTAAGCTTATGATAATCCATTGTCACTCTCCAAGATCCATCTGTCTTCTGCACAGGCCAACTGGGAGAGTTGAACAGGGATGTGGTGCTGATCACCACCTCTGTGTCTTTCAAGTCCTTGATGGTGGCACTAATCTCTGCAATCCCTCCAGGGATATGACACTGTTTTTGATTTACTATTTTTCTAGGTAGGAGAAGCTCTACTGGCTTCCATTTCCCTTTCCCACCATAGTAGCCCTCACCCTGCCAGAACTGGCCTGACACCTGTTTTTGTGTGGCCCAGAGCTGACAGTGGTTTTTATCATTTTAAATGGTTACTTTATAAATGGTGCTGTAAGTACCTATGTAATATCCCCAAAGTTGATTCGTGGGCCACAAAGACTAAAATACTTCATTTTAAAATTTATGTTTATTTTCTTTAATGTAATAGAGATGAGGGTTCACTATGTTGCCCAGGCTAATCTCGAACTCCTGGGCTCAAGCAATTTACGTGTCTAAGCCTTCCAAACTGCTGGGATTACAGGCATGACCCACTGTGCCTTGCCACAAAGACTAAAATTCTTCTTATTTGGATATTCAAGAAAAAGTTTACCAAATACTAAAAAAATAAAGAGTACTGAACTATTTGTGAAAAGGCCCAACCTTAAGCAGAATGGGAGACTCAAAAATAAAACTGTAACAAGATAACATTTTTCAGTCTGGTAGGTTGGCAAAAATTTACACTTTCAACAATGTACTCTGAACAAATACTTATGGTTGGCATTGTAAGTTGGTAGAACCCCTCTGGAGGGGAATCTGACAACAATGGGTGAAAATTACAAACACACATCTTTCTGACCCGCAATTTCAGTTTTAGAAATGTATCCTATGGTCATATTCACACAGGAACTCAAAGGAGGCTGCATAGGGATGTTCACTGCACTGTTATTTAAGATCAAAGTTGTGGCGATAACTATTAGAATGTAGTTGCTAAAATTCTTTTTTTTTTTTTTTTTTTTGAGATGGAGTCTTGCTCTGTCACCCAGGCTGGAGTGCAGTGACGAATCTTGGCTCCCTGCAAGCTCCGCCTCCCGGGTTCATGCCATTCTCCTGCCTCAGCCTCCCAAGTAGCTGGGACTACAGGCGCCCGCCACCGTGCCCGGTTAATTTTTTGTATTTTTAATAGAGATGGGGTTTCACCGTATTAGCCAGGATGGTCTCGATCTCCTGACCTCATGATCTGCCAGCCTTGGCCTCCCAAAGTGCTGGGATTACAGGTGTGAGCCACTGCGCCCAGCCATATTTGGCTAAAATTCTACCCACAGTGTGGGAGATGGTGATGCATGTAGGGTGAAGACATCTCTGAAAAAAAAGCAGTGACTGCACCAATCAGGCAGCTGCTTGTCACTGTCCCTGCATTTGAAGAGCTGGGAAGAGCTGCACATTCAGGGACCACAGCACACAAGCACCAGGAAGCTGTCCCTGTCCGGGATGAGAAACCACAGGGCAGGTTTCCTGTTGGATTTCATGGTGGGAAAGGAGAGGAGCTGAGAGAGAAGAATTCTCAAGGCCGTGCTGCAGGAAGCCCCTTGCACAGGGTGAGGAAGCATCTTCAGAGCAAAAGGGAGCCTGAGAGCCCAGGGTGGGTTTTGGTCTCAGTTCCCCAGGAACTTGGACCACTGTGGAAAGTGTAGCTGCCTGCATATGAGCAGCAGTAATAATCAGCCTCATCCTCAGCCTGGAGCCCAGAGATGGTCAGGGAGGCCGTGTTGCCAGACTTGGAGCCAGAGAAGCGATCAGGGACCCCTGAGGGCCGCTTACTGACATCATAAATCATGAGTTTGGGGGCTTTGCCTGGGTGCTGTTGGTACCAGGAGACATAGTTATAACCACCAACATCACTGCTGGTTCCAGTGCAGGAGATGGTGACTGACTGTCCAGGAGACCCGGACACTGAGCGAGGCTGAGTCAGGGCAGACTGAGCCCAGGATCCTGGAAAGAGGGAGAAACACACTCTAGTGAGTCAGTGCTGGGCCCAGGTGAGCCTGAGGAGCAGGAGACCAAGGATCAGCCCAGAGACCCCTGTGACCCTTTCCCTGGAGGTGTCACCTGTGCCCTGAGTGAGGAGGCTGAGGAGGAGCAGAGCCCAGGCCATGGTGGAGACGTCCCGAGAGTGCTGCCTCCTGAGACCCCAGCACTGGGCCTGCCCCCAGCCCTGTCTTATCCCCTCTGCCTCAGAGGAGGGTGGGGCCTCCATGCAAATCTCCACCCTGAGCTCCTCTCCTCACCCCACCCTCACCTGGGCTGGGCTCAGAGACTTCTGCTTCCCTGGACAGTGGGGCTCAGCTGAGGAGATAAAAAGTTCTTGTTTGTCTTTTCTGATGGCAGGATCTTAATTTTTTTGTACCTGATTTGCTCAGGAGAGAAAGTTCTGCTGAAATCCCTTACCTGAGTGAGCTTCTGGTCCTCAGTGACTCTGCTGTGTGGTGCCTGTGTCTTTGTGACCCTCCAGGCCTGGGCACACCCTGCAGTGCCCTCTGCTTGGCACCCACCTCCAGGCTGTCTCTACTGCCAGGAAATGGGGCTGCCCACCCCGTGGAAACCTCTGCTGGGTGGCATTGGTCCCTGGTCTCCCCAGCTGCAGCCTCATCCCATCCCCACCCCCAAGCTTTGTGCTGAAGCATCTGCACCATCGAATCCCTGGAGCACATCAGCCACCCCAGGCAGTGCACCCACATCCACACGGGCACATGTGGGAGGGATCCTGTGGAGGGAACACAGAGCACCGACCAGGGCCGCAGTCCTGAGCCCGAGTCCACTGCTCCCAATCCTGCCCCTCCCACTCACAAGCAGGTGACTTGTCCTTCCCAGCCTCTAGTTCTCAGCCTGAGAAATGGGGACTACAGTGTCCACTCTGCACACAGGTGATCCATGGGGATATGAGCCAGCAGGACAAAGGGAAAGTTTGCTAATAGGCCTTTCTGTGTGCACCAGAGTGACGTTTATTTTGAATGTTTCATTTATTGAAAGATTTATTTCCATTTTACTGTGATTTATGTGTCAGGTCACAGAGCCGCGTGTTTCCTGCTTTCTTGCTTTTCCTCATCTGAGCACATCCAACCTAAAGCTGACCTCTCTCAACCCTGCAACACTGAAGACACACAGACATTCGATAAATACATTTTTTCAAAATACTTTTAATCTCTTTTCATCTTTCCCTATAGCCTATAACAAAATTCTTTTAATGTTTCATATTAAAATAAATATTAATGGAATCAGCTTCCATTTAAATATTATAACATACACTGTCCTGTCTTCCCACCTAGATTCATCTCTGAAACCATGACAGGTGAATGGAGCAGCTATTTGAGCACCAGGAAAGGAAATGGTACACAGCAGTTTGGGATGGCCCCAGCAGATGAAATATAACAGAGTCAGTGTGAGACTCCTGGATTTCCTCACTGTCCTCTGGCTGGGACTCCAGACAGCCCCAAACCTGAAGGGGCACAAATCTGAAAACAAAAAGAAGTCCAGAAAGCCCTCTTGTTCAGGATTGAAGATAGGAAAAGAAACTTCTTTGGCTCAAAGTGAAGGCTCAGTCCCCTGCACAAGCAGGTGGTTCACACCTGTGTTCTCATCTCTCATACCAGCGCCTCTCCCTGGGTTCACACTGATGTCCTATGGATGGAGACGGGGTTTCCTGCACCAGGTCACTCCACAGCCCCTGTAACCTGAAGCCCTGCAGACCAGCCTTGTTCAATCACAATATGATGTGAGCCTCATGGGAATCCCACTGTCTAGTCATCGCATTATAAATACAAAGAGAAGAAGTCAATGAGTTTAAATAATATATTTTATTTACCTAGCATATCAAAAAGTATCATTTTCATATATAATCTAGGTACAATTATTTATGATATATATCATATACTTTGCATAGCTAGTGTTATTATTTTTTGAAGAATCTTGGAGATTGTGTGGCTGATGGAGATGTGAATGGGTTTCCTGTTGACAAGGGTGGGGTGTGGTGGCTTTTTAAGTGTCAACTTTGATAGGCTGAAGGAGGGGTGGAAAGAATGATTTTTTCTACAGGGCATGGAGGGTGGAGGTGGGCAGTGTCCATCCTGCAGCTCACCCTGTGGGCAGTGTCCATCCTGCAGCTCACCCTGTGGGTGCATCTGTGGTCCCTGCATGGGGTGAGGCTTCTCCTCCTGTCCCGGGTTTCCCTGCAGGGAGATCTGACTCCAACTCTCCCTCAGACCCAGAGCACCTGGCAAGTCAGGCTCCCTTTCCATTCCATACAAATGCAAGAAACACTCAGATCTCATTGGGCATTTGGATACTCACAGTGCTAATTTAGGAATAAATGGGCGCTTTCCAGTGTGCAGTGGCCTCCTGAGGTTCCGCATGGCCCATGTTGGGGATGGCTGGTGATCTTAATTTGGGTTCCCTGGAAGCAGACTCTGAGATGAGGAATTCATGCACAGAGGATGTGAGGGAGGCAACACTGGGCGGAAAGAGACCCTGACGCACATTGAGGTCTCAGTCTTTCCTACAGGGAGCTGTGGAGCTGGGAGGATTTTCATTTCCTCCTATATTGAGGCAGAGTCTTGAGAACTTGGCCTCAGGCAGTCATGAAACCTAATCTTGCTGAGGAAGGGCATAAACCTGGAGGAGGCAGTTTTCTGCGCTGAGCCACACTTCCCAGGAAAGGCACAGCTCTCAGCTGCCACAAGCTCCCAGCAGTGCTGGGTGGGTGAGCTCAGAAGAAAGAATCTGGGCAGATCCTACAGTGTCCACTCCACTGGTTTTTCTGTAGAGAATGACTTGAGCCTGAGCTGGGCAGTTCTGGGGACTGATCCAGGATATTCAGGCCAAGGACTGGCTTGTCATGACCAATGGAAATCCAGAGCCCAGCTGATGGATGTCTACCTCAGTCTGATGATTCAATCAGGCCCCATTTCCCTAAGTCACAGCTGAGTCCTCAAACCCCAATACATCCTGGTCACCTAAGTCTAAATCCACTCTTGACGCCCCCTCTTCAGAGCCTGCCTGGAGGGCTGGAGGGACTCAGATCCAGGGGGTCTCAGACCCAGGTGAACTGGGCCAGCCCAGTTCATGAATTTGTCCACAGTCTTCCTGGCTGGAGGAAATGTCCCATCCTGGTCATTTCATCTAAATGATGGATTGTGTCATTAGGACACTAGTTAACTATTTCAGTGAGAATAGTTGAGTCATTTAAGGAACCACTCACCCATGTGGAGTCATCAGGACGTCTGGTCTCATTTCACCCATGGGGCTGATACTTCTAGGCCATCCCCATCCCCACAGTAGACCAGCCATTGCCATCCTCAGCTCTGCCATTGTTTATTTTTCCAATCAATATTTTATGTAAACTTGTAAAAAGCAGCAAAATAGCACCAGAGTTCTCAGCCCAGTGTGGTTTTCTTGTGCTTTTTGCAAGTTTACATGAAATATTGATGGGAAATTCAACTTTAAGCCCCATGGTCGCTGTAAGCATCCCAGGGACACAGCCTTTGGACAGGGTGTGGGGTCTGCAGGGTGGGTGGTCCTTGGTTCCTGCAATGAGGTGTATCCTGTCCCTGAGCCAAGGACAGCCTCGTGGCCAGAGCTCTGGCCTGAGGCAGGTGAGAATCCCCTTCCCTGTGGAGAGCATCTCCTCAAGGAGGCTGGAAATGCCACATCCTGGAGCCAGGGTCCTGAGTGCACCACCCCACCCACGTGAGACTCCCCTGAGCACAGGAGCTGCCCCCTGAGTCACAGTATGCCTGGAGCTGGAAGGAAAGGCAGAGGGAGAAGGGGTGGCGGGGGGAGGTCTCTGGAAGTGCCCAGGACTGAGGGCTCAGCTCCCCAGAATGCTGCTGATCAGAGAGGGACAAGACCATGAGAGTGGCAGGAGGCTCAGGCAGCAATACTAGGTGAAGGGCTTGGGCCCTGGAAACCCTGTCCTCTCACACTGTGGCCCCCTCCTAGAGCACCTTGACCTCGGGGCGTCTCCCAGGGAATCCCAGCCCTGTGGAAGCTCCCCAGGCTGACACCGGGGCCCAGGCGCCTCCAGCTGCATTTCCCAGGTGAGGCTCTCACTGTCCCTGGGCTCCTGTCAGTGCCCTGAGTGACGCTGCATGAGTCTTACAGTCAGGACGGAGTTACTGCAGCCCGAGGGGATAGGATGCACTTTACTGGACTTCCAAATTGAGGACTGATCCTTGGACACCTTTTGAGCCTTCATGGCTGGCCTCCCTCTTAGGCTCCTTCTGGGCAGCCTCAGCCTCTCTTCTGTCTGCAGCTGTGCTGCCCCCTGCTGGTGGAGAAGACAGAGCCCAGGAGCTTCCCTCCTCCAAGTGACCCCAGAACGCCTGTCACCTGCGAGGGTAAGGACTGTTGAGTCCAGCCTCAGTCTGTGCCATATGTGAACCCCTCAGGCTCAGCACAGAGAGGTGGCATATATGGTTGCAGGGAGGTGGGGCAGACGCAATTCTTATAATTGAGTCTCAGGTTGAAATGCTCTTCTCTGTTCCATGGTTTTTGATCACAGAACGGAGAATGCAGGATAAACTGTAGCTCTTCTGTGAAAAACATAAGTTCAGAGAAATGCGGTCATATCCGCGTGCACTCCTGCTTCCCGTGTGTATTGAAAACAAGATTTTTTTTCTCACCTCAGTAAGAACAGCTGCACTGTAATTGGGAGCACCTGATGTTTCTGCCACTAAACTTCAGTTGTGTATTTGAACCATCATCACATTCATCGTCATTGTGTTTTTTTCTATTACTCATAAGAACAAGAAGATTAAGGTAGGAAATTATGACCATAACTAGGTGGGACCTTTCAGTGTTCAAACCACAAACAAGAAACTCAATAGCATTTCCTGCAACTGTTATTTTATTAGTATTGTTTTATTTTTCATTATAACCTTAAATATTTATCAAAAAGTTAACATTTCAGTGATTAAAATTAAGATACTTTTCTTTTACAAGGTTTTGATCATTTTTACGTATTTGATTTGGAACTCTGCTTCTTATTGCTAGAAGGCCTTTCCTTCTCCATAGGAATAATCAAAATTAGTTTTAATCAACATTAGGCCCCTGTTGGATCACAGGCCCTAAGTGGATTCCCAGGCCCCAGGTGCACATCAGGCACAGGTGTACAAGCAGACACTGGGTGGACTTACCTGTGTACAGGTAAGGAGCTGACCTGGGGGGAGGGTGAGCAGCCAGCAGCCCAGGGGGTTCTGAGTAGGTTTTGAAGGAAGGAGCCGAGGGTACGGAACCTTAAAGAAGTGACTTCACTTCCTTGGTGATGGACTCTAACAGAACTTAGAACTCTGGTAATCAGGCACCCACATCCTAGGGACAGACCCGCAGCCAGCTCCCTTGGTGGGAGATGCTCAGGAGAGCAAGATGTTCTCATGCTGCATTCCCACATCTCGAGTCTCCTGCTTCAGGAGGGCCCAGAGCGAGAGCCTTTTCCCACAATGCTGACGCAGGCTCATCTATTGGGATTCACTCAGGATGGTGGCAGAAATATTAAAGGGAAATATTAGGGAAAGTTACAGGGAATAGTCACAAACCTTTTGGAAGGCGGAAAGGTTACATAGCTTGTAATAATTGAACAGGCTGAAGGCAGCTGCTTCTTATCTTAGAGCATTAGCTCATAGGGTAAATGTTAGGGACAATAGAGGCTTCCCCAGTTAAGTCTGTTTACCCTACTTCCATTAACTAGCCTTTGAGCCAGATAGTCCTCTTGGGGAGGAGGGGGGAGGTAGACCCGGGAAATTGCCCCCAGTGGTATTTACTTTAAACCATGGTACCTGAGCTTTAATCATTGGTAGAACTACTCTCTTAACCATGTTAATTATCCACAAGAGTATTTACTCAAAGCTTCCGTTGTAAATTCTATACTAAATAAATGCCTGCAGTGCGAGCTATTCACGGCCAGCTGCAGTGACAAACCTCTCTTGGTGTGCAGGCAGTGGGACACTCAGCAGGACTGGCAAAGCAGAATAACTCTGTGTCAGTGTACGTTTTATTCATCCGTCATTTGGGTCAGGGTCTGTGGGCGGATCCCCGCAGCTAATGCCCTCTTGTGAGGGGCAATACCTCACTCATCTCTCACTCCAGGCGCCTCTGGCCATTTGGGCAAAGGCGCCCCCAAGTACCACAGGGCAGCCCAGGGCAGGCCCTACCAGGCCAGGCCCCACCGGTGATCCCATCGCGGCCACATCTGCACATTGTTCTTGTCCAGCTGGAGCCTCTGGAGTTCATCGAGGCACAGGCACACGGTGAGGTGGCCTATAGTCTATGAGCCTTTGCAGGGGCAGTGTTTTCGGGCTGGAATACCTTACATTCAGCGAGGTTGATTCTGTGTGTGAAAATTCCAGTGGAAAGTGACTGACGTTGGTGAGTCTTTCTTCTTTTTCATCTCCTGTTCCATGTGCAGCAACACAGGAAATTCCAGCGCCAGCTGATGAGCCAGTGCCAGCACCAGGGGAAGACCCCCCTTCAGGGACAGAACTGGAGCTATCAGCAGCTCCAGATCCCTCCTGCCCCTGTCCTGGTCCTGCCAAGGACCAGCCCAGTGAGGAGCTACCTGACATCATGAGATCTGCTCTAGCCACTGGCCTCAGCCCTGGAGCTGAAAGCATGGCTGGAGCAAGAGGTGGAAGAGAGGGGGTGGCCAGCACGGCCCCAGCCCGCATCTCCCACGCTGGGCTCAGTCCTGGGCACAGTGGGAGACATGGAGGTAGAGACCCGGGTATATGGCCTGCGCTCCTCTGACTCGCCAGAGAGAGGCTTCTCTCATTCAGCAGAGCTGCAGCCCTGCGGCTGAAGGGCCTGCTGCTGCTCCTGCTGGGGTTGTTTGCCTGCCTGCAAGAGGCGCTGGGGGGCAGGAAAAGAAACCTGGGAGGAGGGGATCCAGCAGCTCCTCCTGCTCCCAGAGGCGGCTTCTTCCTCCAACCTTGGAGGTCTGCCCTCAACTGGGCTTCTGGGCTGTTTGTCCCTGAGGTGCTGCCCAGGACAGGCTCTTCTTGACAGGTGGGCAGGGGTGTGGAGGCCAGGGGGCATCTCCAAAGGGTATCAAAACCGAAGCTTCAAAACTCAGCACTTGTGCCCCCAAATCGCCATGCCATGCCACCACCTGCCCTAGAATTCATCCATAGTGTTAAAATTACAAGTTTCTACAATAACATTTAAATAAAGTTTGACTTTTTGAAAGTTCGTGCCTTCTTTAACTCCCTAATGTTGTCAGATGTTGTTTTAGAGGCTATTCTGAAAATGTCTGATAGTTGTGTATCTTTGCCGTGGTTGTTTGTGTGATTGAATTACCATCTAATCAACTGTTACTGGAAACCTTTCAGGTACGGCTTTTAGAAGACCTTGACCTACTTTTGCTTGTTTTTACTCTCTGGTTTATTGTGGAAAGAGGGATCATGTCAGTCCATTCCTCCAGCAGATCAATCACCTGTTGCCATCAAAGATTTGGCATCAGAATTTCAAAAATTACGTGTACAAGTTGATATGTTGGTACTGTAGCCAATCTGGGTGCCAAAAGATAATGCACTGCACTAGGTAGCAGAGAAACAAATTCATTTCTCATGCTTCTGGAGATGGTAAAATCCAAGGTCAACTCGTCAGCAGGTTTCGTGTCTGATGAGGGCTTCCTTCCTTGTTCATAGACTGCCATCTTTTTACTGTGTCCTCACATGACAGAAGAGATGAGGGAGCTCTCAGCAGTCCCTTTGATAGGGACACTGATCCCATTCATACAGTCTCTGCTTTCATGATCTAATCACCTTCCAAGGCCTCACCTCCAAATCCCATCATATGGGGAATTAGATTTTAACACATGAATTTGAGGGGACCATAAGATTTGGTCTATAGCATCAGGTCACTCTGAGCCCTTTGCACTCACAAGAAATCTCTAATCTTCTATAAGTATTTGCTGGTCCCTGCTGGGTTTAGGGAAATCTTTAATTGCAGCTCTGATTCAGCTCTGTCCAAGCTTAAATTCTACATTTGCCCACAAATCTTGTTCATGGGACAGAGGGACTTTAGTGGCAACTGACCATTTGGAGTTTTAGGAGAATCAATGGAGAAGGGCTTGGGATCTGGATGAGCAGAAGTGGAGGGAGGAGAGGAGGAAGGTACAGAAGGAGAGAGAGCAGAATGTGAAAAGGGAAGAGGACCTCTAGATAACAAGAGAGCAACTCTGGTCAACTAGGTAATTCTGGCCAACTAGAGGGCAAGGAGGGTAATTTTCCTTGGATTCTAAACTCAGATCCCATATCACATCAGCACCACGTGAGGAATACATTTTTTCAATGCATATTCCTGGGTTCTGGAAATTTTCATTTCATAAATCTGGAGTTATGCTAATTCATCTGTATTTATCATAAGAATTTTGGATAATTCTGATAAAATTAGACAACAAAGCAGAGCTTGACAACCACTCGTTTGGGATGTGTATCTGGAAGACATTTGATTATATGAAATAATCACAGAAAACTGAGGAGGAATCGTTTATTTAAAAATGCTTGCATATAATTCAGTTCTTCCTATATGTGTAGTTTGACCACATAGTTGGTCTCTACAATACCAAGATAGTAAATATGTAGAAAGTCTTTTAAAAATCAAGTAGACAGAAGAAAGGAGTTGGATAGAAAAGCAAACTGACAATAGTCTGGTAAGAAGAGAAGAGAAGGGGGAGGAAGTAGCGTGTTTTTGTACATTATTTGATGACATCTAAATTATAAGCTCAAAGGGTGTTTGTAAGAAAGTCAATAATACAAGTTTTCAGAACGTAGAGAATGTAGTGGCAACACTGATTTGCTGGGAAAGAGAAGTGTACTCTGTCTTGCTGCGTTTTGTTGAACAGGCTAAGAAAAAGGGTCATTGTTTAAAGAGTGTTTGTTTTATTGGTGCTGAATTATTTTACCTCATACCTAGTTGAAAATAAAAGGGCTATAAAGTGCTTAGGTTGAACACAAAGTCCTCTGCTATCAGTAACATCTTAAGGAGCTGCATTGGAGGAGGGACAAGGGGCAATGGTGGAGTGGATGGCTCTTTGCTTATGTATTAAACCAAATAAGGTGGCATATATTTTATTAAGAAATCTGTTAAAATGAAATAAAACTCAGGTTCGTGTTCTTAATAGGCACACTGTTTGCTATGGCAGCAAGAGCAAAAGCCTTAGGTACCAAAAATGTACGTTAACTGCAAACATTTTCATATAAACAAAACAATGTGAGAATCTTTATATGACAGTAACTCCTATGCCCAAAATATTTTTAACTGAGATTGAAATCATTTTCTACATAACAAATGTTATCACTGTATTCGGAGATGATATATTATTTATATATGGATACTATAACTTATTTAAGTTATTCATTATTTATTCAACAAATAATTCTGTGGAATGTACAAAACACTGGTTTTGGCACTGAACGTAGAATTGATATAAAATATAATATTTTTTCTAAGTGGCTGATTAAAAATACAAAACATTTGTTAAATAGAGGTTGTACTACTGAAAACAGGCGGAGACTGACTTGCTAATAAAAAAGTCAGGAAACCCAGTGGGATTATTTTTAATAATAATCAATATTTTAATACAGAGCTCTTGTTTTTTCTCATGGAAATATATTACAATATGGATTTTCTGCTGTTTGGTATCTGAATATTTAAGTATAACAGGTATGGTGAGTTTTCCAAAGATATTTTACCAGCTTACCTGCCCATCAGTGACTCGTAAGCTATCACGTGGAATCACATCCTCTCCAACAACCTCTAGTACACACTTTACAAGTGTGTCCATTAAATGTGTGTTGGTTTTGCAGGTGATTATTTTGTTATCGAAAGATAATAGGATACCTAGCTTTAAAAAGCGAGGCATGCAGAGGCACATGTTTAGAGTGTGTCCGGACCCCGGAATTAAAACTAATCCAATTTGTGCCTCCCCTGTTCAATAAAAAGTTTCCTTAAGAACCCAGAGATCAGGCATTCCTTTGAGAAACCACTCCAATATGGTTTCTCACCTACTCATTCCAAGAAAATTGCTCTTATCAAAGCACAAATGGTATCCATATTGTTAAATGATGAATTGAAGCGTAATTCCTCAGCCTTTGCTTAATTTATGTATTAGCAGCATTTAATGCAGTTGATCTCTCCCTCTTTTTTTTCAAAACTTTCTTTGATAGAATTCTAGAACACTTAACCTACTTTCCTCTTGACATTTTTGATAATTATACCTAGTACTTTTTGCTGGTTTCTTCTCATCTTTGCTAATTTTCTTTTTCTTTTCTTTTCTTTTCTTTTCTTTTTTTTTTTTGTTTGAGACCAAGTTTTGCTCTGGTTGCCCAGGCTGGAGAGCAATGATTCGATCTCGACTCACTGCAACCTCCACCTCCTGGGTTCAAGCAATTCTCTTGCCTCAGCCTCCTGAGTATTACAGGCATGCGCCACCATGCCTGGCTAATTTTGTATTTTTAGTAGAGACGAGGTGTCTCCATGTTGGTCAGGCTGGCCTTGAACTCCCAACCCCAGGTGATCTGCCCAACTTGGCCTCCCAAAGTGCTGGAATTACAGGCCTGAGCCACCATGCCCAGCCTACTACTTTTTAGGCAGTAGATAACCACTAGGCTCGGGACTTTTATCTTTCTTATCTTTGCTTTCTTACTAATTTTTGTGTCATTCATTTCCTGATATTTTATATGATACCATAACACTAGACTACACACAATACTGTCTGTCTTCTCCACTTGGATGTGGTTTAGGAATCTCAAAATTAATAAGTCTACGTGGAGCCACTGACACTCCCCAAAACTGCTCTTCCCCATTCTGTTTAATGGCACCTCCCATTTTATAGTTTCTCAGCTCAATATTCTTGGTGTCCCCATTTAATTCTCTCTGTCTCTGCAGCTCTGTCATTGTCTGTCTGTATCTGTCTTGTTCTAATTCTCTCTCTTTCTCTCTCTCTATCACACACACACACACGCACACACAGATTTTCAGATCTGACATGTATGAAAATCCTGCCAGCTTTACCTTTAAAGTGAACTCATTCCAAATGGTATTTGCAAATTCACCTTCCCACCCTCACCACTTGGTGACTATAGTACTTCCCTCCCAAGGCCAAAGCTCTACTGCAGAGATTTCTTGAGGAAATAATGAGAACTACTATACATTCTTATTTCAGGGGCCCTCAAAATACAGGCTAGCCATATTCTGTATGAATTTAAGCTCCTATCATCGCCCTATTTTTCAATCCAGTCTCCACACAGCAAGCACAGGAAGCAATTAGAATTCCAAGCCATATCACAACACTCCTGTTTTAAAGTCCCTGATTAATTACTTCTTTTTTCCTCATTAGAATTTAAGTTTAACGAAGCTGGGCAACTTTGTATACTTTACCACTGACCTATCTTCAGAGCTGGAGGTCAGTTGGTGCAAGGTAAATGATCAGTAAATATTTTCAAACAGCAGAATCAATTATAAATAGTTTTATTTCTTTGAGTATACATTTAGACTTAAAAATGAAGAAAATAGATTGGTCAAAGAATTCTGTTTTGATATTATTATCCATTGATTAGATTATCTAAGTATAAATTTCACTGTGGGAAGCTGTAAGCATTTTCTAAATTTTAAAATAAAAGGCAAGGAATTTAAGTGTCTGCTCCTTTTATTTAAGGAATAAAAAGAGACAAGCTTATTTTTTTATTTTTTATTTTTTGATAGAGTCTCACTCTATTGCCAGGCTGGAGTGCAGTGGTGCGATCTCGGCTCACTGCAGCCTCCGCCTCCTGGGTTCAAGCGATTCTCCTGCTTCACCCTCCCCAGTAGCTGGGATTACAGGTGCCCGCCACCATGCCCAGCTAATTTTTGTATTTTTAGTGGAGACGGGGTTTCACCATGTTGGCCAGGATGGTCTCGATCTCCTGACCTCATGATCCGCGCCCCCCTCGGCCTCCCAAAGTGCTGGGATTACAGGCGTGAGCCACCGCGCCCAGCCAAGCTGATCTTTTAAAATACATTTTATATATGTATACAATCTAAATTTAATTTTCTCTCTTTATCCCTGAATATTTTTTAAAGGTATTCATGTCCTCACTTTTAAAATCCACTTCAATGACAACATCTTAAAAGATATTTGCAGCCGGGCACGGTGGCTCACGCCTGTAATCCCAGCACTTTGGGAGGCCGAGGCGGGTGGATCACGAGGTCAGGAGATCGAGACCATCCTGGCCAACACGGTGAAACCCTGTTTCTACTAAAAATACAAAAAATTAGCTGGGCGTGGTGGTGGGCTCCAGCCGGGGCGACAGAGCGAGACTCCGTCTCAAAAAAAAAAAAAAAAAAAAAAAGATATTTGCAACTTCCTTAAGAATATCTTGGTGTTCCACTGAACAGCTTGCCAAATAATACATTAGCAATACAACTTCCTCATAATGCTTATTTGTTTGATTAAATTTATAAATTTCCTACTCTCAACTCGTAATTTCTTTCAAATATAATACATTCTACTTGACCTTTGTGAGGTTTTCATACCATATATTTATTATTGAAATGGTTTTGATATCCGAATCAGAAGTTTATAATTGTATTTAGACTGTTCTGTAGATTTTTTTTTTTGTTTTGGTTCTGTTGCTTATTGATTACGAAGTGTCTCTGCTACTGAAAAGCTTGAAATATTTTTTCTTTTTTTCTTTCTTTCCCCGTCGTTCCTTCCTTTTTCTGTCCCTTTCTTTTCTCCTTCTTTTTTTCCTTCCTTCCTTCTTTCTTTTTCTTTCTCTTTCTTCTTTCTTTCTTTCTTTCTTTCTTTCTTTCTTTCTTTCTTTCTTTCTTTCCTTCTTTCTTTGTCTTTCTTTCTCTCTTTGTCTCTTTCTCTCTCTCTCTCCCCTTCCCTCTTCCTCCTCCACCCCTCCCCCTCCACCTCTGTCTTCCTCTTCCCCTTCCCCTTTCCCTTCCCTCTTCCCTTCCCTTCTCTCCTTCTTTTTCTTTCTTTCAACAGATTTTGCTCTGTTGACCAGGCTGGAATGCAGTAGTGCTAACAGCTCGCTTAAATTATTTTTTAAGCAGATATTTATCTAACTTACGTTAACCAAATTTCTTTTCAATGTAACCAACATTTCTTTTAAGTGAACAATTAAATATTTACCATGTTTTAGCCTCAACAGTTTACCTTCTGTAGCCTCAACTTCTCCGGCTCCAGCAATCCTCCCATCTTAGCCTCTCGAGTAGCTGGGATTGTGGGTGGTGCCACCATGCCTGGCCAATTTTTGAAATTTTTTGTAGAGATGGGGTTTCGCCATATTGCACAGGCTGGTCTTGAGCTCAGGTGATCTTCCCACCTTGGCCTCCCAAAGTGCAGGGATTCTAGGCATGAGCCACCATGCCCAGGCAAAAGGTTGAAACATTTTCTAAATTTAAAAACAAAGTGCATGACATTTAAATACCTATTCCTTAAAATTTGGAAGACATGTTAACACCATATAAACCCAGAGCATGTATTTTTAGATTAGTAATGTGTAGATAGTTTCCATTTCTTCTAAAAGTAAAACAATACATATTTTGTATTAAGATAATTTTTGATAAAAGAAGGTAAATAATTTTTCACATAAAAGAAATGTGATTACTTTGAAAAGAAATTTGATTAAGGTAAGTTATATGAATTTCTGTTTAAAAAATAATTTAAGAAAAATAATCCCAAAAAGCAGCGGTCATGGCATTTATGAGAGAGAGAGGAAATTTATCTTGTTCTTTCTGTGATAACAAATGTGTATGGATCATGATTTTTCTATAGGGACATAGATTAAAAGATAGCATAAAATTTTATTTTAAAAACAAAGACAACTTTTTGGTACATGTATTAAATGTAAGAACAAACAGCATAAAAAATGAAATTATGCTCATTTTTGGGGTATATTATGGGATACAAACAAGTGGAGAGAGCAGTTTGACAAATAAAATTCTCATCCTGGCTTGGTGTAGGCAGAACCTCACAGTCTGAGAACAACCCCAGTATGTGATATTGTTATGGCATGGCCCCTCCGTATAAAAACTGCTCTCATTCAGTGAGAATTGAAGTAAAAAAATACTGTTAACCTCAACACAGAATGATTGGTTCACCAATTGTGTTATCATTCTATAATGTTTAAAACCAGAATAATTTCAAATTAGATGTGAAATAAGTCCCTTAGAGAAACAAATTCCAAGATACAACCCCCTATCTATCTATATCTATATCTATATCATCTATATCTATATCTATATCATCTATATCTATATCTATATCTATGTCATCTATATCTGTTAGGCCATTTTTGTATTGCAAAAAGCAAGGGCATTCTTCTAGGCCTTCTAAACTTTATAGGATCACACAAACATTGACACAATGGTGATAGACACAGATAGATGTTAATATTATTTGGAAAACAGTTTCATTTCTAGTGTGATGAACAAACAGTTAAGGTGTTGGTGGTCTTAGGCATTATTTCCCAGTAGGGCCCATATTTTTGCATGTGAAAAATAGTTACTAAAGGGAGAGCAAAGAGAGCACTCTCATTGTTCCCAGAGAATTGGACTAGAAAAATATGAAGTCGCATATCTTCATCAGCATTTGTATTTTTTGTCTTTTTGATCATAGCCATTCCAGCTAGGGTGAGATTGTATCTCACTGGGGTTTTGATTTTAATTCCCTCGCTGATTAGTGATGTTGAACATTTTTCTCATATGCCTGTTGGCCGTTTGTATGTCTTCTATTGAGAAAAGTCTATTCAAATTCTTGGCCCACTATTTAATGGTATTATTAGTTTTTTTTGTTGTTGTTGATGAGTTATTTCAGTTTTTAACTTTTCTTATACTGAATATTAGGTCCTTGTCAGGTGAGTAGTTTGCAAATATTTTCTCTCATTCTACACATTGTCTTTACTCTGTTGATTGTTTCCTTTGCTTTTCAGGAGCTTTTCAGTTTAATGATGTCCCATATCTCTATTATTTGTTGTTGCCTCTTGGCCATACAACTTTTATCTAGAACAATGTCCTAAAGAATTGTTCTTCCCCAATGTTCTCTAAGTTCCTTTCTAGTAGTTTTATAGCCTGGGTCTTATATTTGAGTCTTTAATCCATTTTTAGTTGATTTTTTATATGGAGGGGGATAAGTGTCTAGTTTCATTGTTCCGTACATGGATATCCAGTTTTCTCAGAACCATTTATTGAAAATTGTGCCATTTTCTCAGTGTATGTTCTTGGCATCTTTGTTGAAAATCGATTGGCTCTATATGATAGATGGGTTTATTTCTGGGTTGTCTATTCTGTTATATTGGTCTCAGTGTCTGATTGCCAATACCTACCTTCCTGTTTTGGTTACTATAGTTTGTAGTATATTTTAATTCTAGTAGTGTGACATCTTTAGCTGTGTTCATTTTGCTCAGTATTGCTTTGGCTATTCAGGATCTTTCTTGGTTTTATACCAATTTTAGAGGTTTTTTTAAATTTCTGTGAATAATGTCATTGGTATTTTGAAAGGAATTGCATTGAGTTTGTAGATTGCTTTGGGTAGTAAGTTTTTTCATTTAATATTTTCTAAATATAACTCCACTGACTCTGGCTTGCATTACTTCTAATAAGAAATCAGCTATTATCTGGGGATGGTTAATGGGTTAAAATGGTTTTTATATATTTTAATGTTTACATTGCAGATGGTGCTGTCAGTACCTACATAGTATCCCCAAAGTTGACTCCTGTGTGGCAAAGACTAAAATACTTCTTATTTATACATTTAAGAAAAAGTTTACCGAATTTTAAAAAGTAATGAGCACTGAAACATTTGAGCAAATGCTCAACTTCAAGCACAATAGGAGAAATCAAAAATAAAAGTGTAACAAGGTAACTTTTTTATATCTGATAGGTTGGCAAAAATTTGCACTTTCACCAATGAATTCCAATCAATATTTAGGGCTGGCATTGTAAACTGGTGAAACATGTGAAAACAATGGGTAAACATTACAAATGCACATCATTTTGACCCAGTAATTCCACTTCTGAAAATTTATCCTATGATCATATGCACACAATAACTCAAAGGAGTCGGCATAAGGATGCTTGCTGCAGTGTTATTTGTAAGATCAAAATCATGGTGTTAACCATTAGAGGTTGCATGGCTAAAATTCTACTGTGGAATACTCTACAGCCTTAGAATGAATGGGCAGTGCTCTATGCCTAGGATGTTGCAGGAAAGAATAAGAAATGGTGCATGTATGGAATGGTCTTTGACATGGGGGACCAGGACAGGCACCTTACACTTCACTCTCTCCTTTTCCGCTGAGTTTTCCAATCAGCCAAACAGGTTAGGGACAGTGGAAGCCCCTCAGGCTGGGCCTGGCCACCTGCTCTGGCCTCTGAATGCAGCCTGGCCTGACAGCTTGGCTGCGACTTCATGACCAACCCAGGGCCAGAACCACAAAACTAAGCTGCTCTCAATTCCAGATGCACCAAAGTGACAAGATCACAAACACGTGTTCTCTTAATATGCTAACTATTAGGGAGCAATTTTTATGTAACAATAGACAATAAATACAATTTGGTTTTTGAAATATAGTTTCTTGTGGATATTTCAAGTAACAACATGTTGATATAGGTAGGATACACATATAGTAAAATGATTACATTGTTTTAAATAAAATCCATTTAATCAAAGTTTATGAAGCCTAAACTACATGTAATCATGGCTATGTTTACCAATTGACTCATAAAATTTAAATGTTGGATGAAACTAATGTTTGAATATGTATGAAATTCACTCTCACCTTTAGTAGATTAATGAAGATTTCAGCTATAGTAGTATTGATGGCCATGGAAATTACAAATGCTGGATGTCAATGAGGAGGAAGGAATGAACTCAGGTTAACTCTTCCCTGTGGAGCCATTTTGGAAGCTCCCATCCTATAGGGAGACCATCCACTTTTGGAGAGTTTCCAGGACAGGGCCTCAGCGATGTGAGAGAGGGGGATTTTGAGAGAATACTGAGTCTGTCACTCAAAATCTCCCCAGCTCAGCAACCTGAGGTATTGAGGCAAAGAAGAGGAACAAAAATAAGAAAAACGCAGCCAGGTGTGGTGGCGCACGTGTGTATTCCCACCACTTCGGAGGCCAAGGCGGGTGGATCACCTGAGGTCAGAAGTTCAAGACCAGCCTGGCCAACATGACGAAACCCCGTTTCTACCAAATATACAAAAATTAGCCAGGCATGGTGGTGGGCACCTGTAATCCCAGCTACTGAGGAGTCTAAGGCAGGGAGAATTGCTTGAACCTGGGAAGCTGAAGTTACGGTGAGCCAAGATTGTGCCACTGCACTCCAGCCTGGTGACAGAGCGAGACTCTGTCTCAAAATAATAATAATAATAATAATAATAATAATAATAATGAAAAACAACAGCTTCCTCTGGTTCTTAATCCCTCAAAAACATGCTCAGCTCTCACAGTGGTCACTGCTTCAGGACAGAGGTACAGAGGAATAGCCCAGCCAGGAGGGCCATCTTCACGAGAGCATAGTGGACACAGAGTTGACTAAGGTGCAATTTCTTGAAACTCCCTGTAATGACTTCTGTGCAGATTGGCCTGCACAGCGTGGGAGATGAGGATGCATTTAGGGTGAGGGCGCCCCTAAAAACAGCAATGACTTCATGAGTCAGGCAGCTTTTCTCACTATGTGCCTGCATTTGAAGAGCTAGGAAGAGTTGCACATTCATGGACCACAACACACAAGCAACAGGAAGCTGTCACTGTCCTGGATGAGAAATCACAGAGCAGGTTTCCTTTTGGACTTCCTGGTGAGAAAGGAGAGGAGCTGGGAGAGGGGAAATTCTCAAGGTGGTGCTGCAAGAAGCCACTTGCACAGGGTGAGGAAGCATCTTCAGAACAAGAGAGAGGCTGAGAGCCCAGGGCAGGTTTGGGTCTCAATTCCCCATGAACCTGGACCACTGTGGAAAGTGCCACCTCTCCTATGTGAGCTGCAGTAATAATCAGCCTCATCCTCAGCCTGGAACCCAGAGATGGTCATGGAGGCTGTGTTTCCAGACTTGGAGCCAGAGAAGCCGTCAGGGACCCCCGAGGCCTGAATACTGACACCATAAATCATGGGTCTGAGAACTGTGTCACCCGTTGTTTTGGGGCCAAGAGCAGAAAGGCTCTGCAGCAGGTGCAGGCGGGGGTGTGAGTGTCCTGCTATTGGGCCAGAGAAACTGCAGACCCTATCATAATAGAGGAACTGGACAAAGGAACTGAAACCTTCTGCTTAAGGCAAACCTCAACAGGAGAATCCTACTGTAGACCCATGGGATTTAGCAACAAGTCTATGTCATGTGCAGTAGATTATTATTTACCTTTTGAAAACAGCCTCTTCTATGTTCCTGGGCTTTGTTACAACCAGAACCACATGAGACAGCAGTGGCCACACAGCCAGACCTGCCAGATCCCCTCAGTCATGACCTCAGGCAGGGCAAGAAATGATCCACATTGAGATGGAGGTGGCACACGTAGGATGGAGCAGGGGCAGGGCTCAAGGGCACTGTATTCCGCAGAAGCAGGTTCTCCTCTCCATTGTTCCAGCGCCTCTTCCTGGGTTCACACCTGGGTCTGGTGGAGATGGGGCTTCCTGCACCAGGTTACTCAACAGCACCTGTCACCTGAAAGAGTCCTGACCAGCTCTGTCCCATAACAGTATGACACGATCCTCCTGTGACCCCTAGTGTCTGGTCACCACATTAAATATAAAAATATAAGACAAATAAAATTGGATAAATAGTATATTTTATTTATGTCAATAAAGCAAAATACTATCATTTTCACATGTTAACATGAAATTATGAGATGAATTACATAGATTTTCATGGCTATTGTTACTGTTATTTTTCTGGAGATCAATGATTTGGGTTGGGGTTGTAGAAAGGGGTGACATTTGGAGAAGATGTGGAAGGCGGAGATGGGCAGTGTCCATCCTGCAGCTCACCCTGTGGGTGCATCTGTGGTCCCTGCGTGGGGCGAGGATGCTCTGCCTGCCCCAGGTTTCCCTGCAGGGAGATCTGACTCCAACTATCTCTCAACCTAGAGCATGTCAGGCTCCCTTTTCATTCCATAAAAATTCAAGGAACCATCAGATTGGCCATTTGAACATGTACTCTGAAAATTTAGGACAGAAACCAGAATTTTCAGTGGATAGTGGACTCCTCGGGTCGCTGACAGCCCATGTTGGGGACAGCTGGCCATCTTAGATGGGGTTCCCTGGAAGGTGACTGCAATGATTTCCATGCACAGAAGATTTGGAAGAGAGTGAGGGAGGCAACAGTGGGCAGAAGGAGACCCTGACTCATAATGGGGTTGCCACTGAGGCCTCAGGTGTCCGTCCACACAGGGAGCTCTGGAGCTGGGAGGCCCTTCATTCAGTGGCATCTTACATTAAGGCAGGGACTTGAGATCTTGGTTGATTAAACCAAAACCATCTGAGAAAGGACATAAACTTGAGGAAGCTTTCTGCAACCAACAGCGCTTCCCATTGTGGGCACAGCTCTGAGCTGCTGGGCTTCTCAGCAGTGCTAGGTGGGTCACATTGAAGAGGGGACCTGGGCAGACTTCACAGTGTCCCCTCCTCTGGTTTGGTCTGTTGGGAATCACAGACTGCCACACAGCCTGGGGGCCAGGACCTCAGCAGGGTTGGTTCTGGGGACTGAGCCAGATAGCTGGTCTAAGGACTGGCCTCATCCCCACCCCATTACCATCCAGGGGTAAGACAGAGGACAGAGGTTGCTTCTGTCTGTCTTTCCACCCAGGCCCTCATTCTCTAACTCACACGACAGCCCCAAGTCATTAGATGATTCTGGTCCTTCCAGGCCATGTGTATGCCTGATGTATGCTCTATAGAGACTCCTGGAGGGGGCTGGAGGGAAGGGCGGCCTGGGAGGCTCAGATCCAGGTGAACTGGACCAGATTCACTCATGGCTCTATCCATAGGCCTCCCGGGGCTGGAGCAAGAGGGTGACCGAGGCTGGGAGGGTGTTTTTGTCTCACTTCCCCATCTGCCTGTGTCACCGTGGGATGATCACTACTACTGTCCCACACCTGACAGTAATAGTCAGCCTCATCCCCAGCCTCGATCCTGCTGATGGTTAGGGTGGCGGTGTTCCCTGGGTTGGAGCCAGAGAATCGCTCAGGGATCCCTGAGGGCCGGTTGCTATCGCTATAGATGACCAGCACAGGGTCCTGGCCTGGCTTTTGCTGGTACCAGTGCACAGCTTTACTTCCAATGTTGTTTCCCCCACAGGTGATCCTGGCCATCTGTGCTGTGGCCACTGACACTGAGTGTGGCTGAGTCAGCTCATAGGAGGTCGCAGAGCCTGCAAAGATTAAAAAAAAAAAAAAAGGAGAGGATGGCTTTTAGGTAAAAGATCCGTATGAAATCCCCTGCCCTGCTGTCCTGGAAAAGCTTCAGAGAGTCTGTGAACCCTCAGGGTATCCCCTGCAATCAGCCCTAGCCCCAGTGGCCCATGGACTTTCCCTCTGCATGGAGCCTTTGAACTGAAAACCCAGTACTCTCTCCTGGCAGGTGCAGCCCCTCAGGCTCTCACAAGCCTCTGAGCAGAGTTTGAGGGGACTTCAGCTCCGCCAGTCCCTCACCCTGCAGCAGGGTCATGAGCATCCTGCCCACCACAGGCAGGGCCCTCCTGAGCTCATAGTCATGGCCACACTGGACCCAGAGCCCTGGGGATGGGCAGGTTGGTGATACCCTGGGCAGAGCACCTGTGCAGTGAGCGAGGAGGCTGAGGAGGAGAGGGGTCCAGGCCATGGCTGAGGCACTGCTGATGCTGCTTCCTGAGGCCCAGGCTAGGCAGGTTCCTCCCAGACCTCTCTTATCCCCTTGCTGGAGAGAACAGCCCATGATGCAAACCAGCAGAGTCAGGGGTTGCTGCTGGAGGAGCTTTGTGGTTTCCAGAGAAGGGCTCAGTCCCAAGGGACACAGAGAGAGAGAGAAAAGGGGTGACCACTGCTTGCCCACCCCCTCAGCCCATGGGATTCTCCTCCACCCACTGGTCCCATGGTCTGAGTTCACATCTTTACCCAGATTGTGCCCACTTTTGCCCCTGGGCTGAGTTGGTCATGGAAAAACTCAGAGCTGAGTTTCTCTGTATTTTCTAGGGGATATAAAGTCCTTCCTATGGGATAGTGGTTGGCCCTGTTCAAGAGGTTACCAGAGTCACAGTGGTGATGGGGGAATTATCTGGGGTCCACAGTCCCCTCCTCCATTCCATCCTGGCTCAGGAGGGAGGTGGTTAACTTTCTTCTGCTTCTCTAGAAATGTCCTGGTCATAAATATTTTATGTCAGACATGAGATGTTTGGTATAGGCCTAAATTCATTTTGAAGACACAATCCAGAACCCAATGCAGGGACCTTTTACTTCCCACTCTACAGGGGACAGCACAAGCCTTGCACCAGTACAGGCCCCACCCCAGGGCACAGCCCCTCAGTGCTAGAGGAGAATGCAATTCTTGGTTGCCAAGTGCACACAGAGTTTTGGAAGATCCATGGGATGTGATAAGTTTCTACTTGGCTGTGAGTTCTAATGCCAGGTCATAGGTGCTGTGCCTCAGTATCCCCAGGGTGCTGTCAGGGCCAGGGACACATCAGGAGGTGAAGGAAATGTTGGCTTTGTGAGAGAATGAGAGGGGGCTGCAAACTCCAAGACCCTGGAGGTGAATGTTTATTATAACTAAGTTGTCTTCACTTGCTGGGAAAATATATCAATGGATAAAAACTTAAGTCAACAAAAGATTAAGGAGCAAGTATTTTGTGCCTCATAAGGAAATCAAGAGCTGTGATTTGGCAGGTTCCCCAGGACAGTGTTGGGAAAGACTGGGGACAGTGGACGTGGAGGAGTGGCCAGGGAAGGAGAAGCCCCTGTGTCTGCAGGACGAGCTACCAGAGAAAAGGGCAGGGAGGTGGGACACGCGTGACTACAGAATGGAATGGCATGTGTGACAGTGAGATGGGGGCCAGGGCAATGAGAAGAGGCAAATTGTCTGAATCTGTATCAGAAAAATAAGCACCATTTCCAAGAGTCAAATCTGAGAGACAGGAGGTCAGAAGAATTTAAACATCAGTGTCAATGACAAATATTCTAAGAAAAGAGGAACCTCTTTCCCTCCAGGTCTCAGGTCATGGTCACTGACCCTCCCTGCATGTCAGCATCTCCCTGATGCCCAGCTCCACCCCCTTTCCAGGGATTTTTGCCAGGTTACTCTCTGCTGCCCCCAGGTGGCCACTCTACACTGTCAGCTGGAGGCTCAGGGGCCTCCTGGGTTCAGGTGTAGCTTCAGAATCTGCTGCTCAGGTCCCTGATTCCTTGATTCATGGACTGTTGACTTCAGAGAAGAAATTTCTCTTCTGTTTGTGGCCCCTTCCTGCCTCAAACCTGGGCACGAGGTGCTCAGATTCCTGATGGAAATACAAACACTCACATGTGGAGAAGGAGGTGACAGTGCCCTCCTGAGGCTCCCTGCACGTCTGTGTGGTGGGTGGTCTTGAAGGGGGACTGGAGCTTGGTACTGAGAGATGCAGGACTCAGGGGTGGCTTTGATTGGTTCTGGATACAAATACAGGGCCAATGTGCACTGGTGGTGACTCCTGCAATACAACAGAGACAGAAGCTCATTCACCCAACAAATATTCACCCTGACCCACTCTGTCCTGGCAAGAATGCATTTTAGGAATTCAGCATGAGGAAGACACAGTCCTTGCTCTGAGGAGTTTCCTGTCCTGTTGCTGGATCAGTGCAGTAGGCAGATTGGGTTTACAGACCCAGCAGATACTCCCTACCACCTTCTACTTGTGTGTCATCCCCTCTATTCACTTGAAAGTCAGGCAAATTTCCAGTTTCTTCTAGCCAGCAGTGACCATGTAGCCCAGCGTTGGTCCATAGGATGTAAGAGTCAGATGGCTGAGATTCTTCTCAGGAAACTTTTCCTCTTATGAAGGAAGGACTAGATTGGGTTTGTGCTTTGCTTTTTCTCTTGAACTTGGGTGTGATAGCTGGAGCTGCAGCAGCCATGCTGAGGTCTTACATCAACAACAATGAAAACAAAGTCAACATCTCATTGAAAGGGAATGGAGAGGTAGAAATATTTGAGCTTCCTATGGAACTGGAGAGCATCTGGAAAACAACCACCAAGCACGTGCAGACTTATTTTTGTGGAAGAAAATTGGAAGCTCCCTGGTTCCTGCCACATGTGTTCTTGTAGTGAAAAAGCATTTCTGACTGATAATGCAATGATTAATAGAAATAAATCAGTCAAAAGATAACGATAGAAAAAACAAATGTGTAATTGTAAGCTCTATGCAGCTAATCATTGAAAGTTCTGACAGAAGCTGACTGGCTGGCTGCTGTAGCTTCAGTGATTGGAGAAGGCCTCCCTGAAGAAGAGTCTGTGGAGTTCCTTTGAGGAAGGAGTGAAGAGACAAGTGATGGAAGCGTGTGCAGGGAGCTGTGTCTGTGCCCTGCGGAGAAGGGTCTTGGGTGTGTGAGGATCTGAAAGGACAGTGGGAAGCCTGAAGGGGATCTGGGATGTAAACCAGTTCAGGTCAGATGTGACATTTGCCCATAAGTGAAGAATTTGGGGACAGGCAGGATGTGTAGTGTGTGAAATTCACAGGTAATAAATTAGGTGATCTGGGGCAGCATAGCAAACAAAATCACTCTTGACCTCCAGGAAGATGCTACTGTGTGGGGACAGGTGTGGCTTGCAGTAGCCCTACTGCGTGGAAACAGTCCTGCTGCCAACAGTGAACACTGACATCCTGGGGGCTACTTTTTACAAAATTCTTCACAAGTCTTGTCAAAGGATCCTGGTTTAGAAATGCTGGCTGGAGACAGTTGACAATCAAATATGAGCATGAGAAATTTGAGTATTCTTCCCAGCAACAAATTAGCAGATTCAACAGACATTCCTGCAACACTGGAAATGTGTGACCTTGGACCAGACAGGATATCATTGTTAATTAGAGAAGAGAGAGAGAGAGAAAGTTGAGTTGTAGCATATAGAACAGAGAAAGTGGTGCTTAGTACACAATTCTTTGACCAGGTTCCAGCCCTTCCCTAGTTCACCTGGCCCTACGGACACTCAGCGAGTGGTTCCTGGTCCCTCCCCTCTACCCGATGCCAACCATGCAGCCCTGTGGGGACCTAGCCTGCTGCCTGTGTGTCTGGTCCTTAGCCAGCTTTCTGGGGCCCCATGTGGGTGACCCAGCACTGCTTTCCCTGAAGTTCTAGAGAATTGCTGACCCAGGAGCAGATAATTCAGGGAGTGCACTTGACAAGGAAAGGAAGGGCCTGTGAGAGGGACTGACAATTCCAAGGTCTCTGGGGAAGGAAGAAAGAAGAGCGAGATCAGAGAAGTTTTAGACCCATAATGATGAGCTCTTCTGAGTGTCCTGGGACCAGCTTGGGCTTGGGGAGGGGACGTGGGAAAATCCTGAGCCAAATTTTTGAGGCCCTGATGCAAACAGCTTCCCCTCGTCAGTTCCTCCAGCTGCCTGTCGGGAGCGCTGCTCTACCTCGACGTGGAGCCAGTCAGGGTCTGGGAGGGCAGCCAACTCCATGCACTCATTGGCTGATTGCAGCCCAAAGTAAAAGACTCCAGATTTTAATCAAACATTGGCCTTTTAATGATCTTTTAACCTGACAAAATTTTTAATACAATGTTTTAGGTTTAGGAATCCCCCCATAAAAATGATCTATCTAAGTTAATGTTCAATTAGCTCAACTTATAAGTTGAAGATATATTACTACAATGGTATTTCTCAGTGCTTTTTTGAGCAGGGTATCATTTTCTTTTCTGTTTTTTTTTTTTTTCCATTTCCACGAGTTATGGCCATGAATACAAGCCATGAACATTGATACAGGAAGCCTGTGCTTTTCCTATTCAACACATCCCACACCTGACATGCTTACCTTATGTAAGTGTCCTACAGTGAATTTTGAAAAACATTGGCTGAAGCAATAGCCAGAGAAATGTCACCTACGGTATGATTTTACCCAAGAGTCACACAAGGTATTTTCTCATGGAGCAAATAGATGATGCTCACATGCAGGTGACCCTGCACGGGTGTGACTGAGTCATTCTGGGTCAGATGTGAGCTGAGCACGTTTCCTTCCCACTGACCAAGGTGGCTTCTGCCCTGCTCACCCCTGGGAGAAGCTCCCTCTCTACTCCTGGCTCTTCATGCCGGGAAGATGCTCCTCCTTTTGGGAATGCAGAGCTCAGGCTGTCACGGGAGAATGAGAAGACCTTGTCTGGGGGCTTTGAACTTCCCAGAATCACAGGTCTTTGTTCTTCTCTGAAAGCAAAATTATCAGGGAGCAGAATATCAGAGTAAGGGCCACTTACCTGCCCCAGGTTGTACTGAAAAGACTTTCCTAGTGCACATCTCCTAGGAGGTTTCCAGGAGCCTGAGACTGGCTGAGTCAGTCCTCACTGAGGCCCAAGCAGCAGGGAAATGTGTGAACCTTCCCTCTTCTGTCGTGGTTCACCAAAGATTTAGTTTTCTTTGAAATCCCAAAATCCTGTCACTTGAAATTTGGAGCCTTGCAGAGATGTGTTCACTGCTTCAAGTGGTGGAAAGTCTCCAGATGGACGAGTTCCTGCATCCGTCTGCACTTTCAAAAGTCTCTAATTTAGAGCTCAGCCATGTTTGTAGAGCAGAAGCTCTAATAAAGTAGGTGTGTAAGAGTGTGTTAGATAAACAAGGGAGATGGTGAGAGAGAACATGAAAGCTTCCCAATCCCCTTCACCTCTGACCCCCGTGGTCCACATCTCCCAGGAACATACAGATGAGAAGGGCATGGACAGCAGAGACAGAGGGCTGGAAATTCCATGTTTAGAGCCAGAAGTTTCTTCAGCTTCCTGTTCCACCAGCAGATCTAATCCCCTTATTCTCATCAGAGATAAGGTGTCCTCAGCCACCTTCTGTCTCTCTGTGTGACTCAGTGTCCAGCAGCTATGAATGACCTTTTTCTTGAGAATCAAATTCAGATGTAGACTCAGCAGTGGACACGGTCCTCCCAAGCACAGGGATCAGAGTCAGCAGCACAGAATCTGCCCCGTGAGCACAGTGTGCACAGCTCCACTGCACACCCAGCATAGCCCTACTGCGTGGAAACAGTCCTGCTGCCAACAGCGAACACTGTCATCTTGGGGGGTACTTTTTACAAAATTCTTCACAAGTCTTGTCAAAGGATCCTGGTTTAGAAATGTTGGCTGGAGACAGTTGACAATCAAATATGAGCATGAGAAGTTTGAGTATTCTTCCTGGCAACAAATTAGCAGATTCAACAGACATTCCTGCAACACTGGAAATGTGTGACCTTGGACCAGACAGGATATCATTGTTAATTAGAGAAAGAGAGAGAGAGAGAAAGTTGAGTTGTAGCATATAGAACAGAGAAAATGGTGCTTTTCTTTCCATTTTTACCAGTTGTGTGATTTCAAAATTAAACTAGTATTACTTTGCTTCCTGAGCATGCAATATTTTTATTATGGTAAAATAAACATAACAAAATGTTTCATCCTTTTAATCATTTTTAAGTGTGTAATTAAGCGGCAGTAAGTACAGTAAAAATGTGCAAACATCACCATTAGCCAACCCAAGAGCTTTTAGTTCAGCGCACAAAGAACCTCTATCTATTAGACAGCACTTTAGAAACTTTGGACATTGTGGACAAAATGACGAGTGTGTGATAAAAAGAAAATCCCAAGGATGAACCAAAGACGGTGTTTGCACTTCACCCCCAGCTTCTGTGGAATCTCAGTGCAGTAGGGGGTGTGCCTCATCCAGGAACCCAGATGAGACGCAGCCCCTGGGGCCTTTTCTGGGCTGTTTCTTCCCAAGGAGCAGAGGAATTTCAACAGGATTGTGGCCTCTGAAACAGCTCTCTCCTCTCCTGCAGTACGTGTGATTACTTCTGGGGTCCTCACTTTCAGTTTACTGGACTGATCTCTACAATAGTTGAATGATCCTGGAAGATGAATTTGGATTTGTACAGACCCAGATGGGCAATAGTGGCATTAGCAATATCTGTGCCAGATGGGGATCTCCTGGAACAGAATGCTATGGCTGCAGGTGCACAGTTAAACCACTGAAGCAGATACTGAGGTCTTGTCTATTGTCCTCAGAGAATAGGATCAGAATCAGTGTGCATTCACGTGGAATGGACAACAGTATACATTCACACTTTTTCTGCCCAGCTTCATTAGCTCTCCCTTCCCTATCATGATATCATCATGGGGGCTCAGACCATCTGGATATCATAGTTCAATCACATGTACATGATGGGCACGGCCTATTGGAAGCTTTTGTGAGATCCATGCACTTTTGAGAGTGGGAAATAAACAAAGATGTTTCCTCCTCCATATTAGCTGAAATTGGGACTTTAGTTGTCTGGAGCAGCTGAGAGTCTCCTACAAAATAAACAACACGTTATGGCCGAGCGCGGTGGCTCACACCTGTAATCCCAGCACTTTGGGAGGCCGAAGCGGGCAGATCACGAGGTCAGGAGATTGAGACCATCCTGGCTAACACGGTGAAAACTCATCTCTACTAAAATAAAAAAATACAAAAAAATTAGCCGGGTGCGGTGGCGCGTGCCTGTAGTCCCAGCTACTAGGGAGGCTGAGGCAGGAGAACGGTGTGAATCTGGGAGGTGGAGCTTGCAGTGAGCCAAGATCGGGCCACTGCACTCCAGCCTGGGCTACAGAGCGAGACTCCATCTTAAAAAAAAAAAAAAAAAAAAAAGATGTTATTATAACCTTCAATTTTCCCCAGGAAGAAAGAGACACAAGGCCTATAAGATCTAGGAGTAGCATATTTTACTACTGGGGATGTGACTCCAATCCATGTATCAGGAGCCATAAATGTCACCCATTGTTTTCCAGGCCCAGAGCAGGAAGGCTCTGCAGCAGGTGCAGGCAGGGTTGTGAGTGTCCTGCTGTTGGGGCCAGAGAATCCAGCAGACTCCACCATGGGAAATAAAACCTCCTGCACATGGCAAACCCCGTTGGAGAATCCCAATGTAGACTCCTGGGTTTTTGGAAGAAGGCCATGTCATGTGCAGTAGAGTGTTACTCCCCTTTCTAAAAACAGCTTCTTTTGTCTTACTGGGCCCTGGGAGAGACAGGATAACACTGGACATCAAGTGACCATGTTGCCAGAAATGCGATTTCCCCCCAGTTGTGAGCTCAGGCAGGCCAGGAGTGGTCTCTGGTGAGATGGATGTGACACATCTAGGTTAGAGCAGGGTCAGGGCTCCAGCACTCAGTCACCTGCATAAACAGCTGGTCCACACCCATATTCTTATTTCTCTTCCACCAGTGCCTCTCCGTGGCTTCACACATATGTCCTATGGGTGGAGATGGGGCTTGCTGAAGCAGGTTACTCCAAAGCACCTGTCATGTGAAGGGGTAAGACCAGATCAGCATTGTACAATCACAACATGATGTGAGTCTCATGTGAATCCTATTGTCTAGTCACCATAGTAGACATAAAAAATAAAAAGGTAAACTAGGTTCAATAATATACTTTATTTAACACAAAGTGTGAAAAATAATATTTACACATGCACACAATCTAAAATTATTTATGAGATTTTTATAGAAGTTTTCATAGCTACTATATTACTATTTCTGTGCCTGAAAATCTATTACTATTACTATTACTATTTTGTTACTATTATTTTATTATTATTATTATTTTGTTACTATTATTATTTTGGGGAGATTCTTTATGTTGAGATTGTGTGGTTGATGGAGGTTTGAAGGAGTCTGACAAGGATGAGCTGTGCTGGCTTCGTAAGTGTCAACTTTGATAAGCTGAAGGAGGGGTGAAAGAGTGATTGTTTGTGCAGGATGTGCAGGATGGAGGTGGGCAGCATCCATCCTACAGCTGCCCCCGTGGGAGCATCTCTGGTCCCTGCATGGAGTGAGGCTGCTCCCTTTTCCGTGGAATCCTTGCAGGAAGATCTGCCTCCACCTCTCCTTCAGGACTCAGAGCACCTGGCATTTCAGGATCCCTTTTCATTTTATAAGAATACAAGGATCTCTCAGAAATCGTTGGGCATTTGGATGCTCACAGTGGAAATTTAGGAAATTCGCTGATGCATTCCAGGGTATAGTGGCCACCTCAGGTCTATGGTGGCTCATTTTGGTGACAGCTGGCCGTCTTAGTTTGGGTTCCCTGAAAGTAGACTTTGAGATAAACATTTTCATGCACAGAGAATCTGAAAGGAGTGAGAGAAGCATCACCCACCAGAAGGAGACCCTGACCCATCATAAGATTGCAACTGAGGCCTCAGGCATCCACAATGGGAGGTCTGGAGCTGGAAGGCCTTTCAGTGTCATCCTGTATTAAGGCGGGGCCTTGGGTTCTTGGCTCAGGCAGTCATCAAACCAAAACTCTCAAAACTGAGCCTAAATATGAGAAAGGAAGTTTTCTGGAAACAATAGCACTTTCCTGTGAGGGCACAGCTCTAAGCTTCTAGAAGCTCCCAGCAGTTGAGGGTGGGTGAGCTCAGAAAAGCATATCTAGGCAGATGCCACAGTGCTTTTCCTGTTCCTCTGCTTTTCCTGTTCAAAATCCCAGGCTGCCATGGAAGCCTGGAAGCTCAGGTGTTGAGCTGAGCTGGGCATTTTTGGGGACTGATGTAAGATATTTGGAAGGAGTGACCCAATCACCATCGTATGGAAATCTAAGGCCAAGTGATTGTTCTCTACATCTCTCTCATCTTCCATCCCGTTCTTATTTCCCCAAGTCACTTCAGGGGCCTGAAAACACAAGAAAATTCTGATTATAGCAGCCCTAAATCCACTCCTGCTCTACCCTCTGCAGCACCAACCTGTAGGGCTGAACAAAAGGATGGCCTGGAGGTCTCATATCCAGTAGAACTTGGCCAGACCTGCTCATGGCTTGGCCCACAGTCATCCTGGTGCTGGAGGAAAAGATGAGACAGATGAAAAATGGATTTGTGTCTCACTTCCCCATCTGCCTGTGTCACTGTGAGATTGTTCTAATCACCAGAAAAACAGTAATAGTCAGCCCCGCCTTTGGTCAGGACCCTGCTAATGGTCAGGGCGGTTGTGTTCCCTGAGGTGGACCCAGAGAATCGCTCAGGGATTCCAGAGGGCCGCTCACCATCTTTATATATCACCAGCACAGGGGCCTGGCCTGGCTTTTGCGGGTACCAGTCAGCATAATTATCCCTCAGTACATCTCCAGAGCAGCTGATCCTGGCTGTCTGTCCTGGGGACACTGACACCGCGGGTGGCTGTGTCAGCTCATAGGAGGCCACAGAGCCTGCAGGAGAGGAAAGGAGAGGGGGCTTGAAGATAACAAACACATTTCCAGTGGTGTCACCCTGAGGCTATGCCTAGGCTGAGCTCAGGGTTCAGGGCAGGACCAGCTCAGGATCCTGTAAGGGCTGAGCCTAAGGCAGGGTTGGGGGCATCACCTTTGTAGAGGGTGAGGAAGGAGAGGCAGAGAGGGGGTCCAGGCCATGGTAAGACACCCAGAGCTCTGCCTCCTGAACCCAAAGCACAGGTGGGCTTCCCAGGCCTCGCTTATTTCCTCTCAGGCCTAGTGGGGCAGTGCATGTTTGGTGTTTACACAAATTTACTTCTCCTGGACTCCTCTTGGTGGGATGTCACTCAACCCAGATCTGGGGGACACAATTCAGCCAAGAACTCTCTACCCTGCAGACCCCAAAACTCATGTATTTTTCACTTGTAAAACACATTCACCCCATCCCAGTGACCCAAATCCTGAACTAACTCAGCACCACTCTAAGACCAAACTCTCATTTGCGTATCATCCAACTGAAGTGTGGGTGATTCTCCAGGGTGATTCATCCTGAGGATTTAAAGAATAACAGCTTTGGGGCTTCACCTCCTCTCTCCTGTTGTCATCTGGGTGTTTAGGAATGTCAAATTTCCCACTTTATTTGCTAAGATTAGAAGAGAAGAGTGAGTAAGCACCAGCAACATCTGTGAGGTATATGTGGAGAAATCACATCTGTCCACTCTTGAACTAACTTACCTAAGTTAAATACCCATTAATTGAATTTATTAATCAGTAGCCATAGGATATGTGGGGAAATCACATCTGTCCACTCTTGAACTAACTTACCTAAGTTAAATACCCATTAATTGAATTTATTAATCAGTAGCCATAGGATATGTGGGGAAATCACATCTGTCCACTCTTGAACTAACTTACCTAAGTTAAATACACATTAATCTAATTTATTAATCAGTAGCCATAGGATATCTTTGCCAGTGTTTAGAAAAAACAGAACTGATACAGAAAATAGAAAAAATATCACAAGTTAAATTGTTCTAAGAGAAGAGTATGTCCTTATTAAGAAAGATAATTCACAAAAATAGTCTAAAGAAAATTCATCTCATATGCATATTAAAATACTATTTCCAATGTTAACGTTAAGCATCCACATTTTGATGTGCAAATAGAGACTCTCTAATGGTTATACAAAGTGCATTATTTTTTTCTATTTGATATTGACATTTTGTTTAGGTTCCCTTGTAGGGTGAGGGTGATCTTGACTGTAGGGAAGAAGGATGTTCCATGGGAGGTTTCCTTACACACACACACACACACACACACACACACACACACACACACACACATAAAATAATAATTTGCAGCAGAAACATATTTCCACCAAAAAGATCCTGTTCTTTTCCTGGCAGCTTGGCTTGGGGTCTTTATAGTTTTAACATCTCAAGCTCTCTTCCTTATCCCATTGTTAAATTCTGTTCTAGAATTTTCATGGATTATAAAAACATTCAATACATTTAAAACTTAAACTATTTGTTTATTTGTCATTCTCAGAACCTCCATGTTCTCTTCTGTTTTTGGCTGCAGTCAAATGCTGATATTAGTAACCTTCTCTCTGAGCCTGCCCTGGATATTCCAGCTTTGGTACAAACTATCTTGCCCACATGCCCATCCCTCTCTCTCAGACTTTTGCCTTAGGAGGAGTCTATTCCTGATAAATTAAAGCTCTCCCAAAACTCGGAGCAAGCAATGCAGATAAATGTTATGTGATTGTGACACGGGGTTGTCTTAAACCCATGATACAATCAAATAGATGATGTGAGCATGTTCTTATCCAATGAAAGACCTCAGGCTAATACAGGAGGTGAAATACAGTGACCCTCACAGAGAGATTCCCACCTAGATCATATTCTGGTGGAATTTTCAACCCTCAGATAACCCTACAAACCAGGGACTGTTCAACCACATCCTGTGGCCATCCCTGGCCTGACACCTGTTTTTGTATGGCCTAGAGCTGACAGTGGCTTTTATCATTTTAAATGGTTACATTGTAAATGATGCTATACATACCTATGGAATATCCCCAAAGTTGATTCTTGAGCCACAAAGACTAAAATACTTCCTTTTAAAATTTATTTTTATGTTCTTTAATTTAATAGAGATGAGAGTTCACTGTGTGGCCCGGACTAATCTCAACTCCTGGGAGCAAGCAATTGACCCATCCTACCCTTCCAACACACTTGGGATTACAGGCGTGAGCCACGGTGTCCGGCCACGAAGATTAAAATTCTTCTTATCTGGATATTTAAGAAAAAGTTTCCCAAATCCTAAAAAAGAAAAAGTACTGAACTATTTCTGAAAAGGCCCAAACTTAAGCAGAACAGGAGACTCAAAAATAAAACCATAACAGGTATCATTTTTGAGTCTGACAGGTTGGCAAAAACTTCCACTTTCAACAATGTACTCTGAACAAGTACTTCCGGCTGGCATTGAAAATTGGTAGAATCCCTCTGGAGGGGAATCTGACAACAACGGGTGAAAATTACACACACACATCTTTCTGACCCTCAATTTCACTTTTAGAAATGAATCCTGTGGTCATATTCACACAGGAACTCAAAGGAGGCTGCACAGGGATGTTCGCTGCATTGTTATTTAAGATCAAAGTTGTGGCGATAACCATCAGAATGTAGTTGCTAAAATTCTACCCACAGTGTGGGAGATGGTGATGCATGTAGGGTGAAGACATCCCTGAAAAAAGCAGTGACTGCATCAATCAGGAAGCTCCTTGTCACTGTCCCTGCATTTGAAGAGCTAACAAGAGTTGCACATTCAGGGACCGCGGCACACAAGCATCAGGAAGCTGTCCCTGTCCTGGATGAGAAACCACAGAGCGGGTTTCCTTTTGGAATTCATGGTGGAAAGGGAAGGAGCTGAGAGAGAAGAATTCTCAAGGCCGCACTGCAGGAAGCCGCTTGCACTGGGTGAGGAAGCATCTTCAGAGCAAGGAGGGGGCCTGAGAGCCCAGGGCAGGTTTTGGTCTCAGTTCCCCAGGAACTTGGACCACTGTGGAGAGTGCTGCTGCTTGTATATGAGCTGCAGTAATAATCAGCCTCGTCCTCAGCCTGGAGCCCAGAGATGGTCAGGGAGGCCGTGTTGCCAGACTTGGAGCCAGAGAAGCGATTAGAAACCCCTGAGGGCCGATTACTGACCTCATAAATCATGAGTTTGGGGGCTTTGCCTGGGTGCTGTTGGTACCAGGAGACATAGTTATAACCACCAACGTCACTGCTGGTTCCAGTGCAGGAGATGGTGATCGACTGTCCAGGAGACCCAGACACGGAGGCAGGCTGAGTCAGGGCAGACTGGGCCCAGGACCCTGGAAAGAGGGAGAAACACATGCCAGTGAGTCAGTGCTGGGCCCCGGTGAGCCTGAGGAGCAGGAGACCAAGGATCAGCCCAGAGGTCCCTGAAGCCCCTTCCCTGGAGGCGTCACCTGTGCCCTGAGTGAGGAGGGTGAGGAGCAGCAGAGCCCAGGCCATGGTGGAGATGTCCTGAGAGCGCTGCCTCCTGAGACCCCAGCACTGGGCCTGCCCCCAGCCCTGTCTTATCTCCTCTGCCAAAGAGGAGGGTGGGGCCTGCATGCAAATCTCCACCTTGAGCTCCTCCCTTCACCCCACCCTCACCTGGGCCTGGGCTCAGAGGCTTCTGCTTCCTTGGATAGTGGAGCTCAGCTGAGATTAAAGTCCTTGTTTATCTATTCTGATGGCAGGATCTTAATTTTTTTGTACCTGATTTGCTCAGGAGAAAGATCTGCTGAAGTCCCTTACCTGAGTGATCTTCTGGCCCTCAGTGTCTCTGCTGTGTGGTGCCTGTGTCTCTGTGACCCTCCAGGCCTGGGCACACCCTGCAGTGCCCTCTGCTTGGCACCCACCTCCAGGTTGTCCCTACTGTCAGGAAATGGGGCAGCCCGCCCCGTGGAAACCTCTGCTAGGTGGCATTGGTCCTGAGGGCCGCAGTCCTGAGACCGAGTCCACTGCTCCCAATCCTTCCCCTGCCACTCACAAGCAGGTGACTTGTCCTTCCCAGCCTCTGGTTCTCAGCCTGAGAAATGGGGACCACAGAGTCCACTCTGCACACAGGTGATCCATGGGGATATGAGCCAGCAGGGGAAAGGGAAAGTTTGTTAACAGGCATTTCTGTGTTCACCAGAGTGATATTTATTGTGAGTGTTTGATTTATTAAAAGATTTACTTCCATTTTACTGTGATTTATGTGTCAGGTCACAGAGATGTGTGTTTCATGCTTTCTTGCTTTCCCCCAATGGAGTACATCCTCAGGACAACCTAAAGCTGACCGCTGTCAACCCTGAGACACTGAAGACACTCAGACATTCGAGAAATACAATTTTGGTTTTTTCCTCAAAATAATTTTAATATCTTTTCCTCCTTCCCCATTGCCTATGACAAATTTTTTTAATGATTCATATTAAAATAAATATTAATGAATTTAAGTTCCTTTTAAATATAATAACATACATTATCCTGTCTTCCCACCTAGAGTCATCTCTGAAACCATGACAAGTGCATAGAGCAGCTATTTGAGCACCAGGAAAGGAAATGGTACGCAGCAGTTTGGGATGGCCCCAGCAGATGAAATACAACAGGGTCGGTGTGAGACTTCTGGATTTCCTCTGTGTCCCCTGGCTGGGATCCAGACAGCCTCAGGCCTGGAGGGGCACAAACCTGAAAACAAAAAGAAGTCCGGAAAGTCCTCTTGCTCAGGATTGAAGATAGGAAAAGAAGCTTGTTTGGCTCAAAGTGAAGGCTCAGTCCCCTGCACAAGCAGGTGGTTCACACCTGTGTTCTCATCTCTCTTACACCAGCGCCTCTCCCTGGGTTCACACCAATGTCCTATGGATGGAGATGGGGCTTCCTGCACCAGGTCACTCCTCAGCCACTGTAACCTGAAGGGGTGCAGACCAGCACTGTTCATTCACAATATGATGTGAGCCTCATGGAAATCTGAATGTCTAGTCATCGCATTAAAAATACAAAGGGAAGAAGTAAATGAGTTAAATAATTTACTTTATTTACCTAGCATATCAAAATAGTATCACTTTCATATGCAATCTAAGTACAATTATTTGAGACATCTTATATATATACTTTGCATGGCAAGTGTTATTATTTTTTGAAGAATCTTTATGTGGAGATTGTGTGGCTGATGGAGATGTGAATGGGTTTCCTGTTGACAAGGGTGGGCTGTGGTGGCTTTTTAAGTGTCAACTTTGATAGGCTGAAGGAGGGGTGGAAAGAATGATTTTTTGCACAGAATGTGGAGGGTGGAGGTGGGCAGTGTCCATCCTGCAGCTCACCCTGCAGGTGCATCTGTGGTCCCTGCATGGGATGAGGCTGCTCCTCCTGCCCCAGGTTTCCCTGCAGGGAGATCTGACTCCAACTCTCCCTCAGACCCCACAGTGCCTGGCATGCCAGGGCCCTTTTCATTCCATACAAATGCAAGAAACACTCAGATCTCATTGGGCATTTGCAAACTCACAATGATCATTAGGAATAAACTGGTGCTTTCTGGTATACTGTGGCCTCCTGAGGTTCCTGATGGCTCACGTTCGGGATGACTGGTTATGTTATTTTGGGATGCCTGGAAGCAGACTCTGAGATGGAGCTTTGCTTTCACAGTAGGTGTGAAACTAAGTGAGGGAGGCAACACCGGGCACAAGGACACTCTGACCCACATTGAGTCTTCTACCATCCCAATAAGGAGCTGTGAAGCTGGGAGGATTTTCTGTTTCTCCCATATTGAAAGGGAGTCTTGAGAGCTTCACCTCAGGCAGTTATGAAACCACACCTTGCTAAGAAGGGGCATAAACCTGGAGGAGACAGTTTTCTCTGCTGACAGCCCTTCTCAGTGAGGGCACAGCTCTGAGCTGCCAGAGCTACCAGCAGTGCTGGGTGGGTGAGCTCAGAAGAGGGAATATGGGTGGATCCCACAGTGTCCACTCCACTGGTTTTCCTGAAGAGAATGGCAGGATGCCACGGGAACGTGAGCTGGGCAGTTCTGGAAACTGACTCAGGATATTCAGCCCAAGGACTAGCCTTCACCCCCTATGGAAATCCAGAGCCCAACTAAGCATGTCGACCTTGGTCTGATCTTCCAACCAGGCCCCACTTCCCCAAATCACAACTGATTCCTCCACACCTCAATATATCCTGGTCATCTCAGCCCTAAATTCACTCTTGATGCCCCCTCTGCAGAGCCTGCCTGGAGGGCCTGTGGAAAGGGCAGCCTGGGGGTCTCACATCCAGGTTAACTGGGCAACACACACTCATGGCTTTGTCCACTGTCTTCCTGGGCTGGAGGACAAGAGTGACACCAATGGAAGAGGTTTTTGTGTTTTGCTCCTTCATCTCCCTGTGTCACTGTGGGATGAGGAGTGCTAATGTCCCACATCTTACAGTAATAGCCTTGTCCCCACCCTGGGTCCTGTTGATGGTCAGGGTGGCCACGTTCCCCAAGTTGGAGCCAGAGAATCTCTCAGAGATCCCTGAAGGCCGCCCGCTATCCCCATAGATGACCCACACACGGGCCTGGCTGGCTTCTGCTGGTACCATTGAGCACTTTTACTTCCAATACTGCTTTCCCCACAGGTGATCCTGGTCATCTGTCCTGGGGCCACTGACGCTGAGGGTGACTGTGTCAGCTCATAGGTGACAGAGCCTACAAGGAAAGAAAAGGGGACAGAAAAAACTTGAAACTGAGGGTCTCAACCCAAGGATATCTGGCTACTTGCCAGGGCTGGAGTGAGCCCCAGGAATAAAAGAGCTCTCAGGGCACCTATGAGCACAGGAGCACAGAGTGGGGGCATTTCACCCCAACCAGCCCCTCCCCCTGCAGCAGGGTCACGAGCATCCTGCCCACCACACACAGGGCCCTGCTGAGCTCAGACTGACGGCCAGGCTGAACCTGGAGGCCTGGGGCTGGGCAGGTGGGTGAGACCCTGGGGGCAGCACCTGTGCAGTGAGTCAGGAGACCAAGGAAAAGAGGGGCCAGGCCATGGCTGAAGTGCCTCCAATGCTGCTTCTCAAGTCTGAGGCTGGGCAGGCTCCTCCCAGGTCTCTCAACCCCTTGTTGGAGAGAAGGGTCCATGATGCCAATCAGCAGAGTCAGGGGCTGCTGCTGGAGGAGCCTTGTGATTTCGAGAAGGGCACAGCCCCAAGGGACCCAAAGAGGTTAGGGGTGACCTTGCCCTCCCACCCTTTGCCCACAGGATCTCCTTTATGAATTGATTCCATATTCTCTGCACACATCCCCACATCACACTGTGCTCAGCCTCACTCCTGGGCTCCCTTGGTCACAGCAGAGCTCAGAGGTGACTTTGTCTGTATTTACAAAGGAATATGAAGTCCCTCCTATGGGATGGGTTTTGACCTGGTCTGGGAGGTGACCATAGAGTCATGCTGGTAACTGTGGAATTATCTGGGGTCCCCAGTCCCCTCCTCCATTCTATCTTGGCTCTGGAGGGAGGTATTTCATTTTGGTCTAGGCCTCTAATGTGTCCTATCATAAATATTTTATGTTAGAGAGGACATTTCTGGTGTAGGTCTAAATCTATTTTTAGACAGTACTTTCCAGAACCCAATGCAAGTTCCCTCTTCGTCTCCACTGTACAGGTGATAATGCACACCTTGGACAGGTGCGGGTCCCACCACAGCCCACAACCTCTGAGTGATAGAGGTCAATGAAATTCCTTATTTGCCAAGTGCGCACAGAGTGTTGGAAGATCCATGAGATGCTGGAAGTTTCTGCCTTGGCTGTGAGCTTCTAGGTAGGTCATTGCTGCTGTGCCTCAGTATCTCCAGGATGCTGTCAGGACCAGGGACAGATGAGGAGGTGAAGGAAATGTTTGCTCCATGAGAGAATGAGAGGGGGCTGCAAACTCCAAGATCCCCAGAAGTGAATGTTTATTATAAATATGATGTCTCCAGTTGCTGGGGAAAATGTATCAATGGATAAGAACTTAAGTCAACTAAAGGTTAATGAGCAACTATTTTGTGACTCACCAGGAAATCAAGAGCTGTGATTTGGCAGCTTCCCCAGGAGAGAGTCGGGAAAGACCAGGGACGGTGGATGTGGAGGGGCAGCTAGGAAGTTAGAAGCCAGCCACTATGTCTGCAGGACAGGGGTTCCCAGATCAAATGGGAGTAGGGGGATACCTGTGACCTCAGAGAGGACACTGCACATGAGGGGGATGCAGTTTTAGCACAACTGGGTGTGGAGGAGGGGGCGTTGTGAGAAGTCAAGTGCCTGGATCTGTGTCAGACAAAGAGTCAGCATGCAAAAGAGCTGAAGACAAAATGTGATTCTAGAATTTTTACATCAGTGTCAAGGACAATACTCTAGGACAATAAAGACCCTTTCCCTCTAAATCTGAGGTGGTGGTCACTGGCTCTTACTGCATGTCAGCATCTCCCTATCACCCAGGCCTGCCCCATCCCCAGGTCGCTTTGCCAGTTGATTCTCTGCTTCCCCCTGGTGGCTGCTCCACACTGTCGGCTGGGAGCTCAGGGACTTCCGGGGTCTAGGTGTGGATTCAGAACCTGCTGCTCAGGTCCTTGATGCCCTGATCTGTGGACGGCTGGTGCCAGGGGAGGAAGTCCTCTTCTCTGTGTGGCCCCTGCCTGACTCAAGACCAGGTACAAGGGGCTCAGCTTACCCAAGAAAATGCAAATATATATATATAGAGAAACAGTGAAACAAACCCCAATCATATTGGAGAACAGTAACTTGTAAACCTGTAACAGGCATTGTGAGGGGAAGAGCTGGCTCAACACCCTGCAGTGAAGAGTCTGCTCTGTGTGGGGACTGGAAAGGATAGCGGAAACCTGAGGGATCTGGGACCCAGATCAGTCCCTGTCTGATGTGATATCACCTTGTAAATGAAGAGCTGGAGGCAGATGTGTTGTGCAGTCGGGTGTAAGGTGGAGAATTTCCTGTTTATGCTCAGGTGATCTGTGAGGGGCTGGGCACACACACCCCCTCGTGGTCCACAGGATGCAGTTGCTGATGCTGGGACTGGTTAGATACAGGTGCGCTCAGATAGGCCCTTCACCTGTCCCTGTTTGCCTGGGGCTGAAGCCACTCAGGGGCGGTGGCTAACCTGCCTCAGCCGTCCTCCCAGTGCTCACCTTGCAGCCATAAGGAAATTAAGCTTCTGTCTCTTCCATTGATCCTGGGTCATGCTCAATGCACCCAGCACAGACAGGTTGACTGTTTTCTGGAATGTTCTCTGGGAGTTCCCCAATTAACTCAGCCATGCAGAGCAGAAGACGCGGCACCCCTTTCAGGGGCCACCTGATTGTTCCCAGGCTCTTACTCCAGAGGAAGACAAAGCCCTTGGCATAGCTGGGGTGTCTCCTGTGCCGGTGGGTAGGTGTTTGCAGAGAACAGGTTTCCTTGAATGTCACCATGCTTCCCAGCATTTTAACATGTGACAGCAATGCATCAGTAACATTTTTTGGCTCATGAATCTGGATAGAGAAGCAGCTGTTTGCCAGGTTATTACACAAAAACCTTTGCGCAACATTTGCTGTGCCTTCCATGTGCTGACTCATCACATGTGGCAGCGTGGTCTTTCCCATGCTTCTTCCTGCTCCTGGTTCAGGCCTTGTTCCTTCCACACCAGGGCATCCCTACGTCCTCATCAACCCTGTATTGTTCCTGCTCTGGGCAAAGCCTTCAGCGAATAATTAACCTGCTTCCTCAGTCTGTTCCCTCAAAGTCACTTTGTGAAGCTGAATTTCTACCTCAGTTTACTGTGAGTCAGTGGCTGTTAAAAGTCATCCTCTCCTTCACCTGTGTAATGGCTGTGATTGGCAGTGAAGGTCTTCTTACAGAGCACCTGCTGAATGCTAGTGGCTGGGTGCTGGAGATTCAGTACTGGAAATTCCATCTGCAGAATAAACAGTTCCCTCAACTTCTAAATCCATCAATAGGTACTGCCCACACACACATTGGTGGGTAGGGCCATCATCAGCTGCTATCTTCCCTCTATCAACTCAGTGCCCAAAAGTCGTAACACCCTTCCCCTTGATAGTGAAAATATCAAATGGACCCATCACTTGAGCAAGGTCCTACTGCACACAATGAACCTGGTCCAACTGTGCACCAGAGACTTGAGCTTTTCTTGTGGAACTTTTGTTGGGTTCCAAGGAATACTGTTTGAAAAATGTTGGGTCAGAGAGAAATAACATCCAATTGTCTGCATGAAAACTTAAGGGTCTTGGCTGGTAAGGAAACTAAACAACCATAAGAGACATTCGTGTGCAACTGGGAAACATGACCACAGTCTGCATAAAAGAGAGCTGTTAGTATCCTCACTTGTGATAACGAGAGAGACAGAGACCCCAGTATGGCCTTGTCCACAGTTGTCCCAACCAGAAACAGTATATATATATATATATATATATATATATATATATATGCTGATGGCAATAATCTGTAAACTTCAGTGTGTACACATGATTTCATGATTAAACCAGTTGTACTTTTTTTTTAAGGTGGCATGGACCCAAAGAGTGAGCAGCAGCGAGATTTTTTGTGAAGAGTGAAATAACAAAGCTTCTACAATGTGGAAGGGGACCCGAGCAGGTCACCCTAAACCAGTTGTACTTTTAAAGAAGGAAATAAAAAGACTGAGACATCCTAGTGAGAAAAGAAAGCCCAATAAATGTGGCCCTAGAGACTGGAATCAGACATCTCTCCTGGAAAAGGGCATCACCCTCACCCAGCAGGACCCTCCCTTCACACCTGCAGCCCTGGGACATGCAGCAGAGGCGCAGGTCCTGGGCCTGGCATCAAGGGTTTCTTAGTGAGCTCCTCAGAAAGCAGCCCAGAGCCCAAAGATAAACTCCAAACTATCAGGGCGCTGGGGGCACATCCAGTCAGGACTGACCTACCTGGGGAAGGTGATGGGACTTTGGGGGCCATGGGAGGTCAGTGTGCCCCAAACACAGTTCCCAGGTGGGACCAAAGGTAGTGTCTGTGCTTCCTCTTCAGTTTCTGAGAAATATCAGTACAGAAAGGGCCCTGAGGCCAAAAGGGGCTGGGTCTCCAGTCCTTGTCAGGCATCAGGCAACCTATTAGAATGTGGGGGTCAACTCATCTGGAAACCAGAGGAGACACAGCCCCTGGGGCTTCCACTGAGCTGGTTTTACCCAAGGAAAGGAGAAATTCTGCAGGACTGTGCCCTCTGCGACAGCTCTCTCCTCCCCTGCATGACGTATGATTACAACTGGGACCATGTGCTTTTGTGTGGATTCCTAAACTGTTCATGTACACCACAAACCTGACAAAGGTCCTGGCAGCTCTGACCACCTTCACCCTGTCCACTTCTCATTGGACACATGCAGGCCCTGAGAGGATGGAGAAGCTGCTCAGAACCTCCAGCCCCTCAGGGGCCAGGTTAAGACCAGAGAGGACACCTGACCCTGAGGCCTGACCTATAGCTGCTCAGAGGGCAGGTGAGAATGAGAGGCAGGCCGAGGTGGGACAGTACTGTGGCTAGTCCCTATCTCTCTGTGTTACTATGAGTCCCTGCCAGCTGCTCCCACTGTTATTATCTGCAGTATAGTAATAGTCAGCCTTGTCGCGGGCCTGGGCCCCACTAATGGTCATGGTGGCCATGTTCCTTGATTTGGAGCCTAAGAATTGGGCAGAGGTCCCTGAGGGTCACTTGCTGTTATACCAGATTACAAGCACCGAGGCCTGGCCTGGCATCTGCTGGTTCCTAAGTGTATGTTTATCCTGAGTTTATCTCCAGAGCATGTGATCATGGTTGTCAGTCTCAGGGCCACCAAGACTGAGAGCAGCTGTCTCTGTATGTAGGAGGCACAGGCTGAGAGGAGAGGAGAGCAGAGGAGAGGAGAGGAGAGGAGAGGAGAGGAGAGGAGAGGAGAGGAGAGGAGAGGAGGGCTTGAGGATGAAAGGCCCCTTTACAGAAGGTCCCAACCCAGAGCTGAAGTCAGGGTTTGGGAGGCCAATTACAGTGTCATATATTGAGTGGTTTAATGGAGGGTCTTTCACCCTTTGTAAAATGTCTTTTAAAATATTTTCACATTCCTGCCTTATAAATTTTTCACAATTGAAAGAATGTTTCCTCTCTCAATATAAAAATACATTTTTCTCAGTGTTGCTGAAACCTTAACTGGGTAGCAAGATGTGGTTGAGGGGATCCCAGGGTAGGTGGGGACCAAGGATTGGCATTTTATGGCCAATGACACTGTGGTTTGGTTGCCATAATGCATAACTGAGCCAACAAGGAATCAAAATAATCAGACAAGATCGTGGGTGTGGTTTAGGTGGTCCTAGTGTCCCAGACTGGAAGCACGTGAGCAGCCCCCCCCCCTACTTATTTTGTTTTGAATGAGCAGAAAACACCATTTGAGAAAGACTGCGAGGGCTCCTGAGCCTTGGCAGAGGCTCTGTGTGATTGTGGCCACAGAGCTCACCACGAGACTCAAGTTGCTGATATGCTGGATTTCGTCTGAAACACAGTCCCGGGTGGCCATTTTAGGCAGCTCCCCAATCACACGGCAGGGATGTATTTGTGACTTGAGGGATTAGGTTACGAGGGCCAAGTAAGTTGCGTGAAGAGTTGGCCAAACAGACATGACCCAAGCCCTGCACCATGCCTTCCTCTCACCCTACAGCCTTGGCCTCCAGAGTGGCTCCCTGAGATCAGCTGCCTAGTAGGAGGCAATTAGGCTGGGGTTACAGATGTTTCTGCAGGACATGCATCCACCACTGGTGTGAACGGTGCTAGTACTCCACCTGGCCTCTGAGAATCCCTGAACAGCAGTGGTGGAAGAACATTCTCCTTAAAGCAGAATTTTAAGCAGTGTAATTGGCTCATGTCACCTGCAAAGAGATGGGCAGAGGTTCCTAATTCATGGGCTGTGACTCAGGGTCCTGGAATATGGTCAAGGATGTTCAGGAACTTGGGAGAGATACAACAGGAATACTGATCACAAATATGTCAGGGGGAGAGATGTGTGAGTAGACCTCCTCCAGTGGGCAAAAAGCATGAGAATTTTTTTCCATATATAAATACTCACTAAGTCTTCTGTGAAAATGAAGTGATTTTGCTAATCAGGTGAGTAGGGTGACCTGTTCTATGGACACCAGGCAGCCTCCGTCAACCACTCCTGTCATTGTCCAACAGACTCCAAAAAAATGTGGCCATGGTGGCAGGGATAGAGGCTGATAATGGGCTCATCAATGTGAATTTCCACTAACTGGAGCTGGCCTGGCTGAAGCCACTGCTGGGTGACAATCTGTCAACAGCAGAGACCAACACAGGCATCCCTATAGGATGACCTTCTCTGTGGAAAACAGCCAGGGGCCTGCTTGATATTAATTTCATTAGAGCTCTTCCATCATGGGAGAGACAGCTCTTTTTCCTTACTAGCATTGGCATGTACAGAGGATTTGCTTTCATTGACAGCAATGCTTCTGCCAAAACTGTTATCTCTGGATTACAGAATGATGCACCCATCACGATGGTATTCCACAGGAGGTTCTGACCAAGGAACTCGTTTCACCGCAAATAAAGGGCTATGGGCCTTTTCTCCTGGCATTCAAGATTCTTACTCTTGTCCCCAACATTCTGAGACATGTGGCTTATATGAATGGTTTAATGACTGCATGGAGACTCCATTACTGCACCAGGCAAGTGGCAAGTATGTGTAGGGTTGGGCAATGTCTTCCAGGATGGGGCATGTGCTGTGCATCAGTGCCCAATAGATGGTGCTGTTTCTCCCACAGTCAGGATCCACGAGTCCAGAATCAAGGAGTAAATTGTAGTGGCTCCACTCAAAAATGCCTTTAGTGATCCATCAGCAAAAATTTGACATTCTCTCATCCCGACCTCAGGCTCTGTGGGTCTAGAGGTCTTAGGTGCACTGGAGGAATGCTTTCCCAGAGGATACAACAATGACTGCACTGAACTGAGACCTGAGAGTTCCCCACATCCCTCTGGACATGCCTGCATGGATGTCTCCCTGTGTCTGTCTTTCCAGTCAGACCCTCCATCAACAACTCAAACCCCAGGCAAAGAAACACAGGACTGCCAGGCCTGCCAGGCACAAATCCACTGCAGACTGACTCCTTTGCAGCGCCTGCCTGGAGGGCTGGAGGGAAGGGCAGCCTGGGGGTTCAAATTTGGGTGAATTTGGCCAAGCCTGCTCATGGCTTTGTCCACAGTCCTCCTGGGGCAGAAGGAAGGGGATGAAATAGAGGGGGAGGGGTTTATGTTTCACTTCCCTGTCTCCTTGTGTCACTGTGGGATAAGTACCACTGCTGTCTGCTGATAGACAGTAATAGTCAGCCTCGTCTTCTGCCTGGACTCCACTGATGGTCAATGTGACTATTGTCCCTGAGCTGGAGCCAGAGAATCGCTCAGGGATCCCTGAGGGCCTCTCGCTGTCTTTATATATCACCAGCACAGGGAACTGGCCTGGCTTCTGCTGGTACCAATAAGCATATTTTTTTGGCAATGCTTCTCCAGAGCAGGTGATCCTGGCCATCTGTCCTAGGGACACTGACACCGAGGGTGGCTGTGTCAGCTCATAGGAGGCCTCAGAGCCTGCAAGGAAGAACAAGAGAGGGGGCTTGAAGACAAAGGACCCATTTCCAGGAGTCCCACCCAGAGGCTGTGTCTGGGCTTTGCTCAGGATTCAGGTCAGGCTCAACTTGGAATCTGTGGGGACTGAGCCTGGGGAAGGGCCTGGGGTCAGCACCTGTGCAGAGAGTGAGGAGGGGGAGCAGGAGAGGGATCCAGGCCATGGTGAGATTCCCAGAGCTGTGCCTCCTGGACCCACAGAACAGTTGGGCTCCGCAGGCCTCTCTTATTCCCTCTCAGGCTTTCGGGGGCAGTCAGTGTTAAGCGTTTATGCAAATTTACATCCTCTGTGGCTCTTCCTGGAGAGATGTCTCTCAAACCAGCTGTGAGGGCAGCACAGGCAACAGGAGGAACAAGCAGGGTCTCTGGTTAGAAAATCAGCTGCAGCCTTCAAGCCCTGTGATCATAGACCTTTGTGGGAATTAACCTCATGACCACTGTCCCAAACCTCGCTGACCTGGGGTCTGTCCTGGGCCAGGCTCAGCAGAGCTGTGGACCTTCCAGGAGGTTGGCCATGGGGCTGAGCTGGGCTCTGTGGAGAGATCATGATGACACCTGACTCAGCAGCAGGTGGCCCAGGGACCCATGATCTTCCTCCTCCTGGTCCCTCAGACTCAGTCCCCTCTTGTTCATTTCATCTAAATGCTGTGCTGTGTCATTAGGACACTTGCTGATTATTCAGTGGGAATATTTGGGTCATTTAAGCAACCACACACCCCTGTGGAGTCAACATGGCATCTGGTCTCATTTCAGTCGTGGTGCTGCTCCTGCTACATCACCCCTCATTGCCACAAGAGATTAGCAATCAGCACCGTCAACTTGTCTGTTATTTATTCATGTTTTTCTCATCAATATTTTATGTAAACTTGCAAAAAGCAGCAGAAAACCACACTGGACTGAGAATCTAACGTTAGGTCCATGGTCTCTGTAAGGGTCCCAGGGTCATGGTCTCTGCACAGCATGTGAGCTCCAGAGATTGGGTGGTCCCTGGTTACTCCAGCCAGGCCCCTGCTCAGTGTCCTGTCACTGAGCGTGGACAGCACCATGGTCAGAGCTGTGGCCTGAGGCAGGTGAGAAGCCCTGTCCCTCTGAAGAGTGTCTCCTGAAGGAGGCTGGGGATGCCCATCCAGGGCCAGGGTCCCAAATGCCCCACCACACCCACCCGAGACTCCCCTGAGTACAGGAGCTGCCCCCTGAGTCAGAGTCCGCCTGGAGCTGGAAGGAAAGGCAGAGGGAGGAGGGGTCGGGTGTATCTGGAAGTGCCCAGGACAGAGGGCTCAGCTCCCCAGGACACTGCTGGACCAGGAGGGATGACACCCTGAGAGTGGCAGGAGGCTCAGGCCGCCATCCTGGGTGAAGAACCCGGGCCCTGGGAGCCCCATCACCTCACACTATACCCCCTCCTAGAGCACCTCGACCTTGGGACGCCTCCCAGGGATTCCCCTTCCTGAGGAAGCTGCCCAAGCTCACATCTGGGCCCAGCCTCCTCCAGCTGCATTTCCCTGGTGAGGCCTTCACTGTGCCAGGCTTCTGTCAGTGTCCTGGGGTGACACCGTGTGTCTGACCCTCAGAGCGTGGTCACTGAAGCCTGAGGGGATAGGATGAACTGCACTCACTTTCAGTCTGAAGACAGATTCTTGGACACCTGTTGAACCCCAGGCTGGCCTTCTCTTTGCCCCAGCTGGGCAGCCCCAGCCTCTCTCCTGAAAGCTCCTGGCTGCAGCTCTGCTGCCCCCAGCTGGTGGAGGAGACTCAGCCCATCACCGCATGTTTCTGGTTCTGCAGCTTAGCTGTGAGCTAACATCACCACCGTCGGCACCATTAATTTCTTGTTTGTCTTTATTTCATTCCATACTTCTCAGAGTTTGTGCTGAGAGGATTTCTACACTACCCTAGTCTGTCTTCCTGATTAAACTGGGACTCTCCTGCTTATTCTCAGCTGGGGACTGCTCTTCCCACCATACAGAAAGCAAGCTCTTTTTGAGTCCCTTTCTTGGAATCCCTGCAGAGGAAAGACAAGAAGTTTTGTCTGAAGCCCATTGAAGCCCATTAAGTGACATCCCCTCATCAGGCTTTAATTCGCATGACTTTCGTTGTTTTTCTGTCTTTTAATTTTGAATGAAGAAAGAGCTTCCTCAGTTCAGTATAAGGCTCCTCACTTCACAGCAGGTAACACTGAGGCCAAAAGAGACTAAGTGGCTCAGGAGAACAGAGAGCAGTGGGGGCAAGTCCAGGAGCTGGCCCAGGTGTCCTGAGTTCTGAAACTGGGCCCGTTGGGGTGGTGCTTAACCAGGATGGGGAGGGAGGGGGCATGAGGGCCAGGCAGGCAGTAGGGCTGTGTCCCATGGACACACTGCCAATCCCCATCATGGCCTGCCCATCCTGAGAAGCCCACTTCAGCCCGCAGAAGGTGGGGGCTGTACCCCAGGCTAGAGCTGGAGAATCTGTTGGATTGGGGGCTGCTCTGAATGCAGCGCCTGGCCTGGCTCCTGCTGGTTCTCTCTGCACTGTTGCCTGCTGCACTCTCTCCTGAGCAGGTGGGGGACAGGTGTCTCATGGCCAACTCTACTGGGGGTAGCTGAGTCTAAGAGACCACAGGGGCTGCAGGATAAGGAGACTTTAGGGCTCATTCTCAGGGTCCCATCTCCTGAAATATCACCTGGGCTGAGCTCAGGGTCAGGACTAGGATTAGGGTCCTGTGGGGGCTTAGCCTGGGGCAGCATCTGTGCAAAGAGTGAGGAGAGGTAGCACGTGAGAGGTCGAGGCCATGGGGAGACATCCCAGAGCTTTGTTTCTGGAACCCATAGCTGAGCCTCGTTTCCTCAGGCCTTCTCCATACTCTCAAAAGTCCCCACGAAAATGCTCCCTCCATCGCGCTGGACTGCAGATAACTTGGCAGACTTCAGTGTGGGCTTCAGGGTTTGGTTCATGTGGAATTCTTCTTTTCATATCTCATATGAGAGTGATTGTTGCTGCTTATTTGAACAATCTTGAAGGAATGACAGGAATCCCAACAGACTTCATGTCGGGACACAAGTCAGGAATCTCAGGAGGGTTTTGATATTACTTCCATATCACATAGGATGTTTGGGACAGCAATAATGATCAGTCTGACTGCTGAGATCCCAGGGAGTCTCAAAGAAGCTCACTTGCCAGACTTGGAGCCTGAGAATCAATCTTATGTCTCTTAGTTTTAATCTATGACCCCATACCTCAGCTGTGTGGGTCTCTACTCTGTTTCTGGTGGAACCAGGAGACACAATTGTTAATCTTCTGACCAAGCAGAAAGTCCCTGTTAGCAACAAAATTTCATAAAAAGAGAATGAAATGTAACCATTAAATAGTAAATGTCTTAGTCTGTTTGTGTAGCAATAACAAAACACCTAAGATTGGGCAATTTTCAAACAATACAAATGTGGAATGTTGAATACCCCCAATACTGCTGTTGATTCAGCAAAACAGATGATGACCGACTGCCAGGTGTCCATGAAGTGGAGGGAGACTGAGTCAGAGTGGTCAGGACCCCAGTCATGAGGGGAGGGACAAATGTGGAGATGAGCAAGTGCGTGGCCAAACCTCAGGGTGCTATGGCTTTGATCTTTGTCGCCTCCAAATCTCATGTTGAAATTGGATCCCCAGTGTTGGAGGTGGGAACTAATGGGAGCTTTTAGGGTGATGGGAGTGGATCTCTCATGAATAGATTAATGTCCTCACTTGGGGTGAGTGAATTCCCACTGTTTCCGAAAGAGCTGGTTATTTAAAAGAGCCTGGCATCTTCCTCTTCTCTCTTGCTTCCTCTCCCCCATTGACCTCTGCCTACACTGGCTCCCCTTCACCTTTCACCATGACTAGAAGCAGCCTGAGGTCTTCAACAAGAGCAGATGCCATATCTTGAACTCTGTGGCCATTGGAATTGTGAGCCAAATAAACCTTTTATTTTCTCTATAAATTACCCAGCCTTGGGTACTTCTTTGTTGTAACAGAAAAGGATCTAAGACACAAGGGGAGGAGTGAGAAGTGACCTGTGCTTCTAGAATATGCTCTCCTTGTGTGAGTCTTACCTGTGGCTTGAGTGAGGTGGGTGAATAAGAGCTAAGCCATTCAAAGTGTGGTCCTGGGAGGACCAGCAGCAGCAGCCTCACCTGGGAGTTGCTGGACACAGAGAATTTGGGGCCACATCCAGAACTGCTGAGGCTGCATCTACATCTTACCGAGACCCCTCAGGGGCCTTGTGTGTCCACTGAAATTTAAGAATCTCTTGTCTAAGCCACAATGGAAAATCTCACTTCCTCTACTTTTGACAACAAGCCCTCGTTCCACCAAGTCCTTCTGAGGCCACCTGGGTCTGGACTCATCAGACAGACCTGGACTCATCAAACTCAGCTTGATTCACATGCTTGACCCTGTCATGATGTGCAAAAAATAATTTAAGAACGGGCATTTTTACAATTCACATCGGTGGTGTGTTGGGGAGGAGACAATATTTTAATGAGATATCCAGAGTGAAATACATGGTTCATGCCGTTTTTCTTGTTCTCACTCAGCTCCAGTGAGTCTGGACTTTCTTTATTTCTCAGACATATTATGTTCTCTTCTGTGTTCCAACCTCCATGTGTTTCTCTCTTTGAAAGCTTTCCTGTGTATATCACTATTCTTCACCCAATACCTGCGTAAATGCTAACTATCCTTTCACATCACCGTACTCATCACTTGTCAAGGAAGTGGTCTCTGACCACCAGAACATTTGGAAATGCAGAGTTGTAATCTTTTAGCATTTAACAGTAAGAATCCATGTAGTTTGGTATGGGATAGTGAGATTCTCTGCATGTAATAACATTTTCTACAGTATTGGCACCACTAGTCTTATCTTTTATGGTGCTCTAGCAAGACTAGAAAAACAGCAAATGGTAATGTTTCCTTACATGAAAACATTTGATGTGACTGCTGAGATGACCATGTGGTTTTGTCTTCTATTTTTGCTACATCGTCACCAGCATTTGTTATTTTTTTGTCTTCTTAATGATAGCTGTCCTAGCTGGGATGAGATGATATCTCATGGAGGTTTTGATTTGCATGCCCCGGTGATTAGGGATATTGGGCATTTTTTAATTAACCTATTGGCCTTTTGTATGTCTTTGACTGTGAAAAGTCTATTCATATCATTTGTACACTTTTTAATGCTATTACTGGTTTTCTATTCTGATGAGTTATTTCAGCTCCTTGTCTTATTTTCTTATACTGGATCTTAGGTCCTTTTGAGTTGAATTGTTTGCAAATATTTTCTCTCATTCTACAAGTTGTCTTCACTCTGTTGATTGTTTCCTTTGCTTTTCAGAAGATTTTTAGTTTAATGAAGTCCCATATGTCTAGTTTTTGTTGTTGCCTGTGTTTTTGAAGTCTTAGCTATGGAATTTTTGTCTAGACCAATGTCCTGAAGAACTTTCCCTATGTCCTCTACGTTCCCTCCTAGTTGTTTTATAGTTTTGGGTCTTATACTTGGGGTTTTTAATAGATTTTGAGTTGATTGTTGTATACGGAGAGAGACAAGGGTCTAGTTCCATTCTTCTGTATACGGGTATCCACTTTCTCAGCACCATTTATTGAAAAGTGCGTCCTTTTCTCAATGTATGTTCTTGGAATTTATGCTGAAAATCAGTTGGATGTAAATACATGAATTTATTTTGGTGTGTTCTATACAATTTTATTAGTCTCAATGTCTGATTTTATGCCAATACCATTGATCCTGTTTTGGTTACCATAATTTGTAGTATATTTTGATTCAGATAATGTGATATATTCATCTTGGGGTTTTTTGTTTGGTATTGCTTGGCTATTCAGGGGCTTTTGTGGTTCCATACCAGTTACAGAATTTTTTTTCTGCTTCTGTGAATGTCATTGGTATTTTGATAGAGATTTGATAGGAGACAATATTTTAATAAGATATCCAGAGAGAAATTCATGGTCTGGAGATGGGTTTGGGTAGTAAGTTTTTTCTTTTAATATTTTATAAATATAGCTCCACATGCGAGCTTCCTGCTCGCATGACTTCTAAGAAGAAATCTGCTCTTATTTGTGGATGCTTAATGGGTAAATAAAATAGAAAGAATGAATAAGACCTACTATTTGATAGCGCATCAGAGTTATGTCAATACTATTTGATAGCACATCGATAACAACTTAATTGTACAATTTAAAATACCTAAAATACTGTAATTGAGTAGTTTGTAACACAAAGGATAAATGCTTGAGGGGATGGATACCCAATTCTCCATGATGTTACTGTTTCACATTGCATGCCTGTATCAAAATATCTCATGTATTCCACAAATACATATATCTACTATGTTCCCCCAGATGTTGAAGAAAATTTTACAAAGAAAACGAAATCTGTTCTTCTTCTTATGTTGTTCGCCTGTACCTACCATGTCTTTACTCTATGGCTACTTTTAAAAGTATGTCTTTATCATAGTTTTTTAGCAATATCATTATGATGAGTATTGGTGTTGTATTACTTGCGTGTGTGTGTGTGTGTGTAACTTGTTAAGATTTTTGGAGTTGTAGGTTTCTAGCTTTCAACAAATTTGGGAAATTTTGGCCATGATTCCTTTAAACGGCTTTTCTACCTTTCCTCTCCCCTCACCAATGTTATCTCCTTTCATGCCTTTAATTATACCAAGTAAGTCAGCTTGAAGATGTCCTGAAATTCACTGGTGCTCTCTTCACTTTTTTTGTACTTCATCTTGAATAGCTTCCATTGCCATGTCTTCAAGTTCACTCAACTATTCTTTCACAGCACCTAACCTGCAATCATTCTCATTCAGTGCATTTTTTCAATGCAGATATTTAGAGACCATTTCTAAAAGTTAAACTTGGATTTTTCTTCATGCCTTCCATTTCTTCACTTAACACCTTCAATCAATCCTCTATCCTCATGAGCAAGGAGAAGAGTTATAAGAATTGCTCCAAAATTTTTGCATACAAGGTCTATCTATCACGTATACAATTTTATTGCCACTTTGGATTGATTCATTTTTCTCTGTGTTAGAGCATATATTTTCTTTTTTCCTTGCAGGAAATGTTGATTGAATGCCAATCATTGTGAAGTTTTCTTTGTTGAGTTTATAATTCTTTTGCATTTTCTTCTCTATTTTCGTCTTTTATTTTTGGATTCAGTAAAGTTACTTGGAAACTGTCTTAACTTTTCTCAGTTTGCTTCTACACTTTCTTAGTTGAGAGCAGAGTAGCCCTATGTCTAGGGCGACATTTTCCTCAATACTGAGCCGAAGCTCTTCTGATGAGTCCACCTCATGCCCCATAACTCAGGCCTTTCCTCTGTGACTGGAATGTGTGTGTGTGTGTGTGTGTGTGTGTGTGCGCGCGCGTGCGCGCGCGCTCTTTGGAGTGTTCCCTCAAGGGTCTTTCTCTTTCAGAGGGAGTTTCTGTACACACAAGCGCTCTTCAGTGCATGAATATTTGCAGACTTCAGAGTTGTCTCCTTGTGCAACTCTCTCTCTCCTCTTCAATACTTTTCCCTCTAGACTGTTTTTTGTTTGTTTGTTTTTAATTTTTGAGTTCCCTGCAATCCTACTCTGAGAGGGAGGATTCCATGCAGTAGGGTTTCAGGATACATTCTCAGGAAAGAAGTGTGGAGTGTGTGACTGGGAATGTTTTACAATTGAGCGTTCAGCTAGAAGGCACTTCAATTTGATATTCAGGGTCTTAAATTAAAGCATGACTTTCAGATTAAGGCAATCAGGGAGTCACTGCCCATGAAACACATTTTGAAATGGGCAATTCTTTGAGCAAAGCTATTCTCTGTACTGCATGGCAGTTTCTGGTGGGGAAGAGCTGTGAGAAGCCAGGAACTCCCTGCAGCCCTGGGTGGATGGTGGGTGCATAAGTCCTGAAATGGGAATCTGAAGGATGTCACAGTGCACATTATGAAAGGCTTCCATGTTCAGAACATCAGGATGCACAAAGCTGGGGCTTGAGGGTCTCAGTTAAACATGGGCAGTTCAGAGAAATAATCCAGGGTATTTGGGCCACAGAGTAGAGGCACTGTCTTGGGTTCAGTCAACACACAGGAGGAAATTCAGTGACCATGAGCACTCAGTAGCTGTCTCCCTCTTACTGTCCTTCCACTCAGGTCATCTTGAGCCAAGGTACATCCATTCCAAATAACAGCAGGACAGCCTGGTTCTGCCAGCCCCAAATCCTATCCTGACCTACTCTCTGCAGTCTGCCGGGAGGGCTGGAGGGAAGGGCAGCCTGAAGGGCTTCGATCCAGGTGACCCGGGCCAGCCCTGCTCAGTCCTGCTATGGCTGGAGAAAGAGGGTGATACAGACAGTGAAGGTCTTTAGATCTCACTTTCCAATCTGTCTGTGTCACTGTGAGATGAGTACCACTGTTGTCCCATGAGTGACGGTAATAGTCAGCTTCATGTTCAACCTGAGCCCCAGTGATGGTCAGGGTGGCTGTGTTCCTGACTTGGAGCCAGAGAATCGGTCTGGGATCCCTGAGGGCTGGTTGTTGTTACCATGTATGACCTGCACAGGCATCTGGCAGGGTTCTGCTGGTACCAGTTTGTACCATGGCTTCTTAGGTTTTCTCCCTGGCAGGTTACCCTTGCTGACTGTCCACAGACACTGCTGGCTCTGGAGTCAGCTTACGGGAAGCCACAAAGCCTATAAGAGAGGACAGAAGAGGTAATTATGAGGATGAGGGTCATTCCCAGACCCCACACTCTCCATCACTCCCTGTGCTGAGCTGAAGCTCAGGTCCAGGCTGATCTCTGGTCCTTTGGGGGCTGAGCCCTGGGAGGCAGTTCAGAGAGTGAAGAGGGTGAGCAGGGGAGGGGTCCAGGCCACGGTGGAGATGCTCCAGAGCTCTGTCTCTGAGCCCACAGCGGGGAGGGACCTTCAGCCCTCTCTTATCATAGGAAGGAGAGGCTCTTCATGCAAATCTACTTCTTTTATTCTTGTATCCTTGTTGGGTGGGCTCCCTGATGAGCAGTGAATGCAAATCTACTCCGCATTCCCCAGTGTGCCTGTCCTAGCTCCCATCTGAGCCCTGAGCCTTAAGTCTTCAAACTGATAATGTGCTAAGGTCAGAAGAAGGACCAGATGGGTGTCAGGAGTGGAGAGTAAATTTTACCCAATAGAAGGGGCCTGGGAGGAAGCATCTGTGACGCTCTTCGCACTTGAGCACTACCAGAGGACTTGGTGTCTTTCTGAGTCCTCAAACCAAGGTCCACAGTGCCTCCTCTGCCCACAGGAACAATGCCATTCTCTATGTATCACTAGAAAATTCAGAATAACCACTTCTGAGGCCATAGTGTATGCCAGATACATTGCTGAGTGTTTTACAAGCATGACCTCAAGAAGATTTGCATCATATGGAATAGGAGGATGAGCAGCCCTATGCTCAAGACCCAATCTTTATTATGGAATTAATATTGGGAGGTTAATGATTCTTCCCCAAGTCCCCAGACAGCAGTGAGTGGAGTCAGGATTGCACCCAAGAGATGCACCTCAGAGCCTGAACTTCCAGCCCCTCCCTGCCCCGCCTCCTGCACCATCCTCCATCTCCTCCTTCTCTGGCACCCAAGGTCTTTGGGGTCCCTTTTGTTTTCATTTGCTAGTGCTACCTTAATGAGATACCAAAGACCTGCTGGCCTAAAGAGCAGACACTTATTTTCTCACAGTTCTGAAGCTGGGGAGTCAAGATAAAGGTGTTGGTGGGTTTGGTTTTCCCTGAGGCCTCTCTCCTCGGCTTGCAGGTGGCTACCTCCTTGCTGTGTCATCACATGGTTTTTCCTCCGCATGCTCATCTCTAGTGTCTCATTTCTATGTGTGCAAATTTTCTCTTCTCAGAACACCAGTCAGATTGGAGAAGAAGCCACCCTCATGACCTCATTTTCACTTAATCACCTCTGTAAAGGCTGTCTCCAAATTCAGTCACACACTGTGCATTAGAACTTCATTGTATAATTCTGGGGGACACAATTCAGCCAAGAGCTCTCCAACCTATGCACACAAAAACTCATAGTTTTTGACTTGTAAAGCACATTCACTCCATCCCAATAACCCAAATCCTGAACTAACTCAGCACCAACTCTAAGACCAAACTCTCATTTACATATCATCCAACTCAAGTGTGGATGGGAGATTCACCATGAGGGGTTAAAGGATAACAGCTTTAGGGGGGTTTCACCTCCTCTCCCGTTGTCATCTGGGTGTTCAGAAAAATCCAATTTCCCACTTTGTTTGCAGAGGTTGGAAGAGATGAACAAGTCAGCATCAGCAACATCTGTGAGGTATATGTGGGGAAATCACATCTGTCCACTCTTGAAATAATTTAAATAATCTAAATATCCATAAATTGAATTTAATAATCATTAACCATGGAATAACTTTGCCAGTGTTTGAAAAAAAAAACAGAGCTGATACAGATAATAGAACAAAAGATAACACAAGTTAAATTGTTTTAAGAACAGAGTATGTCCCTATTAAGAAAGATAAATCACAGACAGAAATGGTATAGTCAAAAGAAATTCATCACTTATGCATATTAAACTACTATTTCCAATGTTACCATTAAACATCCTCATTTTGATGTGCAAATAAAGACTCTCCTAATGGTTATACAAAGTGCATTATTTTTTCTATTTGATATTGAGGTTCCCTTGTGGGGTGAGGGTGATCTTGACTGTAGGAAAGAAGAATGTTCCATGGGATGTTTCCTTATACCTAAAAACCAATTTCATAGGAAAGGTAATTTGCAGCAGAAACCTATTTCCACTAAAAAGGTCCTGTTCTTTTCCTGGCAACTTGCCTTGTGGTCTTTATAGTTTAACATCTCAAGCTCTCTTCCTTATCCCATTGTTAAATTCCGTTCTAGAATTTTCATGGAGTATAAGAATATTCAATACATTTAAAATTTAAACTGTTTATTTACTTATTATTCTCAGAACGTCCATGTTCTCTTCTGGTTTTGGCTTCAGTCAAATGCTGATATTAGGATCCTTCTCTCTGAGCCTGCCCTGGATATTCCAGCTTTGGTAGAAGCTTTCTTGACCCCTTGCCCATCCATATCCCTCAGACTTTTCCCTTAGGAGGAGTCTATTCCTGATATATTAAAGCTCTCCCAAAACTCAGAACAAGCAATGCAGATAAAAGTTATGTGATTGTGACACAGGGTTGTCTTGGGCAAACCCATGAGCCCATCAAATAGATGATGTGAGCATGTTCTTATCCAAGGAAAGACCTCAGCCGAATACAGGAGGTGAAATACAGTGACCCTCACAGAGAGATCCCCACCTAGATCATATGCTGGTGGAATTTTCAACATTCAGATAACTCTGCAAACCAGGGACCGTTCAACCACATCCTGTGGCCACTCCTGGCCTGACAACTGTTTTTGCATGGCCCAGAGATAACAGTGATTTTTATCTTTTTAAATGGTTACATTGTAAATGATGTTATAAGTACCTATGTAATATCCCTAAAGTTGATTCTTGGGCCACAAAGACTAAAATAATTCTTTTTAAAATTTATTTTTATTTGCATTAATTTAATAGAGATGAGGGTTTGCTGTGTGGCCCAGACTAATCTCAAACTCCTGGGAACAAGCAATTCACCTGTCTTACTCTTTCGAAGTGCTTGGGATTACAGGTGTGAGCCACTGTGCCTGCCCACAAACACTAAAATTCTCCTTATCTGGATATTTTTTATAAAGTTTACTAAATCCTAAAAAAAGAAAAAGTACTGAACTATTTCTGAAAGGGCCAAAATGTAAGCAGAACAGGAGACTCAAAAATAAAACTGTAACAAGGTAACATTTTTCTGTCTGATAAGCTGGCAAAAATTTCCACTTTCAACAATGTACTCTGAACAAGTACTTCCAGCTGGCATTGAAAATTGGTACAATCCCTCTGGAGGGGAATCTGACAACAATGGGTGAAAATTACAAACACACAATCTTTCTGACCTGCAATTTCACTTTTAGAAATGAATCCTGTGGTCATATTCACACAGGAACTCAAAGGAGTCTGCGTAGGGATGTTCGCTGCACTGTTATTTAAGATCAAAGTTGTGGCGATAACCATTAGAATGTAGTTGCTAAAATTCTACCCACAGTGTAGGGGATGGTGATGCATGTAGGGTGAAGACATCCCTGAAAAAAGCAGTGACTGCACCACTCAGGCAGCTCCTTGTCACTGTCCCTGCATTTGAAGAGCTGGGAAGAGCTGCACATTGAGGGACCACAGCGCACAAGCATCAGGAAGCTGTCCCTGTCCTGGATGAGAAACCACAGAGCGGGTTTCCTTTTGGAATTCATGGTGGAAAGGGAAGGAGCTGAGAGAGAAGAATTCTCAAGGCCGCACTGCAGGAAGCCGCTTGCACTGGGCGAGGAAGCATCTTCAGAGCAAGGAGGGGGCCTGAGAGCCCAGGGCAGGTTTTGGTCTCAGTTCCCCAGGAACTTGGACCTCTGTGGAAAGTGCTGCTGCTTGTATATAAGCTGCAGTAATAATCAGCCTCGTCCTCAGCCTGGAGCCCAGAGATGGTCAGGGAGGCCGTGTTGCCAGACTTGGACCCAGAGAAGCGATCAGGGACCCCTGAGGGCCGATTACTGACCTCATAAATCATGAGTTTGGGGGCTGTGCCTGGGGGCTGCTGGTACCAGGAGACACGGTTATAACTACCAACGTCACTGCTGGTTCCAGTGCAGGAGATGGTGACTGACTGTCCAGGAGACCCGGACACGGAGGGAGGCTGAGTCAGGGCAGACTGAGCCCAGGATCCTGGAAAAAGGAAGAAACACATTTTAGTAAGTCAGTGCTGGGCCCAGGTGAGCCTGAGGAGCAGGAGTTAAGGATCAGCCCAGAGGTCCCCGAAGCCCCTTCCCTGGAGGCCTCACCTGTGCCCTGAGTGAGGAGGGTGAGGAGGAGCAGAGCCCAGGCCATGGTGGAGATATTCCGAGAGAGCTGCCTCCTGAGATCCCAGCACTGGGCCTGACCCCAGCCCTGTCTTATCCCCTCTGCCTCAGAGGAGGGCGGGGCCTTTATGCAAATCTGCACCCTGAGCTCCTCTCCTCACTCCACCCTCACCTGGGCCTGGGCTCAGAGACTTCTTCTTCCCTGGACAGCGGGGCTCAGCCGAGGAGATTAAAGTCCCTGTTTGTCTATTCTGATGGCAGGATCTTAATTTTTTTGTACCTGATTTGCTCAGGAGAGAAAGATCTGCTGACATCCCTTACCTGAGTGAGCTCCTGGCTCTCAGTGTCTCTGCTGTGTGGCGCCTGTGTCTCTGTGGCCCTCCAGGCCTGGGCACATGGCACAGTGCCCTCTGCTTGGCACCCACCTCTAGGCTGTCTCTACTGTCAGGAAATGGGGCTACCCACCCCGTGGAAACCTCTGCTGGGCATCATGGGTCCCTGGTCTCCACAGCTGCAGCCTCGTCCCATCCCTACTCCCTACCTTTGGTGCTGAAGCATCTGCCGCATTGAATCCCTGGAGCACATCAGCCACCCCAGGCAGTGCACCCACATCCACACGGGCACATGTGGGAGGGACCCTGTGGAGGGAACAAGGAGCACTGACCAGGGCCAGAGTCCTGAGCCCGAGTCTGCTGCTCCCAATCCCGCCCTTCCCACTCATGAGCAGGCCACTTGTCCTTCCCAGCCTCTAGTTCTCAGCCTGAGAAATGGGGACCAGAGAGTCCACTCTGCACACAGGTGATCCATGGGGATATGAGCCAGCAGGTCAAAGGGAAAGTTTGTTACCAGGCCTTTCTGTGTGCATCAGAGTGATATTTATTGTGAATGTTTGAATTATTGAAAGACTTATTTCCATTACTGTGATTTATCTGTCAGGTCACAGAGACGCGTTTCCTGCTTTCTCGCTTTTTCCCATCTGAGCGCATCCTCAGGGCAACCTAAAGCTGGCTGCTCTCAACCCTGCGACACTGAAGACACACAGACATTTGATAAATACATTTTTATTTTTTCTCAAAATAACTTGAATATCTTTTCCTCTTTCCTCATTGCTTATGACAAAATTCTTTTAATGTTTCATATTAAAATAAATATTAATGGATTCAGCTTCCATTTAAATATTATAACATACACTGTCCTGTCTTCCCACCTAGATTCATCTCTGAAACCATGACAAGGGCATGGAGCAGCTATTTGAGCACCAGGAAAGGAAATGGTACACAGCAGTTTGGGATGGCCCCAGCAGATGAAATAGAACAGTCAGTGTGAGACTCCTGGATTTCCTCAGTGTCCCCTGGCTGGGATCCAGACAGCCCCAAACCTGAAGGGGCACAAGCCTGAAAACAAAAAGAAGTCCAGAAGGCCCTCTTGTTCAGGATTGAACCTGGGAAAGAAAACTTTGGCTCCAAGTGAAGGCTCAGTCCCCTGCACAAGCAGGTGGTTCACACCTGTGTTCTCATCTCTCTCATACCAGCGCCTCTCCCTGGGTTCACACTGATGTCCTATGGAAGGAGACGGGGCTTCCTGCACCAGGTCACTCCACAGCCCCTGTAACCTGAAGCCCTGCAGACCAGCCTTGTTCAATCACAATATGATGTGAGCCTCATGGGAATCCCACTGTCTAGTTGTCATGTTATAAATACAAAGAGAAGAAGTCAATGAGTTTAAATAATGTATTTTATTTACCTAGCATATCAAAAAGAGTATCATTTTCATATATAATGTAAGTACAATTATTTATGATATATATCATATACTTTGCATGGCTATTGTTATTACTTTTTGAAGAATCTTGGAGATTGTGTGGCTGATGGAGATGTGAATGGGTTTCCTGTTGACAAGGGTGGGGTGTGGTGGCTTTTTAAGTGTCAACTTATGTGAAGGCTCAGTCCCCTGCACAAGCAGGTGGTTCACACCTGTGTTCTCATCTCTCTTACACCAGCGCCTCTCCCTGGGTTCACACCAATGTCCTATGGATGGAGATGGGGCTTCCTGCACCAGGTCACTCCTCAGCCCCTGTAACCTGAAGGGGTGCAGACCAGCACTGTTCATTCACAATATGATGTGAGCCTCATGGAAATCTGAATGTCTAGTCATCGCATTAAAAATACAAAGGGAAGAAGTAAATGAGTTAAATAATTTACTTTATTTACCTAGCATATCAAAATAGTATCACTTTCATATGCAATGTAAGTACAATTATTTGAGACATCTTATATATATACTTTGCATGGCAAGTGTTATTATTTTTTGAAGAATAAACTGTAGATCTTCTGTTTAAAATATAAGTCCAGTGAAATGTGGTCATATCCACATGTACTCCTGCTTCCCGTGTATACTGAACACAAGATTGATTTTCCCACCCCAATAAGAACAGCTGCACTGTAACTGGGAGCACCTGATGTTTCTGTCACTAAACCTCAGTGTGTACTTGAACCATCATCACCATCATTGTCATGGTATTTTTTCCATTAATCATAAGAACAAGAAGATTAAGGTAGAAAATTATGAGCCTAACTAGGTGGGACCTTTCTGTGTTCAAACCACAAAGGAGAAACTCTATAGCATTCCCTACAACTGTGGTTTTATCAGCATGGTTTTATTTTTCCTTATAAACTTAAATATTTATCAAAAGTTAACATTTCAGTGATTAAAATTGATACATTTCTTCCCCAAGATTTTGATCATTTTTATGTTTTTGATGTGAAACTGTGCTTCTTATTGCTAGAAGGCCTTTTCTTTCCTGTAGGAATAATAAAAATTACTTTTAAACAACATTAGGCCCCTGTTGGATCACAGGCCCTAAGTGGATTCCTAGGTCCCAGGTGCACATCAGGAGCACGTGTACAAGCAGGCCCTGGGTGGACTTACCTGTGTACAGGTAAGGATCTGGCCTGGGGGGAGGGTGAGCAGCCAGCAGCCCAGGGGGTTCTGAGTAGGTCTTATGGAAGGAAGGGGCTGAGGATACGGAACCTTAAAGAAGTGACTTCACTTCCTTGGTGATATACCCTCACAGAACTTAGAATTCTGGTAACCAGGCACCCACATCCTAGAGACAGTCCCGCAGCCAGTTCCCTTGGTGGGAGATGCTCAGGAGAGCAAGATGTTCTCATGCTGCATCCGCATATCTTGAGGCTCCTGCTTCAGGAGGGCCCAGAGTGACAGCCTTTTCCCATGATGCCGATGCAGGCTCATTCCTCACCCCAGGCACCTCTGGCCGAAGGCGCACCCAGGTACCACAGGACAGCCCTGGGCAGGCCCTACGAGGCCAGGCCTCACTGGTGATCCCATCCGGGCCACATCCGTGCATTGTCCTTGGCCTGCTGGAGCCTCTGGAGTTCCTCCAGGCACAGGCACATGGTGAGGGGGGGCCTGTAGTTTTGGAGACTTTGCGGGGGCAGTGTTTTTGGACTGGAATTCCTTTAATTCAGTGAGGCTGATTCTGTGTGTGGAAATTCCAGTGGAAAGTGACTGACATTGGTGACTCTTTCTTCTTTTTCATCTCCTGCTCAATGTGCGGCAATCCAGGACCTTCCAGCACCAGCTGATGAGCCAGTGCCAGCACTAGGGGAAGAGCCCCCTTCAGGGACAGAACTGGAGCTAGAGGCAGCTGCAGAGCCCTCCTGCCCCTGCCCTGGTCCTGCCAAGGACCAGCCCATTAAGGAGCTGCCTGACATCATGGCACCTGCTCTAGCCACTGGCCTCAGCCATGGGGCTGAAAGCATGGCTTGAGCAAGAGGTAGAAGAGAGCAGGTGGCCAGCACAGCCCCAGTCAGCAGCTGCCACTCTGCTCTCAGCCCTGGGCACTGTGGGAGGCATGGAGGCAGAGACCCAGGTATGTGGCCTGCGCTCCTCTGACTCACTGGAGTCAGCAGTGAGTGGTCAGCACATTTTGTGTCTGGTGAGGGCTTCCTTCCTGGTTCATAGACGGCCATCTTTGTACTGTGTCCTCACATGACAGAAGGGATGAGGAGTTCTCAGCCGTCCCTTTGATAGGGACACTGATCCCCTTCACGGGTTCTCTGCTTTCATCACTTAATCACCTTCCAAGGCCTCACCTCCAAATCCCATCACATAGGGAATTAGATTTTAACACATGAATTGGAGGGGACAGTAAGATTTGGTCTACAGCATCAGGACACTCTGAGCCCTTTGCACTCACAGGAAATCTCTAATCTTCTACAAGTGTTTGCTGGTCCCCTCTGGGTTTAGGGAAATTTGTAATTGCCGCTCTTGAGTCAGCTTGGTCCAAGCTTAAATTTTACATTTGCCCACATAACTTGTTCATGAGACAGAGGGAACTTTAGTGGCAACTGACCATTTGGGAGGTTTAGGGAATCCATGGGGGAGGGCTTGGGATCTGGATGAGCAGAACTGGAGGGAGGAAAGGAGAAAGGTGCAGAAGGAGAGAGGGCAGAATATGAAAGGGGAAGAGGACCTCTGGATACAAGGGTCAGCTGAAGGGCAAGGAAGGTAATTTTCCTTGCATTGTAAACTCGGATCCCGTATCATGTCAGCATCATCTGAGGAATACACTTTTTCAATGCATATTCCTGGGTTCTGGAAATGTTGATTTCATAAATCTGGAGTTATGTCAATTTATCTGTATTTATCATAAGAATTTTGGATAATTCTGATGAAATTAGACCACAAAGCAGAGCTTGACAACCACTCGTTTGGGATGTGTATCTGGAAGACATTTGATTATATGAAATAATCACAGAAAACTGAGGAGGAATTGTGTATTTAAAAATGCTTGCATATAATTCAGCTCTTCCTATATATGCAGTTTGACCACACATTTTGTCTCTACAATACTAAGATTGGAAATGTGCAGAAAGTCTTTTAAAAATCAAGTAGTCGGAGGAAAGGAGTTGGAGAGAAAAAACAACTGACAATTATCTGATAAGAAGAGAAGAGAAGAGAAGTGAAGGGGAAGGAAGTAGCATATTTTTGTACATTATTTGATGACATCTAAATTATAAGCTCAAATTGTGTTTCTAAGGAAGCCAATAATACAAGTTTTCAGAGTGTAGAGGGTGTAGTGCCAACACTGATTTGCTGGGAAAGAGAAGTGTACTCTGTCTTGCTGCGTAACGTGAAACAGGCTCAAAAAAAGGGTCAGTATTTAAGAAGTGTTTGTTTTATTGGTGCTGAATTATTTTATCTCATACTTAGTTGAAAGTGAAAGGGCTATAAAGTGCTTAGGTTGAACACAAAGTCCTCTGCTATCGGTAACATCTTCAGGAGCCGTATTAGAGGAGGGACACGTAGCAATGGCGGAGTGAATGACTCTTTGCTTATGCATTAAACCAAACAGTATGGCATGTATTTTATTAAGAAATCTGTTAAGATGAAGTAAACCTCTGGTTCTTGTTCCTAATAGGCACACTATTTGCTATGGCAGCAAGAACAAAAGGCTTAAGTACCAAAAACGTACGTTAACTACAAACATTTTCGTATAAACAAAACAATGTGAGCATCCATATATGACAGTAACTCCTAAGCCCAAAATATTTTTAACTGAGATTGAAATCATTTTCTGCATAACAAACGTTATTATTGTATTCTGAGATGATGTATTATTTGTATATGGATACTATAAATATTAACTTATTTAAGTTATTCATTATTTATTCAACAAATCTCTGGAATCTACAAAATGCTGGTTTCGGCACTGAATGTAGAATTGATATAAAATATAATACTTTTTCTTAGTGGTTGATTAAAAACACTATATATATATATTAGATAGAGGTTGTACTATTGAATCAGGCAGAGACTGACTTGCTAATAAAAAAATCAGGAAACCCAGTGTGATTATTTTTAATAATAATCTATATTTTAATACAGGGCTCTTGTTTTTTTCTCATAGAAATATATTACAATATGGAATTTCTGGTGTTTGGTATCTGAATGTTTTAGTATAGCAGGTATAGTGAGTTTTCCAAAGACATTTTACCAGCTTACTTGCCCATCAGTGACTCATAAGATATTACGTGGAACCACATCCTCTCCAACAACTTCTAGTATCAGTCTTTGTAAAGCGTGTCTATTAAATGGGTGTGGGTTTTGCAGGTGATTATTCTGTTACTGAAAGATACTAGGATACCTAGCTGTAATAAGCGAGGCATGCAGAGGCACATGTTTAGAGTGTGTCCCGACCCCGGAATTAAAACAAATCCAATTTGTGCCTCCACTGTTCAATAAAAAGTTTCCTTAAGAATCCAGAGATCAGGCATTCCTTTGAGAAACCACTCCAATATGGTTTCTCACCTACTCACTCCAAGAAAATTGCTCTTATCAAAGCACAAACAATATCCATATCGTTAAATGATGAATTGAAGCATAATTCCTCAGCCTTTGTCTTAATTTATGTATCAGCAGCATTGAAAGCAGTTGATCTCTTCCTCCCTCCTTTTTTCAAAACTTTCTTTGAGAGAATTCCAGAACACTTAACCTACTTTCCCTTTGACATTTTTGATAATTACCCCTAGTACTTTTTTGCTGGTTTCTTCTTGTCTTTATCACTTTTTTTTCTTTCTGAGATGAAGTTTTGCTCTTGTTTCCCAGGCTGGAGTTCAATGATGCAATCTCGGCTCACCACACCCTCCACCTCCCTGCTTCAAGCGATTCTCCTGCCTCAGCCTCCTGAGTAGCTGGTATTACAGGCATGAGCCACCACACCCGGCTAATTTTGTATTTTTAGTAGAGATAGGGTTTCTCCATATTGGTCAGGCTGGCCTTGAACTCCCGACCTCAGGAGATCTGCCCGCCTTGGCCTTCCAAAGTGCTGGGATTCCAGGCATGAGCCACGGCACCCGGCCTACTACTTTTTGGGTGTTAGATAACCACTGGACTCAGGACTTTGACTAATGTTTCTTATCTTTGCTTTCTTACTAATTTTTGTGTCACTCATTTCCTGATATTTTCTTTGATACCTTAACACTAGACTACGCACAACACTGTCTGACTTCTCCATTTGGACATCTGTTAGGAATGTCAAAATCAATAAGTCCACATGGAGCCACTGATACTCCTCAAACTTGCTCTTCCCCATTCTGTTTAATGGCACCTCCCATTTTATAGTTTCTGAGCTCAATATTCGTGGTGTCCGCTTTTAATTCTCTCTGTCACTGCAGATCTGTCGTTCTCTCTCGGTATCTGTCTGGTTTTCACTCTCTCTCTCTCTCTCTCTCTATAACACACACACACACACGCACACACATTTTTTCAGATCTGACATGTATGAAAATCCTGCCAGCTTTACCTTTAAAGTGAACTCATTCCAAGTGGTATTTGCAAATTCACCTTCCCACCCTCACCACTTGGTGACTATAGTACTTCCCTCCCAAGGCCAAAGCTCTACTGCACAGATTTCTTGAGGAAATAATGAGAACTACTATACATTCTTATTTCAGGGGCCCTCAAAATACAGGCTAGCCATATTCTATATGAATTTAAGCTTCTATCGCCCTATTTTTCAATCCAGTCTCCACACAGCAAGCACAGGAAGCAGTTAGAATTCCAAGCCATATCACAACACTCCTGTTTTAAAGTCCCTGATTAATTACTTCTTTTTTCCTCATTAGAATTTAAGTTTAACGAAGCTGGGCAACTTTGTATGTTTTCCCACTGACCTATCTTCAGAGCTGGAGATCACTTGGTGCAAGATAAACGATCAGTAAATATTTTCAAACAGCAGAATCAATTATAAATAGTTTTACTATAGAGTACACACTGAGACTTAAAAATCAAGAAAATAGATTCATCAAGAGAATTCTGTTTTGATTTTGTTATCCCTTGATTAGATTATCTGTCTTAGTATAAATTTCAGTGTGGGAAGCTGTAAGCATTTTCTAAATTTTAAAATAAAAGACAAGGAATTTAAATATCTGCTCCTTTTATTTAAGGGATAAAAAAGACAAGCTTATCTTTTAAAATAAATTTTATATATGTATGCACAATCTAAATTTATTTTTCTCTCTTTATCCCTGAATACTTTGTAAAGGTATTCATGTCCTCATTTTTTAAAAATCCACTTCAATGATAACATTTTAAAAGATATTTGCAACTTCCTTAAGAATATCTTGGTGTTCCACTGAACAGCTTGCCAAGTAATACATTAGCAGTACAACTTCCTCATAATGCTTTAATTTGTTTGATTAAATTTATAAATTTCCTACTCTCAACTCATAATTTCATTCACACATCATACATCCTACTTGATCTCTGTGGGGAGTTCATTCCATATATTTACTATTGAAAATGGTTTTGATATCTGAACAGAAATGTATAATTGTATCGCTGGTTAGACTGTTCTACAGAATCTCTTTCTGTTTTGGTCCTGTTGCTTATTGATTACAGAGTGGCTCTGGTACTGTAAAGCTTGAAATATCTTCTTCCTTTTTTTCTTTCCCCTTCGTTCCTTCCTTCCTTCCTTCCTTCCTTCCTTCCTTCCTTCCTTCCTCATCCTTCCTTCTCTTTCTTTCTTTCTTTCTTTAACAGGTTTTGCTCTGTTGCCCAGGCTGGAATGCAGTGGTGCTAACAGGGCTTACTTCAATTATTTTTTAAACAGAAATATATCTAATTACATTAATCAAATTTCTTTTCAATGTAACCAACATTTCTTTTAAGTGATGAATTAAATATTTATCATGTTTTAGCCTCTACAGTTTACCTTCTGCAGCCTCAACTTCTCTGGCTCCAGCAATCCTCCCATCTCAGTCTCTTGAGTAGATGGGACTACAGGCAGTGCCACCATGCCTGGCAAAGTTTTATAACTTTTGGTAGAGATGGAGTTTCATCATGTTGCCCAGGCTGGTCTTGAGCTCCTGGGATCAGACAAAACTCGCAGCTCGTCCTTCCAAATTGCTGGGATTATAGACTTGAGCCACCATGCCCAGCCAAAAGGTTGAAACATTTTCTAAGTTTGAAAACAAAGTTCATGTTATTTAAATACCTGTTACTTAAAATTTGGAAGACATGTTAACACCATAGAAACCCAGAGCCTGCATTTTTAGATTAGTAACCTGTAGATGTTTTTCATTCCTTCTAAAGTTGAAACAATAAATATTTTGTATTCAGATAATTCTTGATAACAGAAGGTAACTATTTAATTTTTCACTTAAAAGAAATGCGGTTACTTTGAAAAGACATTTGGTTAAGGTAAGTCAGATAAATTTCTGTTTAAAAAATAACTTAAGAAAAATAATGCTCAAAGAGCAGCGGTCATGGGATTTATCCCAGAGAGAGGAAGTGGATCTTGTTCTGCTTGTGATAGCAAAAGTGTATGGATCAAGATTATTCTATAGGGTTATAGATTACAAGATAGCATAACATTTTATTTTAAAAATGAAGACAATTTTTGGTACATGTATTAAATGTAAGAGAATGAACAAGCAGCTTAAAAAATGAACTTCTCATGCTCACTTTTGGGGGATATTATGGGATACAAACAAGTGCAGAGAGCAGTGTGAGGAATAAAATTCTCATCCTGGCTTAGGAATAAAATTCTCCTTCTGGCTTAGTGTGGGCAGAACCTCACAGTCTCTGAGCAACCCCACGATGTGGTATGGTTAGGGCATGGCCCCTCAATACAAAACGTGTTCTCATTTAGTGAGAATCGAAATAAAAAAAATACTACTAACCTCAACACCGAATGATTGGTTCATCATTTGATAGACCCTGTGACTTTATAACACATACAATTGTGTTATCATTCTATAAGGTTTATCATTTGTGACATTTAAAACAAGAATAATTTCAAATTTGAAGTGAAAGAAGTCCTTTAGAGAAATACATTTCAAAATACAACCCCCTATCTATCTATATCTATATCATCTATGATATCGGCCATTTTCATATTGCAAAAAGCAAGGGCATTCTTCTAGGCCTTCTAAATGTTATAGGATCACACAGACATTGACACAATGGCGATAGACACAGATAGATGTTAATATTATTTGGAAAACAGTTTCATTTCTAGTGTGATGAACAAATGATTAAGGTGTTGGTGGTCTTAGGCATTATTTCCCACTAGGGTCCATATTTTTGCGTGTGAAAAATAGTTACTAGAGGGAGAGCAAAGACAGAGCACTCTCATTGTTCCCAGAGAATCGGACTAGAGAAATGTGAAGTCACCTACCTTCACCAGCTTTGCATTTTTTGTCTTTTTGATCATAGCCATTCCAGCTAGGGTGAGATTGTATCTCACTGGGGTTTTGATTCTCATTCCCTCACTAATTAGTGATGTTCAACATTTTTCTCGTATGCCTGTTGGCCATTTGTATATCTTCTATTGAGAAAAGTCTCTTCAAATTCTTGGCCCATTTTTAATGATATTATTAGTTTTTTTATGCTAATGAGTTATTTCAGTTTTTTTAAAATTTTCATACACTGAATGTTAGGCCCTTGTCAAGTGAACAGTTTGCAAATATTTTCTCTCATTCTACATGTTGTCTTTACTCTGTTGATTGTTTCCTTTGCTTTTCAGGAACTTTGTAGTTTAATGATGTCCCATATCTCTATTATTTGTTGTTGCCTGTGCTTTTGAAGTCTTGGCCATATAATTTTTTATCTAGAACAATGTCCTAAAGAATTTGTTCTTCCCCTATGTTAAGTTCCCTTCTAGTAGTTTTATAGTTTGGGGTGTTATATTTGGGCCTTTAATCCATTTTTAGTTGATATTTTTTTGTGGAGAGGATAAGTGTCTAGTTTCATTGTTCTGTAGATGGGTATCCAGTTTTCTCAGCACCACTTATTGAAAATTGTGCCATTTTCTCAGTGTACATTCTTGACATCTTTGTTGAAAGTCAGCTATATATAGATATATGGATTTATTTACGGGTTTTCTATTTTGTTATATTGGTCTCAGTGTCTGATTGCATGCCAATAACTTCCTGTTTTGGTTACTATAGTTTGTAGCATATTTTAATTCTAGTAGTGTGATATCTTCAGCTGTGTTCTTTTTGCTCAGTATTGCTTTGGCTATTCAGCGTCTTTTAGGGTTTTATACCAATTTTAGAGGATTTTTTATTTCTGTGAATAATATCATTGGTATTTTGATAGGAATTGCATTGAGTTTGTAGATTGCTTTGGGTAGTAAGTTTCTTCATTTAATATTTTCTAAATGTAACTCCACTGATTTAGGCTTGCATTACTTCTAATAAGAAATCAACTATTACCTGGGGATGGTTACTGGGTAAGAAAAAACTAGTTAGAAATAATCAATAAGGCCTACTATTTGACAGCACAACAGGATGACTATAGTCAATAACAACTTAACTGTACATTTTATAAAGCTAAAAGAGTGTAATTGAATAGTTTATACTACAAAGGATAAGTGCTTGAGTGAATGAATACCGAATTTTCCATAATGTGGCTATTTCACATTGCATGCCTGTTTTGAAACATCTCGTGTACCCAATAAAAATATATGCCTACTATGAAGCCACTAAAATTAAAAAAATTTTTAAAAACCAAATTTGTTCTTGTCATTTTGTTGTTCACCTGTATCTCTCTCTCTCCCTTTCTCTCTTTCTCTCTCTCTCTCTATCTCTCTCTCTCTCTCTCTGTGTGTGTGTGTGTGTGTGTGTGTGTCTTTGGGACATGTTAAACTTTTTGGAATAGGAGGTTTCTAGTTTTCACAAAATTTGGGAAATTTTGGTCATTGTTCCTTTAAATTGTTTTTCTGCCTTTTCTCTTCCCTGTCCAATCTTACCTCCTTTAATGACTTTCATTATACCAATTTAGGCAGTTGAAGATGTCCTAAAACTCACTGATACTCTGTTTACGCTTTTGTGCTTCGTCTTGAATAGCTGCCATTGCCATATCTTCAAGTTCACTCATCTATTCTTTCACAGAATCCAATCTGCAATCAGTCTCATTCAGTGTATTTTTTATTGCAGACATATTATGGATCATTTATAAGAGTATAACTTGCGTCTGTCTTTATATGTTTTATGTATCCACTTAATATGATTTTTCAATCTTATATCCTCAAGAACAAGTAGAATAGAATAGAGTTATAAGAATTTCTTTCATATCCTTGCCTACAAGGTCTATCATGTGTGCAATTTTATTGCCATTTGGGATTGATTCACTTCTCTGTTTGATATAGCATATATTTTCTGGTTACCTTGCAGGAAATATTGACAGGATGAAGGCATTGTGCATTTTTCCTGCTGGGTTGAGAATTCTTTTGCAGTTCATTCTCTATTTCTGTCTTTTATTGTTGAATTCAGTAAAGTTACTTTACTGTTCAGAAAAACAGTTTGAGTTTTCTGTTTGCTTTTACACTTTCATAGTTGAGACCTGAGCAGCATTTTGTCTAGGGTGACTTTTTCCCCAGTACTGAGGCAAAGCTCTTCTGATGAGTCAACCTCATGCCCTGTAAGTCAGGCCTTTCCTCTGTGACTGTAGTGTGTGAGTGTCTGTGAGTGCGTGGGTGGGTGTGTGTGGGAGTGAGCTCTGTGAGGTGTTCCCTCAAGAGTCTTTGCGTGGTTCTTTTCTCTTTCGGAGGTGTTTCTTTACACACAAGTGCTCATCAGTTCATGTATATTTGCAGACCTCAGAGTTCTCTGCATGTGCAACTGCCTCCTCTTTGATACTCTTCCAACTAGACTGTTTTTGTTCATTTCTAAACAATTTTTGAGATCCCTGGAATCCTACTCTAAGAGGCAGGATTCCATGCAGTAGGGTTTCATGACATACTGTCAGGAAAGAAGTGTGGGAGGCGTGACTGGGAATGTGTTACAACTGACTGCTCAGCTAGAAGGCATTTCAAGGTCATTCTAAATTAAAATATGGCTTTGGGATTAAGGCATCAGGTAGTTATTGCTCCTGAACTACATTCTGAAGGAGGCACATCTTTGCATGAAGCCGTTCTTTGCACTCAAAGGCATTTTTTGGTGGGGAATTGCTGTGTGAAGCTGGGATGCCAAGGGATGCCACAGTGCTCACTAGAAAAGACTTTCCTGTTCAGAACATCAGGATGCATGGAGCTGGGGCTTGAGGGTCTCAGTTAAACATGGGGAGTTCAGACCAATAATCCAGGGCATTTGGGCCACAAAGTACAGGCATTGTGTTAGATCCAGTCACCACACAAGAGGAACTCCAGGGATCATGACCACTCAACAGCTGCCCATCTCCTTCTTGTGGTCCTTCCATTCAGGTCATCTTGAGGCAAGGCACACTCAGTCTAAACAACAGCAGAACAGCCTGGTCCTTCAAGCCTCACATCATCCTGACCCACCTTCTGCAGAGCCTACCTGGAGGAATGGAGGGAAAGGCAGCCTGGAGGTCTCAGATGCAGGTGAACTGGGCCAGCCCTGTTTATGGCTTTGTTCACAGTCCTGCTGGGGCTGGAGAGAGAGGATGACACAGATAGTGAAGGGGTTTCTGTCTCACTTCCCCATCTGTCTGTGTCAATGTGAGATGGTTACCACTGCTGTCCCGGGAGTTACAGTAATAGTCAGCCTCATCTTCCGCCTGAGCCCCAGTGATGGTCAAGGAAGCTGTGTTTCCTGAGCTGGAGCCAGAGAATCGGTCTGGGATCCCTGAGGGCCGGTTGTTTTTACCATAGATGACAAGTACAGGGGCCTGTCCTGGCTTCTGCTGGTACCAGCTTGCATAATAGCTTCTGAGGCTGTCTCCTTGGCATGTGATCCTGACTGTCTGTCCCAAGGCCACAGACACAGCAGGGTCCTGAGTCAGCTCAGAAGAAACCACAGAACCTGCAAAAGAGGACAGAAGAGGTGAGGATAAGGGTTTCACGCCTAGAGTCCCACACCCTACACTACTCCCTGTGTTGAGCCGAAGCTCAGGGCCAGGTTGGCACAGCTAGCATGATAATATGGGGTTGAGCCCTGGGAGGCAGCACCTATGCAAAGAGTGAGGAGAGTGAGCCAGAGAGGGGTCCAGGCCATGGTGGAGACACCCCAGAACTCTGCTTCTGAGCCCACAGCTAAGGAGGAACCTCCAGGCCTCTCTTATCATAGGAAGGGAAGTCTCTTCATGCAAATCTACTTCCTTTATTCTTGTGTCGTCGTTAGGTGGCTCTGGTGAGCAGTGGATGCAAATCTGTTCTCCATTCCCTAAAACATTTGTCCTGGTTCTTGTCTGAGCCCTGAGCCTGATGGCCTTCTCTGAGTAATTTCTCAAGATCAGAAGAAGGGCCAAGTGCATTTTCAGATTTACCCACTAGAAGGGGCCTCATAGGAAGCAACAGTCAGGCTCTTCGCCCTTGAGCATTACTAGGGGCTTGGACTCATTAGGGGCCTCAGACTAAACCTCACAGTGCCCCCTGGTGCACACAGCATGAATGCCATTTTCTGCACATCACTAGATCACTCAGAAGGGCTACTTATGAGTCCATAATACATGCCAGATGCATTAGCGAGAGTTTTACAAGTGTTACCTCAAGAAGACTTTTGTAATATAGAATAGGATGATGGGGAGCCTTGTGCTTCAAGCCCATCTTTATTAGTGAGTGAATATTAGGAGGTTAAATGTTTTTCCCAAGTCCTCCAGACAATAGGGAGTGGAGTCAAGATTCCACCCAGGAGATGCACCTCAGAGCCCGACCTTCCAGCCCCTTCCTGCACCGCCTCCTGCACCCTGCTCCATCTCCTCCTTCTCCCTCATCCAAGGTCTTTGGGGTCCCTCTTGTTTTTGCTAGAGCTCCCACAAGAAGATAGGAAAGAATTAGTGACCGAAATGGCAGAAACATATTTTCTCACAGTTCTGAAGCTGGAAAACCCAAGATAAAGGTGGTAGTGGGTTTGGTTTCCCCTGAGGACTCTCTCCTTGGCTTGCAGGTTGCTACCTCCTTGCTGAATCCTCACCTGGTCTTTTCTCTGCACGCTCACCTCTGGTGCCTCATTTCTGTGTGTGCAAATTTCTTCTTCCTAGGAGGACATCAGTCCAATTTGAGAAGAATCCACCCTAATTTTTTCATTTTCACTTAGTCACCTCTTTAAAGACCCTATGCACAATTTCAGTCACATATTGTGTGTTACAGCTTCAATGCATACATTTTGGGGGACTTAATTCAGCCAATAACCCCCCACCCTCTGGACTCCAAAAAACTCATGTCTTTCTCACTTGTAAAAACATTCAACTCATTCCAACAGCGCAAGTCCTAAACTAACTCAGCACCTACTCTAAGACCCAACTCTCATTTAGATATCACCCAAATCAAGTGTGGGTGATTATCCAGGATGATTCATCCTGAGGGTTTAAAGGAAAACAATTTGGGGGGTTTCCTCTCCAGTCTCCTGTTATCATCCAGGTTCCAGAAAAGTAAACTCCTACTTCAATAAGATTGAAATAAAAAAGTGAGTCAACATCAGCAACATTTTTGAGTCAGATGTGAAAAATTCACATCTGTGCACTTTTAAAATAATTTAGAGTATAGAATAATTTAAATGCCATAAAATTGAATTTTGTGATCAGTAGCCATGGGCTATCTCTGACAGCATTTGGAAAAGAGCTATAGTTGATACAGAAAATATAACCCAAAAAACAAGAGTTGTTTTTAGAGCAGAATATTTCCAAGTTAACTAAGATAAATCGTACACAGAAATAATATAATCCAAAGAAAATTAATTTCTTGTAGGCATATTAAATTACTAAATCCAATTTTAGCATTGAGCATCAACATTTTGGTATGCATATAAAGCCACCTCTCAATGGTTATATAAAAGGGCAGTTGTTTCCTACTTCATGTTACAGTTTATTTGTGGCTTAATGGTGCTTTGATAGTCAGAGAGAAGGTGCTCCAGAAGATGCTTCCTTTACCTAAAAGAGGGAAAATATTCTTTTACATAAAACGATAATTTGCAGGATAACATATTTCCACTCTCATCATCCCTGTTCTTGTCATGGCAACTTAGTTGGAGGACTTACAGTTAAAATCTCAAACTCAGCCAGGCACGGTAGTTCATGCCTGTAATCCCAGCACTTTGGGAGGCCGAGACGGGTGGATCATGAGGTCAGGAGATTGACACCATCCTGGTCAACATTGTGAAACCATGTCTCTACAAAAAATACAAAAATTAGCCTGGCATGATGGCGAGAGCTTGTAATCCCAGCTACTTGGGAGGCTGAGGCAGGAGAATTTCTTGAACCCGGGAGGTGGATGTTGCAGTGAGCCGCGATTGTGCCACTGCACTCCAGCCTGGCAACAGAGTGAGACTCCATCTCAAAAATAAATAAATAAATAAATAAATTTTAAAAACATCTCAAACTCTCTTCTTTATTCCATTGTTGCATTCTGAGTTTAACGATCTACTTGCTTTATAAAAATTTGCAATACATTTAAAAGTTCAACTTCATTTATCATTTGTTAATGATGCTCAGAACACCAACCATCTTGTGTGTTTTTGGTTTCAGCTACAAGGCTGATTTTAAGACCTTTTTTCTCTCAGCCTACACTGGATCACTCCCGACTTGGTGCAAGCTTCCTTGCCCATTTGCCCCTCCCTCTGCCTCTAATTTTTCACCTCGGAGGAATCTCTATTCCTGATATACTGAAGCTCTCACAAAACAGAGCAAATGGATGAAGATGAAAGTCATGAGCTTGTGACACAGGGCTGTCTTGAGCAGACACAAGATCCAATCAAACACATGGTACAGGTAGGTTCTTATCCAAAGAAAGACCTCAGGCCCCTAGAGGAGGTGAATTACAGTGTCCCTCACAAAGAGATCTCCACATAGAACATATGCGGGTGCAATGTTCAAACTTCAAATAACCCTAGAAACCAGAGACCGTTAAACCACATCCTGTGGGACATCCCTGGCCTGCCACCAATTTTTTTAATGGCCCCAGAACTGATAGTGGTTTTTATATGTTTTAATGATTACGTTGTAGATGGTGTATCAGAACATACATATTATCCCAACGTTGTCTTGTGCATGGCAAAGACTAAAATACCTCTTACCGAGGCATTGAAGAAACGGTTTACCAAATCCTAAAACATAATGAGCACTGAAATATTTGAGTAAATGCTCAACCTCAAGCAAAATAGGAGAAATCAAAAATAAATGTGTAACAAGATAACTTTGTATATCTGATAGGTTGGCACAAACTTGCACTTTCACCAATGAATTCCAATCAATATTTAGGGCTGGTATTGTAAACTGGTAGAACTGGAGGGGAATATGAAAACAATGGATAAAAGTTAAAAATGCACATCCTTTTGACCCAGCAATTCCACTTCTGGAAATTTATCCTATGGTGATATGCACACATGAACTCAAAGGAGTCTGCACAGGGATGCTTGCTGCAGTGTGATTTGTAAGATCAAAATCATGGTGATAACCATTAGAGGCTGCATGGCTAAAATCCTACTACAGAATACTCTACAGCGTTAGAATGAATGGGCAGTGCTCTATGCCTATGACGCCCCAGGAAAGAATAAGAAATGGTGCAGGTATGGGATGGCCTTTGACAAGGGGGACTGGGACAGGTGCCTTACACTTCACTCTCTCCTTTTCCTCTGAGATTTTCCACATCAGACAAACAGGTTAGGGACAGTGGAAGCCCCTCAGGCTGGGCCTGGCCACCTGCTCTGGCCTCTGAATGCAGCCTGGCCTGACAGCTTGGCTGCAACTTCATGACCAACCCAGAACCAGAACCACAAAACTAAGCTGCTCTCAATTCCAGATGCACCGAAGTGACAAGATCACAAACACGTGTTCTCTTACCATGCTAAATATTAGGGAGCAATTTTTATGCAACAATAGACAATAAATACAATTTGGTTTTTGAAATATATTTTCTTGTGGATATTTCAGGTACACAACATGTTGATATAGTCTAAACACATAATAAAATGGTTACTTTGTTTTTAATAAAACCTATTTAATCAAAGTTTATGAAGCCTAAATTATATATAATAATGGCTATGTCTACCAATTGACTCATAAAATTTAAATATTGGATGCAACTAATGTCTGAATATTTATTAAATTCATTCTCACCTTTAGTAGATTAAGAAAGATTTCAGCTACAAAAGTATTGACACCCATGGAAATTACAAATGCTGGATGTCAATGAGGAAGAAGGAATGGACTCACGTTAACTCTTCCCTGTGGGGCCATTTTGGAAACTCCCAACCTATAGGGACACCATCCACTTTTGGGGAGTTTCCAGGACAGGGCCCCAGCGAATTGAGACGGGAGGATTTTGAGGGAGCACTGAGCCTGTCACGCAAAATCTCCCCAGCTCAGCAACCTGAGGTATTGAGGCAAAGAGGAGGAGCAAAAATAAAAAAAACACTGCCAGATGCAGTGGCTCCTGTGTGTATTCCCATCCCTTTGAGAGGCCGAGGTGGGTGCATCACCTGAGATCAGGAGTTCAAGACCAGCCTGGCCAACATGGTGAAATCCCGTCTCTACTAAATATACAAAAATCAGCCAGGCATGGTGGTGGTCACCTGTTATCCCAGCTCTTCGGGAGGCTGAGGCAGGGAGCATTGGTAGAGCCTGGGAGGCTGAGATTTCAGTAAGCCAAGATTCTGCCACTGCACTCCAGCCTGGCGACAAAGCAAAAGTTTGTTTCAAAAACAAAAACAAAAGAATAATAAAAACAACAGTTTCCTCTCGTCCTTAATACCTCACAAACATGTTCAGATCTTCTCACAGTGGTCACTGCTTCAGGACAGACATGCAGAGGAATAGTCCATCCAGGAGGGCCATCTTTACCAGACCATGGTGGACACAATTGAATAAGATGCAGTTTCTTGAAACTCCCTGTAATGACCTCTGTCCAGATTGTTCTTCACAATTTGGGAGGAGGATGCATTTTGGGTGAGGACATCCTTAAAAACAGCAGTGAATGCACCAGTCAGGCAGCTTTTCTCACTATGTGCCTGCATTTGAAGAGCTAGGAAGAGTTGCACATTCAGGGACCACAGCACACAAGCATCAGGAAGCTGTCACTGTCCTGGATGAGAAATCACAGAGCAGGTTTCCTTTTGGACTTCCTGGTGAGAAAGGAGAGGAGCTGGGAGAGGGGAAATTCTCAAGGCAGTGCTGCAAGAAGCCCCTTGCACAGGGTGAGGAAGCATCTTCAGAACAAGAGAGAGGCTGAGAGCCCAGGGCAGGTTTGGGTCTCAATTCCCCATGAACTTGGACCACGGTGGAAAGTGCCACCTCTCCTATGTGAGTTGCAGTAATAATCAGCCTCATCCTCAGCCTGGAACCCAGAGATGGTCATGGAGGCTGTGTTTCCAGACTTGGAGCCAGAGAAGCCATCAGGGACCCCTGAGGCCTGAATACTGACACTATAAATCATGGGTCTGAGAACTGTGTCACCCAGTGTTTTGGGGCCAAGAGTAGAAAGGCTCTGCAGCAGGTGCAGGTGGGGGAGTGAGTGTCCTGCTATTGGGCCAGAGAAACTAGCAGACTCTACCATAATAGAGGAACTGGACATAGGAACTGAAACCTTGTGCTTAAGGCAAGGCTTCAGAGGAGAATCCTAGTGTAGACGCATGGGATTTAGCAACAAGTCTATGTCATGTGCAGTAGATAATTATTTCCTTTTGAAAACAACCTCTTCTATATTCGAGGGCTTTGTTACATCCAGAACCTCATGAGACACCAGTAACCACACAGTCAGACCTGCCATATCCCCTCGGTCATAAGCTCAGGCAGGGCACGAAATATTACACCATGAGATGAATGTGGCACCCGTAGGATGGAGCAGGAGCAGGGCTCAAGGGCACCGTCTTCTGCACAAGCAGGTTTTTCTCTCTATTGTTCCAGTGCCTCTTCCTGGGTTCACACTTATATGGTCTGGTGGAGATGGGGATGCTTGCAGCAGGTTACTCAACAGTACCTGTCACCTGAAAGAGTTGTGAGGAGCTCTGTCCCATAGTGGTATGACACGATCCTCCTGTGACCCCCTAGTGTCTAGTCACCACATTAAATATGAAAAGATAAGACAAATAAATTCAGATATATATATATATTTTATTTATTTCAGTAGAGCAAAATACTATCATTTTCACGTTATCAACATGAAATTATGTATGAGATAAATTACATCGATTTTCATGTATATTGTTATTGTTATTTTTCTGGAGATGGAAAATTTGGAAACTATGTAGTTGATGGGGATGTGATTGGGTTCTTTGTTGACCAGGGTGTCCTGCAGTGGGTTTTGATGTGATGAATGATCCGTATTTTACGTAGTTCGCCACATCTACATATCTGGTTGGAGTTGTAGAAAGGAGCAACATTTACAGAGGATGTGGAGGGTGGAGGTGGGCAGCATCCATCCTGCAGCTCACCTTGTGGGTGTATCTGTGGTTCCTGTGAGGGGTGAGGCTGCTCCCCCTGCCCCGGGCTTTCCTGCAGGGAGATCTGACTCCAACAATCCCTCAACCCAGAGCACCTGGCATGTCAGGCTCCCTTTTCATTCCATAAAAATTCAAGGAACCATCAGATTGGGCATTTCAACATTTACTCTGCAAATTTGGACAGAAACCAGAGTTTTCAGTTTATAGTGGCCTACTCAGGTCCCTGATGACCCATGTTGGGGACAGCTGGCCATCTTAGATGGGGTTCTCTGGAAGCTAACTCTGCAATAGAGATGTCCATGCACAGAAGATTCAGAAGGGAGTGGGGGAGGCAACACGGGGCAGAAGGAGACCCTGACTCGTGATGGAGTTGACATTGAGGCCTCAGGTATCCACACAGGGAGCTCTGGAGCTGGGAGGCCCTTCATTCAGTGGCATCTTAAATTGAGGCAAGGATTTGAGATCTTGGTTGATTAAACCGAACCCCTCTGAAAAGGGACACAAACTTGAGGAAGCTTTCTGCAACCAACAGCACTTCCCAGTGAGGGCACAGCTCTGAGCTGCTGGGCTTCTCAGCAGTGCCAGGTGGGTCACATTGAGGAGGGGATCTGGGCAGACTTCACAGTGTCCATTCCTCTGGTTTGCTCTGTTGGGAATCACAGGCTGCCACACAGCCTGGGGGCCAGGACCTCAGCAGAACTGGGCAGTAGTTCTGGGGCCTGATCCAGACAGTTGGTCTAAGGACTTGCCCTGTCCCCACCATATGACCATCCAGGGGTAGGACAGTGGACAGAGGTTGCCTCTGTCTGTCTTTCCACCCAAGCCTTCATTCTCTAACTCACACAACAGCCCCAAGTCACCAGATGATTCTGGCCCTTCCAGGCCATATTTATGCCTGATGTATCTTCTGTAGAGACTCCTGGAGGGGGCTGGAGGGAAGGGCAACCTGAAAGGCTCAGATCCAGGTGAACTGGGCCAGATTCACTCATGGCTTTATCAACAGGCTTCCCGGGGCTGGAGCAAGAGGGTGACCGAGGCTGGGAGGGTGTTTTTGTCTCACTTCCTCATCTGCCTGTGTCACCGTGGGATGATCACTACTACTATCCCACACCTGACAGTAATAGTCGGCCTCATCCCCGGCTTCGACCCTGCTGATGGTCAGGGTGGCCGTGTTCCCAGAGTTGGAGCCAGAGAATCGCTCAGGGATCCCTGAGGGCCGGTCGCTATCATCATAGACGACCAGCACAGGGGCCTGGCCTGGCTTCTGCTGGTACCAGTGCACACTTTTACTTCCAATGTTGTTTCCCCCACAGGTAATCCTGGCCGTCTGTCCTGGGGCCACTGACACCGAGGGTGGCTGAGTCAGCACATAGGAGGTCACAGAGCCTGCAAAGATAAAAATAAATAAATAAATAAATAAATAAATAAATAAATAAATAAGAGAGAGGTTGGCTTGCAGGTGAAAGATGCTTCTTATGAAATCCCTTGCCCTGCTGTCCCAGACAAGCTCCAGAGAGTCTGTGAACCCTCAGGGTATCCCCTGCAATCAGCCCCAGCCCCAGTGGCCCATGACTTTCCTGTTGTATGGAGACTTTGAACTGAAAACTCACTACTCTCTCCTGGCAGGTGCAGTCCCTCAGGCTCTCACAAGCCTTTGAGCACAGTTTGGGGGGAGTTCAGCCCCACCAGCCTCCCACCCTGCAGCAGGGTCATGAGCATCCTGCCCACCACAGGAAGGGCCCTCCTGAGCTCAGAATCAAGGACACGCTGGACCCAGAACCCTTGGGCTGGGCAGGTTGGTGAGACCCTGGGGGGATCACCTGTGCAGTGAGAGAGGAGGCCGAGGAGGAGAACGGTCCAGGCCATGGCTGAGGCACCACCAGTGCTGCTTCCTTAGGCCCAGACTGAGCAGGTTCCTCCCAGGCCTCTCTTATCCCCTTGCTGGAGAGAGCGGCCCATGATGCAAATCAGCAGAGTCAGAGGCTGCTGCTGGAGGAGATCTGTGGTTTCCAGAGAAGGACTCAGCCCCAAAGGAAACAGAGAGAGGAGGGCTGGCCCCTGCTTACCCACCCCCTCAGCCCATGCGATTTTCCTTCACCCACTGGTCCCATGGTCTGGGCTCACATCTTTACCCAGGTTGTGCCCAGCCTTGCTCCTTGGCTGGGTTGGTCGTGGAAAAGCTCAGAGCTGACTTCCTCTGTATTTTCTAGGGGATATAAAGACCTTCCTATGGGATAGATGTTGGCCGTGATTTAAGAGGTTGTTAGAGTCACAGTGGTGACAGGGGAATTATCTGGGGTCCACAGTCCCCTCCTTCATTCCATCCTGGCTCAGAAGGGAGGTGGTTAGCTTTTTTCTGCTTCTCTAGTAATGTCCTGATTGTAAATATTTTATGTCAGACATGAGATGTCTGGTACAGGCCTAAATCCATTTAAAGTCACATGCCAGAGCCCAATGCAGGGACCCTCTTCATTCTCACTCATGTCCAAGACGGGTCCCCAAGAGCCCAATGCAGGGACGCTTCTCATCTCCCACAGGGGACGGCACAAGCCTTGGACAGGTACAGGCCCCATTCCAGGGCACAGCTCCTCTGTGCTAGAGGAGAATGCAATTCTTGGTTGCCAAGGGCACATAGAATTTTGGAAGATCCATGGGATGCGGTAAGTTTCTACCTTGGCTGCGAGTTCTAGTGTCAGGTCATGGGTGCTGTGCCTCAGTATCACCAGGGTGCTGTCAGGACCAGGGACAGATCAGGAGGTGAAGGAAATGTTTGCTTCATGAGAAAATGAGAGGGGGCTGCAAACTCCAAGACCCAGGAAGTAAGTGTTTATTATAACTAAGTTGTCTTCTGTTGCTGGGAAAATGTAACAATGGATAAAAACTTAAGTCAACAAAAGATTAATGAGTAAGTATTGTGTGTCTCATAAGGAAATCAAGAACTACGAATTGGCAGGTTCCCCAGAACAGAGTCAGGAAAGACCGGGGACAGTGGACGTTGAGGGGTGGCCAGGGAAGGAGAAGTGGCTGTGTCTGCAGGACAGGGGCTCCCAGAGCAAAGGCAGGGAGGTGGGACACGTCTGACTACAGGATGGGATGGCATGTGTGACAGTGAGATGGGGGCCAGGTCGATGGGAAGAGGCAAAGTGCCTGAATGTGTGTCAGAAAAATAAGGATCATCTCCAAGAGTCAGATCTGAGAACCAGGAAGCCAGAAGAATGTAAACATCGGTGTCAAGGACAAATACTCTAAGAAAAGAAGAACCTCTTTCCCTCCAGATCTCAGGTCATGGTCACCGACCCTCCCTGCATGTGGGCATCTCCCTGATGCCCAGGCCCACCCCATCTCCAGGTGCTTCTGCCAGGTTACTCTCTGCTGCCCCCTGGTGGCCACTCTACGCGGGCTGCTGGAGGCTCAGGGGCCTCCTGGGTCCAGGTGTTGCTTCAGAATCTGCTGCTCAAGTCCCTGATCCCTTCGTTCATGGACTGCTGACCTCAGGGAAGAAACTCCTCTTCTCTGTGTGGCCCCTTCCTGCCTCAAGACCCGGCACAAGGTGCTCAAGATTCCTGATGGAAATACAAACACTCCATGTAGTAGAGGAGGTTTCAGGTTCTTCCTCAGGCTCCCTGCACGTCTGTCTCTCTGTGTGGTGGGTGGTCCTGAAGGGGGACTGGGGCTTGGTACTGAGGGATGCAGGACTCACAGGTGGCTTTGACTGGTTCTGGATACAAATACAGGGCCAGCGTACCTTCGTAGTGACTCCTGCAATAAAACAGAGACAGAAGCTCATTCACCCAACATATATCCACCCTGGCCCACTCTATCCTGGCAAGACTGCTTTTCAGGAGCTCAGCATGAGGAAAACACAGTCCTTGCTCTGAGGAGTTTCCTGTCCTATTCCTGGGTCAGTGCATGGGTCCACACCAGGTCCCAGACCCTCCCTAGTTCACCTGGCCCTGAAGACACTCAGGGGAGTTGGTCCTGGTCACTCCCCTCTACCTGATGCCCACCAGGCAGCACTGTAGGGACCCACCCTGCTGCCTGTGTATCTGGCCCTGGGCCAGCTTTCTGGGTCCCCATTGGGTCACCCAGCACTGCTTTCCCTGAAGTTCCAGAGCTTTCCTGACCCAGGAGCAGAGAATTCAGGGAGTGCACTTGACAAGGAAAGGAAGGGCCTGTGACAGGGAGTGACAATCTTAAGGCCACTGGGGAAGGAAGAAAGAAGAGCAGGACCAGGGAAGTCCTAGACCCATAATGATGAGCTCTTCTGAGTGTCCTGGAACCCGCCTGGACTTGGGGAGGGGACGTGGGAAAATCCTGAGTCAAATTTTTGAGGCCCTGATGCCAACAGCTTCCCCTCGTCAGTTCCTCCAGCTGCCTGTGGGGAGCGCTGCTCTACCTGGACATGGAGCCAGTCAGGACCTGGGAGGGCAGCCAGCTCCCTGCACTCATTGGCTGATTAGAAGACTCAAAGTACAGTACTCCAGGTTTCAATCAAACATAGGCCTTTTAATGATCCTTTAAGCTGACAAATTTTTAATATAATGTTTAAGGATTAGGGATCCCCCTATAAAAATGATCTATCTATGTTAATATTTCATTAGCTCAATAAATGAGTTGTCGATATATTAATACTATAGCATTTCTCAGTGCTTTTTTGAGCAGAGTATCATTTTCTTTTCTGTTTTTCCCATTTCCATGAGGTATGGGCCCAAATACAAGCCACGAGCATTGATATGAGAAGCCTCTGCTTTTCCTGTTCAATACGTCCCACACCTGACATGCTTACCTTATGCCAGTGTCCTAAAGGGAATCACGAAAAGCATCGGCTGAAGCAATAGGCAGAGAAATGTCACCTATGGTATGATTTTACCCAAGAGCCACACAAGGTATTTTCTCATGGAGCAAATAGATGATGCTCACACACAGGTGACCCTGCACAGGTGTGACTGAGTCATTCTGGGTCAGATGTGAGCTGAGCATGTTTCCTTCCCACTGACCAAGGTGGCTTCTGCCCTGCTCACCCCTGGGAGAAGCTCCCTCTTTGCTCCTGGTTCTTCATGCTGGGAAGATGCTCTTTTTTTGGGAAAGCAGAGCTGAGGCTGTCACGGCAGAATGAGGGGACCTTGTCTATGGGCTTTGAAATTCCTGGACTCACAGGTCCTAATTCTTCTCTGGATGCAAAATTATCAGGCAGCAGAATAACAGAGTAAGGGCCCCTTACCAGCCCCAGGCTGTGCTGAAAATGGTTTCCTAGTGCAGATCTCCCAGGCGGTCTCCAGGAGCCTGAGACTGGCTGAGTCAGTCCTCACTGAGGCCCAAGCAGCAGGGAAATGTGTGAACCTTCCCTCTTCTGTCGTGGTTCATCCAAAGATTTAGTTTTCTTTGAAATCCCAACATCCTGTCACTTGAAATTCTGAGCCTTGCACAGACGTGTTCACTGCTTCAAGTGGTGGAAAGTCTCCAGATGGACGAGTTCCTGCATCCGTCTGCACTTTCAAAAGTCTCTAATTTAGAGCTCAGCCATGTTTGTAGAGCAGAAGCTCCAATAAAGTAGGTGTGTAAGAGTGTGTTAGATAAGCAAGGGAGATGGTGAGAGAGAACATGAAAGCTTCCCAATCCCCTTCACCTCTAACCCCCGTGGTCCACATCTCCCAGGAACATACAGATGAGAGGGGCACGGACAGCAGAGACTCAGGGCTGGAAATTCCATGTTTAGAGCCACAGGTTTCTTCAGCTTCCTGTTCCACCAGCAGATCTAATCCCCTTATGCTCATCAGAGATAAGGTGTCCTCAGCCACCTTCTGTCCCTCTATGTGACTCAGTGTCCAATAGCTATGAATGACCTTTTTCTTGAGAATCAAATTCAGATGTAGACTCAGCAGTGGACACGGTCCTCCCAAGCACAGGGATCAGAGTCAGCAGCACAGAATCTGCCCCGTGAGCACAGTGTGCACAGCTCCACTGCACACCCAGCATAGCCCTACTGCATGGAAACAGTCCTGCTGCCAACAGTGAACACTGTCATCTTTGGGGGTACTTTTCACAAAATTATTCAAAAGCCTTGACAAAGGGTCTGGCTTAGAAATGCTGGCTGGAGACAGCTAACACTCAAATATGAGCATGAGAAGTTTGAGTATTCTTCCTGGCAACAAATTAACAGATTCAACAGACATTTCTGGAAGACTGGAAATGTGTGACCTTGGACCAGACAGAAGATCATTGCTAATTAGAGAAAGAGTGAGAGAGAGAGAAAGTTGAATTGTAGCATAAACAACAGAGAAAATGGTGCTCAGTACATAATTCTTCCATTTTTAACAGTTGTATAATTGCAAAATTACTTTGCTTCCTGAGCATGCAATATTTTTATTATGGTAAAATAAACATAACAAAATGTTTCATCCTTTTAATCATTTTTAAGTGTGTAATTAAGCGGCAGTAAGTACAGTAAAAATGTTGTGCAAACATCACCATTGTCCAACCCAAGAGCTTTTAGTTCAGCGCACAAAGAACCTCTATCTATTAGACAGCACTTTAGAAACTTTGGACATTGTGGACAAAATGACGAGTGTGTGATAAAAAGAAAATCCCAAGGATGAACCAAAGACGGTATTTGCACTTCACCCCCAGCTTCTGTGGAATCTCAGTGCAGTAGGGGGTGTGCCTCATCCAGGAACCCAGATGAGACGCAGCCCCTGGGGCCTTTTCTGGGCTGTTTCTTCCCAAGGAGCAGAGGAATTTCAACAAGACTGTGCCCTCTGAGACAGCTCTCTCCTCTCCCGCAGTACGTGTGATTACTTCTGGGGTTTTGTTTTCAGTTTACTGGACTGATCTCTACAATAGTTGAATGATCCTGGAAGATGAATTTGGATTTGTACAGACCCAGATGGGCAATAGTGGCATTAGCAATATCTGTGCCAGATGGGGATCTCTGGGAACAGAATGCTATGGCTGCAGGTGCACAGTTACCTCACTGAAGCAGATACTGAGGTCTTGTCTATTTCCCTCAGAGAATAGGATCAGAATCAGTGTGCATTCAGGTGGAATGGACGACAGTATACATTCACACTTTCTCTGCCCAGCATCATTAGCTCTCTTATCTCTATCATGATATCATCATGAGGGTTCAGACCATCTTGATATCATAGTTGAATCACATATACATGATGGGCATGGCCTACTGGAAGCTTTTGTGAGATCCATGCACTTTTAAGAGTGGGAAATAAACTGTTCCCTCTTCTGTATTAGCAGAAATTGGGACTTCAGTTGTCTGGAGCAGCTGAGAGTCTCCTACAAATTAAAGAACATGTTATTATACCCTTCAATTCCCTCCAGGAAGAAACAGACACAAGGTCTATAAAGGTCTAGGAGTAGCATATTTTACACTTGGGGATGTGGCTCCAACCCATATATCAGGAGCCACAAATATCACCCATTGTTTTCCAGGCCCAGAGCATTGAGGCTCTGCAGCAGGTGCAGGCAGGGTTGTGAGTGTCCTGCTGTTGGGTCCAGAGAATCCAGCTGACTCTACTGTGGGAACTGAAACCTCCTGTACATGGCAAACCCCACTGGAGAATCCCAACGTAGACTCATGGGGTTTTGGAATAAGGCCATGTCATGTGCAGTAGAGTGTTACTTCCCTTTCTAAAAGCAGCTCCTTTTGTCTTATTGGGCCCTGAGAGAGACAGGATAACACTGGACATCAAGCGACCATGTTTCATGAACTGCCAGATCCCCCCAGTTATGAGCTAAGGCAGGCCAGCAGCGGTCTCTGGTGAGATGGATGTGACACATCTAGGTTAGAACAGGATCAGGGCTCCAGGACTCAGTCACCTGCATAAACAGCTGGTCCACATCTGTGTTCTCATTTCTCTTCCACCAGTGCCTCTCCATGGCTTCACACATATGTCCTACGGGTGGAGATGGGGCTTGCTGAAGCAGGTTACTCCAAAGCACCTGCCACCTCAAGGGGTAAGACAAGACCAGCATTGTACAATCACATGATGTGAGTCTCATGTGAATCCTACTGTCTAGTCACCATACTAGACATAAAAAATAAAAAGGTAAACTAGTTTCAGTAATATATTTTATTTAACCCAAAGTGTGAAAAATAATATTTACACATGAACACAATCTAAAATTATTTATGAGATATTTTATAGCCATTTTCATAGCTACTGTTCCTATTATTATGTTGGGGAGATTCTTTATGTTGAGATTGTGTGGTTGATGGAGGTTTGAAGGAGTCTGATTGACAAGGGTGAGCTGTGCTGGCTTCGTAAGTGTCAACTTTGATAAGCTGAAGGAGGGGTGAAAGAGTGATTGTTTGTGCAGGATGTGCAGGGTGGAGGTTGGTAGCGTCCATGCTACAGCTGCCCCTGTGGGAGCATCTCCAGCCCCTGCATGGGGTGAGGCTGCTCCCCTTTCGGTGGATTCCTTGCAGAAGGATCTGTCTCCACATCTCCTTCAGGACTCCAAAAACCTGGTATGTCAGGCTCCATTTTCATTTTATAAGAATACAAGGAACACTCAGATATAAATGGGCATTTGGATGTTCACAATGGAAATTTGGGAAATTCGCTGGTGTTTCCACCTCAGGTCTATGGTAGTTTATTTTGGTGATAGCCAGCCATCTTAGTTTGGGTTTCCTGGAAGTAGACTCTGAGAAAAAGATGTGCATGCACAGAGGATCTGGAAGGAGTGAGGGAGGCATCGCCCACCAGAAGGAGACCCTGACCCACAATAGGGTTGCAACTGAGGCCTCAGGCATCCATACTGGGATGTCTGGATCTGGAAGGCCTTTCAGTGTCATCCTCTATTAGGACAGGGCCTTGGGTTCTTGGCTCAGGCAGTCATCAAACCAAAACTCTCAAAACTGGGCCTAAATATGAGGAAGGAAGTTTTCTTTGGAGCTAATAGCACTTCCCAGTGAGGGCACAGCTCTGAGCTCCTAGAAGCTCCCAGCAGTTGAGGTTGGGTGAGCTCAGAAAAGGGTATTGAGGCAGATGCCACAGTGTCCCCTCCTTGGCTTTTCCTGTTCAAAATCCCAGGCTGCCATGGAAGCCTGGAAGCTCAGGTGTTGAGCTGAGGTGGGTATTTTTCGGGACTGATGTAGGATATTTTGAAGAAGGAGTGACCCAATCACCATCGTATGGAAATCTAAGGTCAAGTGATGGTTCTCTACATCTCTTTCATCTTCCATCCAGTTCTTATTTCCCCAAGTCACTCATGAGGCCCCAAAACACCATAAATTCTGATTATAGCAGCCTTAAATCCACTCCTGCTCCACCCTCTGCAGAGCCAACCTGGACAGCTGGAAAAAAGGATGGCCTGGAGGTCTCAGATCCAGTAGAACTTGGCCAGACCTGCTCATTGCTTGGTCCACAGTCTTCCTGGTGCTGGAGGAAGAACACAACACAGATGAAAAAGGAGTTTGTGTCTCACTTCCCCATCTGCCTGTGTCACTGAGGGATTGTCCTCATCCCCAGACAAACAGTAATAGTCAGCCTCGTCTTCGGTCAGGACCCTGCTGATGGTCAGGGTGGTCGTGTTCCCTGAGGTGGACCCAGAGAATCGTTCAGGGATTCCAGGGTACCGCTCACTATCTTCGTATATCACCAACTCAGGGGCCTGGCCTGGCTTCTGCTGGTACCAGTCAGCATAATTTTCCCCCAGTACATCTCCAGAGCAGGTGATCCTGGCTGTCTGTCCTGGGGACACTGACACCGAGGGTAGCTGTGTCAGCTCATAGGAGGCAACAGAGCCTGCAAGAGAGGACAAGAGAGGGGGCTTGAAGATAACAAACCCATTCCAGTAGTATCGCCCTGAGGCTATGCCTGGGCTGAGCTCAGGGTTCAGGGTAAGACCAGGGGCTTAGGAGGGCTGAGCCTGGGGCAGGGTCTGGGGGCAGCACCTGTGTAGAGGTTGAGGAGTGGGAGCAGGAGTGTGGCCCATGCCATGGTGAGACACCCACAGCTCTGCCTCCTGAGCCCACAGCACAGCTGGGCTTCCCAGGCCTCTCTTATTTCCTCTCAGGCCCACTGGGGCAGTGCATCCTTGGTGTTTATGCAAATTTACTTCTCTGGGACTCCTCATGGCGGGATATCCCTCAAGCCAGCTCTGGGGGCAGCATGAGAAACTTAAAATGAAGGGGTGAATCCCCAGCTTCCTTCGTCTGCTTCTCCAGTCAGAAAATCAGCCTTGGCCTCCAAGGCCTGTGATCACAGTCACCGTCCTGGGGATTGACAACATGGTCCCTGTCTCAAACCTCTGTGTCATGTGGCCTGTCCTGGGCTGCATTGAGCAGGACTATGGACCTTCCAGGAGCCTGGCCTGGGGCTGAGCTGGGCCCTGTTGAGAAATCACTGATGACGCCTGACTCAGCAGCAAGTACACCAAAGATGCATCATCTTTCTCCTCTTTCATCCCTGCTCCGGATACCCCCGAGTCACTTGGCCCCATCCTGGTAATGTTATGTACATGATGTACTGTGTCTGTAGGACACTTATGAATCATTGCAGTTGGAAGAGTTTTGTCATTTGAGCAACCACACATATTTCGGATGCATCCCAATCTCTAGTCTCATTTGACATGTGGTGCTGCTCTTTCCATGGTATCCCCCAGCCCCACAGTAGACCAGCAATTGCCATCCTCAACTCTTCCTTTATTTATTCACTTTTTCTCATCAACGTTTTACGTAAACTTGCGAAAAGAACCAGAGAATCACACTGGACTGAAAATCTAACTTTAGGCTGCTTGGTCTTTCTGAGGGTCCCCAGGTCATGGTCTCCACACAAGACATGAGCTCCAGAGAGCATGTGGTCAGTAGTCCCTCCAGCCATGCAGATCCTGCCACTGATCAAAGGACAGCCCCGTGGTGAGAGCTGTGGCCTGAGGCAGGTGAGAAGCCCTGTTCCTCTGGACAGCATCTCCTGAAGGAGGCTGGTGATGCCTCATGCAGGGACCAGGGCCCCAAAATGCTTCACGCCACCCACCTGAATCTCCCCTGAGCACAGGAGCTGCGTCCTGAGTCAGAGTCCACCTGGAGCTGGAAGGAAAGGCAGAGGCAGGAGGGGTCGGGTGTATCTGGAAGTGCCCACGATAGAGGGCTCAGCTCCCCAGGACACTGCTGGACAGGGAGGGACAAGGCCCTGAGAGTGGCAGGAGGCTCAGGCCGCCATCCTGGGTGAAGAACCTGGGCCCTGGGAGCCCTGTCACCTCACATTGTGCCCCTCCTAGAGCACCTCGGCCTCAGGACTTCTCCCAGGGAATCCCCTTCCTAAGGAAGCTGCCCAAGCTGACACCTGGGCCCAGCCTCTTCTAGTTGCATTTCCCAGGTGAGGCCTTCACTGTGCCGGGCTTCTGTCGGTGTCCTTGGGTGACACTGTATGAATCTGACCCTCAGAACGTGGTCACTGCAGCCCGAGGGGATAGGATGAACTGTCTTCATTTTCAGTCTGAAGACTGACTCTTGGACACCTGTTGAACCCCAGGCTGGCCTTCCTCTTCGCCCCAGCTGGGCAGCCCCAGCCTCTCTCCTCACTGCTCCTGGCTGCAGCTCTGCTGCCCCCAACTGGTGGAGGAGACTCAGCCCAGGAGCTTTCTTCTTCCAGGTGACCCCACAGCACCTGTCACCTCAGAAGTTGAGGACCAGAGAGTCCAGCCCCATTCTGTGCCAGTGTGACCCAATCTGCCCTGCCCAGCCCAGCACAGAGAGGTAACACACGCAGTTCAGTGGGGTGGGGCAGGTGCAATTGCTATAGAAGTGTCTCAGGGTTGAAATGCCCTCCTCTAATGGTTTTGTTCAGTCAGGTCTAATTAGAGTGAGTCAACTGAAGCTCTTCTGCAACACTTTCAAAGTCCAGAGAGATGTGCATGCCATCCTACAGGGACCCAGGCTTTCTATGCACTTAGGAAGCAAACTGGTGCACCTCCCACCCAGTAAGAGCAGCTATGATTCACTGCAATCACCAGGTTTCTGGTTCTGCAGCTTAGTTGTGAGCTAACATCACCATCATAGGCACATTAATTTCATGTTTATCTTTATTTCATTCCACACCTCTCAGAGCTTGTGCCAGGAGGATTTCTACCCTAGCCTTGTCTGTCTTGCTGATGAAACTAGGACTCTCCTGCTTATACTCAGCTGGAGATCACTGTTCCCATCATACAGAAAGCAAGCCCTTTTGAGTCCCTTTCTTGGAATCTCTGCAGAGGAAAGACAAGAAGTTCCATGTCTGAAGCCCATTGGAGCCCATTAAATGACATCCCCTTAGAAGGCTTTAATTCACATGACTTTATTGTTTCTGTCTTTTAATTTTGAATGAAGAAAAGAGCTTCCTCAGTTCAGTATAAGCCTCCTCACTTCACAGCAGGTAACACTGAGGCCAAAAGAGACTAAGTGGCTCAGGGGAACAGAAAGCAGTGGGGGCAAGTCCAGGAGCTGATCCAGGTGTCCTGAGTTCTGAGCCTGGGCCCTTTTGGGTGGAGATTAACCAGGGTGGGGAAGGAGTGGGCATGAGGGCCAGGCAGGCAGCAGGGCTGTGTCCTGTGGACACACTGCCATCCCCCATCATGGCCTGCCCATCCTGAGAAGCCCATTTCAGCCTACAGAAAGTTGGGGCTGTACCCCAGGCTGGAGCTGGAGAATCTGTGGGATTGGGGCCTGCTTTGGATGCAGGGCCTGGCCTGGCTCCTGCTGGTTCTCTCTGCACTGTTGCCTGCTCCACTGTCTCCTGAGCAGGTGGGGGACAGGTGTCTTATGGCCAACAGGTGTCTCATGACCTCACACCTCAGGTTAAAGAGACGTTGGCGCTCATTCTCAGGATCCCATCTCCTGAAGCATCACTTGGGCTGAGCTCAGGGTCAGGAATAGGCTTAGAGTCCTGTGGGGGCTTAACCTGGGGCAGCATCTGTGGAAAGAGTGAGGAGAGGTAGCAGGTGATGGACCAAGGCCAGGGGGAAACATCCAGGAGCTTTGTCTCTGGAACCCATAGCTGAGCCTGGCTCCCCTCATATTCCCAAAAGTTCCCATGAAAATGCTCCCTTCATCGTGCTGGACTGCAGAGAACTTGGCAGGCTTCAGTGTAGGCTTCGTGGATTTGGTTCATGTGGAATTATTCTCTCCTCATATCTCACATGGAAGTGATTGTCGGTGCTTATTTGAACAATCTTGAAGGAAAGACAGGAATCCCAACAGCCCCAGTGTCAGGACACAAGCCAGGAATCTCAGGAGGGTTTTGGTCTTACTTCCTCATCACTTGGGATGTGTGGGACAGCAATAGTGATCAGTGTCACTGCTGGGATCCCAGGGAGTCTCAAAGAAGCTCACTGGCCAGACTTGGAGCCTGAGAATGAGTCTTATGTCTCTTAGTTTTAATTTTTGACCCCACACCTCAGCTGTGTGGGGCTCTACTTTATTTCTGGTGGAACCAGGAGACACAATTTTTACCCTCAATGTTGCTGCTGATTCAGCAAAGCTGATGATGACCGACTGCCAGGTGCCCATAAGGTGGAGGGAGACTAAGTCAGAGCAGTCAGGACCCTAGTCCTGAGGGGAGGGACAAATGTGGAGATGAGCAAGTGTGTGGCCAAACCTCAGGGTGCTATGGCTTTGATCTTTGTCACCTCCAAATCTTATGTTGAAATTGGATCCCCAGTATTGGAGGTGGGAACTAATGGGAGCTTTTAGGGTGATGGGAGTGGATCTCTCATGAATAGATTAATGCCCTCACTTGGGGTGAGTGAATTCCCCTGTTTCCGAAAGAGCTGGTTATTAAAAAGAGCCTGGCATCTTTGTCTTCTCTCTTGCTTCCTCTCCCCCATTGACATCTGCACACACTGGCTCCCCTTCACCTTTCACCATGACAGGAAGCAGCCTGAGGTCTTCAACAAGAGCAGATGCCACATTTTGAACTCTGCAGCCATTGGAACTGTCTGCCAAATAAAACTTTTATTTTCTGTATAAATTACCCAGCCTTGGGTACTTCTTTATAGTAACAGAAAAGGATCTAAGACACAAGGGGAGGAGTGAGAAGTGACCTGTGCTTCTAGAATATGCTCTCCTTGTGTGAGTCTCACCCGTGGCTTGAGTGAGGTGGGTGAATAAGAGTTCAGCCACTCAAAGTGTGGTCCTGGGAGGACCAGCAGCAGCAGCCTCACCTGGGAGTTGCCAGACACAGAGAATTTGGGGCCACATCCAGAACTGCTGAGGCTGCATCTGCATCTTAACCGATCCTTAAGGGGCCTTGTGTGTCCACTGGAATTTAAGAAACTGGTCTCAGCCACAATGGAAAATCTCACTTCCTCTGCTTTTGACAACAAGCCCTCGTTCCACCAAGTCCTTCTGAGGCCACCTGGGTCTGGGGCTTAACAGCCCTGGACTCATCAAACTCAGCTTGATTCACGTGCTTGACTCTGTCACGACATGCAAACAAAAATTTAAAACGGGCATTTTTATAATTCACATGGGTGGTGTGTTGGGGAGGAGACAATATTTTAATGAGATATCCAGAGAGAAATACATGGCTTATGCCATTTTTCTTGTTCTCACTCAGCTCCAGTGAGTCTGGACTTTCCTTATTTCTCAGACATATTATGTTCTCTTCTGTGTTCCAACTTCCATGTGTTTTTCTCTTTGAAAGTTTCTTGTGTATATCCCTATTCTTCACCCAATACCTGCCTAAATGCTAACTACCCTTCAGATCCCCGTACTCACTGCTTGTCAAGGAAGTGGTCTCTGACCACCAGAACATGTGGAAATGCAGAATTATAATCTTTTAGCTTTTTTTTTTTTGATGGAGTCAAATTAGTTCTGCAGCTGACAGTAGTTGTTATCATTTTAAATGTTTGCATTGTAAATGGTGATATAAGTCCATAGGTAATATCCCCAAAGTTGATCCTTGGACCACAAAGGATTTTTTTAAAAATTATTTTTATTTTCTTTAATTTAATTGAGATGAGGGTTCACTGTGTGGCCCAGGCTAATCCCAAACTCCTGGGATCAAGCGATTCACCCGTCTTAGTCTTCCAAAATGCTGGGATTACAGGCATGAGCCACCGTGTCTGGCCACAAAGACTAAAATTCTTCTTATCTGGATATTTTTTATAAAGTTTACCAAATCATGAAAAATGAAGAGTACTGAACTATTTGTGAAAAGGCCCAACCTTAAGCAGAACGGGAGACTGAAAAATAAAACTGTAACAAGGTACCATTTTTCACTCTGATACGTTGGCAAAAATTTCCACATTCAACAATGTACTCTGAACAAGTACTTCCAGCTGGCATTGAAAATTGGTACAATCCCTCTGGAGGGGAATCTGACAACATTGGGTGAAAATCACAAACACACATCTTTCTGACCCGCAATTTCACTTTTAGAAATGAATCCTATGGTCGTATTCACACAGGAACTCAAAGGAGCCTGCATAGGGATGTTCACTGCACTGTTATTTCTAAGATCAAAGTTGTGGCGATAACCATTAGAATGTAGTTGCTAAAATTCTACCCACAGTGTAGGGGATGATGATACATGTAGGGTGAAGACATCCCTGAAAAAAGCAGTGACTGCACCAATCAGGCAGCTCCTTGTCACTGTCCCTGCATTTGAAGAGCTGGGAAGAGTTGCACATTCAGGGACCACAGCACACAAGCATCAGGAAGCTGTCCCTGTCCTGGATGGGAAACCACAGGGCAGGTTTCCTGTTGGAATTCATGGTGGAAAGGGAAGGAGCTGAGAGAGAAGAATTCTCAAGGCCGCGCTGCAGCAAGCCTCTTGCACCGGGTGAGGAAGCATCTTCAGAGCAAGGAGGAAGTCTGAAGGCCCTGGGCAGGTTTTGGTCTCAGTTCCCCATGAACTTGGACCACTGTGGAAAGTGCTACTACCTGCATATGAGCAGCAGTAATAATCAGCCTCGTCCTCAGCCTGGAGCCCAGAGATTGTCAGGGAGGCCGTGTTGCCAGACTTGGAGCCAGAGAAGCGATTAGAAACCCCTGAGGGCCGCTTACTGCCCTCATAAATCATGAGTTTGGGGGCTTTGCCTGGGTGCTGTTGGTACCAGGAGACAAGGTTATAACTCCCAACATCACTGCTGGTTCCAGTGCAGGAGATGGTGATCGACTGTCCAGGAGACCCAGACACGGAGGCAGGCTGAGTCAGGGCAGACTGGGCCCAGGACCCTGGAAAGAGGGAGAAACACATGCCAGTGAGTCAGTGCTGGGCCCCGGTGAGCCTGAGGAGCAGGAGACCAAGGATCAGCCCAGAGGTCCCCAAGACCCCTTCCCTGGAGGCGTCACCTGTGTCCTGAGTGAGGAGAGTGAGGAGCAGCAGAGCCCAGGCCATGGTGGAGACGTCCCGAGAGCGCTGCCTCTTGTGACCCCAGCACTGGCCCTGCCCCAGCCCTGTCTTATCCCCTTTGCCTCAGAGGAGGGCGGGGCCTCCATGAAAATCAGCATCCTGGGCTCCTCTCCTCACCCCACCCTCACGTGGGCCTGGGCTCAGAGACTTTTGCTTCCCTGGACAGCAGGGCTCAGCTGAAGAGATGAATGTTCTTGTTTGTGCATGCTGATGGCAGGAACTTAATTTTTTTTGTACCTGATTTGCTCAGGAGAGAAGGATCTGCTGAAGTCTCTCACCTGAGTGAGCTCCTGGCCCTCAGTGCCTCTGCTGTGTAGTGCCTGTGTCTCTGTGACTCTCTAGGCCTGGGCATACCCCACAGCGCCCTCTGCTTGGCACCCACCTCCAGCCTGTCTCTACTGTCAGGAAATGGGGCTGCCCACCCCGTGGAAACCTCTGCTGGGTGGCGCTGGTCTCTGGTCTCCCCAGCTGCAGCCTCATCCCATCCCCACCTCCACGTTTTGTGCTGAAGCATCTGCACCATCGAATCCCTGGAGCACATCAGCCACCCCAGGCAGTGCACCCACATCCACACGGGGCACATGTGGGAGGGACCCTCTGGAGGGACACAGAGCACCGACCAGGGCCACAGTCCTGAACCCAAGCCAGCTGCTCCCAATCCTGCCCTTCCCACTCATGAGCAGGTGACTTGTCCTTCCCAGTCTCTGGTTCTCAGCCTGAGAAATGGGGACCACAGAGTCCACTCTGCACACAGGTGATCCATGGGGATATGAGCCAGCAGGGGAAAGGGAAAGTTTGCTAACAGGCCTTTCTATGTGCACCAGAGTGATATTTATTGGGAATGATTTATTGAAAGATTTTTTCCATTTTACTTTGATTTATGTTTTGAGTGGCAGAGATGTGTGTTTTTGGCTTTCTTGGTTTCCTCCATCTTAGCCCCTCCTTAGTGAACCATAAAACTGACCTCTCTGAACCCTGCAACACTGAAGACACACAGACAGTCTACAAGTACATTTTTGGTTTTTTTCTTAAAATGTTTTTAATCTATTTTCACCTTTCCCAATGCCTATGACAAAACTCTTTTAACATTTCATATTTTAAAAAAACTATTGGGTCGGGCGTGGTGGCTCACCTTTATAATCCCAGCACTTTAGGAGGCTAAGACAGGTGGGTCACCTGAGGTCAAGAGTTTGAGACCAGCCTGACCAAAATGGTGAAACTTCATCTCTACTAAAATACAAAAACTAGCTGGATGTGGTGGCGGGGGCCTGTAATCCCAGCTGCCCAGGAGGCTGAGGCAGGAGAATCGCTTGAACCTGGGAGGTAGAGGTTGCAGTGAGCCGAGATCATACCATTGCACTCCAGCCTGGGCGACAGAGCAAGACTCTCTCTCTCTCTCAAAAACGAAACAAAACAAAAACAAACAAAAACACAAAAAAACAAAAACAATGAATGGATTCAGGTTCCATTTAAATATTATAACATACACTATCCTGTCTTCCCACCTAGACTGAGCTATGAAACCGTGACAAGTGCATGGAGCAGCTATTTGAGCACCAGGAAAGGAAACGATACGCAGCAGTTTGGGATGACCCCAGCAGATGAAATACAACAGAGTCAGTGTGAGACTCCTGGATTTCCTCGGTGTCCCCTGGCTGGGATCCAGACAGGCCAAACCTGAAGGGGCACAAATCTGAAAACGGAAAGAAGTCCAGGAAAGTCTTCTTCTTCAGAATTGAAAATAGAAAAAAAGTTTATTTGGCTCAAAGTGAGGGCTCAGTCCCCTGTACAAGCAGATGGTCCACACTCCTGTTCTCATTTCTCTTGCACCAGTGCCTCTCCCTGGGTTCACACTGATGTCCTATGATTGGAGATGGGGCTTCCTGCACCAGGTCACTCCACAGCCCCTGTTACCTGAAGAGGTGCAGACCAGCACTGTTCAATCACAATATGATGTGAGCCTCATTGGAATCCCAATGTCTAGTCACCACATTAGAAATACAAAGAGAAGAAAGTAAAGGAGTCCAAATAATATATTTTATTTACCTAGCATACCAAAAATAGTATCATTTTCATATGTAATCTAAGTTCAATTATTTATGTAACATTTTAGATACCTTTTCATGTCTACTGTTATCGTTTTTTGAAGAATCATTCTGTGGAGATTGTGTGGCTGATGGAGATGTGAATGGGTTTTCTGTTGACAAGAGTGGGCTCTTAAGGCTTTTTAAGTGTCAACTTTGATACACTGAAGGAGGGGTGAAAAGAATGATTTTTTGCATAGGATGTGAGGATTGGAGATGAGCAGCATCCATCCTGCAGCTCACCCTGTGGGGGTGCATCTGTGGTCCCTGTGTCAGGTGAGGCTGCTTCTCCTGACCCTGGATTCCTGCAGGAGGATCTGATTCCAACTCTCCCTCAGAACCCAGAGCACCTGGCATGCCAGGGCCCTTTTCAGAGAATGGCAGGATGCCATGGGAGCCTGAGCTGGGCAGTTCTGGAAACTGACTCAGGATATTCAGCCCAAGGACTGGCCTTCACCCCCTATGGAAATCCAGAGACCAACTAAGGATGTTGACCTTGGCCTGACCTTCCATTCTGGCCCCATTTCCCCAAATCACAACTGAGTCCCCCAAACCTCAATATATCCTGGTCACCTCTGCCCTAAATTCAGTCTTGATGTCCCCTCTGCAGAGCCTGCCTGGAGGGCCTGTGGAAAGGGCAGCCTGGGGGGTCTCAGATCCAGGTGAATTGGGAAACCCATGCTCATGGCTTTGTCCACAGTCTTCCTGGGCTGGAGGACAAGAGTGACACGTATGGGGAAGGGGTTTGTGTCTCACTTCCCCATCTACCTCTGTCACTGTGGGATGAGGAGTCCTAATGTCCCACATCTTACAGTAATAGCCTCGTCCCCAGCCTGGGCCCTGTTGATGGCCAGGGTGGTCCTGTTCCCTGAGTTTGAGCCAGAGAATCTCAGAGATCCCTGAAGGCCGCCTGCTATCCCCATAGATGACCCACACAGGGGCCTGTCCTGGCTTCTGCTGGTACCATTAAGCACTTTTACTTCCAATACTGTTTTCCCTACAGGTGATCCTAGTCATCTGTCCTGGAGCTACTGACACTGAGGGTGGCTGTGTCAGCTCACAGGAGGTGACAGAGCCTGCAAGAAGGAAAGGGGAGATAAAAAATTTGAAACTGAGAGGCTCAACCCCAGGATATCTTGCTACTTGCCAGGGCTGGAGTGAGCCCCAGGAATAAAAGAGCTCTCAGGGCACCCATGAGCACAGGAGCACAGAGTGGGGGCATTTCAGCCCAACCAGCCCCTCCCCCTGCAGCAGGGTCACGAGCATCCTGCCCACCACACACAGGGCCCTGCTGAGCTCAGACTGATGGCCAGGCTGAACCTGGAGGCCTGGGGCTGGGCAGGTGGGTGAGACCCTGGGGGCAGCACCTGGGCAGTGAGTCAGGAGACCAAGGAAAAGAGGGGCCAGGCCATGGCTGAAGTGCCTCCAATGCTGCTTCTCAAGTCTGAGGCTGGGCAGGCTCCTCCCAGGTCTCTCTTAACCCCTTGTTGGAGAGAACAGCCCGTGATGCCAATCAGCAGAGTCAGGGGCTGCTGCTGGAGGAGCTTTGTGGTTTCCAGAAGGACTCAGCCCCAAGGGACCCAAAGAGGTTAGGGGTGGCCTTGCCCTCCCACCCTTTGCCCACAGGATCTCCTTTATCAATTGATTCCATATTCTCTGCAGACATCTCCACATCACACTGTGCTCAGCCTCATTCCTGGGCTCACTTGGTCACAGCAGAGCTCAGAGGTGACTTTGTATTTCCTAAGGAATATGAAGTCCTTCATATGGGATGATCTTTGATCTGGTCCAGGAGGTGATCATAGAGTCATGCTGGTAACTGTGGAATTATCTGGGGTCCCCAGTCCCCTCCTCCATTCTATCCTGGCTCAGGAGGGCAGTGCTTAATTTTGGTCTAGGCCTCTCAGTGTGTCCTGATCATAAATATTTTATGTTAGAGAGGAGATTTCTGTTGCAGGTCTAAATATATTTTTAGATGTTACTTTCCAGAACCCAATGCAGGTTCCCTCTTCATCTCCACTGTGCAGATGATAACACACACCTTGGAAAGGTGCAGGTCCCACCGCAGGGCACAGCTCCTGAGTGGTAGAGGACAATGGAATTTCTTATTTGTCAAGTGCACACAGAGTGCTGGAAGATCCATGAGGTGATGGAAGTTTCTGCCTTGGCTGCAAGCTCCTGGGTAGGTCATAGCTGCTGTGCCTCAGTATCTCCAGGATGCTGTCAGGATCAGAGACAGATGAGAAGGCGAAGGAAATGTTTGCTCCATGAGAGAATGAGAGGGGGCTGCAAACTCCAAGACCCCCAGAAGTGAATGTTTATTATAACTAAGTTGTCGTCAGTTGTTGGGGAAAATGTATCAATGATTAAGAACTTAAGTCAACTAAAGGTTAATGAGCAACTATTTTGTGACTCACCAGGAAATCAAGAGCCATGATTTGGCAGCTTCCCCAGGAGAGAGTCCGGAAAGACCAGGGACAATGAAAGTGGAGGAGCAGCCAGGAAAGGAGAAGCCACTGTGTCTGCAGGACAGGGGCTCCCAGAGCAAAGGGGAGATAAAGGGGACACCTGTGACCTCAGGGAGGACACTGCACATGGCAGGGACACCATTTTAGCACAACTGGGTGTGTGAGGAGAGGGCACTGTGAGAAGTCAAGTGCCTGGAGCTGTGGCAGAGAAAGAGGCAGCATCTGCAAGAGCTGAAGGTAAAATCCTATTCTAGAATTTCTACATGAGTGTCAAGTACACAAGGACAATACTCTATGAAAATAAAGACCCTTTCATTCCAGGTGTGAGATCATGGTCACTGGCTCCTGCTGCATGTCAGCGTCTCCCTGTCACCCAGGCCCGCCCCATCGCCAGGTGGCTTTGCCAGGTAACTCTCTGCTTCCCCCTGGTGGCCGCTCCACACTGTGGGCTGGGGGCTCAGGGACTTCCTGGGTCTAGGTGTGGATTCAGAACCTGCTGTTCAGGTCCCTGATGCCCTGATCCGAGGACTGCTGGTCCCAGGGGAGGAACACCTCTTCTCTGTGTGGCCCCTGCCTGACTCAAGATCAGGTACAAGGGGCTCAGCTTACCCAATAAAATACAAAAGTATATATGTAGAAACACTGAAATCAAACCCGCATCATATTGGAGAAGAGTAACCTGTAAGAGGCAGTGTTGGGGAAGAGCTGGCTCAACGCCCTGTGGTGAAGAGTCTTTTGTGTGTGGGGATCTGAGAGGACAGCAGAAACCTGAGGGAACCCGGGACTCAGATCAGTCCGTGTCTGATGTGATAGCGTCTTGTAAATGAAGAGCAAGGGGCAGATGTGTGGTGCAGTCAGGTGTAAGAAGGAGAATTTCCTGTTTATGCTCAGGTGATCTGTGAGGGGCTGGGCACACACACTCCTTGGTGGTCTACAGGATGCAGCTGCTGATGCTGGAACTAATTAGACACAGGTGGGCTCAGGCAGGCCCTTCAACTGTCCCTGCTTACCTGGGGCTGGAGCCACTAGGGGGTGGTGGCTAAACTGCTTCAGCCGTCCTCCCAGTGCCCGCCTTGCAGCCTTGGGGAAATTAAGCTTCTGTCACTTCCATTGATCCTGGGTCATGCTCAATGCACCCAGAACAAACAGATTGACCATTTACTGGAAAGTTCTCTGGGAGCTCCCCACTTAACTCAGCCATGAAGAGCGCATGATGGGGCACCCCTTTCAGGGGCCAACTTGTTGTTCCCAGGCTCTTACCCCAGAGGAAGACAAAGCCCTTGGCATAGCTGGGGTGTCTGCTGTACTGGTGGGTAGGTGTCTGCAGAGAACAGGTTTCCTTGAATGTCACCATTCTTCACACACCTTCACATGTGACAGCAATGCATCAGTAACATTTTTTGACTCATCAATCTTGATAGAGAAGCAGCTGTTTGCCAGGTTATTACACAAAAACCTTTGTGCAACATTTGCTGTGCCTTCCATGTGCTGACTCATCACATGTGGCAGTGTGGTCTTTCCCATGCCCCTTCCTGCTCCTGGTACAGGCCTTGTTCCTTCCACACCATGGCATCACTAGTTCCTCACCAACCCTGTTTTGTTCCTGCTCTCGGCAAAGCCTTCTGCTACTAATTAACCTGCTTCCTCAGCCTGTTCTCTCAAAGTCACTTTGTGTACCAGAGTTTTGACCTCAGTTTACTGTGAGGGTCAATGGCTGTTAAAAATCATCCTCTCCTTCACCTGTGTAATGGCCGTGATTGGCAGTGAAGGGCTTCTTCTTACAGAGCACCTGCTGAGTGCTAGTGTCTGGTTGGTGGAGATTCAGTGCTGGAAATTCCATCTGCAGAATAAACAGTTCCCTCAACTTCTAAATCCATCGATAGGTCCTGCCCACACACACACATCGGTGGGCAGGGCCATCATCAGCTGCTGTCTTCCTTCTATCAACTCAGTGCCCAAAAGTCATAATACCCTTCACCTTGATGGTGAAAACATCAAATGGACTCATCACTTGAGCAAGGTCCTACTGCACGCAATGAACCTGGTCCAACGGTGCATGAGAAACTTGAGCTTTTCTTGTGGAACTTTTGGTAAAGTGTTTCATAAGCCTTGGGTTGCAAGCAATACTGTTTGAAAAATGTTGGATCAGAGAGAAATAGCAACCAAGTATCAGCATGGGAAACTTAAGCGTCCTGGCTGGGAAGGAAATTAAACAACTGTAAGAGACATTCTTGTGCAATTGGGAAACATGACTACGGTCTGCATAGGAGAGAGCTGTTGGTATCCTCCCTTGTGATAATGAGAGAGACAGAGACCCCAGTATGGCCGTGTCCACAGTTGTCCCATCCAGAAAGAGTGTACATATGTGCTGATGACCATAGTCTGTAAACTTTAGTGCATGCACATGATTTCACGATTAAACCAATTGTACTTTTAAAGAAGGTAATAAGCAGACTGAGACCTTCCAAGTGAGAAAAAAAGCCCAACAAACCTGGCCCTAGAGACTGGAATCAGACATCTCTTCTGGAAAAGGGCACCATCCTCACCCAGCAGGACCTTCCCGTCATGCTTGCAGCCCCTGGGACATGGAGCAGAGGGGCAGGTCCTGGACTTGGCATCAAGGGTTCTTAGTGAGCTCCTCAGAAAGCAGCCCAGAGCCCAAAGATAAAATCCACACTATCAGGGCACTAGAGGGACATCCAGTCAGGTCTGACCTACCTGGGGAAGGTGATGGGACTTTGGGGGCCATGGGAGTTCAGCGTGCCCCAAAGACAGTCCCCAGGTGGGATGAAAGGTAGTGTCTGTTCTTCCTCTTCAGTTTCTGTGAAATGTCAGCACAGAAAGGGCCCTGGGGCCAAAAGGGGCTGGGTCTCCAGTCCTCCTCAGGCCTCAGGCACCCCTTTAGAATGCGGAGGTCAACTGAACTCATCTGGAAACCAGAGGAGACACAGCCTCTGGAGCTTCCACTAAGCTGCTTATACCCAAGGAAAAGAGAAATTCCACAGGACTGTACCCTCTGCGACAGCTCTTTCCTCCCCTGTGTGATGTGTGATTACATCTGGGGCCATGTGATGTTGTGTGGATTCCTAAACCTTTCATGTACACCACAAACCTGACAGAGGTTCCTGCAGCTCCAACCAGCTTCCCCCTGTCCACTCACTTCTCACTGGACACATGCAGGCCCTGAGAGGATGGAGAAGCTGCTCAGAATCACCAGCCCTGCAGGGGCCAGGTTAAGACCAGAGAGGACGCCTGACCCTGAGGCCTGACCTTCAGCTGCTCACAGGGCAGCTGAGAATGAGAGCCAGGCCGAGATGGGACAGTTCTGTGGCTAGTCCCTGTCTCTCTGTGTTACTATGAGTCCCTGCCAGCTGCTCCCACTGTTATTATCTGCAGTTCAGCAATAGTCAGTCTCTTCCCGGGCTTGGGCTCCATTAATGGTCATGGTGGCCATGTTCCCTGAGTTGAAGCCTAAGAATTGGGCAGATGTCCCTGAGGGTCAGTTGCTGTTATACTAGATGACCAGCACCATGGACTGGCCTGGATTCTGCTGGTTCCTTAATGCATGTTTATCTCAAGGTTATCTCCAGAGTATGTGCTCATGATTGTCAGTCCCAGGGCCACCAACACTGAGACCAGCTGTCTCTGCACATAGGAGGCACAGGGCTGACAGAAGAGGAGAGGAGAGGAGAGGAGAGGAGAGGAGAGGAGAGGAGAGGAGAGGAGAGGAGAGGAGAGGAGGGCGTGAGGATGAAGGGTCCATTCCCAGAAGGTCCCAACCCGGAGCTGAACTTAGGGTTTGGGTAGGCCAATTACAGTGTCATATATTGAGTGGTTTAATGGAAGGTCTTTCACTCTTCGTAAAGTGTCTTTTAAAATATTTTCACATTACTGTCCTATAAAATTTTCACAATTGAAATAATTAATCTTTCATCTTCTCAATATAAAAATAAATTTCTCTCAGTGGAGGTGAAACCTGTTTTGGGTAGCAAGATGTGGTTGAGGGGATCCCAGGGTAGGTGGGGGCCAAGTAGTGGCATTTTATTGCCAAAGACACTGTGGCTTGGTTACCATAATGCATAGCTGAGCATGCAAGGATTCAGAATAATCAGACAAGATCATGTGCGTGGTCTAAGTGGTCCTGGGGTCCCAGCCTCCCTCTACTTATTTTTTTGAATGAGCAGAAAGCTCCATTTGAGAAAGACTGTGAAGGCTCCTGGGCCTCAGCAGAGGCTCTGTGTGATTGTGGCCACACAGCTCACCATGTGACCCAAGTTGCCAGTATGCTAGGTTTGGTCTGAACCACAGTCCCGGTTGGCCATTTCCAGCAGCTCCTCAATCACATGGCAGGGATGTATTTGTGACTTGAGGGACTAGGTCACGAGGCCCAAGTAAGTTTCATGAAGAGTTGGCCAAATAGACATGACCGGAGCCCTGCACCATGTCTTCCTCTCAACCTACAGCCTTGACGTCCTGAGGGGCTCCCTGAGATCAGCTGCCTAGGAGGAGGCACTTAGGCTGGGGTTACAGAGTTTTCTGCAGGACATGCAGCCACTACTGGTGTGGACAGTGCTAGTACTCCACCTGGCCTCTGAGAATCCCTGAACAGCAGTGTTGGAGGAACATTCTCATTAAAGTAGAATTTTAAGCAGTGCAATTGGCTCATGTCACCTGCCAAGAGATGGGCAGAGGTTCCTAATTCACAGGTTGTGACTCAGGGTCTTGAAAGATGCTCAAGGATGTTCAGGGACTTGAGAGAGACACAATGAGAATATTGATCACAAATACGTCAGGGGGAGAGATGTGTGAATAGACCTCCTCCGGTGGGCAGAAAGTAAGAGAATTTTTTCCATATGTCAATACTCACCAAGTCTTCTGTGAAAATGAAGTGATTTTGCTAATCAGGTGAGTAGGGTGACTTGTTCTGTGGACATCAGGCAGCCTCCCTCAACCACTCTTGTCAATGCCCAGTGGGCTCCATAAAAAAAAGCGCCCATGGTGGCAGGGATGGAGGCTGTCCATGGGCTCATCAATGTCGATTTCCACTAACTGGAGCTGGCCTGGCTGTAGCCACTGCTGAGTGACCATCTGCCAACAGCAGAGACTAACACAGAGATCCCTATAGGATGACTTTCTCTGTGGAAAACAGCCAGGGGCCTGCTTAATATTAATTTCGTTTGCACTCTTCCATCATGGCAGGAATAGCTCTTTTTTCTTACTAGAATTGACATTTATTCTACAGAGGATTTGCTTTCATTGACAGCAATGCTTCTGCCAAAACTGTTGTCTCTGGATTACAGAATGACGCACCCATCATGATGGTATTCCACAGGAGGTTCTGACCAAGGAATTCATTTCACTGCAAATAAAGGGCTATGGGCCTTTTCTTCTGGCAATCAAGATTCTTACTCTTGTCCCAAACATTCTGAGACATATGGCTTATATGAATGGTTTAATGACTGCTTGGAGACACCATTACTGCACCAGGCAAGTGGCAAGTATGTGTAGGGCTGGACAATGTCTTCCAGGATAGGGCATGTTCTGTGCATCAGTGCCCAATAGATGGTGCTGTTTCTCCCACAGTCAGGATCCATGAGTCCAGAATCAAGGAGTAAATTGTAGTGGCTCCACTCAAAAATGTCTTCAGTGGTCCATTAGCAAAAATTTAACATTCTCTCCTCCTGATCTCAGGCTCTGTGGGTCTGGAGGTCTTAGATGCACTAGAGGAATGCTTTCCCAGAGGATACAACAATGACTGCATTCAACTGAGACCTGAGAGTTCCCCATGTCCCTTTGGACATGCCTGCATGGATGTCTCCCTGTGTCTGTCTTTCCAGTCAGACCCTCCATCGACAACTCAAACCCCAGGCAAAGAAACACAGGACAGCCTGGCCTGCCAGGCACAAATCCACTCCAGACTGACTACTCTGCAGTGCCTGCCTGGAGGGCTGGAGGGAAGGGCAGCCTGGGGGTTCAGATTTGGGTGAATTTGGCCAAGCCTACTCATGGCTTTGTCCACAGTCCTCCTGGGGCAGGAGGAAGAGGATGAAATAGAGGGGGAGGGGTTTATGTCTCACTTCCCTGTCTGCTTGTGTCACTGTGGGATAAGTACCACTGCTGTCTGCTGATTGACAGTAATAGTCAGCCTCGTCTTCTGCCTGGACTCCACTGATGGTCAACGTGACTGTTGTCCCTGAGCTGGAGCCAGAGAATCGCTCAGGGATCCCTGAGGGCCTCTCACTGTCTTTATATATCACCAGCACAGGGGCCTGGCCTGGCTTCTGCTGGTACCAATAAGCATATTGCTTTGGCAATGCATCTCCAGAGCAGGTGATCCTGGCCGTCTGTCCTGGGGACACTGACACCGAGGGTGGCTGTGTCAGCTCATAGGAGGCCTCAGAGCCTGCAAGGAAGAACAAGAGAGGGGGCTTGAAGACAAAGGACCCATTCCCAGGAGTCGCACCCAGAGGCTGTGTCTGGGCTTTGCTCGGGATTCAGGGCAGGCTCAACTTGGGATCTGTGGGGAATAAGACTGGAGCAGGGCCTGGAGCAGGGCCTGGGGACAGCACCTGTGCAGAGAGTGAGGAGGGGGAGAAGTAGAGGGATCCAGGCCATGGTGAGACACCCAGAGTTCTGCCTCCTGGACCCACAGCACAGCTAGGCTCCCCAGGCCTCTCTTATTCTCTCTCAGGCTTTTTAGGGTAGTCAGTGTTTGGTGTTTATGCAAATTTACTTCCTCTGGGACTCCTCCTGGAGAGATGTCACCCAAACCAGCTGTGGGGGCAGCACAGGCGACAAGAGGAAGAAGAAGAAGCAGGATCTCTGGTTAGAAAATCAGCTGCAGCCTTGAAGCCCTGTGATCGCAGTCACCTTCTTGGGAATTGACTTCATGACCACTGTCCCAAACCTCGTTGACCTGGGGTCTGTCCTGGGCCAGGCTCAGCAGAGCTGTGGACCTTCCAGGAGTTTGGCCATGGGGCTGAGCTGGGCCCTGCCGAGAGATCATGCTGACACCTGACTCAGCAGCAGGTGGCCCAGGGACCCATGATCTTCCTCCCCCTGGTCCCTCAGACTCAGTCCCCTCTTGTTCATTTCATCTAAATGCTGTGCTGTGTCATTGGGACACTTGCTGATTATTCAGTGGGAATAGTTGGGTCATTTAAGCAACCACACACCCCTGTGGAGTCAACAGGGCCTCTGGTCTCATTTCAGCCATGGTGCTGCTCCTTCTATACCATTCCCTCATTGCCACAAGAGATAAGCAATTGGCACCCTCAGCTCGTCTGTTATTTATTTATGTTTTTCTCATCAATGTTTTATGTAAACTTGCAAAAAGCAGCAGAAAACCATAGTGGACTGAGAATCTAACTTTAGGCCCCATGGATTCTGTCACGGTTCCAGGGTCCCAGGGTCCCAGGGTCCCAGGGTCCCAGGGTCCCAGGGTCATGGTCTCTGCACAGCATGTGAGCTCCAGAGGATGGGTGGTCCCTGGTTACTCCAGCCAGGTTCCTGGTTATTGTCCTGTCACTGAGCATGGACAGGTCCGGGGTCAGAGCTGTGGCCTGAGGCAGGTGAGAATCCCCATCCCTCTGGAGAGTGTCTCCTCAATGAGGCTGGTGATGCCCCATGCAGGGACCAGGGCCCCAAATACTTCACGCCACCCACCTGAGACTCCCCTAAGCACAGGAGCTGCCCTTGAGTCAGAGTCTGCCTGGAGCTGGAAGGAAAGGCAGAGGGAGGGTAGGCAGGGTGTATCTGGAAGTGCCCACGACAGAGGGCTCAGCTCCCCAGGACACTGCTGGACAGGGCAGGACAAGGCCCTGAGAGTGGCAGGAGGCTCAGGCAGCCATCCTGGGTGAAGAACCCAGGCCCTGGGAACCCCGTCACCTCACACTGTGCCCCTCCTAGAGCACCTTGACCTCGGGACTTCTTCCAGGGAATCCCCTTCCTGAGGAAGCTGCCCAAGCTGACACCTGGGCCCAGCCTCTTCCAGCAGCATTTCCCAGGTGAGGCCTTCACTGTGCCAGGCTTCTGTCAGTGTCCTGGGGTAACACTATATGAGTCTGACCCTCAGAGCGTGGTCACTGCAGCCTGAGGGGATAGGATGAACTGTCTTCACTTTCAGTCTGAAGACTGATTCTTGGACACCTGTTGAACCTCAGGCAGGCCTTCCTCTTTTCCCCGGCTGGGCAGCCCCAGCCTCTCTCCTCACTGCTGCTGGCTGCAGCTCTGCTGCCCCCAACTGGTGGAGGAGACTCAGCCCAGGAGCTTTTTCCTTCCAGGTGACCCCACAGCACCTGTCACCTCAGAAGTTGAGGACCAGAGAGTCCAGCCCCATTCTGTGCCAGTGTGGCCCAATCTGCCCTGCCCAGCCCACCACAGAGAGGTCACACATGCAGTGCAGGGATGTGGGGCAGGAACAATTGCTACAGAAGTGTCTCAGGGTTGAAATGCCCTACTCTAGTGGTTTTGTTCCGTCAGGACTAATTAGAGTAAGTCAACTGAAGCTCTTCTGCCAAGCTTTCAAAGTCCAGAGAGACGTGCGTGCCAGGCTTTCTATGCACTTAGGAAGCAAACTGGTGCACCTCCCACCCAGTAAGAGCAGCTATGATTCACTGCAATCACCGCATGTTTCTGGCACTGCAGCTTAGTTGTGAGCTAACATCACCATCGTTGGCAGATTAATTTCATGTTTATGTTTATTTCATTCCACACTTCTCAGAGTTTCTGCAGGGAGGATTTCCATACTAGCCTAGTCTGTTTTCCTGATGAAACTGGGACTCTCCTGCTTATTCTTAGCTGGCAGCTGCTGTTCCCACCATATAGAAAGCAAGCTCTTTTCGAGTCCTTTTCTTGGAATCTCTGCAGAGGAAAGACAAGAAATTCCATGTCTGAAGCCCACTGAAGCCCATTAAATGACATCCCCCCATTCGCATGACTTCCATTGTTTTTCTATCTTTTAATTTTGAATGAAGAAAAGTGCTTCTTCAGTTCAGTATAAGCCTCCTCACTTCGCAGCAGGTAACACTGTGGCCAAAAGAAACTAAGTGGCTCAGGAGAACAGAGAGCAGTGGGGGCAAGTCCAAGAGCCGATCCAGGTGTCCTGAGTTATGAACCTGGGCCCTTTGGGGCAGAGCTTAACCAGGGTGGGGAGGGACGGGGCATGAGGGCCAGGCAGGCAGCAGGGCTGTGTCCCATGGACACACTGCCATCCCCCGTCATGGCCTAGCCATGCTGAGGAGCCCACCTCAGCCTGCAGAGGTGGGGCCTGTACCCCAGGTTAGCGCTGGAGGATCTGTGGGGATTGGGGGCTGCTTTGAGTGTAGGGCCTGGCCTGGGCTGCTGTTTCTCTCTGCACTGTTGCCTGCTCCTGAGCAGTTGGAGGGACAGATGTCTCATGGCCAACTCTACTGGAGGTACCTGAGTCTTTAAGAGACTACAGAGCCTGCAGGTTGAGGAGACTTTAGGGCTTATTCTCAGGGTCCCATCTCCTGAAGCATCACCTGGGCTGAGCTCAGGGTCAGGACTAGGATTAGGGTCCTGTGGGGGCTTAGCCTGGGGGAAGCATCTGTGCAAAGAGTGAGAAGAGGTGGCAGGCGAAGGGTCTAGGCCATGGGGAGACATCCCAGAGCTTTGCCTCTGGAGCCCACAGCTGAGCCTGGTTTCCTCAGGTCTTCTCCATACTCTCAAAAGTCCCCATGAAAATGCTCCCTCCATTGGGCTCGACTGGAGAGAACTTGGCAGGCTTCAGTGTGGGCGTCATGGGTTTGGTTTATATGGAATTCTTCTTCTTCTCATATATCATATGAGAGTGATTGTCACTGTTTATTTGAACAATCTTAAAGGAATGACAGGAATCCCATACCCAGGGTTGTCTGTGAAGCTCACAGGAGTGGGAAGGTGTCTCCGTGTTGCCAGGGCCCTGGCCATTGTTTTGTCTCAGTCTCCCTTTCTGCTGCTCTGTCAGGACAAGACAGGGGCATACATTTGGCCCACCCTGGACAAGGTTCTATATAAGCATAACAATATTTGATGACACTGACTCAGCACTGACTATGGCCCATGCCTTGCCTGTTTGTAGGCCTTGCGCATATGAACTCACTTAACTGAGAAGCATGTGTCAGGGAGGAGGTAAGTGAGGAAAATAGAAAAGTTGTGAATTTGGGACATTCGATACTTGAAGCACTCCCTGGCAACACTAACATGCACATGTGCACACATGCACATGCACTCACACACAGGCATATGCATTACACACATGCACACACAGTCACACAGCATATGCATTTACACACATGCACACACACATGCAAGTGCACACACACTCACACACACATGCACACACACATAGCATATGCATTTAAACACATGCACACACACAGGCATATACATTACACACATGCACACACACACACAGCATATGCATTTACATACATGCACACACTCACACACAGGCATATGCATTTACACACATGGACACACACCAGCACACAGCATATGCATTTACACACATGTGCACACACCAGCACACAGGCATATGCATTTACACACATGCACACACTCACACACAGCACACACATTTACACACACTCTCTCACACACAGGCATATGCATTTACACATGTGCACACACACAAGGTATATGCATTTACACACATGCACACACAGGCATATGCATTTACACACATGCATACTCACCAGCACACAGGCATATGTATTTGCACACATGCACACACACTCACACGCAGTCATATGCATTTACACGCATGCATACACACACACAGGCATATGCATTTACACACATGCACACACCAACACACAGTATATGCATTTACACACAGGCACACACACTCACACACAGGCATATGGATTTACACACATGCACACACACCAGCACACAGGCATATGCATTTACACACATGCACACACACTCACACACAGTGTATGCATTTACACACATGCACATGCACACACACAGGCATATGCGTTTACACACATGCACACACACTCATACACAGCATATGCATTTACACACATGCACACACACAGGCATATGCATTTACACACATGCACACACTCACACACATCATATGCATTTACACACACACACTCTCACATACAGGCATATGCATTTACACAGGTGCACACACACAAGCACACAGGCATATGCATTTACTCACATGCACACATGGCACTGTTTTGTGTACAGGAGAAAGGGAGCACATCTTCCAGCCTTCAGTCCTGTTCTCTGGGCCTGCAATTGCAGGGACCTGAACCATCCTGAGAAACATCACCAGGATGTGTCCCAGCAGAACTACTTTGTCTTGTCCAGACTCTGTGATGCACGTTACTCCCCTACTTGCCTTCCTACAGCTGGCCTTGCTTGTGACGTCCTGGTGCTGGGTGAGAGGCTCAGTTTTGCAGAAAGAGTCAGGACAATCTGCTCAAGACTGACAATCAGTTTTTGACCTGTGGCCATTACAGGGGGCAGCATGGAGGCCTGACTGGGCAGGCACAGATGGATGGACACTAGGGCTGGGCTGGTGCCACTGAAAGGAAAGGACCCTGGGGACAGAGAGCAGGGGAACCTCCTACTGTTTCCTCCAGGTCTGTCCACTGAGCACAAAGAGGAGAGAATGGGCCACAGCTGCACTGACCTGGGCTCAGGATAACCAGGAACTATCGTTGGAGGAGAGAAGCAGATAAGCTCTCTGCTTATCTGAGGCCCTGGTCATAGAGGGATGGCCAAGGACTCTAGGGCCAGAAAACCATAAATACCCTTCAGATGAGCTCAGCTGTCTTCCCTCCCGCTGACTCTCTGCCCCCTCATGCATGACATTGCAAACCTTGATTCTGCAAACTCCTCCCTTAGCTCTCTAGTAGACTTCACCTTGGAACAGTCTCTGAGACATTGTGAGAGTTGGCAGGAGAATGTCCCAGGACGCTTGTCTCCACTCCTAGGCCTTCATTTTAAATCATTAAAGTCTCTCTTTTCCTAACCCTCTGAAACCCTCTGCACTGCCTTCCCTCCATCCCCATTCCAGGTCCAATTCTCATGAGTGATGTCAGGAATAATTGCTGCCAACTCAGGAGCAGCTGGGGCATGTCAGGTTCTGTGTTATGCACTTTACAAACATGATTAAGTTACATCCCTGCAGCCTCAATAGTGAAGAATTACTGTCAATTCTTGTCTAAGTTTTTTTCTCAGAGGTTCTTAACCTCTCATTAGGATGGTTTTCTGAGAGATTAAATGCCTTGCTTACAGCCACACAGCTGCAGGTAACAGAAGTGGGCTTCGAGGATAAACCTGGCTGCCCCTCGAACCCATGCCCCTGAGGACTGTATTATTCATATGACCCCTTACAGTAAGGAGGTGCCAATATCTGTGACACATAAACTGTGGGGTGGGGGAATTGCACAGAAAGAGAAGCCTTAAGTCTTAGATGTTTCTCTGTCTCCAACGTCACTTCCGGCAGGTGCCAGGCCTCTCCCGGGGCCATTGCTGCTCAGGTACCCTTGATTGCTGCTCTGCCCATGCCTGTGCTGAATCTGCCCATTGCTGCTCTCTCAGACGCAGACCCTCTGCTTTCTTCCACCCAATTAGAGGCCATCCGCAGGGACTACTCTTCCATTATAGTCAACATAATTTAGGTCTCCAGCGTTGTGCAAAGCAATAGCCCATTTCAAGAGGCAGCTCCGTCCTCGATGCTGTTACCTTTATACCACTTCTGTGGACAATATCTTTCATCCTTCCAGGGTAGGGGCTGGACTCTGACCCTGGAGGAAGCATCAGGTGATGCTCACACATGAGCCCTGAGCTCTCTGCCACCAACCAAACCCCAGATTTGTTCATCCAAGAAATGCAAGTCTCTAGGAATCCAGGGTCTCTGTGTTCCTCCCTTGTGCATGGTGAGACTTGGAGACAGCATTGAGGAATTGACAGTAAGTGGTCACAAGGTGTGCAGCTCTGTGTTGGGGGTGGCCTCTTTCTAAGGAACCCTAAGAAACTGCAATATAGAAATGCCCCATCGTTTTGCATAGAGTAGAATGGTACCTTCTGGATGCATGGGCAGCTCTGGGGGGTCCTGTGAAAAGGACATGCTCATCAGGCCCCAAAAGTATGACATTGTCCTGTTCCATGAGCACATTCTGTATTTTCAAAAGTGAATTATCACGCTGTCCTGTAAATATGTGCCATGTGTGGTTAGAACATTGCAGAAGGGGCAATGTAAGGTTCCAAATGAAAATGCAGCAAAGCCTTCTCACTTTGTCTTCAGGCCACAGATGACCTTTCTGAGGAAGGGACTTTTAAACTGACCAAGTAAGAATAATTTGGTGTTAAACAACGAAGGATTGCTTCCTGACAGAGATGAGGGTAGGCAGCCAAGATAAGCTGTGGGTTGGAAGAAGAGGATTTATTAGCAAATGCAAGACCTCTTTGATGGCTGGGATGCCTGGCTCCTCCAGAGCTCAAAAGACCCTGGTTATAGACTGAGCTTGACCCCACATGGGCTTGACTTCAAAGTCATTTGCATCCTGGGGTAACTCATAAGCCAGCCCTCATCAACTGTCCTCCACCTCCTTACCTGGTGAGGAAAGGAGAAAAAGGATATGACAAGTTGGAAATAATGGCCCTGGCCCATTATAAAGTAGATGAAAATAGCCAGAGGCAGGGGTCCCAAGAAGACACCGCTGAATTGTCCCTACTTGGACTCTGTGACAACTAAACATCATCTATACTTGCCTTTCCTGGGCAGGTCCGGAATGTGTCTCAGTACACAGATCACAGGCAGGAACCCAGCCTTTGTTCCCAAGAGGCCTCAGTGAGCCAATTCTCTCAGGTATCCACTTTGACCAGCTGTGGGAGAAAGGAGGAGGCCACATTTCTTCAGCCTTGTGCTTAAGAGATGTTTTATTCTAGGGGAGGGAAGAACAGACCTGGTGTCAGGACACAAGTCAGGAATCTCAGGAGGGTTTTGGTCTTACTTCCTCATCACTTGGGATGTGTGGAACAGCAACAGTGATCAGTGTCACTGCTGGGATCCCAGGGAGTCTCAAAGAAGCTCACTTGTCAGACTTGGAGCCTGAGAATCAATCTTATGTCTCTTAGTTTTAATATTTGACCCCACACTTCAGCTGTGTGGGTCTCTACTCTGTCTCTGGTGGAACCAGGAGACACAATTGTTACCCCCAATGTTGCTGCTGATTCAGCAAAACCGATGATGACCGACTGCCAGGTGTCCATGAGGTAGACGGAGACTGAGTCAGAGCAGTCAGGATCCCGGTCCTGAAGGAAGGGACAAATGTGGAGATGAGCAAGTGTGTGGCCAAGCCTCAGGGTGCTATGGCTTTGATCTTCATCCCTTGCAAATCTTATGCTGAAATTGAATCCCCAGTGTTGGGGGTGGGAATTAATGGGAGCTTTTAGGGTGATAGGAGTGGATCTCTCATGAATAGATTAATGCCCTCACTTGGGGTGAGTGAATTTCCTCTGTTTCCAGAAGAGCTGCTTATTTAAATGAGACTGGTATCTTCCCTTTCTCTCTTGCTTCCTTCCCCTCATTGACCTCAGCACACACTGGCTCGCCTTCACCTTTCACCATGACAGGAAGCAGCCTGAGGTCTTCAACAAGAGCAGATGCCACATTTTGAACTCTGCAGCCATTGGAACTGTCTGCCAAATAAAACTTTTATTTTCTGTATAAATTACCCAGCCTTGGGTACTTCTTTATAGTAACAGGAAAGGATCTAAGACACAAGGGGAGGAGTGAGAAGTGACCTGTGCTTCTAGAAGGTGCCCTCCTTGTGTGAGTCTCACCCGTGGCTTGAGTGAGGTGGGTGAATAAGAGTTCAGCCACTCAAAGTGTGGTCCTGGGAGGACCAGCAGCAGCAGCCTCACCTGGGAGTTGCCGGACACAGAGAATTTGGGGCCACATCCAGAACTGCTGAGGCTGCATCTGCATCTTAACCAGATCCTTAAGGGGCCTTGTGTGTCCACTGGAATTTAAGAATCTCTGGTCTAAGCCACAATGGAAAATCTCACTTCCTCTGCTTTTGACAACAAGCCCTTGTTCCACCAAGTCCTTCTGAGGCCACCTGGGTCTGGAGCTTAACAGCCCTGGACTCATCAAACTCAGCTTGATTCACGTGCTTGACTCTGTCACGACATGCAAACAAAAATTAAAAACGGGCATTTTTATAATTCACATGGGTGGTGTGTTGGGGAGGAGACAATATTTTGATGAGATATCCAGAGAGAAATACATGGCTTATGCCATTTTTCTTGTTCTCACTCAGCTCCAGTGAGTCTGGACTTTCCTTATTTCTCAGACATATTATGTTCTCTTCTGTGTTCCAACTTCCGTGTGTTTTTCTCTTTGAAAGTTTCTTGTGTATATCACTATTCTTCACCCAATACCTGCCTAAATGCCACCTATCCCATCAGATCCCCGTACTCACCACTTGTCAAGGAAGTGGTCTCTGACCACCAGAACATTTGGAAATGCAGAATTGTAATCTTTTAGGTTTTTTTTTTTTTTTTTGCCTGAGTCTCACTCTGTCGCCAGGCTGGAGTACAGTGGCGTGATCTTGGCTCACTGCAACCTCCACCTCCCGGGTTCAAGCAATTCTCCTGCCTCAGCCTCCCGAGTAGCTGGGACTACAGGTGTGTGCCACCGTGCAAAAATACAAGTAATTTTTGTATTTTTGTAGAGATGGGGTTTCACCAGGATGGTCTGGATCTCTTGACCTTGTGATCCGCCTGCCTCGGTCTCCCAAAGTGCTGGGATTACGAGTGTGAGCTACCGTGCCTGGCCTCTTTTAGCATTTAACAGTAAGTGTTCATGTAGTTTGGTGTGGGATAGCCAGAGTCTTTGCATGTAATAACATTTTCTCCAATAGTGGCACCACAAATCTTATCTTTTTATGATGCTCTAGCAAGACTAGAAAAACAACAAATGGTAATGTTTCCTCGCATGAAAACATTTGATGTGACTGTTGAGATGACCATGTGGTTTTGTCTTCTATTTTCTCTACATCCTCACCAGTGTTTGTTATTTTTTTGTCTTCTTGATGATAGCCATCCAACTGGGATGAGATGATATCTCATGGAGGTTTGGATTTGCGTACCCCTGATGATTAGTGATATTGAGCATTTTGTCATATACCTGTTGGCCATTTGTATGTCTTTGACTGTGAAAAGTCTATTCATATCATTTATCCACTTTTTAATTGTATTATTTGTTTTTTATGCTGATGAGTTATTTCAGCTCCTTGTCTTATTTTCTTATGCTGGATCTTAGGCCCTTTTGAGTTGAATAGTTTGCAAATATTTTCTCTCATTCTAGAAGTTGTCTTCACTCTGTTGATCGTTTCCTTTGCTTTTCAGAAGATTTTCAGTTTAATGAAGTCCCATATGTCTAGTTCGTGTTGTTCCCTGTGCTTTTGAAGTCTTAGCTATGGAATTTTTGTCTAGACCAACGTCCTGAAGAACTTCCCCTGTGTTCTCTACGTTCCCTTCTAGTAGTTTTATAGTTTTGGGTCTTATATTTCGGAGTTTTAATAAATTTTGAGTTGATTATTGTATAGGGAGAGAGATAAAAGTCTAGTTTCAAGGTTCTGCCTATGAATATCCAGTTTTTCTCAGCGCCATTTATTGAAAAGTATGTCATTTTCTCAACGTATGTTTTTGGCATTTTTGCTGCAAATCAGTTGGCTGTAAATATATGAATTTATTTTGGGGTATTCTATTCCATTATATTAGTCTCAGTGTCTGATTTTAAGCCAATACCATCGATCTTGTTTTGGTTACTGTAGTTTGTAGTATATTTTGATTCAGATAATGTGACATATTCAGCCTGGGCTTTTTGCTTGGTATTGCTTTGGCTATTCAGGGGATTTTGTGGTTCCATACCAACTATAGAGTTTTTTTCTACTACTGTGAATGTCGTTTGTATTTTGATAGGGATTGCATTGAGTCTGTGGATGGGTTTTGGTAGTAAGTTTTTTCTTTTAATATTTTATAAATATAGCTCCACTGCCTCCTGCTTGCATGACTTCTAAGAAGAAATCTGCTCTTATTAGGGGATGCTTAATGGGTAAATAAAATAGAAAGAATGAATAAGACCTACTATTTGATAGCATGTCAGAGTTACATCAATACTATTTGATAACATGTCAGCAACTTAATTGTACAATTTAAAATACCTGAAATAGTGTAATTGAGTAGTTTGTAACACAAAGGATAAATGCTTGAGGGGATGGAAACCCAACTCTCCATGATGTGACTATTTCACATGGCAATGCCTGTATCAAAATATCTCATGTATCCCACAAACATATACACCTACTCTGTACCCACAGATGTTTAAGAAAATTTTAAAAAGAAAAAGAAATCTGTTCTTTTTATGATGTTGTTCATCTGTACATACCATGTCTTTATGGCTACTTTTAAAAGTATGTCTTTATAATAGGTTTTTAGCAATTTCATTATGGTGAGTGTTGGTGGTGTGTTATTTGTGTGTGTGTGTTTGTGTGTGTGTGTGTGTATGTGACTTGTTAAGCTTTTTGGAGTAGTGGGTTTCTAGCTTTCACCAAATTTGGGAAATTGTGGCCATGATTCCTTTAAATGGCTTTTCTACCTTTCCTCTCCCCCCACCAATGTTATCTCCCTTCATGTCTTTAATTATAACCAGTAAGTCAGCTTGAAGATGTCCTGAAACTCACTGATGCTCTCTTCACTTTTTTTGTGCTTCATCTTGCATAACTTCCATTGCCATATCTTCAAGTTCACTCATCTATTCCTTCACAGCTTCTAATCTGCAATGAGTCTCATCCAGTGTATTTTTTCAATGCAGATATTTAGGGGCCATTTCTAAAAGTTTAACTTGCATCTTGCTTTATGCTTTCCATTTCTCCACTTAACACATTCAATAGATCCTCCATTCTCATGAGGAAGGAGAAAAGAGTTATAAGAATTGCTCCAAGGCTGGCGCGGTGGCTCACGCCCGTAATCTCACCACTTTGAGAGGCCAAGGCGGGTGGATCATGAGGTCAAGAGATCGAGACCATCCTGGCCAATACGGTGAAACCCCGTCTCTACTAAAAATTAAAAAAAAAAAATAGCTGGGTGTGGTGGCACATGCCTGTAGTTCCAGCCACTCAGGAGGCTGAGGCAGGAGAATCGCTTGAACTCGGGTGGCGGAGGTTGCAGTGAGCTGAGATCGCGCCACTGTACTCCAGCCTGGCAACAGAGTGAGACTCCATCAAAAAAAAAAAAAAAAAAAAAAAGAATTGCTCCAAAATTCGTGCCTACAAGGTCTATCATGTGTGCAATTTTTGGCCACTTTGGATTGATTCATTTTTCTCTGTGTTAAAGCATATATTTTCTTTTTTGCTTGCAAGAAATATTGACAGAATGCCAATCATTGTGAATTTTTCTTTGTTGAGTTTATAATCCTTTTGCATTTTCTTCTCTATTTTGGTCTTTTATTTTTGGATTCAGTAAAGTTACTTGGAAACTGTCTTAACTTTTCCCAGTTTGCTTCTACACTTTCTTAGTTGACAGTGGAGTAGCCCTATGTCTGTCCGACATTTTCCCCAATACTGAGCCGAAGCTCTTCTGATGAGTCCACCTCATGCTCTGTAACTCAGGCCTTTCCTCTGTGACTGGAGTGTGTGTGTGTGTGTGTGTGCGCACGCATGCACACTCTTTGGAGTGTTCCCTCAAGGGTCTTTCTCTTTCAGAGGGAGTTTCTTTACACACAAGTGCTCTTCAGTGCATGCATATTTGCAGACTTCAGAGTTCTTTCCTTGTGCAACTCCCTAACTCTCTCCTCTTCAATATTTTTCCCTCTAGACTGGTGTGTTGTTTTTTTTTTTAATTTTTAAGTTCCCTGGAATCCTACTCTGAGAGGGAGGATTCCATGCAATAGGGTTTCAGGATATATTCTCAGGAAAGAAGTGTGGAGTGTGTGACTGGGAATGTTTTACAATTGAGTGTTCAGCTAGAAGGCACTTCAATTTGATATTCAGGGTCTTAAATTAAAGCATGACTTTCAGATTAAGGCATCAGGGAGTCATTGCCCCCGAAACATACTCTGAAATGGGCAATTCTTTGAGCAAAGCTATTCTCTGTACTGCATGGCAGTTTCTGGTGGGGAAGAGCTGTGAGAAGCCAGGGCCTCCCTGCAGCCCTGGGAGGATGGTGGGTGCATAAGTCCTGAAACGGGAATCTGAGGGATGTCACAGTGCACACTGTGAAAGGCTTCCATGTTCAGAACATCAGGATGCACAAAGCTGGGGCTTGAGGGTCTCAGTTAAACACGGGCAGTTCAGAAAAATAATCCAGGGTATTTGGGCCACAGAGTAGAGGCACTGCATTGGGTTCAGTCAACACACAGGAGGAAATTCAGTGACCATGAGCACTCAGGAGCTGTCTCCCTCTTACCGTCCTTCCAGTAAGTCCTTCCAGTAAGATGGCTCAGGTCATCTTGAGCCAAGGTACATCCATTCCAAATAACAGCAGGACAGCCTGGTTCTGCCAGCCCCAAATCCTATCCTGACTCATTCTCTGCAGAGACTACCTGGAGAGCTGGGGGGAAGGGCAGCTTGGAGGACTTCGATGCAGGTGACCCAGGCCAGCCCTGCTCATGGCTGTCTCCACAGTCCTGCTATGGCTGGAGGAAGAGGGTGACACAGACAGTGAAGGTCTTTAGATCTCACTTCCCAATCTGTCTGTGTCATTGTGAGGTGAGTAGCACTGCTGTCCCATGAGTGATGGTAATAGTCAGCTTCATGTTCAACCTGAGCCCCAGTGATGGTCAGGGTGGCTGTGTTCCTGACTTGGAGCCAGAGAATTGGTCTGGGAGCCCTGAGGGCTGGTTATTTTGTCGATGTATGACCTGCACAGGAGCCTAGCCTGGCTTCTGCTGGTGCCAGTTTGTACCATGGCTTCTTAGGTTTTCTCCCTGGCAGGTTACCCTGGCTGACTGTCCCAGGGCCACAGACCCTACTGGCTCCTGAGTCAGCATGGAGGAGGCCACAGAGCCTACAAGAGAGGACAGGAGAGTTAATTATGAGGATGAGGGTCATTCCCAGAGCCCCACACTCTGCATCACTCCCTGTGCTGAGCTGAAGCTCAGGGCCAGTCTGATCTCTGGTCCTTTGGGGGCTGAGCCCTGGGAGGCAGCACAGAGACGGAGGAGGGTGAGCAAGGGAGGGGTCCAGGCCACGGTGGAGATGCCACATAGCTCTGTCTCTGAGCCCATGGCTGGGGAGGGACCTTCAGGCCTCTCTTATCATGGGAAGGAGAGGCTCTTCATGCAAATCTACTTCTTTTATTCTTGTATCCTTGTTGGGTGGGCTCTCTGATGAGCAGTGAATGCAAATCTACTCCTCATTCCCCAGTGTGCCTGTCCTAGCTCCCATCTGAGCCCTGAGCCTTAAGTCTTCAAACTGATAATGTGCTAAGGTCAGAAGAAGGACCAGATGGGTGTCAGGAGTGGAGAGTAAATTTTACCCAATAGAAGGGGCCTGGGAGGAAGCATCTGTGATGCTCTTCGCTCTTGAGCACTACCAGCGGACTTGGTGTCTTTCAGAGTCCTCAAACCAAGGTCCACAGTGCCCCCTCTGCCCACAGGACCAATGTCATCCTCTACATATCACTAGAAAATTCATAATAACCACTTCTGAGACCATAGTGTATGCCAGATACATTGCTGAGTGTTTTACAAGCATGACCTCAAGAAGACTTTCATCATATAAAAAAGGAAGATGAGGAATCCTGTGCTCAAGGCCCGATCTTTACTATGGAATTAATATTGGGCGGTTAATTGTTTTTCCCCAAGTCCCCAGACAGCAGTGAGTGGAGTCAGGATTCCACCCAGGAGATGACCTCAGAGCCTGAACTTCCAGCCCCTCCCTGCCCCACCTCCTGCACCCTGCTCCATCTCCTCCTCCTCCCGCATCCAAGGTCTTTGGGGTCCCTTTTGTTTTCATTTGCTAGTGCTACCTTAATGAGATACCAAAGACCTGCTGGCCTAAAGAGCAGACACTTATTTTCTCACAGTTCTGAAGCTGGGGAGTCAAGATGAAAGTGTTTATAGGTTTGGTTTTCACTGAGGCCTCTCTCCTTGGCTTGCGGGTCGCTACCTCCTTGCTGAGTCCTCACACGGTCTTTCCTCTGCACGCTCATCTCGAGTGTCTCATTTTTGTGTGTGCAAATTTTCTCTTCTCACGAGAACACCAGTCAGATTCGATAAGAACCCACCCTCATGACTTCATTTTCACTGAATCACCTCTTTAAAGATTCTCTCCAAATTCAGTCACACACCGTGCATTAGAGCTTCATTGTATGAACTCTGGGGGACACAATTCAGCCAAGAACTCTCCAACCTATGGACCCAAAAACTCATGTATTTTTCACTTGTAAAGCGCATTCACTCCATCCCAACAACCCAAATCCTGAACTAACTCAGCACCAACTCTAAGACCAAACTCTCATTTAGGTATAATCCAACTCAAGTGTGGGTGTTTCTCCAGGATGATTCCTCCTGAGGGTTTAAAGGATAACAGCTTTAGGGGGTTTCACCTCCTCTCTCCTGTTGTCATCTGGGTCTTCAGAAAAGTCAAAGCTCCCACTTTATTTGCTATGATTGGAAGAGAAGAGTGAGTCAGCATCAGCGACATCTGTGAGTTAGATGTGGGGAAGTCACAACTGTCCACTCTTGAAATAATTTAAATACCCATTAATTGAATTTATTAATCATTAGTCATGGGATATCTTTGCCACTGTTTGAAAAAAAAAAAACAGAGCTGATACAGATAATAGAACAAAAAATATCACAAGTTAAGTTGTTCTAAGGGCAGAAATGTCCCTATTAAGAAAGATAAATCACAGACAGAAATAGTCAAAAGAAAACTCACCTCACATGCATATTAACCTACTATTTCCAATGTTAACATTAAGCATCCACATTTGATATGCAAATAGAGACTCTCCTAATGTTTATACAAAAGTGCATTATGTTTTCTGTCTCATATTGACGTTCCCTTTCGGTTCCCTCCTTGGGTGAGGGTGATCTTTGACTGTGGTGAAGAAGGGTGTTCCATGAGATGTTCTCTTATACCTAAATATATATATAGACATATAGAAGAGGGTAATTTACAGCATAAACATAGTTCCACCAAAAAGGTCCTGTTCTTTTCCTGGCAACTTTCCTTGGGGTCTTTATCGTTTAACATCTCAAACTCTTTTCCTTATCCCATTGTTAAATTCTGAGTTTTAGAATTTTTGTGGATTATAAAAATAATGAATGCATTAAAACTTAAACTATGTTTTTATTTGTCATCCTCAGAACCTCTATGGTCTCTTGTGGTTTTGGCTTCAGTCAAATGCTGATATTAGGACCCTTTTCTCTGAGCCTGCTGCAGTGGATATTCCAGCTTTGGTACAAGCTTCCTTGCCCACTTGCTCCTCCCCCTCTCTCTGATTTTCCACCCTGGATAGTGTATTCCTGATATACTGTCACACTCCCAAAAATCACAGTAAAAGGACGGACACAAAAGTTATGAGTTTATGACACAGGGCTATCACAGATAGACCCAAAATCCATCCAAAAAATAAGAAAAGTGTGTTCTTATCTAGAGAGAAATCTCAGGCCACTATAGGCGGTGAAATACAGTATTACCCACAAAAAGATCTCCACCTAAAATATATGCTGGTGAAATTTTTAAACTTCAAATGACCCTACAAAACAGGGACCATTAAACCACATCCTGTGGCCACCCCTGGCCTGCCACCTGTTTTGTGTGGTCCCAGAGCTGAGAGTGGTTTTTATAGCTTTAAATGGTTACATTGTAACTGGAGTTATAAGTTCCCTCATAATATGGTCAAAGTTGACTCTTGGCCCACAGGGGCTAAAACCCTCCTTACCTGGCCATTTTAGAAAAAAGCTCACTAAATCCTAAAATATAAGAGCCCTGAAATGTTTGAGAAAATGTTCAACCTCAAGCAGAATAGGAGAAATCCAAAATAACACTGTTACAAGACAACAAAATTTTAATCTACCATGTTGGCAAAAACCCAAACTTTCAACAGCATACTCACGTCAAAGATTTATGGCTGGCACTGTAAATTGGTACAACCCCCCCGTGAATAGGAATCTGAGAATAATCAGTGAAAATTACAAACGTACTTCTTTTTGACCTAACAATTCAACTTCTAGAGATTTATTCTATGGTAATCTTCATAGGTGAACTCCAAGGAGTCTGAATAGGGATGTTCATTGCAGAATTATTGTAAGATCAAACTCTTGGTGACAACTCTGGGCTAGTTGGTTAAAATACGTGTGATGGTCTTTGACATGGGCATCAGCACAGGGGCCGTACACTTTCTTAGTTAACACCAGAGATGCCTTTTGTCTAGGGCAATGTTTTCCCCAGTACTGAGGCAAAGCTCTTCTCACTGGTAAATCTCACCCACTTTAACTCGGGCCTTTCTTCATGGAGCGGAGGAACAGGCACTATTCTGATTGTGCATGTGTGTGCACATGGATGTGTGTGTGAGCTCTATGGAGTGTTTCCTCAAATGTCTTTGAATGGTTATTTTCTCTATCACAGAAGGTTTCCTCCCATGCACATGCTCATCGGTGCTCATGAATATCTGCAGACTCCAGAGTGCGCTCCCTGTGCAGCTCTCTCCTCTTTGATCCTCTTTCTTCTAGACAGTATTTGGTTTGTTTGTTAATTTGTGAACTCCCTGCAATCCTACTCTGAGAGGGAGAATTCATTGCAATAGGGTTTCAGGAAATTTTGTCAGAAAGAAAATTGTGAGAGGCATGACTGGGAATGTGTTACACCGGAGCGCTCAGCAAGAGACACTTCGTGGTTATTTTAAATGAAAACATGGCATTAAAATCTAGGGACCAGGCAGGCATTGCACCTGAACCACACTGTGAAGGGGGAACATCACTGGGAGAGCAGTTCTCTGCAGCTCAGTGGCATTTTCCAGTGGGGAACAGCTGTGACAAGTCACGGTCTCCCACACAGCCTTGTTTGGATGCTGGATGCATGAGTCCTGAAAATGGCACCTAGATGGAGACACTGCAATGGGCACTGGCCATGATTCTTCAGATCAGGATACCATGAGAGTGGGGGCTGGAGCATCTCAATAATACACGGGGAACTCAGAGGAATAACCCAGGGCATTTGGGCCACAGAGTAGTGGCACTGCCCTAGGTTCAGTCACCACACAAGGAAATACTGGGACCATCACCACTCAATAGATGTCTCCCACTGACTGTACTTCCATTCAAGTCATTTTTCCCCAAGTCACACTCCAGCCCAGAAAACACCAGGACCTACTGGACCTGCCAACCCCGAATTTATTATTGATCCACCTTCTGTAGGGCCTCCGTAGAGATCTGGAAGGAAGGAGGCCTCAGAGTCTCTGATCTGGGTGTACTGGGCCAGACCTGTTCGTGGCTTTGTCCACAGTCCTCCTGGGGCTGGAGGAAGAAGGTGACACAGATGGCAAGGGGTTTGTGTCTCATTTCTCCATCTGCCTGTGTCACTGTGAGATTGTTGTCAGCCGCAGAGTAACAGTAATAGTCAGCCTCATCCTCAACCTGGGCCCCGCTGATGGTCAAGGTGACTGTGGTCCCTGAGCTGGAGCCGGAGAATCGCTCAGGGATCCCTGAGGGCCGCTCACTGTCTTTATAAATCACCAGCACAGGGGCCTGGCCTGGCTTCTGCTGGAACCACCGAGCATATTTTTTTGCCAGTACATCTCCTGAGCAGGTGATCCTGGCTGTCTGTCCCGGAGACACTGACACTGAGGATGGCTGTGTCAGCTCATAGGAGGCCACAGAGACTGCAAGAAAAGACAGGAGAGGGGGCTTGAGGACAAAGGACGCATTGCCAGGAATCCCCCCCAGAGGCAGTGGCAGGGCTTTGCTCAGGATTCAGGTCAGGCTCAACTTGGGGTCTGTGGAGACTGAGCCTAGGGGCAGCACCTGTGCAGAGAATGAGGAGGGGGAGCAGGAGAGGGATCCAGGCCATGGTGAGACATTCAGAGCTCTGCCTCCTGAGCCTACAGCACAGCTGGGCTCCCCAGGCCTCTCTTATTCCCTCTCCAGCTTTTGGGGGCAGTCAGTGTTTGGCGTTTATGCAAATTTACATCCTCTGCGACTCCTCCTGGAGAGATGTCACTCAAACCAGCTGTGAGGGCAGCACAGGCAACAGGAGGAAGAAGCAGGGTCTCAGATTAGAAAATCAGCTGCAGCCTTCAAGCCCTGTGATCACAGTCACCTTTCTGGGAATTAATCTCATGACCACTGTCCCAAACCTCGCTGACCTGGGGTCTGTCCTGGGCCAGGCTCAGCAGAGCTGTGGACCTTCCAGGAGGTTGGCCATGGGCTGAGCTGGGCTCTGCGGAGAGATCTTGCTGACACCTGACTCAGCAGCAGGTGGCCCAGGGACCCATGATCTTCCTCCCCCTGGTCCCTCAGACTCAGTCCCCTCTTGTTCATTTCATCTAAATGCTGTGCTGTGTCATTGGGACACTTGCTGATTATTCAGTGGGAATAGTTGGGTCATTTAAGCAACCACACACCCCTGTGGAGTCAACAGGGCCTCTGGTCTCATTTCAGCCATGGTGCTGCTCCTGCTACATCACCCCTCATTGCCACAAGAGATTAGCAATTGGCACCCTCAGCTCGTCTGTTATTTATGTATGTTTTTCTCATCAATGTTTTATGTAAACTTGCAAAAAGCAGGAGAAAACCACACTGGACTGAAAATCTAACTTCAGGCCCCATGGTCTCTGAAGGGGTCCCAGGGTCATGGTCTCTGCACAGCATGTGAGCTCCAGAGGGTGGGTGGTCCCTGGTTGCCCCAGCCAGGTTCCTGGTCACTCCAGTCAGATCCCTGGTCAGTGTCCTGTCACTGAGTGTGGACAGCCCCATGGTCAGAGCTGAGGCAGGTGAGAAGCCCTGTCCCTCTGAAGAGTGTCTCCTTAAGGATGCTGGGGATGCCCCATGAAGGGATCAGGATCCCAAATGCTTCACCCCACCCACCCGAGACTCCCCTGAGCACAGGAGTTTCCCCCTGAGTCAGAGTCCGCCTGGAGCTGGAAGGTGAGGCAGAAGGAAGTGAGGTATGGTGTATCTGGAAGTGCCCAGGACAGAGGGCTCAGCTCCCCAGGTTGCTGCTGGACTGAGAGGGACAAGGCCCTGAGAGTGGCAGGAGGCTCAGACAGCCATCCTGGGTGAAGAACCCGGGCCCTGGGAGCCCCGTCACCTCACGCTGTGCCCCCTCCTAGAGCACCTCAACCTTGGGATGTCTCCAAAGAAATCCCCTTCCTGAGTAAGCTGCCCCAGTTGACACCTGGTCCCAGCCTCCTCCAGCTGCATTTCCCAGGTGAGGCCTTCACTGTGCCGGGCTTCTGTCAGTGTCCTGGGGTGACACTGTATGAGTCTGACCCTCAGAGAATGGTCACTGCAGCCTGAGGGGATAGGATGAACTGCACTCACTTTCAGTCTGAAGACTGATTCTTGGACACCTGTTGAACGCCAGGCTGGCCTTCTCTTTGCCCCAGCTGGGCAGCCCCAGCCTTAATCCTGACTGCTCCTGGCTGCAGCTCTGCTGCCCCCAGCTGGTGGAGGAGACTCAGCCCAGGAGCTTTTTTCTTCCACGTGCCTCCACAGCACCTGTCACCTCAGAAGTTGAGGACCAGACAGTCCAGCCCCATTCTGTGCAGGGTGACCCAATCTGCCCTGCCCAGCCCAGCACAGAGAGTTCGCACACGCAGGGTAGGAAGTTGGGGCTATAGAAGTGTCTCAGGGTTGAAATGCCCTCCTCTAGTGGTTTTGTTCAGTCCGGACTAATTAGAGTGAGTCAACTGAAGCTCTTCTGCAAAGCTTTCAAAGTCCAGAGAGATGCATGTGCCATCCTACAGGGACCCAGGCTTTCTATGTACTTAGGCATCAAACTGGTGCACCTCCCACCCAATAAGAGCAGCTGTGATTCACTGTGATTTCCTGATGTTCCAGGCACTGCAGCTTAGTTGTGAGCTAACATCACCATCATCGGCACCATGAAAACATGAAATTATGTTTATCTTTATTTTATTCAACACCTCTCAGAGTTTGTACGGAGAGGATTTCTACACTAGCCTAGTCTGCCTTCCTGATGAAGCTGGGAATCTCCTGCTTATTCTCAGCTAGGGACCGCTGTTCCCACCATACAGAAAGCAAGCTCTTTTGAGCCCCTGTCTTGGAATCCCTGCAGAGAAAAGACAAGAAGTTCCACGTCTGAAACCCACTGAAGCCCATTAAATGACATCCCCTCAGCAGGCTTTAATTTACATGACTTTCATTGTTTTTCTGTCTTTTAATTTTGAATGAAGAAAAGAGCTTCCTCAGTTCAGTATAAGCCTCCTCACTTCACAGCAGGTAACACTGAGGCCAAAAGAGACTAAGTGGCTCAGGAGAACAGAGAGCAGTGGGGGCAAGTCCAGGAGCTGATCCAGGTGTCCTGAGTTCTGAACCTGGGCCCTTTCTGGTGGAGATTAACCAGGGTGGGGAAGGAGGGGGCATGAGGGTCAGGCAGGCAGCAGGGCTGTGTCCTGTGGACACACTGCCATCCCCCATCATGGCCTGCCCATCCTGAGAAGCCCATTTCAGCCTGCAGAAAGTGGGGGCTGTACCACAGGCTAGAGCTGGAGAATCTGTGGGGACTGGGGCCTGCTTTGGATGCAGGGCCTGGCCTGGCTCCTGCTGGTTCTCTCTGCACTGTTGCCTGCTCCACTGTCTCCTGAGCAGGTGGGGGACAGGTGTCTTATGGCTAACAGGTGTCTCATGACCCCACACCTTAGGTTAAAGAGATGTTGGGGCTCATTCTCAGGATCCCATCTCCTGAAGCATCACCTGGGCTGAGCTCAGGGTCAGGAATAGGCTTAGGGTCCTGTGGGGGCTTAGCCTGGGGCAGTGTCTGTGGAAAGAGTGAGGAGAGGTAGCAGGTGATGGACCAAGGCCGGGGAGAAACATCCAGGAGCTTTGTCTCTGGAACCCATAGCTGAGCCTGGCTCCCCTCATATTCCCAAAAGTTCCCACGAAAATGCTCCCTTCATCGCGCTGGACTGCAGAGAACTTGGCAGGCTTCAGTGTAGGCTTCGTGGATTTGGTTCATATGGAATTATTCTTCTTCTCATATCTCACATGGAAGTGACTGTCACTGCTTATTTGAACAATCTTGAAGGAAAGACAGGAATCCCAACAGCCCTGGTGTCAGGACACAAGTCAGGAATCTCAGGAGGGTTTTGGTCTTACTTCCTCATCACTTGGGATGTGTGGGACAGCAATAGTGATCAGTGTCACTGCTGGGATCCCAGGGAGTCTCAAAGAAGCTCACTGGCCAGACTTGGAGCCTGAGAATCAATCTTATGTCCACTGTGGAAAATGTTGCTGCTTGTATATGAACTGCAGTAATAATCAGCCTCGTCCTCAGCCTGGAGCCCAGAGATGGTCATGGAGGCCATGTTGCCAGAGCTGGGAGCCAGAGAAGTGATCAGAGACTCCAGAGAGCCTATAACTGACTTCATAAATCATGTGCCTGGGTGCTGCTGGCACCAGGAGACATAGTTATAATGCCCAACGTCACTGCTGGTTCCAGTGCAGGAGATGGTGACCGACTGTCCAGGAGACCCGGGTACTGAGTGAGGCTGAGTCAGGGCAGACTGAGCCCGAGAGCCCGGAAAAAGGAAAAAACACACTCTAGTGAGTCAGTGCTGGGCCCAGGTGAGCCTGAGGAGCAGGAGACTAAGAATCAGCCCAGAGGTCCCTGAGGCCCCTTTCCTGGAGGCATCACCTGTGCCCTGAGTGAGGAGGGTGAGGAGGAGCAGAGCCCAGGCCATGGTGGAGACGTCCCGAGAGCGCTGCCTCCTGAGACTCAAGCACTGGGTATGCCCCCAGCCCTGTCTTATCCGCTCTGCCTCAGAGGAGGGCGGGGCATCCATGAAAATCTGTGTCCTGGCTCCTCTCCTCATCCCACTCTCACCTGGGCCTGGGCTCAGAGACTTCTTCCCTGGACAGTGGGGCTCAGCTGAGGAGATTAAAGTCCTTGTTTGTCTATTCTGATGGTAGGAACTTGATCTCTTTGTACCAGGAGAGAAAGATCTGCTGAAGTCCCTCACCTGAGTGAGCTCCTGGCCCTCAGTGTCTCTGCTGTGTGGTGCCTGTGTCTCTGTGACCCTCCAGGCCTGGGCCACCCCACAGATACCACTGCCTGGCACCTACCTTTAGGCTCGCTCTACTGTCAGGAAATGAGGCTGCTCACCCCGTGGAAACCCCTGCTGTGTGTGGTTGATCCTTGGTCTCCCCAGCTGCAGCCTTGTCCCATTCCCACCCCCACCCTTGGTGCTGAGGCATCTGCAGCATCGAATCCCTGGAGCACATCAGCCACCCCAGGCGATGCACCCACATCCACACAGGGCACATGTTGTGGGGAGCCCTGTGGAGGGAACACAGAGCACTGACCGGAGCCACTCTGCACACAGGTGATCCATGGAGACATGGCCAGGGGGAAGGGAAAGTTTGCTAACAGGCATTTCTGTGTGCACCAGAGTGATATTTATTGTGAATGACTTATTGAAAGATTTAAGTCCATTTTACTTTGATTTATTTGTTGAGTCACAGTGGTACATACTTCCTTCTTTCTTGATTTTCCCCATCTCAGCACATCCATGGGGCACCATAAAGCTGATCTCTCTCAACCCTGCAACACTGAAGACACATAGACATTCTATAAGTTTGTTTTTGTTTTTTTTCTCAAAAAGCTTTTATCTTTTTTACCTTTTCCCATTGCCTATTACAAAACTCTTTTAATGTTCCATATTAAAATAAATATTAATGGATTTGGGTTCCATTTAAATATTATAACATACACTGTCCTGTCTTCCCACCCAGATTCATCTCTGAAACCACAACAAGTGCGTGGAGCAGCTATTTGAGCACCAGGAAAGGAAATTGTACGCAGTGGTTTGGGATGGCCCCAGCAGATGAAATACAACAGTCAGTGTGAGACTCCTATTTTTTCTCGGTGTCCCCTGGCAGGATTCCAGACAGCCCCAAATCTGAAGGGGCACAAACTTGAAAACAAAAAGAAGTCCAGAAATCCCTCTTGTTCAGGATTGAGGATAGGAAAGGAAACTTCTTCGGCTCAAAGTGAAGGCTCAGTCCCCTACTCCACACCCCTGTTCTCATCTCTCTTGCACCAGTGCCTCTCCCTGGGTTCACACTGATATCCTATGGATGGAGATGATATTTCCTGCACCAGGTCACTCCACAGCCCCTGTTAACCTGAAGAGGTGCAGACCAGCACTGTTCAATCACAGTATGATGAGCCTAATGGGAATCCCACTAGGCTAGTCTAGTCACCACATTAGACATATAAAGAGAAGAAGGTAAATGACTTCAAATAATATATTTTATTTACCTAGCATATCAAAAATAGTGCCATTTTCATATGTAATCTAAGTATGATTGTCATGCAATATTTTAGATACTTTTTCACAGCTATTATTACTATTTTTTGAAGAATCTTTATGTGGAGATTATGTGGCTGATGGAGATGTGGATGGGTTTCCTGTTCACAGGATGAGATGTAGTGGCTTTTTAAGTGACAACTTTGATAGGCTGAAGAAGGGGTGAAAACAATGATTTTTTTGCACAGGATATACAGATTGGAGGTGGGCAGTGTCCATCCTGCAGCTCACCCTCTGGGTGCATCTGTGGTCCCTGCATGGGGCGAGGCTGCTCCTGCTGCCCCTGGATTCCTGCAGGAGGATCTGACTCCAACTCTCCCTCAGAACCCAGAGCATCTGGCATGTCAGTCTCCCTTTTCATTTCACACAAATGAAAAAAAAAACCACTCAGGTCTCGCTGGGCATTTGCAGACTCGCAGTGGTAATTTAAGAGTAAACTGATGCTTTCTAGTGTACAGTGGCCTCTTCAGCTCCCTCATGGCCCGTGTTGGGGATGGCTGGTGATCTTAGTTTGGGTTCCCTGGAAACAGACTCTGAGATGGAGAATATCATACACAGATGATTAAGAAAGTGATGGAGGCAACACCAGGCAGAAGGAGGCCCTGACACATATTGAGGCTTCAGTCAGCCCTACAAGGAGCTATGGATCTTGGAGGATTTTCAGGTCCTGTTATACTGAGGAAGAGTCTTGAGACCTTGGCCACAGGCAGTCATGAAACCAAACCTCCCTGAGAAGAGACATAAACCTGGGGGAGGCAGATTTCTGCACCGAACAGCTCTGAGCTGCCAGAAGCTCCCAGGAGTGCTGTGTGGGTGAGCTCATAAGAGGGGATCTGGGAGGATCCCACAGTGTCCACTCCACTAGTTTTTCTGTAGAGAATGACAGGAGCCTCAGCTGGGCAGTTCTGGGGACTGATTCAGGACATTTCGGCCAAGGACTGGCCTATCACCACCTATGGAAATCCAGAGATAACTGAGGATATTGACCTTGGTCTGCTTGGAAGATCTAATTTCCCTGAATCACAGTGGAGTCCACAAAACCCCAATACATCCTGGTCACCTCAGCCCTAAATCCATTCTGGATGCCCCCTCTGCACAGCCTGCCTGGAGGGCTGAAGGAAGTAAAGACTGGGGGTCTCAGATCCAGGTGAACTGGGTCATGCATGCTCATGGCTTTGTCCACAGTGTTGCCGGGCTGGAGGACGACAGCAGCACAGATGGGGAAGGGGTCTGTGTCTTACTTCCTTGTCTGCCTCTGTCACTGTGTGCAGTGCCACTGCCCCACACCTGAGAGGAAAGCCTCGTCCCCAGCCTGGGCTCCACTGATGGTCAGGGTGACCATGTTCCCCGAGTTGGAGCTGGAGAATCACTTAGAGATCCCTGAAGGCCATCTGCTATCCCCATAGATGACCTGCACAAGGGCCTGGCCTGGTTTCTGCTGGTACCATTAAGCAGGTTTAATTCCAATATTATTTCCCCTACAGGTGATCCTGGGTGTCTGTCCTGGGGCCACTGACACTGAGGGTGGCTGTGTCAGCACATATGAGGCCACAGAGCCTGCAAGGAGAGAAAAGAGGAGCGAAAAGGCCTGAAACTCTGGGGATTAACCAAAGAATATCTTGCCACTTGCCTGAACTGACCTGAGCCCCAGGAATAAAAGTGCCCTTAGGGCACCAAGAGAACAGGAGCACAGTGTGGGGGGATTTCTGCCCCACCAGCCCCCTGCCCTGCGGCAGGTTCATGAGCATCCTGCCCACCACAGGTAGGGCCCTACTGAGCTCAGTGTTAGGGCCAGGCTGGACCCAGAGGCCTGGGGCTGGGCAAGTGAGTGAGACCCTGGGGGCAGCACCTGTGCAGTGAGGGAGGAGGCCGAGGAGGAAAGGGGTCCAGGCCATGGCTGAGGCACCCCCGATGCTGCTTCCCAAGACCCAGGCTGAGCAGGTTCCTCCCAGGCCTCTCTTATCCCCTTGCTGGATAAAGCGGCCATGATGCAAATCAGCAGAGTCAGGGGCTGCTGCTGGAGTAGCTCTGTGGTTTTTAGAGAAGGGCTCAGCCCCAAAGGGCCCAGGAAGGAGAGGAGTGGTCCCAGCAGACCCACTCTCAGCACACGGGTTTCTTCTTCCTCTCCTGGTTCTATTCTGGGCCGACATCTTCACCCCAAATTGTGTCTCAAACTGGCTTTACTCCTGGGCTGTCCTGGCCCTATAGAGCTCCGAGGTAAGTCTGTCTGCGTTTTTGGGCTCCATTCTACAGGTGCCAAAACCAGGCTTTGAGAAGTTCTGGGTCTTGCTCTTGAGCACAGCTCCTGAGCTGCAGAACTTGAATAAAATTTCTCCCTTGCTAAGTGAACATGGAGGTTTTTAATATCCATGAAGCTTGTATAAGTTTTTGCCCTTGGTGGAGCTTCAGGGGAAGGCCCTAGGAGCTGTGCCTCAGTGTCCCCACTATGCGTTTAGGGCCAGGTACAAATCTGCTGCTCTGAAAGTGTTTGACAGATCCAGAGTTTTAGCATAATTGGGTGGGCTGGGATGCAATGTAGTATAAGACTTGAACTTGTTGCTGTGAAATAAGCAAATTCTAAAAGAGCCAGATGTAAGAGACATGGGGCAAAAGAGTTTGTACATCAATGTTAACGATGATACTCTAGAAAAAGAAGGACATTTTTCCCCCCAGTGTTAGGTCATGGTCACTGACCCTCCCTGCATGTCAGCATCTCCCTGACATGCAGGTCCAGCCCAGCTCCAGGCGGCTTTGCCATGTGACTCTCTGTTGACCACTGCTGGTTGCTCTTCACTGACTGCTGGAGGCTCAGACACCACCTTGGTCTAGGTGTAGATTCAGAAATTACTCCTCAGGTCTAGGATTTCTTGATCCCTGAACTGCTGGCCCAAAGGGAGGAATTATTCTTCTCTGTGTGGCCTGTCTGCCTTACGACCAAGCAGGAGGTGCTCAGTTCCCAAGAAAATGCAAACATGCTTCACCAGGGGCGGAATATGCAGGAGCCACCTGAGGCATCTCTGCACATTTCATTCAGAAATGTCTTGACATTTTCAGTGTACAAGAAGTTCATCTTCTTGGATAAATTTATTTGTATTCTTTTTGGTGGTCTTGTAAATAGAGTTACTTTTAAAACTTCTTTTTCAGATGTTCATTGCTGGTGCATATAAAATATGAATGAGTTGCTGGGCATGGTGGCTCTGCCTGTAATCCCAGCACTTTGGGAGGCCGAGGCAGGTGGATCATGACGTCAGGAGATTGAGACCATCCTGGCTAACACGGTGAAACCCCGTCTCTACTAAAAAATACAAAAAATTAGCTGGGCTTGGTGGCAGGCGCCTGTAGTTCCAGCTATTCGGGAGGCTGAGGCAGGAGAATGGTGTGAACCCGGGAGGCGGAGCTTGAGGTGAGCCGAAATTGAGCCACTGCACTCCAGCCTGGGCAACAGAGCAAGATTCCATCCCCCCCCAAAAAAAAATATGAATGAGTTTTGCATGGTGATCTTGCATCTTGCAACTTTGCTGAACTCACTTAAATAAGGTTAGGCATCCGGAGATGTCAGAGGGATAGCTTTCGGTCTTCCATTATTGAGTATGAAGTTTGTTGTGGGATTTTTACAAACGCCTTTTATCACACAGAGGTTGTTTCCTTCTACTTCTAGTTTTCTGGGTGCTTTTTTTTTTTCATTTAGAGAAGGTGTTGGATTTTGTTGTTCTATGTTATTTGGAATATGTATTTTCTCTCTTGAGCTATTAATGTTGTATATTCCATTGATTCATTTTCTTATATTGAACCCTCCTTACATTCCTGATATTAATCTCACTTAGTTATATGACATAATCTTTTGAATATGCTGTTGGATTCATGTTGCTGGCACACATTTTGAGGATGTTTGCACCTATATTCACGAGGTATATTGGTCTTTAGTTGTCACATCTTGTAGGGTCTTTAACTGACTTCGGTCAGGGTCATGTTGGGCTCGTTAGGAATAGTTTCTTCCTCTTCTAGTTTTTCAGAGTTTGATAAGAATTGATGCTAATTCTTTAAATGGCTGATATAAAAAACATGGAGGCCATCTGGTCCTGGACTTTCTTTGGCTGGAAGGTTTTAATTATGGATTCAGTCTCTCTGCTTGTGATAGGTTTCCAAAGAGAAGTTACTAACCAAAAATACCATAATGCTGCCTTTTATACTAACCTATGTTGTTGCCTTTAACAGAATTCATTATTTCACAGTGTGACCTCTAATTTCCATCTACTGTCCTTTCATTTTAAAATGCAGGACTCACTTTACCATTGCTTGCCACACATAAACATGTTTCCACTCTGCATGATGAACATTTTTCTGCTGCACACAATGAACACTTTCCTATCTGTGGAATTTTTGCAAAATTTTTCATAAGCCCAGGGTTTGATGGAATCTTCGTCGATAAATGCCAGATCGATCAGAGAGAAGTAAAAATCAAATATAAGGGTTGGAATCTTGAGGATTCTGTTAGTAAACATAATTAAATAACTACTGTAGGTATTTTGGGCAATTGGTGAAATGGGATTATGGAGTGGACAGAAAATTATTGTTAATTTTTTAAGATGGAGTAGAGAGAGGAAGCGAGAATGCTCCCTGGATTGGACTCAACGTACCCCATTGTTGCATCCAGGGAGGGGATATACAGGGTTTCATTACTCAATTCTAATGCTTTTTTGAGTAGAATTATTTCCAAATTAAACTTGCTACTATAGTTTGAATGTGTCCTCTCCAAAATTCAGATGTTGCCAGTGTGGTAGTGTTAAAAGAGATGGCCTTTAAGAGGCAATTAGGGCATGACAGCTCCTCACTCTTGAGAGGATTAAGGCCCTTAGGAAAGAGGCTTCATGCAGCCTTTAGCTTTCTCCAGCCCTTCTGCCTTTGCCACATGAGAATGCAGTATAAAAGCCCTCACCAGGATCTTGGACTGCCCAGCCTCCACAACTGTGAGAAATAACTGTCTGTTCTTTGTAAATCACTCAACCTCAAGTATTCTGTTGTAGCAGCACAAATGAGCTAAGACACTGTACTTTATTTTCAGAATGTAAATTTTTTATGGTAACAAAATATACATAACGTATGCCATTTTAATGATAGTAATGGTAAGTTTTATGGGTCAAATGGACTAGGCCATGAGGTGCCCAGATTGAACACTATTTCTGAGTGTGTCTATGAGGGTGTTTCCAGATGAGATTCATGTTTGAATGCCTGGACTAAGTTAGTACTTTGCCCTCCTCTGTGTGGTTGGCATCATCAAATCTACTGAAGGCGTGGATACAACAAAAGGCACCAGCAGGGAGAATTCCTCCTTTGTGTGTGACTGCATGAGTGGGACCTTGATCCTCTCCTTCCCTTGGACTGAGTCTTAGACCAGTGGCTCCCCTGGTTCTCAAGCCTTGGGGCTTGGACTAATCCATAAAACCGGCCCTACTGGGTCTTCAGCTTACAATGGACAGATCAGGGGACTTCTCAGTCTCCATAAAAATGACAGCTGATTTTTTGTAACAAATGGCACATAAGAGAGGCTAACAACTTATTGGTAGAATAAAGGAATAAAAGCCAAGATAATCTGTAAGAATGCTTTTGTTTGTTTGTTTTGAGACGGAGTCTTGCTCTGTTACCCAGGCAGGAGTGCAGTGGCATGATCTCGGTTCACTGCAACCTTCGCCTCCCAGGTTCAAGTGATTCTCCTGTTTCAGCCTCCCGAGTAGCTGGGATTACAAGCACACGCCACCATGCCCTGCTAATTTTTGTATTTTTAGTAGAGATGGGGTTTCACCATATTGATCAGGCTGGTCTCAAACTCCTGACTTCAGGTAATTCACCCTCCTCAGCCTCCCAAAGTGCTGGTATTACAGGTATGAGCCACTGCTCCCAGCTTTTAACATGAGAGTTATATTTACAATCAGGATGCTTTCTTTACCTCACACAGAGACATGCATTGATAGGTTATTACATGAATTTTTAATTGACTCAATGAATATTTATTAATACCCATGGGAAATAAGGCTGAATGAGACATCGTCTCTCTGCTCATGTGAGACAATTGAACAGACAGGGACAGGTGATAGGGATAATAGCAGAGCAAACAGGACCTGTAGCCAAGCATATAAGATGAGTGTCTTCTGTGGAGAATGGAGGTGGAGGAGGCTTCTTGGTGGAGCTAATTTTGGGGTGTCCCCATAGGAATAGGCAGGCTCTCACTAGACATGCAGGCGGTGGGTGTGGAATTAGGCAGCATCTTCCCCAGAGTGAATGGCAGCTGTCCACATCACCGGTTATCAGCCTTCAGGACAGAAGGTGTCGTGCCCCTGCTGCTGTGGGGCTGAATCACCTGAGACTTTTTGAGGAGAGGTCCTGGGCAAGAGAGAGTCAATGTAGGGCCACCTGTGTCCAATGGCCAGTCAATGCTGACTTTCAAAAAATTGGCCCCTCCCCATCATATATAGAAACTCTGATGGGAGTTCCCAGCCTCGACATCATCAAAGTCCTAAATCACCCTTTCCCAGGCTTATTTTTGTTTTCCCTTTTGCAGTCACACAAGGGAAAACAAAATGTTTCCCTGTGTTCTATGGGAGGGCCTGAAGGACATTCTGTTTAGCAAATCCCTGAAGCATATTCAGGTGACAGAGCACTAGCACCCCGGAGAAGCTCCATAGTCTAGTGCAGATGGTAGGAGCCTCTTCTAGAAGGTACTGCCTGGCATTAATGAGATAACACTATCTGGAATTAACCAGCCAGTGAATGTGCCCAACCATCTTAGGCAAGGTGGACACAGTGAGAACGAGCAATTCAGGGTGGCTGTCCTGTGGTCTGCCTTGCAGAGGGCAATGCAGAGGGTTCATCATTCTTGGCACCAGGAGCTAGGCAGCCACAAAGGGCCCTGCTCATCACAACAGTCAGAAGTCACCCAGGATGGACGAGGGCAGTAGCCACATGACAGCACCAGTCTCAACTTCAGCATCCAGATCCGAGCCAATTTTTCTCACCTAGAACCCACTGCAAAAAGGCATCCCAAAGAAAGTTCCATGGGGCAATGGAAAAGCTGGGGTCAGCAAACCATAGTGACTACCTACGTTTGTACATAAAGTTTCATTAAACAAACCCATATCCCTTCATTTATGTTCAGTCAATGGCTGCTTTCATGCCACAAGTGCAGATCTGAGTCGCTGCAAGACAGACCTTGTGACTCACAAACACTAACATTTATACGACCTGCCTTTTATGTATGTGATGAATTCCGACTCTCTCCCCATTTCACCCCATCAAAAAAGGTAAATAATAATCATGCTTCACCCTTCATTGGGAGTTGCATGTAATAGTGTTACCTTTAAAGGCCTAAAGATTCTCAGGTTGTAGCAGGACTTTATTTCCATCTAATTTCTTGGACTAGCTCCTATAAACATTAAATGGATTCTGGAAGGTGAAAGTAGATTTCTACAACTCCAGTAAGGTCATGGTCCCATCTGCAATGTCGGTGCCAAGTGTAGCATCTGCTACAGCAGAATAACATGGCTGCAGGTGCATAGAATGCAACCCTGATGTGGAAACTGAGATCTCTATTCCTCCCAGAGAGTAGGCTCAGACACATGTGCCTTCATGTGGGATGGAAACAGTATATGTTCACATTTTATGCCCTCAGATTTATTAACTCTCTCTTTCCTGTCATGATATAGTCATGGGGTCTTGGACCACCTGGACACCCAGGAGAACGTGGTTTCACCATGTTGCCCAGGCTGGTCTCCAACTCCTGACTTCAAGTGAGCCACCCCCCTCAGCCTCCCAAAGTGCTGGGATTACAGGTGTGAGCCACCACACCCAGCCAAAAATCACCTTTTTTACAAGGATCAAAAGAGTCATTATGCTGGAGATGACAGACCTCACTGTCACCATGTTCCTTTTGTATGTCTACTAGGCACGGTGCTGGGTCCACACTCGCAGAAAGCTTAGGAGCTCGCACCCAGGGGCTGCGGCTGTAGCAGAATCCCAAGAATAAAACCTGGTGCTGAAAGAGTAGGAGATGAGGCCGGGTGCCATGACTCACTCCTGTAATGCCAGCACTTTGGGAGGCCAAGGCGGGCGAATCAAGAGATAGAGACCATCCTGGCCAACATGGTGAAACCCCGTCTCTACTAAAAATACAAAAATTAGCTGGGCGTGGTGGCTGGCACCTGTAGTCCCAGCTACTCAGGAGGCTGAGGCAGGAGAATCATTTGAACCAACGAAGCAGAGGTTGCAGTGAGCTGAGGTCGCACCACTGCACTCCAGCCTGGTGACAGAGCGAGACACCATCTCAAAAAAAAAAAAAAAGAAAAGCAGGAGACTGAACTCTGGGAGGGCCTCCTGGTGAGAGGTGAGCACAAAGGGGAGAGATGGAGGCAGGAGCATGGGCTTCTGGTGGCCCCAGCAGACCCTGTGGCAGTGTGGCCAGGGTCCTCTGCAGGGAGGAATCTTGGCCAGGATGACACTGTAGCAGGCCTCTTCCTGAGGCCTCCAGCCAGCCCGGCCAGGGTCCCAGCGTCCAGTGACCCCTGTTTCGCAGCAGCAGCTGGGGCCAGCCCCAGGCTCTCTTCCACTCCCAGCTTCTTAAAACAGGAAGTGGAGAGAGTTGTTTGATAAAACACTGGGGGAAAACCACATCCTCTCTTCACCAAGGGAGAGTTCGAGGGGATGCCGGCAGAGGGAGCTTTAGAGTAGAGACCCCTACCCAACCAGTGACCGTCGCGCACACAGCAGGGCATGCTATGGAGACCCCCAGACAGTCACTCGGGGAGACCCAGCAGGTCCAGACTCTTCAGAGATCTGTGGCAGCAGGTCCCCACTCCCAAAAGCCACGTGCCCATGGGTGGTCTCTGGTGCCTGAGACCCCAGTCTCATTTGCATCTTTGCAACTTCGAGTTTAAGTGGGTGTCGCATCTCTGCATGTCCTCCTGAGCAGAGGAGGGGCACAGCCTGGGGTGGCAGCTGGCGTCAAACCCTCAAATCCCCTGAGAGCCACTGGGGAGACTAAGCAGTCCCCAGCCCCCACTTGTCCCTGAGCTGCCATTCTCAGCCCTGTGGGAGGAGACAGAAAGCCCTGAAGAGAAACCAAAGGACCAGGTCAGGAGGGGCTGGAGGGGGGGTGGCATGAGCAATCAGGGCAGGGAAGGATGGACAGATGGGGGAATGGAGGGAAGAAGGAATGAATGAAAAGGTGAATGAATGAGCAAAGAGAGAGAACGGCCACTCCTCCCTTGCTTTAGTTTACAAAGTACTGGGATCCTCCCAACAGCCTGCAAGACAGAATTTCTGGGAAGCAGACCAGGTGGCTGGCAGGGAGGGGAGGCTTGCCCTGGCTTTTGTGGGCCCAATGGGAGGCAGGGGGCAGGAAGGGGCATCCTGTATGTGTCCTCCCTGCAGCGGCAGCAGCACCTTCCTGGAAGAGGGTCAGGAAACACCCGCTGTGGCCCCTCTCCACCACGCCCTCATCCAGGACACCAAGTATCAGTCACTCAGCTCACGAGACCCAGGCCCTGACTCAGGGAGAGAGGATGTGAGGGGTGGGGCACCGGGCTCCTCAGGACTGAGAGACCTGAGATGTGGCCCCGGGCTGGGTGTAGGGGCAGACTGGCTATGGCAGCATTGTGTGTACCCCAGCAGGCCAGTACCCACGCAGGGAGCCTCCAAACCCCTTCACCCATGACCCTGGGAGAAGACCGCAGCCTTGGAGAATTGGCCTCACTGAAGGGGCCTGCACCGGCCAGCAGGGTCAGCCGGGGCCAGACAGGTTCCCACCTGGGATATGCAAATGGGCCTCCTGAATCCTGGAGCCAGGTATGGACTCACACACCACCATTGTCCCCAAGTCCCCATCTGCCCCACGGGCACACCCTGCCACCTGTTCTGTGCAAGGGCCCTGAGGCTGTCTCCTTGCGCTCAAGTCCTGCAGGTGCTGAAGCCCACACACACGGCTCCTGCTTCCTGGGCCAGTGCACGTGCGCGCACACACACACACATGCACACACACACCCACACATACACATACCCACACACAATCACACACATTCACACACACCCACACCCCCATACTCACACTCACACACTCACACACACCCACAAACACCCACACATACACTCACACACACAATCACACACATTTACACACACCCACACACCAACACACACTCACACACTCATAGTCACACACACTCTCACACAGCAAAACACAATCACACACATTCACACCCCCCCACACCCCCCACACACTCACACTCACATACCCCCACACACCCACACACTCACACATACACACACCCAAACACGATCACACACATTTACACACACCCACACCCCACACTCACACTCACATACCCACACACACACACATAATCTCTCACACACACACACGCTTACACACACACGCCTTCTCCAGGAGGGGCTGGCTGCCAAGGGCCACCCAGCTTCCTCCCACATCTCACTCACTGTCCAATATCCGAGCAGACCTTGGAGTCAGCAGCAACAGCGGCGTGGGCAAAGGCCGGGGGTCAAATGGGGCCTGGTGTCGAGAGAGGACCACAGCCAGCACAATGACAGCCAGCGCCAGCCCCAGCCCCAGCAGGACCAGGCCAACCATGGCTCTGCAGTCCTGGGCCGTGGCTCTGCGGCCCAGAAGGAGAGGGGAGGCCGGTGGGCAGACGGAGGGACAGATGGGTGGGCAGATGAATGGACAAGAAGATGCATAGATAGACTCACAGGTAATTGGACAGATGGACAAACAGGTGGGGGCTGAAGACAGACACGAAGATGGATCGACAGACAGGCCAGATAGCTAGACAAAGAGGACAGTAAGAGAAAGATGGTCAGATAGACAATGGGACAGAGATGGGCTTACAGATGGGCGGACAGACAGACAGGTCTGAACAGCGGGCTGCCAGATGGACAGATGGGCGAATGGACAGACGGCTGGCAGCTGTGGCCAGCTGCTGCCCTCACCAAGTGCACACTACGGAGTGACCAAACTCATGCCTCAGCTTCTAGTTTTCAGCTCCTGCTTGTTGCTGGCAGGAGGCCAGGCAGCAAAGCGTCTGAGGGGAGTTTTCCTTGCCTAGAGAAGTCAGCTGCTGTGTTAACTCCCTCACTGCTGGTAGGTCCAAAGGCCCCACCTACCGCCCGCCAGAGCCCAGGGTCCCACTGTCGCAATGTGCAGGAGAACTTGGTGCCTGTTGCACTGCGGTTGCCAGGTAGGGGCAGGGCTCCCCGGAACCTCCACACCATTTCCCGGGTTCTCAGCAGCTCTAGGAAAGCGGAGCTGGGGCCGCTTAACTCTGCCCTGGATCCCGCAAGGCTGCCCCCCTCCCAGAGTGGAGCCCTGCTCCCCAGCTCTCATCTCTATCCCCTAACCCTCTCCGCATGGCCCAGCCTAGTCAGCATCAAGGTGGAGCTGAACAGAGGCAGAGGGAGGAGGACCCAAGGTGGTGTCACTCAGGACCCGGGTTCAAGTCCTTATGCTTCTGCAGCCTGGCCTGGGTCCCCCCACCCCCCAGGGTGACCAAGGGCTTCCCAGTCTGCACAGAGGACAGGGGGACTTGACAGCATCAAATGCTGGTGACTACAAGATGCCCCTGTAGGGAATGCAGACAGACCATGCCTCTAGCCCTTGGCACCAGGCACCATCCATCCCTGGGACTTGCTGTCCTGGAAATGCAGCATGGACCTCCAGGGAGGGGGGCTGTGCCATGTGGGGGCTCCACCCCGCCTGCAGCTCTTTCCCACCCTGGCTGCAGGTCTGCTTCCCTGAATCCAAATCCGCTACTACTGTGCTGGCAGCGCAGCCTCTCTAGGGACACTGGCCTGGCTCTGTTCTCCCCAGGCCTCAGGGTGCCTAAATGGGAGGCAGCCAGGAGAGTGAGGACCCACTGAGGGGCTCCGTTGACCAGGCTCAGCAGGGGTGCAGGTGATGTGGGGTGGAATCCTTCCCACATGGCCCCCACAGTCCTCCCCGCTTCCTCCCCAACTGAACACTGCCTGCTCCAGATGTGTACACCTGGAGTCTGGGCCCCTCCATCTGGGCAGCAGAGAAACTGAGGCACAGAGACAGACTGTGTCCTTACAGGGCACACAGCCTGCCAGGCCCCTATGTCCGGCCAGAGCCCCTGGTCAGCCTGGGCTGCAGTGATTGTTTAGAGGTAGGCTGTTCCCACGGCTGCCTCTCACGGTAGGGGGGGCCTGTGGACGCCTCCTCCCGCCCCCACCCGACTCCCAAGCCTCAGTGACATTGCTCAACCAGGAACTGAAGTGCATTCCTGGGCTCAGGCCAGCCCACCCACCCACCCGCTGTAGTCCTGGAAGCCCAGAGGCCTGGGCAGCAGGAACAGTGGAGACAGCAGTGTGGGGGACGTCCCCCCTCCTCTCCCCACCATCCTCGTCAGGCAGAGGCCAGGGTGCAGGGACCACCGGAGCAAAGGCCCAGGGAAATGAATGGGTGTCATTCTGGTCCTGACCCGAGGCACAGCCAGGAAGGTCCCTGTGGGGAAAAGAAAGAGATATCAGACTGTTACTGTGTCTATGTAGAAAGAAGTAGACGTAAGAGGCTCCATTTTGTTGTGTAGTAAGAAAAATTCTTTTGCCTTGAGATGCCGTTAATCTGTAACCCTAGCCCCAACCCTGTGCTCACAGAAACATGTACTGTGTCGACTCAAGGTTTAATGGATTCAGGGCTGTGCAGGATGTGCTTTGTTAAACAAATGCTTGAAGGCAGCATGCTTGTTAAGAGTCATCACCACTCCCTAATCTCAAGTAAGCAGGGACACAAAACACTGCAGAAGGCCGCAGGGACCTCTGCCTAGGAAAGCCAGGTATTGTCCAAGGTTTCTCTCCATGTGACAGTCTGAAATATGGCCTCGTGGGAAGGGAAAGACCTGACCGTCCCCCAGCCCGACACCCGTAAAGGGTCTGTGCTGAGGAGGATTAGTATAAGAGGAAGGAAGGCCTCTTTGCAGTTGAGATAAGAGGAAGGCATCTCTCTCCTGATCGTCCCTGGGCAAAGGAATGTCTCGGTGTAAAACCCAATTGTATATTCCATCTACTGAGATAGGAGAAAACTGCCTTAGGGCTGGAGGTGGGACATGCTGGTGGCAATACTGCTCTTTAATGCATTGAGATGTTTATGTATATGCACATCAAAGCACAGCACCTTTTTCTTAACCTTGTTTATGACACAGAGACATTTGTTCACATGTTTTCCTGCTGACCCTCTCCCCACTATTACCATATTGTCCTGCCACATCCCCCTCTCTGAGATGGTAGAGATAATGATCAATAAATACTAGGGAACTCAGAGACTGGTGCCAGCGTGGGGCCTCCGTATGCTGAGCGCAGGTCCCCTGGGCCCACTTTTCTTTCTCTATACTTTGTCTCTGTGTCTCTTTCTTTTCTCAGTCTCTTGTCCCACCTGATGAGAAACACCCACAGATGTGGAGGGGCAGGCCACCCCTTCAGGTCCCTGAATGTTCTTCCTCAGGAAATGATGGGGGAAAGGGCGATGAGAATGAAGGAGAGGATTTAAGTACCTCACCCCCCGAGGTAGTCCTGGGCTGAGCCCCATGGGACCTGGAGAACCAGGGTGTACCCCACCAGTGTGTCGAGTCGAGGAAGCCTCGTGGCCAGCTCCCACTTCTCTTGCTGCTGTGCAACCCAGAGCAAGGCCTGCCCCTCCAGCTTCAGTCTTCTCCCCTGCAAATGGGGCCACGGCCTTTCCTCTCAGGCCAAAATAAGGATTGAGGCTGGGTGCACTGGCTCACCCCTGTAATTTTAGCATTTTGGGAGACTGAGATGGGGGGACTGCTTGAAGTCAGGAGTTAAGACCAGCCTGGTCAACATAGTGAGTCCCCATCTCTATTGGTTTAAATTTTTTTTAAAAAAATTAAATAAATAAAATAAGGATTGAGGAGTGACTTGTACACCATTTGAGCCCACCTCCATCTCACCCCTGCAGAGCCCCAGAGACACAGCCCTGCAGAGCTCAGACCCAGTGGGACTTGACTCCACAGGCATAAAAACCTGTTTGTCTATGGGCCCTTTGGAATCACCAGGTTTTCGGGGCTCCTGAAGGATAGCCCCGACCTGGCCTCACCTGGCCCCTGGCCCCAGTGCCCCTGGTGATATCCAGGTGCTGGGCTGTGATCACCGCCTCCCACCAGCCCACCTCCACCAGCCCTTCCCAGAACCCTGCCCCAGGTGTTGGAACTGTGCACAGAGGAGGGAGCAGGCCCCGAGGGAGGCCTGGAGGGGCTGCGGATGGTGAAGGCTGCTGTGTCTAGCTGTTTCCTTCTGGACCCACTCCCTCTGGGCTGCGTCCCCGGCTGGTCCAAGCCCTGATCCCTGGGATCTGGGGACATCTTCCCGTTTGCTGTTCCCTGAGAACCAGGCCTCCCTCTGGAGAGGATCACAAGCTTGGGTTTCACTCTGGGCTTGCTCTTGGAAACCCCCCAGGGGCGTGGCTCTGACCGAGATGTTTTCCTCCAGCCTGTTGCCCAGTCCCCATTCCTCGGACCTCAGCTTCACCTCCAGTGTCATCGGCAGGGTGAGCTGGACGCCTACGGGTCTGAGAAGGCGCCCGGGTTCCCAGCATCAGCTGGCCACCCTCTGCCTAAGAAAGTGCCAGGGTCGTGGCACCCCCTGGTGGCTGATCCTAGGTAGTGTCACTGCCCAGCCCCAGTAAGGGAGGGCCTGGCCCCAAAGTCCGAGGGATCAGGGTGGAAAGGGGCAGGGCTTGGTGTGAACCTTCCCCTGGCCCCCAGCCATGTGCCTGGCTCTCCCCATGCTGAAGATGCTGAGGCTAGTTCCAGTGTCCGCATTGTGAAGATCTCCGAATCCCACCTCTCTGTTCCTCCCCAGTCAGATGGCTCCATTTCACACACAATACACTGAGGCCCAGAGAGTGGGGAGACAGGGCAGGGAGGCCACCTGGAGCCTGGCACAGTGGCCTCATTTATTGTGCTGCTCTGCTGCTCACAGGGGAAGCCAGTCCCCCAGAGTCCCCTTCCTGGTCCTGGTGAGTATCTTGTCCCTGGATTGCTTGTCAGCCTTGTCCTCCTGGAGCACTCAGTAGCCGGCAGGCTCCCCGCCTTTCCTGGAGTCCGAGGCAGCTGCCCAGCCACCAGCCGTGCGGACGATGGCTTGCACCACAGCGATGAAGGTGGACGCGATCTGGGTGTGATGGTGCCGGGTCTCCAGGGCTGCAGTCACTGCCTGGGGGTGGGAGGAGAGGGGAAGCCTGAGCAGGGCTCCAGATGCCACCTGAACCACACCTGTGTGGTCACAGGCCTCAGCCCAGGTGGTGCCATTTCGGGCCAGGTCATCAGGAAGAGCAGGTTGGGGCCTGCTGGGTCTCACTGGAGCAGGGGGCTTGGCCCTCATGGCACAGGGGCTCCAGATGGCCCAGGCACTAGAGAGAGGACACCAACAATTGTCCACTCTGTGATGATCCAGGCCTCCAGCCCAGGATGCCCTGGGGCCCCACACCGTGACTCAGTTTCTCCAACCCCCGGCCCACCTGGTCAATGTTTCTCTCCACTGTCGTGACGTTGGGCAGAAGCTGGTTGTGCAGCCGGGGCTCCTCCACGGCCCGCTTCACGTCATAGCCGAACCAGAGGTTGTAGATGATGGCCTGGGGCATGGGAGTGTGATCAGCATGGCTTGGGGGCTGTGCAGGGTGGGCACGGCCAGGGAGAAAAGGGGTGACACATATCAGTGCAGTGGCTGTGGTGATCTGTGTGCCCCCAGCAGCTCCCACCACCATCCGGACCTGGCCGTCCTGGCCCACCATGATCGTCGGGCACATTGACGAGAGCGGCTGCTTCCCTGTGGCCGATGGGAGAAGACAGGGATGCCCGTCAGCTGCCTGCCCAGGACACCCGCCCCTCTCCACCCCAGTCCCCCATCCCCAGACCTCCACCCCATACCTGGCTGGATGAAATTGGCAGGTGAGGGGGGCACCCCAAACTCGTTGGTGATGTTGGGAGAGCTGAAGTCATCCATTTCATCATTGAACAGGATCTCGCTGACCGGGGAGCGGACCTTGGAGCCAAAGCTACCGCCCAGCCAGGTCAGACAGCACCTGACCTTGCCTGGCCCAGCCTGGTCCCTATCCACCCACTGAGGCTCAAACATACTCACTGAGAGGCCCAGGATAAGCTACCAAGGTTGGGCCTCAGTTTCCCACCAGGAAAAGAGGTGATGGAGCCACCTTACTGGATAAGTGGGCAGTCCCTGGGCCACCCGCCCCTGGCCCTTTCCCACCCAGGCGGCCCAGCAGCCCCTACTAGAGGTTGATGGTGCTGGTGGCGGACACAGCACTGCCGTCCTCTGCGACGACAGACAGGTGAGCAGTGCCCCCATCAACCGGCGTGTAGAACTCGGGCTTGTAGTAGGAGATCGGGTGAGTGGTGTCGTCAGAGATCTGGGCCCGGAGCTGGGCAGCGAAGAACTCAGAGGTCATGTTGTGGACCACCTGCCGAGACCCCAGAGCTGGCCTGAGGAGGTGGGGAGGGAGGGTGGGGAGGGGACACAGGTCTCAGAAGGCCCCTGACTGTGGCTCTGACCACAACCCTCTGGCACCCACAACCTTCCGTGGCTCCCCAGGACCCAAGGGCAGGCCCAGGATCTTGCATGACCAGTCTGACTCCCTGTCTCTGTCGCATTCCAGCAACTCTGAATGTCTGTCTGCCTGGTCCTCAGCCTCCAGACCCTTGCTGCATTCAATCACTCATTCCTTCATGCAAAAAATATTTCTAGAATTTGCACTGCATGCCTGGAACTGGGGAATCAACAGGGAACAGACACTTAGGTCCTGCCCTCATGCCAAGAAAAACAAACACACACAGGGAAAGTGCTGAAACCACAAGCCAGGTAAGGGGAATCAAGAGGCATGAGGTATGGGCAGAGTGGTCAGGGAGGGCTTCTCAGAGGAGGCAACGTGTGAAAAGAGCCTGGAATGTGGCCTAAATGGTCAGTGCAAAGGCCCTGAGGCAGGTGGTATAGGCTGGTGAGCGATAGGCAGAGAGTGAATGGAGTGGGGTGGGGAGAAGAGGATGAAGATGCAGGCTGGGGCCCATCCCACAGGACCTCCTAGGTCCCATAACAACTGGCTTTTGCTCTGTGCCATGCAGGCTTAGGGCAGAAGAATGAGCAGGCTGGGGAGTGTTTTCACAGGGTCCCTCTGGCAGCTATGACGGGGATAAGGATAAAGCCCAAAGGGGAGGCTGTGGGTATCAACCAGGCAAGAGATGATGGCCTGGGTGGGAGAAAGAGAAGAATCAAGGATGGCGCCGACTAGCGAGGTAAACCCTGCAGAAGGGGCAGGTTTGAGGATGGTCAGGAGCTTGATTTTGGATACTTCATCAGACCTGAAGAGCATGGGTGCACGTATAAAAAAAATAAATAAATAAGCATGGGTTCACGGGCAAGGGCGGGCTGAGAGATGAACATGGAGGTATTGACATTGAGTGGCTGCTGGATGCCATGAGCCTGGCCAAGGTCCCCAAGGCAGTGGCGAGGAGGAGATGAGGAGGTCAAGGAGGAGACAGAGGATGGACCCGAAGGCCGAAGAAAATGCCTCAAGGGAGTTTCAACACCGGGCGCGGTGGCTCACGCCTGTAATCCCAGCACTTTGGGAGGCCGAGGCCTGTAATGCCAGCACTTTGGGAGGGCGGATCATGACGTCAGGAGATGGAGATCATCCTGGCTAACACGGTGAAACCCCGTCTCTACTAAAAATACAAAAAATTAGCCGGGTGTGGTGGCGGGCGCCTGTAGTCCCAACTACTCCAGAGGCTGAGGCAGGAGAATGGCGTGAACCCGGTAGGCGGAGCTTGCGGTGAGCCCAGAGATCAGGCCACTGGAATCCAGCCTGGGCGACAGAGGGAGACTCCATCTCAAAAAAAAAAAAAAAAAAAAAAAAAAGAGAGAGTCTGACTCTGTTGCCCAGGCTGGAGTGCAATGGTGCGATCTCAGCTCACTGCAATCTCCACCTCAGCAGGAGAGCAGGAATCTTCAGTGATCCACGGGCAGATCTGCCGCCATTGTGGGCACCTGTTCCTCCCGCGACCTTTGTGCCCGCCTCTCTCCTTCCAGTACCTATTGCATGACCCCCCACGTCCGCCTCCCGCCATTGCCAGCAAGTGCCTCGCGCGGGTACCTGGCTGCGCTTATTAATCCGTTAAGCTCGCTCTGTCACGGGCGCCGTGATGTGCTCACGCGCCCGCTCCCTCAGGTTTAAAAGGCGCGTTGCCCGGCAACAGAAGAAACTGCTGGCTTAGCCGTTGGCCGAGTTGGCGGCTGGACGAGGACGCTCAGAGCCCAGCTCTCGAGAGTTCAAGCAACCGACGGTTCCCCACTGCTCCCAGGAGCGGTTACCTGGGCACTCTGTGCCCCTCCTTCCTGTTCGGGCCCAGGCCGAGGACCTGCCAGTAGGGCTCAGTTGCCTGGAGCCCGTTCAGCCCATCCCCCAGTTCACTTTGCCTGTGGGATCTCCCCGTTGCTCCTGCCCGTGCACTGAGTGGCAGGCCATCCTACAAGTACCCAGACACTTGACATCAGTGGTGTCAAGACAACTCTAAGAAGGTTTTCGGTGATCCTGCAAGCGCTGCGTTCCTTCCTGGGATCCTGCCTTCAATTTGATTGCACAGGTACCACAGCAAGCCAGTGCTGTGTGCTCCGAGTTCCAGGGCGTCCTCCAGCTCAGCCACTGCACTGAGAACATGGACTCTCTGTGGGGCCCAGGAGCCGGGAGTCACCCCTTTGGGGTCCACAACACCCGGCTGTCCCCAGACTTGTGTCCAGGGAAGATAGTGTTGAGGGCCCTCAAGGAGAGCGGGGCAGGGATGCCTGAGCAGGACAAGGACCCTAGAGTCCAAGAGAATCCTGGTGATCAGAGAAGGGTCCCGGAGGTCACCGGGGATGCACCGTCTGCATTTCGGCCCCTGCGGGACAATGGAGGCCTCTCTCCCTTTGTGCCCGGGCCCGGGCCTCTGCAGACAGACCTCCATGCCCAGAGGTCAGAAATCAGATATAACCAGACATCCCAGACCTCCTGGACGAGCTCCTGCACCAACCGAAATGCCATCTCCAGCTCCTACAGCTCCACGGGAGGCTTGCCGGGGCTAAAGCGGAGGAGGGGGCCAGCCTCATCCCACTGCCAGCTGACCCTCAGTTCCTCAAAGACAGTGAGTGAGGACAGGCCTCAGGCTGTCTCTTCAGGTCACACCCAGTGTGAAAAGGCAGCAGATATAGCACCAGGGCAGACACTCACCCTCAGGAATGACTCCTCCACATCCGAGGCCTCTAGGCCCAGTACACACAAGTTTCCCCTGCTGCCATGCAGGCGAGGGGAGCCTTTGATGCTGCCACCTCCCTTAGAGCTGGGGTACCGGGTCACTGTTGAAGACCTTGACCGGGAGAAGGAGGCGGCATTCCAGCGCATCAACAGTGCACTGCAAGTTGAGGACAAGGCCATCTCGGACTGCAGACCCTCACGGCCTTCCCACACTTTGTCCTCACTTGCAACAGGGGCTTCTGGTCTGCCTGCCGTTTCTAAAGCACCCAGTATGGATGCACAGCAGGAGACACACAAGTCCCAAGACTGCCTGGGCCTACTGGCCCCCTTAGCATCTGCTGCAGAGGTCCCCTCTACAGCTCCCATGTCTGGGAAGAAGCACAGACCACCAGGCCCCCTGTTCTCCTCCTCAGATCCCCTTCCTGCCACCTCTTCCCATTCCCAGGACTCAGCCCAGGTCACCTCGCTGATTCCTGCCCCCTTCCCAGCTGCAAGCATGGATGCGGGCATGAGAAGAACAAGGCGTGGCACTTCTGCTCCTGCAGCTGCCGCAGCAGCCCCTCCCCCCTCCGCATTGAACCCCACGTTGGGGTCACTACTGGAGTGGATGGAGGCCCTTCACATTTCTGGGCCTCAGCCACAGCTGCAGCAGGTGCCCAGAGGTCAGAACCAGAGATCGCAGACCTCCCGGACCAGCTCGTGCCCCAAATGAAATGCCATCTCGAGCCCCTACAGCTCTACGGGAGGCCTCCCGGAACGAAAGTGGAAGAGGGGCCAGCCTCATCCCACTGCCAGCTGACCCTCAGTTCCTCAAACACAGTGAGTGAGGACGGACCTCAGGCTGTCTCTTCGGGTCACACCCAGTGTGAAAAGACGGCAGATACAGCACCAGGGCAGACACTCGCTCCCAGGGGTGGCTCCCCCATATCCCAGGCCTCTAGGCCCCGTAGATGCAAGTTTCCCCTGCTGCCACGCAGGCGAGGGGAGCCTTTGATGCTGCCACCTCCCTTAGAGCTGGGGTACCGGGTCACTGCTGAAGACCTGGACTGGGAGAAGGAGGCGGCATTCCAGTGCATCAACAGTGCACTGCAGGTTGAGGACCAGGCCATCTCGGACTGCAGACCCTCACGGCCTTCCCACACTTTGTCCTCACTTGCAACAGGGGCTTCTGGTCTGCCTGCCGTTTCTAAAGCACCCAGTATGGATGCACAGCAGGAGACACACAAGTCCCAAGACTGCCTGGGCCTAGTGGCCCCCCTGCATCTGCTGCACAGGCCTGTAGTCCCAGCTACTTGGGAGGCTGAGGCAGGAGAACGGCATAAACCCGGGAGGCAGAGCTTGCAGTGAGCTGAGATCGCGCCACTGCACTCCAGCCTGGGTGACAGAGCGAGACTCCGTCTCAAAAAAAAAGAAAAAGAAAAAAAGTTCTTGTGACATTTCTGTATGAAATCAGCCTTCACTACATGGATAGGACCAGCACGCTTCCGCGGCACGACTCTGCCATCTTACTACATTTTTTTTATTTTGTATTTTTTTTATTCCTTTTGAGACAGTCTCACTCTGTCACCCAGGCTGAAGTGCAGCCGAGATCTCGGCTCACTGCAACCTCCACCTCTTGGGTTCAAGCAATTCTCCTGTCTCAGCCTCCCAAGTAGCTGGGACTACAGGCACACATCAAAACGCCTGGCTAATTTTTGTATTTTTAGTAGAGATGGAGTTTTGCCATATTGGTCAGGCTGGTCTCGAACTCCTGACCTCAGGTGATCGACCTGTCTTAGCCTCCCGAACTGCTAGGATTACAGGTGTATGTTTATTTATTTATTTATTTAAGATGGAATCTTGCTCTGTATTTATTAATTTATTTATTTGAGATGGAGTCTTTCTCCATCGCCCAGGCTAGAGTGCAGTGGTGCAATCTCGGCTCCCTGCAACCTCTGACTTCCAGTTTCAAGTGATTCTCCTGCCTCAGTGTCCCAAGTAGCTGGGATTACAGGTGCCTGCCACCACAGCTGGCTAATTTTTGTATTTTTAGTAGAGACAGTGTTTCACCATCTTGGCCAGGCTGGTCTCGGGCTCCTGACCTCATGAACCACCTGCCTCAGCCTCCCAAAGTGTTGGGATTACAGGCCTAAGGCACCATGCTCAGCCATATTTATTTATTTAATTATTTAGAGACAAAGTCTTGCTCTGTCACCCAGGCTGGAGTGCAGTGGCGCCATCTCAGCTCACTGCAGCCTCCGCCTCCGAGGTTTAAGCGATTCTCATGCCTCAGCCTCCTGAGTAACTGGGACTACAGGTACTCACCACCATGCAGGGCTATTTTTTTCTATTTTTTTTTAGAGACACGGTTTCACCATGTTGGCCAGGCTGGTCTCGAACTCCTGACCTTAGGTGATCTGACAGCCTCGTCCTCTCAAAGTACTGGGATTACAGGCATGAGCCACTGTGCCCGGCCTCTCACTACATTTAAGTGACGCCATGGCTCATGCCTGTAATCCTGGCACTTTGGGAGGCCAAGGCAGGTGGATCACTTGAGGTCAGGAGTTCGACACGAGCCTGGCCAACATGGGGAAACCCCGTCTCTAGTAAAAATGCACAAATTAGTCAGGTGTGGTGGTACAAGCCTGTAGGCCCAGCTACTTGGAAGGCTGAGGCAGGAGAATCACTTTAACCGGGAGGCAGAGGTTGCAGTGAGCCAATATCATGCCACTGCACTCCAGCTTGGGTGACAGAGTGAGACACCGTCTCAAAAAAAAAAAAAAGAAAATAGAAAAACATATGATGCCGGGGCATCTCGGCCTCAATACCTGCATGAGCACAGTCATGTCCAGGCCAGGGCTGCTGGTCGAGGTCCGGCCCCATCTCTTTCAGCAGAAAGGGATTAAGGTTGCAGGGAGGCTGGGGGACAAGATCCCAGGATCTCAGCCTCCGCTCATGGATCAGCTCTGAGACCCCGAGTGAGCTGGGGGTGCTCTGTGCGCATTGGTTTCCCCAGCTGTCAAGTAAAGGGATTGGATGAGGAAGTCTTGTCAAGGTGGAATGATCTCAGATTTGGGGCAGCAGTGAATGATCCCGCTCCCTGGGCCATGCCAGTGGCCCGGCCTCGGCTGAACACAGCCCCAACACTCTGGAATGGGGATGAGGGGGCAGTCAGCTCTTGCTCCTAGTAAGAGAGATGCAATAGGGCTCTGTGGCTGAGCTGGGTGCCTTGCCTCACACCTGTAATCCCAACCTTTGAGAGGCCGAGGCGGGAGGATTGCTTGAGGCCGGGAATTTTGAGAATAGCCTGGACAACATAGCCAGACCCCATGTCTACAAAATAATAAGAAAACACACAGCTATAGTCCAAGCTACTTGGCAGGCTGAGGCAGGAAGGTCCCTTGAGTCCGGGAATTGGAGGCTGCATTGAGCTATAATCGCACCACTGCACTCCAGCTTGGGTGACAAAGTGAGACCCTGTCTCTAAAAGAAAAAAAAATTGGCCTGTGAGCATGGGTTTGATTTTCAAACAGGACCCGGAGGGTAGGGACAGACAGTGCTGTCATCCTTAGGTGCTGAACACTCAGAAACGGGCCAGCGGCAGCCCTTTCCTCACCTGCAGACACCAGATTGGGCAGAACAGCACGTGGCACTTGCAGCTCTTGCAGTGAGGGCAGAACCCAGTGTCAACCCTTCTGCCTGTGGGAGGGGCTGCTGAGGCCTGCGGAGAGGCCAGGGTGGAGGCTCGTCCCCTTGTCCAGCCCTTGGCGTGGTCTCCACCAGGTCCCCAGCCCACCAGTGTAGGGCGCCCCTGAGCCTGCTGCTGCCACGGGCCCTGTCTCTACCCAGGACGTCCCCACACCCTCGCAGTGTCAGGGAAATGATCATGGTGGCGGTGACACTCCGCAGGCAGGGCTGCTGAGAGAAGCTGAGAAGGGTCACACTGCAGGCAGGGGCCCGTGTGACAAGCCCCTCTCACCCCGAGAGAGCTGACCAGGCAGCTCACGAGCAGAGCCACATCCCGGGAGTCCGAGAAAGGTCCTGGCTGGGCTCAGCCACCTCATTGGCCACGGGCAGCCTTTGTCGTGTGAGCCTTGCTCTCCTGGGGAGGCTCAGGCTGACGGCTGATGTGGGCATTGCCGAGGGTAACCTGTGGCCCAGTGTATATGGCCGGCTCTCCTCAAGCTGCATTCATTCAAGTAGGACCCAGGGTGCATGCCCATCTCCAGCCCAGGGCAGCTCCCCTGTGAGCTGGGTGAGCTACTGAAGCCAAGGTGGGAGGCAGCTGACAACACCACCCACGGCCCATGCGGAGGTGGCAGAAAGGCTGGACTCAGCAGGAACACCAAATCCCGGACCAGGCAGAAACCACCCAAGACTGAGGGGCTCGTGCCAGAGCGGTGGCCACAGGTAAGAAACCGGGCCCAGGCTGTGTGGCAGGAATCCTCCACGTCCCAGGGCTTAGCATAGCAAAGGAAGACCAGCCGGGTCACCCTGGTGGCCATCTGTCCCTGTCCCACCTGCAGAGTCAGAACAGCCTCTCCCCAGTGGGGATCATCTCTCTCTGCCAAAGCAACAGCGGTCCCTGCCCCAACCAGACTACCCCACTCAGTGGGGTTACGGATGCTGCTCCAGCATCCTAACACTGCCCAGCTGGTGCCTGCCTGTGCTCACCCACACCCCCCAGGCCGGCCTTCCCTGCAGCCTGGGCTTGGCCACCTTGGCCTGATTGAGCACTGAGGCCTCCTGGGCACCCAGCCCCATCACTGCACCTGCTGCTTCCAGCCCCACCCCACCGGCTCAGGGGTTCTTCCCAGCGGCGCTGATCATGAAGTCAACATGCACGCAAGTCGTCTCAGGAAACTTTTTAATGAAAGTGTCGGCCACGGTGGTGTGTAGGTGGCTGAGCTCAGATTGCAGCTGCTAAGACACCAGCCACTTACCAAGAGAAAGCCAGGCTGCTTCAAACTCAGGGCCCGCGGCAAAAAAGGATCACTTCCGGCCGGGGAGTCTGGAAGCCACGCCTTGTGGGAGGTCACACTGGCATCTAGGCCTTTGCCTGCACTGCAGAAGGAGAGCCGGGTCCCCCTCCTGGAGAACGCTGCGTTCCCCAGCCCCACACCGGCTTTGCCACCACACAGGCTGTTGAGGCAGGAGGCGGGTAAGACGTAGCTGTAGACCCAAAGCAACCACCAGCCCTGGGACCCTGCGGGAGAGGAGCACTTTTAGAACATGGAAAAGTGTGGTCATCCCATCATTAGACAGCACACATCCTACATAAATAAAAAGTCCTATGGGGAAGGAGGTTGGGGAGGGAATAAAAAATTGGCACAGACATTGATAGACTGGTTTCCAGTTTCAAGGTAACAGATGCACATCATGAGACCAGAGGAGGCAGAGACAAGGCTGGATTTGGCTTTTCTAAGCAACATGTGTTCCTGCGCAGGGCTGAATGGTCGCTGAGACAGAGATGGAAGCCAGGACAAGGGAGCCCACCGGGCCCAGATAGGTACAGAGAGCAGAGGCTCCTGTTCTGTCCTCGCCACCCACGAGGGTGACACTGCTTGTAAATGGTGGCTGTGCTCTCCCAGCAAGTAAAAAGCACAACTAAATCCACACTGCACACAGACGCAGACAGGAAGCCTTCAAGGGGCTCTGTTTTCTGCTCCCTGCCTTGCCAGGTCCACAAGCAGAGAGGAGTGTCAGGCGCATGGCCCCACTGTCAGGCTCCCCAGTGAGCTGCGGGTTCAGCAGGAGCTGCCCACTGACACACAGGGGACACCCACTCCTGCCACCTTGGGAGCGGTTGCCAGACAGAGCCGCACTGGGTGCTGGTGTCATCCAGGGACCCCACACACTTCCTTAAATGTGATCCTGCTTCCCTCTGGGGAGCTGCATCCTCTCCTCCTGCAGGACTGTCTGGAAACTTGGCTCTCAGTTTGCTCTCCCTTCTCTCCTCTGCCTGCCCCAAGCCCCTCTTTCTAAAAAAGTGATGGAATATTCATGGGGTTATTTCTTGAAAATACTTGGCGGCCTCCATGCTTCTGTTTTCTTTGAGCCAGGTGGTCAGGAGGGCTTACAAAGAATGCCTGGGCTCCCCCGCAGGTGCCGGCAGATGGGGTAGCGAATGGTCCTGTGCCTCCACCTGCTCCGGGAGGGAGTCTCCCGTCTCTAGGCCTGGCCCCTTCCTAACCCTCCACGTATCCTGTTCTCCAGAGACTTCAGAACCCACTCCTGAGAACAGCGGAGCCAGGCGCTTAGAGGAAGACCAAATGCTGCCAGGACACGGATTGTCCAGGGATTACATTCCAGCATCTTATTAGGTATCTGGATCTGCTGGGAAAAAAATTAGAAACTATGTATAAAACTTAAAAATATTCAAGCATCAAAAGGTTATTTAGGATGAAAGTTTTAAAACAAGTCATCAGCAAGCTGCTACCACCAAGTGGAGACTTATACAAAAGTTGAGCGAGTCCACTGAGCTGAGAGGACAGAAATGAAGTCACCTGTGCTGGGGCAGGGGCAGGGACACTGGGGGCAGGGAGTGTGTGGGCAGAGAAGCCAGAGAAGTCCAGGCCTGTGGAAGCCAAACAGGAGAGCGTGGGCCGGAAGGGCGGTCAGGATCGGGGGACGAGGTCGCTCTCCCTGGAGAACGAACCCTAAGGTGCGTAGCCTGGGATTCCCTCCCTGGGGGTCCTGTCCCCCGACATTTCACGGGCCTTCTGAGCTGCTTTCCAAGGAGGACTAACACGGCAACAAAAGACCCATTTCTGCACAAAAATCCTTCTGGAAAGAAAAAGAAGCAAGCCAAGAATGGAGTCAAAACGCTACCCAGTGCTGACTAAGCCTCTCAAACCCTGTTCTAAGTGGAGTGTGGTTTCTAAGTCAGGGAAATGGAAGAGGCCCCACCCACACAGGGACAGGGCCACGGCCCCCACAGGATGAAGCAGCAGCATTTATTCAAGATACAACAGTGAGGGAATCCGGTCACGTTCCCTTCTCCCCAGAGAGGGCGCTTCTTGACAAGTGATTCAGTAGAAATCTTTTAGACTCTATAAGTTAAGTTCATAAAAACCACTGCTTTCACCCTGTCTCCCAGGGCCAGGCCTGGACTCCAAGATGAACTGGCTTGGGGCGCCCTCGGGTGGCCACATAAAAAACCCACAGTCTGAGGCCAGCCTGGGGCTTTCAGACCTGGGCGGGATCTGCCCAGGCCACCTGTCCTTCTGCTTTGGGCCACTGTCTCTTGGCAGATGGCCTGACACCTGGGGGTGGCCCAAGGATGCCTCAGAAAATCTTGATTCCCACTCTACAGATGGCCCGATTAGCCAGAGGTTTCCAGGCCATCTGTCCGCCTCCAGGAGATGGACTGGGACCTTTAGACATCGGTGGAGAACAGGATGCTCTGTCTCTTGCTGTCCAGGGCAGGGATGGCCTCCAGCCGCAAGAAGTACAGCAGCACCTCGACCTGCCCTCGCAGAGTGGGGAAGAGGAGAGTGGCTCAGAGGGGGGCTCACAGCTGCTGGTGGGGAGGTCTTTGGGGCCCAAGCCCCCAAGTCCACCTCAGGTGCTAGAAACCCCTGCTGGTGTCATGAACCCCTTACAGTGAGACGGGGGTGGGGTGGGGTCCTGACAAGGCATGACTTGTTGGGTGGGGGGTGGTTATTTATTTTAGAGATGCACAGGGCCTTGCTCTGTCCCCCAGGCTGGAGTACAGTGGCTCCATCATGGATCACTGCAGCCTCTAACTCCTGGGCTCAAGCAATCCTCCTGTGTCAGCCTCCCAGATACCTAGGATTACAGATGTGTGCCACAATGCCTGACTAATTTTTCTTTCTATTTTTTCTGGAGATGGGGTTTGCTGCATTGCCCAGACTGATCTCAAACACCTGGGTTCGGTTGTCCTGCCTTGGCCTCCCAAAGTGCTGGGATTACAGGCATGAGCCACCACACCTGAACACTTGGGGTGGTTTTAAGCCCCCAGCAAGATGCACCAGCAGGACCAGGAGGTGGCCTGGGCACCCCCTATCACTCCCATCCATGCAAACCTAGGCAAGTCCCTCTCTCTGAATCTCAGCCACCACCACATACAATGCAAGTGGGAAGATGGGCAGGACTGGGGGTGGGGCAGGCAGAGGCCACCTCTGTCAGGCTGGGGTTGCATGGGCTGGAGGCTGTCTTCCCATACCTGGGACATGACCTCCAAGGACCTGCTGTCAGTCATGGTGATGGGCTGGCTGGGGTTGGCAGGGAGCTTGCTCTCCTTCTCGGAGGGCCAGAGCAGCGTGGGGCCAAACACCGTGCCAAGGTTGTGCAGGGACATCTTATTGACTGCCTCCTTCTCTGCCACCCTGTAGAGGACCGAAGCAGAGGGTGCTGTTTCAACGCCACCACCAGGAGAGAGGCAGAGGGGCTGTGCCATGCTAGAGTCCTCAGGGAGGGAGTGACCTCGACCCTGGCTGTGCTGCAAGCTGACTCCAGCCTTGGTACTTCTGGGTCTCAGTGGCCCGGGACAAGGGGCCAGCTCTGGGCTGATGGGGAGGTCTTCATGATGTGCTTGGGAGGGAAGTGGGGGCGGTCCAAATGCACTGCTGGCCACGGCCAAAGCTCTGAGCTCTTTGTTAAGGCCACAGTGCAGAGGGAGGCGGGTGGCAAAGAGGAGAGGCAGGGGCAGGGGTGGCAGTGGTGCTAGTCCTTAGAAGCAGTGAGTTACTGCAGACAGGGGTCGGGGGAAAAGGTCCTTGGTGCTGGGGGTCTGGTGGGAGCAGAGGGGCACCCCAACGGCCTGGAGACCTGGAGTCCTGGGCAGCCACAAGAGAGCTGGGCTACCTTTCCAGGTGGTCTAGAAGGAAAAGGAAGGTGAGCAGGTTGGCCTCCGGCAGGGACGACAGCAGGTTGAGCATGCAGCTCTTCTTTGCAACTGGGTCTGAAAGAGCTGCAGGAGGCAGTGGGTCACTCCCCTGGGTTACGACAAGCCGGAGACCTCTCCCGAGGTGGTCACATGGAGCGCCCGGGACACGAGTCCTTGCGCAGTTTAGGCTTGTCATCATCGTCACACCCACAGCGCTGGCCGCCAGTGAGGACCCTGTGAGGGGCACCTGTGTGGGGTGTGAACCACCTGAACGCCTTTTCTCTACCTCGCAGGGGTCAGCAGCACCTGGCGAACAGCAGCAGGAGGAGCCGCTAGAGCAGCTGCTCATGGGCAGAGCAGCCCTTGGGCAACTCCTGCCACCACCCCCTCCCCAGGGAGCCCAAGGCAGGGGAGGCTCAGCATGGAATGAAACAGCGGAGTGAGGGACACAAGGAGGTGGGAAGTGGGAGGGTCCCAGCCCCACCAAGTACGCAGAGACCCCCTCGTCGTCCTGGACACCACAGGGGCACCTGCAGGCTGGGAGACCAGGTCCTCTGTGCATGGGCCCGGGAGGCAGACCTGCCCTAAGGGTGATGCAGAGGCCACAGGTGCTGCACGCTCCAGCGCCCACTCTAGACATCAGCCTCCAGGTTGACTAAGGGTCAGGTCATGTTTGAAACCATGCTTGGCTGGACCAGGACCCATGGCAAGAGCACCTGGGCACCAGTGTTTAGCCCTGGTCTGCAGGAAGGAGGACAGCAGACTTTAGGACCCCACAGCACGGCAGTGCTGACCATTTCACCCACTTGGCCTCCTTGAGGAATAGGGATGGGGAGCCCTCTGGGGATGGGCAAGGCCTTCCAGGACAGGCTCGGTTCTGGTCCCCTGCTTTTTGAGGTTGGGTTAAAATGCCGACCATGGCAGAGGGGTTACAACTCAGGTTCCCACACCTCGCTTTTCACAGCCTCCGAGGGCAGCAGTGCACATGGGGGAGACATCTCCCACGAGGCCAAGGCCTCCAGTGCTCACCGATGCCCTCTGTGAAGTTGGGGTAGAACTCGTCAGTGAAAAGGGGCTCGGGCAGCTCACGGAAGTACAGCTTCAGCATGCCTGCGATGGCGTTCACGTCCATCTCGCTCATCATCACCGACACGTCCTTGTTATCTGGAAAGAGCATGGAAATGCAGCGGCCTCCTTGAAGATCCTGAGTGAGTCACCCGCCATCCCTGCCTTGGCTAAAGCACCGTCCCTGCCACACTGACCACTGTGCGGGTCCCTCCTGGGCTTTGAGCAGCTCATCTGACTCCTCCCAAGAGCTGTGCATGGTTCTGTGTCTGCAGAGTTGATAGGGGTGCGTGGGCATTCCCATTCCTCTCCCCTGCTTGGCCTGATGTGATGGCCAGGAGGAGGCCAGCATGGCAGGACACAGCGCCTGCGTGGGGATTGGGTGGCTCTGCCCTGTACATAGCAACCACCCCTGCACCAGTGTCGTCTGATAGCAGGAAGGCCGTGGGAGAATCTGATTGGTTTCAGTGTTTGAACCGGTGTCTTCCTTTGGACCCAATTGGCCATTGGTGCTTACATCCTCACCACAGGCCAGGTTCATTCTGGGCCCCCAGAGGGAGCTGAAACTACCACAGGGCCCTCCCAGGGATGCTGGGCATTCTAGGGGTCCTGGTCAGGGTGGGTGGTGTGTGCTGCAAAGAAGGGCCTGCAGGCACAAAATCCTGTTGCTTTGAAGATGCTGGGAGGGACCCTCTGGGGTCTCAGTGCCCTCCCCTGGCATTTGAGGCCAGTCTGGGTCCTTCAAAGCCTGTGAGGGTTGGTGAGATGGAGGCGGAGATGCTGCAGCCCCGGCCTGCGCTGAATTTCATCAGTGCCCTCTGCCCACCACATCCTCATACAGGGCAGTGGACAGACCGCACTGAGTCCTGGGCTTCCACCTCCTGTCCACCCCCAAGGCAGGAAGGCCAAGTCCCCACAGAAGCCCCTGGTCCACTCCACCAAGTGGCATGAGTGGGTACGATGGTGTAAAAACTGGCTTCTATAGAAGCTGTTTGTACAACTCTTGTTTTCTCTTTTTTTAAAATAATAAAACAGTAAATGAAGAAAAGACACAGAGAAGGATGTGACATGCCTGGGCCATGGAGCACTCTGAGATCTCATCGCGGACACCACTGCCCACACCTCCATCCCGTCCTGCGCAGGCCGACACTCACTGACGTTGAAGCCTGCCTTCAGTGCCTGGATGTCCGTGGCCACCCCAGACATGCGGTAGATGCCCACCTCCTCCATGCCTCGGCGCTCGATCTCCTCCACACACTGGCGCACGATGTAGGGCACCTTGGACCTCTCTCTCCTGCGGGAGGAGGGAATGTTCTCAGTGTCCTAACAGCCCTGCTTGGGCCATAACACAGGAGACCTGCTCCCTATGTGCACACCCGGAGGTGGGGTGAGGACGGTGACGAAGGTACCCAGGTCTGGGGCTGCACACAGAGCCTTCTGCATGCCTGTCCTCCCTCTGCAAGCTCTGTCCTCATGGCATGTACTTTCTCAGGAACCTTTCAAGCGGCCAGAACCCCTGCGAATCACACATGACCTTTGCGGGAAGGTCAGGAGGCCTGTCTAAGTCAAGTCAGCACGGGAAGGGCATCTGACAGATTCCAGGCCTGGGGTTAGCAGCCTGTGCCCCCGTCTGGGAGGTCAGACCCGGTGTTGGTCCTGCCACCCACGTGCTGTGTGAGAGGAGAATCCCTGACCCCTGCCCTGGGCCTGGGCCTTAACACACATCCGACGAATGAATGAAGGGTTGCCTCAGCACCGGTGCTCCAAGTCCTGCGATGCTAAGTGCTTTTCTCCTCTGAGTCTTAGCAATGGACAATTCCAATACCTCCACACAGGACACTAGAGTAAGAATCCTTCACAGTTAGAACGCAGTGCTGTGCGGAGGCCTTAACTTGAGTTCTGTTTTGCACCTGGATTTACCAGCACATCAAAGCTGCTTCGCAAGCCCCCTCATTAGCAGGGCTTATCTGGGGGAGCTGCTGATGGAGTCCTCGCTGCTCATGCCCACAGCCCTCCCAGAGTGCTATGCGAGTGGGGGTGGGGCGTGGTGTTTAGACACAGATAGGAGTCCAGGGTATGACTGATGGAGGCCCCGGCCCACGTGACCAGCAAGGTCAGAGGCCCAGCCAGATTCCATCCTAGGGAGGCAAATGAATTCTCAGAGGAAGTGGTCTATGTCTGCATGAACTGCTCTCAAACCAACAAACAGGCTTCTCTTGGCAACTGACTCGTGACAAAGGGGCAGGGGTTACAACCATTCAACAGGAATCTGGGACCGTGACTAATTCCAAGCAAGGGCAGAAAACCCTGCACTTGGGCAGTTCCTGGAGCCAGCCTACTGCTTCCAAGCAAGGTGGCAAGGACATTCCTGAGCTGGTTTGCAGGAAACACAGGAGGTAGCTGAAGACGCCGTGTTCCCTGGGGCCTGACCTCACCGTGCAGTGGCCACGCACAGAGAGGAGAGACCCACACATGCTCTTTTCTGCAGAAACAGCTGAAGGGACAGGCACCCTCAGTGCGTGAGCCCAAGCCCCTCCCCACTCACTTGGTGACCACAGCAATCTTGACTCCGAAGACCCCTGTCTGTTTTCGGGACGGCATCCTCTTCAAGCTGAACTTCCTGCTGTTGAACTTGACCGAGAGCTTTACTTCGATCTACAGTGGGGAGAAGGGGCACAGTCCTCTAATCCTTCTGGTCCTCATAGCCCAAGGTCCCAAGGACCCCTGGGAGTCTCATCAAATATTTCCACCCCCAAGGCATGCAGAGGTCTCAGCATGAGGTGGAGCCGCCCCTCGGGGAAGCCCCTAGTCTACTTCAGCAAGAGCCAGGATTGTTGAAGATGATGTAAACGACTGGTTTCTGCAGAAGCACCTCCTAAAATCCCCGCTGCTTCTCTTGCTTGCTTACTTTTTTTTAAGATATGGGATCTTGCAATGTTGCCCAGGCTGTAATCAAACTCTTGGGCTCCAGTGATTCTCCTGGTTCAGCCTCCAGAGTAGCTGAGATTATAGTGTACTGTGACCAGCTTTCTCTTAGTAACAATTAAAAATTAAGTAGGAAAGACAGAATAATGTAAGAAAAAGCCAAGAATCTCAAATATTAACATTTTACCATTTATACCCGGGCCTTTTTGGGTGTGTCATTGCTTTTAAGGCCTAAACCTTTCTGGGGTACCTAAAGACAAATCAGGGGTCTCCATTTCTATGGGCAGCCCCCAGGTCCCTGAGTGGAGGCCCCACCTGTCCTGGTGGTGCCATGAGACCTTTGTTTGAGGAGGGATGCTCAGGGCCTGGCTGGCAACTGCATTCCAGCCAATGAATGACGATTCCCGTGCATGGTGATTCTGCTCTTGGGGGCCCTCCCTTCTCCAACCAGGCTCCCTCTCAGATGCTGCCTCAGGCTCAGCCACCTCTGACTGATTTGAAATGAACAGAGGCCACCCTATCCTTCTGGGGGAAGTGGGCGCCAGGAGAGTCCCACGGACACGTACCCCATTCATGGCGATGACGGCGCGCTGCCAGTCTCTGTCCTGCAGGGCCTGTGGGTCCAGCTGAAAGGAAGGAGTCATGATTGGCAGAGGCCCTGGGGTCTGTTCAGAGGCCCCACGGGGCAGCAGCCCACACCCGCCACTTCCCCAACCCTTAGTCAGAGGCAGAGCCCGACTGCGGCCAGCACCTCCATCCAGAGGCTGAGAGACGTAGAGTAAGGAGGGGCCTGCCAGACACCCCTGGAACCCAGGGCCCCACTGCTCCCAGAGCCCTGCTGCCTGGGGTCCCCACCCCCTCCTCCCTCTGCCCCGCCCAGTTGGGAGCTGATGTGCAGGCTGGCAGGCTCTCTCCATCCGGCTCCCATCACCACGGGTGCTATGTGGAGCTCAGTGAAAGGCGAGCTGTCCAGCAGCAACTTCAGTAACAACTCCTGGGGGCCTGGCATCCACAGCTGCTGTCTGGGGAATTGTGGACACTGTTCTCCCCCTGCACCATGAACAGCTTGTGGCGGGAGGAGCCTGCAGGCCACACCAGTCCCATGGTTCAGAATCAGGCCCAGAAGGACCCAGAACCAAGCCCTAAATCAAGCAGCTGATGAGGGGGCCGGGAGGAAGCCCCTCTGTGACCCCTCTAACTTCTACCCCCAGCCAGCACTATCCAGGCAGCTAGCCTGCAGGAGCTTGTCCTTAATGTCACCCGAACACAGTCTGTCCTGGTATGTAACACCCTGACTGTCATGACCAAGCCACATGTCCCCCACCCAGGAACGCTCTGTTTCCCACTTTATGGGGAGCACAAGCTCTATGTCAGCGGTTCCTGGGTATGCCAAGACCACTGGCTGGGCTGGGTGAATGAGCAGTACCATCTTGTTAAAAATACACCTTCCTGGGTTCCACCTGCAGAGAACTGGACTCATAATCTGAGTGGGACCTGGGATTTGCACAGCTAGAAACCCCAGGTAGTTCTGGAGTGAAGCCAGGTCACGGAGCCACCGTCTGACTCCATAGAAGGCCACTGCATCTGGCCTTGTGTTTCCATCCCTTGATTCAGGTGATGGTTCACTTCAGCCACAAGGCAAGCTGCCTAACAGCAGGGACCACACCTCATGATGTCTGCACACATTCACATGCGTGCACATATACATACACACACACGACGGTGCTGAGCACAGCGCCAGGCCTAGAGAGGGGCTGAGGACAGGCATCATTTCCACTGCAAGGGACCCTAGCGGCTACAGCCACCTGGGCCTTCTGCAGGTGAAGTGGCCAGAAAATAAGAAGCTCTGGAGCAGGTCAAGGAGCCCAGCCAGCTGCCCCTACTTCACAGGTGTGTGCACCTGGGCCTCCCTCCCTGCACCTGCTCAGCACGAAGGCTCACCACAGGCACACCTGGGGGGTGACCCCTTCTCACCTCCCCTTCTAGGTCCTACTGGTTAACGTTTCCCAAGGCTCTGAACTGTGCAGCCAGAGTGGCACAGAGAAGCAAAGGGCGGCGGGACGTCTCCCACCGGGGGCCATGTGGCCACAGGCTCTCATTCCGCACCTGGCCCTGAAGGTCGTCAGAGGCCACACTCCAGGCCTCAGGGACCCCACCCTGAGAAGCAGCATCTGTGAGCAGGGAGCGGTCAGTCAGAACCACACATAAAAAGGAAACTCTCAAGTGGCACTTTCCCCCGGAGTGAACCCTAAGCAGAGGCAGGAGAGGACAACATGAGGGATGCGGACAGAGTGCGCTTTCTCTGGAAAGGAGGAGTTTATACCACTGCTGGGAGCTTTAAAAAATGGAAACCCTGCCTGTGATATCAGCACTTTGAAAGGCCGAGGCAGGAGGATCACTTGAGCCCATGAGTTTAAGACCAGCCTGGGCAATATAGTGAGACCTTGTCTGTATTAAAAAAAAAAAATTTAAAAAGGCAGCCAAGCATGGTGGCACATACCTGCAGTCCCAGCTGCTTGAGAGGCTGAGGTGGGAGCATTGCTCGAGCCTGGAAGGTGGAGGCTGCTGTGAGCCACGATCATGCCATTGCACTCCAGCCTGCGCAACAGAGCGAGAGACCCTGGCTCTAACTAACTAACCAAGTAACTGGAAACATAGAAACATGTTAAACAGGAGACATTCTTCCCTTTCCTTCAAAGAACAGCCATCACTGGGCCCCTCTCCCCTTGAAAACTCAGAACTGGCAGAAGCAGCTAACAAGCAACCCAGAGTCCAGGTAAGAAAAGACAGAAAGAGAAGCTGCCCAGACATCAGGCAGCTGCCCCTCTGAGCCCGCCTGGAACCAAGGCCCACATGCCAGCCCATTAATAAAATAATAATGAAAACTACTCACATCTAACAAGAGATTAGACATCCAGATAGAGGAGGCTCAAATATCCCCAAACAATGCAATGCAAAGGGTCTTTGCCGTGGCAAACTATAATCAGACTATTTAAGGTCAATGTGAAAATGCGAAATCTAAAACCACCAAGAGAAAAGAATCTAGTCACCTATAAAGCAAACCCCATCAGATGAAGAGCAGATTTCACAGCCCAGCAAATAGAAAACATGTGCTTAAAGGCATAGGAGGCAGAGAGGTACAGGGCTGGAGACAGGCAAGGCCAGCATTCCCCTCAAGGCGACGGCCAATCCTGGAAGAGGAGGCTGAGAGACAGAGCAGTGATTCTTTTTTTTTTTTTTGAGACGGAGTCTCACTCTGTCACCCAGGCTGGAGTGCAGTGGCATGATCTCGGCTCACTGCAACCTCCACCTCCTGGGTTCATGCCATTCTCCTGCCTCCACCTCCTGAGTAGCTGGGACTACAGGCGCCTGCCACCACGCCCGGCTAATTTTTTGTATTTTTAGTAGAAATGGGGTTTCACCGTGTTAGCCAGGATGGTCTCGATCTCCTGATCTCATGATCTGCCCGCCTTGGCCTCCCAAAGTGCTGGGATTAGAGGCGTGAGCCACCACGCCCAGCTGATTCTTTTTTTAATTCTTCCTTCCTTTTTTTTTTTTTTTTTTTGCTTTTTACTTTGCTGAAACAGGGTTGCCATTACTTTTAAAGGCAAAAACCGCAATTACTTTTGTACCAACCTAATAATATATTGCTCTGGCTGGTTTCAAATTCCTGGCCTGAAGCAATCCTCCTGCCTCAGTCTCCCGAGTAGCTGGGACTATAGGCGTGAGCCACCACACCTGGTCTAGAGCAGTGCTGTTGACTTACTCATGTGGCTGAGGGAGGGGATGCCATAATACCCCACACATGGGGTGCAGGTTTCTTACTCTAGGAGTCACAGTCAACCAGAAATAAAGCAGCCCTCAGGAGCACTGGATCCAGCTTCAGATCATCTCAGTCACTCAAATGCATAAAGGAGATCTCAGAATTTCAGAGCCCTAGGCCTCAAATTATTTTATTTTTATTTATTTATTTATTTGAGACAGCATCTCACTCTGTTGCCCAGGCTGGAGTACAGTCTCAGGATCATGGCTCACTGCAGCCTCGATCACCCAGGCTCAAGTGAGCCTCCCACCTCAGCGTCCCAAACAGCTGGGACTACAGGCACACACCACCACCACACCCAGCTAATTTTTTATTTTTTGTAGAGATGGGGTTTCACCATGTTGCGCAGGCTGATCTTGAACTCCTAGGCTCAAGCAATCTGCCTGCCTCAGCCTCCCAAAGTGATGGGATTACAAGCATGAGCCATCATGCTTGGGCTCGAAATTATTTTTAAAAATTATTTCTGGCTGGGCGCAGTGGCTCACGCCTGTAATCCCAGCACTTTGGGAGGCTGAGGTGGGCAGATCACGAGGTCAGGAGTCTGAGACCAGCCTGACCAACATGGTGAAAACCCATCTCTACTAAAAATACAAAAATTAGCCAGGCGTGCTGGCACCTGCCTGCAATCCCAGCTACTTGGGAGGCTGAGGTAGGAGAATTGAACCCTGGGATGCAGAGGTTGCAGTGAGCCGAGATCACATCATTGCACTCCAGCTTGGGCAACAAAGCGAGACTCCATCTCAAAAAAAAAAAATTATTTGTAACAATTTTTATACACAACTTCCATTGCCAAATTAAAAACAACCAAGCAAACAAGGAAATAAGACAGCAGGAACAAAACTCAAGAGAAAGCACAGACAACTTTGAAAAAGGCCCATAGGATCTCCAGAATATAAAATCATCAGACCATGTACTTTAAAATAAATTCTTTACATGTGTATCAAGGATATAAAGAAATAATTAAGAATTTCATCAGAAAACTGGCAGCTACAAAAAATGGATGCACTAGGTGTGGTGACTCATGCCTGTAATCCCAGCACTATGGGAGGCTGAGGTGGGTGGATCACCTGAGGTCAGAAGTTCAAGACCAGCCTGACCAATATGGTGAAACCCCATCTCTACTAAAATTACAAAAATTAGCCAGGCATGGTGGCATGCTCCTGTAGTCCCAGCTACTCGGGAGGCTGAGGCAGGAGAATCACTTGAACTGGGAGGGGGAGGTTGCAGTGAGCCGAGATCGCACCACTCTACTCCAGCCTGGGCGACAGAGCGAGACTCCGTCTCAAAAAAAAAAAAAAAAAAAAAAATGGAGGCTGGGAGTGGTGGCTTAGGCCTATAATCCCAGCACTTTGGGAGACAGAGGTAGGCCAATCACATGAGGCCAGGAGTTCAAGACCAGCCTGGCCAACATGGCAGAACCCCATCTCTACTAAAAATACAAAAATGAGTTAGGCATGGTGGTAATCCCAGTTACTCGAGAGGCTGAGGCATGAGAATCCCTTGAACCTGGGAGATGGAGGCTACAGTGAGTTGAGATTGCACCACTGAACTCCAGCCTGGGCAACAGATAGAGACTCAAAAAAAAAAAGTCTCAAAAAAAATGGAATTAGGAACTCAATTTGAACAGCACACTAGACACAAACATAAAAAAAATAGTGAACTGGTATGTATGTATGTATGTATGTATGTATGTATGTATGTATGTATTTATTTATTTATTGAGACAGGGTCTCACTCTGTTGCCCAGGCTAGAGTGCAGTGGCATGATCTCGGCTCACTACAACTTCCACATCCCGGGTTCAAGCAATTCTCCTGCCTCAGCCTCCCAAGTAGCTGGGATTACAGGCACCCACCACCACGCCCGGCTAATTGGGAGATAGTTTGATACAAACTATACAAATTGAAGTACAAAGAGAAAAATAGATAGAACATACAGGAATGGATTAAGAGACATGGGGGATACTTTAACAAGGCATAAGTCATGTGAAATTGGAGTCTCATAAGGAGAGTAGAGAGAGGATGGGGAAGACGTAATACTTGAAGAGATAAAGCTGACAATTTTCTAAAATGGACAAAAAAGAATCAAGTCATGGAATGAAGAGCCACCTCAATGCATCAGTGTAAACTGCTCAAAACAAAGACAAAACTTTTCAAAGCAGCCAGAGGAAAAAAGATACTGCCTTCAGGCCAGGGTTGGGGGCTGGCTCATGCCTGTAATCCCAGCATTTGGGAGGCTGAGGCGGGCGGATCACCTGAAATGAGGAGTTTGGGATCAGCCTGACCAACATGGCAAAAGTTCATCTCTATTAAAAATACAACAATTAGCCAGGTGTGATGGTGGACACCTGTAATCCCAGCTACTTGGGAGGCTGAGGCAGAAGAATCACTTGAACCCAGGAGGCAGAGGTTGCAGTGAGCTGAGATTGCACTACTGCACTCCAGCCTGGGCGACAGAGTAAGACTCCATCTCAGAAAACACAACAACATAAAAAGCCATTGCCTTCAAATGAGCAAAATTAGATTGAGAATTGGCTTCCCAATAAAAGCAGGAGAAATCAGATACAAGGAATCATGTTTTCAAACTGAGGAAAGAAAATATCTGCCAACCTAGAATTCTATGCTCACTAACAATATCCTTCAAAAGTGAAAATGGCTGGGCATGGTGGCTCCTCCCTGTAATCCCAGCACTTTGGAAGGCCGAGGCAGGTGGATCACCTGAGGTCAGAAGTTCGAGACCAGCCTGGCCAACATGGTGAAACCCCATCTCTACCAAAAATACACAAATTAGCCAGATGTGGTGGTGGATGCCTGTAATCCCAGCTACTCAGGAGGCTGAGGCACAAGAATTGCTTGAACCCGAGAGGTGGAGGTTGCAGTGAGCCAAGATCTTGCCACTGCACTCCAGCCAGGGTGACAGAGCAAAACTCCATCTCAAAAAAAAAAAAAACAGGCCAGTCACGGTGGCTCATGCCTATAATCCCAGCACTTTGAGAGGCCGAGGTGGGCGGATTGCCTGAAGTCAGAAGTTCAAGACTAGTCTGACCATCATAGGGAAACCCGGTCTCTACTACAAATACAAAAAAATTATCCAGGCATGGTGGCATGCACCTGTAATCCCAGCTCCTTGGAAGGCTGAGGCAGGGGAATTGCTTGAACCAGGGAGATGGAGGTTGCAGTGAGCCGAGATCATGCCACTGCACTCCAGCCTGGGCAACAGAGTGATACTCCGTCTCAAAAACAAACAAACAAACAAAAATTAGCCAGACGTGATGGCTAACACCTGTAATCCCAGCTACTCAGGAGGCTGAGACGGGAGAATCACCTGAACCCAGGAGGTAGAAGTTGCAGTGAGCTGAGATCCCACCACTGCACTCCAGCCTGGGCCACAGAGCAAGACTCGGTCTCAAAAAACAAACAAAAAAGTGAAAGTGGAATATATATGTGTGTGTGTGTGTGTGTGTGTGTGTGTGTGTGTGTATGTGTATATATGTGTGTGTGTATATGTGTGTATATATATGGAATATATATGTATATTTTGTCCATGACATAGCCCTCAGGAGATCCTTGACCATGTGCTGAAGGATATTTTTTCCCAAAGATATTTTTATAAATAAAAATAAAGGGTAACAGAAGAGGTAGATGTGTGGGTAAATCTAAATGAATGTTATTGGTATGAAATTACAGTAGTATAGAAAATGATATCTTGTGGGGTTTAAAATAAATAAAACATACTGAAATATGTATGGGTACAGTTATATATCTGGGATTTGCACTGAAATAATGTGGGGTAGAGGGAAGCAGGAAAGAGTATACATGAAATGAGCTTGGCCATAAGATTGTTGTTGAAATTGAATGGATACTCGGGGCTTCATTACACAATTCTCTTTACTCTTACATAGCTCTACACTCTCAACATAAATAAGAATAAAAACACAAAAAACACACAGATACATCTATGCACACACATATGTTTAAAATACACAAAAATATTAGCATATAAGTCACTGGGGGTAAATTTAGTTCCTGTTCCAAGGTTCTTCTACTGACTAGGAAGAGGATAGAAGTACTAACTCATAGGCTGGGCGTGGTGGCTCACGCCTGTAATCCCAACACTTTAGGACGCCGAGGTAAGCAGATCTCTTAAGGTCAGGAGTTCAAGACCAGCCTGGCCAACATGGTGAAACCCTGTCTCTACTAAAAAAGAATACAAAAATTAGCCGGGCATAGTGGTGCACACCTGTGGTCCCAGCTACTCAGGTGACTGAAGCAGGAGAATTGCTTGAACCCAAGAAGTGGAGGTTGCAGTGAACCAAGATTGCTCCACTGCACTCCAGCCTGGGCAGCAGAGGAAGACTCTCTCTGTCTCAACCACAACAAAAAGTACTAGCTCATGTTAGGCTTTGATAAGTGAAGGATGCATGTTGTAAGCTCTAAAATAATCCACTGTCATCTTTTAAAATAACTCTAAGACTGCACAGTTATGAAACTAATAGAGAAGGAGGAAATTAAATAATAAAAATAATAAATCCAAAACAAGATGTGAGAGGAGATAAGAAGAAATAGAATAGGCATGGAAAACAAATTGGTGGTGGGTTTCAACGTAAATAAATCATTAGTTACATTTAAAAGGACAATAAAAATTAAAATAATTGAAAATAAAGTAAAACCCAACTAATGCCTTTTATATAAGGATACAGAGAGGTAGAAAATAATGAAAAATATGTCATGCATGTACTAACCAAGAAAGCTGTATAACTTTTTTTTTTTTTTTTTTTTTTTTTGGAGATAGAGCCTCACTGTCTCCCAGGCTGGAGTGCAATGATGTGATCTTGGCTTACAGCAATCTCTCCCTTCTAGGCTCAAGCGATTCTCCCACCTCAGCATCCCAAGTAGCTGGGACTACAAGTGTGCCAACTTAGAATTATATTAGCCACACCCAGCTAATTTTTGTATTTTTTGTAGAGGCAGGGTCTCGCCATGTTGCCCAGGCTGGTCTTGAACTCCTGGGCTTCAGTGATCCACCCACCTCGACCTCCAACAAAGTGCCGAGATTACAGCCATGAGCCACCATGCCCAGCATAACTATTTTTAATGAAGTAGACTTTAAGAAGAAAAGTATTATTAGAGGTAAGAGACACATCACGGAAAAGAAGAATTTACTAGGAGCCAGGCGTGGTGGCTCATGTGAGGCACTTTGTGAGGCCAAGGCGGCGGATCACCTGAGGTTGGGAGTTCAAGACCAGCCTGACCAACATGGAGAAGCCGTGTCTCTACTAAAAATACAAAAATTAGCCAAGCATGGTGGCATATGCCTGTAATCCCAGCTACTCAGGAGGCTGAGGGAAGAGAATTGCTTGGACCCAGGAAGTGGAGGTTGAGGTGAGCTGAGATTGTGCCATTGCATTCCAGCCTGGGCAACAAGACCAAAACTCTGTCTCAAAAAAAAAAAAAAAAAAAGTAAGTTACTAGCTAGTTTCAGTAATTCTTAACATCCAGGAAACTGGATGTGAAAGCTTTTCAGAGAAGCTAAACCAATAGGTTATACATAGAGAGATTTATTTAGGAATTGGCTTACATAATTGTGGGGACTAGCAAGTTTAAAATCTGTAGGGCAAACCAGCAGGCTATAAATTCAGGTAAGAGTTGATCTCGAAGTCTGGAACCTAAAATCTGTAGAGCAGTCAGCAGGCCAGAAACTCAGGCAGGGTTTGTGTGTTACAGTCTTGAAGCAGAATTCCTGCTTCTCTGGGAAACCTCAGTTTTTGTTCTTAAGGCCTTCAACTGATTGGAGGTGGCCCACCCATATTATGGTGGGTGATCTGTTTTACTTAAAGTCAATTGACTGTCAGTGTTAATCACATCTATGAAATAACCTCCCAGCAAGATATTGACAAGTATTTGACCAAACAACGGGACACCATAGCTTAGCCAAGTTGACACATAAATTAACCATCAGGAGCAAGTAGAATATCCAAAAAACAACATACTAGGGGTATTATATCTTATATAGCTATTATAATTATATAAAACATATAATTATAGAATGAAGATATTAAGATAACCATTAGAACAAAAATATAAACTTTTCTTTCTTTTTTTTTTTTTTTTTTTTTTTGAGACCAAGTCTTGCTCTGTCACCCAGGCTGGAGTGCAGTGGTGCAATCTTGGCTTACTGCAACCTTTGCCTCCTGGGTTCAAGTGATTCTCCTGTCTCAGCCTCCCAAGTAGCTGGGATTACAGGCACCCGCTACCATGCCCAAGCATCCACCATGTGGTGGTATTTGGATGAGATGTGCATGCAGTGAAAGGTCATTGGAAGATTTGGGGAGACCCATGCATTCAGAGAATAGGAAAGCAAACCTAGGGAGTCATCCTTCATATGAGCAGAAATGTTTAGGGTCTTCTTGTTTGGAACAGCTGAGCACCTCCCATAGAAAAAAAGGACACATTATTACATCCTAACTTCGCATCAAGAAGTATATATGGTCATGATGGATTCTGGAAGAAGCATTATTCACTCTTGGGATGTTGCTCCAACCCAAATAGCAAAAACAAAGAAAAGTTGCATGTCTGTGGGTCCTAGAGCAGGAAGGCTCTGCAGCAGGTCCACACAGTGGTGGGAGTGCCCTGCTGGTTGAGCCCTAGAACCCAGCTGGGTCTACTGCAATGCAGGAATTTATGATGGGAGAAGAAACCTTGCATTTATGGCAAGATCCAATAGGAGATCCCAGTCCAGACATGTGGGGTTGTGTAACAAGGCCCTGTCATCTTAATGAAATTTGCCCCTTCTGGAAAGGTTTGTTCTGTCTTTGCTGCTCACACCTGAGAGTCGTGTGTGCACTTCTTTCTCATGTGCACGTGCAAGACAACTCCTGTTCTCAGACACCCAGAGAAGAAAAGGCTTGAAACTGAGGAGCTGATCCCTAGGATTCCATTGCACCTGCCTGGCCCAGACAGAGCTCCTGAAATGAAAGGAGTTGGGCTGGGCCAGAGTAGCACATCTCATTCTGTGGGCACAATCCTACTGGTTCAAAATGCTTTCTTTTTCTCAAGCCCAAGTTCTCAGGGTTAGCTCAGAGAACTGGTTCCTTTCCTGCCACACTCTGTGTTGAAAGGGAGGGAAACGACTGTCTCTAGTGCAGAAACCAAGCTCTCTGGAGACATTTCTTATCCCATGAACCTGTGCACTAGTCTCTGTAGGGCCCAGGTAATAAAGGGACAAGATGTTTGGATTTACAATGAATGTAATTGTAAAATTCATGGTTAAATAGAAATCCGACAGTTTCTCCTGCTGCTTTGGCTACCATGAGAAACCACCTGAGTGAACTGAGACCAAAGTCATGGTCACTGCTTAGAGCAAGCTTGTCCAGCCTGCAGCCTGCAGGCCACATGCAGCCTAGGATGGCTTTGAACGTGGCCCTACATAAATTTGTAAACTTTCTTAAAACTTTATGAGATTTTTTTGCAATTTTTTAAGCTCATCAGCTATTGTTAGTGTTAATGTATTTATGTGTGGCCCAAGACAATTTTTCTTCTTCCAATGTGGCCCAGAGAAGCCAAAATGTTGGACATCCTGGCTTAGAGAGGATGTGAGATATTGAGCCTAGTTATATTAGAGGTTCCTGTCCCACATCCCCATCTGTCTGTTTCACTGTGAGCCACTGCCTGCTGCTCCCTCAGCCATCATAGGTGCTACAGTAATAGCCTCGTCCCTGGCCTGGGCCCCACTAATGGTCAGAGTGGCTGTGTTCCACAAGTTGGAGCCAGAGAATCACTCAGGGGTCCTTGAGGGCCACTTGCTGTCTTTATAGATGACCGGCACAGGGGTCTGGCCTGACTTCTGCTGGTACCAATAAACATATCCACCTCCAACAGTATTTCCACAGCAGGTGATCCTGGCCATCTGTAATGGGGCCACTGACACTGAGGGTGGCTGAGACAGCTCATATGTGGCCATGAAACCTGCAGGAGATGAGGGAGAAAAGGCTTGAAGCTGAGGAGCTGATCCTCAGGATTCCTTTGCACCTGCCTGGCTGGGACAGAGCTTCTGGGATGAAAGGGAGCCTGACTGTGCCCCTCAGAGTGCCCATGAGCACAGGAGTACAGGAAGATTTCAACCTTACCAGCCCCTCACCCTGCAGCAAGGTCATGAGCATCCTTTCCACCACAGGCAGAGCCCTGCTGAGCTCACAATCAAGGCCAGCCTGGTCCCACAGCCCGGGGCTGGGCGGGTGGCTGGGACTCTGGCGGCAGCACCTGTGCAGTGAGCGAGGAGGCTGAGAAAGGTCCAGTCCATGACTGAGACATCCCTGATGCTGCTTCCTGTGGCCCAGGGCGGGTAGGTTTCTCCCAGGCCTCTCTTATCCCCTTGATGGAGAAAGCGGCCCGTGATGCAAGTCAGCAGAATCAGGGGCTGCTACTGGAGTAGCTTTGTAGTTTCCAGAGAAGGGCTCAGCCCCAAGGGACACAGAGAGGGGAGGGGAGGACCCTACAGACCCACCTCAGCCCACAGAATTCTCCTTCACTTGCTGGTCCCAAAGTCTGGGCCAACATCTTTACCTTAAACTATGTCTTGGCCTTGGTTCTCAGCTAGCCAGGCCAGGTGGAGTTCACAGATCATTCTGTCTGCATTTTGTGAGCCCATTCTATAGTTAACAGCAGAAGACTTTGATAGGTTCTGGGTCCTGCCCCAGATCAGGTGTGGATTCAGAACCTGCTGCTCAGGTCCCTGATTCCCTTGTCCATGGACTGCTGGTTCCAAGAGAGGAATTCCTCTTCTTTATTTGGCCTTATATGCCTCAATACCAGGCATAAGGGGCTCGGTTACCCATGAAATTATGAGCACGTCCTATTGGAGGAAAATGGGTAGGGCCCACCTAAGACATCCCTCTACTGTCACTGGGTTGGTAAGTGGTCCAGTGCATCTTACCAAGGCTCTGCATATAGTGCCGCAGACCTCAGACACCAAGTTTCATGGCTCCAGGTGTAGAAAAACATGAGGCAGTGGTGGCTCCTGCCCCAAAAACAAAGGCAGGAGCATATCCACCCAGCCAGTATTTATTGAGACCCACTCTGATCCGGCAATATTCCATCCTGGGAATTCAGCACGAGAAAGACTGTCTCTGACCCCAGGAGTTTCCTACATGGGGGTTGGGGCTGTGTAATAGAAACAGTTTGTAGTAGAAGCACCATCTTCTACCTGTGTATTTTCTCCTCTATTTATTTACAAAAAGATCCTTGTTTTCCCTGGTCACTCTTGGCTTGGACTGACCACATGGTCCCATGCTGGCCCCAGGGCTGTAAGGGTCAGGTGGTTGGAGATCTTCTCAGGGAACATTTTCTCTTGTGATGGAAATAAACAGACTGTTTTCGTGCAGCACCTTTGCTCTTGAATATGGGTATAATAGCTGGAGCTGCAGCAGCCATCCTGAGGTCTTAAGTCCACACAAATGAAAGAAAAGCCTACTGTGTCATGATGGTGGAGCAGAAAGTTGGGTAATTGCTGGGTTTCTCATTATTTGGTGAGTATGTGGGGAACAGCAGTGAACTCCACACTTACTTTTTGAGGATAAAATAGCAAATGGTTCATGACTGTTTCTCATGAGTGTCCAAGCAGAGGAGAAGCATTTTTGATTGATTGTAGGAGTATTTAGCACCAGAAAATCAATTAATAAACATGTTAGGAAAAGAGGCATGAAGTTTAGGTGCTCTGCAGATCATTAATAGAATGCATACACAGAAAATGACAGGCAGACTGCTGTGTAATCAGAGGTTGGGGCGCCTCCCTGAAGAGGAGTCTCTGGAGCTGCTCTCAGGAAGGAAGAAACAGTGAAAGGAAGTGTGAGGAAGAAGAGTCTGTCACTGACCTGCAGGGAGGGGTAGGTGTTTTCGAGGATCTGAAAGAGCAGTGACAAACATCAAGGGGGTCTGGGATCCAAACTCATTGCAATGCAGTGTGTGATACTTTTAGCTGAGGCACGAGTGCAGCGTATTAAGGTGTGGTTAGGGGAATTTCCAGGTGATGATGAATGACGTGATCTTGGCATCTGCTTAGCACATGGTATGGCCTCCAGGACGCTGCTGCTGGGGTGGGGGCAGGAGAGACACAAGTGGGGTCAGACCTGCCCCAGGCTGTTTCCTATTTTAGCAGGGTCTGAAGCTGCCCAGGAGGGGGCTTACCCACCCCTTTGTTCCTCCATTACTTGTGCAATAAGCAGCCTTGTGGGGACATACACTGCTCCATCCTGGGACCCCGTCGAGGGCCTCACATGGGTGACTGATCCCTAATGTCCCACAGACTCGCTGATCTGAGCTGATCACAGTGGGTGGGGAAAACACTGGACAGAGGAGGGAAGGGCCAGAGGGTGAGTAAAGTTCCCAAGGTCGCCTGGGGAGGAAGAGGGGAGAGCAAGACCAGGGAGGTCCTGGGCAGAAATAATGATCATTTCTAAGTGTGCAGGAGCAAGCAGACTGGATGGGAGTGTCGGGAACAATCCTGCACCACAATTGTGGGGGCTCAGAAGGATATAGCTCTTCCCTTTCAGTTCTGCCAGCTGCCTGTTGGGGGAGCTGCTGCACCCAGACATGAGTGAGCCAGGCACCTGGTGGGTAGCTTCCAGCTCCCTGCACCCTTCGGTGCTCATAAAAACTCCGAGGGTTGGCTGGGCGCGGTGGCTCAAGCCTGTAATCCCAGCACTTTGGGAGGCCGAGGCGGGCGGATCACGAGGTCAGGAGATCGAGACCATCCTGGCTAACACGGTGAAACCCCGTCTCTACTAAAAATACAAAAAATTAGCCGGGCGCGGTGGCGGGCGCCTGTAGTCCCAGCTACTCAGGAGGCTGAGGCAGGAGAATGGCGTGAACCCGGGAGGCAGAGCTTGCAGTGAGCCGAGATCGCGCCACTGCACTCCAACCTGGGCGACAGAGCGAGACTCTGTAACAACAACAACAACAATAACAACAACAACAACAACAACAACACAAAAAAACAAAAAACTCCGAGGGTAAAATACGCCAGGCAAGAGAGAACCAGAGCTGCCTTTTCATGTCTTGTTACTCTGGAAGAGCCCTTGAAATATTGTCTGGATCCTTTGCATTGACTGCTCATGGTCCTTTAGTGCCATCATAAAGTTGTAGATATAATAACACAATTATAACAGTCAATTTCTGAAAATCATAGTTTTGTATTGTGTGGAATTCATATAACCTAGAATTAATCACTTCAAAATGTACAACGCAGTGGCACTTAGCACCTTCACTTTGTTGGGCAGCCACCAGCTGTGTGTGTAGTTCTCCTACATTTTCATCACCCAAAAGAAAATTCTGCACCCAGTGAGCAGCCTCTCCTCTTTCATCACCTTCTCCAATTCTGGGCAACCACTCATCTTCTTTCTGCCTGCATGGATTTGTCTATTGTAGATAATTCATGTAGAAGACATGATACAGTATGGGACCTTTAGTATAGTATTTCAGATTTTCAGACCATAGGATCTCTGTCACCACAACCAAGCCTTGTATTGCAGCATGAAAACAGCCACATGTCACTCATAAAGACATGAGCAAGACTGTGTTCCAATGCAGGATGCAAGACAGATGTGTCCATCAACCACAGTTTGCCCACCATGTCCTCAATCAGCAGCCACTATGAGGAACTGTGTTCCTCATTAGTAACATATCTGAGTCCAGGACCAGGGGTGGAAGTAGTGGCTTACATGGGGAATTTATGATTCTGTTTTCTAACTCTGAGTCTTATAGTTTAGAAGTCCAGGTTCCCAAAGGATGACACCCAGTGATGCAGCAAGAGCCCCATGGAATTTGAATGAATGACGGTACCCGGTCACTCTGGGATTCTTCCACCTTCACTGCTGTCCTGTATGGGGGATTGGCCGTGTCTCAGGTGACACTTGCAGCTGTGCTCCAGGATTGAGAAACAACAAGCAGACCATGTGATCAGTGGGATCTCCCGTCAGCAGGGAGAAAAACCCTCAGGAACCTCAGGATGAAGTGTCCACAGGTCTCAAAGAAATGGGGCCTAAATTTAGGCATGGGCAGGATCTGAGGGGAGCCCCTGTGTAAGGGAAGAGCAGGATGGAGGAGCCTGTGATGTAGACCCTTGAGGACACCTGGAGACAGGGCTCAGATCTTTACTCCACTCCTGTGATCCTTGAGGAAACTCACGATGTCAGGGTTCCATGTCCATTTCATAGCTGAGAATGGGGGTGAATAAGGGCTTCAGTATCATAGAGAAAGAGAAAGAAAGAGAGAGGAAGAGAGAAGGAGAAAAGAGAGTAAAAGAGAAAATGAGAGAGAGGTCAATGTTAAAACTGAATCCTGACCTCTTCAGCCTAATTCTAAGCAACTTTCCTAAATGCAGGGGGAGCGTGTGATCCAGGCTGGGGACAGCAGATTGTGCATCTCAATTCTCCCTGTGGCTGTGTCATTGGAAGTCTTGTTGTCATCCCCCCTGAAACTCATCCTCAACCTGTCCCCTGGTCAGGGGAATTACATTCCTAGACACTGTCAGAGAATCAATCAGCACTGCATGAGGAGTTTTGTCACCACATTAAAGTCCCAGCATGGGCACCAGCCTGGGTTCTGCGGGTACCAAGACAGAGCAGAGCTTCCCTACTTGGTCCTGAGCAGCTGAGAGGGGCTGTCTGCACCATGGGCACTGAGCTCCCATGGGAGGACAGAGAACCCGCCGAGGAGAGAGAGATGGTCAGAGACTGAGGGACTTATTTCCAGAGTAATCTGCCTAAAGTGTCTCCCAGGATCAGGGTCAGAGCCAGGCCTAGCTTAGACAGTCAATTAACACAGATTGTGTATGTTATGTATATTATATACAGTATTTTTTATAATGAAGTAAGCCAGAGAACAGAAAATGTTATTTTAAAAATCATAAGGAAGAGAAAATATATTTACTAGTCATTAAATGGAACTGAATCGTCATAAAGGATTTTATCTTTTTTATATTCGGGTTGAGTAGCTGAAGAGGAAGAGCAAGAAGAGGGGTTGATCTTGCTGTCTCAGGGGTGACAGGGGCAGAAGAAAATCAATGGACCCATGCAGTTCAAACCAATGTTATTCAAGGGTCAACTGTATATAATTTTCTATATATTTTGATATTTTGACATCTTAAAAAACATTTCTGTCTGGGAAAAGACCACCCCTCCTGGGTCTCCCCAGTTCTCTATTCCTTGAAAGAGCAATGGGCTCAGCCAGAAGCCTGCCTTTCATATGGAAACTAACGTGTTCAGAGCCTCACCACCCCTGTCTGGTTTGTGCATCCCAGGATACAATATTCCTCTGCCTTTATCGTCCCAGGGCCAGGTACCAAGCAGCTAGAGACCACCTTAGTAGCCCAAAGCCTGCTGACATTATTCAGGCTGGCCAATCATAAATTTTTTAGCTTGCCCTGCTTTTCCTGAGGAAATTCTGATAAAAGTCATGGTCTAAGGGATCCCCTGCCCTCCTGTCTTCTGTCTTCTAATGAACCTGATGCCTTTCCCTGTGGCCCTGTGTAGCACATTGGGCCTGCTGTCTCTAGAGCTCTGGGTCTATGGTCTCTAGGGCTGTTTTCTGAACCTCTCTTCCATTTCTTCTTGTGGCCACAGCTGACTGACCAGCTGACTAACTAGCTCATAAAAGAATACAAAGAACGGCCTGAGATTAGAACTGGAATCTCTGAGGCTTTTTCCTGATCTCACCCCTCAGTCATATGGGGCTCTTCCCTGTTGCTTTTGTTACCAAGAGACAGAATTATAACCCCCAATGTCACTGCTGTGTCAGCACAGGAGATGGTGACCACCTCTCCAGTGGTTTCAGATGCTGAGAAGATGTAACAGGACTGATAAGGCCCCAAACTCTGAGGGAAAGGATAAATGTGCAGAGGCATGAGTCCTGGGTCATCACTCCAGGGAGCCTGAGGAGGGAGAGAAAGTCTCCTGGGCTTCACAGATGTAGCTGAGGTGCATCTCACCTGTGCTGGGAGCAGGAGGTCAGGAGCTGAGCTACTTTGCTTGTGGTCCTCAGAGGGCAGCAATGTTAGCATCACCTGGGGGCAGTTAGACACGCAGATCCTTTAACTGTCCTGATGTCATCAAAGGGAACTTGATTCCAGCACTAGACCTGTAATTATGTGGACAAAATGTTTCAAGTATGGACATTTTTACAAGCCACATGGGTGATGTGTTAGGAAGGGGATGGTATCCCAGTAGGATGGCCAGGTAGAAATACATGGTTCCTAACATCTTTCTTGTTCTCTGACTGACACTTGCAGTGACTCCACTCCTCACTCAATGCCTGCCAAAATCCTAATTGTCCTTTCGGTTCTGTACACATATCTTGTCTAGGAAGTGTTCTCTGAACATACAGAAACGTAATATTACAATCTTTTACATTTATCAGAAAGTATCCTCACAGTTGAGTATGGAATATCCAGATTCTTTGCATGAAATACTACCCCATGCCATCTCCACTTCTCATGATGGCCTAAAAACAGCAAGAAAGAAAGTCTGCTTGCATGAAAACATTTTAAGTGATTTTGAGATGACAATATGGTTCGTCCTTTCTTCTATTAATACGATGCCTTCTATTAATTAATTCAATTACAGATGTTAAACCATCATTGCATTCCTCGGATAAACACCACTTGGTTATTGTATGTACTTCTTTTTATATCTTGTTAGATTACATTTTCTGGTATTTTGTTAAGGACTTTAGTATCTATATCCAGTAAGGTCATTGCTCTGTATTTATCTTTTCTTGTAATGGCTCTGTCTGGTTTTGGTATCAGGGTAATATTGGCCTCAGAGAAAGAGTTGGCAAGTGATTTTATCTCTTTTATATTTTGGAAAAGTTTAATGATAAATTATATTAATTCTTCTTTAAACATTTGGTAATAGTCACCAGTGAGGCCCTCTGTGTCTGGGCCTTTCCTTATGGGAAGGCTTTTCTTATTATTATTAACTTAATCTCTTTCTATAGTTTTAATCGGGTTTTCTATTTCTTCTTGAGTCACTTCTAATAGAATTTGTATTTCTAGTGATTTGTCCATTCATCTCAATTTTTTTCATGCAGTTTTCATGGTCTTCCCTCAATTTTTTGGATTTCTCTAATGACATTGTTTTGGGAACATACTTTGTGTGATTTCTATCTTTTTAAAAATTATCAATCTGTTTTATACGGTTTTTCTGGAGAATGTTCCATGTGCATGCAAGAAGAATGTGCATTCTGCTTTTGTTGCTTGAAGAGTTCTACAGGCATCGGTTAAGTCTAGTTGTTCTATAGTGCTGTTCAAGCCCTTTTATTTCTACATTATGCACTATTAAAATATTTATCCATGTAGTCACCATTTCTGATGCTTTTCATTCTTTGTGCAGATTCACACTTCTATCTGGTATAATTTTTGTTCTGTATGAGGGATGTCTTTCATCATTTCTTTTAGTGACGGCTTGTGATTTATCAATTCTGTAAGTTTTATTTATTTGAAAAAGGTTTTATTTGGCCTTCATTTTTGAGAGATATTTCACCGGGTAAAGACTGCAGGGTTGACAGTTGTTCCTTTTAATATTATAAAGATGTAGCTACCTGTCTTCTTGCATGCATTGCTTCTAATGAGAACTCTGCTCTTAGTATTATATCTAACATGTCTTTTCTTTCTGGCTGCTTTTAAGAGTGTCTCTTCATCACTGTGCTTTAGCAATTTGATTATGATATGTGTTGGTATTGTTATCTTAACGTATTTATATTTTAAAATATATTTTGTCAGGGGCTGGTTGAGCTTCGTGAAAATGGATGGCTTATGATGTTCACAAAATTTGGATCATTTTTAGTCATTATTTTGTTTTGTAGTTTTTCTATATACTCCCCTACCCCCACCAACTTCTTTTTTTCAGTAACACAAATTACGTTATTTTAGGTTGCATTGGCATGCAGTTGTCCCATAACTCAACGATGCTCTTTTCTTGTCATTTTCAGTAGTTTTGCATATTTCATTTTGAATAGTTCTCATTACTATATCATCAGATTCACTAATCTCTTCTTTTTCAGCATGTAATATACCAGCAATCTCATTCAAAGTACTTTGATTTCATATATTTCTGTGGTCATTTCTAGGACTTAAATGTAGGTGTTTTTTAAATGTCTTTCATGTCTCCATTTAACTTGTTCCATCAATACTCTACCCTCCAGGACAAATGGATTACAGTTACAACAACTGCTTTTTGTTCTGGTCTAGAAAGTGTATTACCTGTGCAATTTCAGGGCCATGATGCGCTGACCAACTTTTTTACTTCTGACTCACGTTGTCCTGCTATTGTAATAAGATGCCAGACATCGTGAAGTTTTGCTTTTTAGGTGCATGATATTTTTATATTTCTCCACATATTTTTGTCTTCTTTGATTCAGAAGGGTTTCTTGAAGAGAGTATGTTCCTTTCTGAACTTGCTCTTACGGTGTCCTAGGAGGGATAGGAGCAGATTTTAGTCTATAGTTAGTTCCCCCTATACTAAGGCAGAGCTTTTCTTATTCATTTTTTTTTCTCTTTTCTTTTCTTTTTTTTGAAACTGTGTGGCGAGATCATGGCTCAATACAGCCTTGAACTCCTGGGCTCAAGAAGCAGTCCTCATGCTTAAAACCTCCTGATTAGCTAGGACTACAGGTGCATGTCCCCATGCTTAGCTATATTTTTTAAGTTTTCTGTAGAGATGGGGTTTCACAATGTTGCCCAGGCTGGTCTCGAACTCCTGGCCTCAAGTGATCCTCCTGCCTCAGCCTCCCAAATTGCTGGGATTACAAGTGTAAGCCACTTTGCTCAGCCAGGGCAGAGAAATTCTGATTAGTTAACCTGATGCCTCTGATTAGACACATTTCCACACTGGTTGTAGGAACAAACTCTATTCTGATGGTGTGTGTGTGTGTGTGTGAGTGTGTGTGTGCGCACACACGCGCATGCACATGCCCTGCAATTGTTCCCTCAAATGTCTTTGGGTGGTTCTTTTCTTGGCCTTAAGTATTTTCCTTCCACTCATGGGATCATCAGTGCTCAGGAATATTTGCAGATTCCAGAGTCCTGTCTCTGTGCTGCTCTCTCTTCTTCCGTACTCTTCCTTGTAGACTGTTTTCTATTTTGTGTTCCCTGGAATCAGACTCTGAGAGGGAAAATTGCATACAGTAGTGTTTGGAGATATTCGCTCTGGAAGGAAGTATGGGGGGGCACAACTGGGCAGCCTGAAATCTGACTCCAGTTGAGGACTCATCTGGGAGGCCCTGCAAGGTCATCCTAACCTGAGACAGGGCCTTGGTATTTCAGTCTCATGCAGTTATTAGGCCTGAGCCACACTGTGAAAGGGGCATGCCCTTGGTGGAGGCAGTTCTCTGTAGCCAGCAGCAATTTGAGGGAGAAAAGAGCTGTGAGGGCCCTGGGATTCCCAGCTGCCACGGTTAGTGAGAGCTGTGAGGGCCCTGGGATTCCCAGCTGCCACGGTTAGTGAGAGCTGTGAGGACCCTGGGATTCCCAGCTGCCACGGTTAGTGAGAGCTGTGAGGCCCCTGGGATTCCCAGCTGCCACGGTTAGTGAGTCTGCCCTGAGGAGCAGATCACCAGTGCCCATGACACTGGTCTTCTCTGTTTAAAATATCAGGATGCCATGGTGTAGCTGGAGCTTCACCTGAGTATTTCAGGGGAATAATCCAGGACATCTGGGCATGAGTAGAGCACTGGGCTGGGCTCCGTCACCACACATGTGGAAATCCAGGCACCAGAACCACTTGACAGATATCTCCCTCTGACTGTATTTTCATTCAAGTCATTTTTCTCCAAGTCACACTCCAGCCAAGACAACATCAAGACAACCTTGTTCTCTCCTCCTCCAAATCTTCTCCTGACCCAAATTGTCAAAACCATGACTTAAAGAGTGACATCACCACTGACCTTACAAAAGGTACAATGGTTATAGGGAATAATGCGAACAATAAATGCCAAAATTATGGATGACTTAAATGAAGTGGATAAGTATCTGGAAATACATAAATTATCAAAATCGATTCATAAAGGAGAAAATCTGAATAGATCTATGACACATAAATATATTGAATTAGCAATTTAAAATCTTCCTGCTAAGAAAAGCCCACCTAGTACAAATGACTTCACTGGTAAATTCTATCAAGTTTTTATGGAAGAAATGACACCAATCATACACAATCTCCTTCAGAATATAGAGGAGAAGCAAACATTTCCCTACTACCTATTTGAGGCCTGAATTACTCTGATACCAGAGCCCGACAAAGGCATGACAAAAATATCCTATAGACCTATGTCCTGCATGAACATGGACACCAATTCCTCGGTAATGTTTCAAACAACATTCTCATGCAGGAGCTGTCCTTATGCATGCAAGGGCATTGCGACTTCCATTCCCTCATTTGCCTTTTACTTACATCTTGAGAATCTCCCTTCTTCACCTTGATTTAATATTTCTGTGGAATGTTTTCCCTCAGCTCTGGTACCAGAACCAAGGTTTTGGAAGCCAGAGAGAGGAAAGGGTGATGGGAGAGGTGATGCATATTTCTATAACTGTGTGTTAAGAGTTCACTGTGGGCTGGGCATGGTGGCTCACACCTGTAATCCCAGCACTTTGAGAGGCTAAGGCCAGCGGATCACTTGAGGTCAGAAGGTCGAGACCAGCCTGGCCAACACGGTGAAACCCTGTCTCTACTAAAACTACAAAAATTCATCAGACATGGTGGCAGGCAATCCCAGCTACTCCAGAGGCTGAGGCAGGAGAATCACTTGAACCTGGAAGGTGGAGGTTGCAGTGAGCCAAGATGGTGCCACTGTACTCTAGCCTGGGTGACACAGTAAGACTTCAAAAAAAAAAAATTTACTGTGAATCCTTCTTTGTACTGCTTTGTGAAACAGACTTGGGAGTGGGGGGAATTGTCCTTAATTTGTACTTGGATTTTTGTGGTTTTATAATTTGAAGTGGTTTTTTTTCTAGGCAGCATGTATAGTTGAGTCTTGTTCATTTCAACATGACAATCTCTGCCTTTTAATTGTGATATTTAGACTATTTACAATTAATGTGATTAGTAACATAATTTGGTTGAAATATGCCAACTTGCCCTTCATTTTCTATTTGTGCCATATGTTCATTGCTTCTCCTTCCCTTTTTCTGTTTCCTTTTTTTGACTGATTTTTAAAAATTATTTCTTTTTATCTCCTTGCTGGTTTAAGTGATGTTTAATTTTAAGTGTTAGATTGACTAGGTATAGTGCCTAGTTGATTTTGTCAAATACGAGTATAGAAGTTGGCACGAAGATAATTTTCAGATGTGATTAACATTTATATCTGTAGACTTTATATAAGCACACTGCTCTCCACAATGCATGTGGGCATCATTAATGAGCTGAAGGTTTTCAGAGCAAATACTGAGGATTCCTGAAGTCCCACCTTGCAGAATTCAGACTCAAAACTGCGAGATCAACTCTTACCTAAATGTCCAGCCTTCAGCCTGCCCAGTAGATTTCATCCTAGTCAGCCACAATTGTATGAACCAATTTCTTCTCCATATATATGTACCTAGATATGTATATACACACATATACATTATATGTACACATGCATATACACATATATACATTATACATATATACACACATACATATCCTATTGATTTTGTTTCTGTGGAGAACTCTAATATGGCTTACTAGCCATAATTATTTCTGTTAAAAGGGTTTATCTTTGGGAGGCCGAGGCGGGCAGATCACGAGGTCAGAAGATCGAGACCATCCTGGCTAACACAGTGAAACCCTGTCTCTACTAAAAATACAAAAAAGTTAGCCGGGCGTAGTGGTGGGTGCCTGTAGTCCCAGCTACTTGGGAGGCTGAGGCAGGAGAATGGCGTGAACCCAAGAGGCGGAGCTTGCAGTGAGCCAAGATCGTGCCACTGCACTCCAGCCTGGGCGACTGAGCCAGACTCCAAAAAAAAAAAAAAAAAAAAAAGTTGATCTTAATGATTGCTTGGGTTTACAGTACGTATATAACTTATCAAGGTTTACCTTCAAGTGTTATTATATATTCACATATAGTATAAGACCATTATAACATGTTGTTCATCCCTTCAGCTTTTGTGCTTTGTCACATAATTTACTTTCATTTTCATTACAAATCACAATGTATTTACGTTAGCTTTTCTTTGAAGTGTTAATTATCTTTATTAGACATTAACACAATTCAGAGGTTTCTATGTTTATCCTTGTGGTTACTATATCTGATGTTTTCATTTTTCGGTATAAATTCACATTTCATTGTGGTATCATTTTCCTTCTGTCTAGGGATGTCCTTGACCATTTCTAATTGTAAGAGTCTGATAGCAACCAATTCTTTAATTTGGCATATGTCTGGAAAGGGTTTATTTTGTCTCCTTTTTTGAAAGTTTTTGTTTGTTTGTTTTTATTAAAAAAATTCAAGGTTGGCAGGCCCAGTGGTTCACACCTGGAGTCCCAGCACTTTGGGAAGCTGATGCGGGCAGATTGCTTAAGTGCACAAGTTTGAGATCAGCCCGGGCAACACGGTAAAACCTCATCTCTACAAAAAATACAAAATTACCTGGGCATAGTGTTGCACGCCTGTGGTCCCAGCTACTTGGGAGGCTGAAGTGGGAGGATCATGTAAGCCCTGGATGTTGTGAACTGAGATTGTGCCACTGCACTCCAGCCTGGGTGACAGAGTAAGACCCTGTCTCAAAAAAAAAAAATAAAGAAAAAAAGAAAAGAAAAGAAAAGAAAAAGAAAGAAAGAAAATGAAAAGAAAAGAAAAAGAATTCAAGGTTGACAGGATTCTTCTTTTAGTGTTTTCAAGACATTGCTCCGCCGTCTTCTTTCTTGCATTGCTTTTAATGAGAACTGCTCTTAGCATTATTATTTAGGTGACTCTTCATCACTGGATTTTATTAATTTGATTATGATTTATGTTGGAGTTGTTTCCTTCATGTCTCCTATACTTGAATTTTGTTGAGCTTCTTGGATATTTCAGTTTATGGTTTTCACCAAAGGTGAAAAATATTTGGCCATTATTTATGCAAATACTTTTTTCTATTTCTCCTCCACCCATTTCTATTTCAAACACTAATTACACATACTTTAGGCTGTTTGAAGTTGTCCTACAACTCACTGATACTCTGTTCCTTTCTATCATTAATTTCCATAATTATTTTTCCCATATGTGTTTCATCTTGGACAATTTCTACTGCTGTATTATACAATTTGCTAATCTTTTTTTTTGCAGCTAATCTTTTTTTTTGCAGCTAATCTTTTTTCTGTTGTCAAACTCACCCAGTGTATTTTCTAAATTTCAGACATTGTAGTTTTCATCTTTACAAGTTCAATAATTCCTCTTTTTCGGTTTTCCATGTTTTCACTTTACATGTTCAATTATTCCTCTACTTCTTCTTCAAACAAGAATAAAATTATAATAATTGTGTGTGTATTGACTCCTGATTCACCCTTTTCATAGCCTACCTGGAGACCTGGAGGGAAGGGCAGCCTCAAGGTCTCATATCTGGGTGAACAGGGCAAGACCTGCTCATGAATTTGTCCACAGTTTTTTCCTGGAGCTGAAGAAAGAGTGTGACAGATGGAGAAAAGGTTTTTGTCTCACTTCCCCTTCTGCCTGTGTCACCGCGGAATGAGTACGACTGCTGTCCCATGACTGACAGTAATAGTCAGCCTTGTCTTCAACCTGAATCCCAGTGATGGTCAGGGTGGCCATGTTCCCTGAGCTGGAGCCAGAGAATTTCTTAGGAATCCCTGAAGACTGGACACTGTTAAGTTAGATGACCAGCCCAGGGGCCTGGCTTGGCTTCTGCTTGTACCAGTTTACAACGGAGTCTTCTATGCTGTCTCCCTGGCAGGTGATCCTGGCTGTCTATCCCAAGGCCACAGACACTGCAGGCTCCTGACTCAGCTCAGAGGAAACCACGGAGCCTGCAAGAGAAGAGAGAAGAGGTGAGTCTGAAGATAAGGGTCTCATTTCCAGAGCCCCACACCCTGCATTACTCCCTGTGCTGAGCTGAATGTCAGGGCCAGGCTGATTCTTGGTCCTGTGGGGGCTGAGCCCTAGGAGGCAGCACCTGTGCAGAGAGTGAGGAGGGTGAGCAGGGGAGGGGTCCAGGCCATGGTGGAGATGCCCCAGAGCTCTGCCTCTGAGTCCACAGCTGGGAAGGGGCCTCCAGGCCTCTCTTAACATAGGAAGGGGATGCTCTTCATGCAAATCTACTTCCTTCCCTCCTGTGGCCTTGGTGAATGGCTCCCTAGTGAGCAGACAAGGGCTGGGCTTATAGAAGGGTATAAAAATGGGCCCTGTCCCCAGTTCTGTACAGATTCCTCACACTTTCTGGATGAGTGAGAAAGTGCTGCCCCCAACACATGCATACACTCCTCAGTTCCTGTTCTGGGGTGTTCACTGAGCTCGGCCAAGCACCTCAGCCATCCTCTCTATTGATGTGTCTGAGTTCTTATCTGAGCCCTGAGGCTGAGACCTTCATGTTAGCAATTTTCCAAGTTTAGAATAAAGGCCAGGTGGGTGCGATGAGTGGAGAGTGAATTTTACCAAATAGAAGAGGCCTCACAGGAAGCACCAGTCATGCCCTTTGCCTTTTACACTTGGGTGCTACCAGGGGACTTGAAGTTATTAGGGTCCCCAAACCAAAGTCCACAGCATCCTACTGTGCCCACACGGGGAATGTCATCTTCCATGTATGACTAGTTCACACAGAATGCCTGCTTATGAGTACTTAATATATGCCTGATGCTTTGGAGGGTGTATTAGACATGTCACCTCAACCAGGCATTCATTATAATTCTACAGTAACCCTATACATCAGGAAAGCACTGATGTCTACTGACAAGAGACCCAACATCAGGAGGTTACACGGTTTTCTCAAAGTTCTCAGATGGTAGTGAGTGGAATCCAAGACTCCATCCAGGAGACACACCTCAGAGCCTAACCATTCAGCCCCCTCCTTTCTCTACCTCCCACCCAGTGCTCCTTCTCCTCCTGCTTATCCAGTGCCCTAGGTCCCTCTTTTCACAACCCTCTACTCTTTAGTCAGGTGTACTGCCCTTCCTGAGTTCTGGGGACAGAGGTGAGGACATCCTAATGCTCCCTCTGGCAGATGAAAAAGGAGCATGTGTCTGCAGTGACACTGGGGACATCCAGATGCCTGGTCATGCTCCTTGTGCCAGGCTAATCTCTAGACAAGTTAGGATCAGGATTCCATTTTTGACGTGGTCAAGGCCACTAAGCCTGAACAACTGTCACACTAGATACTGAACCACTTTAACGTTAATACACATGATTGGCAAGAAAGTATTTCTCACCTGATATCCTATACATATATATTGGTTTTTAGACCTAGTTCTGCTGAGGATGTGATGAAACTAATTCCTTTGTAAGTGCCGCTGCATTGTAATTAGCAACGTCATGTGAAGCCCTGTAGGTGCCATGTGCACGGACCGAAACCTCCATGTGCTGACTCCTTGGGATTTAGTCTAAAGAGGTAACTGACCTAAGATTAGGCCACAGGCCACAAATACGCCCGCTCCTGTCCTTGGTGAGTGTGTGGCACACAGCTTCTCCATGCCTTCCCACCTGATGCGCATCCACTCCTCATCTCACTGGGCTCCTCCAGGTGTCCTGCTGGCCACTCGTGCAGGTCACTTGTAACACCTTTGCTTGTGGGTCCTGACATGCTAAGACGACCCTTGGAGAATGTACCTTCATAAAAGTGATCAGTGCTTGTGGGATAGGCAAAAACAGCAATTTATGAAAAATAGCAATACACTAAGCTTCAATAAAATATTCTTCATCATGAGCCCTTTTTGTTCTAGATCTATGTATAAAAAATTGCTTTCTTACTTGTTATTGGGCTTATCACAAGAATCTTCCCACTGAAAGGGATCCTTGGAGCACAATTTACAGGGACCATTGCCATTCATTCCACCGGAAAGAGACCAATAGAAAACATGCCTTTGATGGCCGAGGTTCACCTTTAAAATTGAAGTTATATTTAATGTCTTTGAGAAGGGAAGAAGTGTGAAACACACTGTAAAAATTCCCTTGTTTCTTAGTGCCCTCAATATTCCTGCTTTGGCTGGAAAGTAGAGCTGCCATTCCTCCCTCAGGAGGCCCTTTGGGTCATGGAACTCTCCATTCTTCCCAGGTAGCTGTCAGTATGTACTGCAGGGGCTGTGACCCAAATGGACCTTTATCCATCTGGACTTGCTGTGTCCAATATGGCGGCCATGAGTCCCAGGGAGCTACTGAGCCCTGGAAACATGGGTAGTCTGAGGTAAGATGTGCTGTAGGAGTAAAACACACCAGATTTCAAAGAATTAGTACAAAAATAAAATAAATATCTCAATATTTTAATACTGAATGCATGCTGAAATAATATTTTGGATAAATCATTTAAACACAATATATTATGAACATAAATTCCACCTGTTTCTTTTACCTTTTAAATGTGGCCACTAAAAAATTGTATATTATATATATATATTCTTAAAATTACATTTCTAATAGACCAGCACTAGAGCACTGCTGGTGCACTCAAAGTCACAATATGATACTTTTAAAAAGTAAAGGTTGGGCACAGTGGCTCATGCCTATAATTGCAGAACTTTGGGAGGCTCAGGCAGGAAGATTGGTTGAGCCCAGGAGTTTGAGAACAGCCTACGCAACATAGTGAGACCCCATCTGTACAAAAAAACTTTAAAATTATCTGGGCATGGTAGTATTCACCTGTAGTCCCAGCTACTCAGGAGGCTGAGATGAGAGGATCTCTTCAGCCCAGAAGGTTGAGACTTTAGTGACCTGTGATGGTGCCACTGCACTCCAGCCTGGGTGACAGAGTAAGACTCTGTCTCAAAAACAAAACAAAATAAATACAAAGTAGAAAGAACTTTCTGGAGCCTTAAAGACACACCAATGCCTTACCACATTGATGCAATGACAGGCGACAGGATGGTGCCTAAGAACAGGTTTTCTGGGGCCAGAAGACCTGAGATTCTACTCCTGGGTCAGCCACTTTCTAGTTCTGACATCAGGCATGTTATTCTTCTTTTCTCTGCATTAGTTTTCCCATTTCTCAAAATCTATGTATCATAGATTTCCCAACTGTAAAACGGAGGGATAATGAACAACTCATAGAGTTGTTGAGATGAAGGGAATTAATAAATATGAAGTACTTGGAAGACTGCTTGATATGTATTAAACACATATGAATCTTTACTCCTCCTGCTAGTATTACTACCCTAATCTTCATCCTTATTCTTAGTGCAGAACAAAGGCACTAGAGATAGAAGAAGCAGGTAAGTTAGGAAAACAGAAAAGATTTGAGTTTGAAACATTTGACAGTAGGAACACTTCCTTGCAACACCAACTTGGACACGTACACATACATACACACATGTACACAAATATACACACAGGCACAGATATTCACACACAGTCGGCACATGGCACTGATTTGTGTACAGGTCAAAAGGCAGCACATCCTCCTGGCTGCTTTCCTGTTCAATGGGCCTTAAGCTGCAGGGACCTGAGCCAGTTCTTATTGATATCACCATCATGTGTCCCAGCAAAAATACAGCAAAGCCACTTTGTCGTGTCCAGACTCTGTGATACATGTTATCTCCCTGGAGCTGGCCTAGCTTGTGAACTCCTAGATCTGGGATGAGGCACCCAGATCTGCAGAAACTATTAGCATGATCTGCTTAAGGCTGATTAGCATTTTGGGTTCTGTGACCATCCACAGTCGGCAGTGTGGAGGCCTAGATTGGCAGGTATAGATGAACCGTCATGAGGACCGTACTGGTACCACTGAGGGAGAGAGACGCTGGGGGTGGAAAGAGCCAGGACACCTCATATTGTTTCCTCCAGGCCAGTCCACTGAGGCACAAGGCAGAGTTGATAATGTTTTTAGGATGCAAAGTCCACAGCAGCGCTGAGCTGGGCTTAGGACAACCAGACCTGCATTTGGAAGAGAGAAGCTGACAAGCTTAATGTCCCAGGGAGACTGTCAGGGAGGCAGCTGCACTGAGCCCCATGCACTGAAGGAAGGGTATTCTGGTCTCACTTACAGCCTGGCTGGGAGCCCATGGAAGAAACTCTTATCCACATGTCAGAGATTTGCTCACTCTGGTGATGGTCAGAGAGCATGGATGGATGCTGGGCATTCAGAGAATATTGACAGCTGGTGGCTAATATAACTCATAATCCACCCTGGTTTGATTTCTCTGAAACCAGCCTAGGCATCTACTCAGGATGATGAGGAGGGTAAGGAAGCTTCTACTTAAAAAGCAGAGGATAAAATCTCCTACGTCAGCATGAAAAGAACAAGAACAGCCTGAAAAGCTACCTTTTAAGGTGCGCAAGAGATCAGGCACTTTGCAGAGGGCCCGGAGTCCTTCTGGGCTGTCAGGTAATGCCCCACCTGAGAGCTTGGTGGTGCACATCCCACCTGCAGAGCCCCAGTGGGCAGCTTAAGCCATGTCTGAGGCATTGTTGGGAATTCGTTTTTTGTTTTGAGATGAAGTCTCACTCTATCGCTCAGGCTAGAGTGCAGTGGAACGATCTTGGCTCACTGCAACCTCTACCTCCCAGGTTCAAGCGATTCTCCTGCCTCAGCCTCCCGAGTAGCTGGGACTACAGGCACGCACCACCACGCCCAGCTAATTTTTGTATTTTTACTAGAGACAGGGTTTCACCAGTTGGCCAGGCTGATCTTGAACTCTTGACCTCATGTGATCCGCCCACCTTGGCCTCCCAAAGTGCTGGGATTTGGGATCCTCCCAAAGAGCCACCGTGCCTGGCCCATTGTTGGGAATTTGAATTTTGTGCCCCCTGGAATTCATATGGTGAAGTGCTATCCATCAGGACCTCAGAATGGGAACTTACATAGGAAAAGGGTGGTTGCAGATGTGATTAGTTAACATCGGGTCATACTGGAATAGAGTGAGCCCCAAATCCAATAGGACTGGTCTTTTTATAAAAAGAAAAAACTTGGACACCGACATGAACAGAGAGAAAACGTCATATGAACATGGAGGCAGAGATTGGGGTGATTCACCTATAAGCCAGGGAACAGCTAATACTGCTACACCACCAAAAGCCAGGGGAGAGGCATGAAACAGACCCTCCCTCAGCCTCAGAAGGAGCCAACCCTGCCAACACCTTGATCTCAGATTCTACCATCGCCATAAGATTAGTGAGACAATAAATTTCTGTTCTTTGAGTCATGTAGTCTGTGTTACTTTTTATGGCACCCCAGGCAAAATAATACAGACAGCTCTAGGAACTCTGGGCTCAGGGAACCTCCTGCAGGGCTGGGCTTCTTGAAGATGCTTTGGTCTCTAACGCCACAATCCCCTGGGGAGGGGCCTTCCTCTCCTGTGTTTTCTTCTCCCCTACAGTGTCTGAATTTCCTTTCCAGGAAACTGCCCCAACACCACAGGCAGAAAACTGTCTTCTGTGACGCCTCCCACCCATGTCTTCCCCTCTGGGCTTTGGTGGGGTCTCTAATCAGAATCATAGGCCACTCTCCAGCTCTGGGCTGTCAGGTGAGGGGTGAGACCCTGGGCAGGGAGGGATGGGCCAGGACATGGGGGCCAGAAAACCTTAGACACCCTTCAGATGAGCTCAGCCACCTCTTCCCAATCCCCTGACTACACCTCCTCCTCATGGATGAAGTTGCAACCCTTGGTTCTACAAACTCCTCCGCTTCCCTCTCTGGTTGACTTCATCACCTTGAAACAGTTTCCGAGATGCTGAGAGAATTGGCAGGAGAACACCCAGGGATACTCTCCTTATCTCCTATGCCTCAATTTTAAATTATTTAAGTCTCTCTTGTCCCAAACAGAGGGTTTGCGCTGCCTTTCCTCCATCCCAGGTCCAATTTTCATGTGCGACGACAGTAATAATTGCTGCCAACTAGGAGTACCTGGGTGTGTCAGGCTCTATGTCAAACACTTTATAAATATGATTAAATTACATCCCTGCATTCTTGTTAGGAAAAGACTTGCTTCCTCTCTCCCATTGGTCTCTGTACGCACTGGCTCCCCTTCATCTTCTGCCATGAGTGGAAGCAACCTGAGGCCCTCAACAGATGCAGATGCCCACTCTTGAACTTCCGGCCATCAGAAGCTTCAGCCAAAGAAATCTTTCTTAAAATTTATAAATTTCTCTGCCTCAGATATTCCTTTATGGCAATAGAACATGGACTAAAACACCAGGGGAGGAAGGACAGAAGGTCACCTTTGCTTCTCAGACAGTGCCTTCCTTGGCAGAGTCTCACCTGTGCTTGAGTGAGGAGGGCGAATAGGAGTTAAGCCACTCAAAGTGTGGTTCTTGGAGGACAAGCAGCATGAGCCTCACCTGGGAGCTGCTGGACATAGAGACTCTGGGGCCCCACGCAGACCTGCTGAGGCTGCATCTGCATCTTAAACAGACTCCACAGGGGATTTGTTTGCTCACTGGAATTTCAGAAGCTCTGGTCTAAGCCACAGTGGAAAATCTCACTTCCTCTGCTTTAGACAACAAACCCCTGTCTCCCCCAAGTATTTCACAGGCCACCAGGGTCGGGTGCTTAACTGCCCTGCCCTCATCAACCTGAGCTTGATTCCAGTGTTAGGCCCTGTCATATACGCAAGAAACGTTTCAGGAACAGACAATTTTATAATCTAGCTGGGCATAGCCCTGGAGAGAGCACAATATATCAATGAGATTTCCAGAGAGAAATAGATGGTTCATGCCATTGTTCTTTTGTTATCACTCAGCTCCAATTAGTTTGGACTCCTTATTTCCAGACATATTATGTTTTCCTCTATGTTCTAGCCTCTCTATTTTTCTCTTTGACTGAATCCTTTCCCGTGTGAGACCCCACTCCTGACCCCCAGAACATTTGGACACACAATATTGCAATTTTTTAGCATTTATCAGTAAGTATCTTCACAGTTGGATATGGGATATCCAGGTTTTTTGCACAGAATAACACCCCCTCCAATATCGGCACCACAAATCTTACTTTTTATGATGCTCTAGCAAGTCTGGAAAATCACAAACAGTAATGTTTCCCTACATGAAAACATTTGATGTGACTGTTGAGATGATCACGTGGTTTTTGTCTTCTGTTTTGTCTGCATCTTCACCAGCACTTGTTATTTTTTTGTCTTTTTAATGATAGCCTTTCCAGCTGGGGTAAGATGATGTCTCGTTGTGGCTTTGATTTGCATTCACCTGATGATTAGTGACGTTGAGCATTTTTTCATATGCTTGTTGGCCACCTGTTTATCTTCTTTTGAGAAAAGTCTATTCTGATCCTTTGCCCCCTTTTCAATGATATTACTTGATTTTTTGGTTGTTTGCTTGCTTTTGAAGCAGTGTCTTTCTCTGTTGCCCAGGCTAGAGTGCAGTGGTAAGATCATGACTCACTGCAACCTCCACCTCCTGGGCTCAAGTGATCCTCCCACTTCAGCCTCCCAAGTAACTGGGACCACAGGCTCACTCCACCAAGGCTGGCTAATTTAAAAAAAAAAATTTGTGGAGATGAGGGTTTCATTATATTGCCCAAGGTGGTCTCAAACTCCTGTGCTCAAGCAATCCTCCCACCTTGGCCTCCTAACTGCTGGGATTACAGGTGTGAGCCATCACATATGGCCTATTATTTTATTTATTTATTTTTTCTTCGAGACGGAGTCTTGCTCTCTCACCCAGGCTGGAGTGCAGTGGCGCGATCTTGGCTCGCTGCCAGCTCCGCCTCCCGGGTTCACGCCGTTCTTCTGCCTCAGCCTCCAGAGTAACTGGGACCACAGGAGCCCGCCACCACGCCCAACTAATTTTTTGTATTTTTAGTAGAGATGGGGTTTCACCGTGTTAGCCAAGATGGTCTCGATCTCCTGACCTCGTGATCCGCCCGCCTCAGCCTCCCAAAGTGCTGGGATTACAGGCGTGAGCCACCGCGCCCGGCCGTTTGTAGCATATTTTGAATTAGGTAATGTGATGCCTCCAGTTTTGTTTTTTGCTCAGTGTCATTTTGGCTATACTGGGTCTTTTGTGGCTCCATACAAATTGTAGAATTGTGGGGTTTTTCTTCTATTTCTGTGAGGTATGTCATTGGTATTTTGGTAGGGATTTCAGTGAGGCTGTAGATTGCTCTGGGTTATAAGTTTTTTCTTTTCATATTTTATAAATATAGCTCCACTACTTCCTGCTTGCATTGCTTCTAATAAAAATTCTGCTCTTGTCATTGTGTTCACCTGTATCTAACATGTCTTTTGCCTCTGACTTTTTTTTTTTTTTTTTTTTTGAGATTGAGTCTTGCTCTGTTGCCCAGGCTGGAATGCAGTGGTGCGATCTCAGCTCACTGCAACCTCTCAGGTTCAAGCAATTCTCCCTGCCTCAGCCTCCCGAGTAGCTGGGATTATAGACGCTTGCCACCACATCCGGCTAACTTTTTTGTATTTTTAGTACAGACGGGGTTTCATCATGTTGGCCAGCCTGGTCTCAAACTCCTGACCTCAGGTGATCCACCTGCCTCGACCTCCCAAAGTGCTTGGATTACAGGCGTGAGCCACCTCGTCTCTCTGGCTACTTTTAAGGCTACATTTCTTCACCACATTTCTTCATCATCATTTTAGCATAAAATTGCTAAAATGTTTTTTAGCAATTTGATGATGATGAGTGTTGTTGTTTTCTTTATGTGGGGTGTGAGTGTGTGTGTGTGTGCGTGCACACACGCTCTGGAGTGTTCTCTCAAGTGTCTTTGGATGGTTCTTTTCTCTTCCAGAGGTTGTTTCCTCCCACATATGTGCTCATCGGTGCTCACGAACATTTGCAGACTCCAGAGTCCTCTCTCTGTGCAACTCTCTCCTCTTTGTTACTCTTCCCTTTGGACTGTTTTGGTTTGTTTTTAAATCTTTTAATTCCCCAGACTCCTACTCTGAGAGGGGGAATTCCATGCAGTGAGGTTTAGGGATATATTCTCAGGAAAGAAGTATGGGAGGCATGAGTGGGAATGTGTTACAATTGAGTGCTCAGCTGCAACACACTTCAAGGCCATCCTAAATTAAGGCCTGACTTTGGGATTGAGGCATCAAGCAGTCATTGCACCTGAGCCACGCTCTGACATGGGCAAACTTTTGGGGGAGGCCATTCTTTGCAATCAATGGCATTTTCCGGTGGGGAGCAGCTGTGAGAAGCCAGGGCCTCCCGGCAGCTTTGGGTGTATGGCGGATGGGTGAGCCCTGAAAGGGGAATCTTGATGGACACCACACTGCCCATTGTGGTGGCCCTCCCTGTTCAGAATATGAGGATGTCATGGAGCTGGGGCTTGAGGGTCTCAGTTAAACCTGAGAAGTTCAGAATGATCTGGGGCATTTGGGCCACAGAAAAGCAGCACTGCCTTAGGTCCAGTCACCATACAGAAGGAAATCCAGGGACCATTACCACTCAATGGCTGTCTCCCTCTGACTATCCTTACACTCAGGTCATCTTAAGCCAAGACACAGCCACTCTGGACAATACCAGGACAGTCTGGTCCTGCCAGCCCCAAGTCCTCTCCTGACCTAACCCACTCTCTTCAGAGTCTCCCTGGAGGGCTTGGAGGTCAGGGCACCCTGGGGTCTCAGATCCAGGAAAACTGAGCCAGACCTGCCCATGGCTGTGTCCACAGTCCTGCTGGGGCCGGAGGAAGTGAGTGACACAGACAGAAAAAGGGTTTGTGTCTCACTTTTCCATCTGCCTGTGTCACTGTGAGTTGAGTAGCATGGTTGTCTATCAACTGATAGTAATAATCAGCCTCATCCTCAGCCTGGGCCCCAGTGATGGTCAGGGTGGTTGTGTTGCCTGATTTGGAGCCAGAGAATCGCTCAGGGATCCTTGAGGGCCGGTCACTGCTATCATAGATGACCAGCACGGGGGCCTGGCCTGGCTTCTGCTGGTACCAGTGTTCATAAGAGCCTTCCATGCTGTCTCCCTGGCAGGTGATCCTGGCCATTTGTCCCAAGGCCACAGACACTGCAGGCACCTGAGTTGGCCCAGAGGAAATAACGGAGCCCACAAGAGAGGACAGGAGAGGTGAGTCTGAGGATGAGGGCCTCATTCCCAGAACCCCACACCCTGCATCACTCCCTATGTTGAGTTGAAGGTCAGGGCCAGGCTGATCTTGATCCCACTGGGGGCTGAGCCCTGGGAGGCAGCACCTGTGCAGAGAGTGAGGACGAGCAGGGGAGGGGTCCAGGCCATAATGGAAATGCCCCAGAGCTCTGCCTCTGAGTCCACAGCTGGGAAGGGACCTTCAGGCCTTTCTTATCATAGAAAGGGGAGTCTCTTCATGCAACTCTACTTCCTTTATTCTTAATTCTTTGTTAGTTGGTTCCCTGTTAAGCAGCGGATGTAAATCTGCTCTCCATTCTTTAAAATGTATGTCGAAGTTCTTGTCTGACCCTATGTCTGAGGACATTCTCTGCGTAATTTTTCAAGAGTAGAAGAGTCAGGTGGGTTTCAGGATTCCACTCAATAGAAGGGGCCAGAAAGGAAATGACTCAAGTACTACCAGGGACTTGGAGCCATTAGTGTCCCAAACCAGGGGTCACAGTGCCCCCTGGTGCCCACAGGACAAATGTCATCCTGTATGTATCAATAGATCATACAGCAGAATGGCTACCTTCGATTTTTGCGGGGCGGGGGTTAGTTTTTGTGTGTGTGTGCGTTTGTGTGTGTGTGTGGTGGAGTCTCACTCTATCGTCCAGGCTGGAGTGCAATGGCACGATCTGGGCTGCAGAATGACAACCTTTTTTTTTTCCTTTTTGTGATGGAGTCTCACTCTATCATCTAGGCTGGAGTGCAATGGCACCATCTGGGCTCACCGCAACCTCCGCCTCTCAGGCTCAAGCTATTCCCCTGCCTCAGCCTCCTGAATAGCTGAGATTACAGAAGGGCACCACCATGCCTAGCTATTTTTTTTTTTTTTTTGTATTTTTAGTAGAGATGGAGTTTCACCATGTTGGCCTGGCTGGTCTGGAACTCCTGGACTCCAGTGATCCCCCACCTCGGCCTCCCAAAGTATTGGGATTACAGGCATAAGCCACCATGCCTGGCCTACTTTTGAGCCCTTAATATATGCCAGATGCATTGGTGAGTGTTTTACAAGCATAACTTCAAGAAAACTTGCATCATATGGAGTAGGAAGATGAGGAGCCCTATGCTCAGGGCCCAGATTTTATTAGGGAATCAATATTGGGAGGTGAAGTTTTTTCCCCAAGTTCCCCAGACAGTAGTGAGTGGAGTCCCAGTTCCATCCAGGAAACGAACCTCAGAGCATGACCTTCCAGCCCCTCCCTGCCCTGCCTCCTGCACCCTGCTCCATCTGTTCCCCCTACCCAAGGTCTTTGGGGTCCCTCTTGTTTTCATTTGCCAGTGCTGCCATCACAAGATACCAAAGAACTAGTGGCCTCAACAGCAAAACTTATTTTCTCAGTGCTGAAGCTGGAAAGTCCAGGGTGAAAGTGTTGGTAGGACTGATTTTCCCTGAGGCCTCTCTCCTTGGCTTGCAGGTCGTTACCTCCTTGCTGTGACCTCACATGGTCTTTCCTCCGCCTGCTCATCTCTGGTGTCTGATTTCTGTGTGTGCAAATTTTCTCTTCTAAGGAGAACACCAGTCAGACTGGATAAGAACCCACCCTCATGACCTCATTTTCACTTAATCACCTCCATAAAGACCCTGTCTCCAAATTTAGTCACACACTGTGATTAAGGCTTCATTGCATGAATCTTGAGGGACACAATTTAGCCAATAAGCCTCCACCCTGTGGACTCCAAAGCTTATTTCTTTCTCACTTGTAAAACACATTCACCCCATCCCAGTAGCCCAAATCATTAACTAACTCAGCACAAACTCTGAGACCCAAATACCTCCAAATAAAGTGTGGATGAGACTCCGGGTGTGATTCTTCCTGAGGCATTAAAAAATAACAGCTTTAGGAAAATTTTCCTCCTCTTTCCTGTCATCTGGGTGTTCAAAAAAGTCAAAGCTCCCACTTTATTTGCTAAGATTGAAAGAGGCTTTGCTCCTGTTTCCTTCTTTCTCCCTTCCTGAGACTGAGGGGCAGTCACAGCTGCTGGCTGGCGAGCACTTATGGAAAACGCAAATGGGTCAGTTGAAAAGATTGGCAGTTGGGCCAAGGTCCCCACAGAGAAGGGATCCCATACCACTTGCTGCTGCGTGCACGTCCAAGAGTCTCCTTTCCCCAAAGAGACTTTGGGCCTGATAGATTTAACTTTGAGTCTCTGGCTGATTTCCTCTTAAACAAACCTCAGTTCTTTCTCAAAAACTTTCAAGTAATGGAAATTGTCCATTTCAAGTCCATATTGCCCTCTCTGTTGGCTGGGCATGGTGGCACACACCTGTTGTCCCAGCAACTCAGGAGGCTGAGGTAGGAGATGGAGCCACTGCACTCCAGCCTGGGCTACCGATTGAGAACCTATTTTTTTTTTTTTTTTTAGATTGCCCACTCTGAGTCTACTTAAGCTTAGAAGTCCTAGATCCAGTTAGCACCTGTGTGTCAAATGCCATGTTTATCTCCTGGTGCATTATGACCAGGGGAGAATGCACCATTGGCAGGTGCTTCAGAAGAAAATAGGCCAGGGCTGCTGCAAGCCCTCCTGGTGAGTCAGCGAGAATATGCAGTGGGTGTGTGCTACATAGGGACCAACAGGCACAGAACACACGCTGCTGTTCCCAGCTCCAGGACAGCTCAGACAACTAAAGAACCTGCCTTCAGCTGGTGGCTGCCTACCCTGTAAGCAGTGTCCACATGGTGCTTGGGCAACACAGTTGATGGGGAATGAAAAGCAAAAGACACTTGGGATTTGAGTCTATTTCTTTATAATCTGAGATTTTCATTTCATGGCGATTTAGAGAACCAAAAATAGCATCTCTCCCAGAACGGAATCATTTGTCACAAGCTATTATCAAATATGCCCTTCAAATTGTGTCCAAATTTGTCCAGATGTTTTCAAATTATGCTTAACAAGCAAATTAAGATACCATTAATATTGTGTGTATCACCAACGTGCTCTTAAACCATCACTCATGTAATGCTCCAGGGCCATGCACTTCAGTCTGAATTTGAGGACAGGGGCAGGGAGGGATCTGTGCATGAGCACAGGAGTGACCGTTGCTCATCTTCTCATCCACAGACATACGAATCTGTCCACAAGTGACAGGGACTGAATTGCTTAAACTGCAAGCTCCAGGTTACTGTAATCAGAGGCCACATTTGGTATTGCACTCCAGTAAGTATGTAGTTGTGACTTCTGATGATCTTTAGAGCTATTTTAGGTCATTCTTTATGAAAAAAAATCCTCATCTTCTCAGAATGCAAGATGGATTGCAAACACTGCATATTTAATAGGAAAAACAGGGAAACAGCAGGAGAGACGAGTGGAGAGAAAGCACAGCTATTTTTATAGTGGCAGAAAGGATAGGCATGTTACAGATGCTATGTCAAGGAGCAACAACTCTCCTATTCCTGCATGGCCCAGGTGAAACAGCTGCTATAAGTCCAATGAAAACAGAGTCTAGAAAAGCATTTGGTAAAGATCCTCTACTCCATACCTAAGCTTTGACTAATTACACATAGAAAGACCAAGGAACCTGTTCAAATTTAAAATGCTCTGATAAAAGTAACTAATTGCTCAGTTTCACAGTAGCATGACATTTGGAAGCTATGTAGCTAAACTAGGCTGGGGTTAAAAAAAATTAAATCGCGGTTATTAAGAAGTCAATATGGAAAGAAAAAGTCTGAAAACACTCCTAGTTCAAATTGTACCCATTTTCAGTGGTAAAACTCAGGATAGGGTTTACCTCCGATTTACCTGATAACCAATGTGACTGAGCTGCCAAGACAGCTCTGGACATGGGGCAGAGGCCCTTTATCCTGTCCCTGCTGTGAATGCCCCTTCTTGCCATCCCTCCAGGTAGGTCTGAGTGCACCCCCAGGGTCCTGTGCTGGTCCCACTGCTCCATGGTGCCTTCCCTCTGACACTGGGATGCTACCCACTGTGGGGAGCTCCCCTTTTCCCTGACTTCATCTACATCTGCCAAAGAGGTTAGGGACAGTAGAAGCCCCCTCAGGCTGGGCCTGGCCACCTGCTCTGGCCTCTGAATGCAGCCCCGCCTGACAGCTTGGCTGCAATTTCATGAGGAGCCCAGAGTCAGAACCACCAAACTAAGCAGCTCTCAGATTCTTGATGCAAGAAAACTACAAGATCACAAATACATTAATATGGTTTGGCTCTGTGTCTCCACCCAAATCTCTTCTCAAATTGTAATCCCCATGTGTTGAAGGAGGGACTTGTAATCCCCATATGTTGAGGGACGGAAGGGATTGGATCATGGGGGCAGTTTTCCCCTTGCTGTTCTCGTGATGGGTAGGGAGTTACCATGAGAGCTGATGGTTTTAAAAGTGTCTGGGGCCAGGCACAATGGCTTGCGCCTGTAATCCCAGCACCTTGGGAGGCCTAGGTGTGCAAATCACTTGAGGTCAGGAGTTCGAGACCAGCCTGGTCAACATGGTAAAACCCCATCTCTACTAAAAATATAAAAATTAGTCGGTCTTGGTGACGCATGCCTGTAATAACAGCTACTCGGAGACTGAGGTAGGAGGATCACTTGAACCTGGGAGGCAGAAGCTGCAGTGAGCCGAGAGCACGCCACTGCACTCTAGCCTGGGCAACAGAGTGAGACTCCATCTCAAAAAAAAAAGTATTTGGAAGTTCACCCTCCCCAGCTCTTCTCACCTGCCACCTTGTGAACAAAGTTCTTGCTTCTCCTTTGCCTTCTACCATGATTGTAAGTTTCCTGAGGCCTCCCCAGCCATGTGGAACTGTGAGCCAGTTAAACCTCTTTCTTTTATAAATAAGGTATTTCTTTATAGCAGTGCGAAAACAGATTAATGCATATGTGTTCTCATTAAGAATATGTTAATTTTAGGAGTAATTTTTATGCAACAATAGACAACTAAGGCACTTTATGTTTACTAGAATCTATTTAATTCAGGTTCATGAACTCTAAACTACAATAATAACTATGTTTAAAGATTGGCTCACAAAATTCCAGAGAATTTAAATACTGGACTCTGGATATGTCTGAATATTTTTAAAATTTTTAATTCTCACAGTCTGTCGATTAATCAGGATTCCAGCTAGAAATTGATGATTTCCCCAGAAAAATTAGATATATTTGATGCCCATGAGAAAGAGTGGGTGTGTTCAGCTCAACTCTTCCCTGTGGAGCCATTTTGGAAACTTCCATACTATGGGGAGATTGTCCACCTGTAGGGTGTTTCCAGGACAGGGACTCAGTGATGTGAGAGGAGGAGGATCCTGAGAGGGCACCAAGTCTGTCACTCAAATACTCCCTAGCTCGGCAACCTGAGATATTAGGGCAAACAGGATGGACCCTACACACACACACACACACACACACACACACACACACACACACACTTCTTCCTCTTTGTTTTCATTGCTTTAAAACATCTTTGGAGCTTTACACAGTGGTTACTGCTTCCACAAAAGATGTACATGAATAACCCAGCAAGGTGGGCTATCTTCACTAGAGTGGGGTGTTCACAGAGCAGTGGTCCTTTATCATTGAAGAGGACGTCATTTCTGAAGAACTGAATCCAGGCTGTGCTACACAATGTGGGAAGTGGAGGCATTCGACGTAAGGATTTACATTGACGACTTTAGTGCATACAAAAATAAAAATAAATAATAAAGTGAGGATCATCCGGAGAAGTATGGGGACTGCACTAGGCAGGCATTTCCCTGCCGGTATGTACTTCCTGTTAAAGAGCTAGAAGTAGTTTCCAATTCAGAGAGGACATCCGTCATACGAGTGAAGAAGAAGCTGTCATATCCCGGAGAGTAAACAAGAGAGGAGGTTTCCTTTGGGAATTGATGGAAAAGGAGAGGAGCTGACAGAGAAGTGAATTCTCAAGGCCCTGTTGCAGGAAGCCCCTGGCACAGGGTGAGGAAGCATCTTCAGAGCAAAGACAGAGCCTGAGAGCCCAGGGCAGGTTTTGGTCTCAGTTCCCTAGGAACTTGGACCACTATGGAAAGTGTAACTACTTGAATATAAGCTGCAGTGATAATTAGCCTCAACCTCGGACTTGAGCCCAGAGATGGTCAGGGAAGCCATGTTGCCAGACTTGGAGCCTGAGAAGAGGTCAGAGATCCCTGAAGGCCGAGTATTGACATTGTAAATCAGGAGTCTGGAGGTAGTGCTGAGACGCTTTTGGTACCAGAAGACATGATCATAATCCCCAACGTCACTGCTGGTTCCAGTGCAGGAGATGGTGACCGACTGTCCAGGAGCCCCGGACACAAAAGGAGGCTGAGTCAGGGCAGATTGGGCCCAGGACCCTGGAAAGAGGGAGAAACACACTCTACTGGGTCAGTACTGGGTCCAGTGACCCTGAGGAGCAGGAGCAGAAGACCAAGCATCAGCTCAGAGGTCCCCAAGGCCATTTCCCTGGAGGTGTCACCTGTGCCCTGAGTGAGGAGGGTGAGGAGGAGCAGAGCCCAGGCCATGGTGGAGATGTCCCGAGAGCGCTGCCTTGAGACCCCAGCACCGGGCCTGCCTCTAGCCCTGTCTTATCCCCCCGCCTCAGAGGAGGGCAGGGCCTCCATGCAAATCTGTGTCCTGAGCTCCTCTCCTCACCCCACCCTCACCTGGGCCTGGGCTCAGAGACTTCTGCTTCCCTGTGAGGCTCAGCTGAGGGTATTAATCCAGCCTAGGCATGGATTTCCTGAGACTGAACCCATGAGAGTGCCCAGGACATCAGGCCAGTCCAGAGATATCCTAACCCTCACTATTGCAGGAGCTCCAGGCTGAGGAAACCAGGACTTCTCCTTTGTGCTGTGAGGGATGAATGTGAGGACAGGCTGCTCCCAGGCCGGGTGGGAAAGTTCAATCACTCCTCCTCCCAGAGACTTCAGACAGTGCTGGAACTTCTCATTTCCCTCATCCCCTGCCCAACCATCTTGGTCCTCTCAGCTAAGGTGGGTTCTAAGCACTGCTACATCCCCTGCCCCTGCAGTGGTTTAAAGCTGGGGCCTGACATGTTGAACTAGGACCATTAATGGTGCTTCTAAAAAGGAATTCACTGGGCCACAACAGATTTGGAGCACTGCTTCCCAGTACCTTTAGAGATATTCAAGGGTAAGTAGCTCTTGGGATTTCTTTTTTTTTTTTAATGGCTTTTTATTAATGAGCAGCTGTTCATAGTTAATCATAAAGTCACATTCTTTTTTTTGAGATTCAGGGACTTTTTTTTTTTTGAGATGGAGTCTCGCGCTGTCACCAGGCTGGAACACGGTGGCGCCATCTCGGCTCACTGCAACCTCCAACTCCCTGGTTCAAGCAGTTCTCCTGCCTCAGGTTCGCGACTAGCTGAGATTACAGGCATAAGCCACCACGCCCAGCTAATTTTTGTATTTTTAGTAGAGACGGGGTTTCACCACGTTGGCCAGGATGGTCTCGATCTTCTGACCTTATGATCCACCCTCCTCAGTCTCCCAAAGTGCTGGGATTACAGGTGTGAGCCACCGCGCCCGGCCGACTCAGGGGCTTCTTAAAGGTCAGGATAAACTTTATCAATCATCTTCTCCAACCTAGTCCCCTGCTGCCCCCTGGTGGCCTCAGATGGTTCATCTCAAGTACCAAGACACAATTCTAAGTGAGAGATAGAAATACCTGGTTTGGTCCCACTCCAACCTGCCTTTTTCTCCTCCCAGCTCAGGACCAGACCCTCGATCCATGCTAATCTTGACCCTTTTCCTCAGACTTTTTCCATGATGAATGTGTCCTCTGCCATACCAGGTGGCTAAGATACTCGTTCTCAGGACCGTTTTGCTTGTGCTAGAATGGCTTTGTCAAAGGTACATGAGGTGTCTTAGCTCCAGGCTGAGAAAATGTTAGATGTAAAATGAACTAACCTCAGTATGAGCACTGGGTGAGAAAAATGGTATGAGAAAAGACCACCTGGGTTCTCAAAATGTCTTCTTACATGCACAGGGTATATTCTCCAGGAGAGAGCTCATGTTTGGTCACAAAACAAGTCTTAAGAAATGTAAGGAGAATTAAATCATTCCAAAAATCTTTTTTTACAACAAGAAATGAATCTGGAAATTAATAACAGTAAAAAAAAATGGAAAAATTCACAAATAGGCAGAAATCAAACATCACATGTTGAACAAGCATTGGGTCAAAGAGGAAAACCAAAGGGAATTTTAAAAATATCTTCAAATGAAAATTAAAACACAGCACACCAAACCTATAGGATGCAGTAAAAGCAGTGCTAAGTGGGAAGTTTATGGAGATAAGCAAACATTAAAAAAGAAGAAAGATCTCAAATAAGCAACCTAAAATTATAACTCAACGAACTAGAAAAAGAGGAACAAACTAAGCCCAAACTTAGCAGAAAAAAATGAAATAATAAAGATTACAGCAGAAATAAATCAAACAGATAATAGAAAAAAACAAAACTAAGAGATGGTTTTCTGAAAAATTAAACGAAGTTGACAAATCCTTAGCTACACTGTGAAAAAAGAGAGAAGACTCAAATAAAATCCAAAATGAAAAAAGGAGCTATTACAACAGATTTCTCAGAAATAAAAAGGCTCACACCTGTAATCCCAACACTTGGGAGACCGAGGCAGGTGGATCTCTGGAGCCCAGGAATTCAAGACCAGCCTGGGCAACACAGTGAGGTCACATCTATACAAAAAAAAGAAGAAAAGAAAGAAAGAAAGAAAGAAAGAAAGAAAGAAAGAAAGAAAGAAAGAAAGAAAGAAAGAAAGAAAGAAAGAAAGAAAGAAAGAAAGAAAGAAAGAAAGAAAGAAAGGGAAAGGAAAGGAAAGAAAGGAAAGAAAGGAAAGAAAGGAAAGAAAGGAAAGAAAGGAAAGAAAGGAAAGAAAGGAAAGAAAGAAAGAAAAAGAAATTATCCAGGCATGGTGGTGCATGCCTGTAGTCCCAGCTACTCAGAAAGCTGAGGTGGGAGGATTACTTGAGCCTGGGAGGTTGTGGCTGCAGTGAGCTGTGGTCAAGCCTCTCCACTCTAGCCTGGGTGACAGAGAAAGACCCTGTCTCAAATAAATAAATAGGATCATAAGGGACTATTTTGAAAAATTATACACCAAGCTAGATAAATTAAAAGACATAAATAAATTCCTAGAAACAGTCAACTTAAAAAAAAAAGCAAATCAATAAAAAATACAAAGCCTGAACATACCAATAACAAAGAAGGAGATTGACTCAATAATCAAAAATATCTCAACAAAGAAAAGCCCAGGACCAGATGGCTTCATAGCTGAATGTTCTACCAAACATTCAAAGATGAGTTAATATTAATTCTTCTTAAAGTCTTCCAAAAAATAGAAAAGGGAACACTTCCAAAATTGTTTTATGAGGTCGGGATCACCCTGATACCAAAACAAAGCAAAGACAACACCAGAAAAGAAAAAAAACTGCAAGCCAGTCTACCTCTGATAAACATTAACAGATATTAAATGCAAAAATTCTCAGTAAAATACTAGCAAACCAAATTCAACAGTATGTTAAGAAGATCATACATCAGGAACAGGTGGGGTTTATCCCTGGATAAAAGGATGATTCCGCATGTGCAAGGATGGTATAGCGCATCCACAGGCTGAAAGATTCACACACACACACACACACACATATGATTATGTCCACAGATGTACAAAAGGCATGTGGCCAAATTCAACATCCATTCATGATTTTAAATGAAGATGAAGAAGGAGGAGGAGGAGGAAAGAAAAAAGAAGAGGAAGAGGAGGAGGAGGAGAAAAGAAAGGAAAAGAAAAGGAAGGAAAGGAAAAAAGGAAAGGAAAAGAAAAGAAAGCAATGGAAAAAAAAGGAAAAGAAAAGAAAAGAACTCTCAACAAAATAGTGATAGGCCGGGCACAGTGGCTCATGCCTGTAGTCCCAGTATTTTGAGAGGCTAAGGCAGGAGGATCGCTTGAGCCCAAGAGTTCAAGACCAGCCTGGGCAACATAGCAAAATTAATCTCTATTATAAAATAAATATTTAAAAAAACAAAAATAAAATGAAATAGGTACAGAAGAAACTTACCACAACACAATAAAAACCATATGTGAAAAGCCCACAACTAACATCATAATCAATGGGAAAAAAACAGAAGCTTTTCCCCTAAGATCCCACACAAGGCAAGATGCCCCCTCTCCACTTATTTTAATTCAACATTGCACTGGAATCCCTAACCAGAGAAATTCGACAAGAAAAAGAAATGAAACGCATCCAAATTGGAAAAGAAGGATTAAAATCCTAATCTTTGTGTGCAGATGACATAAACATAAGTGTAGAAAAACCTAAAGACTCCACAATAACAAAAAGTCTGTTAAAACTAAATTAAGTAAATTTGAAGGATAAAAAAATCAACATACAAAAATTGATGACGTTTCTACACACAGACAGTAAATATATGAAAATAAAATTAAGAAAGCAATCACATTTACAAAAGGAATTAGTACTTAGGAATAAACTTAACGAAGGAGGTGAAAGAGTTTTACACTGGAAATTATAAAACAGTGATGAAGAATGTTAAAGAAGATACAGATAAATATCAAGACATCTCGTGTTTATAAATTGGAAGAACTAATATTCTTAAATGTTCATACTACCTAAAGTGATCTCCAGATTCAATGCTAGACCTATCAATACACAAATGTCATTCTTTATAGAAATAGAAAAAATAGGCCAGGCATGGTGGCTCACACCTGTAATCCCGGCACTTTGAGAGGCCGAGGCAGTGGATCACTTGAGGTCAGGAGTTCTAAACCAGCCTGGCCAACATGGTGAAACCCCGTCTCTACCAAAAATATAAAAAATTAGCCAGGTGTGTTGGCACGTGCCTGTAATTTATCAAAAAGATAAACGATAACAAATGTTGGCAAGGATGTGGACAAAAGAAACTCTTGTACACTGTTGAAAGGAATGTAAACTAAACAGCCATTGTAGAAAATGTATGGGGATTCCTTAAAAAATTAAAAATAGAACTACCATATAATCCAGCAATACCAATTCTGGGCATATCTCAAAACAAAATGAAATCAGAATCTTGAATAGATATCTGTTCTCCCATGTCTTTTGCAACATTATTCACAATAGCCAACACATGGAAACAACCTAAATTTCTGATGACAAATGAATGGATAAAGAAAATGTGGTGCATGCACACACATACATACATACATACACACACATACACACACACAAATATTGCCAAGTTTTAAAAAATAAAGGAAATCCCATCATTTGCAACAACATGGATAAAGCTGGAGGACATTATGTTAACTGATATAAGCCAGAAACAGAAAGGCAAATACTGCATGATCTTATTTGCATGTAGAATCTAAAATATTCAAACTCATAGAACCAGAGAGTAAAATGGTGGGTGTCAGGACTGGGGAGGGAAAAGGGAAATGGGGAGATGTTTATCAAAGGGTATAAAAGAGTACAGTGATACAAGATGAATAAGTTCTAGATAGCTAATGTACCGCAATGTGACTATGGTTAACAATATTGCATTATTTACTTTAAATTTGCTAATTTGGTAGATTGTAAGTGTTCTCACCAAAAAAAAAAAAAAAAGAAAGAAGATGATAATTATGTAAGGTTATTTTATGTGAATTAGATTGATTGTGATTTCACACAATTATTGCAGTAATTTCACAACAAATATATCAATGTACAACAAATGTATTAATATATCAAGTTGTATACCATAAATATATAGAATTTTTATTTGTCAATTATATGTCAATAAAGCTGAAAATAATAGTGAAAGAAAAACATTGCATGAAGGAGATACAGCTCACTAGATTTAAGAATGACCTAATGGAATGCAGACCAGGAATTCTAGTGTTTAAGGGTCGGAAAGACGAGGACTAGAGTCAAGATTAGACTAAGGGCGCCAGCTCTGGAGACCTCTCATCAGTGCCTGTCTGTCTATCACACAGAACATGGGACTTTTCTTTGTCTTGCTCCATTGTACACATTGAGGCCACCTCAGCTCAGAGCTGTGTGCCTTCATGAGGGTCCCCCATCCACAGAGAGATGCTTAACCTAGTGTGTTTTTCTAGAAAGAGATGGATATGAGTTTAAAACACTAATCAGGGCTGACTGATCTTTGCCAGATTAAAAATGGAAATGTCCACTCAGGAAACAGGATAGGGATTCTATGGAGGTAAACGTTCTTGGAGGACTATTTGTTGTTGTTTGTAACACATGACAGACACTTGCAAGAGCACCAGAAAGTGAAGCCAAAGGAGCAATGAGCTAAGTGGTGGCACTGGGGCTTGGTGGACAAGGAGATGGGTGATTGGGGAAATGACAGTTTTGAATGTAAGACCCTTGTTTCGCTATGTATGCTTTAAACATTTATGTGCTATATTATATTAAACAATAGTTGAGATAATGTTTATAATTTGAGATAATATTAAAATGGTAATGGTCAATGACCGGCTCAGAAATCCATCTGGGTGCGTGTGTTGGAGCCAGTAGCCCAGATCACTGTAAAGAGAAATTTTCCTGCAAGAAACAGACATCTGAACTTTACCAGGAGCTGCTTTGTCCTCAGTTCCAAGGACACAGTGAGAAAATGGCCTCTATGAGGAAGCAGACAGTCATTAGACACCAAATCTGCCAGCACATTGATCTTAAGACTTCCCAGCCTCCACGAGTGTAAGAAATACATTTCTGTTTTTATAAGCCACCAGTTTAAGGTATTGTGTTATAGCAGTCCAAAGGTATGTGGATAATAACCAATGTACTTTTTAAAAATATGTGGCTGGTCTTGATGGCTCATGCCTGTAATCCCAGCACTTCGGGAGACCGAGGCGGGTGGATCACGAGGTCAGAAGTTCGAGACCAGCCTGGCCAACACGGTGAAACCCCGTCTCTACTAAAAATGCAAAAATTAGCTAGGCGTGATGGCACATGCCTGTAATTCCAGCTACTCGGGAGGCTGAGGCACGAAAATCACTTGAACCCGGGAGTCAGAGTTTGCAGCGAGCCAAGATTGTGCCACTGCACTCCAGCCTGGGCAACAGACCGAGACTCTGTCTCAAAAAATAAAATAAAATATATAATCTGCTTAATTGAAGTTTATATGTTTTAAGGTTTAATGATGATTATAATTTAAAAGTGGCTCACAAAATCAAAGAAAATTAAAAAATGGCTAGAGAACACCCTGCAGGTTTAAAAAATTAATTCTCATGGTTATGAGATTAAATGAGATTCCAGCTAGAAACAGTATTGGCTCACCTTGAAAATAAACTACCCATAGAGTCCTTGAGGAACAGAAGACCCATCCACCAAATAAGCTTTCCTGTGGATCATTTAGGAAAGAGCCCATGCTAACAGGGAGACAGTCTAAGTACAGGACTGTTTCCAGGACAGGGGTTTAATGATCTGCAAAGAACAATGTTCTCGCAAAGAACAATCACTCAAATGTGCCCTGGCTAAGCCCCCATAGATAGACATCGGGTCAAAGACAAAGGAACTCTAAAAAATAAAAACAAGGCCAGGCATGGTAGCTCATGTCTGTAATGCCAGCACTTCGGGAGGCTGAGGTGGGCAGATCACCTGAGGCCAGGAGTTCAAGACCAGCCAGGCCAACATGGTGAAACCCCATCTCTACATTAGCTGGGCATGGTGGCGCGTGCCTGTAGTCCCAGCTACTCAGGAGGCTGAGGCAGGAGAATCGCTTGAACCCGGGAGGCAGAGGGTGCAGTGAGCTGAGATTGCACCATTGCACTCCAGCCTGGGCAACAAGAGCAAAACTCTGTATCAAAAAAATAAATAAAAACAAAGTTAAAAAAAAAAGAAAGCAAATAAATAAAACCCTTTACTTTTATGCTCACTCTCTCAACATCTTCAGATCTTCTCTCAGTTGGTGTTGCTTTGGGAAGAGACCTGCAGAGGAACAAATAACCCAGCAAAGACAGCCATCCTTACTACAGCGTGGTGGATATGGAGTTGAGTAAGACGTTATTTCTGGAGCACAGACCCAGGCCAGTCAGCACAGTGTGGGAGATGGAGGCATTTAATGTGAGGGTTTCATAGAAAACTGCAGAAATGGTACTGAGCAGATGGATCCTATTGCTCTGTCCCTGCCATTGAAAAGTTGGAAAGAGTCACCATGCAGGACCATATCACACAGGAAAAGAAGAAGCTGCCATTGTCCCTAGACAATTAACCAGAGAGCATGTTTCTTTTGCATTTCATTGTTGGAGGGGAGAGGGGCTGAGAGTGGATGAAATTCTCAAGGCCATGTTGCATGAAGCCCTCTTCTGCACAGGGTAAGGAAGCACCTTCATAGCGAGAGAGAGCCTGAGAGACCAGGGCAGGTTTTGGTCTCATTACGCATGAACTTGGACCACTGTGGAAATTGTAGCTGCCTGCATATGAGCTGCAGTAATAATCAGCCTCGTCCTCAGCCTGGAGCCCAGAGATGGTCAGGGAGGCCGTGTTGCCAGACTTGGAGCCAGAGAAGCAACCAGGGGCCCCTGAGGGCCAATTACCGACATCATAAATCATGAGTTTGGGGGCTTTGCCTGGGTGCTACTGGCACCAGGAGACAAGGTCATAACCCCCAATGTCACTGCTGGTTCCAGTGCAGAAGATAGTAACCTACTGTCCAGGAGACCTGGACACTGAGCGAGGCTGAGTCAGAACAGACTGGGCCCAGGACCCTGGAAAGAGGGAGAAATACACTCTGGTGAGTCAGTGCTGGGCCCAGGTGAGTCTGAGGAGCAGGAGACCAAAGATCAGCCCAGAGGTCCCCAAGGCCCCTTCCCTGGAGGCGTCACCTGTGCCCTGAGTGAGGAGGGTGAGAAGGAGCAGAGCCCAGGCCATGGTGGAGACGTCCCGAGAGAGCGCTGCCTCCTGAGACCCCAGCGCTGGGCCTACCCCCAGACTTGTCTTATCCCCTCTGCCTCAGAGGAGGGTGGGGCCTTCATGCAAATCTGCACCCTGAGCTCCTCTCCTCACCCCACTCTCACCTGGGCCGGGCTCAGAGACTTCTGCTTCCCTGGACAGCGGGGCTCAGCTGAGGAGATTAAAACTTGTTGTCTATTCTGATGGTAGGAACTTGATTCCTTTGTACCTAATTTCCTCAAGAGAGAAAGATCTGCTGAAGTCCCTCATCTGAGTGAGCTCCTGGCCCTCAGTGTCTCTGCTGTGTTGTGCCTGTGTCTCTGTGAACCTCCAGGCCTGGGCCACGCCATGGTGCCCTCTGCTTGGCACCCACCTCCAGGCTCTCTAAACTGTGAGGAAATGGGGGTGCCCACCCCATGGAAACCCCTGCTGTGTGTTGTTGGTCTCCCATCTCTTCAGCTGCAGCCTTGTCCCATCCCCACCCCCACCCTTCATGCCGAAGCATCTGCAGCATCAAATCCCTTGAGCACATTAGTCATTCTAGGTCATTCAGGGGCACACGTGGGAGGGGCCTGTGGAGGAAACAAGGAGCAATGGAGCCACAGTCCGCTGCTCCCAATCCTGCCCTTCCCACTCATGAGCAGGTGACTTGTCCTTTTCAGCCTCTGGTTCTCAGCCTGAGAACTGAGGACCACAGGGCCCACCCACTGCCCATGCAGAGGATCTATAGAGAGATGAGTGTGAGGTGGAAAATGAAAGCTTCTAAAATGGGCCATTTCTAGCCTAGTAAGAGCCTTTTTTTTTTATATAGACTTCATACTTATCTAAAGATTTCAGACCGAGCGTGATAGCTCACGCCTGTTATCCCAGCAGTTTGGGAGACTGAGGCAGGAGGATCGCTTGAGGGCAGGAGTTCAAGACCAGACTGGCCAACATGGCAAAACTCCACTTTTACTAAAAATACAAAAATTAGCCAGGCATGGTGGTGCGTTCCTGTAATCCCAGCTACTCGGGAGACTGAGGCAGGAGAATCACTGGAACCCGGGAGGCAGAGGTTGCAGTGAGCCAAGATTAGGCCACTGCACTCCAGCCTGGGTGACAGAGCAAGAGAGCAAGACTCTGTAAAAAACTATATATATATGAAACATATGTATGAAACATATATGAAACATATATATGCAATATATATGAAACATATATATGCAATATATATATGAAACATATATATGGCTATATATATGAATATTGCATATATATGTTGCAATATATATATGAAACATATATATGAAATGTATATGAAACATATATATGAAATGTATATGAAACATATATATGAAACATGTATATGAAACATATATAAGAAACATGTATATGAAACATATATATATGAAATATTTCATTCAACTTTATCTTTTATTTTTTTCCTCATATTACAAAGAAGTGTTATTTCTGCTTTCTGGGTTTTCTTCCATCTCACTGTATCCACAAGCTACAATAAACCAACTTTTTGGCCGGGCATGGTGGCTCACCCCTGTAATCACAGCACTTTGGGAGGCCGAGGTAGGTGGATCACCTGAAGTCAAGAGTTTCAGACCAGCCTGACCAAGATGGTGAAACCCCGTCTCTACTGAATACAAAAAATTAGCTGGTGTAGTGGTGCACGCCTGTAATCCAGCTACTTGGGAGGCTGAGGCAGGAGAATCGCTTGAACCTGGGAGGCAGTGGTTGTAGTGAGCCGAGATTGCACCATTGCACTCCAGCCTGGGCAACAAAAGTGAAACTCCATCTCAAGAAAACAAAAAACAAAAACAAAAACAAAAAACAACTCTTCTTAATCAAGGAGCACATAAGAAACACAGGGGCCGGGTGTGGTGGCTCATGCCTGTAATCCATCACCTTGGGAGGCTGAGGCGGGTGAATTGCTTGAGCCCAGGAGTTCGAGACCAGCCTGGCTGGGCAACATAGTGAGACCTCCTCATCTCTATTTTTAAAATTAAATTAAAAAAGATAAATAGAGTAAACATAGAACCAATGTGAAAATATTTCTCTCTGTTTCTTTCCTCAAATCACTTTTAAAACTCTTTCATCTTTTGATGTTTTCCACTGCCTGTGATTCAGATTGATTTAATTTTCACGTTTAGAATATTATTACTGTTTTCAGGTTCCATTTCGGATGCAGTGGCATATACCACATTTTCTCCAAGCCCAGCTGTAAAACCTGGGACAGAATCCATGGAGCATCAATTTGATTACTTGGAAAAGCAAATCACTGGAGGCAGACTAGGGGAGATACTAGCACTTTTAGTAAAATCAAACCAGCAGAGAGCTTCCCATTTTCCCCCAGTGTCCTGTGGCCTGCACTCAGGGCAGACCAATACCTGGAAGGGGTACCAGTGTGCAGCCACAAAAGTTCCAGAAGAAGCTCCACTGTTCTGGCTTGAAGATGAGAAAGGAAACCCCTAGTGCTCAGGGCAAATTTGAAATGTCCACGTTTTCCTTTTCTTATGTTTGTTCTTCTCTCCATTCTACATGATCCAGCCTCCAGGAAATTCTTCGTGGTGACAGCAGGGACAGTAGAGACTGTGCGGACTTTCTTTTCTCATCTTTGGAGCTGATTTCCAAGACAGTGGCACTTAATCCCCTTACCTTTGTTACTCTTTGTCCTCTTGGTGTTTGGTGTGGACACGGACTCAGTTGCAGGAAGTGCACAGCACCGCAGGCTTATTAAAGTCACAGTTTTTTCACCAGAAACCAAAAGGGAAAGTCTGGGGAACCATAAATAATGGGCAGACTGTGGAGAGAAATAAGTTTGAGGGGGAAAAAACCCTGTAAATTCCTTATGAAATCTTGGGCACAACTCTGAGCTACGTGTGCATGGATCTGATCCAAAATAGAATAAAAAAGGCTCAGGGAACAGAATCAAGGAAGAGACCTCGGACCAGATCCCAGATGACCACTGTGGAGTGATCCAGGCACTCTGTTTCCCAGGGACCAAAGGCAGAGCTGGGGACTGTTTATTCCCACTCAATACCTTCTAGGTTCTCTCAGAATGACCCTCAAATACCTCTGTCCTCTTTCTATGCAGTGCTCTGAGGCTGGGGGCTGAGGCTATTTATTAGCCTTTCTAGAAACGAACATATTGGGACACAACATATTTTGGACATTCCACTCCCCACTTCTCCCTTAGAAGGGTCTCAGGAGGAAGCAGCCCATGGAGCTTCATACACTCCCTGGTTAAACCACAGCAATTCCCTTCCCCAAATCCAAGCCCTTGCCGCCCCCTGGTGGCCTCAGATGGAGGAGCCCAAGCCCCAGGGAGGCGGCTGAGTGGATCTGGAAATCCCTGTCCTGCTCCTGCCCCTTCCCGTTCCTTCCCATCCCAGCTCAGGACCAGGCCTCCTGGTCCCTTCTAATCCCCCCCAGGCTCCTGGCCCTTGGTCCTCTGGCTTCCTCCAGGATGGATGCACCTTCTGCCACACCAGGGGCCCAGACCCTCCCCCGCAGAACCTCTTAGCTTGTCCCAGGGCAGCCTAGTCACAGCGTTAGTGCACCTGAGGCAGCTCTAGAGGCTCAGGGTTACAGAAATATTGTTAGATGGTAAATAAAACCAACCCCAGGAGGAAGGCTGAATGAGAAAAATGGTATGAGGAGACATTGATCAGCTTATCAAAATGGTTTGAAAGAAAGACTAGTTCTAGTTCATGAAGGACAAAGAGCACAGTCAGACTTGAGAACAACTGAATGGACAGCCAGAGGTGAGTTTTTGAATTTGAGGACATGGGAGAAGGGTCAGGGGTCAGGCTGGGGCTAAGGGTTCCAGCTCCAGGGGCCTCTCATTAGACATTAAAGTGATAAGCGGCCCAACGCAGTGGTTCACGCCTGTAATCCCAGCACTTTGGGAGGCCAAGGTGGGCGGATCTCTTGAGTCCAGGAGTCTGAGACCAGCCTGGGCAACATGGCAAAACTCTGTCTCTACCAAAAAAATTTTAAAAATTAGCCGGACATGGTGGTGCATGCCTGTGGTGGTCCCAGCTACTAGGGAGGCAGAGGTTGCAGTGAGCCAAGATCATACCACTGCACTTCAGCCTGAGTGAGAGAGGGAGACCCTATCTCAAAAAAAAGAAAGAAAGAAAAGAAAAGACAAAAAGATAGGTGTAACCCCCACCCAATAACTCAGTTTTCTTTCTCTCTATGAAGTTCTAGAACTCTCAGCATCCCTCCAGTTCAATTCAGATTGACTCTTGCTTTTCCAAAATAAATATCTTGCTAATCTGCCTCCAAAAAATTTTTTTGAGTTATAGGAAAAATTTTTAGTGTACATGAAAGTTAAGTAGAAATATCACCTAAATTCTCACAAACCTATGAAACTATTGTTTCATTTTAGGAACCATCCCACCAGATTTCTTGCCATACTTAAATGTGATGTTTACAAATATGAATTATGTATCTTCCATAAGGATGAACATAGTAAGTTTTGTTCATTTTTCTATCTCTAGCCATAAAAGGTTATTTGGCATATAGTAGACCTTTGGTTAATATTACTGGAAACAATTAGTGATGTATAAATTGAATCAAGGTAACTAAATATATATGATTTTACATAAATAGGATCATATTATACAATCAGGTTTATGAATTGCATTTTGTACCCAAATATTACAGACATCATGATCTTGTTACTTGTATCTTGTCTGTCTTCTCCAAAAAATCCCCATGAGTCCAAACAAAGCACTTTATGTGTTTCCCTCAAACCTGTTGCTCTCCCATCTGTCTCTCTCTTAATAAAAGAAAGTAGTAGCCACGCCATTGACAAAGTCAAACTTCCAGGAGTCAACAACTCTTTGCTTCATGCCCCATATTCAATCCAAGAGCCAATCTGCCAACTCTAATGGTGAATCTCCCAGTCACTCTCCATGACTCTACATGGGACAAGCTTCACTCTCTTGTGCCCAAAGGCCATAAAATGCTCTGCCTGCTTCAATTTTTCTTCCATAAATTTCATACACCATGAATGTTAAATTTCATTCATTTAACACATCAATCACTTCATGTAAAAATGATGGAAGATCTTCAAATAAATTCTCTTTTCATTAACAAAAACATCCAGCCATTTGCCTCTGCTTTCAAGTGATCTGTCTGCACATGATCTGTTGGCTGCCTGTAAGTCCCCTCTCATCTCCTTCCTCTCTTTCCCCAGTCCCACTGGATTTCTTTCTGTTCTTTCAATTATCAAGTTTCTCTCTACCTCAGGGCCTTTGCACAGGCCATTCCTCTGACTGGAATTATCATATCTTCATGTGTTGCATGCCTGCATCCTACTGAGGACACACAAATGCACCCAACAATCCACTCAATAATACCTGCTTGTTGAATGAATGAAGGAGACAACTTAAGTAGGAAGGCTAAGCTATTGGCCTCACCCAAACAGTCTCCAAGCCACATTTAGGCATGTTAGAAAAAAAACTTCCCAGAAAGGTCTGATTGTGGATACCAATTAGACAATTAGAAATAAGTGTGGTTTTTTGTTTTGTTTTTTAGAGATGAGCTCTCACTATGCTACCCATGCTGGTCTTGAGCTCCCGGCCTCACAATCCTCCAGCCTCAGCCTCCTTAGTAGCTGGGATTATAGGCAAGCACCACAACTCTGCTAGAAATAGGTTTTGATGCAATTATCTGTTCCTTTAGCAAACGTCACACTCAGTGCACTGTTTTTACCCTCTTGCTCACTCTCTGCAGTCATCCCATGACTTAGAGGAGGAAGAGGCATGGGATCTGATCTTTCCCACTTTATCCTTTCCTGAAAAACACAATTGTGGTTGCGGAGAAAGCGGAGGACTTACTCATCCCTGCTCTGAATGGGGAGGGTGAGGAACGGATTCCAGCCAAGCTGGGAAATATCCAACATCTTCCTTCACAAGGACCAAAGGCAAGGCAGGGGACCTCTCATTCCTACTCAACCTCTCCAAAGGGTGGATGCTCACACATCTTTCTCACTGTCCTCAGCCCCTACAGTGGCCTGAGACTGAGGCCTGGGGATGTTTATTGGCCTAATCAGAGAAGGCACTGAGTGGAGACAAAAGACTTGCAAGTTCATCCCCTTTGGAGTCCCTGGAGAGAACAAAGCTCTTGGGACCGCCTACAAGTAGGATAAACCGCAGTAGTACCTTGGGGCCATTAGAGTCCTCAAACTCATACCCTTCCTGTCCCCTGGTGGCTTAGATGGGAGGGTCTAGTCACAAGAACAACTGAAGGAGGCCCAGTCATCCGTGTTCTGCTTCCTCTGCACCCTTCCCTCTTTCCCTCCCAAATCTAAGTTTGCTCCTTCTCCCTCCCCTTGTTTACCCTTCTGATCTATGCAGTGCTCCCTCCCTGGTTCCTCGCCCCAGAATGGAATGTGTCACCTGCCATGACTGCTGGCCCAGGTTCTCCAGGCAAAGGGCCATTCGCTTGCCCCAGGGACCCCACTCCACGGGTCGGGTCGCTGCTTGGGAGGTAGGTCTCAGTTCCAGGCCAGAGAAACATTGGATATAAATTGAAGACAACCCTGGTAGTAGGACTGGAGGAGAGAAATGAGACAAAGAAACCCTTTTAGAGTCTCAAAATGTTTGAAATAAAACTTCAGGAGGGAAGAGAGAGAGATCAGGCTGGACTGAGGCTATTCCAGGGCCCACATAAAGAATCTTCCTTCTCAGCAAGTGGGAAGATGTTGGACAATGCTCAGAGGAAGCTTGACCCAAGGGTCTAGATCCAAGGACCTCTCATGAGAGTGGAGTTCTGTTTGAATACACGAGATTCTGGGTCCTCCTTTTGCTGTCACCAATGTCCATCTTTGGAGTCACAAATCAGAGCAGTTCACTAACCTGGAGCGAGGTCTTCCACCCATGGGATGATGCATGATTTCCGTATGTTTTTCTACAAGGACTTGGAAGCAGCGTATAGTAGATTGAATGGCTCCTCCAAAGATACCAGGTGTAATCATTTAGAGGTCTTTGTTTTTAGTCACTCAGTTTATGGTTTGGTCATTTATCACAGCAACTACAGTGAATTAATCCTTGGGGTAAATATCCTACTCTGGAATGACTAGACATTGCAAGTTAGGCTCTTTCAGAAACTTGTTAATGGGGTTTGACCCTTCTTCCTTACTTCCCTCTGAAAATATAGATTAAAAGCTAGGCCGGAAGCTATGGCTCATACCTGTAATCCCAGCAATTTGGGAGGCTGAGGCAGGAGGATCACTTGAGGCCAGGAGTTCGAGACTACTCTGGATAACCTAGTGAGACCCCCCCATCTCAACAAAAAAATAAAAAATAAGCTAAAAAGATTAGAAGCTGTCCCTTTCTTGGTGGCTTATGCATCTTGCCCCGAGAGGTGCCATGCTATACTGACTGACTCCATCATTCAATGTCAGGTGCCTTGCTGCCACTTCATCTTTTGCCACACACCTGGCTCCTATGCTTAAGCCCTGACAATGTGACACTATCACTGCATGGTCCTTCCATCCGTATTGCTATCAACTTCCTTACCAGCTTCCCCTGCTGGCCTGGTCTAGAGAACTACCCACTGAGTTTCTCAAGGATGCTGGATTTCTCTCACCAGTGCACCGCTTATCAATCAATTACAGACTGCAGTCCCCAGGCCCTCCTGAGAATTCTCTCACTTGGGGAGATGTCCATGAGTACCTGGTATTGCCTTTCCAGCTAAGCACTCTCAGAACCCTTCTCTCTCTCTCTCTCTTTCTTTCTTTTCTTTTCTTTCCTTCTTTCCCTCTCTCTCTCCCTTCCTTCCTTTCTTTCTCCCTCTCTCTTTCTTTCTTTTCTTTTTTCTTTCTCTCCTTCCTTCCCTTCCTCCCTTCCCTTCCCCTTCCTTCCTTTCTTTCTCTCCATCTCTCTCTTTCTTTCTCTCTCTCTCTCTCTTTCTTTTTTTCAGGGTCTCACTCTGTCGCCCAGGCTGGAACAGCTGGCTACAGTCTTAAACTCCCCAGGCTGAAGCAATCCTCCTACCTCAGACTCCCTAGTAGCTGGGACTACAGGAGTGTGCCACCATGCCTGACTAATTTTTTTTAATCTTTTGTACAGACAGGGTCTCACTATATTGCCCAGGCTGGTCTTGATCTCCTAGCCTCAAGCCATTCTCCCACAGTGGCCTCCCAAGGTGCCGGGATTACAGGCATAAGCCACCACACCTGGCCTCCCAGGACCTTTTGATTCCTCTCCCACCATCTGCCACAGCACATCTGGCATTATGACCTTGCTTGGTACGGACCATTGCTTTCTCTGTCCTCCTAAGGGCAATCCTTGCGGCGGGCTTGCGGAATGCCTCAATGTCTTTGCTAGGGGGTTAAAGCCTGCGTCCCAGGAGAGTGCTTCCAGCAGATAAACCCTCCCCAATCCAATCTTAGGTTTTGCACTTTGATCTTACACCCTCAGAATCCAGCCCCATACACACTCGCCTGGGGCCCACTGCACGTGTTGGCTGGTTCTGGAGCTCCTTAGTTCTGCAGCAGGTCTATCACATTCCTTGCCAGGTTTCTTTGGGACTCAATTCTAGTTATTGGTCCATTGGTCTTAATAGGAGGTGGTGGCAGATTTCTGGGGACACTTGTGGTGGTGGATACAATCTCACAGGTCAGAGGTCTCTGCATCATCTTCAGGCAAAAGGAAGGGAGACATGGGTTTCAATGAGTAAGGGAGGGCCACTTCTGCAGGTTTGGAAAATTCAAGGACATCAAGATTTTCAGGTGCGTGAATCCAGATGGCCTCGTCCCGTGACTCAGTACCCCACTGTTACCCTGTCAGGGTCCCGATGGTCTGCTACACTTAGGATTAAGTTCTGGGCTTCAGTCTTCCCTGCCCTCTGTCCAAGCAGATGAGAGGGCAGGGAAGGCTCAGGCCCAGAGGAAGAGTGCAAGCCAAAAAGCTTTTCCAGCCCAAGATGAAGCTTTTTTTCAGCCCAGGGGGAAGCTTTTTTTTTCAGCCCAGGAGGAAGCTTTTTGGCTTGCGCTCTGATGGAGTTAAAAATGTACCAGTCTATGGATTAACAAAATGTGGCACATATACACCATGGAACACTATGCAGCCATAAAAATTGATGAGTTCATGTCCTTTGTAGGGACATGGATGAAGCTGGAAACCATCATTCTCAGCAAACTGTCACAAGGACGAAAAACCAAACACCGCATGTTCTCACTCATAGGTGGGAATTGAACAATGAGAACACATGGACACAGTGGGGGAACATCACACACCGGGGCCTGTTGTGGGGGGAGGGGGGAGGGATAGCATTAGGAGATATACCTGGTGTTAAATGACGAGTTGATGGGTGCAGCACACCAACATGGCACATGTATACATATGTAACTAACCTGCATGTTGTGCACATGTACCCTAAAACTTAAAGTATAATAAAAAAAAAAAGAAAAGAAATAAAAAAGTACCGGTCTAGCAAATTGACTATTTAAGTAAAAGGCACTTGAAAACACCAGTTGCAAAAAGATCATTCTGCTGTTTTCTGTTTCTTAAAAGCAGAAGACAAAAGTCCCATGTGAAAAACCCTGTCCCTCCCTATGCTAGAAGGAAAAGCAACATTCTTATCCTCAGGGATGAGAAGTCAAAACTGAGATACTGCTGAACAGACCTTATTATAATAACTTTTATCTTTTAAGCAAAATCAGTGTGGACTGGGAAAATTCCAGGAAGCCTCTAAAAGATTTTCTCTTCTCAGCAGCTGGGAAGAAGTTGGATGGGGCTCAAAGGAATCTCAGCCCAAGAAACCTGTCATCAGAGTGGAGTCCTATTTGGATACACCAGATTCTGGGGCTTTTTTCCCCACATATTTTAGTCGTTTCTTCACAACTGACTATTCTTTGACCAATTCCTTATATAAGTAACTGACTCTAACTGCTTCTTTGGGTCTTCATTTCCTTGTGAGGGCTCCTGTGCCATGTGAAACTTGTATTAAGTAAATTTGTATGTTTTGTCTCCTGCGAATCTGTTTTATGTCAATTCTTGAGCCCAGCTGGTACCCTAAGAGGATGGAGCTGGAGCCTTGTTGCCCCACATCTTCTAGTTTTTCATTGCTAATTAATCATTCCAGCATTTTATCTGTTGCAAATCATCAATCACACTTAGTATCAGTGCTACCACACTGTTCCAACAGAGAAAGCTGTGGAATTGGTTCCTTTAATGTTCTGTTTTCTTCACGTCTCTCAAATGTCTGACTCATGGTCCTGCTTTTTCATTTCCTCCTATAGGTAAATCATCCCTATTCACCACTGGTAAAAAGTTTACACACTGCATTGCTCCACCATGGTAGGGGCTATATGCGCATCTACCCTCGCGCCCCTACCTCCAACTCCCCCATATTGGGGTCTCCATGGCTCCAGAATCCCATCTCTCAAGTGTCTCCTTTCATAGACATTCCTGGTCCTAAGATAACTCAGGACTGTCCTGTTTTAGCACTGAAAGATCTATGTCCTGGGAAAACCTTCGGTCCAGGGCAAACAGAGACAATTGGTAATCTTCCTGGAAACAATGGTCACAAGCTGGGTCTCCTGGAAACAGAAGTTAAGGCGGAGATGAGCACACAGAGTTTTATTAGGGAGTGCTTTGGGCATCGCCTGGAATCTGCCTGGTGAGCAGATCCCTCCAGGGTAGGCAAGTTCAGGAGAGCATTTGCAGGTGAGGGCTGACTTCTGGCTGCATCACACTTTTGTCCTGACAGGGGATCTGGGACATTGGCCTTGACATTGGCCCATCAGCAAATGGCAGATTTCACTTTCCTCAATCAATGAGCTGGGAATAAGAAGTCCTGTGGAGTGTGAAGCATATAAAGCATTTCCAGTAAAATGCCTAACACATTTAAAACTTACAAGCATGTGAACTGCTGCTCAATTGGGGAAAAGCCTCAGATATTTGAGGGAAGGGACTTCAAAGATCCTGTGTCTTTGGTTTTAGGCATGTTTTGAAATCAGCGTGTCATCAGAGGAAGAATAACATCAATAAAATACCTGTAGGTAAATAACTGGACCAGAAGCCCGCTAGACTGGAGGTGTGTGCTGGATTAGGGCCCAGCCTCCATCACCTGTGGTCCACAAGGGAAAGCACTAGAAGGTGCCAGGTAGTTCCTGAAGGAAGTAAACAGATGGTTTCTCTATGTAATCAGTTATTGCCAGAAGATTTTTAGGCATTCCAAGATGCAGGAATTACCATCCTATTTGATTTTTTCTTGAAGAATTTTCCTACACAATCAGTCATAAATAGACACAAGCAGCATGGTTGATGCAAATTAGGAGACAAAATGATAATTTGCAATAGATATAATGTATCACCTATAACCAAAGTTAATATACTGGAGAATGTACAAAAATAATTTCCTGCATACCAAGGTTTACCAGTGAGAGGGCAAGGAAGCCTTGCACAGTACAAATCAGAATGGTACCATATATAGAGAAGATGTCAAAATGTATGGTACCTTAGCTATATCAGATTCCCATTGTTGCTACAACAAGTTGTCAAAAACTTAGGGGCTTAGAATAACAGCAATTTATTTTCTTGCAGTTCTGAGAATCTAAAATCCAAAAGAAGGCTTACAGAACTGAAATAAAATTATCAGCAGGACTGGTTCCTTCTGGAGGTCCCAGGGGAGAATCTGTTTCCTTGACTCTTCCAGCTGCTAGATACTGCTGGCATTGCTTGGCTTGTAGCTGCATCATCCCACCGCTGTTCATGTCTCCTTTTCTGTCCTCAAATCTCCCCCTGCCTCCCTCTCGAAAGGACATCTGTGACTACATTTAGGGCCCATTGCATAATCCAGTATAATGTCTCCCTCAAGATCCTTAATTACATCTGCAAAACCCCTTTTCTCATATAAAGTAATGATATAGCTTGGATATTTGTCCCCTCCAAATCCTATGTTATGTTCTGTGCTCCCAGAGGTTAAGAAAAAGAAAAAGAATGATCCTGGCTAACACGGTGAAACCCCGTCTCTACTAAAAATACAAAAACAAAATTAGCCGGGTGTGGTGGCGGGTGCCTGTAGTCCCAGCTACTAGGGAGGTGGGAGAATGGCGTGAACCGGGAAGGTGGAGCTTGCAGTGAGCTGAGATCACGCCACTGCACTCCAGCCTGGGTGACAGAGCGAGACTCCAAAAAAAAAAAGAAAAGAAAAAAAAGAAAAAGAAAAAGAAGGTGGGAAGTTTTGGGGTCATGGGGGCAAATCCCTCGTGAATAGCTTGGTGCCCTCCCTGTGGAGATCAGTGAGTTCATTCATGAGAGAGCTGGTTGTTTAAAAGAATGTGGCACCTCTCCTCTCCCTCTTGTTCTGCCTTTTGCCATGTGATGCCTCCTCCCCCTTCCACCAAGATTGAAAGCTTTCTGAGGTCCTTACCAGAAACAGATGTGGGCACCATGCTTCTTGTACAGTCTGCAGAACCCTGAGCCAAATAAAACTCTTTTCTTTATAAATAACCCAGACTCGGTTATTCCTTTACAGCAATGCAAAACGGACAAAGACAGGCAGTATTCACAAGTCCCAGGAATTAGGACCTGAATATCATTGAAAGCCACGACTCAGGCTACCCTACCAGCCTTCAAGTCTTACTGAGGCACAGAAAGGAAACATTCTGAGGTGTTGTTCCCAGGATGCTTTGCACAACAGCACACTGACATATTCCAGAAACAAAAGCTGTCCATATCTAATTTTTAAAAGCCACTGTAGTATGATCTTTCTGTCCTCCTTTTCTTGAAAAAGCATTCTAGACTAAATATTCGTGTCCCCCCAAAATTCATATGTTGAAACCTAACCCCTAATGTGATGGTATTTGGAGGTAGGGCCTCTGGGAGGTGATTAGGTCATGAGACCGAAAGTTTTGAGAACCGCTGATCTAGGAAAGATATTTACCAAAAAAGAAAGAAGAGGAGAGGCAAGAGAAGGAAGAGGAAGAGGAGGCCATCCTAGCTCCCCCAGTATCTCACACTAGTAATGGTCAGTATGCAGCAACGACCGCTTTCTCTACTCATTCGCAGTTGGTTCTCTTAGATTTAACAGCTAAATCAACCATAAGTGCAACTATTCATTTCTGTCTCTTCCATTGTAAAACTGTCTTTTATTTCTTTTTACTGTCTTATTTTTGAATTTGCTGGAATAATTTTTGATATCAGCATGCAGTGTGCTGTCCACTGCAAATAGACAAAGAGTGTAGAGAAACACAAGACATAAGTATCATCATTGAAGTATATTTTTAATAGCATAGGCCAGACCAAGCAGAGACCATGGGTCCAGGCAGGGAGTGAGGAGAAATGGGGGTGGTGGGTTTTCCCAAGGGGCCTCTCCACAGTGGAGACCAAGAGACACTACTCCATCCCTTGGCTCTAAACCTAGATCTGCACACCCATCTAATAGCATCTGAACTGTCATCAGCTCTGCCATTTCATTATTGTGCTTTACGCTTGGAAAATCTGCTTTCTAGAACACCACTAAAAATCAATGAATAAAATGACAGAGTGTCTTAAAAAGTAAAGGATGTCTTCTTAACTTCTGAATAGAAGGCACAAGTCTTCTCTGTATAATTAGAATCTCCTCCCCTAGTCCTGACTGCACACAATTACTGAGGATGTACCCTATGGTGACCCCAAATGAGTCATACCCTTGCACAATCTCTTCACTTGAATTCAAGAAGAACCTGTGATTTGCTTCTAACCAATAAATATGGCAAAGGTGATGGAATATCTCTCTTTTCATTAGGTTACATTAAATGGCAAAAGAGCTATGGGTGACCTCTAGGAACTCTAGGAGCTTCGGGCACTGACAGCAAATAGCCCCCCAAAACCTTGGCTTCAGTCATATAGCAGCAAGGAAGTGAGTTCTGCCAGTAAGTTTGGAAACAGAATCTTCCTCAGTTGAGCCTCCAGATGAAAACACAGCCAAGCCAATGCCCTGATTTCAGGTTGGGAAGACCCTGAACAGATGACTCAGCTAAGCTGATCCCAGACTCCTGATCCAGGAAAACTGGGAGATCATAAATGGGTGTTATTTTAAGGTGCTAGGTTTGCAGAAATTTGTTACACAGCAAGAGAAAACTAGAACCTGGATCATCTCAGTCACTTTGGTCAGATCCAGGTGGAGACAAGGTAAGGAGAGAGACCTCGATCATTGAGTACAGGAATACCTGGGCTCACACTGATGCACATCTTCAAATGAGGTGGCCCCTGAGTTGTCTCAGTGCAATAAGAAGCTGTTGTTCTTCCTCCAACCTTGCCACTGAAGAGGGAGACCAAGTCTGCATTCAGAGGCCATTCACTGCACAGAGGGAGGAGGGAGCTTTTATTTTCATTTTTGCAAAGCCAAGTCCCCTGGGAGATGGTTTCTCTTTCCCACATCATTATAAAGAGCAATGAGAGTTGCATAGGGTCCCATTCCTGAAGCGTCCACCCCCTTGGGATGATGAGCAGAAATGAAAGCAAACACCACCATCTGACTGCCTGACTGGTGTGAAGCCCTGTGACACTGGTCACTCATGGCAGATTTGGTCTCTGTTCCCCGTGGACTTGGAGCACATGTGGGTAAAAATGCTATGGTTGTCCCAGAACAAACAGTGACTGTCAGGCCCATCTTCAGGCTAGAGGCCAAAGACGGCCAGGAAGGCCGTGTTGCCAGACCTAGAGACTGAAAATCAAGCTGGGACCCCCTAAGGGTTGAGAATGGACATAATAAATGAGGAGTGTGGGGCCAGTTCCTGGGCACTGTAGGTACGAAGAGATATGGTTAGAACCCTCAATGTCACTGCTGCTTCCAGTGCAGAAGATGGTGACTGTTTACCCCAAGTCCCAGACACTGAGGAAGGCTGAGTCAAGGCTGAGCCCAGGCCCCTGAGAAGAGAAAGAAATGCAGAGGGGGATTAACTCAGAGCATGACCCCAGGTAAACTCTACTGGTTCTCTCCACCTGGAGAGAGGAAGAGTCAACCCAGGTGCCCAGGTGCTCTTCCTTGAGGACTCTTGCCTGTGCCGTGAGGGAGAATGGTTTCAAGCAGCAGAAGTCAGACCATGGTGGAGATGCCCCAGAGCTGCCTTCTGAGACCCCAGCACTGGGACAGGACACTTAAGGCTCTGTTAGCCCTTTCCATGTCCTGAGATGCAAGAGGATCCTCCCTGAAAATCTGCCTCCTGAGCACTGACAATTCTTAGCTCTTCCGTTGCTCCAAGCCCTGGAGGCCTATACCCAGGGGAGTGTGCAGATGCTCTGGCCCAAGCTGGAAGCGTGTGAAGCGCATAAATCCTCTTCCAAAGTTGCTTTGAGGCTGGATTGGCAGAACAGAGATGCCAAGCACAATCCATCAGTGAGCACCTGGATTTCTAGTGTGTTCACTGACCCAAACACCTCATCTTCCCTTCCTCTCACATACCTGGGGAGGATCCTCCTGCCCTCTGTACACCCAGGAGGCCTGAATCTGGGGTGGAATCATGCTGCTCCCTACCTGAAGGCTCCTGCCTTTCCCTCTGAGCTCATTCACAGCTAGCCCCAAAAGAATTTTTTTTTAAGACAGAGTCTCACTCTGTTGCCCAGACTGGAGTGCAGTGGTGCAATCTTGGCTCACTGCAATCTCTGCCTCCCAGGTTCAAGCGATTCTCTTGCCTCAGCCTCCCGGGTAGCTGGGACTACAGGTGTGCACCACCATGCCAGGCTAAGTTTTGTATTTTTAGTAGAGATGGGGTTTCACTATGTTGCCCAGGCTGGTCTCGAACTTCTGACCTCAGGTGATCTGCCTGCCTCAGCCTCCCAAAGTGCTGAAATTACAGGCATGAGCCACCGCGCCTGGCCTCCAAAAGAATTTTCCAAAATGGTGATTCTCCCATTAAGACAAACGGTCATGGGAACGTAGGCAAGCCACTCTGAATTCTCTCCAAGACCTTCCACTGTGGCCTGTTGCGCATCTGCAGAATCCTGCAGCAGATTGGGAATCAGGGGCCATTTCAAACACGTGTTATTAAGTCAGGAGCCCAGTATGCACTAAGTGTCGTGGGAGCACAGCCAGCCAGTGTGACCCCACGCTGGGGGCAAGGAGCCTTGCACCAGGACTACACAGCCTGAGTTCCTTCTTGACTTGACCACTTTGTCTTGGACCTGTGGTTTGCCTTTTCTTACTGTCAGTGTCTTCACCTAAAAAAACACGAAAACAGCAGTAAAGTTCACAAACTCCTTGCATTCACCTGCTTAGAAAATCGAAAGGCAAATTGTTTCCATTAATCAGCGAGGTCTCTATGATTTTTATTCCCAGAATGGTTAGGTTGAGAGTGCTGGTCCCTTCAACTCCAGGTTTATTTTAGGTGGTCATAGAAAAATACATACTTTTCTCTCTCAGTTCTCTATCTCATCCGTGCAAAGGTTAGTCCCGACTCAGCCTCTCTCACTTCCAGGAGCAGAGCAGAACAGACTGTCAAATGCGTCCCCGTCCCTTGCTTCCCTCATTGCAGTCTTAAAGTATCTCTTGTCATCACTCTAATTCAGCACAGGTTGACTCTCACTTTCCAAAATGAAGATACCTCTATTTTCATTGCCGATCAAGGAAAAAAAAATCATATGTTTATGAACTGAGTGTTTGCGTCCCCCCACCACAAATTCATATGTTGAAGCCCTAATCCCCATTGTGGCTGTATATGGAGATGGGGCCTCTAAGGAAGTAATTAAGATTAAGTGAAGTCACAAGGGTCGGGTTCTCATAACTTTCAGCATCCTTATAAGAAGAAGCACCCATGCTCTCTCTCCACACATGCGCACAAAGGGGTCACGTGAGCACAACGCAAAATGGCCTCAGCCTATAAGCTAAGAGAAGATGCCTCAGAATGACACCCACCTTGCTGACACCTTGATCTTGGACTTCCCAGCCTCCAGAACTGTGAGAAATAAATTTTTGTTGTTTAATCCATCCAGTCTGTGATATTTTGTTATGGCAGCTGAAGCAGTCTAATAAATGATAAAAAAAAAAAGTTCAAGAGAATACAGAAAAGTATTTTATAACAAACAGTGTTATCATTTTAGTGACCATTTTCTGTACATGTTAGCCCACTTATCTAAGACATTCACAAATATGAATTACTGATATCCCAGGAACCTTGTAACTCCTACTCCCCATTTCAGGCCTAGCAGAGCCCCAGGAATATGGCATCCGATTGTAAAGAACTCGAAGCAATGAATGAGTGACTGTTATGGTCATACACAATTTTACATGAATAGAATTACATTAGACAATCATTCACGTGATCTGCATTTTTTTTTCAAATATTGCAGACAGACATCATCAGTCATAAAAAAGAAGGGAATCTTGCCATTTGCAACAATACGAATGAACCTGGAGGAAATTATGTTAAGTGAAATAAGCCAGATGCAGAAAGACAAATACTGTACGAGCTAATAATATGTGGAATCTAAAAAGTGGAACTCTTTTGACATGGTTTGGTAATATAACAAATACAAAAAAAATTAAAGGAAAGGGAAAAAAGAAACACAAAAAGTGGAACTCATAGAGGCAGAGTAGAATGGTAGTTCCCAGGGGCTGTGGGTGGGAGGAATGAGAGATGTTGGTCAAAGGCTACAAAATTTTAGTTATAAGATGGTAAATCCTGAGACTCTAATATACAGCATAGTAACTATAGTTAATAATGCTATATTATTAATTGAAATTTGCTAACAGAGCACACACACATTGACTGCTGGGGTGAAAGATGTGTTAACTAATTTGATTAATCATCAAACAAGGTATATGTGGATCAATGTATATGAATTGTACACCTTGAATCCATACAATTTTTATTTGTCAATTATACCTCAAGAAACCTGGAAAAAAATCAAACATTACAGACATCTTATTGTATTTTCTGTGTCTTATCCAAAAAAAGCACCCGGAGCTCAGCAAAGCACTTGATGTTTGCCCTCACACTGTTCCTCTCCCATTCCAGTTGTCGACCAAAAGGAACCATCAGACAAAAAACACCTCCAAATTTGTTGAATTTATTCAGGAATTAGAATACAAAATTATACGCTGGGCATGGTGGCTCATGCCTGTAATCCCAGCACTTTGGGAAGTCGAGTTGGGAGCAACACTTGAGGCCTGGAGTTCAAGCCCAGCCTGGGAAACACAGTGAGACTCTCTCTACCAAAAAAAAAAAATTTTTAATAAAGTAAATACATAAATTAGCTGGGCATGGTGGTGCATGCCTGTTGTCTTAGCTACTCAGGAGGCTGAGGTGGGAGGACTGCTTGAGCCCGAGAGTTGGAGGCAGTGGTGAACTACGATTATGCACTACACTCCAGCCTGGGTGACAAAGCAAGACCCTGTCTCAAAAAATAAATAAATATAAAAATAAATATAAATTTACAAAAAAAAATTAAAAAAGAGAAAAAGCATTATAACCTAAGATGCTCAGCTATGGCAAGCCATATATGCATCTCAAGAGGGGAGGGCAAAGGGAAGGTTGTATTGGCAAAAAAAGAGATTTAAATAAGCTGCTTGCAAACAGTTCACCGGTTATGAAGACTCAAAACCACAGTTGGCATCAGTTCATTGGTGGAGACGCTGTGCCTAGGCAGGTGTTCTTTCAAAAGCATCTTATCTAAATTGTTGTGATTCCAAAACAGGAATGTCTTGCAGGGCTATTTCGAAAAGTCCCGAGACAGCCAACCCTTTTTAAAAATATAGATGGGGTCTTGCTATATCACTCAGGCTAGTCTTCAATTCCTGGCCTCAGGGGATCCTCCAACCTTGGCCTCCCAAAGTGCTGGGATTACAGGGGTGAGCCACCACACCCAGCTTCCTGAGACAGCTTTTATCTCAGCCATGTAAGCATGAGCCCTTCCCTTTCATACCCTCAGGGTTTTACTTTGGGTCAACAAATAGTGAGTTTATTTTGGTATGTGCAACTTTCAAACACCCATCGCCATAAAAGAAAGGACCAGCCTTGGCCAGGCACAGTGGCTGATGCCTGCAATCCCAGCACTTTGGGAGGCCGAGGTGGGCGGATCATGAGGTCAGGAGATCAAGACCATCCTGGCTAACACGGTGAAACCCTGTCTCTATTAAAAACAAAAAAATTAGCCAGGCATGGTAGCGGGCACCTGTAGTCCCAGCTACTTGGGAGGCTGAGGCGAGAGAATGGCATGAACCCGGGAGGCGGAGCTTGCAGTGAGCCGAGATCGCGCCACTGCACTCCAGCCTGGGCAAGAGCGAGACTCCGTCTCAAAAAAAAAAATAAATAAATAAAGGACCAGCCTCGACTGACAGTCGGCACTCCGCAGGCATCCTCCACAATCCTCTCTCCTCTCTGCCTCTTGCCCTACAACCTGGCCATGCCATGATTCCTCCCTACCTGTCCTCCTCTGTGGACTTCATGACCACGCTCTGTCCTATGAGGCTGGACCAGGGTCATGTTCACTCACTTCTCTCCCCTCCCTGCCATTTGTTCCACTCCCCAACTTGTTCTCCACGCATCGATCTCAATGGAGCAACAGCAATCAGATGATGAAAATAAATAATGGTGGCCAGTCTTCAAATGGATCCCCTTTTCAATCCCGCACTATCCATCTGCTGCCTTCTCATCAGCCCTCTGCCCCAGTTTCTTTCCCTTCTCAAACTGGACAAGCACCGTACTCCGTGAAGATGTGTGCAGCCTGTTCCCATGCCCTGAACACCATCCCTTCAAGCTCCTCTGGCTGCTCCCTGCTCAGGTCTCAGAAAAGGAGAGCTGGGCAACCCTCCCAGGGAGCCGCCCGCCTGTGTAACTTTCAGTACCAGCCTGTTTGCTTTCTTGAGATAATTAGCTACAACGGCCACTTTAAAACAATGGTCTTCTTATTTTGTTTTTTGTTTTCACCCTAAACTTTATAAAGTCAGAAATCGTAAGTCCTTGAGCATCCACAGCCACTCAAGGACGAACCTTTGCTGAATGCCTCAAGCAGAGAGGGGGAGGCTGAGTCTCTGTTTCGAAGGTGAAAACACAACGGTTTTTATCAGCCCTGTTTTATGCGACAATCCCAGGTCGAATCTGGATCAATGCAATGACTTCCTTTGCATGGACCTATGTTTTGTTCGTGCATTCATCTGTGCAGCTGGGAACCCGCAGCTCTGTTCACTGGCATGGGGATGCCTCGGGGAATGGCAGGGCAGAGCCACAAAAAGCCAGCCTCACCACGCGGCCTGTTGCTCTTAGCCACCATGCCCATCATAGCCTGTGGCAGGAGATGTTGGGGTCCCCCCCCCCGACCCCTTTCAGGAAAACAGAGTTTGTGGAGGCGGAGTACTTCCCAGGCCTGACTGATAAAACAATTCAAAAGACTCAAAGAGATTCCTCGCCTGTCCCGTCCCTTGAAGGGCCTTGAACACGGGGTCCTTCCGCTTGGCTCCTAGCCCGTCCCTCTCCCCTTACCAGGAAAGGATCCTCCCCATCTCTGCAGAAGCCTGACCATCCCCCTAGAGGGCCTGGGAGGAAGTGGGTTTTGCATACAGTCCCTGTTGACTCTAGTGCCCCCTGCTGGCCCCAGACGCGAGTTCCGGCGAGGCTTCAGGGTACAGCTCCCCCGCAGCCAGAAGCCGGGCCTGCAGCGCCTCAGCACCGCTCCGGGACACCCCACCCGCTTCCCAGGCGTGACCTGTCAACAGGTCTGTATTGGCGACAAAAGGAGCAGCCCTGAATGTAGGGAAAGCAGGGCGGAGTCCTCTGCAGGCTCGGGGGAGGGGAGGGGCGTGAATGCGTGGATTTCTGTGGAGAGTGGAAACACGGGGAGTCGAGGGGAGCATGCGCGGGCCTCAGAAAGTTCTGGGAAACCGACTCCCGGGAGCAGGGAGGAACGCGCGCTCCAGAGAGTAAGTTAATTGAATCCCGGGGGGTGGTCTCTTCAGCCCGGGGGGTTACAGAAGTAGGTAAATCCAGAGATTACCCAGCCAAGGCCAGGGGCATCTTTTCTAGACTTGCGGGGCGGGGTGGGGCGAGAACTTGAGCTCAGGGGACCCTGGAACCGGCCCCTGCACCCCGCATCCCACTGAAGAAAAGGGAGGTCGCCAGAAGCACAGACCCAGGACAGAGTCCAGACTTGGACGTCTCCGTGATCCCAGAACACCCCGTCCCACACTCCCAGTCAGCCCCCCGCCTCCCCACTGCCTCTCCATTCGCCCACCGCACCCCCTTTTTCCACCCTGCCCCCACCCTACTGTCTGGTGGGAAAGGCCGCAGCCATCACGTATTCACCCATCCCCACCCCTCACCCCCCACCTTCTGACTTTCTTTCCACATCCCCACCCCCTCCCCCACTCTCTGCCTCTTTTCCCTCCCCCTCCCCAACCCTTTGTTTTTCTTACACATCCCCACCCCTCCCCCAACCTCTGTCTTCTCTCATCCCCACCCCCACCCTGTTTCCCTTCCCCCATTCCCGCCCTGGCCCGCCTTCTGTCTCCCTTCCCCCATCCCCACCCCTCCCCCCCTTCTGTCTCCCTTCCCCCATCCCCACCCCTCCCCCGCCTTGTCTACCTTCCGCCATCCTCACCCCTCCCCCACCCTGTCTCCCTTCCCCCACCCCACCCCTCCCCCACCCTCTGTCTCCGTTCCTAATCCCCACGCCTCCACCACTCTTTGTTTCCCTTCCCCCATCCCGACCCCCCACCCCACCCTGTGTTCCTTCCTCCATCCCCCCCCACTGTCTTTCTTCTCGGTTCCCCACCCTGTCTCCCTTCCCGCATGCCCACCCCTCCCCCACCCTGTCTCCCTTCCCCCATGCCCACCCCTCCCCCACCCTGTCTCCCTTTCCCCATGCCCACCCCTCCCCCACCCTGTCTTCCTTCCCCCATGCCCACCCCTCCCCCACCCTGTCTTCCTTCCCCCATTCCTAACCCTCCTCCCGCCCCCCCTTCCCCACCCCCATCTCCCCTCCTTCCCCACCCCCATCTCCTCCCCACCCCCAGCCTCCTCTGCTCTCCAACTTCCTCTCCCCTTTTCCCCTCCTCCTGCTCCCTTCTCCTCTGCTCCTCCCCCCACTGCCCCTCCCCCACTGCCCCTCCTCCTCCCAGTCTTTGAAAACAAGCCCCTCTCGACTCTCTGGGCGACCTCACTGGATCTCGTGAGATTTTGCCCTGGAAGGACTGAGAAACGGGGATTGGTCAGACCAGGCTGCCCAGCCCCCCGGTCCCCACCGCCGCCCCCCCCGCCCCACGCAGCGGCTAGGGCGCTTAGCTGAGCCATTGTCTCGTTCTTTCCTTCCAGCAACTTCGCGGTGTGGTGAACTCTCTGAGGAAAAACGTAAGTTCGAGCCCTGATTCCTCCGCTTCCCCGCAGGGTGACCTTGGGCTTGTGCCCCCAGCACCACCCCTGTCCCGGGTCCCTGTTTTCTCTCTGGAAATGGGTTGAAGACCAAAGAAAATAATGTGCGCCACTTGGGTCACCCCGGGCCGCCTGCCCCGGAAAATTGGCCCCAGTTGAGGAGTTGTGGCTGTAAGGATGCCTTGAACCGAGGCGGCGGTGCTCGTGGTTGGAGCTCTCCAGGGTGGGTGCGCATTTGTAATGCGGTGGATGCTCTGGGACTCGGCCCCTCTGAAGGTGCTGGGGGTTGGGGACGGCCCAGGCAGTGGCGTAGGCGTCCTAGGAAGGCGGGAGCAGAGGCAGAAATGTCGCTGCAAGACCGTAGTCAGGGTCCTTGACCACAGGGGTCACTTGTGACCAACCACATGGTCTGTTGTTCCTCCTGCCCCCTGGTTCAGCCCAGGAAACACTGGTGCTCAGGTTTGGAGCCAGAGATTTGCACTGAAAGGGCGGGATTGAGTCGCCAGTTGTCAGTTTCCTCAGCAGTATTTGCGGAGGTTTTCACAGGAGGCCGTTGCTTCGTAAATATTATACATGTATTCTTCTTTTTGGAGCATTTTGATTATTACTCTCAGACGTGCGTGGCAACAAGTGACTGAGACCTAGAAATCCAAGCGTTGGAGGTCCTGAGGCCAGCCTAAGTCGCTTCAAAATGGAACGAAGGCGTTTGTGGGTAAGAAGGTCCCCTGAGCTGTCTGAGGTGCTCAGAGAAGCCCTGTTCCCCTCTGTCCTTGTCACTCGAGCCAGATGGGAGCTGCATCCTGAGGTCCCTCACAGTAGACGAAGAGGCAGGAGCCGCTTTTATTGTTTCTGGTCATTTCCACAAAAGAGCATTTCACTTCCCGTGCTGTCTTTGTATGAGAGTCAACCCTAGGGTCGGGCACGGTGGCTCATGCCTGTAATCCCAGCACTTTGGGAGGCTGAGGCGGGCGGATCACCAGGTCAGGAGATTGAGACCATTCCTGGCTAACACTGTGAAACCCCGCGTCTACTAAAAGTACAGAAAGTTAGCCGGGCGTGGTGGCATGCACCTGTAGTCCCAGCTACTCAAGTGGCTGAGGCAGGAGAATCGCTTGAACCCAGGAGGCGAAGGTTGCAGTAAGCCAAGATCATGCCACTGCACTCCAGCCTGGCGACAGAGCGAGACTCCGTCTCCAAAAATAAAAATTAACCCTAGGCCAGGCATGGTGGCTCATGCATGTAATCCCAATCCCAGTACCATGGGAGGCCGAGGTGGGCAGATCACCTGAGGTCAGGAGTTCGAGACTAGCCTGGCCAAAATGGTGAAATCCTGTCTTTACTAAAAATAGAAAAAAAATTAGCTGGGCGTGGTGGCCCACATCTGTAGTCCCAGCTACTTGGGAGGCTGAGACAGGAGCAGGAGAATCGCTTGAACCCAGGAGGTGGAGGTTGCAGTGAGCCAAGATGGTGCCAGTGCACTCTAGCCTGGGCAACAAGAGTGAAACTCCTCCTCCAAAAAAAAAAAAAAAATCTTAATGCATTGTGGACCTTATTGCCAAAGCCACGATTACATTCAGAACCTTTCCCCGGGGTAATCAGACGCAAAAGCCCACACTTCCAGTGGTGTCAGAGAGTATGAGCTCCAGGAGGCTTTGATCTCACTGCCCCATGGGCTTGGGCCATTAGGGGTAAGTGTCGGTCCTGGGAAGTGAGCAACAAGATTGCACTGCCTCATCCTTGGGTGCCACCTGGGGAGATCAGGGAGAACATGCAACCTGGGTTGAAGCCGGGAGACTTGTGCTGGAACTAAAGGCTCAAGGACGGCACAGTGCGTTGGACTGTGGGACCGTGCTCGGGTGCTGTTGGTATCCACAAGCCTGTAATCCCAGCACTTTGGGAGGCTGAAATGGGTGGATCACTTGAGCCCAGGAGTTCAAGACCAGTCTGGGAAACATAGTAAGACCCTGTCTCTAAAAAAGAAAAAGAGGCTGGGCATGGTGGCTCACTCTTGTAATCTCAACACTTTGGGAGGCCTAGACAGGCAGATCACTTGAGGTCAGGAGTTTGAGACCAGCCTGGCCAACATGGTGAAACCCCATCTCTACTAAAAATACAAAAATATAGCCGTGTGTGGGGGCGTGTGCTTGTAATCCTAGCTACTTGGGAGGCTGAGGCAGGAGAATCGTTTGAACCCAGGAGGCAGAGGTTGCAGTGAGCCAAGATTGCGCCACTGCACTCCAAAAAAAACACCTGAAGGACCTGGTGCAGATACTTCGGGGGTCCCCACTGGGATTCTATGACTAGAGAGGAGGGTGCAGACCACCCACCTGATGAGCTCAGAGGCCACTCTGGCCTGTGCAGCCCACAAGGACCATAAGAACCAGTAGACAGGACATGCAGAAATATCTCCCCAATTCATGTCTGGACCCTAGGAGTCATGCTGGGCCCCAGTCTTTTCACTTCTCCCTTATACTGGGAGGAAGGACAGCACCTTTGTGCAAATGTGCCCCTGGTGCTGCTTCCTCCAGTGCCACTGGACAAACTGGCAGTGTGAAGCTGGACAGAGGAGTGTCACTGCCTCACAGGGAGATTGCACAGCTCAGAGATTACACAACTCACACTTGATCGCGGTTCCTCCTCCTCCCTTGGATCTCCTGGAAGCGGGGATCCCATGGAAGCTTCCCTAACTGTTGGACTTACTCAGTTTTCCTGTTTTTCCATGGTTTATGTGAAGCTTATCAGCCCTTTCTAACACTTAGATTGTTTGATAGGGAGGGAAATGAAACTCTTTCTAAACTCCTCACATAAGGGCTACCAATTCCTGCTTGCTTGGAGCTGAGCAGGTTCTTCCCCAGACAGAGTCAGGGACTTACAAGACTAAAAATGAAAATGACAGTGAACTTTAGATTCTCTGTGAAGGCTATTTGAGGTAATGAATGAGAGCTGCTGCGGCCTTTGCTGTGCCCAGTAGCTGCTTGATAATTAGGGACATTGACAATGACCTTTATTACTAATCTCAGTCTCCCGCAGCTGATGAGTGAAGATGATTGCCTGGGAATTAAAGGAAATGTAGAACAAATTGTAGTTTAACCCGGTTTTCACAAAGGCCATTAGGTGTTGAGGGTGAAAAGTAGGAGAAAGTCTCCAGAGAGAGAACCAAAATGGAAAACATCCTTCAACGAATTACAGCCTCCTTACGCAGGCCACAGTAAACAAAGTCAGGCCGCAAGACATTCCAGCTGGACACTTGCCAGTAGAATATAAGAATTGTAGGGACTTCACAGTGCATGAGGCAGAGAATGGCCTGGAGAATTCTTTGGGTGGAGAGGTTCCAAAACTTCAAAAGCACCAGTGGGTGATCAGGCCCAGGATAGGAATCATCCCTAAGCAGATCCTTAAATGCCAAATATAACTTCAATTTTTTGTGACGGAAAATGTATTTGTGCACTGTGCCTAGCATGGAAATAGAGAAAAACTGAGTCTAATTGATAGGCCTGATTGCATCTCGCTGACCAGAATCTCTGTACCTGAGCAGCTTAGGGGCAAGAAAGAACAGCTGTTTTCTTGAAGTGTGGAAACATTAGTAATACTTAGGAAGGGGCTGGCCATTGGAGATTATGTTTGTGGTAAAGGCCTGACCTGCTGCTTGTGAACAGCCCCAGTGTGGAAGAGGACACCTAACCATAAAGAGAAGGTCTTCTGACAACTTCTTTAATTGCAGGGATGTGTGCTTTCAGCCCTTGTTTATTTCTTTCCTGGCTCCAAGATTCCTAAGAAACCACAAGGTCTTTCAGACTTGAAAATGTTGCTGTCCTAGGTTTGGTCACCAATATTACTCTCTATCCCACCTCTCCAGCCCACATTCCTAGATTTAATCTTGTCAAGGCTGTTTGCCAAGAGGATCCTGACTTTCTGGGAGAAAACACCCTTTCCCTCTAGGGAGGGAGGAAGATTGAACTCCCTCCCTGCCTCAGTGATTACCTTGGCTTTACTGGAACTATCTTTCATCTTCCTTAGCCATTCCCCTTTTTAATTTCTCTACTCCATCCAGGCCAAAGTCTTTCAATTCCGCCCCCAAAAAAACCTATCTGTCTTTGTGGTAATCCACTCAGTCCCATTACAAATGCCCAGCCTTACTTCTGACTAACTCCTAATTGTAGTGTAATTTTGACCCACCTTCCTTCAGGACAGCCTTGACTTTCAAAGTCTGGAAGACCAGCCACCCCTCTGTTGTTCCTCCCTTTTTCCTTGGATAGGCATGTGATTTGCTGTGTTAGGGAACATGGGGTATAAGTGACAATTTGATACTTGGGGATTGTTTGGGAGTGGGAAGGGGTGATGTCATGATGCTCTTCATAAAGCTATCTTAACTGGACTATTTGGGTAATTTTGATGTGGCCAAAAATTCCCCTAACAGTTATACTCTCTGGGTGGTTTTGTTCACTTTTTCTTTCCTTTTTGTAAATAGACATCCCATTCAATCAGTTGAACCTGAAGTAAGTAAAAAACCCCATCAGGATTCACTGGCTGGAGATCCAGGAATGTAATTAGATTTGGCTCTTCCGTTGGCAGCGTGGAGTTGAAAGGGGAGGTATGCCCAGAAAGGCCTGTAATAGCTTCAGAGGGGCCAGAGGAGGGACCCAGAGGCCATGGAGTCAATGTTGTGGTCTTCCCAGAGGTCTGGGCAGATGGCTTCTGCACCACAGCTGGGTCTGGTGAGTCGGGAGCCTCAGGCTATGGCCACTGCCTCCTTCTACTGTCACCTCAGGGTCTCCACGGGCCATGAGGGCCAATGCTGCTTAGATGGTTTTCCTTTTTCTTTCCTTACAAAGGAACAGGCTTTGTTCTTGTCTCTAAATGTAGTTTTGCCTTAATCCCAAACATTTTTATTTGGTTATTGGATTGATTTCTTAATTGATACACAATAATTGTACATATTTATAGGGTACATGTGAAATTTCAGTTTATGCATATATAGTATGTAATGATCAAATTATGGTAATTAGTATAACCATTACCTGGAACATTTATTATTTATATTGAATCCCAAACATTTTGATTTCTGCCATTTTGTATATGTTAAAAATAATTTCTTAAACGGCTTTTTTTTTTTTTTTTGGAAAATAAAAGACATCTACTTTGAATTTTACTTTATTACAATTTAAATAGTATGTGGCAAGCAATTATAATTTGCATCATTTATGATTTTTTAAATCAGTGATTTACTAGTTAGGCTTTTTTTTAACTACAAGGTTAAAAAATATTCCATTTTAACTACAAGGTTAAAAAATATTCCATTTTAACTAAAAGGTTAAAAAATATTCCATAGATTTTTTTCTTTTTCTTTTCAGATGCTTTGGAATTAAAGACATTTTCTTTCTTTTTTTTCTTTTTTTTTTTTTTAATAGAGATGAGGTCTCCTTGTGTTGCCCAGGCTGGTCTTGAACTCCTGGGCTCAAACCATTCTCCCACCCTGGCCTCCCAAAATGCTGGGATTACAGACATGAGCCACTGTGCTGGAGGGTGGAGGCTTTTTCAAGATATCTAGTATACAAGATGGTAACTGTAGTTAATAATGTATTGTATACATGAAAATTGCTAAGAGTATATTTCAAGTGTTCTCACCACACATATGTGAGATCATATGTATGTTAATTAGCTTAAGGTACCTATTCTACAATGTATACATATTTCAGAGCATCATATTGTACACCATAAATATACACAATTTTTATTTCTCCATTTTAAAACTAATGTTTTGGGAGAAAAGAACCAGGCTTTGTTTTACTGTGAAGTGTTTGCTCCGCTGATTTCCATGTCAAAGTAGTAACTCTTAATATACGTAAAAGAGACGCACTTAAAATACATGTCTCAGAATGTTTTTTTTTTATTGTACTTCCAATTGCTATGTAATACTGTTGTGCTGCTTCTGTAGTTTCTCATTTAAAATTTTTTAGTGAAACATAATGGCATCCATTGTGCATTGTGTGTGTGTTCCTCATCTTTCCCATCTGGCTTATTTGTTGGAGCAGAGAAGGATGCTGTCCTGGGCTATGTGACACTCCCATTTGAATTGCCTTTGAGTGATCATCAGAAACTTTTTCCCAAAATGAGCAGGGTCAGCCCTCAGGCTCCTTAGTTCTCACTTCCCAGGGGGACTAGAATTAAATAGAGTAGTGGGTAGATACAAGATGGTGCCAGTGGCCGTCCTGTCCCCTCCTCTACACTTGATGAGATGTTCATCCTGGTGCCAGCAGAGCTGTGGCTTTGTGGCCACCGAGTGCAGAGTGGAATCGGGGTAAACTGAGAACTCCCCTGCTGTTGCTAGCACAGTGACTTTGGCCCTAAGTTGGTCCCTCAGAAGGGTGAGGAAAAGATAGAGTTGCTTATGCTTGGGCTGAAAGGGATGCCTTGTTCCCTGTATGTTTCCTCAGGGTTCCATTCAGAGCCGATACATCAGCATGAGTGTGTGGACAAGCCCACGGAGACTTGTGGAGCTGGCAGGGCAGAGCCTGCTGAAGGATGAGGCCCTGGCCATTGCCGCCCTGGAGTTGCTGCCCAGGGAGCTCTTCCCGCCACTCTTCATGGCAGCCTTTGACGGGAGACACAGCCAGACCCTGAAGGCAATGGTGCAGGCCTGGCCCTTCACCTGCCTCCCTCTGGGAGTGCTGATGAAGGGACAACATCTTCACCTGGAGACCTTCAAAGCTGTGCTTGATGGACTTGATGTGCTCCTTGCCCAGGAGGTTCGCCCCAGGTAAGGGTGACCTAGCAGCTTGGTGTGGGGCCCTGGGAACCTGAGCAGGATGCAGCTGGGGTCAGGGAGCATGGAGCGCCTAAGGCTGGGCCAGAGGCTCTGATGGTTGCCAGCAAGGAAGTTCAGGGAGGCCTTGGGGCTACTGCAGGGGTCACTCTTGGAATGGGCTTCTGGACATGGGGCACTGATTAAAATGCAGAGGTGTCTGAAGGAACATGCACCTGCTTCCTCCTGGTGGGGTGGGAATTGGGGACCAGGAAGGATCCCAGGATCCTAGTGGGAAAGGGAGCAGCTGATGCCTGAAGTACGAAGTAAAAGTGCAGATCTAAGGTGGATGTCTGTTTGGTTCTTACCTACATTATGAGACTCATGGTCTTATTTTGAGTTGATCTTAAAGCATCATCTCAGCTAATTACCTGTTTTTCCCCACAGGAGGTGGAAACTTCAAGTGCTGGATTTACGGAAGAACTCTCATCAGGACTTCTGGACTGTATGGTCTGGAAACAGGGCCAGTCTGTACTCATTTCCAGAGCCAGAAGCAGCTCAGCCCATGACAAAGAAGCGAAAAGTAGATGGTTTGAGCACAGAGGCAGAGCAGCCCTTCATTCCAGTAGAGGTGCTCGTAGACCTGTTCCTCAAGGAAGGTGCCTGTGATGAATTGTTCTCCTACCTCATTGAGAAAGTGAAGCGAAAGAAAAATGTACTACGCCTGTGCTGTAAGAAGCTGAAGATTTTTGCAATGCCCATGCAGGATATCAAGATGATCCTGAAAATGGTGCAGCTGGACTCTATTGAAGATTTGGAAGTGACTTGTACCTGGAAGCTACCCACCTTGGCGAAATTTTCTCCTTACCTGGGCCAGATGATTAATCTGCGTAGACTCCTCCTCTCCCACATCCATGCATCTTCCTACATTTCCCCGGAGAAGGAAGAGCAGTATATCGCCCAGTTCACCTCTCAGTTCCTCAGTCTGCAGTGCCTGCAGGCTCTCTATGTGGACTCTTTATTTTTCCTTAGAGGCCGCCTGGATCAGTTGCTCAGGTGAGGGATGGTGAGATTTCTCTGCAGACCAGAGCAAGCCCTTCCTTATTGCAGTAAACAATAAAGGATATCTTGTATGTGCCAGCCACCAATAATGCAAGAGTGAGCAAGTCACTACCAGTTAACACGTCTTGTTCACCACTGTCCCCAAGCATGGTATCACATAACTACTACTCATAAGGGTTAGAGGTATACATTAGGATAGATGCTATTAACAGTGACTCCTTGTTAGAAAACTCTGTAATGGGAGGTTGGGGCCTGGCAAGGGTGGCTTTAGGCATTCTTCCTTAGGAAGTGATGCCTAAGATGATCAAAAGTAAGCAAGGAGGGCATTGAAGAAGGGAAAGCCCATCAAAGGTGAGATTTGAAATTGTAAGCTGTGCGCTCACCAGCTTCTCAACATGAGCTGCTCCCTCTAAACCTGCCTCAAATTTCCTGTCTGTAAAGGGTGATTTAGAATTCCAGTTAGGGTAATAGGTGGGAAATGCAGGATTCTGGAGATGTGGGAGAAGGAACAACAGAGAAATTGCAAAAATTGATAGGTGGTTTGCTGATGATACAGTGACCTAAGGTAGCCCTGCAGCCTGGGAACCCCCTTTGGATGTTGCTGACCTTGCCCCAGTTTGTCCACTGTGAATACTCCCTAGTAGCTTCATCAGGCACAGAGATAGAGGTGACTGGGGCCCAGGCAGTGGCAGAAGGAAGCCCGAGTTGAAAGAAAGTATTTTCAGTTGTATCTTCAAATACTAAAATTCACTGATGCCTTTCCTTGCTTGAGACATCAAATCAGGCTCTCAATTCAATTCATGCTCACACCACCTAAGAGGTCTGTGTTGGACCCTGCCTCACAGATGAGCCAAGGGAGTGTTTGAGATCTTTGTTTACTTGACCCACTTACACAGCAAATGATGGAGAAAGGACTAAACCTGAACTTGTACTCCTTGAATGCTCCGTTACAGCATGGCATCCTGGCGGTTAACCATCATCAGGAAGACTTTGGGTTTTGGTGAAATGGGCCTCTCTCCAGTCTCCCCACCCCACTACCACCATTCCCCAGCACTAACTGCTTTGTCTATTTGCAGGCACGTGATGAACCCCTTGGAAACCCTCTCAATAACTAACTGCCGGCTTTCGGAAGGGGATGTGATGCATCTGTCCCAGAGTCCCAGCGTCAGTCAGCTAAGTGTCCTGAGTCTAAGTGGGGTCATGCTGACCGATGTAAGTCCCGAGCCCCTCCAAGCTCTGCTGGAGAGAGCCTCTGCCACCCTCCAGGACCTGGTCTTTGATGAGTGTGGGATCACGGATGATCAGCTCCTTGCCCTCCTGCCTTCCCTGAGCCACTGCTCCCAGCTTACGACCTTAAGCTTCTACGGGAATTCCATCTCCATATCTGCCCTGCAGAGTCTCCTGCAGCACCTCATCGGGCTGAGCAATCTGACCCACGTGCTGTATCCTGTCCCCCTGGAGAGTTATGAGGACATCCATGGTACCCTCCACCTGGAGAGGCTTGCCTATCTGCATGCCAGGCTCAGGGAGTTGCTGTGTGAGTTGGGGCGGCCCAGCATGGTCTGGCTTAGTGCCAACCCCTGTCCTCACTGTGGGGACAGAACCTTCTATGACCCGGAGCCCATCCTGTGCCCCTGTTTCATGCCTAATTAGCTGGGTGCACATATCAAATGCTTCATTCTGCATACTTGGACACTAAAGCCAGGATGTGCATGCATCTTGAAGCAACAAAGCAGCCACAGTTTCAGACAAATGTTCAGTGTGAGTGAGGAAAACATGTTCAGTGAGGAAAAAACATTCAGACAAATGTTCAGTGAGGAAAAAAAGGGGAAGTTGGGGGTAGGCAGATGTTGACTTGAGGAGTTAATGTGATCTTTGGGGAGATACATCTTATAGAGTTAGAAATAGAATCTGAATTTCTAAAGGGAGATTCTGGCTTGGGAAGTACATGTAGGAGTTAATCCCTGTGTAGACTGTTGTAAAGAAACTGTTGAAAATAAAGAGAAGCAATGTGAAGCACCTGGTGTCTTGTAGTATATGAACCTGCTTTCCCAGTTAAACCTCAGGAAATCTCTAGTTGCTGATTAAATAAGACACTGCTCATCCATGGTACTTACACCTTTAGGCTGGACAAGGTCCCAGCCCCCAGATCTCATGACACCATTCATCTCTTTGGGGCATCTGTTACCTCCTTGCTTATTTCTTTGGTGTTCAAAGGGTCAGAGCATGCAAGGTACATTCTCAGGGCCTGGAACATACTAAGGAAGGGGCCGGTAATGAACACCACTGAGTGAAGGGTTCCTCACAGGAGCCCTCACTACTAAACCCTTGAGACCCTGGACTCAGTCCTCCCTGTTTTCCAGTGGACTCATAAGCCTCCATCCCTGGCCTGTGGCTGTGCCAGTATTGGGCTTGACTGCACAAGTCAGACCTCCCGTACTGGAAGGGGATGTCCAGTACTGCACTTGAAGTGGAGCGTCTGGGCCTCACCAACCTGTCCCACCAGGTCCAACCCCTTTCTGAATTTGTGACCCATTAAAAACATCTTAATTCCTTTTGGCAAAACACTAAGATCATATTTACTTAGTATTTGTACCCACATTAAAAATAGGATGACATCTTGGGTCCTATCAGTGAGAAAATTACTTCTGTGACATAAGAGTCCCCCCATCAATGAGGTGGTAAACTGAATCTCAGCCAGTGAGATGCCTTGGATTTGGGGTCCCAAGAGTGAACAAACTCATGGCAAGTGCTAGGGAGCACTTCAGGGGAAGTAGATGAATGAATGTCAGATTTGGGAGTTGGGGGTAGGTGGAGGCCACCTTATAGAACAATCTATCCAAAAGGATGAGAGATGTCATACTGTGCAGGTGAACTCTGCAATCCCTGGGCAGTCAGCCTACTTAGCTGCCACCGCTCCTATGCTAGTGTGTCCTGCCCTTAGTCTGCCTCATCTCCCTCACTGTACAGCTTCCCAAAGAAGCACCTGGGAAGAAGGTCACACACCAAGGCCCAGGGGCGGGCTCTATCTGCACGTAGCCGTGAGTGCCAGCACACCCAGTCCTGCCTGTTCTGAGGCCTCTGTCCTGGTGATAACCACCCATGAGGCTGCTGGCATTGCAGACTGTCAGCAATTTCCTGTCTTGCAACACACAGCAGCTGGGCCCTTCAACCTTTTTTCTTCTGTTCCCATCTTCAAGCCTCCTACCGTAAGCTCTATAAGAAATAGAAATTGGCTGGGTGCAGTGGCTCACGCCTGTAATCCCAGCACTTTGGGACGCCGAGGCAGGCGGATCACCTGAGGTCAGGAGTTCGAGACCAGCCTGGCCAATGTGGTGAAACCCTGTCTCTACTAAAAATACAAAAATTAGCCAGGCATGGTGGCGGGTGCCTGTATTTCCAGCTACTCAGGAGACTGAGGCAGGGGAATCGCTTAAGCCCGGGAAGCAGAGGTTGCAGTGAGCCGAGATCACGCCACTGTACTCCAGCCTGGGTGACAGAGCAAGACTCCGTCTCAATAAAAAAAAAAAAAAAAGAAAAATAGGCCCATCAGCTTGTGGGCACATTTTGCCATTTTTTAAAAGCTCTCCCTCTTTCTCTCTCTCTCTCTTTTTAGAGATAGGGTCCCACTCTGTCACCCAGGCTGGAGTGTAGTGGCATGATCATGGCTCACTGCAGCCTCAACCTCCCAGGCTCAAGTGATCCTCCTTTCTCAGCCTCCCAAGTAGCTGGGACCACAGGCACATGCCACCATGCATGGCTATGTTTTTATTTTTTCTAGAGATGGGGGTCTTCCTATGTTGCCCAGGCTAGTCTCGAAGTCCTGGGTTCAAGGGATCTTCCCAACTCAACCTCCCAAAGTGCTGGGATTACAGGCGTAAGCCATTGTACTCCAGCCTTGGCGACAAAGTGAGACCCCACCTCAAAAAAAAAAAAAAAAAAAAGATTAATAATACGTACCGTGTAATGTCACAGTGAGGGTCACTTGGGCTAATTTTTTATGTAAAGCACATGTTAGAATGCGTAGAACATGGATGGTCCAGCACAGGATAACAGTTATTAGCTGCCTGCTGCAAGTAAAGGAAGAAAAATGCTACATCTTGCTTCTAAAGCAGGATGCCTGACAGCAGGGACATTATTTGACCTGGAGATGAATCTGGAAAACTTTTTTCAGACTTTGGAATCAAAACGTTCATAAAGTAGCTGGGCGTGGTGGCACACACCTGTAGTCCTAGCAACTTGGGAGACTGAAGCAGGAGGATCACTTAAACTCAGGAATTCAAGGCTGCAGTGAGCTATGATCACACCAATGCACTCCAGCCTCGGCAACAGAGCAAGACCCTGTCTAAAAATCAAAAGCCAGGCACAGTAGCTCACACCTGTAATCCTAGCATTCTGGGAAGCCAAGGCAAGAGGATCGCTTGAGTCCAGGAGTTCAAGACCAGGCTGGGCAGCATAGCAAGACCCCCCCCTCCATCTCTTATGAAAAAATTTTTGAATGAGCTGAGCATGTCAGTGTGCACCTATAGTCCCAGCTACTCAGGAGGCTGAGGCATGAGGATCACTTGAATCCAAGAGTTCAAGGTTGCAGTGAGTTGTGATCATGCTACTACACTCCAGCCTGGGTAACAGAGTGAGCTCCCGTCTCAAAAAAAGAAAAATAAATGGCTCATGCTTGTAATCCCAGCATTTTGGGAGGCTGAGGCAGCCGGAACACTTGAGGCCAGGAGTAAAAGGTTTATTAACTTTTTTTTTTTTTGAGACGGAGTCTCACTCTGTCACCCAGGCTGGAGTGCAGTGCTCTGATCTCGGCTCACTGCAACCTCCGCCTCCCAGGTTCAAGCGATTCTCCTGCCTCAGCCTCCCAAGTAGCTCGGATTACACGCATGGGCCACCACGCCTGGCTCATTTTTGTATTTTCTGTAGAGATGGGGGTTTCACCACATTGGCCAGGCTGGTCTCAAACTCCTGACCTCAGGTGATCTCCCTGCCTCAGCCTCCCAAAGTACTGGGATTACAGGCATGAGCCACCACACCTGGCCAGTTTATTAACATTTTGTACGGTCAGATGCAGTGGCTCATGCCTGAAATTCCCAAATTTTGGGAGGCTGAGGCTGGAGGACCACTTGAGGCTAGGAGTTTGAGACCAGCCTATACTACATAGCAAGACTCTGTCTCTACAAAAAAAAATTAAAAATTTAACCAGTGCTCACCTATAGTCCTGGCTACTCAGAAGGCTGTGGTGGGAGGATTTCTTGGGCCCAGGAGTTCAAGGCTGCAGTGAGCTGATTGTGCCACTGCACTCCAGCCTAGCTGACAGAGCAAGACCCTATCTCTTAAAAAACAAACAAACAAAACAGAAAACAAGGCCGGGCGCAGTGGCTCGTGCCTGTAATCCCAGCACTTTGGTAGGCTAAGGTGGGCGGATCACCTGAAGTCAAGAGTTTGAGAACAGCTTGGCCAACATGGCAAAACCACGTCTTCACTAAAAATACAAAAATTAGCTGGGTGTGGTGGCGGGCGCCTGTAATCCTAGCTACTGTGGAGGCTGAGACAGGAGAATCACTTGAACCCGGGAGGCAGATGTTGCAGTGAGCCGAGATTGTACCATTGCACTCCAGCCTGGGCAACAGAGCGAGACCCTGTCTCAAAAATAAAAGTCAGAAAACAGAAAACAGCTGGGTGCAGTGGCTCACGACTGTAATCCCAACACTTTGGGAGGGCAAGGTAGGTAAATTGCCTGAGCTCAGGAGTTCAAGACCAGCCTGGGCAACATGGCGAAACCCAGTCTCTACCAAAAATCCAAAAAATTAGCCAGGTGTGGTGTTGTGTGCCTGTGGTCCCAGCTACTCAGGAGGCTGAGACAGGAGACTCTCTTGAACCTGGGAGGCAGAGGTTGCAGTGAGCGTAGATCACGCCATTGAATTCCAGCGTGGGTGACAGAGCAACTCCGTCTCAAAAAAAAAAAAAAAATAGATTATAGCAAGGGTGGACCATGTTGTTGTATGATTATGATCCTCCATAGACTGACTCCCCGACATGAGGTTACCTCATATCCATTTCATTTCCTGAGAACTTCCTATGGGAACTTCTGGAAATACAATTCGTGCAGCAGAGCCTAGGGAATCAGAAGAGAGCCTGATATTATACCTTCTTTAATTTGCTTTTGCTGCTATAACAAAATACTTGAGACTGGGTAATTTACAAAGAACAGAAACATCTCAGCTGGGAGCGGTGGCTCGTGCCTGCAATTCCAGTGCTTTGGGAGGCCGAGGTGGGCAGATCGCCTGAGGTCAGGAGTTTGAGACCAGCCTGGCCAACATGGTGAGGCCCCACCTCTGCTAAAAGTACAAAAATTGGCCAGGCGTGGTGGCACGTGCCTGTAATCCCAGCTACTCAGGAGGCTGAGGCAGGAGAGTCCCTTGAACCTGGGAGGCGGAGGTTGCAGTGAGCCAAGATCACACCATTGCACTCCAGCCTGGGCAACAAGAGCGAGACTTCGTCTCGGAAAAAACAACAACAAAACAGAAACATTTCTTACAGTTCTAGAGGCTAGGAAGTTCAATATCAAGGCACCAACAGATTCAGATTTGGTGAGGGCTGCTCTCTGCTTCCAAAATGGAGACTTGCTGCTTTGTCCTCACATGGCAGAAGGGTGGAAGGGCAAAAAGGATGAGTGCTGTGTGGAACCTCATTTGTGTTTGTTTGTTTGTTTGTTTTCCGCTCTCAGCATAGTGGAAATGGAATCTTTTTGATAAGGACATTAATTCATTCATCATAAGGGTAGGCCTCTAATAGCCTAGTCATCTCGTAAAAGCCCCACCTCTTAATACTATCACATTGGGTCATAAGTTCCAACATGAACTTTGGAGGGATACGTTCAGACCATAGCACTCCCCTATTCCAGAACTTTTAATGTAAAATAACAGATACCATTTCTACTCTCTCTCTCTGCCTCTCTCTCTTTGCAGTGGGGTCTTGCCCAGTCACCCAGGCTGGAGTGCAGTGGAACCATCGCAGCTCACTGCAGCCTCAAGCTCCCAGTCTCAAGCAATGCTCCTCCTGCCCTAGCCTCCACGGTAGCTAGGACAACGGCATGCACCCCTATGCCTGGCTAATATCATTTCTTGAGCATAAACTCATTTAATCCCAAGAGTACATCTGTTAAGTACAAGTATATGAAGGCTCTATCAGATAATTTTGGCCATTCAGATTGAATATACCCTTGCGATGGTTAATTTTAGGTGTCATCTTGACTGGATTAAAGAATACCTAAAAACCTGGTAAAGTACTATCTTTGGGTGTGTCTGTGTTTCCAGAAGAGATTAACGCATGAGTGTGAGTGGACTAGGTGGGGAAGATCTGCCCTCCATGTAGGTGGGTGCCATCCAAAGGCCAGTACTGAAAATAACAAAAACAGAGGAAAGGTGAATGTGTTGATCTACCTTTTGGAGCTGAGATACACTCTTCCTCTCCTGTACTTAGATGTCACAACTCAAGGCTCTCTGGTCTTTGGACTCCACAACTTGCACTAGCAGTGCACCCTCACTCCCTAGCTTCTCAGGCCTTCAGCACTGGACTGAGAATTACACCGCTAGTTCTGAGGCTTTTGGACTCAGAGTGAGCCATGCTGTCAGCATCCCAGGATCTCCAGCTTGCAGATGGCCTGCTGTGGAACTTCTTAGCCTTCATAATTGCATGAGACAGTTCCCCTAACAAATCCCCTCACATACTCACATATCTATCTATCAATCTATCTTTCTTTTTTTTTTTTTTTTGAGACGGAGTCTCGCTCTGTCGCAGGCTGGAGTGCAGTGGCGTGATCTCGGCTCACTGCAAGCTCTGCCTCCCGGGTTCACGCCATTCTCCTGCCTCAGCCTCCCGAGTAGCTGGGACTACAGGTGCCTGCCACCACGTCTGGTTAGTTTTTTGTATTTTTAGTAGAGATGGGGTTTCACCACATTAGCCAGGATGGTCTGGATCTCCTGACCTCGTGATCTGCCTGCCTTGGCCTCCCAAAGTGGTGGGATTACACGTGTGAGCCACCGCGCCCGGCCCTATCAATCTATCTTTCTATCTATCTATCCATCTATCTATTCATCCATTCTATTGGTTCTGTCTTTCTGGAGAACCCTAATATACTCCTCCAGAAAATTATTATACTTAGACTAAGTGCTCACTCAGATACCAAGGCAACAAGTATTATAGCACCACCCAGAATCTCAAATACTGAGTGTCCCACTTGGATGACAGTGATCCTGACTGGACAATAATGGTTTACCATCCATTCTTTAGCTGTATTCAGTATTAGAAAATATTTTCTTGACTGGGTGCAGTGGCTGGTGCCTATAATCCCAACACTTTGGGAGGCTGGGGCAGGAGGATTGCTTAAGCCCAGGAGTTTGATTCCAGCCTGGGCAACATAGCAAGACCCCATCTCTACTAAAAATACAATAAAATAATTAGCCTGGAGTGGCTGGATTCGGTGGCTCACGCCTGTAATCCCAGCACTTTGGGAGGCTGAGGCGGGTGGATCACGAGGTCAGGAGACTGAGACCATCCTGGCTAACATGGTGAAACCCCATCTCTATTAAAAAAATACAAAAAAATACTAAAAAAATACGAAAAATTAGCCAGGTGTGGTGGTGGGCGTCTATAGTCCCAGCTACTTGGGAGGCTGAGGCAGGAGAATAGCGTGAACACGGGAGACGGAGCTTGCAGTGAGCAGAGATGGCGCCACTGCACTCCAGGCTGGGCAACAGAGCGAGACTCCGTCTCAAAAATAATAATAATAATAATTAACCTGGAGTGGTAGCACATGCCTATAGTCCCAGCTACTCAGGAGGCTGAGGTGGGAGGATTACTTGAACCCAAGAAATGGAAGCTACAGCGAGTTATGTCATACCAGTGCACTCCAAAAACTGCAGCCTGAGCTACAGAGCAAGATCCTGTCTCAAAAAAACTACTTTTCTTATTCATTGTGACATGAAGATTTTGTATAGAATATACTCAATATTTCAACATTGATTTCATTCTCTGAGAATGAAAAAAATCAAGCATTTGAAGCAGCCAGACGCCTGTTGATCGAGCCAGATGCACATTCAGCCTTCTTAATAGAACCTGGCTTATTTTGATAAAAGAGATGTTTAGACCTTCAAATGAGAAATTAGGGCAGTTTCTCCAGTTGAATGCTCCACATGTGATGCTGGCAATGATGTGTTATGGGCTGATTTGTGTCCTCCCAAAATTCATTTGTTGTAATTCTATCCCCCAGTAACCTCAGAATGTGACTTTATTTCCAGATAGGGCTTTTAAAGAAGCAGTTAAGATTAAAATGAAGTCATATGAAAGAGCCCTAATCCAAAATGACTGGTGTCCTTATAAGAAGAAAAAATTAGGACACGAACACACACAGAGGAATGATCATGTAAAGATATAGCAAGAAGGTGGCCATCTTGCAAGCCAAGGCCTCAGAAGAAACCAACCCTGCCAACACCTTGATCTTGGACTTCCAGCCTCCAGAATTGTGGGAAAATAAATTTCTGTTGGTTAAGCCACCCAATCTATGGTATTTTATTATGGTAGCTGGCAAACAAATATATGATGTTTACTGCAATCATTCAGATAATTTTGTGTATGTTCATTGCAGCACTAGTCACAGTAGCAAAGACATGGAATCAACCCAAATTTCCATCGACAGGCTGGTTAAAGAAAATGTGGTACTGACCAGGCGCAGTGACTCACGCCTGTAATCCCAACACTTTGGGAGGCCGAGGCGGGCAGATCACCTGAGGTAAGGAGATTGAGACCATCCTGGCTAATACGGTGAAACCCCGTCTCTACTAAAAACACAAAAAACTAGCCAGGCGTGGTGGTATGCGCCTGTAATCCCAGCTACTCGGGAGGCTGAGGCAGGAGAATCGCTTGAACCCGGGAGGCGGAGGTTGCAGTGAGCAGAGATCATGCCACTGTACTCCAGCTGGGCGACAGAGTGAGACTCCGTCTCAAAAAAAAAAAAAAAAAAAGAAAAGAAAAAAGAAAATCTGGTACATACACACCATGGAATACTATACATCCATAAGCTGGAAGCCATTATCCTCAGCAAACTAATGCAGGAACAGAAAACCAGACACCAGATGTTCTCACTTATAAGTGGAGAGCTTAACAATGAGAACACATGGATACAGGGAGGGGAACAACACACACTGGGGCCTTTTACGGGAGGGTAGGAGGGAGGTAGAGCGTTATGAAAAAGAGCTAATGCATATTGGGCTTAATACTTAGGTGATGAGTTGATAGCTGCAGCAAACCATCATGGCACATGTTTACTTACATAACAAACCTGCATATCCTGAACATGTACCCTGGAACTTAAAAAAATAAAGTAGAATAGAATAAAATTTTAAAAACTTGATTACATAAAAAAGAAAAAAACTCTGGTGGGCACCTTTCCCCTTGTGAGCCCAGCTTAATCCAGAGGGGAAACAAAACAGTTTAATACATAGAATTTGTTTTCTACAATGCACTGATGTGGTGGTGATAGTAACGAGTACCAAACGTAATAAGCACAACTGTATTAGCTATCTATTACTACATAACAAATTATCCCAAAACTTAGTGGCTTAACAACAATAAATCATTATTACTTCAAAGTTACTGCAGCTTAGCTGTGTGGTTCTGGCTCAGAGACTCTTATGAGGTTATACTCAAAATGTTGGCTTGGCCAACTTGGGAGGCGGATCCTCTTCCAAGATGGCTCTTTCACTTGGCTGTTGGCAGGAAGCCTCAGTTCCTTACCACATGGACCTCTCCATAGGGCCGCTTGAATGCTATGACATAAATAACAGTTGTCTGGTTTCCACCAGAGCAGGTGATTCAAGAGGGCAAGGCAAAATGTTTTTTGTGACCTGGTCTTGGAAATCACACGTCATTATTTCCCAGTATCCTGGTGGTGCCCTGCTCATTGTGACAGCACAAAATAAAAGTGTGGGGACACCATGAGGAAGGGATCATTGGGGGCACAAAATGTTTTGCATGCTTTATTTTTACAACAATCCAGGGAGGTAGTTACCATTTGCCTTTGTGCCCTAGAAATTGGCATTATATCTGGCAAATACTAAGTGCGTAAGAATTTTTGTTGTTGTTGTACAGATGGGGTCTCTTTATGTTGCACAGGCTGGTCTTGAACTCCTGGCCTCAAGGGATCCTCCTGCCTTGCCCTCCCAAAGTGCTGGGATTACTGGGACGCAGTCACTGCACTGCTGCAGCTTTGGCCCCCGGGCTCAAGCAATCCTCCCATCTCAGCCTATCAAGTAGCTGAGTCCACAGGTGTGCACCGCTATTCCCCCCTCATTTTTTATGTATTTTTTGTACAGATGGGGTCTCACTATGTTGCCCAGGCTGGCCTCAAACTCCTGGCACTGTTCTAGGAATTCTATATATTTTATTCCATTTAATCAAATCCTGAGAGAGTATGCATTTATTATTATATTCCTAGTACAGATTTTTTTAAAATGGAGGTGTTAATAAACTTGCCCAAAGTCATACAGTTAATAACATCCAGGATTTGGACCCAGGCAGAGTGAATATAGATCCTAAACTCTTTTTTTTTTTTTTTTGAGACAGAGTTTTACTCTTGTTGCCTGTTGCCCAGGCTGGAGTGCAATGGCACGATCTCGGCTCACCGCAACCTCTCCCTTGCGGGTTCAAGCGATTCTCCTGCCTCAGACTTCCCAAGTAGCTGGGATTACAGGCATGTGCCACCACACCTGGCACATTTTGTATTTTTAGTAGAGATGGGGTTTCTCCATGTTGTTCAGGCTGGTCTTGAACTCCTGACCTCAGGATCTGCCCGCCTTGGCCTCCCAAACTGCTGGGATTATAGGCGTGAGCCACCGTGCCCAGCCAATCCTAAACTCTTAATCACTCGGGTACATGTCTGAAAAAACTTTCGGTGGGCTGGGTGTGGTGGCTCACACCTACAATGCCAGCACTTTGGGAGGCTGAGGCAAGAGGATCTTTTGAGGTCAGGAGTTTGAGACCAGCCTGGGCAACATTAAAAAAAAAAAGTAGTAGCCAGTCATGGTGGCGCACACCTGTAGTAGTCCCAGCTACTTGAAAAACTAAGGTGGGAGGATCGTTTGAGCCAGGGAGTTCGAGGCAGCAGTGAGCCATGAGAGCAGCACTGCACTCCAGTCTGGGTGACAGAGTGAGACTTTATCTCAAAAAAAAATTTTTTTTCTGACAAGAGGCTAAATAAATAAATAGTAAAACAAGAATCACGTAATTAGATAACACAGTGTCTTAGTCCGTTGTCTGTTGCTTACAACAAAATATCTGAAACTGCGTAGTTTATAAAGAAAATGAATTTCTCACAGTTATGGAGGCTGGGAAGCCCAAAGTAGAGGGGGCATGCCTGGTAAAAGCCTTCTTACCTGGTTGGGGGTCTCTGCAGCATCCTGATGCCACAGAGGGCATCTCATGAAGGAGGCTGAGCATGTTGGCTCAGGTCTCTCTTCTCTTCTTATAAAGCCACCAGCTCCCCTTCCATGATAAGCCATTAACCCATCAACCCATTAATCCACGAATGGATTAATTCATTCATGAAGGCAGAGCCCTCATGATTCAATCACCTCTTAAAGGCCCCACCTTTCAATAGTCCCACATTGGAAATTAAGTTTCCCACACATGAGATTTGGAGTCTGCATTCAAACCACAGCACACAGATATGTCAGAATAGTATCCTTTGGCATTTATTGATAAGTTGCTTTGACTTTTGGGTTTGGAGCACTCAAGGCTTTGTGTTAATGAAACATCTCATGCTTGCCTTTGCAGTTTCAACCCACATCCTACTCAGAAGATAAGATGCATTACTGTTTGCTTCCGAATATTTAAACATAAAATCTTAATAATCAATCCCCTTTATAAATTTATCTCCATTCAAATTAAAATAAGTCAGTAAAATTATGTTAATAAATCACAATTTTAATACGGAGTATGTGAATAATAAACACCCATTTACATAAAAAGGTAGGGGAAGGTAAGTGTATGTAGACGCAGAGAATATATATTGAAGGACACATCAGAAATTCTACACAGCCATTTATTTTGGGAATAGAGACAGGTAACTGTGATCTGGGGCAGAAGGGAAATTTACTTTACAATTATTAGATGAATTTTGGCCGGGTGCGGTGTCTCACGCCTGTAATCACAGCACCTCGGGAGGCTGAGGCAGGGGATCACTTGAAGTCAGGAGTTCAAGACCAACCTGGCCAACATTGTGAAACCCTGTCTCTACTAAAAATACAAAAATGAGCTGGGTGTGCTGGCACGTGACTGTAGTCCCAGCTACTTGGGAGGCAGAGGTGAGAGAATTGCTTGAACCCGGGGGGTGAAGGTTGCAGTGAGCCGAGATGGCACCATTGCACTCCAGCCTGGGTGGGCAACAGAGCAAGACTTCATATAAAAAAAATTTTAAAATGGATAATTTTTTTGTGTGTTTGATTTTATTGTTAGCTCTATTTAAGGATTACTTTTAATTAAAAGGTAGTTTTTTGTTTGCTTGTTTATTGCAACCCAGAAAAAACACTTCCAAACTAAGTTTGGGGAGATGCTCCCAAAGGTAGTTTTTAAGAAACAATGGAATAACCCTGAATACATTGTAAAAATATGCTTTTAGACCACTAATCTCTCCTGAGTGTTTTAGTTTGTTTTGTTTTTATTATTATTATTAGTAGTAGTAGTAGTATTTTGAGGCTGGGTCTCACTCTGTCACCCAGGTTGGAGTGCTATGGTGCAACCTTGGCTCACTGCAACCTCTGCCTCCCAGGCTGAAGCAATCCTCCTACCTCAGCCTCCTGAGTAGTTGGGACCACAGGCACGTGCCACCACACCTGGCTAGTTTTTCTATTTTTTGTAGACATGGGATTTTTATCATGTCGCCCAGGCTGGTCTCGAACTCCTGAGCTCAGGCAATCCTCCCAAAGTGCTTGGATTGCAGGTGTGAGCCACCATGCCTGGCCTTGTTTTTTATTATTATTATTATTATTATACTTTAGGTTATGGGATACATGTGCAGAACGTGCAGGTTTGTTACATAGGTATACACGTGCCATGGTGGTTTGCTGCAGCCTTGTTTTTAAATTAATAAAAACTTGTACGAAATAAGGTATTTATTCAATAGCTGATAGTAATGCATTCCTAATCACTGAAGAGACACATGCAATTTCAGGATTTCAGTGTTAGATATAACTTGGAGTTTTTCTCCTCTACTCCGATGATTCATTACTGTTACTTGGAGTTTTTTCCTTAATCCACCTGGTAGTGACTGAGCATTTACCCAAAGCCTCAGTCTCCTCCAGCCTTGCAGTGGTAAAACTCAGCTAAATCACTTGACCCAGCAGAGTACATTTCTGTCACCGGTTCTCCAGTCTTCTTCCTTGCAGTACCCATTAAAGTTGGAGGCTGCCTCTGACCACCCCTTTTTTTTCTTGACAGAAGGAGCTAGGGATAACATGGGTCGCCATAATTTGTCATCTAAGAATGTCCTAGGCAGCCACAAAAAAGAATGAAGTCATGTCCTTCGCAGCAACATGGATAAAGCTTGAGGCCGCTATCCTAAGTGAACCAACTCAGCAACAGAAAACCAAATACTGCATGTTCTCACCTACATGTTGGAGGTAAACAACGGGTACACATGGGACTCCCGGAGGAAGAAGGAAGAGAGCACGTAGTTTCCTGAGCCCAGCCTGCTGCCTGGGAGTATCCCCATATTGACTGGTAAGAGGTGGCTCCAAGACCCCAATCCCAATTTTGGCTTTCCTAAAGTCAGAACTAGACATTCCTCTCCCTGGCTTCAGGGAGCCCACATGTCCAAGGCTCATAGTGTAGACCATCTAGAAGTGGAGAAAACTGAATAATAATAGACTCCCCTTTTTAAATTCTCCCTCTACTCACATTACTGGCTACAGGCCCAAAGCCTAACTGAAAAGTTTGTCTTCTCTCCACTCAGTCTGCAGAAAGCATCTTGTCCTTCTCCATGGAAACCACCTTGGGTAAGTAGCAATCTCGCCCCAGCAGACCTGCCCAGCATCTGTAGACCATGTTGAACTTACGCCCTCTGCTTCTTCATAACTTCACATTGTATGGTCTTTTTTTATATTAGGCCATCAGCTTTCAGACCATTCTAATATACAGTTATCATTTGTTTTTATTATTTTCTTACCTATACCAGACAGAACACAGATATTTCCCTAGCTTTTGAAACAGTGTGAAAATTGATCTCTCTCCGTCCTCAAGGTTTTGTCCCTCACAGTTTAGGAGAGAAATCAAGGGAGTTGGGGCCAGAAAGAGAATTGAGAGGGAGTCTCTACCAGCACTGGTCTCTAGGAAATACCCCAAAGTGGGAGAAAGCTGTTTCTTGGAAAATCAGGGTAGATTGGTACAATAAAAAAAAAAAAACCCTTGGACAAGTGTGGGGGCCTCATACCTATAATCCCAGTACTTTCAGAGGCAGAGACAGGAAAATCAACTGACGCCAGGAGTTTGGGAACAGCCAAGGCAAAAGAGTGAGACTCCCATCTCTGAAAAAAAAAAAAAAGAAAAAAAATTTTGCCAGGCATAGTGGCACGTTCCTATAGTCCACCTACTTGGGAGGCTGAGGTGGGAGGATTGTTTGAGCTCAGAAATCGAGGCTGCAGTGAACTGTGATCACACCATGGCACTACAGCCTAGGCAACAGAGCAATACCCCAATTCCGGAAAAAAAAAAAAAAGAAAGAAAGAAAAAGAAACCCCCACTAAGGGCATTTGTTTGTGTCCCGGAGTCACCTGGGAGTTGAGCTATCCCTGCACACCCCCTACCTATGCATGAGGTGGCTCTCATTTTGCAGAGTGTATTAGTTTGATATTGCTGCCATAACATACAGAATGGGCAGCTTAAACAACAGATGTCTATTTTCTCACCACTCTGGAGGCTGGAAGTCAGAGATCAAGGTGTTGGCAGGTTTGGTTTCTTGCAAGGCCTTCTCTCTGTTGCTTGCAACTGACCTTTCCTTTATGTGTTTGCATCCCTGGTGTCTGCCTGTGTCTCCATGTTTCCTCCTCTTATAAGGGTATTGTCAGATAGAATCAGAGCCAACCATAATGGCCTCATGACCTCTTTAAAGGCCTTATCTCCAAATATGGTTGCATTCTGAGGTACCAGGGGTTAGCATTTCAACATAGGAATTGAGGGGAGCACAATTCAGCCCATCATAGAGATTGATGGTGAGGGCTTCATTCACACCGGGTGCTTTACTTGGTGACAGCTGAGCAGGGGCCAGGGCCATCAAGAGCAGTGGTTTTCCAGCCATGCTGCTCATTAGACATCTGGGAGCTTTCATAATACATACTCCTGGGTCCCACCTCTGGAAATACCGATTTAATTTGTCTGGGTTAAGAATCAAATGAATAGCCAGGTGTGGTGGTCCACTTTTGTGGTTCCCACTACTTGGGACCCTGAGGTGGGAGGATCGCTTGAGCCCGGGAGGTTGAGGCTACAGTGAGCTGTCATTGCACCCTAGAGCCTGGCAGTAGAGCAAGAGCCTGTCTTAAAAAAACAAAACACGGCTGGGTGTGGTGGCTCACACCTGTAATCCCAGCACTTTGGGAGGCCGAGGCAGGCTGATCATGAGGTCAGGAGATTGAGACCATCCTGGCTAACACCGTGAAACCCCGTCTCTACTAAAAATACCAAAAAAAAAAAAAAATTAGCTGGGCATGGTGGCAGGTGCCTGTAGTCCCAGCTACTAGGGAGGCTGAGGCAGGAGAATATGGTGAACCCGGGAGGCGGAGCTTGCAGTCAGCCGAGATCTTGCCACTGCACTCCAGTCTGGGGGACAGAGCAAGACTCCGTCTCAAAACACACACACACACAGACACACACACACACACACACAGACACACACACACACACACACACAGTTTGGGAGGCCAAGGCAGGAGGATTGCTTGAGCCCAGGAGTTGGAGATCAGCCCGGGTAACATGGTGAAATCCCATCTCTACGAAAGATACAAAAATTAGCCGGGCGTGGTGGCATATGCCTGCAGGTCCCAGCTACTGGGGAGCCCTGGAAGATTGAGGCTGCAGTGAGCTGTGATCACGCCACTGCATGGTGATAGAGTGAGACCCTGTCTCAAAAAATAAAATATAAATAAATAAAAATAATCTGAAAACAGTGAAAGAAAAGCCTTCTCCTGTGAAGTGGGAGGTGGAAAAAAGGTACTTCCCCTCAACCCTCACCACTAGCTTTTTGTCAGGTGGAGGGCACATGGATCCATTCAGGATCTGAAAAGGGACTACTCTAAGTTTTAATCTAACTGACCTGGGGTAGGGTTGGGCAGTTTGAATCTGTAGCACGATGAGAACCACAAGCTTAAACGTCTTAGATTAGTTGACTTGCTGAACAATATACAGCCGGCCCTCCACACCTCATGAGTTCCTCATCTGAGGATTCAACCAACAGTGGATTGAAAATACTTCAAAAAATAATAATAACAATTCAACAATTAAAAATAATACAAATTTAAAAACAATACAATATGACAACTATTTACATAGCATTTACATTGTTGTAGGTATTGCCGGGCTCAGTGGCTAGCACCTGTAATCCCAGCACTTTGGGAGGCTGAGGCCAGAGGATTGCTTGAGCCTAGGAGTTCAAGACCAGCCTGGACAATACAGTGAGAACTCGTCTCTTCCAAAAAAGAGAGAGAAAAAAAAAAAAAAAGGCTAGCCGGGCATGGTGGCTTATGCTTGTAGTCCTAGATACTCAGGAGGCTGAGGTGGGAGGATCACTTGAGCTCAAGAGGTCAAGGCTGGAATGAGCCATGATCGTGCCACTGCACTCCTGCCTAGGGGACAGAGTGAGTCTCTGTCTCAAAACAACAACTATAATACATTGTCCTAAGTATTATAAGTAATCTAGGGATGATCTAAAGTATATGGGAGGGTGGCAGGGCATGGTGGCTCATGATTGTAGTCCCAGCTACTTGGGAGGTTGAGGTAGGAGAATTGCTTGAACTCGGGAGGTGGAGGTTGCAAGGAGCTGAAATTATGCCATTGCACTCCAGCCTGGATGACAGAGAGAGACTCCATCTCCAAAAATAAATAAATAAATAAATAAATAAATAAATAAATAAATAAAAATAAAGTATATGGGAGGATGTGTGTTGGTTATATGCAAATCCTAGGCCATTTTATTTATTTATTTATTTATTTTGAGATGGAGTCTCACTCTGTCGCCCAGGCTGGAGTGCAGTGGCACGATCTCAGCTCACTGCAAGCTCCGCCTCCCGGGTTCACCGTATTCTCCTGCCTTAGCCTGCCGAGTAGCTAGGACTACAGGTGCCCACCACCACATCCAGCTAATTTTTTCTGTTTTTTAGTAGAGATGGGGTTTCACTGTGTTAGCCAGGATGGTCTCGATCTCCTGACCTCGTGATCTGCCCACCTCAGCCTCCCAAAGTGCTGGGATTACAGGCGTGAGCCACGGCACCCGGCCATCCTAGGCCATTTTATATAAGAGGTTCGAGTATCCAAGGATGCTGGTATTCAATCCCCTTCAGATAGTGAGGGATGTCTATACTAAAATACTATACTAAAATATTTGGGATGAAGATGACAGTTGGGATAACTCTTAGATTAAGCTGCTGCAATCACTAGAGACACTTCCGTGGGCAGTTAGGGACCACATCATTCTGCATGTGCCCCTCGCCTTAAGTTCTGCATGTGCCACTCACCTTAAGTTCAGAAACTAGTGAAGTGTAAAATACACATCTCATTAAGCCAGATTGGGGTACAGGCAATTCACAGTTCAAATCAACACACAGATGTGCTTTATTTGGCTTCATTATGCTTTAAAACTTAAAAATATATACTTTCTGGCACTTTAAAATTGAGAGACAACATAAAAATTTAAATTTCCAGTGTTGCTTGGAAAATAGATCAGCAACACCAGCATTGCCATCAGGCAGAAATCAGATAAAATTGAGTAGTACCATTAACATCCTTGAAAGACTGTTGCATGCTTCTATTTTCCAAGGGCTCATTTCTCTTTTACCCTATGCTGCAAATGTGTTTGATGCTCGGCCCTTATAAGCATTTGACTTTAAGAATTCTGTTCCTAGTTTTTTAAAATCCAGTATAAAAAGAAAAAAAAAAAAGCTGGGCCTGTTGTCTCACCCCTATAATTGCAACACTTTGGGGGCCCAAGGCGAGTGGATCACCTGAGGTCAGGAGTTCCAGACCAGCCTGGACAACATGGCAAACCCTGTCTTTACTAAAAATACAAAAATTAGCCAGGCATGGGGGCGGGCGCCTGTAATCCCAGCTACTCGGGAGGCTGAGGCAGGAGAATCACTTGAACCCGGGAGGTGGAGTTTGCAGTGAGCTGAGATCGCACCACTGCACTCTAGCCTGCGCCACAGAGTGAGACTTCATCTCATAAAAAAAAAAAAAAAAGAAAGAAAGAAAGAAAAAAGAGAAATTAAAATACATTTTTAGGAAAAAAAAGTAAGAGTATTTTCTTTTCTTTTTTTTTTTTTTTTTGAGACGGAGTCTCACTCTGTTGCCCAGGCTAGAGTGCAGTGGTGCGATCTCAGCTCACTGCAAGCTCCGCCTCCCGGGTTCATGCCATTCTCCTGCCTCACCCTCCCAAGTAGCTGGGACTACAGGTGCCCGCCATCATGCCCGGCTAATTTTTTTTTTTTGTATTTGTAGTAGAGACAGGGTTTCACCATGTTAGCCAGGATGGTCTTGATCTCCTGACCTCGTGATCCGCCCGCCTTGGCCTTTCAAAGTGCTGGGATTACAGGCGTGAGCCACCACGCCTGGCCAGTAACAGAATATTTTCTAAACTCTTAGAAGTGTGAAAGTTGTCAGAATCAAAATGGAGCCACTAATGTTAAAACAACAACAACAACAAAGCAAAACTTGACAAACAGAGCCTGGGAAGGCCATGAAGAGAGTGTTTTCACGCTTGCATACCTGATAACAAAAACAATGACAAAAGACTCTACAGAAACAACCTTGTACAAAGGACATCGCAACCTTAAGCAAAAAATACTTCCATAAGGGCATCTGCCCAGCAACTGCCTCTCCAACCTTGGACTAGCGTCACCCTTGCTATTGATCTTTGTAGTCAAGGAAAATTATCTCAAAACAATTATGTAATCCTTCTTATCCTTCCTTTAAAAACCTTTGTCTTCCTTTACCTCCCCAAATGCACACATAGGGGCATACATATTTTCATTGCAATGCTCTATTGCCAAACACACATCATTTTCTTTTAAAGAGCTTCTCTCTGTTATTAGGTTGACGTAAGAATGTGCACGCGTTTTGGCTGGGCGTAGTGGCTCATGCCTGTAAACCCAGCACTGTGGAAGGTGGGAGGATCTATTGAGCCCAGAAGTTCAAGCCTGCAGTGAGCCATGATTATGCCACTGCACTCCAGGGTGGAAGACAGAGGAAGGCCCTCTCTCAAAAAACAAACAAACAAAATGTTAGCCTCACAAAGAACCTCTACTGGGGCAGTGTGGAGGGGAAATGTGGGGTTGGAGCTGCCACACAGAGTCCCCACTGGGGCACTACCTAGTGGAGCTGTAGTGGATCCACCCATAGCTTGCACCCTGTGCCTGGAAAAGCCTCAGGCACTCAATGCCAGCCCATGAGAGTAGTGGCAGGGGCTGAACCCCGCATAGCCACAGGGGTGGGGCTGAACCCCGCAAAGCCACAGGGATGGAGCTGCCTAGGGCCTTGGGAGCCCACCCTTTGCATCAGTGTGTCCTGGATGTGGGACATGGAGTCAAAGGAGATTATTATGGAGCTTTAAGATTTAACAACAGCCCTGCTGGGTTTCAGAATTGCATGGGGCCTGTAGCCCCTTTCTTTTAGCTGATTTCTCCCTTGGGAATGGGAATGTTTACCTAATGGTTGTATCCCCGTTGTATCTTGGAAGTAACTAACTTATTTTTTATTTTATAGGCTCATATGTGGAAGAGTCTTGCCTTGTCTTAGATAAGACTTTGAACTTTTGAGTTAATGCTGGAATAAGTTAAGACTTCGGGGGATTATTGGGAAGGCATGATTGTATTTTGACATACGAGAAGGACATGAGATTTGAGCGGGTCCGGGGCAGAATAATATAGTTTGGATGTGTTTGCCCACGGAAATCTCATATTGAAATGTAATTCCCACTGTTGGAGGTGGGGCCTGGCGAGAGGCCACTGGATCCTGGGTGTGATTTCTCATGAATGGTTTAGCACCCATCCCCCTGGGTACTATTCTCCCAATAGTGAGTGAGTTCTCAGTGATCTGGTTGTTTAAAAGTGTGTAGCACCTCCCCTCTTGCTCTGTCGTTCCTGTTTTCACCATGCGACATGACTGCTCCCCTTCACCCTCTGTCATGATTGTAAGCTGCCTGCGGCCTCCCCACAAGTAGATGCCACTATGCTTCCTGTACAGCCCACAGAACTGTAAGCCAATTAAACATCTTGATAAATTACCCAGTCTCAGGTATTTCTTTATAACAATGCAAGAATGACCTAATACATTTAGACTTAGGAGAGATTCTTGTACTTGTCTTACAATAAGAATGATGGGATTTAAAAATATAAATAGGCCAGGCACAGTGGCTCATGCCTGTAATCCAAGCACTTGGGAGGTCAAGGCAGGAGGATCACTTGAATCCAGGAATTGGTGACCAGCTTGGGCAATATAGCGAGACACCATCTGTACAAAAAATTTAATTAAAAAAAATTAAAGTGAGACACTGTGTATTTGTCTCTGTATGTCTGGCTTATTTCACTTAACATAATGCCAACTGGGTTTATCTATATTGTTGCAAATAACAGAATTTCCTTTGATTCTAAGGCTGAATAGTCACCAGGTATGGTGGCTCTTGCCTGTAAGCCTAGCAGTTTGGGAGGCTGTATTAGTCCATTTTCACACTGCTGATAAAGACATACCTGAGCCTGGGTAATTTATAAAGAAAAATAAATTTGATGGACTTGGAGTTCCACGTAGCTGGGGAGGCCTCACAATCATGGTGGAAGGCAAAAGACACATCTTATATGGCAGCAGGCAAGAGAGAATGAGAGCCAAGTGAAAGGGGGAAACCCCTTAGAAAACCATCAGATCTCATGAGACTTACTCACTATCATGAGAACAGTATGGGGGAAACCTCCCTCATGACTCAGCTATCTCCCACTGGGTCCCTCCTACAACACGTGGGAATTACGGGAGCTACAATTCAAAATGAGCTTTGGGTGGGGACACAGCCAAACCATGTCAGAGGCCGAGGCAGGAGGATCACTTGAGTATAGTATATATAAAAATATAAAATGAAGGAAGGGGCCGGGAACAAGGGCTCACACCTGTAATCCTAGCACTTTGGGTGGCCGAGATGGGCAGATCACCTGAGGTCAGGAGTTCAAGATCAGCCTGGCCAACATGGTGAAACCCCATCTCTACTAAAAATACAAAAAATTAGCCGAGCGTGGTGGTATGCACCTATAATTCCAGCTACTGGGGAGGTTGAGGCAGGAGAATCACTTGAACCTGGGTGGCAGAGGTTGCAGTGAGCCGAGACTGCGCCACTGCACTCCAGCCTAGAAGACAGAGTGAGACCCTGTCTCAAAAAATAAAAATAAAAATAAAAATAAATAAAATTAAATGAAAGAAGAATCCCTGGCATGGCACTAAATTTAAATGGAAATATGAGTACACTGTATTTTCTAGGTCTGTCTACTGAAGCAATAACAATTGAGCATACTTAGTGCCCAGATCTTCAATGTTTTTTTAAAATTTTGATTGACAGATGACAATTTGTATATATTTTATGATGTACATGATAAATATATGTGCACACATTGTGTAATGATTAAATCAAGCCAATTAACATATCAATCAAGCCAATTAATATAGCAATCACCTCATATTTATAATTTTGTGATGAGAACATTCAAAATCTACTCACTCAGCAATTTTAAAATATACTATACATTATTATTAATTATAGTCACCATGCTGTAAGACTATATGTTAGGTCTCCAAAACTAATAATTCCTCCTGTTTAACCGAAACTTTGTACCTTTTAGCCTATTCTCCCCATCCTCTACCCGTCCTGACCCTAATAACTACCATTTTACTCTCTGCTTCTGTGAGTTTAACTTTTTTAGATTCCACCTATAAGTGAGACACTGTGTATTGGTCTCTCTATGTCTGACTTATTTCACTTAACATAATGTCATCCAGGTTTATCCATGTTGTTGCAAATAACAGAACTTCCTTTGATTTTAAGGCTGAATTTTAAGGCTGAATAGTGGTAAGGCATGGTGGCTTTTGCCTGTCATCCTAGCACTTTGGGAGGCCAAGGCGGGAGGATCACTTGAGTACAGGCATTTGTGACCAGCCTGGGCAACAAAGTGAGACCTTGTCCCTACAGAAATTTGTTTTTTAATTAGCCAGGTGTTGGTGGCATGCACTTGTGGTCCCAGTTACTTTGGAGGCTGAGGTGGGAGGATTGCTTGAATTCAGGAGTTCAAGGCGGCAGTGAGTTATGATCGTCGTGCCACTGCACTCCAGCCTGGGTGACAGAGGAAGATATTGTTTCAAAAAAAAAAAAAAGAAAGAAAGGCTGAATACCATTTTATTGTGTATACATACCACACTATCTTTATCCATTCATCATGAACACTTAGGTTGATTCCACATCTTGACTGTGGTGAATAGTCCTGCAATGTACATGAGAGTAAAGATACCTCTTTAACATATAGATTTCATTTCCTTCGGATATATACCCAGAAATGGAATTGCTGAATCATATGGTAGCTCTATTTTTAATATTTTGAGGAACCACCGTACTGCTTTCCATAATAGCTATATCATAGCCAGCGCAGGAGAGATGCGGGAGGTGCCACACACTTTAAAACAATTAGGTCTCAGGAGAACCCACTCACTATCACGAGGACAGTACCAAGAGGATGGTACTAAACCATTCATGAGAAATCCACCTCCATGATCCAATCACCTCTCACCAGACTTCATGTCCAACATCAGGGGTTACATTTTGACACGAGATCTGGTTGATTACAACATCCAAACTGTATCAGGGGGCATGTCAAAAAAGACATGGAGAGCAAGACTGCCAAAAGCAGAGAGCAGAAACACATTTCCACCTTCGGGCACCTTCTGATGCTCTTGGATTCCATTTGGGCAGAGTAAGTACTAGCTCTCTGCAGACCCTGGACTAAGGCCTGTGGCTGCAATGAAAAGAACCTTAGGAGGAAACTCAGGAATAAAAACAGAGAAAGTGAGACTTGAGACTGAAATTATGAAACCAAGGAACTAGAAAACCCTGAGAACAGTTGATTAAAACACGGAATGACCGGGAGATCCAGAGTTTCATCAAAGAACGGGAATTACTTTCCTTTTTTTTTTGAGACAGTCTTACTCTGTTGCCGAGGCTGGAATGCAGTGGTGTGATCTCGGCAAACTGCAACCTCTGCCTCCCAGGTTCCAGGTGATCCTCCTACCTCAGCCTCCCAAGTAGCTGGGACTATAGGCACCCACCACCACGCTCAGCTAATTTTTCTATTTTTTTGTAGAGACAGGGTTTCGCCATGTTGCCCAGGCTGGTCTCCAACTTCTGGCCTCCCAAAGTGCTGGGATTACAGGCATGAGCCACCATACCTGGCTAGGAATTTCTTTAATGTGAAGAGTTGAGGAAGAAGAATCATGAATAGTCTAAAGCAATCGACTAGCATCTCAAGCAGTGGGGCATAAAGAAGAGTTGGCAGCACTGTCTCCAGATGGTGATAAGTTTGCAGGACTCCTACTGGACTACTGATGAGGACAAACAGAGACCAAGGAACCAACCCTGGCCCTGTCCTCATGGTTCTACATAGGATTCTGGGATACAGATGGAAGGACAGCGGTTTTTCAGTTTCTCCTTGTGCAAATATGGTTGTTTTTCCAACTCCCAAGTACCAGCCCCAGGTTTGCCATCCCCATTTGCTTTGAGGAACTGCTGTCACACCCCTGTCCATGATCTCCGTGAAAGATCCTCAGGTACCAAGATCGGAGTTCTGGAGCATGAACCGTCCAGGGTCAGCTCCATGCCTGTTTTCTGCTGTTCTCCCAGCAGCCCCCAGTCCCCAGCAGCAGCAGTCAACCTCTTTGGGCTCTGATTCAGATCCCTGAATTTAAAAATAACTAGAACCTAGATCCCAATACTGTCTGAAGGATAATAGAACAGCACAATTGTATGCGCTGGTGCATAACTCCTTCCTCTCTCAGACTGATGTAATGAGAATCAGGTGTGAAATAAATGAATAATCATGACTCTCTCTCTCAAAAAAGGAAAAATAAAGATATGGGGAGCATGGTAAAGGGACTCTCACTTGACATTTGAAGCATCAAAAAAATAATGACAGTATCTGTTTATAACATTTTTAAATAACATAAATCTTCCTGGTGCCACACTGATAGACAAATCAACATTCTTCTTTACAAAAGAATTAATAAATATTGAAGGAATGATAGAATTTGAAAATGGCCATTCATAAAGTAGGAGATTAGACATACTGTCACTCATACGCATCTTTGCATCCTTCACGTCTATTTTTTTTTTTGAGACACAGTCTTGCTCTGTCGCCCAGGCTGGAGTGCAGTGGCGTGATCTCGGCTCACTGCAAGCTCCGCCTCCTGGGTTTGCACCATTCTCCTGCCTCAGCCTCCCAAGTAGCTGGGACTACAGGCGCCCGCCACCACGCCCGGCTAATTTTTTTGTATTTTTAGTAGAGACGGAGTTTCACTGTGTTAGCCAGGATGCTCTTGATCTCCTAACCTCGTGATTCACCCGCCTTGGCCTGCCAAAGTGCTGGGATTAACAGGCGTGAGCCACCACGCCCAGCCTTGACCAACAATATCTTAACTGCTATGTCCCCTACCCAAATCACTGACCTCATCTTTCATCTCCGCTGGTCCTTTAACTGGAGCCACACTTGTCTCTGTGCTCTTCCTTTTTCAGGCCATGAAATGCCTGTGCCTCTGTGTCTTTCTTCTGGCTGGAAAATTCTCCTGATAGTCACCTTTCTTCTCTCCTTCTTTTCTTCCTTTGATGTAACTGTCTCACAAACAGCAATTCCAACTCTGAGTTCATCTGATTAGGCATCTCTTTGTGCATCCCCCAAATTTAACTTCTAGCACTCTGTTTCATAAACACAGCAAGGTGGCATGAGTGATGGTCTGTCCCTGACCTGCATCCATTCCCGACGCGCCATCCATTTCCTATTCTGTGCCTTAAAGCAATAAAGGATTCAAGATTTCAGCCATTTTTTCTTCTTCTTTTTTAATCTTAAGGTCTGCTTCTACCAGTCATTTGAAAAACATATTGTGACAAGCTTTAATCTCATCACTGGAATTCTTTGTTTGGAAAGTGGGGCTGGTCCGAAACAGTCCTGGAGAGTGTTTCCCAGTGGAAACTTCCCAAAGGCAGACTGATAAAGAATCAGCTATGGCTGGGCGTGGTGGCTCACGCCTTTAATCCTAGCACTTTGGGAGGCCGAGGTGGGCAGATTACCTGAGATCAGGAGTTCAAGACCAGCCTGGCCAACATGGTGAAACCCTGTCTCTACTAAAAATACAAACATTAGCCGGGCGTGTTGGCTCATGCCTGTAATCCCAGCTACTTGAGAGGCTGAGGCACGAGAATTGCTTGAGCCTGGGAGACGGAGGTTGCAGTGAGCAGAGATCACACCACTGTACTCCAGCCTGGCCAACAGAGTGAAGTCTGAAAAAAAAGAATCAGTTATGGAGGGCAGGGTGCGGGTAGTTCACGCCTGTAATCCCAGAACTTTGGGAGGCCGAGGTGGGAAGTTTGCTTGAGCTCAGGAGCTTGAGACCAGTTCAGGCAACATAGTGAGACCTCATCTCTACTCAAAAATAAAAGTAAATCAGTTAGACATGGTGGCATCTGCCTATTGTCCTGGCTACTTGGGAGGCTGAGGTGGGAGGATCGCTCGGGTCCAGGACATCAAGACTGCATGATCGTTCCACTGCACTCCAGCCTGGGCAACAGAGTGTGAGACCATGTCTCAAAAAACAAATAAATAAATAAATAAAATTTTTTAAAAAAATCAATGATGAGGATGTTTCACCACATTCTGTGACCTTTGGATGCATTACAGTTAGTTTTCTGCAGAAAAGGAGGATACATTTTATAAGGAAACATAAATGTTTCATAGGAAAGGCATGTATCCTGATGCAAATTTATATTCAGACCATGTGATTTTATTTTTACTAGATTAGTGGGTTAGAATAGCTTGGTTAGAACAGCTAGATGTGGTCTTATTTGGGACTTTTAAAACTGAGCAAAAGAAAATAAGATGCAACTCCGAGCTATTTCTAGACACTCCTCTCAATTTTCTCACCTCCCACAAGCATTGTTGCCACAACCTTCTGTCTCAGGGGAAGGGCCTGCTTTATACCTGAGCCAGCCCCTGACCACTGCCTAGGCTTCCTGGAATCTTCCTAGCAGGATTCTGCTTCTGGAAAAGAGGAAGGAGTGAATATCAGTTCTGCAGAATACACATTTCCTTTCCTTTCTTTCCTTCCTTTTTTTCTCTTTCTTTCCTTCTTTCTTTCTCTGTCTTCCTTTCTTTTTTCTTTTTTTATTTTTTTGAGACAGGGTTTCACTCTGTCACCCAGGCTAATTTTTTGTATTTTCTTGTGGAGACACGGTTTTGCCAGGTTGCCCAGGCTAGTCTCAAACTCCTGGGCTCAAGCCACCTGCCTGCCTCTGCCTAAGCGCTGGGATTACAGGCGTGAGCCACCACGCCCGGCCCCTGTTAGAACTTTACTGTCTAAGTCTTGCACTTCATTTCACTTTGCTTGCTTATTTATTTATGAATGAATGAATGAGACAAGGTCTCTCTCTTCCATCCAGGCTAAAGTATGTGATGCAATCATAGTTCACTGCAACCTCGATCTCCCTGGTTCAAGCAATCCTCCCACCTCAGCCTCCCGGGTAGCTGGGACTACAGGCACGTGCTACAATGCCTGGCTAATTAAAAAAAATTTTTTTTCTTTTGTAGAAACAGAGGTCTTGATATTTTGCTGAGGTTTGTCTGGATTTCCTGGGCTCAAAGATCTTTCACCTCAGCCTTTGATAGCTGGGACTACAGGTGTACCTCAGTAGCGGGCCTCATTTCACCTTCCTTTCCAGGGTCATGCTCTTGGCTACTTGCAATGCCCTCAAGCAGCCTTTCCCCAGTCCCTAGACAAGAATAAAGACCATGGGTCACACACTTTTATACCACCTTGGGCTCTGCCTACTGGGTTCAAGTGATTATTCTGCCTCAGCCTCCCGAGTACCTGGGATTACAGGCACGCACGGCCACGCCCAGGAAATTTTTGTATTTTACTTTATAAAGAATAAGAGACAGGTTTTCACCATGTTGGCCAGGCTGGTCTCAAACTACTGGGCTCATGTGATCTGCTGCCTCGGCCTTCAAAAGTGCTGGGATTACAGATGTGAGTCACCACATCCGGCCCAGAAAGGTATTTTTAAAGTTTTATCAGGAGATGGTACTTTAGAACATTTTAATTTGCAAATGATTTTCGTTTTAATTTTGAGACTTGATTGCATTGCGTTGGAATGGGGGTGGAAATATAAATATTTCTTACCTGTCAAGGGACTCTTGAGGCTCCCCCTCCCCCGCTTTCTAATCTGTGTTGCAAAGCCTGTAAAGAGAGTGAAAGGGTGGGCCTGAAATTCAGCTGAGAAGGTTCCAGGGAGGGGGTAGTGAAGGAGGAGGGAGGAGGGAGAGACAGAGGGAAGGAAGTGAGAGGGCATGGGAGGGAACCAGGATAGACCTTTGACCCCTGGAAATGGATTAAGAAGGGAGTGGGCTGCTGCTTGGAGAAAGCTGTTGAAGACTCACAGTGAGGACCCTGTTTGGACACCTGGAAACTCCTACGGGAGCTCGGTCTTCAAGGGCTGTGAGATTGAGACCCACCCTGTCCCCTGGGGCTCCTACTGGAAAGACATCTGCTTTTCAACTCGCTCACCTCTGAGCTTTGTTGGAACAGACATGTGGACTGCCTCCCACTCCGCATCCCTTCTCATCCCCAATAGCTGAGGGCCCAGGCACACTGCAGAGAAAGTGGTAGACTCTGAACAAGAGAGAGAGGAGGGAGGATGCCCATCACCAGCTCAATCAACCTGGAAGGCAGCCCTGAAGCCCCACCCTCATTCTTTCCTTTGAGTAGCAATTGGAGGAAAACTTTTGGCAATCAAGCTGGACAACAACTGAAAATCCAATCAGGATAAACTGCTTCAGACACGTGACTGGAAAAATGATTGGGCTATAAGGGGCTTAAAAGGAGTGGGACCTTCTGATCTGGCCTCAGAAAGGACTTTGAAGAGCAAGCGGCGTTGTTCGCCTGCGGAAGCAGTGCTGCCGGTCTCTGGACAAATTTCTCCGGGAGGTGGAGACAAGGAAGCTCCAGCTTCGCTTTCCCTTGCGGCCCAGAGTGGAACATACTGAGCTGCACTGAATCATCTGGATGCACTCGCAACTTTAGGAACTGGTGAGCTGAGAAATTTGCTATCTTTCATTTTGCTCCTCTAAAACTAGAGCTGGCAAACTTGTTCTGTGAAAGACTAGATGGCAAATATTTTAGGCATTGCAATTCTCTGCTTCAACTACAGTAGTCTTCCCTTATCCAGGGTATTCCTTTCTGTGCTTTCAGTTACCTGAGGTTCCAAAATATTAATTGGAAAATTCCAGAAATAGGCAATACATAAATTTTAAGTCGCCAGCCCTTCTGAGTAGTGTGATAAGCTCTTGAGTCAGCCCTGCCCTGGGATGGTAATCCTCCCTTTGTCCTGAGTCCCCATGCTGTTGGCTGGCTGCGCTCTCTGTACCTTAGTCACTTAGGAGCGGTCGCAGTTATCAGAGTGACTGTCCTGGTGGTATCTCAGTGCTTGTGTTCAATTAACCCTTATGGTACTTAATAATGGCCCCAAAGTACAAGGGTAGCAATGCTGGCGATTCAAATATGCCAAAAAGAAGCTGTAAAGTGCTTGCTTCCTTTAAGTGAAAATGGGAAAGTTTTTAACATAATAAGGAAAGAAAACAAAATCGTATGCTAAGGTTGCCAAGATCTACAGTACATAAAGATATTTTGTCAGCGAGAGATTGCATTCACATACCTTTAATTTAATTTATTAATTTATTTTTTTGAAACGGAGTTTCACTCTGGCCGCCCAGGCTGGAGTGCCACGGTGCGATCTCGGCTCACTGCAACCCACGCCTCCCGGGTTCAAGTGATTCTCCTGCCTCAGCCTCCCAAGTAGCTGAGATTACAGGTGCTCGCCACTCTGCCCAGATAATTTTTGTATTTTTAGTAGAGATGGGTTTCACCATGTTGGCCAGGCTGGTCTCAAACTCCTGACCTCAGGTGATCCACCCACCTCAGCCTCCCAAAGTGCTGAGGTTACAGGCATGAGCCACCACGCCCTATCTCACATATCTTTTATTACAGTATATTGTTATAATTATTTTGTTATGCTTAACCTCTTACTGTGCCTATTTATAAATTAAGCTTGATCATAGGTATGTACATATATGAAAAAATATAGTATATATTGAATTTGGTTCCATCTGCAGTTTCAAGCATCCACTTCGGGGGTCTTGGAACATATGCCCCAAAGATAAGGGGGTACTACTGTACTCAACTGTGTCATAGAAGTGTGAAAGCAGCCATGGACAACAGCACTAAAAAAATGATTATGGCTGTGTTCCACAACACTTTATGGTGAACACTGACATTTTGAATGTTATATAATTTTCACATCACAAAATATTCCTTTTTTCTTTTTTTTTTTTTTGAGACAGTCTCACTCTGTCACCCAGGCTGGAGCACAGTGGTGCGATCTTCGCTCACTGCAACCTCCACCTCCCAGGTTCAAGAGATTCTCCTGCCTCAGCCTCCCGAGTAGCTGGGACTACAGGCATCTGCTACCATGCCTGGCTAATTTTTGTATTTTTAGTAGAGAAGGGGTTTCACCATGTTGGCCAGGCTGGTCTCGAACTCCTGAGCTCAAGTGATCTGCCCACCTCGGCCTCCCAAAAGTGCTGGGATTACAGGCGTGAGCCACCGCGCCCCGCTTCCTTTTGCATGTTTATTCCCCCAAATTTAAAAATGTACAAGTTTAAAAAAATCTTAATAAAAAAAAAGTAAGAAAACAATACCTTAAAAATGTAAGAAACATTCTTGGCTTCCTGACTGTACAAAAACAGGGGAAGGGCCAATTTTCCAATTTCTGTCTTAAACCATTGTTTGCCAAAATGTAGCTGATATCCATTAGAGAACTACAAAACAAGTTTAGTGTGCTGTCAGCTTACAAAAAGAAATAGGATTTTTCACTGACTATAAGATGCCATCAATTGGCCGGGCACAGTGGCTCATGCCTGTAATCCCAGCACTTTGGGAGGCCGAGGCGGGCGGATCACGAGGTCAGGAGATCGAGACCATCCTGGCTAACACGGTGAAACCCCGTCTCTACTAAAAATACAAAAAATTAGCCGGGCGAGGTGGCGGGCGCCTGTAGTCCCAGCTACGCGGGAGACTGAGGCAGGAGAATGGCGTGAACCCCGCGGGGCGGAGCCTGCAGTGAGCCGAGATCGCACCACTGCACTCCAGCCTGGGCGACAGAGCGAGACTCCATCTCAAAAAAAAAAAAAAAAAGATGCCATCAATTATAAAAGATACATTACTCTCCTTTTTTTTTTTTTTTACATCAGATGTTAAACATGCTGATATAACAAGGTTTGAGGGAAGCACATCTCACATGAGTGAAAACCCAAGCATCACGCTTATCCTCACAAAAGGATCTGAGATATGTCATTTTTGATTCCACTATGAAATAAAAATATATACTGCAAAAACAAATTATGAAATGTATTTTATATTGATGAGATGCTATGATGAGATGCAATCTGATTTAGAGATGTTAAAATGGAAATCTAAGCCTATACCTTAGAATCAATAAAATATGGCATAGAAGGTATCAGAGCCTATCCCTTGTGGTAAGGTGAAGGTATTAGAGTATTTGACAAAACTTTTGTTTCAATTTACACACACATACACACAGGTTTACCTTCTCCCTTGTACAACAGTATTAAATCATTTGGATTTGGATTTCATTAAATGCTTAGAGAATCTGGAATAATGGATTAGAGCCTCTGGTACACCTAAATGATCATATTAATAACAGCTACTATTTATTTAACAAAGATTTAGCATGCACAGTATGACAGACATTGCTCTATAAGCTGAGGAGTAAATGAAACACAACTCCCTGCCCTCGTGTGGCATACAGTTTAGTGGGTAAACACAGAAAAGAAACAAGTTATATTTTTAAATTTTTTGTAGAGATGGGTCTTGCTATGTTGCCCAGGCTGGTCTCGAGCTCCTGACCTCAAGCAATCCTTCCGCCTTGGCCTTACAAAGTGTTGGGATTACAGGTACGAGCCACTGCACCTGTCCCATTTTTTGTTGTTGTTTTAAGACACAGAGTCTTCCTTTCCTCTGTCACCCAGGCTGGATGCAGTGACATGATATATCTCACTGTAATCTCAAACTCCTGGGCTTGCAAGATATATTTTACATATTGTGTGGTAGGCAGTGATAAATGCTAAGTTGAAAAATAACATTGAGGGTTTGAACATATGAGTTAAGGAGGTTGTGATTTTTGATATTGTGGTCAGGTAAGCCTTGCTGAAGAGGAACCATGGGACTGAGGCAGACCAGGAGCCCAGATGGGGTTAATCTGGGGAAAGAGGCACGCAACGTCCGGGAACAACAAAAGTTCTGAAAAAGAAAAAGGCCTGCTGTGTTCCAGATTCACGGAGCTCAGGATGGCTGCATCAGAGCAACAGAGGAGTTAGCAAGGGCGATGATGACCTAAGGTTCCATGGGGAAATTTAAAGTTTGCTGGTATTTCCTATGAATGAAATGGAAAGTCATTGAAGACTTAAGAGCGAAATATACTTGCTCCCCTGTATATTTTAACAGGGGCATTGGGGCCACCATGGGGAGATCTGACAAAACTTTTAAGACTGGCAACTTCTGCAGTGATCCAGGGAGAGAACATGGTACCTTCCATCAGGGAGGTGGCAGTAGATGTGGAAGAGAGTAGTCAGATTCTGGATATCTTTAAAAGATAGAGCAGACTAGCTTTGCTAATTGATTGGCTGTAGTGTATGAGAGAAAGTCTGGCAAAGGATGACTCTGAAGTTTGTAGACTGAGCAACTGAGTTTACTGAGAAAAGGAACATTACAGGAACAGCAAAGGGTGTGTGTGTGTGTGTGTGCTGTGATTTGTGTGTGTGTGTGTTTGTGTGATGGGGTCTCATTTGGTTGCCCAGGCTGGAGTGCAGTGGCATGAACATAGCTTTGAAGTCCTGGGCTCAAGTGTTCCTCTTGGCTCAGCCTCCCAAGTAGCTGGGACCACAGGTGTGTACCACCATGCCAAGCTAATTTTTTTTAATTTTTAAATTTTTTTGTAGAGATGGGGTCTTGCTATGTTGCCCAGGCTAGGAGCAGAATGTTTTTGAGAGAAGTTTTGTTCAAGTTGGTTAGAAACCTTAGACATCTGAGAGAGTACCTGTGGGATGAGGAGGAGGTGAGTGAGGCATCTAGAGTGCAAAATTTAGAGGCAAGCACTCTGAGATGTTCCATCTGCACCTCCTGAAATCTTGCTTCCTTTGCCTCACAACTGCAGAAGACCAGGGGAGGAGAGACAGGTAAATTTGAAATTATTATGCCATTTAAAATGTTTCAAGCCTCATTTCTGACGTGTAAAATAGAGATGTTGATGGTTATCTCAGTGTTTTAAGGGAGGATACAATAAAGTAATGATTTTGTCTTTCGAAATAAATATTGACTATTGTCACATGGTTGCACTTAGGTGGCAATTTGTAAAAAGACAGCTCTGGAAGTTGAAGAGACCAGTGGCTTCAAGCAAAAAGTAAATTGAAAATGGGAGATATCTTTTTGTGTAAGAAAGTGGAATCACCAAAGAAGAATTTGAGAGAATCCAAACAAAGGGAGGAGGATGATGAAGATCCAGATCTGATCTATGTTGGGGTGGAGCATGTACATAGAGATGCTGAAGTTCTCTTTGTCGGGATGATTTCAAATTCAAAACCAGTCGTTTCAAACATTTTGAACAGAGTCACCCCAGGCTCAAATTCAAGAAGAAAGAAAGGCCACTTCCGTCAATATCCTGCTCACGTGTCGCAGCCTGCAAATCATGTGACCTCTATGGCAAAAGCCATCATGCCGGTTTCTCTGTCTGAGGGGCGATCGACAGATAGTCCTGTCACTATGAAGTCTTCATCTGAACCTGGTTATAAAATGAGCTCACCACAAGTTGTTTCTCCCAGTTCCTCAGACTCGCTCCCCCCAGGGACTCAGTGTCTAGTTGGAGCTATGGTCTCTGGAGGAGGCAGAAATGAGAGTTCTCCTGATTCAAAGCGACTTTCCACTTCAGATATAAACAGCAGAGATTCCAAAAGGGTTAAACTCAGGGATGGAATCCCAGGGGTACCTTCTTTAGCTGTGGTCCCTTCAGATATGTCTTCTACAATAAGCACAAATACACCCTCACAGGGGATCTGCAACTCATCAAACCATGTTCAGAATGGAGTAACATTTCCTTGGCCTGATGCTAATGGAAAGGCACATTTCAATCTTACAGATCCAGAGAGAGCAAGTGAGTCTGCCCTGGCAATGACAGACATTTCAAGTCTAGCAAGTCAAAACAAGACCTTTGATCCCAAGAAAGAAAATCCCATCGTGTTACTTAGCGACTTTTACTATGGACAGCATAAAGGAGATGGGCAGCCGGAACAGAAGACTCACACCACCTTTAAATGCCTCAGCTGCGTGAAAGTTCTAAAAAATATTAAGTTTATGAATCACATGAAGCATCATTTGGAATTTGAGAAGCAGAGGAACGACAGCTGGGAAGACCACACCACCTGCCAGCACTGCCACCGGCAGTTTCCCACTCCCTTCCAGCTACAGTGTCACATTGATAGTGTACACATCGCCATGGGGCCCTCTGCTGTCTGTAAAATCTGTGAATTGTCATTTGAAACAGATCAGGTCCTCTTACAACACATGAAGGACCATCATAAGCCTGGCGAAATGCCTTATGTGTGCCAGGTTTGCCATTACAGATCGTCGGTCTTTGCTGATGTGGAAACACATTTTAGAACGTGCCATGAAAACACAAAGAATTTGCTTTGTCTGTTTTGTCTCAAACTTTTCAAAACTGCAATACCATACATGAATCATTGTTGGAGGCACAGCAGAAGGAGGGTCCTTCAGTGTTCCAAGTGCCGGCTACAGTTTTTGACGTTGAAGGAGGAAATAGAGCACAAAACCAAGGACCATCAAACATTTAAAAAGCCGGAGCAACTGCAAGGGTTGCCTAGTGAAACAAAAGTTATTATTCAAACTTCAGTTCAGCCAGGATCAAGTGGTATGGCTTCCGTTATTGTTAGCAACACTGACCCTCAGTCTTCTCCTGTAAAAACTAAAAAGAAGACGGCTATGAACACTAGAGATTCCAGACTCCCTTGCAGCAAGGATTCTAGCTGAAAATATGTTCGACTGACTTCCAGGAGTTCCGAAAGGCAGAAGTGAGGCTAGGCCATATGTGCATTGTGGCTGTAGATGCTAGCAAGCAATGTCATCAACTGTCAGGTTGTTTTTTACAGTGACATCTCATCAGCTCCCTATTGTCAAGAAGTAGCTCCAAAGTCTTTGAGCCCTTTCCCAGTCAAATGCTCCCAACAGGGCATCCCTTATTCTGACCTCAGAGGTTTTTCTTGTTCATGAACTTTAAATAAATGGAATCACACAAAGATTCTTGTCTTTGGCTTTTTAAAATAAGTGAGATGGCTGGGTGTGATGGCTCATGCCTGTAATCCCAGCACTTTGGGAGACTGAGGTGGGTGGATCACTTGGGGTCAGAAGTTTGAGACCAGGCTGGCCAACATAGTGAAACCCCTTCTCTGCATAAAATAGAAAAATTAGCCAAGCGTGGTGGTGGGCGCCTGTAGTCCCAGCTACTCGGGAGGCTGAGGCAGGAGAATCGCTTGAACCTGGGAGGGGGGAGTTTGCACTGAGCTGAGATCGCGCCACTGCCCTCCAGCCTGGGTGACAGAGCATGACTGTCTCAAAATAAAGTAAAATGAAATAAAATAAGTGAGATGCATTTTTGCTGTGTGTAGCAGTAGCACATTCTTTTTCATTGCTGGGTAGAATTTTGTTGAGTGACTGTGGCAGTTTTGTATAAATTTATTTCACTGTTGATGGACTTTGAGGCTGATTCTTTGGCAATTTTGAATAAAGCTGCTATGAGCTTGTGCGTGTCTTTTGGTAAGCATGTAATCATTTCTCGTGGGTATATATAGCTATGAGAAGTGCTGGAACTGCATATATTTAGCTGTCTAGTGTAGATACTGCCAAATACATTTCCAGAGTGATTGAAACGATTTACATTCCCACCACCGATACTGCGAATTCCATTGCTACTGATCCAGCACTTGGTACTGTCAGTCCTTTTAGTAAGTGCCCTTCTCTTGAAATTGTAGTGGTACCTTATTGTGGCTTTAATTTGCACTTCCCTGATGATTAATGGACCTTGAGATTATATAGTTATCGGCCACGTGAGTATTTCTTTTTATTAAATGTCTATTCAAGTTTTGCCCCCTCCTACCTTTTTAAAAACTGGGCTGTCGACTGGGAAGGGTGCTGGGGCACTGGAAATGTCCCATATTTGGATCTAAATCGTGGTTTTATGGTTTATCTTTCATGAGTCTTATTTAAGAAATTGTCTACAAACGACATAAAGATATTCCTTCTATGTTCTAGAAGCTTTACTGTTTTGATGAGACATCTCAAACTGATTTTTTGTTAATGGTGTGATAAGGCATGAAGACTAATTTTTTCATATACATACCCAAAATCAATCAGCACCACTTACTAAAAAGACCACTCCTTCCCTACTGTATTGCCGTGGAAACTGTGAATCAGGTATGATTGTATATATGTGTTTCTGGAATCTATTTCATTTCATTTGTCCTGTTCTCTATCCTTGTGCTAATGCTGCAGTATCTTAATTATTGTAGCTTTGCATAATCCTCCGTGTGGTAGTTTCATTTCTCCAACTTTGGTGTTCAAAATTGCCTTGGCTATTCCAAATGCTTTGCGAATTGAAGTGGCTTTCATGGGTGTGCTTTTCTTGGTCTCAAACTCAGGTAGAATAGTTTACTTTAATTGTGATGTTAGCTGTGGGGCTCTTTGTAGTTACCCACTGAGTACACGGGAATCAACTTACAAATCAGTAACAGAAAGATCACTGAAAAAAAACCCAAAGTTCCTAAATTAGGCAATACATTTCTAAACAGGGCTGGGACTAGGGTGAGGCAAGCAGGGAACCTAAGGTGACAATATGCCATACCTGAAGCTGGGCGTGGGTCTCTCCTTAATGTGCCTCAGCCTCCTTGCTTATCTCACCCCAGTCCTGGTCCTCATTCTGAATAACCCATAGCTCCTCTAAGAAATTGCAGTGAAAAAAGGAAAATGTTGAACTGAAAGATATTGAAAACAGCCACAAAATTTATGGGATGGAACTAAAGCATTTCATGGGAATTTATATTTCTAAATGCATATATTTGGGAAGAAGAAAGGTTGACTAATGATCTAAGTCAGTGCTGTCCGTAGATCTTTCTGCAATGATGAAAATGCTCTACTTCTGCTCTGTCCAATATGCTACAGGTGACTATTGATCTGTTGAAATGTGGCAAGTATGACTGAGGTACTAAATTTTTTATTTTATTTTTGATTAATTTAAAACTAAAAAGCTATTTTTGATTAATTTAAAACTAAAGGAAGAAGAGACAAATCTTCCTTAAAGAAGAATTGCAAAGTAACTTGTGTAGATAATTTTCCTTCAATGAGACCTCACGGCCTTCCTGCATGTAGGCAAGATTTAGAATAAGGTATGAAAGGGGGGGGAAGTAATTTACAGCGGAGAAGCCAGTAGGAAGTCTTATTGATAGCATGGATCGCTGATGAGAAATTATGAGAAAGACACATCATGTCTGTGATAGTCTTCTAAAAACCATAACCCCAGTGTAACCATGAGAAAAACATCAAACCTAAATTGAGAGACACTCTGAAAAATACCTGACCTTTACTTCTTAAAATTGTCAAGGTCATGAAAAGCAAGAAAAGTTTAAGAAACTGTCACAGACCACAGAAGGCTAAGAACACAAAATGACCAAGTACAATTCAGTATCCTGGGTGGGAATCTGGAACAAAAAGGATGATGGGAAAAACTAGTGACATTTGAATAAAGCCTGGAGCTTAGTTGATACTAATTTACTGATGGACATTGGAATTATTATGAAGCCAAAAGAAGATCATTTCTCATAGATTTATTTTTCATGTTATTATTTTTTGAGACGGAGTCTCGCTCTGTTGCCCAAGGCTGGAGTACAGTGGTGCAATCTCAGCTCACTGCAACCTCTGCCTCCCAGGTTCAAACAGTTCTCATGCCTCAGCCTCCCGAGTAGCTAGGACTACAGGCGCGTGCCACCACACCCAGCTAATTTTTGTATTTTTTGTACAAAAATGGGGTTTCACCATGTTGGCCAGGCTGGTCTTGAACTCCTGACCTCAAGTGATCTGCCTGCCTTGGTCTCCAAAAATGCTGGGATTACAGGTGTGAGCCACCGTGCCAGGCCTCTTACGTACATTTTAGATATTGCAAATATCTTCTTTACATATCAGCCTCATATATACATTTTAGATAATGCAAATATCTTTACATATCAGCCTCATATATACATTTTAGATACTGCAAATATCTTCTTTACATCTATGATCTCTTCATTTTGACTATGGTACACTTCACTGAACAGAAATCTTCAAATGCAAGGGTGAGTAATATTTAGGCCATGTGATTTGATTATAATACAATTAAAAAATCTTTTAAAAATCTCATAGATTTCAAAAATAAATAACATATACTATATAACCCTTGTGTTAGAAAGAATCACTATGTAAAAAATAGAGGTTCCTCTTCAAAGACTTTCCTCCCTGTCTAATTACGAATAAATAGTAACTTCTCTTAGAAGTAAAATTTATTCAAAGACCTGTGCTAACATTCTTAGATATCTGCTAGCCGTAATAAAGAAATTAATATACTTTGTGTTCTTAGCTCCCACAATTTAGCCTAAATATTTGCCCTTGCATGCTTATACTGGTCCAAGCAAGCATTAGGTCATAGCCTGTTCCTCTTCCTATTTGGAGGTGTTTTTACCTTTCTCAGCATTCTACAAGTTACATCCTCCTTCCTTTGTTCTCCTCTGCCTTTGCCTCTTTTAGAAAGTTCTAAGTTGTTAGCCAATCGGGACAAACACAGAATGTGAGGTCCTGTTCCAGCCAATGGAAACCGGACACAGCAGTAGGGTGGATGCGTCAGGTTATAAATAACCCTGTATCCTTTGTTTGGGGTACTCTCGTGGCAAAACTGCTGGCGAGTGTACCCTTTCTGCAGAAAGTGAAAATGGCCTTGCTGAGAAAATTAAATTTATGTTCAAGTGCTATTTCTTTGCGGCACCAGGGAACAAGCATTTCTAACAACTAGCAAAATTAGGACATATCTAATTGAAGGATAATGAACATATTACCAAGCGGACTGGTGAGACACAGTTAAACTGGTACTTAAAGGTAAATTTATAGCATTAAATACAAGAGAAACAAAAAAGTTTACAAGCAAACGAGGTAGGCATTTTTCTCCAAAAGTTGTAATGAGAAGTAACAGAACAAGCCTATGAAGTCACGAAGGAAGAAAATAACAGAATGGAAGAAATAGATAAAATAGATAAGAAAATAACATTATAGATTAATTAAACCAAAAGCGATTTACCCGCCCCCCAAAAAGATTGCTAAAATAGACTTTTGGCAGAATTGGTCAATTCAAAAAAAAAATCAAAGCTGCAAGTAAACTGAGTGGGCAAACTTTCTGTAAAGGGCCAGACAGTAAATATTTTAAGCTTTTCATACATGGTCTCTGGCAATTAATCAACTTTGCTGTTGAAGCAGGAAAACAGGCATAAATAATACCGAAAGGAATGGGCATGTTTGTTGTTCCAATAAAACTTTATTTATGGACACTGAATTTTGAATTTCATATAATTTTCACATGCCACAAAATATTCTCTTTTTAGCCATTAAAAAAACGTGAAATCGGTTCTTAGCTTGCTGCCAGCTGTACAAAAACAGGTGGCAGGCTGGATTCAACTGGCCCCAGATGTAACTAGAAGAGGACAGATGTTAGGTTCAGTTGTTTCCTCACAATCCCTTAAGCATGGATAGTCAACAAAGGGACCACACCTGAGAATTATAACAGCTGGCCTTCTGGTGGGCAAACCATCCCCTGATGGACTGGAAGCCTACCCCCCACCCCAAGCCCTGGCTGCGACAGCTCTGGAACCCTGACTGCCTGGGTGCCCCTCAGCTCTGGAACCCTGACTGCCTGGATGCTCCTCAGCTCTGGAACCCTGACTGCTTGGATACCCCCTCAGCTCTGGAACCCTGACTGCCTGGAACCGTGATCCGGAACCCAAGATCCTTTCAAGGCCTCAGGGGTATTGCTGCTGCCCTCCTCCTTCTCAATTTAACCCCGCGTCCAGCCGTCGCCACCAGGGGCGTCAGAGCGCGCGCATGCTCCTAGCTCGGAGCCGCGCCGATCTCGCGCCGGCACCTGGCAGCCAATCGCAGGTCTCCACTGGACGCGCGCGTGTGGAGGCGTGCGCGTCGGCGGCGCCGGGGGCCTGAGGAGGCGTAGTCGCCGCCGGCTGTGCCCCGGGAGCGCCTCCGGGGCTGGTGCGTGGCCGGCAGCTCGCGAACAGCAGCTGATCCGGACTGGTAAGGACGGGGGCGTGGCGCGGCTTCAGCGTTCCCTGAGGGGAGACTTGAGGGATTTCATGGCGAGCCGCAGCCCTGCGGGTCGCGACACCGCGCTTGGCCGTGCGCTGCCGGAGCGGCCTTTGCAATACAGCCGCTTTCTGTGGGGGAGTGCAGGGCAGAAGCAGGTCCCACGATCCCCTCACGCACACCCCCTTCCCTAATCTCAGCGGGCGCCACTTTTACATCAGCCTCCACTCCCTCACGCAGACGCCCCCACCCCCGGGCTGGGCCCGGGCCTCCTGGAGAAGGGGCCTTTCCTGGCTCCCAGTGCGCTCCCCTCCCCCATCGCCCCCGCGGGGTCTCTTTTGGCGCTCAATGTATTTAAAAATCTGAAAACTGCTTTGTAACCCCAGGCCCTCCCCAGTTCTGGAGACCTGTAGGCCCAGACCCCTTAAGGCATTTGAATGTATGGGTCTCTCTCCCCTACCGCAGCGTCTTGTCTCATTTACTGCGTCGCTGTCGGGACTCTTAATGCAGCCCCTGGGACCCTAATGGAGTCCCTCCCGTGAGAGCCAGGACCTCGGGTGATTTGCAGGCTTTTGATTTGGGCAGTTGGCGGGTGGGACGTTTTCCTTTGCTAAGGTAGGGTAGATTGGAGGAACAGATCTGGGGGAAAGGAGTTCAGTTCACTTATCTGGTTAAGTGTGAGATGATTGATAAACACCTAAATGGCAATGTCAGGCAGTGGGATCGAAAATATTCTTGTGACATGTAAGTAACTAATGCTTCTCTCTGGTTACCTCAAGGATGTGACCTTCTGCCTGGAATAGCTCAAGTTCTTAAAAGTTGCGTTGTAATAAACCTGAGGTAAGAAAAGAGAAGTCTCCCTGATGAGGACCAAAGTTGTATTTTCGTCCTTCAGTTTCGCTCCCCTGCCCTTTCCTTTGCTGAAACATAGCTGTTTGGTATTCAATATTTTACTGAGGGAATCTGAATGATGTGTTTGATTAGTTCAGGCCAATTGTTGATGTAGGTCATTCGGGAACCCTCTAAATTGCTTTGTTGAGAAAGGAGAGGGTGGTAGTGGCATTCTTTTACCACATCTCTTGAAAAAAAAAAAAAGAGCATCAGGGATGTTAAGTTATATAAAGCTGACTCCTTTTATCCTACCCTCTTTCTCAGCGACTGTATTTCATGAGGTAACTGCATGCAGCAGGACAGGGGAGGTCATCTGAAGTCATTGCATGCCAGTAGGTGAGATTATAGTGAATTGTGTGCCCAGCAATTTGTGATTACAGCTCAGTGAGACCCATTGTATTAGTTATCTATTGCCGTGTAACAAATTGTCTCAAAACTTAGTAGTTTAAAAAAAAATTTATTACCTCATAGTTTTTGAAGGTCTGGAATCCAAGAGTGGCTTAGCTGGCTGTTTCTGGCTCAAGGTCACTCATGAGGTTTCAGTGAAACCCTTGGCTGGATTGTCAGTCTCTGCGGAATTGACTTGGTTTGGATCATCTGCCTCTAAGCTCACTCACTGGGCTGTTGGCAAGAGGCCTCAGTTCCTTGCTCTGTGGGCCTCTCCATGGGGCTGTTCATGTCACAGCAGCTGGCTTACTTCAGAGCAAATGATTCAAGAGACCTTGTACCCAAGATGAAGGGCAGAGTCTTTATGACCTAATTTCTGAAGTGGCATACCATCACTTCCTGCTGTATGTGCTTGATCCCACAGGCCAACCCTGTTAGTGGGAGAGGGCTACAACTATGTGAATTCCAGGAAGTGGGATTCATTTAGGGCCATCTTGGAGGATGGCCACCGCAACCATTTATCCACCATTTAACCCTTTTCCATAGGATCTCAAAGCATTGTCCTGTTACTCTGGGTGAATAATTTGACTTCTTGCTAAGGCCAGAACCTCTACATGTGCACTTGTTTATTTAAGGATATTATTCTAGCAAGACTTCTCTTTGTCTAGGGTTAAGTTTTCTATCTCTCCAGATCATTAATATAGCAAACATACTGATTGTACCATCACCTCACCTTAAAGATCTCGTTTTTGATGCCACATCTCCCATCTGCTTGTTTTAATTTGTATTTGCTTGTCCTTACAGGAAAATTTCTCCAGAGTTGTCCGTATTTGCTATCTCCTGTTCTCGTTCTTCCTTAAACCCACTGCTGTCAAGGTCACCAATGAATTCCACTTTGCTTAATCCATTGGTCAGTTTTAGTTGATTTTCGTGATTTTATTTGATCTATTGGCAGCATATATTACAGTTCCTTTTCTCCTCCCCATTGGATTCTGGGATGCTTCTCTTTCTCAATTCTCCTCCCACCTGAATGGCTGTGAATAATTGTTTTTTTTTTAATTTCCTTTACCAGCTCCTTCTCATCTCCATGACCTCTAATCAATGGAATGCTCCAGAGCTTAGATCTCAGACCTCTTTTCCCTGAGTGATCTCATCCAGTCTTGTGTTTTAAATAATGCTACATACTGAAGACTTCAAAATTTAAGTACCTACCTCGGAACTTTCCTTGGGCTCTGATCTCATAGATTTACCTGCTCAGCATTACCTCTTGTGTGTCCTCCTCCTCTCCTTCACATCCCAAACCCAATCCATCAATGAACCTTGTGGGCCTTCTAGATTTTTATCTAGAGTCCGACTTCTTAGTATCTCTATTTCTCCATCCTGTCTGATACTACCATCATCTTTTGTTCATAATATTTCAGTAGCTTCTTGTCTTCTGCTTCCACTATTACTCTCTAAAGTCTATTCTCCACACAGTAGCCACAGCAATCCTAATGAAATGAGTGAGATCATATTACTTCTCACTCAGAGCCTTCCAGTAATCTCTCATCACACTCAGGGTAAAATCTGAAGAATTTGTTTTTATTTTTTGTCTATTTATGTACTTATTTTTTGAGATGGAGTTTCGCTCTGTCACCCAGGCTGGAGTGCAATGGCGCAGTCTCGGCTCACTGCAACCTCTGCTTCCTGGGTTCAAGTGATTCTCCTCCTCAGCCTCCCAAGTAGCTGGGATTACAGGTGCCCGCCACCACACCCAGCTAATTTTTGTATTATTATTATTTTATTTTTATTTTTATTTATTTTTTTGAGATGGAGTCTTGCTCTGCCACCCAGGCTGGAGTGCAGTGGCATGATCTCAGCACACCGCAGCCTCTGTCTTCTGGGTTCAAGCAATTCTCCTGCCTCAGCCTCCCGAGTAGCTGGGACTACAGGCACGTGCCAGCACACTTGGCTACGTTTTGTATTTTTAGTAGAGACGGGGTTTCACCATGTTGGCCAGGCCGGTCTCGAACTTCTGACCTCAGGTGATCCACCCGCCTCGGCCTCCCAAAGTGTTGGGATTACAGATGTGAGCCACCACACCTGGCCAAAGCTGAAGAATTTAGAATGGCCTACATGATCTTGGCTTTCCTTTGCCACAAACAGCTCATTTTTTATCTCATTTCTAACTTGTCACTCTTTTCATTGGTCCACCTGTGTTAGCCTATTGATCAGTCCTTGCATGTGTTAAGTGCTCCAGTCTCAGAGGCTTTGTGTTTGCTGTTCCCTTTGTTGGAGTATTCTTCCCCAGATAGCCATATTCATGTTATGTGAGTATCAACCTGCCTCCATTTCCTACTTTATTTTTCTCCCTAGTGTTTATATAACCATGTTACTTTTGTTAAAAAAATTATTTTCTGACTACCCCTTCTGGAATGTCAGCTCCCTGAAGTGAAAGACTTTGGATCACTGCTATATCACCAGACCAATACATGGCACCTTGTTGGCCCACCAAACTTTTATTGAATGAGTGGTCTTCTTAAATTCGTCTCAAATACTACCTTGATGCTTCCCTTTCTCCTTTTCTCTGTAGTAATGAGATTATGAGAACTGTGCAGATTCTTGATCATTCCTGTATAATTTCTCTCTTAGTTTTTTGTGGACTGGGATATGTTTTAATTCTACTGATTGAATACATTTTATAGCTATAGTTCCACTAAAATAGCAAACATCAGAACATCAAATGTGTATGTTTGGCTACACACAGAACCTTATATGATGGTCTTTCTGTAGATTAACAATTTCTCCCTAATTTCTTAACATCCCTCCCACCAGCTCAGTTCTAATGCAGCAATATTACCTTAGGGTCAATTTGATATGTGAAAAGAGAATAGTGACTTTCACCTTTTGGCTTTTAACACCTAGTTAATGTGGGCACAAGTTGTTTGTTTGTTTTTTTTTTTTTTCAGACGGAGTCTTGCTGTGTTGTCCAGGCCGGAGTGCAGTGGCACAATCTCAGCTCACTGCAACCTCTGCCTCCCGGGTTCAAGCAATTCTCCTGCCTCCTGAGTAGCTGGGATTACAGGCGTGTGCCACCACGCTCAGCTAAGTTTTTGTATTTTTAGTAGAGATGGGGTTTCACCATGTTGTTCAGGCTGGTCTGAAACTCCTGGCCTCGTGAGCCACCTGCCTCAGCCTCCCAAAGTGCTGGGATTACAGGCGTGAGCCACCATGCCCGGCCTGGCACAAGTTATTTTAATCTTATTCTTTGTTAGCTTCTTATACTTGTAAACTACAAGTGTGTTTAGGTCCATTCCTTGTTCTTTCCCTTCAGTGTGTAAATTAATCAGTTATTTGGATAATACTGAATAATACAATTCTGAGAGTTGAGCTTTAGCATTAGTGTTGTATAAGTTTGAAACAAAATGTGAATGCTCTGCAGAAGTCTTAACTGGGGTTTTTTCCCTGGGAGCTTCCCAGTCGCAGAGACCCAAGTTACATAGGGAGTCATGATAGGACCTATGTGGTCTGCATAGAATATGCTCTCACAGCTTTTCACAACCTCTAGATTCCTTATAACTAGGTTGACTATGTAATTTATCATCTAAACTGAAGGACTTATTAAAGATTGAAGAGTGGCACTATCCATAATTCCACAGAGATAGAAGTTTAAACTATAACTGTCTTGGTCATACCAGCATATTTGGTAATCCTACGTATAATTTATTTGGTCTTCCAAGTCCTTGGTATCGGAGAAGAGTTCACTCTGCAAGGAGATATAACTGTTCCATCCTTGGGAATGTATGACTCCCACTACAGTTTGTAAATTGACCACCTGATACTAGCTTAATTCTTTTTGTTCGCTAGATGAGCTTGCATTGTTCCATTATCCTTGCTACGAATTGAGTCTGCTTAATGGTGCTTTGAAAATTTAGCAGCAGTTGTTGGGAGATGGGGGGTTATACCAGCCTGTTACTAGGCATTTGTTTTTCTTTGAAATATAGTTCATATGCCATAAAATTCACCCTTTGCGGTGTGAAATTGAATGGTTTTTAGTATTATATACTTACAAAATTGTACAACCATCAGCAATATCTAATTCCAAGACATTTCATCAACTCTAAAGAAACCTTGTATCCATTAGCAGTCACTCCCTATATTACTTTTCCATAGCTGCTATAACAAATTATCACAAACTTGGTGGCATAAAACAACAAAAATTTATTCTCCCTTAGTTCGGGAGGTCAGAAGTCTAAAATAAGTTTCACAAGACCTAAATCAAGATGTTGGCAGGGCTGTCCTCCCCTGGGAAACTCTAGCGGAGAATCCATTCTTTGCATCTTCTAGTTTGTGGATGTGACGTTCTTTGGCTTGTGACCATGTCACTCTAATCTTTGCTTCTGTCTTCACATCACCTTTTCCTAGAGTATGTGTGAAATCTCCCTCTGCTTCTCTTACAAGGACATTTGTGGTGGCATTTAGGGCCCACCTGTATAGTCCAGGATAATTTTCCCATCTGCAAAGATCCTTTTTCCAAATAAGGTATCATTTACAGGCTTAAGGGATTAGGACCTGATATTTTGGGGGCCATTTTTCAAACCTGCTATATTCCTTTCATTCTTCTTCATCGAGCCCATGGCAGCTGCTACTTTATTTCTGTCTGTATGAATTTGCCTTATTCTGGACATTTTGTATAAGTAAAATAATAAAATATGCGGCCTTTTGTGTCTGGTGTTATTCACTTAGTGTATTTTCAAGGTACACCGTATTGTATGCTTGTTTGTACTTAGTTTTTTTATGGCTGAATAGTATTTCATTGTACGGATATACCACAGTTCGTTTATTCATTTATCAATTAATTTACATTCGGTTGTTTGCACTTTGTAGCAGCATTATGGCTATATTCCAGCTAGCTTATATATGTGTTATATTTTCAATTCTCTTGGGTATATACCTAGGAGTGATATTGTTGGGTCATATGGTAACGCCATATTTAAATTTTGAGCAATTGCCAAACTTTTCCAAAGTACAAGTTTATATTATCACCAGCAGTATTTGAGGGTTCAGATAGCTGCACATCCTCTGCAACGCTTGAGATTGTTTTTGCTTATAACTAACCTAGTGGATGTGAAGTAATAGCTCATTGTGATTTTGATTTGCATTTCCTTAATGACTATATTGAGCAGCATTTCATGTGCTGCTTGGCCATTTGTGTATCTTTGGAGAAGTGTTCAAATCCTTCGCCCATTTTTTATTGTTTGTTTTTGAGACAGGGTCTCGCTCTGTTGCCCAGGCTGCAGTACAGTGACACAATTATGGCCCACTGCAACATCAACCTCCCAGGCTCCAGTGATCCTCCCATCTCAGCTGCCACCCTGCCTCATTCCACCCCTGAGTAGCTGGGACTACAGGCGTGTGCCATGATGCCCAGCTAAATTTAAATTTTTTTTTTTTCTTGAGACAGTCTTGCTCTGGCACCAAGGTTGTAGTGCAGTGATGTGATCACGGGCACACTCTACCACGCCCGGTTAATTTTTTAATTTTTTGTAGAGGTAGGGTCTCACTATGTTGTACAAGCTGGTCTGGAATTCCTGAGCTGACTAAGTCCTCCTGCCTCAGCCTCCCAAAATACTGGGATTACAGGTATGAGCCACTGTGCCTGTGTTTTTAAATTTTTTGTAGAGAAGGGGTCTCACTACATTGCTTGGACTGATCTTCAACTCTTGGGCTCAAGCGATCCTCCCATCTCAGCCTTCCAAAGTGTTGGGATTACAGGCATGAGCCACTGTGTCTAGCTTATTTTTTATTTTTTATTTTATTTTATTTTTTTAACAGAGTCTCACTCTGTCGCCCAGGCTGGAGTGTGGTGGCATGATCTCGGCTCACTGTAACCTCTGCCTCCTGGATTCAAGTGATTCTTCCTGCCTCAGCCTCTCGAGTAGCTGCGATTACAGGCGCGTGCCACCATGCCGGCTAATTTTTGTATTTTTAGTAGAGACAGGGTTTTGCTATGTTGGCCAGGCTGGTCTCAAACTCCTGACTGTAAGTGATTCTCCCACCTTGGCCTCCCAGAGTGCTGGGATTATAGACGTGAGCCACCATGCCGATTGGGGCCTGTTTTTAAAATGAATTGTTTTATTGTGGTAAAAACGCATATAATTTACCACCTTAACCATTTCTAAATTAATAGTTCAGTAGTTTCAAGCATTGATGTGAAACAGATCTCTAGAACTTTTTCATCTTGCAGAACTGAAACAATGCCCATTAAACAACAGACTCACCCTTTTCCTCTGCCCCTAGCCCTTGGTAACCATTACTCTACCTTCTGTTTTTTGTTTTTTTGGTTTTTTGTTTTTTTTTTTTTTTTTTTTTTGAGACGGAGTCTTGGTGTGTTGCCCAGGCTGGAGTGCAGTGGTGCGATCTCCACTCACTGCAACTTCTGCCTCCCAGATTCAGGGGATTCTTCTGCCTCAGCTTCCCGAGTAGCTGGGACTACAGGTGTGTGCCACCACTACGCCCAGCTAATTTTTTTTGAAACAGAGTTTCTCTCTTGTCGCCTAGGCTGGAGTGCAGTGGCGTGATCTTAGCTCACTGCAACCTCCGCCTCCTGGGTTCAAGCAATTCTCCTGCCTCAGCCTCCCAAGTAGCTGGGTTTATAGGTGCCTGCCACCACATCTGGCTAATTTTTGTATTTTTTTTAGTAGAGACAGGGTTTTGCCATGTTGGCCAAGCTGATCTCGAACTCCTGACCTCAGATGATCTGCCCACCTCAGCCTCCCAAAGTCCTGGGATTACAGGTGTGAGCCACTGCTTCCGGCCTCTACTTTCTGTTTCTATGAATTTGACTATTTTAGTTACCTCATATAGGTGGAATTATACAAATACAAAAGTATTTGTCTTTTTGTGACTGGTTTATTTTATTTGGCATAATATCCTCAAGGTTCAAACATGTAGCATGTGACAGATTTTCTTCCTTTTTGAGGTTGAATAATATTCTATTGTGTGTGTGTGCATATATATATATATAATATTTTGTTTATTCATTTTTGGGTAGACATTTGGGTTGCTTCTACCCCTTGGCTATTTTAATAGTCCTTCTGTGAACATGGGTGTGCCAGTATCTCTTCGAGACCCTGCTTTCAATTATTTTAGATATATACCCAGAAGTAAGATTGCTAGAACATATAGTAGTTCTGTTTTTAATTTTATGAGGCATTTCTGTACTGTTTTCCATAGTAGTTATACCATTTTACAATCCAGTGACTGTGCATGAGGATTCTAATTTCTTTCCAACAATGTTTGTTTTTTAATAGTAGTCATCCTACTAGGTGTGAGGTGGTATCTCAAGGTGGTTTTAATGTGCATTGCTTTTATGATTAATGACACTGAATATATTTACTTGGTCTTTTGTGTATCATCTTTGGAGAAATGTCTATTCAAGTTCTTTGGCCTTTTAAAAAATTGAGTTATTTGTATTTGTCATCTCCATTATGGTTTTACTTCTTGCTTTCCAATCTGAATGCTTTTTGCTTCCTTTTCTTGCCTAATTACCTTGGCTATAGAACCTCTAGTACGGTGTTGAGTTGAAGTGGTTAAAGTGGATATCTGTCTTGTTCCTGATCTTAGGGGCAGGGGTACTTTCAGTGTCACCATTAAGTATGATACTATAATAGCTGTGAGTCTCATACAGATGCCTTTGTCTGGTGGAGAAAGTTTCCTTCTATTCCCAATCGTTTTGTTGTTTCAAATCATAAAAGGATGTTAGCTTTTGTCAAGTGTTTTTTCTGCAGGCAGGTGTAGTTTTTGTCCTTTATTAAAATGGTATAGGCTGGGCATGGTGGCTCACGCCTGTAATCCCAGCACTTTGGGAGGCCAAGGCAGGCGGATCACCTGAGGTCGGGAGTTCGAGACCAGCCTGACCAGCATGGAGAAACCATGTCTCTACTAAAAATACAAACAAATTAGCTGGGCGTGGTGACGCATGCCTGTAATCCCAGCTACTTGGGAGGCAGAGGCAGGAGAATTGCTTGAACCCGGGAGGCGGAGGTTGTGGTCAGCCAAGATCGTGCCATTTCACTCCAGCCTGGGCAACAAGAATGAAATTCCGACTCAAAAAAAAAATTAAAATTAAAAATAATAAAAATAAAATTATTGTTGGTTGATTTTCATAGAATGAACCATCCTTGTATTTTTTAAATAAATCCCACTTGGTCATGGTATGTAATCGTTATATATGTTGTTAGATTTTGTTTGCTAACATTTTGTTGAGGATTTTTGCCTCTGTAAGGGATATTGGCTGGGCACAGTGGCTCACGCCTGTAATCCCAGCACTTTGGGAGGCCAAGGCGAGCGGATCACGAGGTCAGGAGATTGAGACCATCCTGGCTAAAACAGTGAAACCCCGTCTCCACTAAAAAATACAAAAAAATTAGCTGGGCGTGATGGCGGGCTCCTGTAGTCCCAGCTACTCGGGAGGCTGAGGCAGGAGAATGGCCTGAACCTGGGAGGCGGAGCTTGTAGTGAGCCGAGATCACGCCACTGCACTCCAGCCTGGGCGACAGAGCGAGACCCCGTCTCCAAAAAAAAAAAAAAAAAAAAAGGATATTGGCCTGTAGTTTTCTTTTTTTTTATATGATTTCTTGGTTTGATTTTGGTGTAAGAGTAATAACTAGCCTCATAGAAAGATGTGCAAAGTTTTCTCTCCTCTTCTAATTTTTGGAAGAGTTAATGAAGGATTGGTGTTAATTCTTTTAAAAACGTTAAGAATTTACTAGCATAGCTATCTGATTTTGGGCTTTTATTTGGGGAAGTTTTTTGATTACTAATTCTATTGCTTGTTTTGGATCCATTCATATTTTCTGTTTGTTCTTGAGTCAGTTCATTAGTTCCTGTCTTTCTAGGAATTTGTTTCATCTAGGTTATCTAATTTGTTGACAGATAATTTTTCATAGTATTCCTTTATAATTCTCTTTATTTCTGTGTGGTTGGTAGTAATATACCCTCTTTATTTTTAAAAAATAATTCATTGAGGTGAAAGTCACATAACATCAGTCATTTTAAAATAAACAGTTTAGTGATATTTAGTGCATTTGTAATATTGTACGTGTGCTGCCTCTATCTAGTTCTGATACATTTCCATCATTCCAAAGTAAAACCCCTTTACCCATTAAGCAGTTTCTCACCATTTTCCCTTTCCTATCTTCTGGCAACCACAAATCTTTGTTTAATATCTATGGATTTATCTATTTCTGATATTTCCTGTAAATGAAATCATACAATATATGAGCTTTTGTCACTGACTTCTTTTACATGGTATATTTTCAGGGTTTACCCTGTTGTAGCATGTATCAGTATGTCGTTTCTTTTATGGCTGAATAAACATTCTGTTGTATGTATATACCATGGTTTGTTTATCCATTCATCCATTGATGGACATTTAGGTTGTTTCCACCTTTTGATTATTATGAGTTGTTGCTATAAACAAGTATACATGTACTTGAGTACCTTTATTTCTTTGAGTGTATACTTAGATTTGTGGGATCATAAGTCTATGTTTAACATTTTGAGGAACTGCCAAGCCATTTTGTAATAAAATCTTTTGAGTTTTACAAGCTTTCGTTAATTTCCAGGATCTGAAAAACGTGATTTTTGTAGTTTTTGCTAGTGTTCTCTTTGCTTTTATGAAGCAGCAGCTATTTGTAGGTCTTTATTCCACCATTCCCCTTAACTTCACCCTGTTGCTGGGCATTTAATAAGTTGACTTTGTTATGCCTTTTTTTAGTTGTCTTTTTTTGTGGTCCTCCACAACCCCTCTTTACATCATTCTTCAAGCCCTTTAAAAACTCAGCTTTAGTGAAGAAACTTGACTCTGAACTATCAGACCACTTTTAGTTTGAACTGCCACCCTGTCAAATCTCCTTTGTAACCTCCGCCTCCCGGGTTCAATTGATTCTCTTGCCTCAGCCTACCAAGTAGCTGGGATTACAGGCGCCCACCACCACTCCCGGCAAATTTTTGTGTTTTTAGTAGAGATGGAGTTTCACCATGTTGGTCAGGCTGGTCTCGAACTCCTGACCTCAGGTTATCTGCCTACCTCGGCCTCCCAAAGTGCTGGGATTACAGGTGTGAGCCACTGTGCCTGGCCTTTTTTTTTTTTTTTTTTTTTTTTTTTTTTTTTTTTTTTTAAAGATGGAGACCAAGATTCTGCTCATAGGAGGAAGGGAAGGAAAAGGGGAAAAATGACTGATTTTCTCTGTTGCTTAGGAGTAGATCCCAGGCTGGGCACGGTGCCTCACGCCTGTAATTCCAGTACTTTGGGAGCCTAAGGCGGGTGTATCACCTGAGGTTAGGAGTTTGAGAGCAGCATGACCAATATGATCAAACCCCGTCGCTACTAAAAATACAAAAATTAGATGGGCGTGGTAGCATGTGCCTGTAGTCCCAGCTACTTGGGAGGCCAAGACAGGAGAATTGCTTGAACCCAGGAGGTGGAGGTTGCAGTGAGCCGAGATCACGGCACTGCACTCCAGCCTGGGTGACAGAGCGAGACTCCCATCTCAAAAAAAAAAAAAAAAAGAGTAGATCCCACTCACTGTTATAGCCACACACAAATTTTTTTCAGGCATCAGTCCCACTTGAGTAACTTCTGTGATTAGATTTTAGGCCACCAGGACTCCTATGGTACCTATCCCCACCATCTTCCCTTGCCTATCACTTTCTTCACCCCACTGCTTCTTTCTCAAACTTGTCCCCCACCCCCACAAATAACTCTACACGTTTGCTATCTTAGAATTGAATGCCCATTAAACAGAGATCCTTGCAGTAAATGGGAGTTTTATAGGATCCTTAAAACTACAGCAAACATTTGTATTCCATCCCAGGGCAACTAAATAAAACAAAAATAACTTTTTCATAAATATTTTTTAATAAATACTTTTTCAAAAGTAAGCTGAGGATGGTAGAGGAGTGTAAAATAGGGTTGAAACTAGCCTGAGAGGCCAGGTACAGTGGCTCACGCCTGTAATCCCAGCACTTTTGGAGGCCAAGGTGGGTGGATCACTTGAGGTCAGGAGTTCGAGACCAGTGTGGACAACATGGGGAAACCCCATCTCTAATAAAAATACAAAAAATTAACCAGGCATGGTGGCGCACACCTATAGTCCCAGCTGCTCAGGAGGCTGAGGCACAAGCATCTCAGGAGAAGTTGCAGTGAGTTGAGATTGTGCCACTGCACTCCATCCTGGGTGACACAGCGAGACTCCATCTTAAAAAAAAAAAAAAAAAAAAAGGCCAGGCGCAGTGGCTCACGCCTGTAATCTCAGCATTTTGGGAGGCCGAGGTGGGTGGATAACCTGAGGTCAGGGGTTCGAGACCAGCCTGGCCAACATGGTGAAACTCCATCTCTACTAAAAATACAAAAATTCGCCAGGCATGGTGGTGGGCGCCTGTAATCCCAGCTACTTGGTAGGCTGAGGCAAGAGAATCAATTGAACCTGGGAGGCAGAGTTTGCAGTGAGCCAAGACTGTGCACAAGACTGTGCCACTGCACTCCAGCCTGGGCAACAAGAGCAAGACTCCGTCTCAATTAAAAAAAAAAAAAATCTAGCCTGAGAGTCTAGGAGGGGAGTAACTATTAAACCAAGGTCGTTCCTTATCAAAAGACATGACAGTTGCCACAGACTAAACTGAGAGAAAAATGAAGAATTTACAGATCCTTACTACTATTTCCACTCTTGCTACCTCTCTGACCTTTTATCCCCTTCAAGTGTATGTCCAAATTTACCTTCTCCATGAGACTTACTCTGACTACACTACGTAAAATTACAATTCTCTTATACCTCCTCAACTTCTAAGCCTGCTCTATTATTTTTTTCCTAATTCTATAACGTCATCTTCCAGTTCACCAGAGAATTTGCATTTTTATTATACTTACTATCTTTCTTCCTCCACTGGACTGTTTGTTAGTTCCTTCTGTTGAAATAGTTTGTTTTTGTTGTTCATTTCTGTCTGTTAATGTTTACCGATTTCTCTCAAGTGCCTAAAGCAGTGCCTGGCACACAATAAGCACTCAATATTCATTAATGGAAAAAGGTTATCTAGAAGTAGTCAGAAATCAATTCAAAAAGGTAGACTGAGGGAAAAAGTGGAAAATGTTCAAATGTGGGAAACAGCCAATTTTCTTCAAGTCTGGGAGCTCCTAAGGTGTACTGTTAGAGGAAATGTGACAGCCCCACAATCCTGGGGTTCAGAAGAAAAATATATATGGCCAGATCTCATCATAAGGACCAATAGTTTGGGGAAGCCTTTCCTCAGAAGAGTATGTGTGTGGTTAAAAACTCGTGTGTGGTTATAACAATGGTTTACTAGAGGCTGGGCACGGTGGCTCACGCCTGTAATCCCAGCACTTTGGGAGGCCGACGCAGGCAGATCACAAGGTCAGGAGTTTGAGACCAGCCTGGCCAACATGGTGAAACCCCATCTCTACTAAAAATACAAAAATTAGCCAGGCGTGGTGGCACGCACCTGTAATCCCAGCTCCTCAGGCAGGAAAACTGCTTGAACCCGGGAGGCAGAGATTGCAGTGGGCCGAGATTGCGCCACTGCATTCCAGCCTGGGTGACAGAGCAAGACTCCATCTCAAAAAAAACAAAAAACAATGATCTAGTAGAAGGGCCATTGTTTGAATGCATAGAAATAATCTGGAAGGTGGGTTATCATCCACTGATCTCTCAGCTTTCTTTGGAATTGAAGCCCTCCTATTGGCTTCTCCCATCATGGGAGGTGAGAATTGATTTTTGAGGACAAACCTGTTAGATCTGATATATCTTTGCATGTCTAACCTCCCTACCCCAGTATCTCAAGATTCTGGCAAATTGGAAAATAAGCATTCATTCATCCATTGGTGGACATTTGTAGAGAAGGGTCTCTGGACATCTAGAGGAGAAGAAAACTCTCATGGTCTAATGCTACTCTTGTTCTTAATGAACTTGTTCATTAACTTATTAGCTTTGTTCCTGATCCTTGCTCTATTCCTCTTTTTCACCTTGATTGATGGTTGGATGGAGGGTTAATCAGTATGGACAACAGCCAAAAATCTAACCAAGAGCAACTGGTTAGGAAGTCCAGCAGTGTCATTAGAACCCAGTTTAAGTTTTTCTTCTTTACTTGTTTGATGGTTTATTAACAACAGGAATTCATTTCTCACATTTTTAGGCTGGGAAGTTCAAGATCAAGATGCTGGACGATTTGGTTCCTTAGTGAAGGCTCTCTTCCTGGCTGGTGGATGACAGCCTTCTTGCTGTGTTCTCACATGACAGAAAGAGGAAGCAAGGTCTGTGATATCTCCTCTTATAAGGGCGCCAATCACATCATGAGGGCCCTATCCTCATGAATACATCTTAACCTGATTATTACCCAAAGCCACCATCTCTATATACCATCACATTGGGGGTTATAGCTTCAGTATACAAATTTGGGGGTGGGGGGAACACAGTTCAGCCCATAGCATAACACAAATTATGTATACCTAAAATATTCTCTAGAATTGGAGGAATCATTTAACGCTTAGGGATAGAAGAGTGATATAATTACAGTTGTGTTTTAAGATCCATCTTGTGGTGTTGTGTTATATAATTTGAAGGACAGAGAAAAGAGACAGAACAATTTAGGGTCTAGTACAAGTGTACAAAAATGAAGTAACCAGTGGACCTAAACCTAGAAGTTGCGGCCTGGGCTGGGGGCCATTAATAGGAATGGACATGAGAGGTAGAATGAGTGATGCTCTAAAAGTTATTTAAAATGGCTTATAAGGTACTTTGACATTTTCTGGGAGGTAGAGGAGGTTTGAACAGGTTTACAAAATAGAGAGTGAAAAAATGAATCCAATGAGACACTTTAATTCTTAAAGACTAAGCAGTTAACAGCAATATCATCAGAAATAAGTGTGCACTAAGTCAGTTTTAGCAGAAAGAGCACAAAACCAGAATTCAGGAATTAGGCATCTTAGTGCTAACTCTGTCTACAAACCCTCCATATAACTTTAGTAAATCATAAACTTCTGGGGGCTTTAAAAATTAATCTTCAGATTGGCCGGGCATGGTGGCTTACGCCTGTAATCCCAGCACTTTGGGAGGCCAAGGCAGGCAGACCATGAGGTCAGGAGATGAAGACCATCCTGGCCATCATGGTGAAACCCCGTCTCTACTAAAAATACAAAAATTAGCTGGGCGTGGTGGCGCACCTGTAATCCCAGCTACACGGGAGGCTGAGGCAGGAGAATAACTTGAACCTGGGAAGCAGAGGTTGCAGTGAGCCGAGATCGTGCCACTGCACTTCAGCCTGGGTGACAAAGCAAGACTCCGTCTTGAAAAAGAAAAAATAATAACAATAATAAACTAATTAATCTTCAGATAAATCTAATGGCCATGTTGTCAGATTATAGTCTGATTTTTTAGGATATTGGAGAATATTAATGATTGTGAATTAGAATATTTTCTTTTTTTTTTTTTGAGATGCAGTCTCGCACTGTCACCCGGACTGGAGTGCAGTGACGTGGTCTTGGCTTACTGCAACCTCCGCCTCCTGGATTCAAGCGATTCTCCTGCCTCAGCCTCCCAAGTAGCTGGGATTACAGGTGTCTACCACCAGGCCCAGCTAATTTTTTGTATTTTTAGTAGAGACAGGGTTTCACTATGTTGGCCAGGCTGGTCTCCAATTCCTAACCTTGTGATCCAACTGCCTTGGCCTCCCAAAGTGCTGGGATTACAGGCATGAGCCACCGTGCCCAGCCAGATATTTTCTTTAGAGAGGATGTTAGAAAATACATTTAGAATTATGTAGAAGGTAGTTACTGGAAATGTGGAAGTGATCCTGAGAAGATTGGATTTGGGCAGGAGTTTTCCCACAGGACATTTGGTAATTCCTGGAGCCATTTTTAGTTGCCACCCTGGGGGACTACTGCTGGTTTCTAGTGGGTAGAGATCACAGATGCTGCTAAACATCCTACAGTGCTCTCGACAGCCCCCAGCAAAGAATTATCTAGTCCCAAATGTCAGTAATGCTTAGGAAACACTGGGCTAGGTGACATCATCCTGGAGTTAGGCGATTGAAGTTGTATATAGACAGACTAAACCAATTTTAGTTGACTCCAGAGAGCAGTGTATTCATATCTGCCTTATATTTTTTCTGGCATTATATATCTACTGATTAAGTTGTAAATCACTATTCATGATACACCAGTTTGTATATAGTTGACAATGCTTACTTAATATTGTATTCCTTTTTAAATTCACTTCCAAGGTGATACACATATTTATAGGAATAAATATTGTCTATATGTTCCAAAATTAGATACTGATATCCTAATTAAAATTAAAACAAATGTGCATGGCATTTATTAGATGTCAATTTAATTTTTATGCTTTGGATTATGCTGATTTGAAGGGTCCACATGGGGATACAGTGAATCTTGATATGTTTTTAGAAATTGGTGAGTTATGAACCTTGGTTTCTAGTGCGTACATTTTGCTAGCATTAGACCAGTTTTTGAAACAACTAGTAGTGACCTAGTGATGAGGCTTAACTGATTTTGTGGGTCTGTGGTTAGTTTAAGAAAAATGAGGCTGGGCACAGCTCAGGCTTGTAATCCATGGCTCATGCTTGTAATCCCAGCACTTTGGGAGGCCGAGGCTGGTGAATCACAAGGTCAGGAGTTCAAGACCAGCCTGGCCAACACAGTGAAACTCCGTCTCTACTAAAAAATACAAAAATTAGCTGGGTGTGGTGGCATGTGCCTGTAATCCCAGCTACCCTGGAGGCTGAGTCAGGAGACTTGCTTGAACCCGGGAGGCAGAGGTTGCCGTGAGCTGAGATTGCGCCACTGTACTCCAGCCTGGGCGACAGAGCTAGACTCCGTCTCAAAAAAAAAAAAAAAAAAAGAAAAAAGACAAGAAAAATGAAATAGAAAATTTTAGAATGCAGCCTGTGTAGTAAAGGTAGTTATTATTTATGTGTATGTGCTTGTGTAATTGGACTCCATATAACTTTTTTTTTTTTAAACTATTGGTTGTGGTCAAATATTTGTAAAAAGCTAGCTTTAAGTCCTTTATTGGCCTACGGAATTTCCAATGGATAAAGTTCTCAGAGTAAATTCATAGAAAATGTGGAATTAATGGAGCATAATCTTCTTTAAAAATAAAGGATCTTATGAAGGAGAGTCGATATTTATTGATTCATTTAACAAATTCTGTATTTGTTGAGCACCTGTCCTGTGCCAGACACTGTTCTTTGTGCTGGGCATACAACAGTCAACAAAAGATAGAATACCTGCCCTTTTGAGTTTTATGTTCCACTGGATGGACAATAGAAAATAATCAAGATAAATAGGATCGTAATATGTTAAATGGTGATAGGGCTTTGGGGATGAAAGAAAAGGGAAAAGAGATTAGGAATGTGGGTTAGAGGTTGGTTGGAATATTTGAGAACCTCACCGAGAGGGATACTTGGAATAGAGCCCTAAGGGCAGTGAGGAGCTAGCCATGCGGATACCCAAATGATCATTCATATTGGAAGGAACAAGGGCTTTGAGCAAGGAAAAGAGCTTAGTATGTTCAAGAAATAGCAGGGAGGGCCAGGTGCAGTTCCTCACCCCTGTAATCCTAGCACTTTGGGAGGCCAAGGCACGTGGATCACCTGAGATAAGGAATTCAAGACCAGCCTGGTCAACATGGTGAAACCCGATCTCTACTGAAAATACAAAAATTAGCTGGGTGTGGTGGTGCATGCCTGTAGTCCCAGCTACTCAGGAGGCTGAGGCACAAGAATCACTTGAACCTGGAAGGTGGAGGTTGCAGTGAGCTGAAATATATACCTGGGTGATAGAGCGGGACTCCATCTCAAAAAAATAAAATTTAATTTAAAAAATTAAAATAAATAGCAAGGAGGTTAGTGTGACTACAGTGAAGTGGATAGTGGAGAGTAGTATGAGATAACTGCAGGAGCAGTATGTGGGGTTGGTAGTGTAGTCTTCTAGGCATTGGTAATACTTGGTCTTTTACTCTCAGTTAATCAGAAAGCCGTTTGAGGGTTTTGAGCTGAACAATGATACAGTCTGACTTTGTTTAACACAATCAATCTGCTTGCTATGTGGAGAAGAGATTGAGGAGGAAGCACTGTTGTGTTTAAGTTCAGTGGGTAAGTCAGAACTGGAGGGGAAAATTTAGGAGGCATTACTGAATGGATTATAATTAAGGCCATGAGTTGGGATGAGATTATCTGCCTGGCAATTGACATTGTGCTATGCTGTTTGTTGGTTATGTGTAGGTACTCTAACTCTATAAATTTAATACCTCTTTTCTATATTAATGTTTATGAGATTACTATATATGAATCAATTGAGATATTTTCATTTATTGTAATTTTCTTCCAATTCCACTACAAATCAAGCTGCCATTGAATAGGTGGTGCTTTTAAAAAACCAGCTATTACTGTAAGTCTAAGAAATAAGAATTTTTGCCTTTAAGATAGCAAAATACATTTAAAAGTAAAAAACTTGCTAAAGAGGAAGCATCTGGTGTGTGGCAGACTAAGGATTCCAGCTTACTCTTCAACTCCAAAGCCCATGTTTCTAAACACTGCACAATGATGCCCTCATAAAAATGTGTGTCTTTTCCATATAATTTTGCCTAGTGATTAGCTGCTGGTAGGTTTTTTTTTTTAAAATGGAATAGAGCACAATCAGTACAGCAAAGTTATGATTCTAGATTCATAGGAACCTGATCTTTTATCACAGGTTTTAAGCTGTTATTTATCCTCTTTCAGTCTCAGTGTCCTTGTGGGTAAAATAGTGGTTTATAAAAACAATGTTTTGGAGGAAAATTAAATAAGGTAATGCATTTTCCTGTACTTACTGATGTATGTTTGTACTTAGGTGGCAGTTTATATAAAGGAAGCATTGGGACTTGTGGCCCCACCATTCAGGAATAAAAAAATTAGAAAATGGAACAATCATGTGAGGAAGAGAAAGAGCCTGAACCACAGAAGAACATACAAGAAACCAAACAAGTAGATGACGAAGATGCTGAGCTCATCTTTGTTGGTGTGGAACATGTAAATGAAGATGCTGAGCTAATCTTTGTTGGGGTGACTTCAAATTCAAAACCAGTCGTTTCAAACATTTTGAACAGAGTCACCCCGGGTTCATGGTCAAGGAGAAAAAAGTATGATCACCTTAGAAAAGATACTGCTCGCAAATTGCAGCCTAAAAGTCATGAGACCGTTACATCAGAAGCAGTGACCGTCCTGCCAGCTTCCCAACTTGAATCGAGATCAACAGATAGTCCTATTATTATTGAGCCTTTGTCTAAACCTGATTATAGAAATAGTTCACCACAAGTTGTGCCTAATAACTCTTCAGAATTACCTTCTCCTTTGATTACATTCACAGATTCATTGCATCATCCAGTAAGTACAGCACTTTCAGTAGGAGGTATAAATGAAAGTCCTCGTGTATCAAAGCAACTTTCCACTTTCGAAGTAAACAGCATAAATCCCAAAAGGGCTAAACTCAGGGATGGAATTATAGAAGGAAATTCTTCAGCTTCATTCCCTTCAGATACCTTTCATACAATGAATACTCAGCAAAGTACACCCTCAAATAATGTTCATACCTCATTAAGCCATGTTCAGAATGGAGCACCTTTTCCAGCAGCTTTTCCAAAGGACAATATCCATTTCAAGCCTATAAATACAAATCTTGATAGGGCAAATGAATTGGCAAAAACAGACATTTTGAGTCTAACAAGTCAAAACAAGACCTTTGATCCCAAGAAAGAAAATCCCATTGTGTTACTTAGTGACTTTTACTATGGACAGCATAAAGGAGAAGGGCAGCCGGAACAGAAGACTCACACCACCTTTAAATGCCTCAGCTGCGTGAAAGTTCTAAAAAATGTTAAGTTTATGAATCACGTGAAGCATCATTTGGAATTTGAGAAGCAGAGGAACGACAGCTGGGAAAACCACACCACCTGCCAGCACTGCCACCGGCAGTTTCCCACTCCCTTCCAGCTACAGTGTCACATCGAAAATGTCCACACTGCCCAGGAGCCCTCTACTGTCTGTAAAATCTGTGAATTGTCATTTGAAACAGATCAGGTCCTCTTACAACACATGAAGGACCATCATAAGCCTGGCGAAATGCCCTATGTGTGCCAGGTTTGCCATTATAGATCGTCGGTCTTTGCTGATGTAGAAACACATTTTAGAACGTGCCATGAAAACACAAAGAATTTGCTTTGTCCCTTTTGTCTCAAAATTTTCAAAACAGCAACACCATACATGTGTCATTATAGGGGCCACTGGGGAAAGAGTGCACACCAGTGTTCCAAGTGCCGGCTACAGTTTTTAACTTTCAAGGAGAAAATGGAGCACAAGACCCAGTGTCATCAAATGTTTAAGAAGCCTAAGCAACTAGAAGGATTACCTCCTGAAACAAAAGTTACTATTCAAGTGTCGCTGGAACCTCTTCAGCCAGGATCAGTGGATGTAGCATCCATAACTGTGAGCACATCTGACTCTGAACCATCACTCCCCAGGTCTAAAAGCAAAATTTCAAAAAAGTCCCATTAATTCTAGTTTCAGTAAATCTAAAGCAAGTATTTCAAACCAAATTAAAAAACCTCATAAAACAAAAAATACAAACCATACATTATTCAGTAGCACCAAAAATAGTGAAACTAGTGGATTATATATGACTTTTTAAACAAGATTCAGGATATATATTATTTGATCTGAATTTTGAGGTATTATTTTAAAACATCTGGTTTTCATGTTAACTGTATCTGGCTTAACACATAAAAGGTGTTTGTGTGTGTGTGTGAGAGAGAGAAAAAGGTATTAATTTATTTTTTTAATTTTAATTTTTTTTTTTTTTTTTTTTTTTTTTTTTACTTTAGAGACAGGGTCTCACTGTTACCCAGGCTGGAGTGCAGTGGCGTGATCCTAGCTCACTGCAACCTTGAACTTCCAGGCTCAAGCATTCCTCCGCCTCAGCCTTTGGAGAGTAGCTAGGACTACAGGCGCAGCCACCACACCCAGCTAATTTTTTATTTTAATTTTTTGTAGCGATGGAATCTTGTTATGTCGCCCAGGGTGGTCTCGAACTCCTGACCTTAGGGGAGCCTCCTGCCTCAGCCTCCCCAAGTGCTGGGTTGTGTGAGTCACTGCCCCTGGCACCTATTTATTGTTTTGGTATTTCATGTTACTCCTAAGCTTGAAAGCTCTTTTTTCTATATACAGAATTCATAGAATTTTTGAAATACTTAGTTTTCTTTACAGCTTTTTCCATGCATTCAGCATTTCATGGTTAACTCTAGTCAGACTGGAATGGCTTTGTTATGCCCTGGCCCACTTGCTGCCGAATTCCCAGAAGTGCCTCTGCTGTGCTGGCATAAAATAACCTGAAAAGATTCTGAAAAGCCAGGATGTGGAATTGAAAGAGAAGCTGCTGCGTGAGCAGAGACCAAGAAGGCGGAGGTTAGTTGAGGGAGAGCAGTGGTTCTTTGTTCTAGTTGAAGTATAGGCACACATTCATTCTAGTCTTGGGGCCAGGTCAAAAGGAACACTGCTTCAGAGTGTCTTTACCTACCTGAAAACATCCAAGGAAGCCAAACCATTCAAAGTAAAATGCTTTTGTTTGGTGAAGGGCCCCTGCAGACATCAAACAGCCGTCATGTATCATTGGTTTGAGGTGAAATAGCAATAAAATTAATAGAATGGTGCCTGGTACTAGCTGACTTCCTGTTCTGTGATCTAAAGGTGAATTTGATTCATTCCCTCTCCTCTCCCTTCTGGCTAGCCGTTAGTGGAGAATGAACTGGCCATATTCTCAGCCACAGCTGTAAAGCAAGTTTCCCAAGGGGAAGAAGCCCTAATATCTATAATTTGAACTGTACTGGACCCATAGTTTTAACTGAAAAGGGCCAAACAAGTGGTGTCTGTCCAGTTCCTGGACTGGGCTAAATTTAGTTTTCCCACTGTTAAGCTGGAATGAGGACTGTCCCAACAACAGTAGGTACAGTGGACAAAAATAGCCCAGGGTGACTGACTGAATTTAAACCCATAATGGCTTTATATTTTTCTGTGCATATATATCTTACCCTAATTGAACATGTGAAGCTTGCAACTTTATGTCTTGCTTTGGACATGAATGTATTACAGCTTGCAGCTATTCTGTTAAATGTATAGTTTCCCAGTTTTTTGACACTAATGCTGTTTGGGTCTTACCTGACACACACCAGTGTGCAAGAAATGTCTCTCTAATTCAATAAGTTTTAAGACTTAGAGTTAATGTCCTTCATCTGATCTATCCTATCTAATCTGTACTATGGGTGAATCTTTTTCCCTTGCTCTCCCCAGGGGCTGTTTCACAGTATTCTGGAGTACCTTTTGAGTATTGGTTCCTGAACATCAGCAGTCTTGGCTGCCTCTGTGGACTCCCGGAGTTGTCTCCCTGCTTGTGTTCTGGTGCCATCCTTTGTTCCTCCACCCCTGACCAAGGTGCCCAGCAGCCTGTCTTCACCAGTCAAGGAATCCGCCATCTTGGCTGTAGACATACATAGGTCTGGAGAAATCTCTCCCTTTTTCCTTGATTTCTTTTTAAAGGTACCTTATCTCTCCCCACTCCTTTCTTCCCTCCTCAATCTAGTTAAATTTCCTAAGCTTTCACAAAAATCCGGGAAGAGATAATTAAGAGCTTAGCATCCCTCTTAGAGTAGAAGGCAGTACAGATAACAAAGAAGTTGTGAGTATATTATCTACATTTTAGAAAATTTTCTGACTCTAGATCCATAGATTCTGTTGTATTTATTTGCCGGACACTCATTTGATTGATTTGCACCTTGAACACTATACTAGGTCTTTTCAGTTACGTTGCTTGGGTTAAGACACTTTGCTAAAATTACAGCCTGAATCCTTTCTTTAGTTGAAGAAAGGGTATGTGTGTGCAAGTGGGTGTGTGTGTGCCAGTTTTTCTTGTCTCAGGTAGATACTCCCACTGTGTATAAATAGATCTACAGACTTTTCATACTTACCTCCCGTATTCTGTTTCTGTGGTAAAAATATGAAGTGTTTTAGTTGTATGTTGAGTGATTGGTTGGTATTATCAACACTGTTGTTTGCAGTCTCATTAAAGCATGCTCTTAAGGAGTACATATGGTCATTAATTGCCAACTGTAGATTCCAGTGATCTGGCCCCTGCCTACCTCCTTCCTCTCTTTTTCATTCTCTGTCATGCTTCTCCACTGTTTTCCCCAATGATGCACTATTTTGACACACTGGCCTTGCTATTCCTTAAGCAAATCACATTCTTCCCAATCCAAAGACTTTGCACATGCTGTTGTCTTTCTTAGAATGCCCTTCCCCTAGGCCTGCATGGCTTGCTACCTCACTTAATTGTTTGACACTTCCTTTGGTTCATTGAGCTTCAAGGCTCTTAAAATGCCACTGACAATGAGATCTCCCTTTAAAAAAAAAAAAAAACTTCTACTTTTCCTCTTAAAGGCACTTTACTCTCTCCCCACTCTTTTCTTCCTCTTCAAAGTATTTAAATTTCCTAGGTTTTCATGAAAAAGCTGGAAAGCGATCATCATCAAGGGCTTTGCTTCTGTCTTAGAATTGAGCTAGCTTGAGTCAATTTCTGTGCCTGCAACCAAATGAAAATTAATATAGTGAGTTCTTTCAGGAGCTTTCTCTGTTTTTCTATTGATACCTCTATATATTTTTAAGGCAATGTCACTTTGTTTTGTTTACAAATATATTGAATATGTCAAGATTACTATTTTGTTATTGCCCTTTGTGAATTTCCTTGTCTATTTTGCTCGCTTGTTCTTTCAGGTGAAATTTATTATTTTATTAATGTTGCCAAAAATTATAAGTAAAATATCAATTATAGTAATAAAATGTTTTGTGAAAAAAATGCTGTTGCTGTATTGTTTTTCCACCATAAGTAAAATGGGACGTTTGTTTTGTTTTTTGAGACAGAGTCTCGCTCTGTGACCCAGGCTGGAGTATAGTGGCGCGATCCCAGGTCACTGCAATGTCCACCCCCTGAGTTCAAGTGATTCTTCCTAGCAGCTGGTACTATGGGCGTGTGCCACCATGCCCAGCTAATTTTTGTACTTTTCGTAGAGACGAGGTTTCATCGTGTTGGCCAGGCTGGTCTTGAACTCCTAGCCTCAAGTGATCCGCCCACGTTGGTCTCCCAAAGTGCCGGGATTACAGGAGTGAGCCACCATGCCTGGCCTATTTTTAGTTTGTAATTTTTATTTAGTACCACTGTATAATCTTTGCCTTTTTGCCACTTGTGTTCATTTTTAGCCTTATTGCTACCACCAGAACTTTTTTTTTTTTTGAGACAGAGTCTCGCTCTGTCAGCTAGGCTGGAGTGCAGTGGCCCCTGATCTCGGCTCACTGCAAACTCTGCCTCCCGGGTTCACGCCATTCTCCTGCCTCAGCCTCCCAAGTAGCCGGGACTACAGGCGCCCGCCACCACGCCCGGCTAATTTTTTATATTTTTTTTAGAAGAGACGGGGTTTCACCATGTTAGCCAGGATGGTCTCGATCTCCTGACCTCATGATCCACCTGCCTCGGCCTCCCAAAGTGCTGGGATTACAGGCGTGAGCCACCGTGCCCGGCACTACAGCCAGAACTTCTAAACAATATTTAAGATGGAGTTAATGGGCTTCTTTGTTCTTGGCTTTAATAAGAAATGATTTGCCCTTAAAGGTAATAAGTATATTGCTTAAATAATTTCTATTTCCATTTTTGGGGCCAGGTGTGGTGGCGCATGCTTGTAATCTCTGCACTTTGGGAGGCCAAAGCGGGTGGATCACCTGAGGTCAGGAGTTTGTGACCAGCCTAACACGGTGAAACCCCCTCTCTACTAAATACAAAAAAGTTAGCCAGGCATGGTGGCGCATGCCTGTTATCCGAGCTACTTGGGAGGCTGAGACAGAAGAATCGCTTGTACCTGGGAGGCGGAGGTTGCATCCAGCCTGGGAAACAAGCGAAGCTCTATCTCAAAAAAAAAAAGTTTCTATTTCTATTTTTTAGAATCTTTAAAGAGAATTATTTAGTTTTATAATTTACAACATCTATTAAGACAATCATTTTCTTTACTAACCCAAGTTTTTACTTGGTTGCACTTACAGCTTTCTTGTTAGAAACCTTCCTTTCCTGAAGCAAAAGTAGTTCTATTTGGGATAGGATATGGTTTTAACTACTCGGAATCCCACTTCCTTTCTCATTTCTAATATTAAAGTGTATTTCCTCTTCCTGTCATTAATTCGTCCTGGTTTTATCAATGTTTCTGATTTACTTTTTCCAAGAAGCAACCCCCCATTTGCTTTAGTTTTGTTTTCTCTATTTTTGTTTTTATTCATTATATCTCATTCGCTTTCTTTAGCATTGTTTTTTGTGAGGTTTTTGTTTTTTTTTTTTTTTTTTTTTTTTTTTTTTTGGTAGAGACAGGGTTCTGCTATGTTGCCCAGGCTGGTCTCGAACTCCTGGGCTTAAACAGTCCTCCTGCCCTGGCCTCCCAAAGTGTTGGGATTGCAAGTGTGTGCCACTATGCCTAACCTATTTTTTAATTTTCTTTAACAAAGGATTCAAACCAGCTGGGCGTGGTGGCTCATGTCTGTAATCCCAGCACTTTGGGAGGCAGAGGTGGGTGGATCATATGTGGTCAAGAGTTCGAGCCTGGCCAAGATGGTGAAAACCCGTCTCTACTAAAAATACAAAAATTAGCCAGGCGTAGTGGCGGGCACCTGTAATCCCAGCTACTGGGGAGGCTGAGGCAGGAGAATCACTTGAACCTGGGAGGTGGAGGTTGCAGTGAGCTGAGATTGCACCATTGCACTCCATCCAGTCTGGGAAACGAGTGAAACTGCGTCTCAAAAAAAAAAAATTAAGACGTGGTGGTGCACACCTGTAGTCTGACCAGCTACTTGAGAGGATGGGGCGGGAGGGCTTGAGTCCAGGAGGTCTGCAGTGAGTTATGATTGTACCACTAGGTGACAAGAGATGCTGCCTCAAAAACAAACAAAAAACCCAAAACTTGGAAACCAAACTGAAAGTCAAATTATTAAATATATACCTACTACAAACAGTATTCAGTTATCAAAAGTAGTGATTATAGGAGCTATTGCAGTACACAATTTTATTTGGCTATAATGCAAAATAAGAAAGGAACATACAAAGTTATATGTACTTTGCAATTGTAATTATTCATGATAACATCTATGGAAAAGAATGATAAATTCTAAATACAATTGAGTTTACTTAATCCCATAGTGATTTTTATTCTTTCAAATGCTGGTATGGTGGCTCACAACTGTAATCTCAACACTTTGGGAGGCCAAAGCAGGCGGATCACTTGAGGCCAGGAGTTCCAGACCAGCCTGGCCAACATGGTGAAACCCCGTCTCTACTAAAAATAGAAAAACTGGCTGGGCATGGTGGTGTGTGCCTGTAATCCCAGCTACTCGGGAGGCTGAGGCAGGAGAATCGCTTGAACCCAGGAGGTGGAAGGTGGAGGCTTAGCCGAGATCACCCTGCTGCGCTCCAACCTGGGCAATGGAGCGAGACTCTCTCAAAAAAATGTTATATAAGTGAGTTATTTTGTCTTTTAAAAGCATTCATCATATAAATAAAGTAAATTCCATTTCAGTGGTTAGCCCTTTTAGACTCTTTCCTTCCCGGTTATGAGATTGAAATTAGAACAATTATCAATGTGTGGCAAGACTGCCACTAAGACACAAGTCTTTCTTAGCTTTAGGGCAAGCATTGGCAAACTGTGGCTTTTAGGCTAAGTTTAAATTTTCAAAACATTGTTAGAGCCAGAGACCCATATACACCCAGCAAAGCCTAAAATATTTACTACCTGACACTTTATAGAAAAAAGTTTGCTGACCCCTGCTCTAGTTATAACTTAGACTCATTTGTATCTTCCCCTGTATTCATGTATGTGGGCTAATGGCTTAGAACTTTGGATGTGAATGGGATGGGGTTATTCCTTGATCCTATCCAGGGATTGATAGAATCCAAAACAGTAGAAAGAGGCACAATGTCAGAAATGACAGAAAAGCTGTCTGAGGGATGTGTGCATGGGTGTGTATAAACATACACATCGAAACCTTAGTACCATTTTTCCATGTTTTTTGATGGGTGGGATTGTGTGCTTTGCAAACAGGGAAGGGAATGTGTTATCTGTTGCTGCATAACAGGTTACCACAAAACTAACAGCTTAAACATTAACTCACATAGTCTCTGAGTGTCAGGAATCCTGGAACAGTTTAGTGTCAGATCCTACAGGTTAGGGTCTCGGTCCTCCAGACTTCCCCCCATACCCCCAGACACCACTCCCAAGTCTGGGTATACTGAACTTCTGACTGACTGACTTCAAGTTGGGGTTCTCACAACCCCCTCTTTGGATTTCATTAATTTGCCACAATAGCTCACAGAACTTGAGGAAACACGTTTACAGGTTTATTATAAAGGATATTACAAAAGATACAGATGAAGAGACACACAGGGCAAGGTGTGTGGAAAGAGGTATGGAGCTTCCATGGCTTCCCTGAGTGCGCCAACCTCCAAGAACCTCCAAGTGTTGTTCAGCTAACTGGAAGCTCCCTGAACCCAGTCTTCTTGGGTTTTTATGGAAGCTTCATGACTTAAGCATTCTCTCCCGCTAGAGTATAGGGCAGGATTCTCTCTTGGGAGGGTCTTAGAACCCACAATCAGAAAGATTAGAGTCCTGCCTTGGGGCAGGTAAAAGGATGGCAGAAGGTCAGAAGCCTACCTCTGAGGCCTAACACCGAACATTATAACAAAAGACTGTAACAAGGGCTGTGGGAGTTATGAACTGTGGACAAAACCAATGTATATTATAACACCACAAGAGCATAGCATACACAGCATAGAGATGCTGGTCAATGGGATGATTTATGTCCTGAATGGAACTCAGAGCCACTGCACTAGATTTCATCACACTAACCAGAATGGCATGCAATTTAAAACCTAAGAATTGTTGGCTGAGTGTGGTGGCTCACGCCTCTAATCCCAGCACTTTGGGAGGCTGAGGCAGATAGATCATTTGAGGTCAGGAGTTTGAGAACAGCCTGGCCAACATAGTGAAACCCCATCTCTACTTAAATACAAAAGTTAGTTGGGTGTGGTGGTGGGCACTTGTAATCCCAGCTACTCAATACACTGAGGTAGGAGGATTGCTTGAGGCCGAGGAGCAGAGGTTGCAGTGAACCGAGATCACGCCACTGCACTCCAGCCTGAAGGACAGAGCAAGACCCTGTCATTAAATAAATAAATAAATAAACTAAAACCTATGAATTGTTTATTTCTGGAATTTTCCGTTTAATATTTTTGGACCACAATTGACTGTGGGTAACTGAAACCATGGAAAGTAAAACCACAGATAAAGGGGACTACTGTACTCTGAAGCATCATTTTTGATCTTTCAGAGCCTTAAAGGATTTTACCCTCTGACTGGGTGCAGTGGCTCACACTTGTAATCCAAGGCTGGTGGATCACCTGAGGTCAGGAGTTCAAGACCAGCCTGGCCAACATGGTGAAACTCCGTCTCTACTAAAAAAAAAAAAAAAAAAAAAAAAAAAAAATTTGCTGGGCATGGTGGCCTGCACCTGTAACTCCAGCTACTCGGGAGGCCGAGGCAGGAGAATCACTTGAACCTGGGAGGCAGAGGTTGCCGTGAGCTGAGATCAAGCCGTTACACTCCAGCCTGGGTGAAACTCTGTCTCAAAGAAAAAGTAAAAAGGATTTTTACCCTCATCTTTCATATTTCTGCACCTTTCTTTAGTGCCCTGGATATAACCTTTGCTTGGGAGCAGTTAATTTTAGCATCTTTTGCCATCTGGAAAGACTGGGAATTTTCAAAACCAGCAGGTACTGGCTCTTGGCTCTTTTTTGTTTAACACTTCTTCCCTTAGCTTGTTTCTGTCCCCTCAGATTTTACTATAAGTAGCAAGAAGAAACCAATCAGCACTTTCAGCATTCTGGCTGGAAATCTCAATTAGATGACTCAGGTACATTTTCTACTTTCACCTGACTAGGTGATAGTCACTAAACTTTCTGCCACTACGTAACTACGTAACCCCTTGCTCAATTTTCTAATAACATGTTCCTCACTTCATTTTAAGCTACACCAGAGCCTTCTCAGAGTCCAGTTTTCTACTAAGGCTTGCACTGACAATCTCCTTGAAGATTTTTTAGCTTCTGCCCACTGCCCAGTTTCAAAGCCACTCCTACATTTTAGGTATTACACCAGCACCTCCCTTCCAGGTACTAAAATCTGTATTAGTTACCTATTGCTGTATAATATATTACTGCAAACTTATCAACTAAAACCACCACTATTTGTTATCTCATGGTTTCCGAGGGTCAGGAATTTGGGGTCACTTAACTGAGTGGTGCTGTCTCAGCTTCTTTCATGAGGTTGCAGTTAAGATGTTGACTGGGGCCATATCATGTGAAAGGCTTGACTAGGGCTTTCAAACTCACTTGGGTATTGGCAGGAGGCCTCCCTCTGTTCCTTGTCATATGGTCCTCATGACATGTCAGCTGGCTTCCTACAGAATGAGTGATCCAAAAGAGAACAAGGAAGGCATTGCAATGTTTTTTATAATAGCCTTGGAGGTAAAATAACTTCACTCTGTTGTATACTCTTGGTCACCCAGAGCAACCCTGATGCTATGTGGGAATGGACCATATACAGATAGGAATACCAGAGGGTGGGGAATCACTGGAGGCCATCTTGGAAGTTACCACAGGGAAAATGGAACATTAGAAGTTTTTATGATACAAGGAAGGCAGCTAAAACTGAGTTAATGGTCATTGTGTTGCCTTCCCACTCTCTGGTGTGCCATTGTGGCTGACACCATTTTGAGAGGATTCTTTTTAAAGTTCATTTATTTTAAAATGTTGAGTATATAATATATTCACATTCTTCAAACATCGAAAAAGTAACAACTCAGATTCTTTTTTTAGCCTTTCAGATAGTTTCTTATTTTTTCTTTTCTTTTTTTTAAATAACTGATTTATATTATGCACAGTCTTCTGCACCTTGCTTTTTTTATTTGACGGTGTAACATGTTCACATTTTATGGCATATAAACAGGAAAATTATAGCCTGAGATTATGAAAGGGCTAATTAAAAATATTTCTGAAGTGTTTCCAAAGATTACTAAGAAAAATCGGGGGCCGGGTGTGTTGGCTCACGCCTGTAATTCCAACACTTTGGGAGGCCAAGGTGGGCAGATCACAAGGTCAGGAGTTCGAGACCAGCCTGGCCAATGTGGTGAAACCCCATCTCTACTAAAAATACAAAAATTAGCTGGGCATGATGGTGGTGGGCACCTGTAATCCCAGCTACTTGGGAGGCTGAGGCAGGAGAATTATTTGAACCCAGCAGGTGGAGGTTGCAGTGAGCTGAGATCGCACCATTGCACTCCAGCCTGGGTGACAGGGCCAGACTCCATCTCAAAAAAAAAAAGATTACTAAGACAAATCTCTAATGCACTATTATAAAATTGTTGTAAAGAAAAAAATCCCTGTCCATTTCACAAAGAATAAATATAGCTGATTGGTAAATAAATGCAAAATATTTAGTCTCCATAGCAAAAACAAAAATGGGAATTAAAGCAATGGTAGCGTACTGATGAATATTATATAAATTGTAATGTTTACTGTCAGTGAGGATGTATTAAAAGGAGTTTCAATTGGCATAAGCCTTTTTGGAAGTTATTTCAATATATGAATAAAAAGGTAATAATTTCATTTTTTTCATAGGATGCTTTTTTTTTTTTTTTTGAGACAAAGTCTCACTCTGCTGCCCAGGCTGGAGTTCAATGGCGCAATCTCGGCTCACTGCAACCTCTGCCTCCAGGGGTCAAGCAGTTCTCCTGCCTCAGCCTCCCAAGTAGCTGGGACTACAGGCACCTGCCACCATGCCCGGCTAATTTTTTGTATTTTTAGTAGAGACAGGGTTTCACCATGTAGGCCGGGCTGGTCTCAAACTCCTGACTTCAGGTGATCCACCTGCCTTGGCCTCCCAAAATGCTGGGATTACAGGCGTGAGCCACTGCTGGCCTCATGGGATGCTTTTAACATATCCAATAAAAATTTACAGAATGAATGTTTATGTATATATCCAAAATTGAGTATGTAAGATAATTCATCAATACTTTGGTTGTACTAATGTAAATGTAAAGTAGAAATAATTTTTTTTTTTTTTTTTAGTTAGAGACAGGGTATCTCCATGTTGGTCAGGCTAGTCTCAAACTCCTGATCTCAGGTGATGTGCCCACCTCGGCCTCCCAAAGTGCTGGGATTACAGGCATGAGCCACCAGGCCTGGCCAGAAATAATTTTAAATGCCTGGAAACTGAACAGTTTTGTACTTTTCATTTAATAGCTGCACAATCTACTTTTTTTGTTGTTTTTCGTTATTGTTGTTTTGGTTTGGTTTTTTTTTGAGGCGGAGCCTCACTCACTCTGTCGCCCAGGCTGGAGTGCAGTGGCACTATTTCGGCTCACGGCAACCTCCGCCTCCTGCGGTCAAGAGATTCTCCTGCCTCAGCCTCCTGAGGAGCTGGGATTACAGCCGCGGGCCCCCACGCCCGGCTAATTATTTTTTTGTAATTTTAGTAGAGATGGGGTTTCACCACATTGCCCAGGCTGGTCTCAAACTCATTGGCCCCAAGTGGTCAGCCGCCTCTGCCTCCCAAAGTGCTGGGATTACAGGCATGAACCACCGTGCCTGGCTGAAATAGCTGCACTATATACTTTTTTTAAAAGAGATAGATTGCAGTAATGTGAAAGAAAACTAGCAGGAAAAAAATTTGTATACATTGTGATCTGAACTATGGAGAAAATATGTGAAAGAACAGCCAGGCGCGGCGGTTCACACCTGTAATCCCAGCACTTTGGGAGGCCGAGGCGGGGCAAATCACTTGAGCTCAGGAGTTCCAGACCAGCCTGGCCAACGTGGAGAAACACCGTCTCTACTAAAAATACAAAAATTAGCCGGCGTGGTGGCAGATGCCCGTACTCCCAGCTGCTCGGGAGGCTGAGGCAGGAGAATTGCTTGACCCCCCCAGGAGGCAGAGATTGCAGTGAGCCAAGATTGCACCACTGCACTCCAGCCTGGGTGACAGAGTGAGACTCTGTCTCAAAAAAAAAAAAAAAAAAAAAAAAGAAGAAGTAGGAGAAGAGACTAAAATTGTAACATCTAACTTCTGAACTATTTGGTCTTTACGGCGTAGTTAAATATGCTCCTTGAAACAAATACTTCTAGGTCGGGCATGGTGGCTCACGCCTGTAATTCCGGAATTTTAGGAGGCTGAGGAGGAAGGATAGCTTGAGCCCAGAAGTTCAAGACCAGCCTGGGCAACACAGGGGGATCCAGGCTGTACAGAAAATAAATAAATTAGCCAAGTGTGGTGGTACACACCTATGTTCCCAGCCACTTGGGAGATTGAGGTAGGGGAGGATAGCTTGAACCTGGGAGGTCAAGCCTGCAATAAGCAGTGATTGTGCCACTGCACTCCAGCCTGAATGACAGAGCAGGACCACATCATTAAAAAAAAAAAAAAAAAAAAAAAAAGCCAGATTTTATGTAGTAAACTTGCATTGTTTTGAAAAATTTTTTAGGCCAGGCGCGTTGGCTCATGCCTGTAATCCCAGCACTTTGGGAGGCCGAGGCGGGCGGATCACGAGGTCAGGAGTTTGAGACCAGCCTGACCAACATGGTGAAACCCTGTCTCTACTAAAAATACAAAAATTAGCCGGGCGTTGTGGCGGCTGCCTGTAATCCCAGCTACTAGGAGGTTGTAATCCCTAGGAGGTTGAGGCAGGAGAATCACTTGAACCCAGGAGGTGGAGGTTGCAGTGAGCCAAGATCGTGCCATTGCACTCCAGCCTAGGTGACAGAGCAAGACTCCATCTCAAAAAAAAAAAAAAAAAGAAAAATTTTTTATATAAAATAAGGAGCTTGTTTTCTTTGCTATTATCAGTCAGAATTACATCATAGAGAGATTTTTTTTTTGAAAAAATATTTGACCATAAACTCTTCATCTAGTATACCTCTTATTGTTCCCTATGGATTGGAAAAATATTTGCATTCTATTTTTCCTAGACCCACTTTCTCCCAAAAGAAGGCAGAAGAATCATTCTAAAGGCTGATCTGAAATCTCTGTGAACCTGGGCAGTGACTGAGTGAGGAGGAGGAGAGGAGTCTAGACCACGGTGCTGAAGTTCCAAGGGCCCACTGGCCTCACAGCTAGTGTTGGACTCTCTAATGGCTCTTTTATGCCCTCCTCACCTCTTGCATAAAGGTTAGGTATTTGTGGGACACATTATGCAAATCTGAGCCTTTTATCTCTCCCTCCTCCTCCTATTCTGGTCTTTGTCCCAGGGAGCAACTCCCTGTCATGGGGAGGCCTAGGTGGCTGTGAGATCTGGCTTTGCCCTGTGGGAGGGAACAGCTGCTGTAACCTCTTGCAGGGCCTATGAGCAAGTGTCCAGGGTACCTAAAATATGAACAACCTGAACGTCAGGCTTCAGAGAGGATCCACGGCACCTTGCTGTGGTTTCCTGGGGTGGAGGATTGTAGTACCCCTCTCATTCATTTAACTTTTTTTGACATTTCTACTGTATTTCCTAGGCAAGCCCACATTCATTGTTTGTCTCTTTGTTCAGTCCTTTTTGTAGTTATTGTTGAAAATCCACTGCATTGTCTGTATTTCATTTCAGTGTTATCCGTCTTGTTTATCTGAGTGTTTTGAATGACTAAAGAAGTTATATTCATGACCATCTGATTTGAAGTTATTTACTTTGAACCTCATGCTGAATAAACTGCTTGCTTAAGATGAGAATTATTTAAATAATTTACTTTAGAGTATCTTATTTTATTTTAGTTTTTTAGACGGAGTCTCCCTCTGTTGCCCAGGTTGGAGTGCAGTGGTGCAATCTCAGCTCACTGCAACCTCTGCCTCCTGGGTTCAGTGATTCTCCAGCCTCAGCCTTCTGAGTAGCTGGGATTACAGGCGCCCGCCGCCACCCCGACTAATGTTTTTTTTTTCTTTTTTTTTTGAGATGGAGTCTCGCCCTGTTTCCCAGGCTGGAGTGCAATGGTGTGATCTCAGCTCACTGCAACCTCTACCTCCCGGGTTCAAGCGATTCTCCTGCCTCGGCCTCCTGAGTAGCTGGGATTACAGGCATTCGCCACCACGCCCAACTAATTTTTTGTATCTTTAGTAGAGATGGGGTTTCACCATGTTGGTCAGGGTGGTCTGTAACTCCTGACTTTGTGATCCACCCACTTCGGCCTCCCAAAGTGCTGGGATTACAGGTGTGAGCCACTGCACCCAGCCTAGACTACTTTAAATAGAAAATACAGACACATAACCAAAGACTGACTATGCTAGTCCAGCACAGACATTAGGCTCTGAGAGACCAAGACAGGGAAGGGAAATCTGGAGCATTTCAAAATGGAGAGGCACAAACTATCTCTGTTCTGACTTAAGACAACAGCAGCCCCTCCTAAAGGTGCTCATCGACAGGAGCCATCAGAGCTTTTGATGAGGTTTCCTGTAGGCTCTGCACCTCAGGAGCTTTTGCTCTGTGCGTATGTGTGTAAGGTCCTAGTTTGTGGATTACTCTATTATCTATTATTTTAATAAAAGACATCTAGAGTGTACTACTGTCGGTAGATCAGTTGGCCACGTCAGGGTTCATCTACAGGGTGAAAAGGGTACCCTAGAAAGGATGTATCCGCCTTTATGCACTTTGGGGGGATTTCAACTTAAGTACAAAGCAGGAAAAGCCTTACTTTGTGACTGGAAACATCTGTGAGGTGACTCCTATATTATTATAATTTATTACTATTATTTTCATTTAATTTGTAGCCATAGTTCTATGGTAAATAAAATCTGTACAAAATTTTGCATACTTGTGTTGAACCAGATATTTAAGTTTAGGAATTTTTACAAAGTAAATGACTTGCTGTATGAATAGATGTAGTTTGAAAGAAGTTCAACAACATGTAGTTTATAATAGAGAAAACATAGAATCCCTGTAATACTATGAATAAGTAATGATCTAAGGAGCTTTATATACTTGAAAACATGCAGAGATGTTGATTATGTATTACTAAATGGGAAAACGCCTCGTAAGATAAATTGCATTCTGACCCTTCTTTCCTTGCCTCCTCCCTTAACCCCTTTCCCTGTCCCACCTCAACTAACATCTGACAGAGCAAATGCAGAAATCCAGAAGGGTATTTGTTGTCAAAATATATATAATGGTTATCTCTAAGTAGTGAGATATGGATAATTTTTGTTTTAAACTTTTTTTTTTACATTAGCTATTACTTTTGTTCTACACACTCTTCCTTTTTACATTATTTAACCTCAAAAGAAAGTTTGGGAGAGGGGCCAGGTGAGGCGGCTCATGCCTGCAATCTCAGCACTTTGGGAGGCCAAGGCAGGAGGATCATTTGAGGCCAGGAGTTCAGGACCAGCCTGGGTAACATAGCGAGACCCTATCTATACGAAACATAAAAAAAAAAAATAGCCAAGCATAGTGGCACATGCCTGTGGTCCCAGCTACTTGGGAGCCTGAGGTGGGAGATTTGAGCCCAGGAGGTTCAGGCTGCAATGAGCCATGTCTGCACTCCTGCCTGGGCGACAGCAGTGTTAAAAAAAAAAAAAAAATGTCTGGGAGAGGACAGAATAGCTATCAAGAAAAAGAAGTGTGTCATCCCTGATCCTGGACAAGTCACTGGTGCCTACATCTTTCCTCTATGGCTCAACACAATTGGTCACTCAACACACAGTCATTGGTGCCTTTTATTTTTGGAGACGGAGTCTCAATCTGTCGCCCAGGCTGGTGTGCAGTGGAGCAATCTCGGCTCACTGCAACCTCCACCTCCTGGGCTAAAGTGATTCTTCTGCCTCAGCCTCCTGAGTAGCTGGGATTATAGGCTCCCACCACCACACCTGGCTAATTTTTGTATTTTCTGTAGAGATGGAGTTTCACCATGTTGGCCAGGCTGGTTTCGAACTCCTTGGCCTCAAGTGATCTACCTGCCTCGGCCTCCTAAAGTGCTGAGATTACATTCGTGAGCCACTGCACCCAGCCCATTGTGCCCTTTTATAGCTTCCTTTCCTGTGTTTGCCAGGCTGTCTTAGTTCAGGCTGCCATAAAAAAAATAGCAAAGACTGGATGGCTTAAACAACAAACCTTTATTTCTCATAGCTCTGGAGGCTGGGAAGTCTAAGATCAAGGTGCCTGCAGATTTGGTTCTTGGCGAGGGTCCACTTTCTGGTTTGTAGATGGCACCTTTCTCTGTAGCCTGGCATGGCAGAAAGATCTAGTCTCTTTTTCTTCTTTTAAGGACACTAATCCTATCATGAGGGCTCCACTCTCATGTCCTCTTCTAAACCTAATTATTTCACAAAGGCTCTACCTCCAAATACTATCACATGGGGGGTTAGGGTTTCAATCTAAGAATTTTGGGGGAGACAGAAATATGCAGTCCATACTATCACACAGTCCCTCTGTTGGAGATGACCTCATTTCCTCCATACTTACTCTTCTTTTTCTAAGATCCCACATCCAAGGCAGACACTTTCTTGATATATCCAGAAAAGGGTGGTTGCTTTATTAGTTGAGCTTTCAAAAATCTGGTAATTCTCTGTATTAGTAATTAGCGTAGAAGTTTCTATTTTATTTCTAGTATCTTCGAGTGTGTTCTCCTTGACAGAAGGAACCCTTCTCATTTGTCCTGTATTTATACCCTCACAGTCCAACCTAACATAATATGTCACCCAGAATGGGCCCTTAATAAATGTTTCATGGGCTGGGTGTGGTGGCTCATGCCTGTAATCCCAGCGCTTTGGGAGGCAGAGGTGGGCAGATCACGAGGTCAGGAGATCGACACCATCCTGGCTAACATGGTGAAACCCCATCTCTACTAAAAATACAAAAAATTAGCCAAGTGTGGTAGCTTGCACCTGTAGTCCCAGTTACTTGGGAGGCTGAGGCAGGAGAATCACTTGAACCTGGGAGGCGGAGGCTACAGTGAGTGGAGATCGAGCCAATGCACTCCAGCCTGGGCAATGGAGGGAGACTCTGTCTCAAAAAAATAAATAAATAAATGTTTGATGGTTGAGTGAATGAATTGATGAATGTATGGATGGACGGATGAAAATTTGGGCCTGAGATATATTTGTGAAAAAAAGGTTTTAGATTATATTATTATTTTAATATTATTATTTTTTTAAAAATTTTCCCATACCTACTCATCTGAGAGAATTTTAGATTAAATGATTATTGCTCCCACCTATAATCCCAGCACATTAGGAGGTTCAGGTGGGAGGATTGCTTGAGCCTAGGAGTTTGAGACCGGCCTCAGCAACACAGTGAGACCCCATCTCTATACAAATTTTAAAAACTCAGCCAGGTGTGGTGGCGCACACCTATAGTCCCAGCTACCTGGAAGGCTGAGGTGGGAGGATCACTTGAGCTCCAGAGGCAGAGGCTGCAGTGAGCCGTGATTGTGCCATTGCACTCCAGCCTGGATGACAGAGCAAGACCCCATCTCAAAAATAAATAAATAAAAATAAATGGATTAAATGATGATTAATTTTCTCCTAATATTTTGTTGTTAAAAAAATAAAGATGGGACTTCATGGGTGATAATGAGATAGAATTGGAAAGCGAAAGAAAATTTAAAAAAAAAAAGCAAATTTTAGGGCACCTTAAAATGTAGCCAAATGGTAGAATTAGAGAAAATATACATGCAATGCTTGGAGATTATAAATATTCATTTCTTTCCTTTGCTCTGAAAGTTCTTCTTTTATCTGACAATTTAATACCCACCTGTAATTTTCTTTGACTGATAGGATGTTGGAGAATATATAAATTTTTAATTCTTAATTTTAGTTTTATTCAATGCTTTAATTATAGCAGTTATTTCCAATTTTAAATAAACATATCCATCTTAGACAATAGAAGAATATAAATAAATCACCCACGTAGCCCGATCTGTCATCACTCTCCCAGCTGCCTCCAGGGAGGCACTTCCAAGTTTCTTGGCCTGTTAGGATGCGTCAGGGCCAGCATAAAAGGAAGAGTTGTTCAGATGGTCGTGCTCACTGCCCTGGTATTAGACTTCTCCACTGCTCTTGGAATTAGAGAAACTGCACCAAATAAGAATCATCCTCTTAGTTGAGTTGGTAATATTGATGACTGCCCTCTGTGGGAGAGGAATCTACATACATACAAGCCTGAGTGTTTTCACTCACCACACCAATATCCAGTGTCTGCTTTATGTTAGATGTATCATTCATATATTGCTATGTAACAGTCACAAATATCAGCATTTATTACTCACACGTGTTTATTTGGAAACCCAGCCTGAAGGGCCAAAAACTATCCAGGACAAGATCTTAGTAATGAGAGTTGCAAAAGAGGGCAAACCAAGTGGTGCAAGGACATTTAAACTTGAGCTTGCATAAGGTCCACAAATGTTCCATTACTCAAAGTGAGAACAGGGCCAAGCACAAAGTCAAGGGGGATAAGTCACATGACAAAGATACACAGACACAGGTAGGAGTAATGTTGATAGGAGTAATATCAACAGGTGATATTTGGTTACATGAGTATGTTCTTTAGTGGTGATTTGTGAGCTTTTGCTGAACCCATCACCCGAGCAGTATACATTGTACCCAATTTATAGTTTTTACCACTTTCCCTCCTTCCCACCCTTTCCTCCTGAGTCCCCAAAGTCCATTGTGTCATTCTTCTTATCAGGGGAACCCGCCCCCGATAATTCAGTGTGGGTTCTTTTCTATTTTCCCTAAGTGTTGGCCGGTCTGAGAAATAAAGGGAAGGAGAGAAATTTTAAAGTTGGGTGTCTGGGGGAGACATCACATGTCGGCAGGTTCCATGATGCCCCCCAAGCTGCAAAACCAGCAAGTTTTTATTAGTGATTTTCAAAGGGGAGGGAGTGTATGAATAGGGTGTGGGTCACAGAGGTCACATGCTTCGCAAGGTAATAAAATATTACAAGGCAAATGGAGGCAGGGCGAGATCACAGGACCGGAGTGAAATTAAAATTGCTAATGAAGTTTCGGGCACGCATTGTCATTGATAACATCTTATCAGGAGACAGGGTTTGAGAAAAGACAACTAGTCTGACCAAAATTTATTAGGCGGGAATTTCCTCATCCTAATAAGCCTGGGAGCGCTGCAGGAGACCAGGGCTTATTTCATCCCTTATCTACAACTGTAAAAGACAGACATTCCTAGAGCGGTCATTTCAGAGACCTACCCCTAGGAACACATTCTCTTTCTCAGGGCTGTTCCTTGCTGAGAAAAATAATTCAGCGATATTTCTCCTATTTGCTTTTGAAAGAAGAGAAGTATGGCTCTGTTCCACATGGCTCTCAGGCAGCCAGACCTAATGGTTATCTCCCTTGTCCCTGAACATCACTGTTATCCTGTTCTTTTTTCAAGGTGCCCAGATTTAGTGTTGTTTAAACAATTTTTGCAGTTAACACAATCATCACAGGGTCCTGAGGCAACACACATCCTCAGCTTACAAAGATGATGGGATTAAGAGATTAAAGTAAAGACAGGCATAGGAAATCACAAGAGTATTGATTGGGGAAGTGATAAATGTCCATGAAATCTTCACAGTTTATGTTCAGAGACTGCAGTAAAGACAGGCGTAAGAAATTATAAAAGTATTAATTTGGGGAACTAATGAATGTCCATGAAATCTTCACGATTTATGTTCTTCTGCCATGGCTTCAGCCGGTCCCTCCCTTTGGGGTCCCTGACTTCCCGTAACACTTCTGCCTTTGCATTCTCATAGCTTAGCTCCTACTTCTTTTTTTTTTTTTAGATGGAGTCTCACTCTGTCACCCAGGCTGCAGTGCAATGGCATGATATCAGCCCACTGAAAGCTCCACCTCCCAGGTTCACACCATTCTCCTGCCTCAGCCTCCTGAGTAGCTGGGACTACAGGCACCCACCACCATGGCCAGCTAATTTTTTTGTGTTTTTAGTAGAGACAGGGTTTCACTACACTAGCCAGGATGGTCTTGATCTCCTGACCTTGTGATCCACCCGCCTCGGCCTCCCAAAGTGCTGGGATTACAGGCTTGAGCCACCACTCCTGGCCAGCTCCCACTTCTGAGTGAGAACATGCAATGTTTTCCCATTCTTGAGTTACTTCATTTAGAATAAGTCTCCAATCCCATCCAGGTTGCTACTAATGCCATTAATTCATTCCTTTTAATGGCTGAGTAGTATATCATCATATATATATTGTTTCTTTATTCACTCATTGAGTTGTGGGCATTTTGGTTGCTTCCACATTTTTGCAGTTGTGAATTGTGCTGCTATAAACGTGTGTGCAAATATCTTTTTTGTATAATGACTTCTTTTCCTCTGGGTAGATACCCAGTAGTGGGATTGCTGGATCAAATGGTAGTTCTATGTTTAGATCTTAAAAAAATCTCCACACTGCTTTCCACAGTGGTTGTACTAGTTTACATTCCCACCAGCAGTGTAGAGGTGTTCCTTTTTCACTGCATCTATGCCATCATCTATTATATGTTAATTATGGCCATTCTTGCAGGTGGTAAGGTGGTATCTCATTGTGGTTTTGATTTGAATTTCCCTGATCATTAGTGATGTTGAGCATTTTTTCATATGTTTCTTGGCCATTTGTATATCATCTTTTGAGAATTATCTACTCATGCCTTTAGCCCACTTTTTGATGAGTTTTTTTTTTCTTTCTAGTTTGTTTGAGTTCTTTGTAGATTCTGGATATATCAGTCCTTTGTCAGATGTATAGAATGTGAAGAATTTTCCCCACTCTGTAGGTTGTCTGTTTACTCTGCTGATGTTCCTTTTGCCATGCAGCTCACCAGTCACTGTCTGTATTCACACATCCATGTTCTGATTCCCAGACACCGATTTCATCATTCTATAAGTGATTATTTTGATTTCTTTAGTTCTTTAGCTCTTTAGTTTAATTAAGCTCTTTTTTTTCTTTAGCTCTTTAGTTTAATTAAGTTCCACCTATTGAACTTTGTTTTTGTTGCATATGCTTTTGGGTTCTTGGTCATGAAATCCTTGCCTAAGCCAATGTCTAGAAGAGTTTTTCTGATGTTATTTTCTATAAGTTTTATAGTTTCAGATTTTATATTTAAGTCCTTGATCCATCTTGAGTTGATTTTTGTATAAGGTGAGAGATGAGGATCCAGTTTCATTCTCCTACATCTAGCTTGCCAATTATCCCAGCGCCATTTGTTGAATAGGGTGTCATTTTCCCACTCTATATTTTTGTTTGCTTTGTTGGATATCACTTGGCTGTAAGTATTTGGGTTTATTTCTGGATTCTCTGTTCTCTTCCATTGGTCTATGTGCCTATTTTTATACCAGTGTCATGCTGTTTTAGTGACTATGACCTTATAGTATAGTTTGAAATCAGGTAGTGTGATGCCTCCAGATTTGTTCTTTTTGCTTAGTCTTGCTTTGGCTATGTGGGCTCTTTTTTGGTTCCATATGAATTTTAGGATTGTTTTTTCTAGTTCTGTGAAGAATGACAAGAGACCATCACTTCTTCAATGTAGCCCACATCTACACTTGTGCTAATTGTAAATGGCCCCTGGATTTCTAGACTTACAAGGTGCTTTAGTAAATAATCTAGAATCAGGTCACTCACTTCCTTCAGACACTGTCTCCTCAAGGAATTCAGAGAGATGCTTCTCATTCAGATGTGGCATGTCACTCCCTGGCTTAAACACCTTCAGTGGCTCCTTGTTGTTTATATAAAACCTGAATCCTGTGGCCCCAGCAGCATGACCTGCACGTTGTGGCCCCTGCACACTCCCATAGCCCATCTCACAGCCCCTCGTCCTTCTGCTGGGACTCCGGCCTCACTCACTTCTTTGTCCTGGGAAACGCTGAGCTCCGGTCCCTTTCATAGCCTCCACCCCAGCTCCTCCTTTGCCTGTTAGGAGAAGATGGGCTTCAACTTGAAGTCAGAATGTAAGCTTACATTTTGTCCACGTTGTTAAAAGCAGATTATATACCACATTGTTAAAATCAGGTTACATACCAATTAAAAGCAGGACATATACCTCTCATCACAGACATGGATTTTTTTAGGCAGTGATTATTATGGAAATTTTTGAGTTATATAAATATGCTGAGAGTTGTCTAATGAATCCTTGGCACCCATCAGCTAGCTTTGACATCATCAGTGTGACTCATCTTGTTTAATCTTTCAACCCTTTTTACCCATCATCTTACTCCATCGCTGGATGATTTTATAGCAAATCACAAACATGATCACTAATGCCAACATTAGTGATCAGCCTTGTTCTCATCCTGGAGCCCAGAGATGCTCAGGAAGGCCTTTTTGGAAAACTGATAGCTTGAGAATCAGTCCTACATCCCTAAAAGTGTATATTGGCTTCTATGGATCAGAGGTTTGGGGACACTTCCTGTTCATTGTTGGTACCAGGACACAATCCCAAGACCCTTATTGCTGCTGCTTCCAGTGCAGGAGATGGTGACTGGTTTAGCCACAGACAGACTGTGCAGGTTACCAAGTGAGTTCTGACTGCCCAGGACCCTGAGAGTCAGGAGAGAGACACAGGGTGAGGGAGGTGGCTCAGTAAGCCAGGGGAGCAAGGAAGAGCCCTGGTCCTCCCAGTGCCATCCCTGCCTCCTTGTCTCCAGCTACTACAGGAGTTATTAATAAATAATTTTTAGGCAGCAAGAAAGGGTGAAAGTTCTTGGTGGAATTTTCTTTTAATAAAAAGCGACCCCCAAACCATTTCTTTGCTAACAGAAAGCGGCTTGAAAAACCAGACTGGCAAGCATTGATACGCAAATGCTGGTGGCTAGAAGCCAGGTCCACCCAATATGGTGGCTTTCGCCCTCTTCTCCTTGTCACCACATGTGCCAGGTGTCACGGCAGCTTCCACATAAAAGCCACATGTGCAGGACATCATGGCAACCTGAATTTTCATATTAAAAGGCTAGGGTGGGAGGGCCAGTTTTTTTACAGGCTGCGTGAATGACACACCTGGTCAAACTCATTCCCTGGGCCCTGTGCAAATCAGACACTGCCTCCTCCAGCCTCCCAATATAACCAGCTGCTGTCCACCACATGTAGGGTTTTCCGTTCGGAGCCCTTCTCCCTCTCTATGGGGGAGCTGTTTTTCTTCTCTCTTGCCTGTTAAACTTTCCACTCCTTAAAACCACTCCACATATGTCCATCCATGTTGCTAATTTTCTCAGAATGAGACAAAAGACCCTGGTGTTTCTCCAGTCATCAGAGCCGTATCCTTTCTGGTGCCTTCACTGGGAATCCAAGGTACAACATTCATCGACGTAGTGATTAGAGGAGTGAACTCAAAGTCTGTTCTGTCATTCAGAGGTTCTTGGTCTCTATTTTAAAATCAAAATCAAATCAATTATGGGCATCCATTGGCCGTCTAAATACGCTTATCATGGCTGTTGTTCTAAAGACTTGAGTGTTAGGCTTGCTGGTCAGAACACGGAGAACCCGCAATACTCACGGGTCTTTGGGAATGTTGGTCATGCTTCAAATCAGTTTCTTTTCATGGGGAAACTTAGCCATCGCGTGAGGCTGGGAAAAGTTCTGAAGCAACTGAGAATTTCTGGCCAGGGCACAGCCTGGTGTTATTCAAAGGTTTCGGGACTGGACCCAGCCTCCAACGGCCTGCTCTGGATGTTGGTAAAGGATCCCTAGCTATCCTGTCGCAGAACCTTCTTCCTTTTTTATCCGTGGTCGTTATGTCTCTTACTCTCTCTGTGTGTCAAATGTGCGGGAATTTTTACAGCGTAGGGAAGTAATCCTGGTAGGCAAGATCAGAAAATGCTGTAGTAACTGGGGAGATAGCTCAGGAAAATGCCATTGCAATCTTCTAGGAACAGAAGTCTTCCTTTGCCCCTCAGTGAGGTTACTCCCTAAAATTCCTCTGGTGAGCACATGGTATTTCTAGGCCAACAGCGCCACCTAGTGGAAATAAAATCCTCTTTATGCGACACATTGCTGATCTCCGCGGTACACCGCAGCTTCTCAATTTTTTTCTTTTTGCACCTTTCTACTGGAAACCAGGATTTATGCTGCTCCTGTGAACGGGAAAATTCTGCTTTTAACTATTAGGAGTAAAATTCCTCTGCAGCCGAATTTGTGCCCCGATACTGTCCCATTAGCAGGAAAGTCGCCATTAGGTCCCCGCGTTCCTTTAAGACACCTGTTCTCTCTCCGATTAAAACAGTACTTAATTAGTAAGGAGATTTTAAGTCTGGAAGTTAACTGGAACCATTTTTCTAAGGGTAAATGCTTTAGCACAGGCCATAATAGCAGGCAATCTAGCACATTCCCTCCATTAAAGGAGCCTTTCCTTCCATATAGTTTCTGCCAAGATCTATTTTTTTGGGGGTGGGGGTGGGGTGAGACACACAGATCACACAAGTCTAGGAAGTCAAAGGGAAATCATAGGCAGAGGACTAGAGCTGCTTGGGGTAGCACGACTAGGCCCACAAGCTTAGTTCCTCTGGTGCCATGGCTTGGAGGGTCACGCTTGCAAACATGGGTGGCACATTTAACAGGGTGCCAGGACCTGGGTGATTCTGGAAATTGAAGGAAAGTAGATGTCCTTCTAAATACTAAAGCCAATCTCTCTCTTTTCTTCTCTCTAATCCAGGCCTCCCCTCTTCTCATAGCATCACCATAAGGAACATCTCAGGAAAAACTCTAGTACAATATTTTTCTCAACCTTAGTTGCAGTTAGGAGGACCTATTTACACATGCTTCCAAGCCATTGTCATGATAGCTTTACAGTTAGAAAAGCCTCCAAATTAATCCTGGGAAAGAACTTAACTGTTTACACCCCACGTAATGTGGCAGGATTACTGTCCTTTAGGGGGCGCTTTTAACTAACAGCCGGTAAAGCAAGAAATACATAAGGCAGGATAAGCAGTAGTCACTCTAAACAACATCTCTCCCCAGACACAAGCACTTAATTAGCTGAACTAATAGCTCTTACGAGAACACTTCAATTAAGCAAGGGAAAGGTAGCCAACATTTACACGGACTCCAAGTATGCTTTCTTAGCTCTCCATACTCATGCTGCCATTTAAAAGGAAAGACATCCTCTTACCACTAATGGATTTCCTGTAAAATATCACCAGAAAATTAGCAGGCTATTATCTTCACTTTTTATGCCGTGAGAAATAGCAGGGATACATTATAGGAACACCAAAAGGCAGCAAATAAAGTAGCCAAAGGAAATAGATTAATCAGGCAGCTAAGTCAAAGGCAAGGAAGCCTCAAGGCATTAACACACTTCAAGCCCCCTTCTAATCTAGGAATGCTCCATAACAGAAATTAAACCTCAGTATTTTCCTGCAGAAACAGAATAGGCCACTTCTCAAGGGTATGCTTTTTATCTCTCAGGATGGCTACAGCCAGAGGATGGCAAACTCCATTTGCCAGCCTCCAGCCAATGGAAAGTTCTTAAAATCCTTCACCAAGCTTTTCACTTAGGAAAGGATAAAATTTGTCAATGTGCTCAGAGACTGTTTTCAGGCAGAAAACCTATAAATTGGTTAAGCATGTAACCTCTCTACCTCACTTCCAACAGAAATTGACACAACTGGCAGAAGCCCAGCCCCAGGAAATAGAACCACCTTTATTTAACCCAGGAAATTTGGTACTAGTGAAAACTCTCACCTCTCTCTCCTTCCCTAAGCCAAGCTGCGAAGGGCCCTACACTGTTCTCTTTCAACCCCCTTGGCAGCAAAAGTTACAGGTGTCAACTTCTGAATACATCACACTCAAGTCAAAGCCTGAATGCCTGAGGGAGCAACCCCTGACAGCCCAGAGGAACGTCCTGAATATCAAAGTGGAGAAATAGAAGATCTTAAGCTGAAAATCATAAAAGATAAGTAACTGAGTGAGGGCTACTCATCCTACTCAGTCCCACTCCTACCTCACCAGATGCTTTTTATTTATTTATTATTTTTGAGACAGAGTCTTGCTCTGTCACCAGGCTGGAGTACAATGGCATGATCTCAGCTCACTGCAACTTCTGCCTCCCGGGTTCAAGTGATTCTTCTGCCTCATCCTCCCTAGTAGCTGGGATTACAGGCATGCACCACCACACCCAGCTATTTATTTTATTTTTTTTTTTTGAGATGGAGGCTTGCTCTGTCGCCCAGGCTGGAGTGCAGTGGCGCGATCTCAGCTCACTGCAAGCTCTGCCTCCCAGGTTCATGCCATTTTCCTGCCTCATCCTCCCGAGCAGCTGGGACTACAGGCGGTCTCGATCTCCTGACCTCATAATCCACCTGTCTCAGCCTCCCAAAATTTTTTTGTATTTTTAGTAGGGATGGGGTTTCACCATGTTGGCCAGGATGGTCTCAGTCTCTTGACCTCGTGATCTGCCCACCTCAGCCTCCCAAGGCGCTGGGATTGCAGGTGTGAGCCACCATGCCCGGCCACTTTTTATTATTTGTACCCCTTCCTCTAAAAATTTGCCACCAAATATTAGAACTTCTTTTTAATGCATATTCGCAGGGAGATTTTGATTATTCATAGAATTGCATTTGTAACCTTGTAGATTCCCAAAGGGAAATGTTATATCTTGGCAAGTAAAGTTTTCAATGGAAATTATTTACTATGCCAGTCTTGTGGGAATTGTTACAGTCACACTACTATTTGCAATAGAACTATACACTATGGCACTCACAATGTGGAATTCTGGTTGTAAAATTCTAATTGCTGTAACATCTTGTCTAATTATCATCCTTATAACAGGATTAACAATTGCAGGAAAGATTTAGTCAAGGCTGTTTTGCTTATAGCAGGAGTAATAGTTATGGATATAGCATGAAAGTTTTACTATCATTAAGTTTGATAGGACTTTTTATTGAAGACTGGTTGTATGGTGCACTCTAAGCTATAGAAAGAAGGTTATAAAAGAAGGAACTTTATATAAGAAAAGATCTTGTGTGGGAAATTCTTGTCCTAAAAGCAAATGACTGGTTATTTAAAGGAAGGATGTTTAGGACAAGTCGGAAAGTTTGAGTATGTTGTAAGAGGGTCTGTGAAAGTCATGAAATAATTTAATAATTAAAGAAAAGGAATTGTCAAGATTAACACTAAAGTTAATTTAGCCACCCAATAATGTATTTCTCCCAATTATATTGCAAGTTATAAAAATGGTCTAAGCCTAAAACTATTCACTAATGGCAAGTAAAGGGGGAAATGTATGGTTTTCTCAAGGAAAAATGTCACTTTCATATTAATCTTTCTGGTAATATTCAGTGACATCTAGTGGAGACAACCCAGTATTACAATCCACTGGTGTAACTAACAAGTATCAAACTCTGCTGTCATAGTTGTGGTCTATAGTACCCCCACTAACAGTGGTAATCTTAATACTCATATTCTAACCCTATATTTTAAACCTTCTTGTAAGATTTATCTCTTTTCACCTAGAAGCAATCAAACTCCAAATAATGCTGCAGACAGAGCCACACATGGACATGCCATTCTTCAGAGAATCCTTAGATCAACCTCAGGAGGAGGCCCAACTGCTGTCCCCTTACATGACGCCCCTTTCCAGAAGGAAGTAGCCAGAAAGAATTGTTGTCCAACATCCCCTAACGACAGTTAGGTTTACTTCTCCTGAGGGGGGAAATAACAGGAGTCATTAAGAAATAATTTTTAGGCAGCTAGAAATGGTGTAAGTTCTCGGTGGAATTTTCCTTTAATAAAAAGCGACCCCCAAACCATTTCTTTGCTAACAGAAAGCAGCTTGAAAAACCAGACTGGCAAGCACTGATATGCAAATGCTGGTGGCTAGAAGCCAGGTCCACCCAATATGGTGGCTTTCGCCCTCCTCTTTTTGTCACCACGTGTGCCAGGTGTCATGGCAGCCTCCAGATAAAAGCCACATGTGCAGGACATCATGGTGACCTGCATTTGCATATTAAAAGGCTAAGGTGGGAGGGCCAGTTTTTTTTACAGGCTGCATGAATGTCACACCTGGTCAAACCAATCCCCTGGGCCCTTTGCAAATCAGACACTGCCTCCTCCAGCCTCCCAATATAATCAGCTGTTTTCCATTGCATGTGGGATTTTCCATTAGGATCCCTCCTCCCTCTGTATGGGGGAGCTGTTTTCTTCTTTCTTGCCTATTAAACTTTCTGTTCCTTAAAACCACTCAATGTGTGTCCATGTCACTAATTTTCTCAGTGTGAGACAAAGGACCCTGGTGTTTCTCCAGTCATCAGAGTCATGTCACAGCCACCTTTGCAGAGACTCAGGAGGGTGAGGAAGAGAGGGTCCAGGCCATGGTAGAGATGTCTGTAGTGCTCTGCTTCCTGAGCCACATAGATTAGGCGGAACAACCCCTCTTCCCTGGTGTCTCTTAGGGGAGGGGACTCAGTGGAAATCTATCCTGACCCCTGGCTGTGCCCCTCACATAAGATGCCGAGTCTGATTTTTCTTTTTGAGGAGTAGGTGGGTGGGAGGTAGGAGGGTGTGGTCAGTGATGCTCCAGGCACCCTGGGAGGACACAGCTGCTGGGCCCTGTGAATGCTAAACAGCAAACGGCAGACAGGTGTCTGGTGTTACAACTGAGTGCATCCATGAACTCACTTCCCAGGCTGCATAG